>NC_000003.12:5010000-6260000 GCF_000001405.40 Homo sapiens
AACCAGGAGGCCTTAATGAATACCTTCTCGAAGCCGACCTTAAAATGCTTTCAGCTGTGGGGTGGGGCGAAGGACTGCCACCCTCATGACAGGGCATTCCCAGGCTAGTTCATTTATCTTGAATTTAGACTTATTAAATTTTAAATTTAAATTTTTTTAATATCGTGGAACTTCTCAAACACGTTCACTACAGGAGAATAGGATGATGAACGTCATATCCAATACTCAGCCTCAAGGGTTATGAATTCACGGATAATTTGGCTTTATTTCTGCACCACCCCCCACCCCGTGGAATAGTTTAAATCAGATTCCAGGCAACATATAATGTTATCTGCAAGTGCTGTGATTGGGTTACTCCCTTTTAAAACACAAGCAATCCTATTCATTATAGGGAAACAAATGTTTTTGTTTGTTTTGTTTTTTGGGTTTTTTTGAGACAGAATCTCACTCTGTTGCCCAGGCTGGAGTGCAGTGGTGCGATCTCAGCTCACTGCAACCTCTGCCTCCCAGGTTAAAGTGATTCTCCTGCCTCAGCCTCCCAAGTCGCTGGGATTACAGTTGCCCACCACCATACCCAGGTAATTTTTTGTATTTTCAGTAGAGACGGGGTTTTACTGTATTGGCCAGGCTGGTCTCGGACTCTTGACCTCAAGTGATCCACTTCGCCTCGGCCTCCCAAAGTGCTGGGATTACAGGCATGAGCAACTGTGTCTGGCAAAAAAATGTTTTTAATTTAAAAAAATTACATATAATCCAATCACCCAGCATTGATTTAAATGGTGTGGCTCCATCAAAAGGAATCACTCAGGTTGCATTTGCATCTTCATTTTGTCACCTGTGGTTACATGACCCTGGGCGCGGTGCCTCTCCAAGCCTCAGCTTCCTCAGGTATAAAATGGGTGTGTGCTTGGTACAGGGTTGTTGTGGGGTGAAAGGAGGTGTTACTATTGGCTCGATGCCTGGCCCATACAGCACAGGTGTGAACAATGACTGCTGATGGAACATCCTGCCTGATCCAAGGCCTACATGTTTGGCATTGGAGCTCACCAGAAAGCACAGCTGTTTCTTCCACAAATCAGCCCAGTTGCTCAGGAAGGAGGGCAGCCCTATGTAGGAGGAAGCACTTCTGCTTGCATGCAGGAGGTTGGAATCTCAAATCCTTGGGTCATCTTAAATTGCTTCCAGAGGCTGACCTCAGTGCTGGGTTCTTGACTAATCTACACCATTCAATCAGGGTGACTTTTGCCTTAGAATTCCACACCACTTGCTCTGGAGGGAAGGGAAGAGGAAGGACTAAAAGGAAGATGTGGCCTCAACCCTCCATTTTACAGGTGGAAAAACTGAAGCTCGGCTGGTGAAGGCACTAAGATCCCAGGGCTGCTAATGGCAAAGACAGGACTGGAGGCCAGCGTCCAGCTTCAGTTTTCTTGCCTGCAAATGGGTAGGCGAAAGCAAGGGAAACCCAGCTATCCTTAGAGGCTGGAAGCCCACCAGTCAGAAAGGCTAACCCTGTCGTGCTAACCAAAAAGCCACTGAGGGATTTCTTAAGTTAAGACGAAGGCAGCTTCTAAGAATCAGGGACTTGTGTTTTCTCCCAAGAGACTTTTGAAAGCAAAACTTGCAGGGACCCCCTCCTTAGAGACAGGAGGTCACAGCTGAGGTATCTGGCCAGATGCAAAGAACTTCCCTCTCTGTTCTTGTTAACACTGATAAAAAGGCTTCCTTCCTCATTCTCGGGACCAGCTTTTCACCCCGGGCCGCCGGCCGACTCAACCCCCATACCCCTCTTGTCATACTATCCTCCCACCGCCTCCACCCTCTTGCCACCCCGGACTTGACCTTGTCCTGGACTGTCCCTTTGACAAAATTCAGGGCCACCCGACTCTTCTTACCTTCGCTGGTGCCTCTTCCTCTGTCTTGCACTGGTGGGTTCATGTTTCACTTCTCCACCAGGGCGGTGGGTGGAGGCCACGAGGGCTGTCCCATCACCTCATGTTTGGCAGCTGTGGTGGGCCTGGGTGGGAGAAGGGTGTCTGGTTCTGGTTCTGCTGTCAGGAGAGGGCCTCTCCACCTGGCCAGCCCTGGTTTCCTCTTTTGCACCCTGGGGAGAGTCATCTCCCTCACAGTGTTGGGAGGTGGAAATTGGTGATCATGGCTAAGGTGCATGGAGCATCTATTATGTGCCAGGGATGTGGGATTTATCTCACGTAAGCCTCCTGACAACTCTGTTTTACACATGGGAAAACAAGTTCAGCGAGATGAAGTGGCTTGCCGGTGGCCACCAGGTAGTGATGGGTGGAGGAGGCAGCATTTGAACCCAGGTACTCAGCCCCCAGATCATGGGCTCTTAACCACATCCCCACACCATCTTCCTAAAAAGTAACATCTGTACCACACCCTTGGAACTAGCAGCAACAGAAGCTGCAGACTTTTGGAAAGGGAAAGTAGCTCCTCCATTCCACCCCCACCATATTTTGATGACAACTATGGACTCGATGCTCCTGCTTTCTTATCTCACAAAGGTGGGAAGGCAACAGTCTGTGTTTTCACTGGCACTCTCCCGTGTCCTGATAGAGGAAGTAGTAGCTCAGACAAGTTAAGGAAGTTGACCAGGGTCACACAGCTGGTCTGTGGCAGCAGGGAGAGTTAAATGCATGTTAACTTGTTCAGTTATTGAGCACCTGCTGCATACCAGCCTGCATGTCAATTGCTGGGTATGCTGTGGGATACTGCCCTCTCAGGTCTTACAGCTAAAGGAAGGGTGTTGATGGTGGAAATAGTGTGTTGACAGATTTTTTTTTTTTTTTTTTTGAGATGGAGTCTTGCTCTGTCACCCAGGCTGGAGTGCAGTGGCGTGATCTCGGCTCACTGCAACCTCTACCTCCTGGGTTCATGCAATTCTCCTGCCTCAGCCTCCTGAGTAGCTGGGATTACAGACGTGTGCCACCACGCCAAGCTAATTGTTGTATTTTTAGTAGAGACAGGGTTTCGCCATGTTGGTCAGGCTGGTCTCAAACTCATGGCCTCAAGTGATCCACCTGCCTCGGCCTCCCAAAGTGTTGGGATTACAGGCATGAGCCACTGGGCCAGGCCAAGTGACAGATCTTTATAGCTGGGCTGGTCCTGCTCCACAGAGCTGTCTCCCTTGGGCTGTTGACATTGAAATGACAAACACTGGGCAGCCAACTCACCATTAATTGCCAGGATGAATGGAGCCATCCCAGCTACAGAGCTCTGGCAGCTAGACCCTATGGCCACAGCAGGTCTTTTGGAGTGACTTTGAATGGCTTCCCATGCCCCTACTGTTTCTTGCTTTCTCCTGATAACACCCAGCTGCTGTCAGGCCTATGGGCAAGGAGAGGCCTCCTGGGGCTGGTAGGGTCTGGGTGGGGCCCTGACTCATCGCCACCAGTGAGCCTTTGTCTGAACACTTCCCCTCCAGAGCACAGGGATAGCCATTCGGAAACCAAGGTGAAAAAGAGGGTGGAGCCCAGTCTGGGATTTGAGACTGATTATCTACATCACTGGGACCCTTTTGGTCTCCAGGTTTCCTCCTTCTCCCTGTCTCCCTCCCTCCCTCCATAAGTGGACATTCATTCAGGCAGAGCCAACCAGGTAGTTGCCTAAGCTGGAGCTGCTGAAGTCTCATCTCAAATTTGTTAAGATCAGTCACCTTCTTCCCCCCACTCTCAGCTCCTGCTCCTCCTCTCCTTCTCCTCCTTCTCTGCCTCTGCCTCCTCCTCCTCTTCCTCCACCTCTCCTCCCCCTCCTCCTCCTCTGCCTCATTCCTCGGGTCACTGTGACTTCTGCTTAATTTCCCTTCCCCTCTCTTTCCCTCTCTGCACTCCCCACTTAATTTTTCACTCACTTCACTGATGAGGAGTACCACTTTTTCCTTTTCGATTACTTTTCTCCCTGTTTACATGTTAATAAAAAGTTACTTTTCTTTTTTTCCAAAACAGGGTCTCACTCTGTCACCTGGGCTGGAGTGCAGTGGTACAATCTCAGCTCACTGCAGCCTTGACATCCCGGGTTCCAGCCATCCTCCCACCTCAACCTCCTGAGTAGCTGGGACTGTAGGTGCACGCCACCACGCCTGGCTAATTTTTGTGTTTTCGTAGAGATGGGGGCCTTGCCATGTTGCCCAGACTGGTCTTAAACTCTCGGGCTTAAGAGATCCTCCTGCGTCATCCTCCCAATGTGCTGGGACTACAGGCGTGAACCACTGCGCCCAGCCAGAAAAAGTTACTTTTCTCCTTGGCTTCAAACTGATATTCGAAGGCTATTTTCTCTTTCAAGAGACATTCATTTCATGTGCTTTGAACATACATATTTGTTGCAAAAAATATACTCTGGTTATCCTTCTCTTGCAGAAAAGAAACACATGCCATTAGTTTTATTTACTTGTCAGTGTGTTGTGAAGGAAGGCCAGAGTCCAGATCAGCTTCTCTTCTTTGCAGGTCTGTCTGCTGAAAGTCATCAAGACACTTTCCAACTCATTGTTTCCAACGAGGGGCGCAGGCTGGGAGCGCTGAGGGGCTGGCTTAACCACCAGATTTTGAATCTCACAGCTTGAGGCTTTTGTGCCTCTGTCCACAGAAGTTCTCACCAAAAGTGTAGCGAAGGCACAGAGCCTGGCTTGTGGGATTTCTACAAGCCAAGACCCACAGTGAATTACTGAAAACATATTCTTCTATCGCATAAGTGTTTAGTCATGGTTGGTAAGAATGCATGATGTGCGGAAGAGAGAGACACGAAGAGAGAGACACACAGAGAGAGGCAGAGACAGAGAAGGAGAAAGAGGAGGAGGACAAAGGAGGACAGAAAAAGGAAGAGCAGAGAGATGGCAAGAGAAGAGACAGTGAGAGTCTTTCAAGAAAGGAGTCATGGCCAGGCGCCAGTGGCTCAGGCCTGTAATCCCAGCAATTTGGGAGGCTAAGGCGGAGGATTGCTGGAGCCCAGGAGTTTGAGACCAGCCTGGGCAACATGGCAAAACCCCATCTCTACAAAAAAATACAAAAATTAGCCGAGTGTGGTACACATCTATAGTCCTAGCTACTTGAGAGGCTGAGGTGGGAGAATCACTTGAGCCTGGGAGGTTGAGGCTGCAGTGAGCCAAGATCACACCATTGCACTCCAGCCTCGGTGACATTGTGAAAACCTGTCTTAAAAAAAAAAAAAAAAGATGTTAAGGGAAATACAGAGGGACAGAAATAGAGAGTTCCCAAGAGCAGGAACAACAGTTAGAGACACAGAGAGACAAAGATGGGAGAGACAGAGAGAGCAAGAGTTGGTGGAACAGAAAGAGTGAGCGAGAGGGAGAGACAAAGAGAACAGAGTACAAGAGAGAAAGGAGGAAAGGACAAAAGGAGAGACTTGGGAAAGGAGAAAACACGAGGAAAAACATCAAAAGAACCCGAGGTTTGTAGAGGTGGGAAGGACCCTAAGAGCGAATTATTGATTTTGCCAACACACGACCTCTAGACTCAAGACTCAAACTGTCTTGGTTCCCCATTTCCTAGCTGTGCAGTTGAGACAGGTTACAGTATTAAATATATCTGTGCCTCAGTTTCCTCATCTGCAAGATGCAGACAACAGTCTCTACCTCATAAGGCTCCTGGGAGGGCTGTTGAGTTAATACATTAAGCCAGGAAAGTCCAGTCTTTTGGCTTCCCTGGGCCACATTGGAAGAACTGTCTTGGACCCCACATAAAATACATTAACACTAACGATAGCTGATGAGCTTTAAAAAAATGCAGAAAAACTTTTTTTTTTGAGATGGAGTCTCGCCGTGTCACCAGGCTGGAGTGCAGTGGTGAGATCTCAGCTCACTGCAACCTCCGCCTCCTGGGTTTAAGCGATTCTCCTGCCTCAGCCTCCCGAGTAGCTGGGACTACAGGCACCCGCCACCACGCCCGGCTAATTTTTGTATTTTTAGTAGAGACAGGGTTTCACCATGTTGGCCAGGATGGTCTCGATCTCTTGACCTCGTGATCCGCCTGCCTCCGCCTCCCAAAGTGCTGGGATTACAGGCGTGAGCCACCGCACCCGGCCTCATAATGTTGTAAGGAAGTTTACGAATTTGTGTTGGGCCACCTTCAGAGCTGTCCTAGACCTGTGGGCCATGGATTGGACAAGTTTGTATGAAGCAAATGCTCAAGATGCCCTAGTTGTTGTGATGATCGTTTATTGAGCATATATGTGGCAGGAAGTGTGTCATGTGGGACCCAAAGATGTCAAAGCCCCCGACTCTGTAGTTCAGCGGGAGTCTGTTTTCCAGTTTTCCCTAATCTGTCTGGTTTATTTGTGGTTATTAATAACATATCACTTTCACTCTCAAAGGTGTCCTGATTCAGAGGAGAGGCTTATGTCATCACCTTATTTTTGGGGGCAGAGTGTGAGTAATCGGGCTGGGTGGAACCTGCAATAAGCCAGGAGCACCTGCCCCCCTGAAGCCGATGCTCCCGCAGGTGCAGGCAATGACAGGGGCTTGTATTTGCAGTCTCTAATTTTCCAAGAGAAGTTGGAAACTCAGATTTTTATGTGAAATCATCCCATTTTTAAAATAAACTATTTTTTTCGGTTTTAAAAAATACACCTTATTAAAAGTTTTCCAAACTTCCTGCCCCCAGTCCAGCTAAAGCACATCTGTGGCTTAGGCCAGCATGTGGTCTGTTTCTAATCTCTAGACTTGAGGAAGTGACAATCTATTGAGAGGAGCTAGACAAGTAAACAGGCAGTTACCACACCGGTGATAAGGGTGGTGACAGCAGTGAACCCAGGGTGAGTCAGGAGGCAGAGGAGGGGCAGACACGGGAGCTGGAGAGTGGAAACCTGGGAAGCCTTCCTGAAAGGGGGTAACAACGGAGCTGATTCCTGAGAGTTGATTGTGAACACGTTCCAGAAATAATCATAATGATGGCAGGGAACGTTTCCCCTTGTTGCTTTCTGGGTGTTAGATATTGCTGTAAACAACTCTGCAAGCATCATCTCATTCAACCTGCACAATAACCCCATGAATTAAGGACCAGTGTTATTCTCATTTTTCTGCAAGAGGGGACTGAAGCACAGAGAAGCTAAGTAACTTGCCCAAGGGCACACAGTGAACAGATGTCATGTGATCTACCATACATAGATTTAAGCATTACCCTAGAAAACTCCGTGGAAGAGCAGAATGACAAGTCCAAAGACTAGAAGGTAAAAGAGAGCAAGGCACTTTAACAAAACTGAAGATAGGCCACTGCGGCTGAAGTGGGATGTATTCACCATATGGGGCAAGGAGCTGGACTGCCGACTGGGAGGCAGGAAGGTGGACAGGAGAGAAGTTGGGTCACGCTAAGGGGCTCGGGCTTTATTTTAAAGACTAGAGGCAAGATTGAAATGCTAAAAGATTTAAAGATCAGTATAACTCCTACTCCTCTCTCCCCTACTCCATTTAAAAGAAAGCTCAGAGGCCGGGTGCAGTGGCTTACGCCTGTAATCCCAGCACTTTGGAAGGCTGAGGCAGGTGGATCACGAGGTCAAGAGATCGAGACCATCCTGGCCAAGATGGTGAAATTCCATCTCTACTAAAAATACAAAAATCAGTTGGGCATGGTGGCACGCGCCTGTAGTTCCAGCTCCTCAGGAAGCTGAAGCAGGAGAATTGCTTGAACCCGGGAGATGGAGGTTGCAGTCAGCCGAGTTCGCGCCAGTGCAGTCTAGCTTGGCAGCAGAGCGAGACTCTGTCTCAAAAATAATAATAATAGTAGAAATTTAAAAAGCTCAGAAGGGCTTTCTTCCCTTACCCTAGGTCACACAGCCCAGCTCTGGGGCCAAACCCAGGTCTCTGGACTCCTACCAGGAGAGGGCCGCACCCCAGGGAGAGACAAGAGGGAAAGGGAGAAGGCCTAGAACAGTGGCTTTCAAGACTTTATATTGACGATTAAAGAGTTATCTCAACAAGAGAAATTAATCTGCCCTGATTCCATTCCCTCCCACACCCTGGGTGGACCCAAGTTATTCTTTTGGCCTCACCCTAACCCCACCCACCGGCTTGCGAAAGGAGAGGGCTAGGAGACAACTCTCCCTTAGAAAGCCCAGCTCTAGGCTCCACACAGGGCCCAGCAACTCAGAAAAGGCAGCAGATCAGATGGGCTGGAGCCAGCCCTTTGAAACCACCACTGGGTGGTGAATAAAATCACTGGAAACGAACGAAGCTTGGTCTGTGGCAGCTTGGTAGGTGGCCCCGCCCGGGATGAAAGGCCTGCCAGGGCTGGGCTGGGCCAAGCTGTGCACAGAGGCCTAACAAGCCTTCAGAGGCAATTCCTATCTCTGCTCCCTGGGGTTAATGCCTGCCTGTGGAGAGATTGATTAATGTGCAGTTGTGAGGACAACCTGTCAAGACCTGTGGATTTAGATTTTGTCTTGTCTTAGCTTGATTTCAGAGTGGAGTGGTCTCACTGTGTTCTGAGGCCCTTGGCTGGTGGGCCTGTGCCAGTTTGCATGGGCGAATTCGAACCACTTGGTGGGCTCAAGTGGATAGAGGGACATTTAATGTGTACTACAGAATGCTGCCTTGTGCCACGCACTGTTCTGGCAGCTACAGGCAGGCAAGTCCCTGATTTCATGCAGCTCGTGTTCTAGTAGAGGGGTGAAGGCATTGGACAAATTAAGAAGTCAATAAAATAATCTCAGAGATGGTGGCGATGTTTCTAGATGAGACTTTCTCAACCTTGGCACTACTGACATTTGGGGCTGGATACATTCTTGGTGATAAGGGGGTGTCCTGGACACTATGGAATGTTTAGCACTATCTCTGGCCTCTACCCATTACATGCCAGTAGCAACCCCACTACTTATGGCAACCAAGCCAAAAACATTTCAGACATTGCCAAATATCCCTGGAGTGCCAGCATTACCCCTGCCTGGTTCAGAACCACTGCTCTAAACCAGAGCTGTTCACTAAAAATATAATGTGGCCAGGCCTGGAGGCTCATGCCTGGAGGCTCATGCCTGTAATCCCAGCACGTGGGGAGACTGAGACAGGAGGATCACTTGAGCTCAGGAGTCGGAGACCAGCGTGGGTAACATAGGGAGACCCCATCTCCACAAAATATAAAAAAATTTGCCAAGCATGGTGGTGAGTGCCTGTAGTCCCAGCGACTCAGGAGACTGAGATGGGAGGGAGGATCCTTTGACTCCAGAATATTGAGGCTGCAGAGAGCAATGACCATGCTACTGCACTCTAGCCTGGGTGACAGTGAGACCCTGTCTCAAAAAAAAAAAAAAATACAAGCCACATGCATGATTTTACATTTTCTAGTAGCCACATTAGAAAAGAAAAAAGACACGGTTAAAATAGATTTTTAAAAAATCTATTTGATTTTACCTCAAATATTATTTCAACATGTAATTCATATAAAGAATTATTAATGAGATATGTTATGTTCTTTTGTTCTTACAACATCTTCAAAATCTGGTGTGTATTTCACACTCACAGCACATCTCAATTAGGATAGCGCGACTCTAGACCACCCAGCCCCGCTGCCTGTGTGAGGAGTGGAAGCGCGTGCTGTCGTAAGTTCATCAGAAAGACAGCCTCAACCTGGAGCCTCGCTGGCTGTTCAAAGTGTTGTCTCAGACTAGCAGCCCCGGAGCTTGTCAGATGGCAGGATCTCGGGCCCCGCCCAAGAACTGCTGAATCAGAATTTGCCTTTGAACAAGGGAATTTGTGGGCGCATTGTAGTTTAAGAAGAACCGGGTGAGGAAGTCAGAATGTTCAGGGGCCAGGCATCTTGGGAGGGACTCAAGTCCATAAAATGAAATTGTTCTGTTGGTAGACACCGCATCTTCCTGTTAACTAACTCTAGTCTCAGTTTTCCCATCTCTAGAATGGGGATTATTCATACTCTTTCTCGGGGCTGATGGTATTTAATAAGTGTGAACTCATCACCATGCCCCCTTTCCTCTCTGGCCACAGCTCCCCCTTTATCTCACAAAAGCCTTCCTGGACTCGGACTTTCTGAATGTTGTGCCCTACGTTGAGGATGGGGTGAAGAGGAGGCAGTTTCTGCTACCAGGGATGCTACCCCAAGAGGGAAGACCCTGAGCCCAACTGCAGTGCCCACCTGGGTGGGGGAACCCATGTGGAGCGGCCTGAGGGGCCTGGGCATGGGGTGCGGCTCCCACACCAAACAGGGCATGTGGCCATGTGGAGAATGACCTGCACACGCTCACACATTGTACAAGGTGTGGGTGAAGTGGTGGCTCTGTCACTTAGGAGGACTTCCTGTTCCCAAGGCCAGAACATTCTATAAAAATCATTAAGGAGTTAGAGGTTCTCTGTTTGCTCACCCTCGGCAAGTTCCTCACCCAGCAAGACTATGTTGTGAAGTCCTACCCTTGCGTCTGCCGAGGGGACCCCCACCACCACCAGCCCAGCATCTGGAAGAAGCCTGACTCTCCCTTTGGAGTGCCAGTTCCTCTTGATTTCTAGTTCCGACATGTCCAAAATGGAAGGTGCTTATCTCCAAACCCCATGGCTCAGCCTGGCGCTCACTTCCCTCGCCTTTCATCAGGGCTTGGGCAGGCTCCCCAAGTAGGCAGGAGGGGGTGAAACAAAGGTCAGGTGAGGGCTGAAGCCAAAACAGTGTGGAGAGAAAAGGGTGCCCCTGCCACTGCCCCACCTCAGTCAGAGCTGGCACATGAGTTAAACAGATTAGGAAAACTTCACGCAGAGACTGATGGGTACAGAGGCATGAATTGGAGTGGGAGGAATCCCAAGTACCTTGGTTTCCCCCTTCCCAGTGAGCTAGAACATGATCTTGGTCAAGCCGGAGTGCTGATGTAGGGGCCATGGCCGGGGGTTCCTCTAGGGGTGGCAGTCATGCTTATGAGGGTGAGTGCTTTAAAAATGACTAGAGCCCCAGTGTTTATCCTGTTATGATTCAGAAATACCACCTTGGACCAGGTAAGGACTTCAAAAAGAGGGGGAAAAAATGGGCCGGGTGCAGTGGCTCAAGCCTGTAATCCCACCACTTTGGGAGGCTGAGGCGGGCATATCATTTGAGGTCAGGAGTTCAAGACCAGCCTGGCCAACATGGTGAAACCCTGTCTCTACTAAAAATACAAAAATTAGCCAGTCACGGTGGAGGGCGCCTGTAATCCCAGCTGTTCGGGAGGCTGAGGCAGGAGAATCGCTTGAACATGGGAAGTGGAGGTTGCAGTGAGCTGAGATCGCGCCACTGCACTACAGCCTGGATGACGGAGTGAGTCCCTGTCCAAAAAAAAAGGGCAGGTGGGGGGAAGAAAGAGAAGGAAAAAAAGGAAGGAAGGAAAGAAAGAAGGAAGGAAGGGAAGGAAGGAAGGAGAAAGCTAGGACCTTTTGAAGTGCCCAAAGAAAGAAAAAGATGGAGGAAAGTAAGAAAAGAAGTGAGTGGAAGAACGGATGAAGGGAACTAGATTGATTGCATAGCTAATATGTTGTGGGCGTTTCACTGTTTCAGTATTTTTCCTTTTCCTCCTCTTCTGCCACTTTCTTCTTCTCCATGTCATGTCCATTTTTCAGGCATGGAGAGGGAAGGTCAGAGAGGCTGCCTTGAGTCAGAGCACCCTGGGTTGGAGTGTCCCTAGCTAGCTTAGTGACCTTGAGGAGGTCACTTAATCTGTCTGATCTTCAGCTTCCTCATCTATAAGAAGGAGAAAATAACTCTTTTGCAGAGCTGTGGAGTAACGAGATTAATATATGTAACACCTAGCACATGCCGAGCGCTCAAAACATGCTAGTTACCCGCACGGTTACTTTTAAGTAAGTTGCCCAAGGCCACACAGCTAATGAAGAGCCGACATTTTGACTCAGGCCTGTTGAGTCCAGAGCGCTCGTATTCCACCACATCAGACTGACTCACTAGGTAGTGACAAATCAGGAAAGTGCCACATAAACTATAAACCCTCTCTCCCACAGGCATACATTTGCACAGAGGGAGTGACACCCATTGTTTTTGCCTGCCCAGCAACCATTCCTTTTTATTCTGGAAACATCATCTTATGGCTTTAACACCATCTCCAGGTCTAGGGAGGAATATGTGACTCAAGCCAGGCTGGCCAGGGTTAATCCTGATATTTTTGTTGAGAAGAAAGATCTCTTTCTAATGAGGTTGTTAAGCTCACAAAAGGTAAGACTAGAGCTACTGGGACAATTCCTTGTCATCTTATAGGCAGGCAGAGCTGAAAGATTAAAAAAACAACAAATCTCTAACACTAGCATTTGGGCACCTGGAAACAGCTATGCCTGAAGCCATCAGCTGGATCTTTTTTTTCCCCCTGTAGCTAATTTGAATCCAGTTTCTGTCTTGCAACTAAGAGTCCTCACTGACTAATTTGAGGCTTGCCTGATACCGAGGCTCATGTACCTTAAACCATCCCAGATTGACTCAACAGTATAGAGCCTAAAGAGAAAAAAGGAAAAACAAATAAAGCAAATACTTTCTCTTTCTCATTTCCTTTCATCTTATATAGATATGGTACCTCTGCTAACAATTGCTGGATGAGTGTACAAACATGTCCAAGACAATCCCTTCACATTACTACTTGTTAATGATCTCATTACCTGCATAAACATCATGATTCTTTGTGTCAGTATCATAGTTGTCCGTATCAAACCTGTGTCAATTCCATGAAAATATATCAAGCTCCATTTCTGGTGCCCCTTTGAGAAAACTAGAGTTGGTGAGACATAAGTAAGAATATACATTTTTCTTTTTCTTTTTTTTTTTTTTGAGATGGAGTTTCCCTTTTGTCACCCACGCTGGAGTATAGTGGCACAATCTCGGCTCACTGCAACCTCTGCCTCCTGGGTTCAAGCGATTCTCCTGCTTCAGCCTCCTGAGTATCTGGGATTACAGGCCTGTGCCACCACACCTGGCTAATTTTGTATTTTTAGCAGAGACAGGGTTTCACCATGTTGGCCAGGCTGGTCTCGAACTCTTGACCTCAAGTGACCCACCCACTTTGGCCTCCCAAAGTGCTGGGATTACAGGCGTGAGGCACTGTGCCCGCCCGAGAATCTGTGTTTTTCACTCATAGTTTGGGATTGTTCTTGCAGCTGAATACCTCTGAAATAATAATCAATGAATATTTCATTCAATAAATATTTACTATCCTCTTCCGTGTGCCAGTCTCCTAAGTTGTCTTAGGATAATAATTATTATCCTAAATCATCCCATTACTTCTTAGATATTTAGCATTCCAACAAACAGAAAACGAGCTCTCTCCTCTCCCTTCCCAAGGGTTTATGTCTTTCATCTCCTCCTTGGCTATCCAGGTTTCGACCTCGGAGTTGGCTTTAGCTGCTGGAGCCTTCCTGAACCCATCTGTTGGGATATTGAGTCACTGAGTCATAAAGAGGAATGTTTCTCACTAAACATCACACCAGAACAGATAGACTTCCAGCTGAGCCAGCTGGTGACCTGGCCGCCCCTGAGTGGAGAAAATGGGAGACGTGGGAGTTGGAAGGCACACCACGCAGACGGTCACCTCATGGTGACGTCACCTGCCAAACCGGTGACTCACCTCCCAATTCTCCCCTCTACCAGCCATATCTTGCTCACTTGGAATACCTGAGGGGAATACCAGCCTCCTGTGTTTAGTGAAAACACACGCTCGTGAGCTATTTTTTAAAGGCATGATGTTTTCTTGCTTTCAAGTGCAGGCCTGGGTTAAGACTGCTTCTGCTTTAATAAGTACCCAGGAGTCTGCTTTTAAAGAAAGACTTGGATAAGCATGGGGATTGCTATGTGGGTTACCTTTTTTTTCTTAAAATTTTTCATTGTAGTAAAATATGCATAACACATAATTTACCATTTTAACTTTTTTTTTTTTGGAGACAGAATTTCCTCTGTTACTGAAGCTAGAGTGCAGTGGTGTGATCACCGTTCATCGCAGCCTCACCCTCTAGGGCTCAATCAATCCTCCCACCTCAGCCTCCCACGAAGCTGGGACTACAGGCATGTGCCCCGACACCCAGCTAATTTTTTTTATTTTTTGGAGAGATGGGGTTTCACTATGCTGCTCAGGCTGGTCTCAAACTCCTGGGCTCAAGCGATCCACCCATGTCAGCCTCCCAAAATCCTGGGACTACAGGCGTGAGCCACCTTTTAACCATTTTTAAGTGCACAATTCAGAGGCATTAAGTACATTCACAACGTTGTGCAACCATCACTACCCATTCCTAGAGCTTGTTCAGCATCCCTTCAATTCATCACCAATTAAATTGTTCATTGAATTCTAATCAAACGAGAACTCCCCACTCCTCTCTCCCTCCAGCCCCCGGTACCTCTACTCTACTTCTGTATGTATAAATTTGTCTAGTCTAGGTGTTCCATATAAGTGGAATCATACAATACCGTCCTTTTGTGTCTGACTTATTTTACTTGGCATCATGTCTTCAACATTCATCATATTGTAGCACTTACCAGAATTTCATTCCTTTTTAAGGCTGAATAATATTTCATTGTATGTACATACTAGATTTAGTTTATCCATTCATTTATTGTTTTCACATCTCAGCTATTGTGGGTAGTTTACTTTCGAGTCCCTAAAGATCATTTGTTCTCTTTACTAGTTAGAAATTCTTCTTTAGAAAGATTCTCAGAGTTCACCTGTAGACTGGGACTAAGATGACCAGTTCTAACTACTTCTCAGGGGTATTGTGAAGATAAAGTTAACTCCTGGGTAGGAAAATGCTTTATAAATACTAAAATGTGTCTACGGTCATACTATCCTGAATGCACCCTATCTCGTCTAAATTCTAAAACGCCCCACAAAAATATTTTTACTTTGTTTGTACTATTTGCTTAGCTTTTCCCCGCAAGCAGAAAAAAAAAAAAAAAAAAAGAGAGAACACGACCCTAGGCTCCTTTCAAATTATAATAAAATCTAGACGGAAATGGTCCAAATGAATGAGGTTTTCCTGGGATGTTTGTATACACTGCAGTCTCTCCATTCTTTCCAAAGCCGAGTACAAGTGCATTAAGTGCTTACATGGACCAGGACGCTATTCTGCTCATTACTGAGCATTAATTTACAGCTCTGGGACATGGACAAGTTACTTCGCCTCTGTGCCTCGGTCTCTTCATCTGCAATGTAGGGACCAAAGTGATAGAACTGACCTCATAGGGTTGTTGTATCAAATGAGGTAATAATGGTAGTGGCTTTGGCACAGCGTTTGGCATACAGTAGGCCTCAATGCTAGTTGCATTGCTGTTATTATGTGTTTCTTATTTGGAATTACTTTTATCCTCATCTCACATTTTTAACACATAATTCAAGATTAAATGCATGGTCTTAAAAATGCACTAAAAAAGCATCAATTCCAAAGAAAAAGGGCCATGTCTGTCATGTTAATTGATGTTTTGCAAGGCTGCCTGGTAATGGTACAGACTTCTAGTTTAGGACTCAGATTTGATTTTACTTCCCAGCTGGTCTCACATTAACTGGGTATTCTACTCTGTAAAATGGGGATAACACCTACCTCATAAGGTTGTGTTGAAGCCACAAGTTCATGCCCGTGCAGCTTTGCAAGGCTTAATACGTGCTGGCTAGCGCTGTTATTATCCGTCTCTCTTCACCTGGCACGCTCGGGGTACTCAGGAAATACTTGCCAAAAGTAATTAAAACAAACATTGCAGCCGGGTGTGGTGGGTCGCACCTGTAATCCCAGCACTATTCGAGGACAAGGCGGGCGGGTCACTTGAGGTCAGGAGTTCGAGACCAGCCTGGCCAACATGGTGAAACATTGTCTCTATTAAAAATACAAAAAAAAAAAAAAAATTAGCTGAGCGTGGTGGTATGCACCTGTAATACCAGCTACTGGAGAGGCTGGGACAAGAGAATGGATTGAACCAGGGAGGCGGAGGTTGCAGTGAGCCAAGATCGAGACACGGCACTGCAGCCTGAGTGACAAATCAAGACTCTGTCTCAAACAACAACAAATAAACAAAATAAAAAAATATATATATTGCTTCACTGATAGTGGACGGGCCATTGACTCTTAAGAGGTTCGTGAGACCCTGATCTATGGCAAGAAAGGTAAGAAAAAACGCAACCCAACCCAACCCAAACCAAACCAAATCACAGAGGCTTGAAAAGTCAGCTCTCCCAGTGACAGGCTATCCTAGGGCTCTTCTCTGGGCTTTAGTTTTCTCTGGCTTGTTTCTAACACCCTCAGGCGAGTGTGCTTTGAAAACCTGACAATCAGGTACAATATGGAAGGTGGGCCACCGGGTGCCTTCAGGGCAGAATCCAGGACCTGTAGTGGGTGGCCTAGTGTCCTGGGGCCTGCACCCTAGAGCCAGTGGCTTCCTGAGTGGGCCGTGCCCCGGGTCACTTCCCGGGGGCGGGTTAGCCTCACTGAGGCGGCCGGGATGCTCTTGGTCTCCTAGACAACAGTGTGTGACCGAGGAGATGCAGTAAACGAGAGGTGTCATCCTGCGAAACCAACCCACCCCCCCCCGCCCCCTCACAGCCGGGCCCCGGCCGCAGGAAGTGGAATTCTTCTGGGAAAGAGACTGACGTCGCCGGTGGCCGTGGTCCCTGCCCCTGCCCTGGCAGGCGCTGATGCAAGCGCCGGCTCGCGCCTGCAGGCAGGCGGTCCCCGGGGAGCTGGCGCCGCGCTCTCTCCGTCTTGCTCCCTTCCGGCCACCCCCGCCCGGCCTTCCCTGTGAGAAGTCAACGGCTCCTGGGTGGTTTCCCACCGAAAGGCCCAGCGCGGGGTGTGGGGGGAGGGGCTGAAGTGTCTTTGCCCAAACCCGTTCTTCTTTCTCCCCAGCTCCTCCCAGACTGGGTTTGGGAGAATCCCAGCATCTCAACCTGGCCACGTGTCTGGGTCTATATGAAGGGCTCTCGGTGCCTCCAGCCCCCTCCCTGGGACAGCCTGGGTGGCCTGAGATACCTGGTGCCAGCGCTGCCAAGGAAACCGTCTGGACCACTAGGGAACCTTGGGTCTGGATGGGGAGGCGGTGAAGAGCCTCTGGGGTGGAAGTGGTCCAGCCAAGGCTGGTCTCCATCGCCTTCTGCTGGCAAAAGGAAGAGTTGCTCTGAAATCCCTCCTGGAACCTCCCAGAGGCTTGGGAGGGGTGGGGGCGGGGCGCGGCCTGGAATGTTAGAGGCCGCCCTTTTCTTTTTTTTTCTGAGACGGAGTCTCGCCCTGTCGCCCAGGCTGGAGTGCGGTGGCGCGATCTCGGCTCACTGCAACCTCCGCCTCCCGGGTTCCCGCCATTCTCCCGCCTCAGCCTCCCGAGTAGCTGGGACTACAGGCGCCCAACACCACGCCCTGCTAATTTTTTTTTTTTTTTGTATTTTTAATAGAGACGGGGTTTCACCATGTTAGCGAGGATGGTCTTGATCTCCTGACCTCATGATCCGCCAGCCCCGGCCTCCCAAAGTGTTGGGACTGCAGGCGTGAGCCACCGCGCCCGGCCAGAGGCCACTCTTTTCATAAAGCAGACCGGGAAACTGAGGTTCAGAGAGGGCAGGGTACCTGTCCATAGTCCCTCAGCTATTCTAAGACCAAGTCACGACCGGAATTCGCACTGAAGCTCACCGTACAATTTCCATGCTTTTGTTTTGTTTTGTTTTTGAGATGGAGTTTCGCTCTTGTTGCCCAGTCTGGAGTGCGGTGGCCCAATCTCAGCTCACTGCAACCTCCGCTTCCAGGGTTCAAGCGATTCTCCTGCCTCAGCCTCCCGAGTAGCTGGGGCTTCAGAAGTGGGCCACCATGCCCGGCTAATTTTTGTATTTTTAGTAGAGACAGGGTTTCACCATGTTGGCCAGACTGGCCTTGAGCTGACCTCAAGCGATCCGCCCGCCTTGGCCTCCCAAAGTACTGGGATTACAGGTGTGAACCACCGCACCCAGCAACAACCTCCATGCTTTTTAAAGCCGGAAGTCTTCACATAGTTGACGACTCCTCTCTGAGGCCTTGCGCTCCTGTGAGCCCTTTCTCCATCACTGCATCCCAGCAGCAGTTCCAAGTGTGGTTCCAGACCCCAAGTCTTTCAGGGAGTATGTGAAGTCAAAACTAGTTTCCTAACAATACTAAGAGGATATTTGCCTTTTTCACTCTTTCTCTTCCATGTGCACGGTGGAGTTTTCCAGAGACCACACGACATGCAACGCTACAATAGACGGACTGCAGAAGCAGCTCTGAGAAGCCAGCTGTCTTCTATTAAGGAAGACACTAAAGAGATTTGCAAAAATTGAAACCATGCATTCTACTCACTCATCTTTTATTGTTGTTCGTTTTAGAAAATACAGCTATTTTCATAAAACATATATAAATATATAATGGGTTTATTATTTTTAAATGAACTACAAATAATTTAAAAATGGAATACAAATAATTTTAAAATAATTATTAAAAAATAATTACAAAATAATTTTTAAATAATTGAACTACAAATAATTAAAATTTTTGTTTGTTTTCTGAGACAGAGTCTTGCTCTGTCACCCAGGCTTGAGTGCAGTGGCGCGATCTCGGCTCACTGCAACCTCCACCTCCCGGGTTCAAGCAATTCTCCTGCCTCAGCCTCCCAAGTAGCTGGGACTACAGGCATGCAGTACCACATCGGGCTAATTTTCGTATTTTTAGTAGACATGGGGTTTCACCATGTTGGCCAGGCTGGTCTCAAATTCCTGACCTCAAGTGATCTGCCCGCCTTGGCCCCTGCAAAGTGCTGGGATTATACGTGTGAGCCACCACGCCTCGCCTAAAAATAGTTTTGTTTTTTTTTTTTAAAGAATGTAAATGGTCCTGAGACCACAAAATTTCAGAGCAGCTGTTCTATGTAAAGTGCCTCCTCACAATCACTGCAATATCACCTTCTTGTATTTTATTTTATTTTTTTTAGACGGAGTCTCACTCTGTTGCCCAGGCTGGAGTGCAGTGACATGATCTTGGCTCACTGCAACCTCCGCCTCCTAGGTTCCAGCAATTCTCCTGTCTCAGCCTTCCGAGTAGCTGGGAGGCGTGTGCCACCACACCTGGCTAATTTTTGTATTTTTAGTGGAGACGAAGTTTCACCGTGTTGGCCAGGCTGGTCTCGAACTCCTGACCTCTGGTGATCTACCCCCCCCCCCCCAGCCTCCCAAAGTGCTAGGGTTGCAGGTGTGAGCCACTGTGTCCGGCTGTCCCTTTTTTATTTACTTCACAGTTCTTTTCACCAAAGACATTACTTTGTTTTCCTTCCGTCCGTCCTTCCTTCCTTCCTCCCTTCCTTCCTTCCTTTTTTTTTTCTTTTTCTTGAGACCAGGTTTTGCTGTGTTGCCCAGGCAGCTCTTGAGCTCCTGGGCTCAAGCATTCCTCCTGCCTCAGCCTCCCCAAAGTGCCGGGATTATAGGCGTGAGCCACCATACCTGGTCGACCTTGTTTTACTTTGAATGTGCTTATGAATCAATTGGGGATCCTTTTAAAGTGCAGATTTGTATTCCATAGATCTGAGGCAGGGCTGAGACTGTATTTCTAACAAGTTCTCAAATGATGCTGATGCTGCTGGTCTGGAAACCACACCTGGAGAACGCCTGCTCTAGACTTTCCCCTGTCCTTTGAGATGGTGCTTGCCTGAGACCTCTCAGGTGAAAGCAAATCAGATGGCTGTTCAATGTCAGCAATGAGGGAGAAAATTTATGCAATTAGGACCAGTTCCTCTCTGCTGGGACTAAGGATCACTGAAAGAAATTGAGGGTCAGCTAATTTGCAAAGTGGGAGAGGCAGAAAAAAATGGTGTCAGGCCCTAAGAGAAATTGGAGCTGGCTTTGAAAATACGCATTGAGTTTCAAACAGCAAACAAAAAAGCAATTCCTTTAACAAGCATTAAATTAGATATGCTAGGGGCTACATTGCTGAAAGTTACTCAGAAGACAGGTATTATGCTTATTCAGCTATAATTCTGGAATCAGCTAGAATCATCCCCAAATCTCAAAGCATGGTAGATAGTTGAATGGTGGGAATTTCAGTTTTCATAAAGAAACCTTTACTGGGGGTGGGGGCAGGATTTCTAAATATGCCATATAACATTTATGCAGTGAGGTGGAAAATATATTTAAAACCAAACTCTTTGTAACTGCATCTGCAATCTAAATTGGGGTGGTAGTATAATTTACGTCAGTGGAAAAATGAATCTCTATACTGGGTCTTTCCACTTATGAAAGGGAAGAAAGAAGACTGACATTGTAAAACCTCTGCTTTTGGGGTTACATTGCCAAACAAGGGATTACAATCTCAAAAGCTTCCAGCAGCTAGAGTGGTCACACAAACAAGAGAGGCTGGTGGGTTCTGGAGAAGAAGAAGGCCAAGCTATCTTGCCTGGCCAAAGTGGGCAGCCATTACTCAGCTACTCAACTTTAACTTGTTGCCGCCATTTTGATTGAACACACTCAGTTGTTGACTCTTCCCATTTTTTGAGAGACGCATGGAACGAGGGTTATATGTGAAATGTATCCTTTTCTTTGGTTTGTTTTGTTTTTAAACGTCAGAAAGAAAATCAGGCTGAGCGCAGTGGCTCATGTCTGTAATCCAAGCACTTTGGGAGGCCAAAACGGGTGGGTGGATTGCTTGAGTCCAGGCGTTCAAGACAACCAGCCTGAGCAATATAGGGAGACTCCCATCTTTCCAGAAAAAAAAGAAAGCCGGGCGTGGTGGCTGACGCCTGTAATCCCAGCACTTTGGGAGGCCGAGGCAGGTGGATCACCTGAGGTCAGGAGTTCAAGACAAGCCTGGTCAACATGATGAAACCCCATCTCTGCTAAAAATATAAAAATTAGCCGGGCGTGATGGCACGTGCCTGTAATCCCAGCTATTCAGGAGGCTGAGGCAGGAGTATTGCTTGAACCTGGGAGATGGAGGTTGCAGTGAGCCGAGATCGTGCCATTGCACTCCAGCCTGGGCGACAGAGTGAGACTAGGTCTCAAAAAAAAAGAGAAGAAAGAAGGGAGGAAAGAAGGGAGGAAGGAAGGGAGGGAGGGAGGGAGGGAGGAGAGAGAAAGGGAGAAAAGAAAGAGAGAGAGGGAGGGAAGGAAGGGAGAAAAGAAAGAGAGAGAGGGAGGGAGGGAAGGAAGGAAGAAAAGAAAAGAGGCCAAGTGTGGTGGCTCACGCCTGTAATCCCAGCACTTTGGGACACTGCAGTGGGCAGATCACCTGAGGAGACCAGCCTGGCCAACATGGTGAAACCCCGTCTTTACTGAAAATACAAAAAAAATTAGCCGGGTGTGGTGGAGCATCCCTGTAGTCCCAGCTACTTGGGAGGCTGAGGCAGGAGAATTGCTTGAACCTGGAAGGTGGAGGTTGCAGTGAGCAGAAATCTCGCCAATGCACTCCAGCCTGGGCGACAGAGCAATACTCCATCAAAAAAAGGAAGGAAGGAGGGAGGGAGGGAGGGAGGGAGGGAGGGAGGGAAGGCAGGCAGGAAGGAAGGGGGTAATTAGACACACACACACACACACACACACACACACACACACACACACACACACACACTTTGTGCTGGGACAAACAAAGCCTAATCTCCCAAATTCTGAGATCAAAGGGTGGGAACAGAGTTAGGTGAGCCTTTCTTTAGCTAAGCACTGCTCGCTGACGTTCTCCAAGGCATGTCATTCCTGAGGAGGGTGTAGGAAAGTAAAATGCTTTGTCTAATCAAAAGAGAGATTTGAGTATTTTTGTGCAAAAGGAGCAGCCCAAAGTGAGATGAATCTAGAGAAATAGAGGAGCAGAAAAATGTGAGGGAGAGAAAGGAGAGTCAAGGAACTTGGAAGGAGGCTGGGGCCTGAAGAAGAAAGGGGCTAGTAGATCATTCCTAGTTAAAAATTGTGTGTGGGGGCCAGGTGCGATGGTTCATGCCTGTAATCCCAGCACTTTGGGAGGCCCAGGTGGGTGGATCACCTGAGGTCAGGAGTTTGAGACCAGCCTGATCAACATGGTGAAACCCCGTCTCTACCAAATATAAAAAATTAGCTGGGCGTGGCGGAGCATGCCTGTAATCCCAGCTACTTGGGAGGCTGAGGCAGGAGAATCGCTTGAACGCTGGAGGCGGGGGTGGCAGTGAGCCAAGATCATGCCATTGCACTCCAGCCTGGGCAACAAAATTGAAACTGTCTCAAAAAAAAAAAATTGTGTGTGTGCGTGGGGAAGGCAGGGTTAGGAGTTGGGCCTGTGTTAGGTGAAAGAGATTTGGGGGTTTAGGGGTGGAGACTGAAGGGAAGGAACTGTGTTGCACCATTTCCATGTTAGAGCTGAGCAGACAGAAGTTACCAACTTCAGTGAGGTGGCTCATGCCTGTAATCCTGACACTTTGGGAGGCTGAGGCAGGAGGATCACCTTAGCCCAGGAGTTTGACACCAGCTTGGACAAGCATAGCGAGACCCTGTCTCTAAAAAAACTAAAAAAAAAAAATTATCTGGGTGTGGTGGCTCATGCCTATAGTTTTAAATCCTCAGGAGGCTGAGGTGAGAGGATCACTTGAGCCCAGGAGGTTGAGGCTTCAGTGAGTTGTGATCATGCTAGTGCATGCCAGCGTGCATGACAGAGTGAGACCCTGTCTCTAAATAAATAAATAAAAATTAAAAATTAAAGAAAAAAGTTATCAGCTGCCTGAGATGAGATGCAGTTGAGATAAAATGGTGGGAACAGGACAGGCCTGGTGACTGAAAGAACACCAAATCCCAGGAACTTCCAGCTGAGGGACTTCGCTGAGGAGGTAAGTAGGGGCCTTCAGTCATTTCTGTGTTTCAAAGAGTAGGCAAGACTCCACCCTTGGTAAAGGGCCCTGAGCCGTTACCTTACTCAGGGTCAGCTCCTGGTGCCACTGTTCACCTTATCTACCATTTGAGTGAAGTCATTTAGCATCCCTGGGCCCCAGCTTCCTTTTAAAATGGGTAATAATGACATCTGTGTCACCTTCCCTCCAGGGTTCCTGTGAGGCATAATTGGGGTATTAAATGAGAAATGCTTTGTAAAATGGAGAGCTCCAGATAAATGGGAGGTATCAGTTAACAGTTCATATTCAATTGATCTGAATGACAGCACCAGTATAATAATAACCTACAGCCGGCACTCCATACGAAGCACTTACTGTGTGTTATCTGACTGAAACGTTACAACCTTGACGGAATATTGCTGTCCTGATTACACACGGAAGAAAACGGAGATTCAGAGAGATAAAGTAACTTGCCCATGGTTACTTGGCTAGCAACTGGTAGAACCAGCCATGAATGACTCTTTTATTCTTAACCACTTTGTGTCATGTTATTTTAATAATCATTCTTAACATTATGCTAGCCTGCATCTTGAAGAATATATAATATGGCTGGATGCAGTGGCTCACACCTGTAATTCCAACACTTTGAGAGGCTGAGGTAGGAGGATCTTGAGCCTAGGAGTTCAATTCCAGCCTGGGCGACATAGCAAAACCCCATCTTTACAAAAAATACAAAAATTGGCCGGGTGCGGTGGCTTATGCCTGTAATCCCAGCACTTTGGGAGGCCGAGGCAGGCGGATCACGCGGTCAGGAGATCGAGACCATCCTGGCTAACGTGGTGAAAGCCTGTCTCTACTAAAAATACAAAAAAATTAGCCGGGCGTGTTGGCAGGTGCCTGTAGTCCCATCTACTGGTAGTCCCAGCTACTCAGGAGGCTGAGGCAGGAGAATGGTGTGAACCCGGGAGGCGGAGCTTGCAGTGAGCCGAGATCACGCCACTGCACTCCAGCCTGGGCGACAGAGCCAGACTCCATGTCAAAAAAAAAAAAAAAAAAAATACAAAAATTAGCTGAATGTGGTGGTGCGAACCTGTGCTCGCAATTACTAGAGAGGCTGAGGTGGGAGGATCAATTAAGCCTAGGAGGTCGAGGCTGCAGTGAGCTGTGATCACACCACCACACTCCAGCCTGGGTGACAGAGCAAGATCCTATCTCATACACACACACACACACACACACGGACACAAACACACATATATATTATGGGTACGGTGGCTCATGACCATAATCCCAACACTTTGGGAGGCTGAGGCAGGAGGATCACTTGAGCCTAGGAGTTCAAAACCAGCCTGAGCAATATGGTGAGACCCCCATCTCTACAAAAAAATAAAAATAAGTTAACCAGACATGGTGGCATGCACTGTAGTCCCACTCTGGAGGCTGAGGTGGGAGGATTTCTTCAGCCCAGGAGGTCAAGGTGGCAGTGAGCCGTGGATCATGCCCCTGAACACCAGCCTGGGTGAAAAAGTGGGACCCCGTCTCAAAAAAAAAAAAAAAAAATATATATATATGTATATATATAATATGTTAGTATATACTGGTAGTGGTGGTAGTGGTTCTTCACTAAGATTTTAAAATATCATTTTGGGCTGGGTGCAGTGGCTCACGCCTATAATCCTAACACTTTGGGAAGCTGAGGCGGGTGGATCAGCAGAGGTCAGGAGTTCAAAACCAGCCTGGCCAACATGGGGAAACCCCATCTCTACTAAAAAAAATACAAAAAAATGCCGGGTGCGGTGGCTCACACCTGTAATCCCAGCACTTTGGGAGGCCGAGGCGGGTGGATCACAAGGTCAGGAGTTCGAGATCAGCCTGGCCAACATGGGGAAACCCCATCTCTACTAAAAATACAAAAATTAGCCAGTGTGGTGGTATGCGCCTGTAATCCCAGCTACTTGGGAGGCTGAGGCAGGAGAATCGCTTGAACCCAGGAGGCACAGAGGTTGCAGTGAGCTGAGAACGTGCCATTGCACTCTAGCCTGGACAACAGAGTGAGACTCCATCTCAAAAAAAAAAAAAAAAATTAGCCGGGCATGGTGGTAGTCGCCTGTAATGCAAGCTACTTGGGAGGCTGAGGAGGGGAGGATCACTTGAACCCGGGATGTGGAGGTTGCAGTGAGCTGAGATTTCACCATTGCACTCTACCCTATGTGACAGAGCAAGACTTGGTCTTGAAAAACAAAAACAAAAACAAAAACAAAAAAAACCCATCATTTTGGTCTTTCATTTGAAATCTCTCTAGTAAATACCTATTATGTGCTATGTATTTGGAACACCTCCATGAGCAAAAGACACAGGGTCTCTTGCCCTCATGGAACATACAGGGTAACAATAGAAAAAAGGTATTAAACAATTACAATACTGGGTGCCAAAGGGGAGGTACTTTGGGTTCAAGGAGGAAAGGACACCTTAGCTGAGGCCTAAAGAATCAAGGAAGGGTGGGAGAGTGTTCCAGGCAGATGAAATAAATAGCAATGAGAAGGCCAGGAAGCAGAGCATGCATGAGGCGATGGAGGAAATGAAAGTAATACCCTGTGGTCCACTTTGGAGGGTGGGGTGGGCAGTGGTGAGAAATGACACTGGGGAGGGGGTCTGGGACTAGACTGCACAGTGGCCTTGTGAGTCATGTTGTCATATATAAATATATAACATATATTTTATATATAATTTATATATTTTAGTTATGCATTAATATTTATCATATGTAATTTTATATGTGTATGTATTACCTATAATATGTATAAATGTATGTATACATGTGTATCTATGTAATTTTTCCTTAGAAACGAAACCAGTTTGAGCCCCACTAAAAAAAATTAAAAATAATTTAAAAAAACCTAAACCATAATCACGCATAATACTGTTTCTTTTCTTTTTTTTTATACTTTAAGTTCTAGGGTACCTATGCACAACGCGCAGGTTTGTTACATATGTATACATGTGCCATGTTGGTGTGCTGAATCATGCATAATACTGTTTCTTAATCCTTATTGAGATAAAATTGACATACAACAGATGACGTGCATTGAAAGTCTACAATTTGATGAGTTTTGACATTTGCATGCACCTGGGAAACCATCACCACAATCAAAGAACAGAGAACTCCATCAACCTCAAAATTTACTCATGCTGGGTTGGGCACAGTGGCTCATGCCTGTAATCTCAGTACATTGGGAGGCTGAGGTGAGAATTGCTTTAGCCCAGGAGTTCGAGACCAGCCTGGGCAATATAGCGAGACCCTGCCTCTACAAAAAATACAAAAATTAGGCAGGCGTCGTGGTGCACACCTGTAGTCCCAGCTACTCAGGAGGCTGAGGTGGGAGGATTGCCTGAGCCCAGGAGGTCGAGGCTGCAGTGAGCCTTAATAGCTCCACTGCACTCCAGCTTGGTTGAGAGTGAGACTTGGTCTCAAAAAAAAAAAAAAGTTTACTCATGCTTTTGTGACACCTCACTCCTGGCCCTCTCAGTCCCCTGGCAACCATCCTTCTGTTTTCTGTTGCGTTTTCTAGAATTTTGTAAATCGAATGTATCATGTATATGAAATCATATAATCTGTACACTTTTAAAACGTAGCTTCTTTCCCTCACATAACTACGGCGAGAGTCATCTGTGTCACTGCACATGTCAAAGGTTTGTTCCTTTTCGTTGCTGTAGTATCCTGCACTGTTTTGAAACCTGTTTTGTTCCTTAATATATCAAGATAGCTGGGATCTAGGTCAAACTGCCAAAGTTGAAATATCAGTCATGCTGTTTATAAGTGGGTGAGTTTGGGCAAGAAACCTCGATATGTTACCCAGTTTCCCTTGAGCTTAATGGCCATGTCTGTAAAATGGGCTAACAGTAATAGTCACAAGGGAGGCAGGTTGTGTGAGATGATGTATATGCCTGTGTATAGCAATTGCTCAATAAAAGTTATCAAGAATATGATTGCTATTACTACTATTACAATTCACACCTGGAGCATTTTAAGAAAACATCAGACACAGTCGTGGAACATGGATGTGCCCCTGAGTGTAGGAGGGAGAGAGCCGGGGCCAAGTTCCCTTCTGATAACATCATGGGCTCCAAGGTGGCCATGGCTGGTTCCTTCACCCTTTTGGTCCCCAGATTCTCCTTCTAGGGAACAATGGCATCCAGAAGTGGGGGTTGGGTGGAAAAAGAGATTAGAGAGTCTCTACAGACAAGAGAAAAGGGAAGCTAGCTCACTGCAATCAATTTGATTACCAGGCAGTCATGCCTCCTCATTTGAACCCCAAAGACCCACGTCTTCCTCGATTGCTCACTCAACTAACAGATTAAATCATCTCTAACACGCAATGACTGTGTTATGTTTAAAAAGAAGCGTTTCCAAGGCTCACATACAAAGGAGGTGCCCGCCTTGTGTCTTGACCACAGTGATATAAAAATTAACTGCATTGATCATATCCTTCCTGGGCTCCACTTTATCATCCTTCTGGGCTAGGTGGTCAGTAGCAAAGAGAGCCATGGAGTCGCATAGAAATATACCCAGCCACCCCAGCTTTAGAGTCAGGTGAGTCCTGGGTTCAAATCCCACTCCCACCGCATGTTAGTACTTGTACCTGAACCAGTTACTTGAACTCCTCAAGGGATCATATTTTAAATGGGGATAAACATGACGCCTCACATCATGGGTATGTCGTGAAGGCTGAAGCACAAGTGGAGTGGACAGTCCTGAGCATAGTGCCTGGCACAGGGGAAATGCTGCACATAGGAAGTAAAGGGGTTACCGTCAACCTCTGAGCGTTGCATGTGTGCATGTAACGTGTGCGTGTGCATGTGTGTGTTGTGTGTGTGTGTGTGTATGTTTAAAATAAGCATGTTCTCTAACTCTAAGCCTTCTGTCTTTATGGTCCTCCTGAAATCACACCTTGAACAGCAGCCTGCCTATTTTAGGCAGCTCACCAGCTGGACGTGATGTCCCATGAGCAACAGTCAGAAGGAAGTGAGGATGTGTAAGCTGGGAGCTAAGTGGGACATGATCATTGTCATCAGGAAGGGCTGCCATAGGAAAGGTGCTTTAATTCACACTGTTTCAACCCAGAGGACTAAGACCCATGGGCGAATGCCTCTAGGAGGCAGAGGAACAACTGTCTTGCAATCAGAGAAGTCAAAAAAAAGAAGGGGACTGCCTCAAGGCTTACTCAGCTGCCTGTGTGGATGTGTTCAAGCTGAGGCTAGGTGACCAGGTGTCAAAAATGTGGTCAAAGTGATTCCTGATGTAGGAAGTTGGACCAGACGAGTAGCTTTCAGCTGGATACAGAGGAGGTGGTGGGCAGGGCTCGGGGTCTCCACACTCTTACAGCTACCACAGCACTTCCTCTTTTGTCTGTTTTATATATTTGGGCTCCTGAAGATTTGAAGATTTAGCTATTTAAAATAAGAGGTTGTGGTGTTTTTTTTTTTTTTTTTTTTTTTTTTTTTTTTTTTTTTTTAAGCCCCTGGCCTGGATGACTTTTTGAGGCCTCTTGGAACTTTGGGGCTCCAAGTCGATGATTCAGAATTGCCTGTGACCTTGTGTATTTGTCAGAACTCTTTTTGGTTGCAAGTGTCAAAACTCCTCTCAATGTGGCTAAAGCAAGAAGTGGATTTAAGTAACTTGAGAAGCCTGCAGGGCTGTTGTGGTAGTTCGCAGAACTGGAAAACAGAGTGCAGCAGCCATGGCCTCCAGGACTAGAACCAGCAACCCAGGGCTGCCCAGACTCTCTTTCTTTGTCTGGCTCTTGGCTCTGCTTTTCTCACTTCTCTCTGAGTTGGCCTCTGGGGCACATGGCAGCCAGCAGCCCCAGTTGTGGGAAAGGGATTTGGCTCAGGTCATCCATCTGGGCCCACATTTTGAGCTCTCAGTTACCTCTGGCAATTTAGAAGATGGAGAAGTGGGTCAAGTTTAAACAAACAAAC
The DNA here is from genome assembly GCF_000001405.40 of Homo sapiens. NCBI lineage: Eukaryota > Metazoa > Chordata > Mammalia > Primates > Hominidae > Homo > Homo sapiens. Next base: position 5,038,710 of record NC_000003.12, read on the forward strand.
GAAAAATGGAATAGGGGAGCTGGGAGTGGTGGCCTTTTCCTATAGTCCCAGCTACTTGGGAGGATGAGGCTGGAGGATGGATGGAGGCCAGGAGCTTGAGGCCAGCCTAGGCAGCACAGTGAAAATGCCTCTCCCCTGACCCTGTCTCTACAAAAAATACATATTTTAAGTTGGCCCAGCATGGTGGTGCCTGCCTGTAGACCTAGCCACTTGTGAGGCTGAGGCAGGAAGGTTGCTTGAGCCTAGGAGTTTGAGGTTACAGTGAGATATGATCATACCACACTGCACTCCGGCCTGGATGACAGAGTAAGACCCTGTTTCTAAACAAAAAAACAAACAAACAGGCTGGGTGTGGTGGCTCATGCCTGTAATCCCAGCACTTTGGGAGGCCAAGGCGGGCAGATCACTTGACGTCAGGCGTTTGAGACCAGCCTAGCTGACATGGTGAAACCCTGTCTCTACCAAAAAATATAAAAATTAGCTGGGCGTGGTGGCACGTGCCTGTAATCCCAGCTACTCGGGAGGCTGTGGCAGGAGGGTTGCTTGAACCTAGGAGGCAGAGGCTACAGTGAGCCAGGATGGCGCCACTGCACTCTAGCCTGGGTGACATAGCAAGACTCTGTCTCAAAACCAACCGACCAACCAACCAACCAACAGACAAACAAGGAATAGGGTTCCTCAGTTTGGGGGCTGGTGAAAAAGAACACTGAACAGGAAGACAAGAGACTTGAATTTGAATCCCCAAATATGCTTGTGCTACTGATCAGCTGCAAGCCAGAAGCGTCTTTTCAAAAGGCAGATCCAACTGTGTCACTCCTCTGCTTGGATCATTTCAGTATCCCCCGAGAACGTTCACATCTCTCACCAAGGCCAGCAAGCTCCTATGTGTCTGCCTCGCTCTGTAGCTGCTCTTTGTACCTCTCTTCACCTTGTGGCTCTGCCAGTTTCTTACAGGTTTCAGGCTTCTTTGCAAAAGCTGTCCCCTCTTCTGGAGCACCTGTTCCCTTCTCCCTTTTTGAGCCAGTACCTACTCTTTCCTGCTGGTTGCAGCTTCACCTCTTTGGTGAAGCTTTCCCTGATTGCCAGTAGGTCAGACCTTTTTGGAACACACCCTCAATGCACTCTAACTTCTTCAAAGCACTTCTCCCCGTGAAAATGAATAATCACATTTAGGTTGGCCATTAGACTGTAAGCTCTGTGAAGGGCCAGGTACCATATTTGCCTGGTTCATCTGTATCCACAAACCTAGCAGAATTCTTAGTACATAGTGAGAGCCCATTAAGGATTTATTTATTTTATTATTATTATTTTCAATACTGCTCCTTCTGTACATTAAGTATGTATTGATAGACTCAGTGAGAGTCTGAGAACCCATTGTGGGCCTCCATTTTCCCATTCGTAAATGTCAGGATTGTGTAGGTGTCAAATTCTATGATTCTAAGAGTCTTCAATGTGAAGCACCTGGGTAAAGAGGGAGCTAGTGTCAGTGGGTGGAATTTGGTTAAATCCCAGAGGGTGCTGCATTTTATTTGAAGCTTATGAAAGAAAAGGCTAGCTGGGGCCATCTGGTCTGGTAACAGGTGGACTCAAAAACGAAGAGGAGAAGTTCACTTAAAAAGCAGCCCTGTCTGCAAAAAAAAACTCACACTCCTTCCCTGAAGAAGGCTGTCACTGGTTTCTCTCTCTGGCTCTGACATATGCTTCAATCCCTCGCTCCTAAACGTGGTTGATATTCAGAGCTTGCTCCATGTGAGGAGAGCTGCTATGAGAACTGCAAACAGTTTCTCTGAGAGCAATTAGCAGAGGAAGAATTCGGCATTGCCTTCAGGGCCAGAGTCTTTGTACTGTGTGTCAATGGTTCCAATCTGGACACCACTGGCTCAGAGCAAGACAGTGGCCCTGGTTGTGCTGCAGACAGACAGGGTCTTCTGAGGGTTTGTCTGTAATAAAGAACCTACTAGCTCAACAATAGGTGGGCATTTGTCTTGCCTGCAGGGTAGACTCTGGAGACTGGGTTCAAATCCTGCCTCTGACCCTTACTACTTACACAATCTTGAACAAATAACTGAACCTCTTTGGGCCTCAGTTTCCCCATCTGTCAAATGAGGATAGTAATAGTACTTACTTCTTTTTTGGTATTTTTTTTTTTTTGAGACAGAGTCTTGTTCTGTTGCCCAGACTGTGCAGTGGCCCAGACTCGGCTCACCTCCGCCTACCAGGTTCAAGGATTCTCCTGCCTCAGCCTCCCAAGTAGCTGGGATTACAGGCACCCACCACAACGCCTGGCTAATTTTTGTATTTTTAGTAGAGGTGGGGCTTCGCCATGTTGGCCAAGCTGGTCTCGAACTCCTGACCTCAAGTGATCCACTCACCTCGCCTTCCCAAATTGCTAGGATTAGACGTGAGCCACCGTGCCCGGCCTGGGATAGTAATAGTACCTACTTAGTATTGTACTGAGAAGTAAATGAGCTGCTTTGTGTAAAGTTCTTAAAATGGTTCCAGGTCCATACTAAGCATCATATAAATATTTCTAGTTGTATGTTATGAAAAATCTTCTCAACGCCTAATCTGGTATCAGACAACTGGACTAGTACTTCTCAAATGGTGGTATTAATATTAATAATTCAGTTTCCTTTAATTCAGCAATTATTGAGCTATATGGCAGGCACAGTGCTCGGCACTGGGGATTCCAACATGAATAAGAAATGCCTCGAACTTTAGAAAGCAACAGATGTGAACAAATATAGATAGTATAATGTACTGGGTAGAGTAGTGGGGTGACCTCTCTCTATACTGCTGGTGCCCCAAGTGGTTAGCCCAGGTGATGAAGCTCCTAGCCAGGGGTTAGGGAATGGTTGTTTTTTATTTATGCTATCTATTTCACTGAAGATTTCTCCCCTCATATCTTGTATCATTTTTTTTATTTTCTTAAATTGGACTTGACTTTTCTCTGGTGCCTCCTTGATTAGCTAAATAATCGACCTTCTGAATTCTTTTTTTGGCGATTCATGGATTTCTTCTTAATTTGGATCCATTGCTGAGGAGCTTGTGTGATTTTTTGGGGAGTGTTTAAGAACCTTGTTTTGTCTTTCTGATTTGAAAGAATTGTCTGGTTTGAAAGAATTGTCTTTCTGGTTCCTTTTCATTTGGGTAGGCTGTGTCAGAGGAAGATCTGGGGCTCAGGCTGCCCCAGATGTTCAGATTCTTTTTTTTTTTTTTTTTTTTGAGACCGAGTCTTGCTCTGTTGCCCAGATTGGAGTGCAGTGGCACGATTTCGGCTCACTGCAACCTTTGCCTCCCAGGTTCAAGCAATCCTCCTGCCTCAGGCCCCCTAGTAGCTAGGATTACAGGATTACAGACACGCCCCACCATGCCCAGCTAATTTTTGTATTCTTAGTAGAGACAGGGTTTTGCCATGTTGGCCAAGGCTGGTCTCGAACTCCTGACCTCAGGTGATCTACCTGCCTCGGCCTCCCAAAGTGCTGGGATTACAGGCATGAGCCACTGTACATGGCCTGTTCAGAATCTTTTGTCCCACAAGGTGTTCCCTTGACGTAATACTCTCCCCTTTTCCTAGGCCTATCCTGGACTGTGGGCATCACAGTTGTGGGAAAATTAGAACTGACCTAAACGTCCAAAGTGAGCACTTGGTTGAGTGACTTGGTGTTCACTGTAGTGCTTAACAACAAAGTGGTAGGTTTATTTCATGGAACAATCCTCAGGATACATTTTTGAACAAAAAAAGCAGATACGAAAGAGTACAATCCTATTTTTTGCATTAAAATAATAAAAGTGGGATTACCCTTATTCGGTCCCAGCACCACTATTTACTAGCTGTGTGATCTTGTACAAGTTCCTTCACTTTGACTTATCTCAGCTTCTCAAGCCATAACATTAGGATGATGAAGAGTCACTGCTTCATAGAACTATCGTGAGGTCAAATTAAATCATCCACATGAAGCATTGAACCTAATTCTTGGCATGAATGAGGCGCACAGTAAGTGATAGCTTTTATCATGACATGTACAGGGAAAAGTGTCTGGGTCAGTGCACCTCAGCATAGTCATAACAGCTCTCTAAGTAACTGGACTAGAAATTATTTTAGTTTTCTTTTTGCATGGCTGTATTTTCTAAATTGCCACAGTGAGCATAAATGACTTGTGTAAAAAGAAGAAAGAAAATGAGTCTTGATTGTTGTCCTGCTCCTAGCTGTGCTTGGCATATAAATATTTTTGCAGAGTAAATGTTTTTAGAGTACATGCAAAGTAAATATTTTTAAAGTAATTGATTGGATATTCATATGGCCAGGTCATACAATTTAAGAGGCTTCATTCACATCAAAATACAGTTCTTGGCTGGGTGCGGTGGCTCACGCCTGTAATCCCAGCACTTTGGGAGGCCAAGGCAGGCAGATCACCTAAGGGAAGTAGTTTGAGACCAGCCCAGCCAACATAGTGAAACCTCATCTCTACTTGGAAAAAAAAAAAAAAAAAACTGCCGGGCCTGGTGGCGGCACCTGTAATCCAGCTACTCAGGAGGCTGAGGCAGGAGAATCACTTGAACCCAGGAGGTGGAGATTGCAGTGAGCCGAGATTGCACCACTGTGCTCCAGCCTGTACAACAGAGCAAGACTCCATCTCAACAAACAAATAAACAAAAAAAACAAAACAAAACCAGTTCTTTAGTTTGCTAAGGATTACCACACTTAAAGTTTAAAAAAAGTTTTAAAAATAAATGATTTCCTATATTCTTTCAGTATTGTTTCATGAATCACTTATAAAAAACTGGAATCTTCAAGTTTAGAAGCTGTTTTCTATTAAAGATTACATTTTTACTTTAATTGATATCAGTTGCATTAGTGGGGACTCTGACATACAAATTGGAGGCATTCAAATGAAACCAGTTTAAGCAATAAGAACAGAAAGATTTATTTGGGTTCTTATAAATAAGAATCCCTAGATATTTGGTCTTTTGAGGGGAACAGATGATTTAATCATGCTTCTCTAATTCTATACAATAAATGAGATGGCTGCTGGTGGCCCCTATGTTACAATCTGAGGAAAAAAAGAAATATTTTTAATAGCTGTAGTAAAAATCCCAGGGAAGTCTCTGATTGGTCAATGGGTCATGTGGCCACCTTTGGGTGAAGGTTGGGGGTAACGAACTGAATATATTAATATGAAATAGGATGAGGGATGGAGCTCAAAGAAAATATTGCTGATCAGACCACAAAACAAATGGTCACTATGCATGAACAACCAGGCACCCCGTTTCCAGGAGAAGGTTCTTCATAAGGGTCTTTGACTTCACTGGAAAAGCAAAGCTACGTAAAATGCAAGAAATTATGATTTTATTGACAGAATTGAACATCATGCAGATTCCAGTCTTTCTGGATTACGGGGAGGAAAAAGGTAGAAGATAAGTATTGAAATAATGCCTCGTGATTAGCCATTGAATATATGTGTCATACAGCAAATCTAAGTTTTAGTTTTTGATCTGCCATTTATAGACATCTCCAGGCCCCAGTTAACTCTTTGGTAAAATTAGAGAGCTGGCTTTGATGATCCATAACATCTGTTTGCTTGAAGATGCTACGATTCCAGACATCAGTACACAAAGACAAATTCTGTCTGAATTTCAAAGTAACTCTCATTTTCGCAGGCCTATAATGTTCTAAATGATACCAACCTTCAAGGAGTAATTTCACAGAATGAATTCTTAGGAAGTAAAGAACATTATGTAACTCAGAAATAGTAGCTATAATTATTGATTATGCACTGTGCTGAATAATCACCCCTTACCTTTGCATAGTTTATTTCATTTGGCCTTCACAACAATTCTGAGAGGTAGTATAATAGGTAAAATAATGATCCCCTGGAATGATGTCCATATCTTATTCCCTAGCACTTGTGGATATGTTAGGTTATATGGCAAAGAGGAATTAAGCTTACAGATGGAATGAGTGTTGTTAATCATCTGGCCTTGAGAAGGGGAGATTATCCTGGATGGTCCCAAGGTAATCACAAGGGTTCTTGTAAGTGAAAGAGGGAGGGAGGAGAGTCAGAGGCAGAGAAGGAGATGTGATGACAGAAGCAGAGGTTGGAGCAATGCAATCGTTGCTGAATTTCAAGATGAGAGGGGCCCATGGGCCAAGGAATACAGGTGGCCTCTGGTAGCAAGAACATGGATTCTCCTCCAGAAGGAACACGGACCTGCAGACATATTGATTTTGGACCAGTGAGACTAATTTCATCTGACCTCCAGAACTGTAAAATAATAAATTTGCCTTGTTTTAAGCCATTAAGTTCGTGGTAATTTGTTGTAGTGGCAATAGGAAATGAATAGAGGTAGATATTAAAAACTCAAGTTACTGGCCAGGTGCGGTGGCTCACGCCTGTAATCCCAGCACTTTGGGAAGCCGAGGTGGGCAGATCACCTGAGGTTGGAAGTTTGAGACCAGCCTGACCAACATGGAGAAACCCCCTCGCTATTAAAAATACAAAATTAGCCGGGCATGGTGGCGCATGCCTGTAATCCCAGCTACCTGGGAGGCTGAGGCAGGAGAATCACTTGAACCTGGGAGGCAGAGGTTGTGGTGAGCCGAGATTGCACCACTGCACTCCAGCCTGGGTGACAGAGTGAGTGACTTTGTCTCAAAAAAAAAAAAAAAAAAAAAGAATTTGAGCTTGAGTGTGCTTGAATTTAAAGGCCATGCTCTTAACCACAGCACTGTAATTTTTTTCCTACAACATCCAGAGTGTGAGTGCTGCATTTTTTGAGTGCCGACTATATGATACAATGTTGGGCCCTGCAGGTCACAAAGAAGTACACAAACATAATCCCCAGCCTCAGGGAATTTATGATCCCATAGTGGGTTAACAATGAAACAGTATTACTTCCCTTTTATTGGAACTACTGAGGCCCAGGCCCTTCACATATATAATCTTAGGACTATTACCCTTATCATGAAAAGGAAGACTCTGTTATGGGCTGAATTATGTCCCTCCAATCTCAAATTCATATGTCGAAGTCCTAATTCCCAGTACTCCAGAATGTGTCTGTATTTGGAGATACAACCTTTAAAGAATTAATTAAGGTAAGATGAGGTTTTATGTGTGGGTCTAATCCAAGATGACTAGTGTCTTTATAAAAAGAGGAGATTAGGATACAGACACACACAGAGGGAAGCCCTAGCTGAGGACAGAGGCCTCAGAGGAAACCCACCCTGCTGATACTTTGATCTTAGATTTCTAGCCTCCAGGCTCCAAGAAAATACATGTTTGTTGTTTAAACCACCTAGTCTGTGGTATTTAGTTATGGCAGCCCTAGGAAATGAATATACTATCCATAAGTAAATGGACTTACTGTTAGCCAAGTTACACGATCAGAACTAGAAGAGTTGTTTACTCTGGGTTTCAGTGGCTAATTCTAAAGCAGGGCTAAGGAATTCAGGAGTGACTTCTCTACTCTAGTCGATTCATTTCCAGCCATTTCAGTGTGTGCAAGGCCTTGGGTCTCAGCACTCTAGGAGTCCAATGTGACCTCTCTCTGTTGCTTGAATCTTTCCTTTTCTTCTCTTCATATCCCATGCTCCCCTCAGTCTATTCAATTTCTTTTTTTTTTGAGATGGAGTCTTGCTCTGTTGCCCAGGCTGGAGTGCAGTGGTGCGATCTCGGCTCACTGCAACCTCCGATTCCAGGGTTCAAGGGATTCTCGTGTCTTAGCCTCCCAAATAGCTGGGATTACAGGCGCACACCACTGAGTCTGGCTAATTTTTGTATTTTTAGTAGAGATGGGGTTTCGCCATGTTGGCCACGCTAGTCTCGAACTCAGGTGATCCGCCTGCCTCGGCCTCCCAAAGTGCTGGGATTATAGCCGTGAGCTACTGCACCTAGCCAGTCTATTCAATTTCGTTACCCCCCTCCTTTCATATAGGGTCTAGCCTTTTCTTTCATTTAATCTCTAGAGTGGCTTCTCTGTCTAGTTCTACTAGATGGGGCCTGAATCTTTTTTTTTTTTTTAATTTTAAGTTACTTTTTTTTTTCTTTTTTTTTGAGATGGAGTCTCACTCTGTCACTCAGGCTGGAGTACTGTGGTGTGATTACAGATCACTGTAACCTCAACCTCCCAGGCTCAAGTGATCCTCCCACCTAAGCCTCCCAAGTAGCCGGGACTAAAGGGTACGCCACCATGCCCAGCTAATTTTTGAATTTTTTTGTAGAGACAGGACAGGGTTTTGCCATGTTGCCCAGGCTGGTCTCGAACTCCTGGGCTCAAGCAATCCACCTGCCCTGGCCTCCTAAAGTGCTGGGATTACAGGCATGAGTCACTGTTCCCAACCTGGGGCTTGAATCTTAAAGGCAATTTGGGGAGGGGATAATAATTCTGTACTGTAGTCTAGTTTTAGAGTGAATTAACAGCCAGGCAGAGTGGCTCACACCTGTAATCCCAGCATTTTGGGATGCCAAAGTGGGAGGATCACTTAAGGCCAGGAGTTTGAGACCAACCTGAGCAACAGAGCGAGACACCTAACTCTATGTAAAAAAAAAAAAAAAAAGAAACTCTTTTATTTTTTAAAAAACAGAGTAAATTATCTAGGAAGGAATCAGTCAGACTTTCACAGCAAAGATTTGCCTTCTGTTGATAAATCTCCTATACCTCCCATCTCCTTCTTTTCCAGAGTCTCTGTCCCCTTATTTAAATATATTTGCTAAGGTGTGTATCATTCAGGAGAAGCTAGGTTTTGCTACAGTAACAACTTCCAATTTCATTGGCTTAACACATCCAAGTTCATTTCTTATTCACACTATATATATAATGCTGGCTTCAGAGGCCTCTATTTATTATAGTCCCTGGGGAATCCAAGTTGATAGAGTTTTCATCTACACACCCTTGATGGCTTAGATAGGAAAAGAGGGCATGGAAAGACACACACCACTTCCACTCACATTTTATTGGCCAAAGCAAGCCAAATACTTGCACCTTACTTCAAAGGAGACAGGGAAGTGTAATGCTACTGATTGGCTGTGTCCCCACCCAAATCTCATCTTGAGTTGCAGTTTCCATAATCCCTATGTGTCATGGGAGGCACCCGGCAGGAGGTAATTGAATCATGGAGGCAGTTACCCTCATGCTGTTCTCATTATAGTAAGTGAGTTCTTATAAGATCTAATGGTTTCATAAGTGGCTTTTCCCCTTTGATCAGCACTTCTCCTTGCTGCTGTCATGTGAAGAAGGGCATGTTTGCTTCCCCTTCTGCCATAATTGTAAGTTTCCTGAGGCCTCCCAAGCCATGCTGAACTGTGAGCCAATTAAACCGCTTTCCTTTGTAAATTACCCAGTCTCTTTATTAGCAGTGTGAGAACAGAACAGACTAATACACCTCCCGTGTGCCCAAAAAGAGAGAATGCAAATATTTGCAAACCTTCCTGATAACCCCTATGAGGGTGCCTTTGACTGCAAGTAACAAAACATCTGTCTGGAAGTGGCTAAAACAATGAGGATATTTATTATCTTATATTGGACATTTGCCAGCTTGGTTCATTCACTGGCCTAATGATATCATCAATCACCCAGGTTCCTTCTGTTTTCTGCCCTCCCAGTCTCAATTTGTTGCCCTAACCTCATAGGATGGCTCTCTTCATGGTCTGAAGTGGCTGCCTTCTTTCATGTGTCATGTAGAGACTGTTAGGGTAGATAGCTAGGCAGACATGAGCAGGGCAGGAGAGGCCCCTGCCCCAGGAATGTAAGGCAACCATCAGGTGTTCATCAGGTGATTGTTAAACCATCTCTAAAATAATAATTGGTCAGAGCTGGTGCCAGGGAAAAGTAGTCTCTCAATAGACAGAAAACACCTGAAGCTGATGATCAGCAGCTTCCTGATAAGATCTCAGGAGTTGGGCAAGTGGGCTCAAGCATGCACACTGAGAAGCAAAATGGCAAAGTTTAACTGGTATATGACCTTCATCTAGAAACACTTGACTGGTAAGGGAAAAATACCTCAAATGAGCATGTGCATAACTTCAGTAAACAGACTGTGCATGCAGCCCCTCCCAAGTTCTGGCAGGTCCCTGAGCATGTGGACAGCCCACCCTAAGGAAAAATCAAGGGAGAAGAAATGCAAACCCCAGAGCCATGCCAATGTATAAAACTCCAAGTCAAGGGTCAGAAGAGCAGGTACTTGGATCTCTCAAGTTGCCCATTTGGTCCTCTTCCAAGTGTACTTTACTTTCTTTTGTTCCTGGTCTAGTACTTTTTAATAAACGTTCATTCCTGCTTTAAAACTTGCCTCAGTCTCTTCCTCTGCCTTATGCCCCTTGGTCGAATTCTTTCCTCCGAGGAGGCAAGAATCAAGTTGCTGCAGACCCATATGAATTCACTACTGCTAACAAGATGACAACATCCAGGGATAGAAAGGGAAACATATCTATATTGTTCTCTTTTCTTCCTTTCATTCTTTTTTTTTGAGACAGGATCTGGTTCTGTAGCCCAGGCTGGAGTGCAGTGGTGCAATCTCGGCTCACTGCAGCCTTGACCTCCCAGGCTCAAGTGATCCTCCTGCCTCAGCCTCCTGAGTAGCTGGGACTACAGGCTCGCACCACCACCCCCAGCCATTTTTTTTTTTTTTTTTTTTTTTTGTAGAGACAGAGTCTCCCTATGTTGTTCAGGCTGGTCTCAAACTCCTGGGCTCAAGCAATCCACCTGCCTTGGCCTCCCAAAGTGCTGGGATTACAGGCATGAGCCACCATGCTCAGCCCCTTGTTTTCTTTTTTTAAAACAGTGAAAACCTTTCCAGAGGCTTCCCAACCAATTTTCTTGTCTCATTGGCCAGAATTGTATCACGTGCCCTTGTTTAAACTACCCACTTAACAGCATTAAGACCTGCGGACTGGCTTAAATGAGAAAAGATTCATTTCCTAGAACTGCCTAGGAGGGTAACCCTACAAAATAAAGGACATGGTCACTGAAAGGAGAGTAAACCAGACTGGAATTCTCTTTTTAATACAGTAGGCATGTGGAATTGCAGTTGGCTAGGAAACTAGCAGTATCTGCTATCCCTGGTGAGTGTGGGGAGACAAGAGGGAAAGCCGTTCTGCCACACGTCTGAGCTCACCGAATCATCATATAAACTTATGAAGTAGGTCCTTGTCCTGTTTCACAGATAAAAAATGAGGCATAAGACACACAGAGATCTATCTGACTCCAAAGTCCTGCTTGCTGCTCTTGGCCTGTCTGTGCCGCAACTACAATTACAGAATGGAACGTCAGAATCAATTTTTAAAAATCCTTTGGGGAAGGCAAAGGAGGAGGTGAATCCCCAGTTTCAGTTAATCAAGGATTAGCCCCGGTATAAATAGAATTTCCATGATCATATTGGCTGATCACTGAATTCCCTTACTGACGTCAGCCAAAGATCCCTTTATAACAAGGGACAGTGCCCACTTTGTGGGAGGAAAAAAGAGCAGGTGTGTTAATCTGCAACTTTATCCAGGACTAAATTTACCTTTAAAAGGAATGCAGGCAAGTTGTCTCTGAAGCAACTCTGTATTATTCCAGGGTCGAGGCAAAAATCCTCTGTGATTCTCTCCCCACCAATTTTCTTATTAGCCTCATCTCCATAAGAAAAATTTGCATCAATTTAAAATTCAACCCCTCCCGGCTGGGTGCGGTGGCTCATACTTGTAATCCCAGCACTTTGGGAGGCCGAGTCAGGTGGATCACTTGAGATCAGGAGTTCGAGACCAGCCTGGACAACATGGTGAAATCCTGTCTCTACTAAAAATACAAAAAATTAGCCAGGTGTGGTGGTGCACACCTGTAATCCCAGCTACCGGAGAGGCTGAGGCAGGAGAATTGCTTGAACCCAGGAGGTTGAGGTTGCAGTGAGCCAAGGTGGCGCCACTGCACTCCAGGCTTGGCAACAAAGTGAGACTCTGTCTCAAAAATAAATAAATAAAATTCAACCCCTTCCTCAGCCTTTGCTGATAGATGCACTGGCAAATGTCAGAGCCCACATCTAAGGATGCAGTTGGTGGGGTGGGGTGAGGAAATGTGGCAAGCATCTCTCAGGAGGCTCCGGGGCGGAAGAGGAAGTGCCCACCAATGGCTGAGCTGACCTCCAAGTTGAATCCCTCAGTCTGCATAGAGTGACTTGCTGCCCAATGCCAGACTGGGCACTTGATTTCAGACCTCTGGCCAGGTCATAAAGAAGCCCAGGTTGGCGCCACAGCTCATGCCGATAATTCCAGCACTTCGGGAGGCTGAGGTGGGAGGATTGCTCGAGCCTAGGAGTTTGAGACCAGCCTGGATAACACAATGAAACCCCATCTCTATTTCATAACAAACAAAGAAGACAAAACACCAAAAGCAAAGAAGCCCTGACGCGGGTCCTGCCCATACCTACTAGGTGGCTTTACCGTTTCTCAAGGCCCTCCTAAGTACCAGGCACTGGGTTAAGCACATTACTTACATCATCACACATAGTTCTTACTCCCACCCTCAGAGGTAGGTGATTTTCCCACGGATCAGTAAACCAAAGCTCATGACAGCAATGTGTCCAAAGCCGTAAGGAGACGGCAGAGTTGGGATTTTATCTGAGGTCTGGTTGCAAGCATAAAGCTCGTAACTACTGTGCCCTACTTCCTCTGCTCACCTAAAGAACTCAACTATATTTTCAGGTCCCCATGAAACATCTACCAGGTGGATGTGATATGACTCTCTCATAACAATTCAGAGAAATTAAAAAGATTTGCCCCAAGTGACACAGGTGGTAAATGGTGGAGCCGGGATTTGAACCTGAATCTGAGTAGCCTCACACCCAGAGCTGCCTCTGTCCATGAATAGCCTCCCCCATGAATTGCCTCGCTTAGTTTATGCTGCTGATCCCAGTATTCCCCGTGCCTGTGTGGCCTTCCACGTGGAGAGCCAGCTTCTTTATAACAGAGAATTAACACGTTTAAAAAGTCAGGACAGGGGAAGATTATGTTTGATATTATAAGCTGGTTTTCAGATATAGATGTATATGAATTATTTTTCCCTCTCTCTGAAATAGCTTTGGGTTTTCTAAAGTAGTCTTCTGCTATTAAAAATGCCCCATCCATTTTCCCAAGGTCTCTTCAGGTCGGTATATTTAAAAAAAGAAAGACTTCAACTTGTCACTCAGCTCTCATTTTGTATGAATCATAGCAGGACTCAATGTGGGGAAACAGCCTTGTTCTAAGAACCAGTAATAGAAGCTGGGGTTTGTCACCTTCACGGCTGCATTTCAAATCCCACTTGGGTGTTTGTTTGGGGCCCATGTGATGGTACATCCTTGACCCAGGGAGAACCGAGCAATTGGGCTGTGGCCACCTCAGTAGACAGGTGCCCAAGTCACAGAGGCAGCTGCCTCTGTGATCAAACCCTGGACAGAGGCCAAAGAGAAAGAGTTGTTAGAGGAATGGCTCTTTCTCCCTTCTTAGATGGTATTTCTTAGTCAGGGGTAATAAAATAATGACAACAATAATAACAGCAGCAGCTAACAGTCATTAAACACTGCTGTAATTATTCTCAATAGTGTTGTTGCTATTGTCACTACATTAATTAACTAATTCAACCATCAAAATACCCTATTAGTAGCAATTATTGTTGTAACAAAATGTGGTGCTTAGAGATCAGACAAAGGTCTCTAAGCAGAGAGACCTAAGTTTGACTCTTACTGTTACCTCTTGCTGATCCTGTCGGTCTGGGAAGTTACTCAAGTTAGGCCTCAGTTTTTCTCATCTGTAAAATGGAGACAATAAAATTATCTGTTCCATAGAGTTGTTGGGAGTAGGATTAGGTAGAATCGTGTATATAGTTCTTGGCTCAGAGTGACGGCTCAATGACTGGAAGTTGATATGTGGCCTAATGGTTAGGATAAAAAAAAAATTGGAAGTGATCATTAGTTATTGCAAGTAAAGTGCTGGCAAACTCAAATAGGCCCTACTGCCATTTCTGTACCTTCAAGAACAGCTAGCTTTCTAGAGCCAACCATTCTCTCTCTAAGCACCTAAAAGAATCTGAACTTCCCATGAATGATGATGTGGAAGGAAAAAGAATGAAATAATCTCTAGAAACAAACTATGGTTTCTTGCCCATGAACCAGAAAACGGTACTCAGCTATCTTATTTGGTAGATTTTAGCTCAGCAGGGTTTTGCGTGGTGGTGGTGGTGGTGTTGGTGAGGGTGAGGTGGTCTGGAACACAGGAGGTAGGGAGGAATCTTGTTTTTTGGCTTCCATTTCTGCCTTGGATTTAGTACCAAATGTATTTTCTCACCAGCAAGATCAAACAGATGGAAAAAAATAGTCAGACCTGTGCCCGACATGGCTCATGACATCCTGCTGGATGGCACGGAGGAGGAGAAAATAAATCAAAGTAGTTGCTACCACAGCCATTCGCATCTTAGAGGAGAGGACAACATAAATCTTTTCTGTGAGCTAGGCCCTGAAATAGGGTGAGAAATTGCTGCAAAATGAATATTCAGTCAGGAATGTTGGTGGCCTGGTTTTCTTAAGAGTGGAGCTTGTTTATGGATCTGATTATCTTTTAGGACAAACCCAGTAAACCCTGCTGTGAAGTTGTGGGCTCCTTCTCCCTTCCCATCCATGTTCCTTTCTATTAACACTCACTGAGGGCTAACCCTGTGCCAGGCACAGAGCTACACCCCTGAGGATATGGGGTCATGGATTTGACATAGTGCCTGCCCTCAAGAATGTACAGACTAGGGGAAGAGATGGACACTGAACAAATTATTACCCCAACAACCACAGTGAGAGATGCCAAGAAGGAGGCACCTCCAACAGAGCAGTATAAGAGTGAGTGAAGGCCACCCCGCCTAGTCTGGGGGTTCATGGACAACTTCTCCGAGGAAATGATATTTGAGCCAAGACCTGAAGGGTGAGCAGAAATTAGCCAGGCAAAGAATGTGTGGTGGGGACGTGGGTGGGGAAGCTTAGCATTTTTGAGAAATAAGGAAATGGCCAGTGTGGCTGAAGCTCTGAACGCAAAGGGGAGAGTGATGTGGTGTGGGGCTGCAGAGGTGGCCAGGAGCCAAGGCTGGCCTAATTTCCTCTCACTTTGTGTGTCTCCTCTTTAATTCTTTTTTTTTTTTTTTTTTGAGACAGAGTCTCACTCTATTGCCCAGCTGGAGTGCAGTGGCTCAATCTCAGCTCACTGCAACCTCCTCCTTGGTTCAAGCAACTCTGCCCGTGTAGCTGGAATTACAGGCGTGTGCCACGACGCCCAGCTGATTTTTGTATTTTTAGTAGAGACGGGGTTTCATCAAGTTGGTCAGGCTGGTCTCGAACTCCTGACCTCAAGTAATCCACCCACCTCAGCCTCCCAAAGTGCTGGGATTACAGGTGTGAGCCATGGCACCCATCCTGCTTCTCTTTAATTCTTATTTGTCCAATTCTTAGAGGGGAGGAAGCAGGCCTGCCCTACCTGTCATGGGGCCGCAGGTTTTCATGTCAATGGAGTGCTCCCATGGGAGTGCTCCTGAGCCCTCCTCCCAGGGATTTCTGGTGCCCGGGAGCACTCTGTCTCCTTTGGTCTCTTCTAACCATTGCTGGGGCTGCGTGGCTTTCTCCCAGGGGCTCAGCTGCACTCCCACGTGCTGATCCCAGTGCTTCCTTGCTCAGAGATTTCAGAAGCCTTGGTTCAGTTACTCTGGTGATCTGACTTCCTCTTCTTGCAACTAGCACTGCCTGTGATCTTGTGTCCCAGTAAAAAAACCAAGTCCCCTCTTCCTACCTCAGCTCCAGTAACAGGCTCCCCCTCTTGTTTTCGTTCATAGTAGTGAGAACGGCTACTTGCCATAGGTCCCTTCTTCATCAGTTCATTCAACTAAAGTTGATTGTGTGACTTGGTGTCAAGTACTTACGGGTACAAAGGTGAGCAAAGCTGGAGAGGACCCTGCCCCTGAGCGGCTTACAGGTCACCCATGCTAAGCACTTTCCCTGTGATCTCACTAAAATTTCGCAACAACTGTACTCAATATGGGCTGTTATTTGTGCCCATTTTATAGATGAGGAAGCTGAGTCAAAGAGAGGTTAAACAACGGGCCTGGCTGGGCACAGTGGCTTATGCCCATAATCCCAGCACTTTGGAAGGCCAAGGTGGGCAGATCACTTGAGGTCAGGAGTTTGAGACCAGCCTGGCCAACATGGTGAAACCCTGTCTCTACTAAAAATAGAAAAAAAAATTAGTCAGGCGTGGTGGTGGGCGCCTATAATCCCAGCTACTCAGGAGGCTGAGGCAGGAGAATCTAGTGAACCTGGAAGGTGGAGGCTACAGTGAGCTGAGATTGCACCACTGCAATCCAGCCTGGGTGACAGAGAAAGACTTTGCCTCAAAAAAAGTACAATGGGCCCAACCAAGGTCACACTTCTCGTCAGTGGTGGAGCTAGAATTTGAACCTCTCTGATCCCATCTGATCCCATAGCCCAAGTTCTTTATAAAATTTTAAAATATGTTTTATTTTATTTTTTATAGAGACAGGGTCTTGCCATGTTGCTCAGGCTAGTCTCAAACTCCTGGGCTCAAGCAATCCTCCCACCTTGGCCTTTCAAAGTGCTGGAACTATAGGGCATGAGCCACCATGCCTTGTCCCAAAACTTAAGTTCTTAACGAGTGCTCACTGTCTCCTCCACCCATCTCTTTGTCTGTGAATTTCTGGAAGTATCCTGAGACTGTGATTCTTCTATAACTGGGGCCTTGTCTTGGGAGTGGAACCCTGCTCTATACCCCTTCCTCTTCTGTGGCTACAGCTCACCTTCCTGTTCTTACATACCCTGTTGTGTCCTGCAGGGCCTCTCCGTCCCACTCATCTCTTTGCCTAGTTTCTTCCTTTTACAACCTATTTCCTTAGCACTGTGTGCTCTTTGGAGCTGGAGTTTCACCGGGTGCCTGAGGCTCAGCCTATAGCTCAAAGGGGCAGTTGTTTTTTTCTTTCCTGGAGGTATCTGCAAGTCTTCACAGTCCACTCCACTCGCCTGCTGCTAACCCTTTGATTCCAAGCTGAGTGATAGGGTATGTGGTAGGGATTGTGGTAACCCAAGGAACTATTGAAAGACCTGAAGTTCTCCTACAACTTATGACTTCAAGGAAGTGTTTCTCAAAGAGGGTGGTACCATCCTTAGGGGATGTTTACTTGTGAGGGTACTTTTGGTTGTCACAGGATTGTAGGGGTGTGGCGGTGGAGATGGGGAAGTCTGATGTCCTATTTGCTTTGAGGGCCAGTGAGAAACTGGCTTATGGGGCAAAAACGGACTTGTATCCCCCAAGATTTGTAATGTCCTACCAGACATTGTGCAAGTAAAAAACATTTTTCATTCTCTGAACCTAGATCCTAACTCTTTTTTTTTTCATATAAACACAAACACCAAACTTCCCAGGAATGCTGCTACTGTGGAAATAGAAGGAAGGCCCTCGGACTTCACCATGACTTGTTTGCCATTTTGGAAAATGATGTCATTGACAGCAGCACCACCCTTGGAATCTGAGCCGATAGTGCCATGCAATTGTACCAGTCGTCACTTACAGCTATTTCATTCATGGAGACTTTAGGTATGCCTAACTGACCATTATTTTGAAATAGCAGATTTAAAGTAAAAGGGTCAGCAGTATTTTTTGAATATTGTCTCACTACTCTGAAATTCAGATGCACTTATTTAAAGTAGATGGCAAACATCTGACTACTTCACCATCTTCCTGTACGGTCAGAGTCATGCTTGAAGATTTTCATACTGAAATACATGTTGTTGTACTATAAGTTATTTTCATTTATTTCTCCTTCATATGACAGCCAGGACTTTATATTTATTTTTAGATATTATGTGTATCAGTAGATTTTACTATCTATCAGGTTCAATTCAGGGTAGCAAAGGCAATGCTACAAAAACATTTCTCTTAAGAAATTGGCTGGGTGCAGTGGCTCATGCCTATAATGCCAACAGTTTGGGAGGCAGAGACGGGTGGATCACTGAAGGTCAGGAGTTCGAGACCAGCCTAGCCAACATGGTGAAACTCCGTCTCTACTAAAAATATAAAAATTAGCTGGGCGTGGTGGCGCATGCCTATATTCCCAGCTGAGGCAGGAGAATTGCTTGAACCCAGGAGGCAGAGGTTGCAGTGAGCTGAGATCGCACCACTGCTCTCCAGCCTGGGCAACAGAGTGAGACTCTGTCTCAAAAAAAAAAAAAAAAAAAAAAAAAAAAGAAAGAAAAAAAAAGAAATAGGGACTGTGGCCAGACTAAAAACCAGAGTTTTAAGGAAATGAAATTACTCTTTTTTGCAGACATTTGTGCAGGTAAAAAACTTATTTTTTGAACCTAGATCCTAACTCTTTTTTCAATATAAACACAAACATCAAGCACTACTGTCGCCACTGCACTCCAGCCTGGGCGACAGAGCGAGACTTTGTCTAAAAAACAAACAAACAAACAAAAAAAGAACTTGAAGCCATATTTTTTTTGGTGCTGGAATTTATACACGAAAATACAGGACGATCCCATCAAAGCTTGCTTGGCAATCCATGTGGAAGCATGGAGACCAAATCAGAGGCATTGCCAGTGTCCAGGCAGGAGAGGATGGCAGCTTGGATGACGGAGGTGCTGTGGAGATGGGGAGAAATAAGTGGATTTAAGATGTCTTGTGGAGGTAGAACCAATAGGATTTGCTGATGGAGTGATGCATGCGTGTGTGTGCGCGCATGTGTGTGTGTGTGTCTGTGTTACAATGGGATCACTAAAGCGTCACACCTAGGATTCATGCCTGAGAAACTATGTGGAGGGTAATCCTATTTATAGAAATACGGAAGATGGCAAAGAACAAATTTGGCAGGCAGAGGGGTCAGGGAAGTGAGAGTTCCTTTTTGGTTAAATTCCTTCTGAAAAGCATATTTGACACTTAAGTGGGGTGTCAAGTAGGCAGTTGTAGTTCCAGGGATGAGTTTAGTCTGGAGGTGTATTAATATATTTCAAAGTAATCAACATATAGGTATATTTAAAGCCGTGGGAGCAGACATTGGATGGTGGCTGTATTTTCCAGTTTTTAAACACCTTTATTGCAAAGGTTTTTGAGCGATGAGAAAAAGAACTTAAAGAAAGGAAAGGGAGAGAAAGAATGCACCAGTCTATATTACACATAGTCTACGTCTTGCAACAAAACAAGTTTTTGGTGTCTGCAAGCAGCTCTTAGCAGAGCCTTGAGTACATGTCTATGAGATACGGGGCATGCACACCACCTGCTGGTCATTTCTTCGCATTTTCTAACACACCCTTCAGGGCAGAAAGAAGTTTCTAGTTTGTCAAAAGTATGAACTGGGCGGGGCACTGTGTGGCTCATGCCTGTAATCCCAGAACTTTGGGAGGCCGAGGCAGGGGGAATCACTTGAGCCCAGTAGTTCTAGATCAGCCTGGGCAACATGGTGAGACCCCCTTCTCTACAAAAAGTAATGATAAAAAAAAAAATAGCCAGGTGTGGTGGTGTGCTCCTGTAGTCCTAGCTACTTGGGAGGCTGAAGTGGGAGGATCGCTTGAGCCCAGGAGGCAGAGGCTGCAGTGAGCCGTAATGGCACCACTGCAATCCAGGCTGGGTGACAGGATGAGACCCTGTCTGAAAAAAGCAAAAGCAAATGAAATATGTGTTTGAATAGACACCCAGTGGAATCAGTAGAACATTCTGCCTGCACCCCTCCACCCATCACTAAATTTTTCATTAATCTACTGCTGTGAATTCAAAAGGGAAAACAGGGAATATGCATTAGTAGCACAGGTCTGGCTGTCTTAGAAACATTCTGTTTGGAATGAATCAGACAATGTGGTGTTTTGTATTTTCCCCCTCTCTCTGAGATGGGAGACTGTATCAGCTTATGGGAAGAAAGTCATCCCAGTCAATGAATAATCAAAGGCAAAGCCAACCAGATGATAAATCTTGGCCTTCATCCTGAGAAGCCACCCACTAAGCAAAGTTGAATAAATCTGTTCAGGCTTAGCATATTTTTCAGGGCAATTGGTTGCAGTTTTCTCAGACTCTTTGATTGGCTAACCTTATCTTGGGCCAATTCCAAGCTAATAAAACAGAGAATGAAGTAAGTTCTGATTGTGGCTTAAGTTTCAGGGAGGAGACCATAGCATTAGCTTTGACAGTATTGGGAACAGAGAAAAATGTTTGTTCATGCCTTTCTATCCTGAATGCTGAGAACATCTGGGCTTCTGTTATTTTCCCAGATGGTTCCCTTCTCCTTGGAGAGGGCTACAGGTGACTTAGAGAGCACATCACAAAATATCGTGTAATTAAACTAATTATGGCTCTGTCAACGCAGGATATTAGCATTTCAAATTATGGGATTAGGAAGCTGTGAAGATGGACAAGAGACACTCTCTGGAAATGGTTAACTGTGTGGATTTAGAGTGAGGAGATCTGGTTTCAAGTTTTTTATTTTCTGTCTTTTTTGTTTGTTTGTTTTTGAGATGGAATCTCGCTCTGTTGCCCAGGCTGGAGTGCAGTGGCAAGATCTCAGCTCACTGCAACCTCCACCTCCCAGGTTCAAGCAATTCTCCTGCCTCAGCCTCCCGAGTAGCTGGGATTACAGGCGCCTGCCACCACTCCTGGCTAATTTCTGTGTTTTTAGTAGAGGTGGGGTTTCACCATGTTGGCCAGGCTGGTCTCGAACTCCTGACCTCAGATGATCCACCCGCCTCAGCCTCCCAAAGTGCTAGGATGACAGGCGTGAGCCGTTGCACCCGGCTGGTTTCAAGTTCTAACATCTCCACCTATCCACTGTGTGACCTAGAGCAAGTGACTTAACATCTCTGAGCCTCTGTAAAATGGACATAATGCTACCCACCTCAACAGATTGTTATGAAGCAAAATAAGAAAATGCCTGTAAAGAACCAAGCACAGTGCCTGGTATGTCATGAGGACTCAAAAAAAAAAAAAATAGTGTCTAGTGTTTAGTTCTTTAGTGCAGTATAGCTATGCTCCTGAAAGAAAAAGTCCATGACATAGACTTTTTGTGTCCCCCCACTGTTATAGATTGCATTGTGTCCCCCCCCCGACACCGCCAGTTCATATGTCAAAGTTCTAACTCCCAGTACCTCAGAATATATTTGGAGATAGGGTCTTTATGGTGGTAATTAAGTTAAAATGAGGTCATTATGATTAATCAGCGTTATTTCAATATGAGCTGTGTCCTTACAGTAAGAGGAAATTCAGCCACAGATACAGAAGGAAGACCATGTGACGACAAGGAAAAGACAGCTAGTTATCTGCAAGCCAAGGAGAGAGACCTCAGAAAAAAACCAACCCTGAAACTGTGAGAAGTACGTTCTGTTAAGCCGCCCAGTCCATGGCACTTTGCTGTGGCAGCCCTAGAATACTCGCACATCCAGCCTGCCTGGTACTCAGACATTCATTTTTCTGCAAGTATTTTTTATGTCATCTTCCAGATCGTGAAGATATATGAGTGAATACACAGTTTCCATGCTCACGCAATATATGTTCTCATCAAACACACAAATAAGATAATTCCGATTGACAGTGCGAAGGCCCCAGGGTATATGTGAACTTGGAGGGTTGAAATAACAGAATGGAAACCTGTGTTGATGGAGTAGGTTGAGTGAGGGAGAGGGAATATGAGCTAAGGCTGGGGAGACCAGCAGTGTAGACCCAAGTCACCAACCACATGTTTTTTTATGCTTGTTTGATTTACGGAAAGCCATAACTAGAACTCAATTCTGCTAACTCTCTGGCCACCAACGTTCTCAGAAATGCCATTGTGATTCTTGCTAAGTGGATCTAGTGATACTGTGGGCTCCGTGAGACACTGCTGATATCCCCCTTTGGGAAAGAAGGACAATCCCCCAGGTGCTGGGAATTATGCCGGAAGACAACCCTCTGCTGCCAGCCCACTTTGGGAATTGCATTAGCTAAAGAAAAACTGCCTCGCCCAGGGTTGTGCTTCTTTCCAGGGCAGCCCACATCCAGTGACTGGCAGATGTGGTGACTTAATGACTGACCCTCTCATTCTGACTCAAAACAATTTTTTTTTTTGAGATGGAGCCTCACTCTGTTGCCTAGGCTGGAGTGCACTGGTGTGATCTCAGCTCACTACAACCTCTGCCTTCATGGTTCAAGTGACTCTCCTGCCTCAGCCTCTGGAGTAGCTGGGATTACAGGTGCCCACCACCACGCCTGGCTAATTTTTGTATTTTTAATAGGGATGGGGTTTCACCATGTTGTCCAGGCTGGTCTTGAACTTGTGACCTCAAGTGATCCACCCGCCTCAGCCTCCCAAAGTGCTGGGATTACAGGCATGAGTCACCGTGCCTGGCCTGACTTGAAACAATTTGGAAGGGCCAGCGCAGCTTCAGAGCTGCCTATGCAGTTGGCTGAGATCTCTGTTGAGACTGCCTGACAGGCCAACTTCTCCATGTGTCTACTCCTCCTGTCCTGTCTCTTCCACAAGCATTGTCCTCAAGAGCACTGCCCAATAAGCATCCTGCTGCAAGTCTTCACAGAAGCTGCCTCCCAGGAACCCCACCTGTGACAATGTCCCTACTGAAAATTGAGCATGGATGAACCAGCAAACTCAAGAGATCTTCCAGGCAGCCCAGTGCGAGAATGGCCACATACCAGGCAACTATGAGGCAATGAGAGATGGAATAGGATTTTTTTTTTCTTTTTTCTTGAGATGGAGTCTCATCCTGTCATCCAGGCTGCAGTGCAGTGGCATGATCTTGGCTCACTGCAACCTCAGCCTCCTGGGTTCAAGCGATTCTCTTGCCTCAGCCTACCAAGTAGCTGGGATTATGGGCACGCACCACCACTCCTGGCTAATTTTGTATTTTCAGTAGAGACAGGGTTTCACCATGTTGGCCAGGCTGGTCTCAAACTCTTGACCTCATGATCCACCCGCCTTGGCCTCCCAAAGTGCTGGGATTACAGGTGTGAGCCACTGAGCCTGGTGAAACAGGACTTTTAGAGGAGTTTATGACTCCTCTGGGAATGCTCGCCATACCCACAATCCCTTCAGAGTTGTCCCTTTTGCAGGGGCTGCCACAGGACCCTGCAGCTGGGGCTCCAGCTGGTTAGACCAGGGATGAGAACTTGTCTCAAAAGCAGTGGCCTCTAGGTCAGCCAGTAGCCCAGAAGGGAGCCTTTTGCAAGTGCTTTGTCTAATGGAGGATGTCTGTTCACCTCTCCAGACTCTACCCTTGCTTTCTAGCCACACCGGCTCCGGCAGCTTTTCTTTCCCTAAGACATTTCACAGGCTATGGTCTCTACCTGGAACAGTCTACATTCTCCTCATCCTCACGCCTCTTCTCCATTTGCCCAGTGCATGGCTATGTATCCTTTTGATCTCTGTTGGAAAGTCACTTCATTAAGGAACCAATCCCTTGCCACTCTCTGACTTGATGCTCTTTGTAGTTTTCCTTCGCAGCGCTTGCCCCAGTTTGTAAACCTCTATGAGTGACTGTTATTTCGTGTCTGCACACTGCACTAGGTTGCAGGCAACTTGGGAGTCAGATCTGCCGCAGTTTTACTCCCCATTATACATTAAGTCCTCATGGAACGTAGTCAGTAAGTTCTTGGAAACTGTAACTTTAAATGAAATGACTCACAATAAAACCAATTTGACTGTAGGCTAATTGATATAAACAAGAGTTAAGTTCCTATGATATATTTCTGGTCACAAAAACATCATTGGCCGGGCTTGGTGGCTCACGCCTACCATCCCAGCACTTTGGGAAGCCAAGGTGGGCAGATCACCTGAGGTCAGGAGTTCGAGATCAGCGTGGCCAATGTGGCAAAACCCTGTCTCTACTAAAAATACAAAAATTAGCTGGGCATGATGGCACACGCCTGTAATCCAAGCTACTTGGGAGGCTGAGGCAGGAGAATCGCTTGAAGCTGGGAGGCAGAGGTTGCAGTGAGCCGAGATCGCGCCACTGCACTTCAGCCTGGGTGACAGAGCGAGACTCTTTCTCAAAAAAACAAAAAACAGCCGGGCGCAGTGGCTCACGCCTGTAATCCCAGCACTTTGGGAGGCTGAGGTGGGCAGATCATGAGGTCAAGAGATGGAGACCATACTGGCCAAGATGGTGAAACCCCTTCTCTACTAAAAATACAAAAATTAGCTGGGCATGGTGGTGCGTGCCTATAGTCACAGCTACTTGGGAGGCTGAGGCGGGAGAATCACTTGAACCCGGGAGGTGGAGGTTGCAGTGAGCCAAGATCGCGCCAACTGCACTCCAGCCTGGCAACAGAGTGAGACTCCTTCTCAAAACAAACAAATCATCCAACTTCTAAGAAAAGACCCCAAATGCTCTTAATATTAAAATAAATATGAGCTACACATACATCTAAGGAAGATTAATAAAAAAACAAGATTAAGATCATTATTTGTCTGCTTGTTCCAATTCACAGTGGTGAGTGGCTGGAGCCTGTCACAGCAACTCGGGGTGCAAGGCAGGAACGACCCTGGACAGGATGCCATCCCATCGCAGAGTGCACTCTCACACACACACTCACTCACTCAGACTGGGACAACGTAGACATGCCAGTCCACCCCACGTGCACAGCTTTGGGGTGTAGGAGGACTGGAGGACCTGGAGAAACCCCATGACATGGAAGGAACATGCAAACTCCACACAGGCAGTGGCCCTGAAATTTTTTTTTCAACAACATAATAATGAAAAGACATTGAATGACATGATGTCATGTGAAGATTTGCTGCAGTCCTAGCTCCCAGCACCATGCCTGGAACACAGGGAGCACCTAATAGTACTTATTGAGTAACTAACAGGGATTTTCTTATTGAATAGTGGCTGAATGAGCCAAATCAGATCTTTCTTTAAATTAGAAAAATGAGGCTGGGCGTGGTGGCTCACGCCTGTAACCCCAGTACTTTGGGAGGCCAAGATGGGCAGATTGCTTGAGCTCAGGAGTTTGAGACCAGCCTCGGCAACAGGGAGGAATCCGGTATCTACAAAAAACGCAAAAGTTAGCCAGGCGTGGTGATGCGCACCTGTAGTCTCAGCTACTCGGGAGGCTGAGGTGGATGGCTTGAGCCTGGGAGGTGGGGGTTGCAGTGAGCTTGGATTGTGCTACTGCACTTCAGCCTGGGTAATAGAGCCACACTTTGTCTCAGATAGACAGACAGATAGATAGATGATAGATAGATAGATAGATAGATAGATAGATAGATAGATAGATAGATAGATGAAAAATGTTGAGAACAAACGTAAGACAAATAAATAAATAAATGAGAAAAATGTGCAGAGAGAGCACCGGAGTTGATGAGAATTAGGGTGGAGCAGTGGTTCTCAAAGAGTAGTCCAGAGACCCTTAAAGGTGCTTGAAACCCTTTCAGGGGATCCAGAAGATCAAAACAGTTTTCACATTCATATAAAGATATCTTGCCTTTTATCCTTCTTGCTCTCTCATGAGTGTACAGAACATGAAAAGCTCATGTTTATAGTTTCTGATTTCACATTGTAACAAGCCTTTAAGTAACTATCACTTGTTAAGTTTTGTGGTAGTATCAAAAAAGAATATACACAACTTGCTGAGAAGTCTATTAAAATACCTCTCTCTTTTCCAAATATACATATCTCTGTGAGGCTGGGTTTTCTTCACAGACTGTAACCAAAACAACATATGGCAATATATTAATGCAGAAACATATATGAGAATTCAGCTATCTTCAAATAAGTCAGACATTGCAAGAGAGTTGAAGAAATGTAAAACAGCAAAACACTATTCCCTAAATATACTTTTAGAAATATAGTTATTTTTCATAAAATGGTATTTCTACTAACATATAATGGATTTGTTATTAGTTTTAATATGTAGTTTTTTAAAACTTCATAATTTTAATTTCAGATTGGTAAATATCAATAACAATAATGCACATCGGCTGGGCACGGTGCCTGATGCCTGTAATCCTGGCACTTAGGGAGGCTGAGGTGGGCAGAACCCTTGAGGCCAAGAGTTTGAGACCAGCCTGGCCAACATGGCAAAACCCCGTCTCTGCTAAAAATACAAAAATTAGCCAGATGTGGTGGCACATGCCTATAGTCCCAGCTACTCGGGAGGCTGAGGGAGGAGAATTGCTTAGGCCCAGGAGGCGGAGGGTGCAGTGAGCTGAGATCATACCACTGCACTCCAGCCTGGGTGACAGAGTGAGACTCTGTCTCAGAAACAAACAAACAAAAGTAATGCACGTAAACAAATACTCTTGGGTGTCATCAATAAATGTTAAAAGTGCAGAGGGGTCCGGAGACCAAAAAGGTTGGTTGGGCGCAGTGGATTACACGCCTGTACTCCTAGCACTTTCGGAGGCCAAGGCGGGTGGATCACCTGAGGTCAGGAGTTTGAGACCAGCCTGGCCAACATGATGAAACTTGGTCTCCACTAAAAATACAAAAATTAGCCGGGCTTGGTGGCACACGCCTGTAATCGCAGATACTCGGGAGGCTGAGGAAGGAGAACCGCTTGAACCTGGGAGGTGGAAGTTGCAGTGAGCTGAGATTGTGCCACTGTACTCCAGCCTGCGCGACGGGAGCGAGACTCCATCTCAAAAAAAAAAAAAAAAAAAAAAAAGGTTGAGAGCACTGGGGTAGAGACAAATAACTTCACAGCCAAAGCCTATCTTTCTCCATCTCTTGGTCCTTCTCCCCTCAGTGTTGGATTCATACTCAGGCAGGCACTCCATGGCTATCAGCAGCTCCAGATTTACCTCCTATTTGCTTAGCAAACGCCACCCATTTGTCCAGCAAAAAATGTGCTGGAAAAACACAATGGTTCCAGCAAAAGCCCAGAGTGGACTCTCATTGGCATGATTCCCATCACATTTCCATCCCTAATCCAACCACTGACTCCAATTCGCCAGGTCTTGGTCTTTTGTTCATCTCTGGAATGGTGAGTTCTGTGAAGTCCATCTCAAATGAACCACATGGACTGAGAGGGGTGGCTTAACAGAGGAAAACTGTTACCATGAGAAGGAAAAATGGGGCTGGTATGGTGGTTCACGCTTGTAATCCCAGCACCTTGGGAGGCTAAGGCATGAGGATCTCTTGAGCTCAGGAGTTTGAGATCAGCCTGGGCAACATAGCAAGGCCCTACCTTTATAAAAAAAAATTTAACAAAATTAGCCAGGCATAGTGGTACACGCATGTATTCCCAGCCACTTGGGAGGCTGAGGTGGGATGTTGAGGCTGCAGTGAGCCATGATTGTGTGCCTGGGTGACAGAGCAAGACCCTGTCTCTTTAAAAAAAAAAAAAAAAGGGGGAGAAGGGATGGGAAACGGGCAAGCAACATTTATCACCTGGGGAGGATATGAGTAGAAAGCTGAGGAACCTAGAATATTAAGTTATCTTAAAATAACCAGACTTTAAGGGTTCAAGTTCCAGAATAAATATCCCATGTCCTCTCTTTTCTCTTCTCCCTAATCTTTCCTCTCATCTGCACCACCATCTGGAATATCTGTTGGAGGGAGCACGTTAGAAAATAGGAGAACAGACAAAGGCGAGGGAGTATCAGTGAAAGCCAGGCTCAGTAATACATGTTGGGACAGGATTGATTGAGGGGAGGTATTTCAGGGCCTCCTGTTCCTGTCCCGCCGTGGAGAATGGGTAGTTGTGTCTCTGCACTGATTGATGTTAGCCTCTTGAGCATGGTTGCGGTACTCATTGGAAGCCCCACGTTTTGCTCCCTCCTAACTGCTTCTTCACTCCCCCTGGTGCTCTCTTGCTGCACTCCTGCATGGACTGGATCAAGTCTGATGCTCTGACCCCAAACAATATCTATACTGAGTCCCATTCCCTCAAACCTCTGCTCTGCACACGGGAACATTAAGCAAGAGCAAGGTTACCCTCAAAGAGTTAGGCCAATATTGGAGTTTGGAAGGAAAACTTGCGGCTGAGGGCCCTTGAGTATCCCTCAAATACAACCATAGAAGAAATTGTCTTTTATTGCCCCAAAGCAGAAAGCTCCCCATGGAGAAACTCATCCTCAACAAGGACCACCCTTGCCCTCTGTCTTTCCGTGGAGCAGGCCTTCATTGTGGACTTCTACAAGTGAAAGAAAGACTAGACTTGCTCTATGTGGACACAAGGCAGGGTGGGAAAAAAACCAGGGAGATAGATTTGACTTAGTAAGAAGGAAAATGTTCAATAGAGATGTCCAAAGCTGGAAGGGCTGCCTCAGCTGTGTGATTTGGGGGAAAGAGTCACTTATATACTCACTCATGACCTCATTTTCTTCAAGGTGATCAGTCTTGGGGGTGCTGAAAATCAGCATACAATATAAACACTAGATGAATTCTTTACTCCTAGCTGGGTACAGTGGCTCACACCTGTACACCCAGCACCTTGGGAGGCTGAGGTGGGAGGATCACTTGAGGCTAGGAATTTAACACTAGCCTGGGAAACAGTAAGGCCCATCTTTACAGATTTTTTAAAAAATTTTTTACCCTGAAGGGTGCTTCCTTCCTTTTTCTGTCAGTGTCAACACTTTATTTTGGTGTAAACACAGGAATCTGGAACATACATTGTATTTGAAATTTTCCTGGTTCCTGAGCTAATCTGTTTAAATTCAAATACTTAAAGGGTCGGGGGAACGGAAGAATAAGGAGAGATTTGTTTAAGGATACAAAATTACAGCTACATAGCAGGAATAAGCTCTAGAGTTCTATGCCACTGTAGGATGACTATAGTTAATATATTACATAATTCCTTTCTTTCTTTCTTTTTTTTTTTTTTTTTTTTTTGAGATGGAGTCTCGCTCTGTTGCCCAGGCTGGAGTGTAATGGCATGATCTCGGCTAACTGCAACCTCTTCCTTCCAGGTTCAAGCGATTCTCCTGCCTCAGCCTCCCGAGCAGCTGGGATTACAGGCACCCACCACAACGCCCAGCCGATTTTTGTATTTTTACTAGAGTCGGGGTTTCACTGTGTTGGCCAGGCTGGTCTCGAACTCCTGACCTCAAGTGATCCGCCCACCTCAGCCTCCCAAAGTGCTGGGATTATAGGTGTGAGCCACCGTGTCTGGTATTTTTTTTTTTTTTTTTTTTTTTTGAGAGAGGGTATCGATCTGTCGCCCAGGCTGTAATCCAGTGGCGTGATCTCAGCTTACTGCAACCTCTGCCTCCCGGGTTCCAGTGATTCTCTTGGCTCAGCTTCCAGAGCAGCTGGGATTATAGGTGCACGCCACCACACCCGGCTAATTTTTGTGTATTTTCTTTTAAAGATGGCTTTCACCATGTTGGCCAGGCTGGTCTTGAACTTCTGAACCCCTGTGATCTGCCCGCCTTGGCCTCCCAAAGTGCTGGGATTACAGACGTGAGCCACTGCACCCGGCATTAATATCCTTCTAGCTATTTGAAACTATGTAATATATTAACAGGGCCCGGTACGGTGACTCGCACTTGTAATCCCAGCACCTTGAGAGGCCAAGGAGGGCAGATCACTTGATGTCTGGAGTTTGAGACCAGCCTGGCCAACATGGTGAAACCCCATCTCTACTAAAAATACAAAAATGAGTTGGGAGTGGTTGTAGGTGCCTGCAGTCCCAGCTACTTGGGAGGCTGAGGCAGGAGAATCGCTCGAACTTGGGAGGCGGACGTTGCAATGAGCCCAGATTGCGCCATTGCACTCCAGCCTGGGTGACAAGAGCAAAACTCCGTCTCAAAAAAAGGACATTGAATGTTCCCAACATAAAGAAATGATAAAGTTTTGAGATGATGGATATGCTAATTAGCCTGATCTGATCACTATATATGTATGCAACATCACTATTAAAAATGCAAATACTTACAAATTACAGCAGCAAAATAAAAGCACAGAAAAGAGAAAACCCGACGGAGAAGGCAGCCCGGGTCAGCTGTGCCACTTGGTGTGGACGCCTGAGGTGCGGAACAGGAGCTGCTGTGTCCGCATTTTTCTTTCCTCTCCTTTTTCTTCAGAGAGGCGGTCGGAAGTAGCTGCTGGGTCTGCTTCGTGATGGCTGCTTCAATGGCTTGGCTGAAGAGTGTTGGAAACTGGGTACAGGAACAGGGTCTGAGTTGTCACTCTCCCCATCGCTGTCCACAAGAGCAGCAGGAATTAGGCTGTTTGCATCTTTGGAGCAGTTTTGGGCCAAACGTCTGTTTTTCCTTTTTCAATTCTCCACATCTGAGCAAAAGAAGGAGAGTCGTCTTCCAGATTCCTGATGCTAAATGAAGCAGTGGGGTGACAGACGGGTCAGCAGAAAGTCTGCCTGGGACCCTGGAGTTCTGTTAAGAGAAGAAAGGGAGGGGGCCCCAGGCCCTCCGTGCAGGAGGTCCCACAGTGGAGCTGGAGGAGCAGGTGTAGGAACGGCAGGGAGGAAGCTGCCGTAGATCCTGCAGGCCCCCTGTCTGGTTCTCCTCCATCTCTGCCCTGTGCTCTCAGCAGCGTTCCTCCTGAGACTTCTCCTGGTGACTTCTCTTCTCTATGTCAGTCTAGGGTTACCTTAGAGACCATAGGAGAAGGTCCCATTTCCCAAAACCCAGTCAGAGAACCACCCTGTGTTGAGAGTCCCCGATTCACTCACATCCCACATGACCTCGCCCGTACATCCTGGAAACAACAGCTCCCATCTCCTCGCCCCTGAAGGACCTGGGTACTGCTAAGATGTGTTATGCCCAGGGATTTTGATGCTTATTCTCTATGTGTTCCTGGTGCCAGAGTCTGCAAGGACCTACATTTCCAATTCTACCACCTCACATTGTTTTCCAGGGTTCTGGTACCTAATTAGGAAAGTCATCTGTGTCCATAAGTTCCTCTGGCCCTCTGGAAAGTGACCTAATTATAACAAAGCCACACAGAACAATCTCCTTCATATTACTACAAAGCCTCACAAATCAAATTCCTTGATATTACCACCATCATTCATCCCTGTAGGATGATGCCAATAAGAACAGAAGCCTCCATTTCTTGAATACTTAGTGCCTTACATGGATGAGTTCCTTACTTCTCTCAATAGCTTTTTGACATAAGTACTACTATTATGCCCATTTTACAGGTGGAGAAATCAAGGCTCAGAGAAGTTAAATGACTCGCCCAAGAACACATTGTTAGTTTCATATTGACAATGAAATTCTAGCCCTAGTCTGCCTGACACCAGTGTCGGGCATCTTGACCATTACACAGACTGTCTCAGGTTATTTCTACTAATCTCCCTATGAAGAATTATAAAGAAAATTTAAACAGTAGATTGAGGTAGGGGAACAGGAGGGAGATGGGATAATTTAAACAGTAGATTGAGGGAGATTGGTCTTTGTATTAATAAAGAAAATGCTAGCTAATATAATAATTAACCTCCCAATTTTAGTGTCTTAACACAGTTCAAATGTATTTTTTACTCATGTTGCAATCTGATGGTGTTCCTGGTGGGTTTCCTCCATGTGGTGATTCTGGGACCCAGGCTTGTCTCATCTTATGGCTCTGCCATCCTTTAGGGCCTTGGAGACCTTTGCATCCAGAAGAAACGTACACCCTCTTCTTAACTGCCTTGGCCCAGAAGTGACACACATCCCTTTCTGCTCACATTTCACTGGCCAGCACTGGTCCTGTGGCATTGCATAGATGTAAGGGGACTGGGAAATGTATTTCTGCCCTAGGCAGCTACTTCTCAGCATCAACTCTATACCATTCAAGAGGGCATGCAAAATATTTGGTGAAAAGTTAGTTATCTCTGCCCCAGCCTCAATGACCTTAAGTGTCTTCTATTCCATAAATTCTAAGATTCCATAATTTAATTGTTTTGGAATACATGGGAATCTGTTGAAGACTTGAAGTTCCTTTCTTTCTTTTTTTCTTTTTTTCTTTCTTTTTTTGAGACGGAGTTTCGCTCTTGTTGCTCAGGCTGGAGTGCAATGGTGTGATCTCAGCTCACCACAACCTCCGCCTACAGGGTTCAAGCAATTCTTCTGCCTCAGCTTCCCGAGTAGCTGGGATTACAGGCATGTGCCACCCCGCCTGGCTAATTTTGTATTTTTTTTAGTAGAAGCGGGGTTTCTCCATGTTGGTCAGGCTGGTCTTGAACTCCCGACCTCAGGTGATCCTCCCGCCTTGGCCTCCCAAAGTGCTGGGATTACAGGCATGAGCCATTGCACCCAGCATTGAAGGTCCTTTCAATACGGTCATATTCTTGTGAGAAACGATGAAGACAGACAATGTCTGTGGCAGTGTGGTCAGTATACTCTGTGGCCTGATGTTTGCGGTGCCTGAAAAGTGAGAGCGTCTGTCACCTTTTCTTTATGTTCCTGTAGTGTGGCCCGTGGTAACTTTCCAATAGGAGGGCAAGAACAACTCCAAGGGCAGAAACCTTGCCCGGGCTCCATCCCTTCCTGCCGAGAGAAGTGCTCGAAGACATGGTTTTTACATAATGTTTAGAAATAAGCATCTGAGAAGTGTGGAAACATGCCGTCCTGATTTACTCAGCCCCATCGCTAAGTGCTGGCATTATCACCATCTGCTGAATGTGGAAGTTGTTGAAAAATGAGTCACCTGGCACCAAAAACCATTTCTGCTCAGAATCCCCCACACACACTAACCCATCTCTTAGTATCAACAAAAAGTCTCTGCAGCTTGTAAGTTCTGAGAAGACTAAGAGAACATGAGTTCCCCCAAGTGGCGTATGTTTATTCATCCTCTAATACACGGGCATCCATTTCCTTCATCCTTGTTGGCACACTTGCTTTAAAAGGATGCTGAACTTTGTGCATGGACAAATACAGTATTATTTCTGAATTCATAGGCAGACTGGCTGCACCAGACTCCCCTGAATCTCTTTCCCATTTTATACTCAGTATTTGTTTGATAGCTGGCACCTTAACAATGAGAAATACTATGGGTCAAAACGTAATATGATAACCTCTCATGCATCTGTAAACATGTTAACTTTCTCCTCCATAAGGGACCCCAAACCTCCTTAACTATTTTTGGGTGATGTTCATTCCTTTTCTAGTTGAGCTACACTGCCCTTTTGATATCCTGTGACTTAAATACTGAAATACAAGGTTAAATACTGAAATACAAGGTTATACTGAAATACAAGGTTAAATCGTGACTTAAATACTGAAATACAACGTTAAATCGTATTAGCACATTTTTTTTAATGAGAGGTGGGTTGGGGGTGGTAACCCCCAGGCTCTGTCACCCAGGCATTCTGGGTGAGCACCCAGAGAGCACCCCAGGCACTCTGTCACCCAGGCTAGAGTGCAGTGGCGAGATCATAGCTCACTGAAGCTTTGATTTTGCAGGCTCAAGTGATCCTTCTGCATCGGCCTCCATGACAAAATCGGGAAGAAATGCCCATAACTATAACAGACCTAGTTTCTGCAATTAGTCACATGGTCATAACTGATATTTACACCTGCCTTCTTCCCCGCCCCATTGCATGTTGGTTGTGGCTCCTTCCCTGAGCCTATATCTTCATTCCTAACCCACTGACAGTGGCCTTTTTTAATGAAGGGCATAGAATATGAGAAGGTCACAACAGGATCAGGTTGCTGTGAAAGCTGCTCCCTGCTTGAGCCCTACAACCCAAAAGATAGGATGCAGCTTGAAGTATCTGTGGCTGAGAGATGCTGTTTGGAGCTGCTGGTTAGGGGTGGATCAGCATAGAACCTCAGGATTTGGGAGCAAAGCTGTGTCCTCCTCTGCAGAGCGCTACATATTCACCTTTTGAGAAGGCTTTTTGGGTTTTCTACAGGACCTAAGGGGAGACTGAATGTTTTATCCCAAGCTGCCAAGTTACCATGTGACCTGAGCCATCCATCATGAACTGGGCATTGTGCTCACTTGCTCTTCAGAAATTGTGAAATATCAGAGCATGTGTCAACCTGCAAGAGCCCAGACAATGTTGTCACATGGATTTCTGCAAAAGTTAGGAGACCTGAGTTATGGTCCTAACCAGTGCTGCCAGCTGGCTGGGTGACTTGAGTGTTAGCTTCCTCATCTGTAAAGTAAGGGCACTCGCATGCATGTAGAAAGAATCCAGCAAACCTGGCGTAGGGTGTCATGCCATCAACTGGAGTCTATTGGGCAGTAAATCTGCTCAGTAAGGGTGTCTCCAAAAAGATTTCACCATCAGATCAGTTTGCTAAGCCTGTTTATGCCAGTTGCTTTCTTGTGTGACTTCTCAGTGTTTCTAATATTCTAATGTGCATGTTGGTGGGGGTATTGAAAGGGAGTAATATACTCACAGAGTAACATACTGTGAGAAGAGTATGTGTATTGTTCCCCAAACTTATCATAAATATATATATATAATGTATAATATAAATGTAAAAATGTATAAAACCCCTTTTTATTGCAGATACTTATTCATATCACCTGGAGGTAGGCTTTCATGGAATACAGGTTAGGAAATTCTCATCAAGTGCTCCGTTAACATAATAAGCAGTTGTTAAAATCGGTAAGATTTATGTCTGGGTTTATACATGAAATGTTTACAGAAAATAGAGATTTATGTTAAAAAGAGCCCAAGATGAAATTACATGTGTGTATTGATGATAGCTATGAAAAACGGTGTCTAATTATATCAAGGAAAAGAGAAAAATAAGAGATGGGTAGTGTTTGAGAACTGAGTGATTGTTCTTCTATTTATTGAATTAATCAGTTTAATCAATTAAGTTATCAAATGAAGTGTTGGACTGAATGGGTTTTCAGACTGTACCCCTGGTGGCCACGAACAAGGACATGGTCAAGGAGAGAGTGATCAGGATTCTGGGGTTCTACCCTCTGCTTTAACAAAGCAATTTGGCTTTTATCTGAAAGTGGAGACACAGGTTGAGGGGTCAGGACGCCTGAGTTCAAATCTTATCTCCCACAGTCACTGGCAATATGACCTTGGGCCATCTCTCTGACCTCTTGTATCTTTCTCTGTAAAATGGAAGAAATAAGAACAGCTCTCTTGTAAAATTGTGGTCCAGATGAAATGCGATAATCCAGGTAAAGTACAAAGCACAATACCAGGCACATAGTCATGTACTTAATAAATGTGAACTACTAACATTCTTCTAGACTGGGCATGGTGGTTCATGCCTGTAACCCCAGCACTTTGGGAGGACAAGGTGGGAGGACCGCTTGAAGCCAGGAGTTCAAGACCAGCCTAGGCAATAAATCATGACCCTGTCTCTATAAAAATTAAAAAAAAAAATTATCTGGGTGTGGTGGCACACACCTACCTGTAGAGGCTGAGGTGGGAGGATCTCTTGAGCCCAGGAGTTTGAGGCTGCTGTGAGCTATGATGGTGCCACTGCATCCTGGCCTGGGTGGGTGACAGAGGGAGAGACACTGTCTCTTAAAAAAAAACAAAATGTGTTTGTAAGTGGGCAAACAAGGTGTTTCACAGCTAAAAGGGCTTGAGAAACATAGGACTTGAGCATGTGTGTGTGTTTCTTTAAAGGTATTTTTCATCTCTAAGAGTCTGAGATCTTGCCGTATGACAGGCATATTTTGAGACAGACAATTCCCCCATCCCTACTGCCTCACTGTCACTTCTGGTCTGTTTCCCAAATGCAAAACAAACAAAATCTCTTTGTTACATGGTAGTTGCCTGCTCCTTTTCGCTAATTTTGGTTCTTCTTCTAAATATGAGAACCAGCAGAAAAGTCATAGAGGCTTGCAGTATATCTTCACACAGAGACACACTTAACTCTTGATAAACAGAGTACGAGAGGACAGACGCGGTGGCTTATACCTGTAATCTCAGCACTTTGGGAGGCTGAGGAGGGAGGATCACGAAGTCAGGAGCTCGAGACCAGCTGACCAACATGGTGAAACCCTGTCTCTACTGAAAATACAAAAATTAGCTGGGCGTGGTGGCGGGTGCTTGCAATCCCAGCTACTCAGGGGGCTGAGACAGGAGAATCACTTGAACCTGGGGAGGTGGAGGTTGCAGTGAGCCAAGATTGTGCCACTGCACTCCAGCCTGGGCGACAGAGCAAGACTCTGTCTCAAAACAAACAAACACCCAACAGAGCAGGGGAACAGGCTAACTGGCTTGTGCTTTCAATGTAAACACTGAAATGTACATTTACTGCAAAGTGTCTTCATACTAGTAACTGATTAAAAATGGAGGCCACATTTTTTTTTAATAGAAACATACTTCTTCCTTTACCAAATAGTTGGGTTCATAACGTGAACCAAATTTTTAGTGCTGGCCGGGCGTGGTGGCTCATGTCTGTAATCCAGCACTTTGAGAAGCTGAGGTGGGAGGATTGCTTGAGCCCAGAAGTTCAAGACAGCCTGGGCAATGACTGCTATTTTTGTAGTGAGTCTTCATTTCTACAAAAATAAAAATAAAATACTTACCCAGGTATGGTGGCACAGGCCTATTGTCCCAGCTATTTGGGAGGCTGAGGTGGGAAGATTGCTTGAGCCTGGGAAGTTGCACTCCAGCTTGCTGTGCACCCTGGGAGGCTGATCTCTAGGGACTGGTTTCTGGTTGGCCAATGGTAGGCACCAGCAGGAGGTTGAAGCTTGGAAAGAGATGGGTCAGGTTATTTCTTCCTCCTGCATCTGCCGTGACTTGGCCTGGATTGGGCAGTGGCTGCAACCCTCTGTGACTTTAGCCTCCATGGGATGGATCCTCTGCATAGAACTAACTCTTAACCAGATTCTGGTTACATCTTCTGGCCTGGGGGCCTGGGGGTAGTGATGCCTTCTCTACTTACTAGTCCCTGAGTGCCCAGGCATCCCTGGTGGCTTCCTTTAGGCCTGCCCACACTTCTGTAAATAGTTACTTATTAAAGTCTCTTTAAAAAGCTTAGCTGATGGCCAGGCGAGGTGGCTCTCGCCTGTACTCCCAGCACTTTGGGAGGCTGAGGCGGGCCAATTACTTGAGGTCAGGAGTTGGAGACCAGCCTGCGCAACATGGCAAAATCCTGTCTCTACTAAAAATACAAAAATTAGCTGGGCATGGTGGCACATGCCTGTAATCCCAGCTACTTGGAAGGCTGAGGCAGGAGAATCGCTTGAACCTGGGAGGCGGAGCTTGCAGTGAGCCAAGTTTGCACCACTGCACTCCAGCCTGAGTAACAGAGCGAGATTCTGCCTCAAAAAAAAAAAAAAAAAAAAAAGTCCTAGCTGATGATACTAACTATACGGCATTCTAGAAAAGGCAAAACGATAGAGACAGTAAAATGATCAGTAGTTGCCAGGGGTTTGAGGGAAGGGAGGAATGAATAGGTGGAGCACAGGGGTTTTAGGCAGTGAAATGATTCTGTATGACATTATATTGGTGGATACATGGCATGATATATTTGCCAAAACCCATAGAGTGTATAACATGAAGAGTTTCCCCTAATATAAACTATGGACTTTGATTGAAAATGATGTATTAATGATGGTTCATTGATTGTAGCAAAGGTACCACTCTGCTTGATGATGGTGGAAGCCATGAGTAGGGGGGCAAGAGGTATATGGGAACTCTCTGTACTTTCCACTCAATTTTGCTGTGCACCTCAAAATGCTCTAAAAAAGTCTTTTTTTTTAAAGTTAGTTGTTTTAAAAATCCCAACTGATTGTGCTTTTTCCATGATTGATGTACACCTGTTGGACGCATACTGAGCAACAATGGCATCATAATGACGATAAAGGAGAAGACATGAATCTAGCTAACAAAAACAAGACAAGATACAGAAGAAAATGGGTTTAGCTAGTAAAAACAAGATATCATATTACTGTGTCAGATTAGATTTGGCTGTGAGATACAGAGACCCAAAATAAAGGTAGCTTAAACAGGAGCAGAGTGTGTTTCATGCTCACGTAAAATCCTCTATACTTGCCGGGCATGGTGGCTCACGCCTATAATCCCAGCACTTGGGGAGGCCGAGGTGGGTGGATCACCTGAGGTCAAGAGTTCGAGACCAGCCTGGCCAACACGGTGAAACCCCGTCTCTACTGAAAATACAAAAACATTAGCTGGGCGTGCTGGCACACGCCTGTAATCCCAGATACTTGGGAGGCTGAGGCAGGAGAATCGCTTGAGCCCAGGAGGCGGAGGTTGCAGTGAGCTGAGATCACACCACTGCACTCCAGCATGGGTGACAGAGTGAGACTCCGTTTCAAAAAAAAAAAAAAAAACCTCTATACTTTCATCTATAAAGTGGAGATTATTATTGTACTACCTTATTTGGTCATTGTGAGGATTAAATGAGCTAATGAATGAAAACTTCTTAGTACAGTGCCTAGTATATTATGAATTTAACTTTTATTGCTGTTATCATTATAATCCTTTCTCCTTACCTCCCACATTCATCTTGCACCACTCACTTTTTTGATTCTCTTATGCAGAAAAAGAAAGTGTTTAGTGATGTGCTAATCCAGCTTTCAATTTATTAAAATGTCTATGCATCACCTTCTTGGTAACTGGTTTTGGAGGATGGAATCACTGGGCAACCAGCGAGAGATTAGTGGTGAGAAGCAGGTGGTAAATCAGCAATTTGGGATTTAGATCACTGAAGTGTCTCCCATGGGTGAACACTCAGATAGCTGTTTTGCAGGATCTAGCATTTCCTTAAGATTATTTTACAATGTCTACTGTCTATTTTAAATGAAGAGAGCATTTAGCTCCTGCCAAGCTTAAACATGCCTACATCTTTCGGTGTGATCATGCATCCAAAAGATGGCTGGAGCCTGGGGCGACCCATTGCTCTTGGTAAGTGCCAACCTGAAGGGGTGACATTGCTGAGATCCTTTCAGGACAGGATTCTATGGAATGAGTGACAGCACGTCAGTTGTCAGCAAGGACCAGCCACTTCCCCAGTTCCACAGCACAACCTAAACCACCTCTGGGGAGCAGAAACAATGAAGTGATTGAGCTTAAGCCTGAAATGATTGAGAAAATCTAGAACAAAATTTTATTTTCTGCCAGGTGCAGTGGCTCACTGGAAGGCCAAGGTGGGTAGATCACTTGAGGTTAGGAGTTCAAGACCAGCCTGGTCAACATGGTGAAACCCATCTCTACTAAAAATACAAAAATTAGCCGGTCATGGTGGTGGGTGCCTATAATCCCAGCTACTTGGGAGACTGAGGCAGAAGAATTGTTTCTTCTGCCTCAGGGAGAAGGAGGTTGCAGGGAGGTGGAGGTTGCAGTGAGCCGAGTCTCTGCCACTGCACTCCAGCCTGGGCAACAGAGAGACTCCATCTCAAAAAGAAAAAATATTATTTTCTGCCACACAGCAGAACAAGAGCTCAGAGATTAAGTTGACCTATGGAAAAAATAAAGAAAGACTCACTTATGGCAGGGTGCCATGGCTCATGCCTGTAACCTCTGCACTTTGGGAAGCTGAGGCGGGAGGATCCCTTGAGCCCAGGAGTTGGAGACCAGCATGGGCAACATAGAAGGCCCTGTCTCAAAAAAAAATAAATTAAAATTAAAAATAAAAAGAAGAAAGGCTCACTTGAGGCTTGTGGATTACTGTGGCTGTGAGGATTTATACTTACCATGGAGTTAGGGTTTTTAGGAATAATTATAATACGAGCTGAAACTTGCTCAACTCTGCTGTGTGCCAAGCACTACGCTAAGTGCCTTCCATAAGGGATTCCATTTAATCCTCACTACAATCCTGGCTGGCAAGCACCATGACTCACATTTTATAGAGCAGGGATATGAGGCTTAC
This sequence comes from Homo sapiens, assembly GCF_000001405.40. Classification (NCBI taxonomy): domain Eukaryota; kingdom Metazoa; phylum Chordata; class Mammalia; order Primates; family Hominidae; genus Homo; species Homo sapiens. The sequence goes on from NC_000003.12 coordinate 5,078,391, forward strand.
AGAAACAAACAATGGCCTAAGTTCACGTAAGTTGCGGATGAGGAGCTGATTTCACCTCCAAGATCTCCTTAGCCATACTTTCCCTTAAGTCTATCACTTTGAACATATTTTGCCTTCTATTGTAGTTATTTTTAATATGCTGTACTTTTAATGACTTTATAATATTCATGAGAGCAGAAGCATGTGTAATTTATCTTTTAAAAATGTTTATTGAGGTCTAATTTAATACCATAAACATAAATATCAAGTATAATGTAATCATCCAAATGAAGATATTTAGAACATTCTAGCACCAAAGAATTTTCCCCTGAGTTCCATCCCAATCAAAATAGTGCCAAGAGGCCAGGCACGGTGGCTCATGCCTATAATCCCAACACTTTGGGAGGCCAACACGGGCGCATTGCTTGAGATCAGGAGTTTGAGACCAGCCTCTTGGCAACATGGTGAAACTAACCCTATTTCTACCCAAAAATACAAAAATTAGCTTGACGTGGTGGCTTGACTGTGGTTCCAAGTACTTGAGAAGCTGAAGTGGGAGGATTGCTTGAGCCTAGGAAGGCGAAGTTGCAGTGAGCCGTGATTGTGCCACTGAACTCCAACCTGGGTGACAGAGCGAGACCCTGTCTCAGAAATAAAATAAAATAAGACTGGGCGTGGCGGCTCACACCCGTAGTCCCAGCACTTTGGGAGGCCAAGGCAGGCAGATCATGAAGTCAGGATTTCAAGACCAGCCTGACCAACATGGTGAAACCCCGTCTCTACTAAAAATACAAAAATTAGCCAGGCGTGGTGACGTGCACCTGTAATCCCAGCTACTCAGGAGGCCGGGGCAGGAGAATCACTTGAACCCAGGAGGTGGAGGTTGCAGAAAGCTGAGACTGTGCCACTGCGCTCCAGCCTGGGCAACAGAGTGAGACTGTGTCTCAAAAATAAATAAATAAATAAAAATTTAAAAAAGAAAAAAATAGTATGTGTACATTCATATGTGAGTATAGACGTATGTGCATGTATGTGTAGACGAAAAGCTATATAGCAGTTTATCTCTATAATAGCGCTCATCACTGTGCTTCAGGAGTCTGTTTAATTGACTCCCCCACCAAACAATGAGGCCCTTAGGAGAACAGTTGTTGCCTTATTCACCTGGTATATATATATATATATATATATATATATATATATATATACTTGGTAGAAAATGTCTCATTGACAACTCAGAGCTTACAAAATATATACATACACCTATATAAAAAAAACTTCTGCCCCCTCCCCCATGAGTGGTTCTGGAGGGAGTAGCTGAGAGGGTCATCAGGACAGTGCCTATTTTCTCAAAGATACCTCCCTCCTCTCCCCACATGTTCCTTGCTTCCAGTTATAATTCAGGGGTCTCAGTGGCAGGCCCCTTGGGGAAGAAAGAGGTCCTCCCCAAGCTTCCACCCCATCTTGCATTGGGCTGCAGGTGTGCAAGGGCTCATTGAACTCTTTGTGACAGCCCCACCCCCATCCCCACTCCCCCATCCATTGTCCGTGCTGGAACCGCAAGTGCAGAAGTGGGTGGGGTGGGCGCAGCTGGTCTGGGGCTGGCTCAGTCTGATGGTTGCACTCCCTGGAGGACCCCCCCAGGGCTAATGTCTCTGAGGTTGCAGAGTGCTGGCCTGGACTCCTCCAGCCTCCATCCCCATTTTGTTTAAAAAAGAAAGGAAGAAAGAAAGAAAGTGGGGGAGGCCAGAGGGAAAGGAATAGACATGGGGGAGAAACAAAGGTGGCCAGCTGGGGAGGGGAGCTCCTGGGCTCTCCCTGGCTGCCCCAGGGTGGGGCTGAGCCTCAGCTGGATTCAGGGCCTGAGGAGTCCCCTGAAGAGGAGGAGCTGGAGCTGCTGCCCATGGACTCATCTTCATCCTCATCATACTCCTCATTCTCATCCCCTTCCTTGCTGCTGGACTCAGAGGTGTTCCTGCCATCCTCAGAGGAATCCCCATTCTCATAGCCAGGCATGGTGGCATGTGCCTGTAGTCCCAGCTACTTGGGAGGCTGAGGTGGAAGGATCACTTGAGCCTGAGAGTTGAGGCTGCAGTGAGCCATGATTGCACCACTGCACTCCAGCCTGGGCGACAGAGAGAAACCCTGTCTCAAAACAAAAACAAAAACACACGTACACAAAACACCTTCTCATGAGTGTACCACAGCTGCTGGTTGGGGTGAGGGGTGGGCTTCTTGGGAATGTCTGACTTCTTGACATTCTTGATTAAGTTGGAATGATCCTTCCTGAAATGGGCCAGGTTTCACACTTTTTCTCCATCCTTGTCCTCATGGCCCTCGTTCTCTTTATCATCTTCCTAGGACTCTGACTTGGACTGCAGGATTGTTTGTCTGGACTCAGAGGAGTTCGAGTCCGCAGCTTGGTCATGCTCTTACATTTATCAGAGATATACTCTTTCTAGGCTCTGCGGTCCTGGGGACAGAGACCATTAACCCAGGTGTCCAGGTGCACCTTGTATACTTTCGCTGCTCATTGGCCAGCTTTTTGTAGTGCTCCTTCTGACTCCAGGAGATGGCTGCCAATTTCCACCCACCATGCGCTCTGTCTGTGGCAGGTGTTTCAGCTCCCATTGCACAGCAGTTCCTGGAAGAATTTCTGATACCGGTTCACAAGGCTTCTTGCTTCCTCCCTGGAATTTCATCATCTTGGAAGACTCTGTAGCAGCTGGAAGTGCCCACATCGCACTCAGCTCTCTCTCATCACTTTTGGTCTTTGGCTGTCTTCTCAATTCACATCAGGTTCTCCTCCTTGGGATTCCAGGTCACATCCATGGCTTTCGAGGCCTTCACCCGGTCGTTCTTGAAGCAGGCCAGGTAGTTGCTGATGATGCTCTGTTGCCAGATCTGTACTCTCTTGATGACTTGGGCGGCTTGCTGAGTTCCTGGCACTCCCTGCCTGGCTTGCTCTCGGGTCTTGTACTTGGCCTTCTCAGACAAGTCACTCCACCTTCGGGCCAGCGTGCAGGCCAGCTCGATCTCCAAGAACCTAGGCTGCTCCTCCTGCAGCTGCTGCCCCTTTCCCACTGGGGGACAGAGATCCTTAACCCAGGGGTCCAGGTGCACCTTATACGCTTTTGCTGCCCATTGGCCAGCTTTTGTAGTGCTCCTTCTGAGTCCAGGAGATGGCTGCCAATTTCCATCCACCGAGAAGCCGCGTGGGCTTCTCAGAGGCTTCCTTACCCTCTTCCTGGGCTGGCTTCTGAAGGGGTGGTTTGCCCCTCCACACCTGTGGGTGTTTCTCGTTAGGTGGAACGAGAGACTTGGAAAAGAAAGAGACGCAGAGACAAAGTATAGAGAAAGAAAAAGGGGGCCCAGGGGACCAGCGTTCAGCATACGGAGGATCCACGCGCGAACTGGCCTCTGAGTTCCCTTAGTATTTATTGATCGTTATCAGGCGTGGCAGGATAATAGGATAATAGTGGAGAGAAGGTCAGAAGGTAAACACGTGAACAAATGTCTCTGCATCATAGACAAGGTAAAGAAAAAAGTGCTGTGCTTTTGATGTGCATATACATAAACATCTCAATGCCTTAAGGAGCAGTATTGCTGCCAGCATGTCCCACCTCCAGCCCTATCTCAGTAGATGGAATATACAATCGGCTTTACACCGAGACATTCCATTGCCCAGGACGAACAGGAGACAGAAGCCTTCCTCTTATCTCAACTGCAAAGAAGCGTTCCTTCCTCTTTTACTAATCCTCCTCAGCACAGACCCTTTACGGGTGTTGGGCTGGGGGAAGGTCAGGTCTTTCCCTTCCCACGAGGCCATATTTCAGACTATCACATGGGGAGAAACCTTGGACAATACCTGGCTTTTCTAGACAGAGGTCCCTGCGGCCTTCCGCAGTGTTTTGTGTCTCTGGGTACTTGAGATTAGGGAGTGGTGATGACTCTTAACCAGCATGCTGCCTTCAAGCATTTGTTTAACAAAGCACACCCTGCACAGCCCTTCATCCATTTAACCCTGAGTGGACACAGCACATGTTTCAGGGAGCACAGGGTTGGGGGTAGGGTTACAGATTAACAGCATCTCAAGGCAGAAGAATTTTTCTTAGTACAGAACAAAATGGAGTCTCCTATGTCTACTTCTTTCTACACAGACACAGTAACAATCTGATCCTTCTTTTCCCCACAGGCTTCTTGGAGGCCGGGCAGGTGGCTTGCTTCTTGTTGATGTTCAGCACCCTCTCCTCCCACAGGACCTGCTGCTGCTCCTCCTGGGGCAGTCTCCTGAGAAAAACGCAGCAGTTCCGCCTCATAATCTTTTGTTTCCTGGTCGCACATAGGCGTCCTTCTCCTTCCGGGAGAGCAGCTTCCACTGCTGGCCACACGGCATATCATGCGCTCCGCGCTGGGAACATCCTTCTTGTTGGCCATGAGCTCTGCGCACTACAGTGAGTAGCTGTTCCGAGGTGGCTTGTTGGGTCGCCCATCATCAAATTTGTCCTTGAGCTGGTGTTCAGCCTTGGCAGGGGTGGACTCGGTGGGGCCCTCCTCAGTGATGTTCGGCTCAGGGCGCTCCTGGATATAGGTCTGCATGATCTCCTTGTACTACTTCCACTGCTCCTGGAGCCTCAAGAATCCATTTCAGCCTTTTTTTTTTTTTTTTTTTTTGTCTGTCTGAGAGCTGAGACCACTACTTCCCCAGAAAGTTCTTCGCCTCCTTTGTAGGGGCATCTGGCCACACTTTAAAATACACCTTCTTGGCCGGGCACAGTGGATCATGCCTGTAAGCTCAGCACTTTGGGGGGCCAAGGTGGGTGGATCGCTTGAGCCCAGGATTCTAGACCAGCCTGAGCAACATAGTGAAATCCTGTCTCTATACAAAATGTTTAAAAATTAGCTGGGTGTGGTGGTGCGTGCCTGTAGTCCCAACTACTTGGGAGGCTGAGGTGGGAGGACCGCTTGAGCCCGGGAGGTTGAGGCTACAGTGAGCCGTGATTGCACTGCCACACTCCAGCCTGGGTGACAGAATGAGACCTCGTCTCAAAACAAAACCCCGAAAACACACATACACTAAAGTCCTTCTTCCGATGGGTGTACCACAGCTGCTGGGTGGGGGAGTTGAGCTTCTTGGGGATGTCTGGCTTCTTGGCATTCTTGATTAAGTTGGGATGATCCTTCCTGAAATGAGCCAGGTTTCACTCAAACTCTGTTTCTCCCTTGGAAAGTCCTGAATATATTTCATTTTCATCTTCTCAGGAAGCTCCTTTTATTTCTTGGACAGAATCTTTGTGAAGTCCAGGTTACTTATCTCAGGGTGGAGTTTTGCACACTTGGCCTGCTTCTCCATGAGGAAGTGGAAATGAGGGATCAGGGACTTCTTTGGGAAGTCTGGGTGTTGTTTGAGTTTTTTGTGTTTAACCTTTTTAAGGATTTTTAACATGTTTCTGGCATTGAGGATCAATTCTGTCAAAGTGCACAACTTCCTCACCTTGTCAGAAATTTTCACCCATTTGGGCCAGGCACAGTGGCTCATACCTGTAATCCCAGTACTTTGGAAGGCCAAGGTGGGAGGATTGCTTAAGGCTGGGAGTTTGAGACTAGCCTGGCCAACACCCATTTCTGACCCCAACTCTACAAAAAAAAATTTTTTTTAATTAGCCCAGTGTGATGACTCACACCTGTGGGCCTAGCTACTTAAGAAACTGAGGCAGGAAAATTGCATGAGCCCAGGAGTTTGAGGCTGCAGTCAGCTATGATCACACCAGTCCACTCCAGCCTGGGTGATAGAAAGAGATCCTGTCTAGAAGACAAAACAAAGCCAAAAAGAAGAAGAAGGAGAAGGAAAAGAAGAAGAAAAAAGAAATCTCTACCCATTGAACTTGTTGTGTCTCCAGAAATCTTTAAATGCTACTTTGTCCCCATACGTGATTAGGTGGTTTTGAACTTGTAACTGCTGTTGGTTGGAAGGTTATTCTTTATGCATTCCAGCAAAGTCAGCATGTCTTCCTGGGACCGGTGGTCTTGGCCTTTGAAGGCGGCCATTTCCAGGTCAGTGGGGGATGGGCTTCTCTGTTCATCCTCCAGCTGTCCAACCACCTCCTTGGTTGTGCTGGCGGCAACCCAGGGTCAAAGTCACTTTGCCTTTAGAAGACATACCAGTCCCTGCTCAGGCAGGCTGAGAGATGAGGGGCTTTCTATCCCTTGCCACCTCCCAAAGGGGAGGGAGGGACGCAGGTCCACACTCTCAGAGAGACCCAGCCAAGACCCTATTAGACTTAATGGATCTGTGGGTATGAGGGTGTGCCCCTCCTCTTTTTCCTAACTCTTACCCCAGTTCCTGAAGTCCAGCTCAACAGCATGTACCCTCCCCTTCCCACACGAAAACTGCTCCCAGCTCCTGGTGTATAATACTCAGTGAATGTTTGTAGAATGAATGAATAAATCGCTCAATGTTTTTATGTGTTTATTGACTTTTTTTTTTTTTTTTTTTGAGACGGAGTCTCCCTCTGTCACCCAGGCTGACTTGCAGTGGCGCCATCTCATCTTACTGCAACCTCCACCTCCGGGTTCAAGCAATTCTCCTGACTTAGCCTCTCGAGTAGCTGGGACTACAGGCACCTACCACCATACCTGGCTATTTTTTTTCTTTTTTTTTTTGTATTTTTAGAAGAAATGGGGTTTCACCATCTTGGCCAGGCTGGTCTTGAACTCCTGACCTCAAGTGACCCACCCACATTGGCCTCCCGTAGTGCTGGGATTACAGGCATGAGCCACCAGGCCTGATCTATTGTCTATTTTTATATCTTTTATGAAATGTTACTTCTGCCCTTTAAAAATTGGATTAGTTGTCTTTTTATTATTGAATTACTTATATATCCTAGATGTAAGTCCTTAGTCACGGGTATGTTTTGCAAATATTTTCTCCCAGTCTGTAGCTTGCCTCTGAATTTTCTTTTCTTTTGTTTTCTTTTTTTTTTTTTTTTGAGACAGAGTCTCTGTTGCCCAGGCTGGAGTACAATGGCTCAATCTTGGCTCACTGCAACCTCCACCTCCTAAGTTCAAGCGATTCTTGTGCCTCAGCCTCACCAGTAGCTGGGACCACAGGCATGTGCCACCACACCTGGCTAACTTTTGTATTTTTTGTAGAGACAGGATTTCGCCATGTTGGCTAGGCTGGACTTGAACTCCTGGACTCAAGTGATCCACTTGCCTCGGCCTCCCAAAGTGCTGGGATTACAGGCGAGAGCCACCGCACCCAGCCACCTGTTCATTTTCTTAATTGGCTTTTGATGAGAAGTTTTTAGTTTAAAGAAATTTCGATTTATCAAATGTTTCTTTTGTGATTTTGCCTTCTGAACCTTAGAAACCCTTGCTTACTCTTGAGTCCTGAAGATATTCTTCTATATTTGCCTCCAAAAGCTTTATGATTTTACCTTTTGTTTACTAAAGGCAATGTTAGAGGTACACTGATAAATATTTTTATATTTATTTATTATTTATTTTTGAGGTTTTTTTTGAGACAGAGTCTCACTCTGTTACCCAAGCTGGAGTGCTGTGGTGTCATCACAGCTCACTGTCTCTACAAAAAGCATTTTTTTAAAGATATGCAAAATAAAAGAAATTATTTGTCTATCAATGAATCTGCTCTGTTTATCAGTGTGGATTATTGAGGGAAACTTTTATGAATGACTCAGTTTTGCTCACCTCCTATTATATCCAATCAAAGCTGATAAGGAAACTGGAAAGGTAAGATCATTTGAATTAAAATTTTTTTTTTAAATTTTTATTTACTTTTTATATATGTTTTAAGGCTAGTCAAGCAGAGCAATGGGAATGGAGAAGGAACAAAGATATCTGTAACTGGTTGTGATCGATTAGTTGTAAACACCATTGCACTCGGATCAGCCTGAATTTATTTGGACCAGTGATCTCCAATCAGTAAAAAATTTTGAGTGCATGCTCCTCATATATGCATATTCACTTATCTAGACATTATATATGGACTACTCCACTCATTGTGAACTTTAAGAATATATGGAATTTATTTTCTTTGCTTTTTGTTTGTTTTTTGAGATAGGGTTCCTGTTGCCCATGCCAGAGTGCAATGGCATGATCACAGCTCCCTGCAGCCTTCAACTCCTGGGTTCAGGTGATTTCCCCACCTCAGCCTCCCAAGTAGCTGGGGCTATAGGCACAAGCTGCCAAGCCTGGCTAATTTCTGTATTTTTTGCAGAGATAGGACTTCGCCACATTGCCCAGGCTGGTCTCAAACTCTTGGGCTCAAGTGATCCTCCCACCTCAGCCTCCCAAAGCACTGGGATTATATGCTTGAGCCACCACGCCTGACCTGGAATTTATTTTTTTAAATGGAATTTTAAAAGAATAAAATAAAGATAAAAATATTTAAAACTTATTTTAATTTATTGTTAAGGCTACAAAAGTTATTTCTTCTTCTCTGTAGCTCATGTGGAATTCATCCTTTGAGTAAGAGCAGAATCAGCTTTGTGATTTTCTTGTTATCATCTTGTGCTTACATTCCTGGTTTATCTTCAATAAGCAGCTTTGCTGTGGGAATCTTCAGAGGTTCATTTTGCTTTATATGAAAGTTAATTTCATTAAAATTGAAGAATAGAGTCTGTAAATCCACATACATGGGAACACAGTAAAGTATGACCAAAGCAGATATCTAGCTGGGTTACCCCCAAAGTGCAGCCCAGTGTAAAGTCTTCTTTGCAGATAGTTCATTTGGGAATATGGTCACAAGGAATAAAAATGCAGGGCCGGGGAGTGAAACAGGGAAGGAGGGAAAACCCGTACAAGAACCTGTTTCCAAGTTGCCCCTCCATGACCCCAGCTAAGGGGCATCTCACTAGAATATTTTGGGGAGCCTCACAGAGTTCATTTCGGAAATATGTGTCTGTAGGACAAAAAAGAAGCATTTATCCATCAGCTCCTGCGTCCCAATTGTCAAGAATGGCTTCAAGAGCGTAAACACTCCTGCTCTTCTGGTTTACTCAAAGGGGATTCCCAAGTCCCAGAGCAGAAGAGTGAGATGTACAGTGAGGCCCATGTTAGTGCCAGCATGATACTGGTCCCACAGCAGTGGCTGGAGCTGACTCCCTACACTTAGTGGGCCAAGGAAATTTTGAAGAGGTGCTCAAGAAGTGTCTGACACAGCAGACGAACACCAGCAGCAACAACAACAACAAAAAGGTTGCATTTTCAATTCCTTAAGCATTGTGGAACTCTCTCTGAGTACCACCTATACCACACATGCTATATGGTCATTTGGGTACTGAGCGAGGGGAAAGCTTTGTTTATTTGTTATTTTCCATTTTTTTCTTTTTTTAACTTCTTTTTACTAAATATAAATAAAAGTTATAATGACTTATTGCCTTATTCCAGTGGAAATTCTTCCAGACCCATTGGGGATTTAGACTACCAAGAAAAATATAATAGAGGAAGTAAGTTGCTTCTGTTGGAAAAAAAAACTTAAGCAGTGCAATCCAAAGCCAAAAGCATTAAGATTTTCTAGTGCTGGTTAATAATGTTTTAAAGCCCAATATTTGGAATGATTTATGTCTTTGCATTACCTTATTAGTATGGATGATGGGGTATTGGCAGAATAGAATCTAATCATTTATCATATACAGGAAATAATAGCTGCTATTCAAAAATGTGTGTAAAAGGCAAAACAATCTAGATCTTGTAGGTTTGGACATCAAGCCAGACCGTCAGAGGGCAATTTTCTTGGATTGTTTTGGTCCCTGAAGGAGCCCTTTTATTAAATTATGCTTTGGCATGATCCTCATGGCTTGCATTGAAGGAACCCATAAGAAACAGCTGAAGCCAACTCGCTGTTACATTTTCTTTAGGGATGTTTTTGGAGCTATATACATTATATTAGCCAATACCCCTTGACTTTCTCCTGAGGACTGGTACACTGATATATAATTAGTTAAAATCTATTTTAATCTTACATTCAATGGGCAAAGTTACTCTTTTATTTTATTTTATTTTTTTTGAGACAGAGTCTCATTCTGTCACCCAGGCTGGAGTGCAGTGGCATGATCATGCTCACTACAGACTCCGCCTCCTGGGTTCCAGCCATTCTCCCGCCTCAGCCTCCTGCGTAGCTGGCATTACAGGCGCCCACCACCATGCCTGGCTAATTTTTGTATTTTTAGTAGAGACGGGGTTTCACCATGTTGGCCGGGCTGGCCTCAAACTCCTGACCTCTGGTGATCTGCCCGCCTCAGCCTCCCAAAGTGCTGGGATTACAGGCGTGAGCCACGGCGCCTGGCCAGTTACTCTTGAAAATAATTGTGTTTTCCATTTTCCTTTGTCCACCAGGAAGTTTAGTGTTTAGCTCGCCACTACTTTTAATAAATGTGGAAGACTGAAGAGCATGCATTTTAGTGTACTAATACTTTATTGGCTTTATCTTATTATTGGAGCCTTGTTTTTCCTACTCCATTATATTTTTAAGTAAGAAAGAAAATCTGATGAAATTGTATGCATTCTTTAAAAGCAGCCTCAAGTCTGTTTTGTAGTTAAACTAGGCATAATTAAAAAAATAAAAATACCATTTTGATGTCCTGAAATCCATATGAATAACATAAATCTAAGTGGTTATGACATATTTTAAAAATTTAAAATCACTGGAAAATCTAGAGTCACTAACATTTACATACAGTGATATTTTCTCTTTACTCTCAAACTTTTTTTTACATGTTGGAGCCAATTAAATAGCATTCCTTGATTCCCTTCCCAGTTCAAAACAATTGGTAAATAAGATATGGGAGACAAACAAATGGAAATGAAAATGTCATCTCTGTCACTGATAAAAGGGACTGGAAACATGACTTCAGAACTGTGATCCAAAGGGCTTGGTAACACTCCACTACCATTAATAGATTTTCCCACCAGCGTCTGGTATAGATGGATTTCAGGTCTTCCCAACAGGGCAGAGCCTACCTGGGCAGCTGACCATCCAGCAAAGAGCAGGCCCTAGTTCACCCTCTCTTTGGGTTGCCAGATTCCAAAGAACACATCCCGGTAGGGGCTGAGCTGCTCCGCTCATTCCTTCTCCCAAAGACACCAATTAGAGAAGTTACTCCTTTCCTGCGGCTGGGAGGAAAGAAGATCTGAGGCAGGAATGACAGCCGAGTGGGGTGTTTAATGGTTGCTCTTAGTATGGTGGGTAGGACAGGTCTCGGTTGGACTGTTGTATGCATTGTAAACTCTTCAGTATCCCTGAATGGTGGGCCTGTCACTTAACAACCAAAATCGCCTCCACATATTTTCAAATGTACCTCAGTGCCCCAACAGGGTTGAGAACTTTGCTTTAGAGGAAGTTTCCTCATAGGAACAGGAGGTCTATGTCATATATGGGAAATGAGAGGGAAGGGGGTGACAGAGATGAAAGTTCCTTGCTAACAGTAATGTCTTTATTATTAACTTTCTGTGAGCTGTACATTTTTAAACGAATTCCTTAGAACAAGAGTGATGTAGCCAGGCACAGTGGCTCGCGTCTGTAATCCCCGCACTTTGGGAGGCCGAGGTGGGCGGATCACTTGAGGCCAGGTGGTCGAGACCAGTCTGGCCAATATAGGGAAACCCCATGTCTCCAAAAAATAAATAATAATAATTAGCTGGACATAGTGGCACATGCCTGTAGTCCCAGCTACTCAGGAGGCTGAGGCATGAGAAGTGCTCTAACCCAGGAGGCGGAGGTTGCTGTGAGCCGAGATTGTGCCATTGCACTCTAGCTTGGGTAACAAAGCCGAGTCTGTCGCAAAAAAAAAAAAAAGAGTCACGTAAGGTGGCCTCATTCTGGTCCTGCCTTGCATCCCCAACAAGAAAGTTCAGGGTGGCATGTAAGGAAGACCGTCAGCCACCAGATTCATTTCAGTGGCTTCTAACGGTTAGGATAGGTATTCCTTTACATGTGATCTCAGGGACTATCACATGGGAGCCGCAGTCTTGAATGCTGACAAAGTTCACAACAACTAAAGCAGAGGAAAAGGGCACGCATAGAAAATGTCAAGGGGACGCTTGAAGGGCAGGGGGTGAGGCTGCCTCTAGACAAACAAAAAATAAAGATAATATCTGCCCCATGTGTTCACAATTTTAGCCATACAGAGGGACTAAAAGGTTAACATTTCCAACTGCCATTTTCACTCTGAATCCATCACTCCTAGAGATCAAACAATCACTAGGAGGCAATGGGACTGCACGGCTGGGGAAATGTACCATGCTACCTCTAATTCCCTTATATCTTTGAGATAACCTTAAGGTATCTCCAATCTTAAAAGGAATATCTGGCCATGTTTGCTGTGGATGACTTAAGGAAAACAGATTAACAGAGTGAAATATAACAACCAAAGTTATGGTTTATAATTGACTTAGGGCTTTGGAGAGGGCAACGCCTCTGTCATTACTTTGCAAACACAAAGTGACTTACAAATAGAGCTGAAATCTCTGCTAATAATCACCTGCTGTTTGTTTCCCTCTGACCATCTGCATTAGATCCACCTGTTGAAGGGAGATCTTGTTTAAAACCTGTGTCCCACTGGATACCTAACTAACTAGAATCTCTAGGGGTGAATCCCTGGAACTTTTCATTCTAATAGTTCCCTCAGGTGACCTGTGTGCACGTTGAAGACTGAGAGCCACTGTAATACAGGTAACTTTCTTAAATGGGTGTACTGTGTGTGTATAGGACATAGGCATACCCTGTGCCTAAAGGACTTTAGAACAGCCATTCTTAGAAGGAGTGGAGTCTATGCCATTACCTAGAAAGCTGGAGTGGGATCAGGCTTTTATATCCAAGAACTTAAAGGAGAAGCTGGCAAGTGCTGTCATTTCCGTCAGGGGACAGATTCCTACTGAGCCCACACAGGGGCAGTCCCTTTAAGGAGGGATTGGCCTCATGGGAGGATGTCTGCAGAGATGTCTGTGAAGGCTGGGTTCAAAGATTATAGAGTGGGCTGGGTGCAGTGGCTCATGCCTATAATCCCAGCACTTTGGGAAACTGAGGCAGGAAGATCACTTGGGCCAGGAGTTCAAGACCAGCCTGGGCAACATAGCAAGATTTTTGTCTCTAAAAAAATTAAAAATTGGCTGGGAGCAGTGGCTCACGCCTGTAATCCCAGCACTTTGGGAGGCCGAGGCGGGCGGATCATGAGGTCAGGAGTTTGAGACCAGCCTGGCCAACATAGTGAAACCCCGTCTCTACTAAAAATACAAAAATTAGTCAGATGTGGTGGCATGTAAAAATACAAAAATTAGTTAGGTGTAGTCCCAGCTACTCTGGAGGCTAAGGTGGGAGAATCGCTCGAACCCAGGAGGTGGAGGTTGCAGTGAGCTGAGACCACACCATTGCACTCCAGCCTAGGTGACAGAGTGAGACTCCATCTCAAAAAAAAAAAAAAAAATTAAAAATTAAAAAATTCACCGAGTGTGGTAGCGGTTGTCTGTAGTCCTAGCTACTCAGGAGGCTGAGACAGGGGAGGATTGCTTAAGCCCAGGAATTTGAGGCTGCAGGGAGGTATGATTATGCCCCTGCACTCCAGCCTGGGTGACAGAGTGAGACCCTGTCTCTAAAAAAAGATTGTGGGGTATAGTGAAGAGCTGTTTGGGTCCAAATTGCCATGAAAGGAAAGGAACAGACATGATCCCCCTTTCTTCAAAGGGCCTACTGTCTAGAGCAGGGAATTGGGCAAGCAAGCACCCACTCCCACAGCCAGCAGCCCCACTTCATAGGCAAGCTGTGGCAGGGCTAGTATTTACCAATACACAAAGGTGTGGCTATATGGTTAGTCAACATACTTAAATACTTTCGTAATGGTTAAAAACTTTTGTGATGATTGGTCAATAACCATTGCCTCAATCCTTCCTTTCCTGAGTGGCCCCTCTATCCTGGCTACTCACATGTTTCCTTCCTCCCTATATCCTATGATCCAGTGATGAAAGGTTAATGTCAGGCACAGTGGAGGTACCAGGACCCCACACCAGCACTATGGCTGGCTTGTCTTCTGACTGGTTGGCACCTGTGATATACTGATGGTTAAATATTTTGGATCACACCTGTAATGAGCGGGTGACTAATTTCTGGCAATGACACTGAGTAGAAGTTTGGAACATTAGAGCCCTAGTAAACCCTGGACTGGGGGACCAGCACCCTTCCTGGGGGAAGCCTAGCAGACATCCTTCCTGGATTCTGAGGTCCCCTCAGGATTCCTGACGTACCTAGGTAGGGAGAACGTCCTGAGAGACAAATAACAGACTCCCTTCTAATCCTAATATGTGGGGCTGTGAGCTGGTTCTAATTCAATTTCAAAAACAAAGACATAAAATTTCTACTAGCCCAGGGATCATGAGGCAATCCATACTGGTTAAATCAGCATAAGGAATTATTATTTTTATTAAATTACTATGTATGCCACAGAAAGGTTGTGTTGCTGAAAACAGGTCATCAGGAACTGTTGTTTTCCTGGCCATTTGAACTTCAGACCACTACGGTAGAAACTCTAAGGGTTTTTTGTTTTGTTTCCGTTTTGTTCTCTGATATCACAAGCCTCTAGAACGCTACCTGGCACATAGTAGGTGCTCAATAAATGTTAGTTAAACAAAACTACAATTTCAAAGGATTCCAAGTTTGTTGTTTAATTTTAGCAGAAGCTAGAAGAAATTAGCAGGATATATTGAATTTGGCCAGGTGTGGTGGCTCAGACCTGTAATCCCAACACTTTGGGAGGCTGAGGTGGGTGGATTACTTGAGCTCAGGAGTTCGAGACCAGCCTGGGGAACATGGCAAAACCCCTTCTCTACCAAAAACAAAAAAATTACCTGGGCGTGGTGGCACACGCCTATAGTCCCAGCCGCAGGAGGATCGCTTGAGCCCGGGAGGCAGAAATTGCAGTGAAGCGAGATGGCACCACTGTACTCCAGCATGGGCAACAGAGCAAGACCTTGTCTCAAAAAAAAAAAAAAAAAAAAGTCAAATTTATTTTCTACTTAGAAGCATCCAGAATCCCTGCCTCTTGTAATGATGGAAACCTCTGTTTGAGCTTAAAAATTAGTGGTTTCAATTAGCCGGGCGTGCTGAAGCATGCCTGTAATCCCAGCTACTCTGGAGGCTGAGGCAGGAGAATCACTTGAACCCAGGAGGTGGAGGTTACAGTGAGCCGAGATCATGCTATTGCACTCCAGCCGGGGCAAAAAGAGTGAAACTCTGTCTCAAAAAAAAAAAAAAAAAAAAATTAGTGGTTTCCATTTGCAACGTCTGCTATTGGAACAAACTGCAATTTACTAATTTATTAGGCAGTAGTACTCTAGAGATTTAACAAAAAATGAGCATGTCCGTTACTATTCCAGGTTGGCAACTGAGCTCTCTTGAGAGAGCTTCTCACTAAAGGCTCACTAAGATGATGGGCTCTGAGTACACCTCATCTAGAGCCAGGAAATGATCTCAAGGGATATAGATGGGGCAAAGGCCTTCAGACTTGATCTCCTGTTGTCAGATTTCTTCTCAGGATTTCACTTGTTTTTGCATTTTCTGTTTGCTTTTCTAAGCCTCATTAGACAGTTCCTTAAACATTCATTCCCAGCTGTCTATTTTTTCTCTTTTCTCTTTGAGCCCACAGTAACCAAACTCTCAAAGTAACACATCCAGAGACAGCTGGCAGATGGTTTGAAACCAGCGGATTTTACTTGCATTAGGACAATCACATTAAATTAAAACAAACAAAAAGCATATCTTTCAGTGGTGATTCACCTGCACATTAACTAGTAAATGCTAATTGTAATGTTAATAGTTGTAATTTCTTGAGAACCTACTATGTGCCAGCCTGGTACTTCACATACACAGATTAACTTTCACGCTGATAATAACAGGGAAACTGCAGGGAGACTGAAGTTTATAGAGATCATCTTGCTCAGTGGAATGAAACACAATCATAAATTGTTACATAAAGGTGCCTACATTATATTCAGTGCAAATGGCAAGTTTCACAACAGTACATTATAGTTAACTTCATTTTAGAAAATCTCATTAATTTGAAGTATATATAAACACATATAGATGTACTCACATAATATATTTTTGTATATGAGAAAAATGTATGAAAGGCAATACCACCTCAGGAATTTACCCACTTGCCCTAAGCCTTGGGTTTTACATCTGCAGAGCAGGAGTATTAAAAGTATCCACCACAGGCCGGGAGCGGTAGCTCACGCCTGTAATCCCAGCACTTTGGGAAGTCGAGGTGGGCAGGTCACGAGGTCATGGGTTTGAGACCAGCCTGTCCAATGTGGTGAAACCCCGTCTTTACTTAAAAAATGCAAAAATTAGCCGGGTGCGGTGGTGTGCACCTATAGTCCCAGCTACTCAGGAGGCTGAGGCAGGAGAATCGCTTGAACTCAGGAGGTGGAGGTTGCAATAATCCAAGATCGCGCCACTGCACTCCAGCCTGGGCGACGGAGTGAAGCTCCGTCTTGGGGCGAAGAAAAAGTATCTACCACAAAGAAAGGATAAAAGCACAGTTCCTGACACAAAAATGAGTACTTGATCCATTTCTTGCTATTATTGTCATTATTTTTATGAAGAGAAATTCATTAAATTGTCAACAGTGATTACCTCTAGGGAGTGACGCCACAGGGTAAGGAAGGGGATGACAATTTGTATCGTCTACATTATACACATCTGGGCTCTTCCATGCATTTACAACAATCAGACACCACTTCTATTACATGTTATAAAAGGCGTTTTATTTAAAAATACCTCTTGAGGCCAGGGGTGGTGATTCACACCTGTAATTCCAGCACTTTGGGAGGCTGAGGCAGGAAGATTGCTTGAGCCCAGGAGTTCAAGACCAGCCTGGGGAACATAGCAAGATCGTGTCTGTATTTAAAAATAAAAATAAAAATATCTTTTGAGGCTGGGCATGGTGGCTCATGCATGTAATTCCAGTACTGTGGGAGGCTGAGGCAGGAGGACTGCTTGAGCTCAGGAGTTCATGACCAGCCTGGGCAACATAGCTCACCCTGTCCCTACTAAAAATTTAAAAAGTAAAAATAAAAACCCTTTCATGGGAGGTCAGGAGTTCGACACCCGCCTGACCAACATCGTGAAACCCCGTCTCTACTAAAAATACAAAATTAGCTGAGCGTGATGGTGCATAACTGTAATCCCAGCTACTTGGGAGGCTGAGGCAGGAGAATCGCATGAACCCAGGAGGCGGAGGTTGCAGTGAGCCAAGACGGTGTCACTGCCCTCCAGCCTGGGCAACAAGAGCGAGAGGGAAACTCCATCTCAAAAAAACAAAACAAAGCAAAAACACCCTCTCGTATCAAAATTTATTTCCCCAAATGCCTTTATTTTCTCGTACAAGCAACCATTAAAATAATAATGAACTCCTAAAAAAAAAAATCTGAAAGATCTATTCCAGTGCTTGTATTCCATAGCTTATTTTTGGCCCCAGAGCAGCGTGAAGAACCCGATGTTATCAACAGCGTTTTATTTGGACGCTCTGAATCCGTTTTCCCCTAGCACATCGGCAGAGCAGACCGCCTGCCTCGGCCTTGTCAACGCCAAGGGTGTTTTGGACGGATGTGTCTATCCTGAAAGCTTCCAGCCTGGCTTTGAACTTGACTTGGCAACGGATGAAAACCTCGGCGAGCATCCCCAGACAACCCCGCTGCGCGTCAGAGCGCTGCTCCCGCGTCCTCCTGCCGGCAGAAGCCCCTGCAGTGCGCCCCGCGACCACCAGCTGGAACCAAAAGGCGGCGCGCAGGCGCGGAGCCCACGGGGAGCCCAGGCTGGGGCGCGTGTCAGCTCCGCCTGACCTGCCACCTTCCCTAGGCAGCGGGGGGCGGGGGTGGGGGGTGGTGCGGGGAGTCACATGCGTCCCCTCCGAAGCTGGGCTGGAGTTCATTTACAGCTCGCTTTTCTAGGCCTGTCTCTTTATTCCATTATCAAAGATTGCTTTAGGGGGTTCATAAAATCAAACTGAAGCGTTGTCAAAGGAGAGGAGTCCACATGTCTCAGACTGGAAACCAGCCATTCTTCCATTCATTGGGAGACATTTACAGGCCCCCTGCCAGGGGTCGGTCCTGGGACACTGGGGATGCCGCGTTGAGTAAGACAATCCCTACCTTCACAGGGCCTCGCTTCGAGCTTAATAATGATACCCAGTAAGGGAGGGTTGGAATGGAAGCATTTTGTTCTGCTCTTGGCTGAAGCACAGAGACAGATGTCACATGTCAGCGAGATGTGTGAGATCCTCATGCAGGGCTTGCAGAAGGGTTGGCTTTGACATGCTGAGCCCTTCGCCCCCACTGAGGGTATGAAAAGGGTCAAAAGAGGAACACTACAGGAAAAGACAGGATTTGGAAGGAGTTGATGATGAGTGGATCCTTTCCCCACCTTCCCCCCAACAATGAGAAGGGTGGGGGGCGGGGAGGGGGGGTGCCAGCCTGTCATCTCAAACCTAGAAAAAGGGGCTATAAAGGAATCACTCACAGGGGCTGCGGACACAGTAGACTCCTGTCTGAGCAATCTAAAAGTTGCAGGCCAAACACAGTCGCTGCAATCCCAGCATTTTGAGAGACTGAGGCTGGAGAATTGCTTGAGGCCAGGAGTTGGAGACCAGCCTGCACAACACAGTGAGGCCTTGTCTCTACAAAAGAATTTTAAGAAATAAAATTAGCCAGGCGTGGTGGCACGCGCCTGTAGTCCTAGCTACTCTAGAGGCTGAGGCAAGAGGACTGCTTAAGCCCAAGGGCTCAGTCACTGTAGCTGTACAGTGAGCTACAATCGTGCCACTGAAAGAGTTAAACTGTCTCTAAAAAAATAAAAAGACAAAATAAAATGTGTGGTACCAGGGCTGGCTAACTGTTCCAACTAACGAACAAAGAGACATTGCCATGTTGGGGTCATCCTGTGCCCATGGTTTGTGGGGGAAGTATTCCTTGTCCCAGGGGACCATATGTGGATGGCCTGCCAAAGAGAACTGAGGTAGAGCTGCCTTAGATCTTTTCCATGGAGACCTTCTGGTGGGATGAGGAGAAGTCAGCAGAAATAAGATAAACTAGATACTCTGGGTTGTAAAGGAAATTCTTAAGCCACCAGCTGGAATAGAGAGACATTTGCCTAAATTCAGTGAATTACAGGTGAGACCTTTCCAATGCCCCATGAAGGAGCGAGCCAGCCATAAACATCTGCCAAGCCCAGCAAGCGCCAGCATCTATCATGGCAATGTTGGTCAACTCAACACTTTCCTGGCCCCCCTAACTACTCTCTAGCCTACACCCCACTCTCTACCTCCACTAGATCTGATGCTTCATGGGCAGGGTGACCATATGCCCCAGTTTGCCCAGGACACTTTTTTGTTTTTTTGAGACAGAGTCTCGCTCTGTCACCCAGGTTGGAGTGCAGTGGCGTGATCTTGGCTCACTGCAACCTCCACTTCCTGGGTCCAAGGGATTCTCCTGCCTCAGCCTCCCAAGCAGCTGGGACTACAGGCATGCACCACCACAGCCAGCTAATTTTTTTTTGTATTTTTGTAAAGACAGGGTTTCACCATGTTGGCCAGAGTGGTCTTGAACTCCTGACCTCAAGTGATCCACCTGCCTCGGCCTCCCAAAGTGCTGGGATTACAGGCGTAAGCCACCATACCCGACCTGCCCAGGACACTTCTGATTTACATCTGCAGTCCTGAGGTAATTATTAATAGCACCCTCTTTCAATCTCAAGAGGGTCCCATTCTGGATGATAAATTACATGTTCATCCTCCACATGGAAGGCTAGGAGTAGCTGGTTAGGCAGGTGCAATGAGTTGAATCGTATCCCCACAAAGTGATATGTTGAAATCCTAATATCTAGTACCTCAGATTGTAACCTTATTTGAAATAAGGTCTTTATAGGGTCTTTATAGAGTCCAAGCAAACGACAAGGAAGTCATTAGGGTGCACCCTAACCCAATAGGATGTCGAAAAGGAGAAATTTGGACACAGAGACATGCACACAGGGAGAATGTCAGGTGAAGACAGAGATTGGGGTGATGCGTGTACAAGCCAAGGAATGCCAAAGATTGCCAGCAAACTCCACAAGCTAAGGAAGAGGCATGGAACAGATGCTTCCTCACAGCCCTCAGAAGAACACAAGTGTGCTGCCCTCTTGGTCTTGGACTTCAAGCCTCTAGAATGGTGAGACAATACATTTCTGTTGCTTAAGCCAGCCAGATTGTGGTGCATCGTGACAGCAGCCCTAGCAAATGAATACATCAGGAAACAGAAGCAGCCGAGCTTGCCCTTTGTCCCTTCCCAAATGTCCAATCTGCAGCTGGCTCCAACTGAGGGCTATGGGAAACATTTTACGTGAAATGCGATTTTTGATTTTTTAAATGTCTTTTTTTAAATGATTTCAACTTTTATTTTGGATTCAAGGGGGTACATGTGCAGGTTTGTTACATGGGTATGTGCGTGATGCTGAGATTTGGGTTACAATTCATTCCATCACCCAAGTGGTGAGCACAGCACTCAACAGTTAGTTTTTCAACTCTTGCCTTCCTCCCTCCCTGACTGGTAGTCCCCAGTGTGTATTGTTCCCATCTTTATGTCCATGAGTACCCAGTTTAGCTCCCACTTACAACTGAGAACACATGGTGTTTGGTTTTCTGTTCCTGCATTAATTTGGTTAGTATAATGGCCTCCAGCTGCATCCATGTTGCTGCAAAGGATATGATTGTGTCCTTTTTTATGGCTGCGTTGTAATTTTTTTTTTTTTTTTTAGATGAAGTTTTGCACTTGTCATCCAGGCTGGAGTACAGTGGCACAATCTTGGCTCACTGCAACCTCCACCTCCTGGGTTCAAGCGATTCTTCTGCCTTAGCCTCCCGAGTAGCTGGGACTACAGGCACCTGCCGGCACACCTGGATTTTTGTGTTTTTAGTAGAGACCAGTTTTCACCATGTTGGCCAGGCTGGTCTCAAACTCCTGACCTCAGGTGATCTGCCCACCTCAGCCTCCCAAAGTGCTGGGATTACAGGTGTGACCCACCGTGCCCAGCCTGCATTTTAATTTCAGAAGACTAGACTATTTGTTACTGAACCTGAAATGTGTGTAGTGATTTAAAGTGACAGCAGGATGTTTTGTTACCTAAGAGTGACCAGGGGACATCTGTTAGGAGCCAGTAGTTCTCCACACACCTAGCATCCGGTGAGACAAGCCACCACACTGAAGGAGGGGACATCAGCAGAGCAATGGTGGACAGGCGCAGGCTGGGGCTACCGCTTCTGGCACTGCTCCTACACACATAGATTCATTCAAATCATACAATTTTTCAAATCATAACATTTTTCAGATAACTCCTCCCGGAATACTTCAGCAGCCACAAATCCAGCTAATGCCACTACCAAGGTGGTTGGCAGTGCCTTGGAGTCAACAGCCAGTCTCCTCCTAGTCTTGCTTTCTCTCGCCCACCTCTAATGTTAGGAGACTCAGGCCAAGAAACATCTATATGTCCCCATCTTCTAAACCCATTTTAAATGGCATCTAGAAGTCCAATGTGACAAGGAAAAAACAAATCGTCGTCAAATCTACTAATCCCACACCTTCTTTTATTGACATAAAAACTGTTGAGAGGCCAGGAGTGGTGGCTCACACCTGTAATCCTAACACTTTGGGAGGCAGAGGCGGGCAGATCACCTGAGGTCAGGAGTTCAAGACTAGCCTGGCCAACATGATGAAACTCTGTCTCTACTTAAAATATAAAAATTAGCCGGGCATGGTGGCACATGCCTGTAATTCCAGCTACTCGGGAGGTTGAGGCAGGAGAATCACTCAAACCCAGGAGGCGGAGGTTGCAGTGAGTCGAGATGGTGTCACTGCACTCCAGCCTGGGCAACAGAGTGAGACTCTGTCTCAAAACAACAGTAACAACAACAACAAAAAACCCTAAATTTGATTGGCTCGAAGAATGTGTGAAGGGTTTGACAAGATGATGAATGCCAATAGTGTATCTGCTGGAGTTTCATGTACAAGATGAAGACAGGCAACATCCAAAATTAGTTGAGACATGATTTCCTTGTATGTGGCTTAACAAATGTGGACACTAAAACTCTGCCTTAAAAATAAGAATTGAGGCAGGGTGCGGTGGCTCATGCCTGTAATCCCAGCACCTTGGGAGGCTGAGGCAGGTGGATCACTTGAGGTCAGGAGTTCAAGAACAGCCTGACCAACGTCGTGCAACCCCATCCTTACTAAAAAAATACAAAATTAGCTGGGCGTGGTGGCATGCACCTGTAATCTCAGCTACTCAGGAGGCTGAGGTAGGAGAATCGCTGGAAGTCAGGAGGTGGAGGTTGCAGTGAGCTGGGATCACTCCATTGCACTCCAGCCTGGGCAACAAGAGAGAAACTCTGTCTCAAAAAGAAAGAAAAAAAGAATTGAGGCCAGCCATGGTGGCTCATGCCTGTAATCCCAGCACTTTGGGAGGCCGAGGTGGGCAGATCACTTGAGGCCAGGAGTTGGAGACCAGCCTGACCAACACGGTGAAATCCCCTCTCTACTAAAAATACCAAAATTAGCTGGGTGTGGTGGTGAATGTCTGTAATCCCAGCTACTCAGGAGGCTGAGGAAGGAGAATTGTTTGAACCTGGGAGGCAGAGGTTGCAGTGAGCTGAGCTCATGCCACTCCACTCCAGCCTGGGTGACAGAATGAGAGTCTCAAAAAAAAAAAAAAAGCAGGTATTGATTTTGTCTTATCTAGAGATAAAGGATGGGATGTGGAATAGAGATTCAATTTCCATTTGGTTCATGAAATCTATAAGGCCATAAAACAGGTAAAATGAAAAGCTTCTTCCGTGATTCTGTTTATATGTACCTCAGAAGGAACTTCCAGGTATTACTGTAAGTCCTCAATGTATTGTTTTCACAGTACTAATTTAATGCTTTTATACCTAGATGTTTTACGTTGTTAAGCTATCACTGTTCTCTTGGGAACTAAACACTTTTTTTTTCTCCAAATCTTTGGATTTGACATTGCATGTGACCTTTTATGTAGTAATTGACATGTGCCAGGGCAGTCATGGATTATTAATAGAATTTACCCCCAGCTTCAAGCATCATGAGTAACTCTTGCTTATCCTCATAAAGTCAAATGGTAGGCATTTCCCATCATCTATTTTCATTCAACAAGAGCACCCAATTTATTTAGCTAAGCTGCATCCAAAGAGTAGAATTTTGTTGACCTCAAATAATTTCAAAATGCTTCTTTGTATTTCTGCATATGTTGAATACGTTTTATAATTTAAAAAATCATCTGCTTTGGCCAGGCATGGTGGCTCATGCCTGTAATTCCAGCACTTCAGAGGCCGAGGCAGGTGGGTCACCTGAGGTCAGGAGTTCGAGACCAGCCTGGCCAACATGGCAAAACCCCATCTCTACTAAAAATACAAAAAAAAAAAAAAAAAAAAAAAAAAAGCCAGGCGTGGTGACATGCACCTGTAATCCCAACTATTCGGGAGGCTGAGGCAGGAGAATCACTTCAACTTGGGAGGCGGAGGTTTTGGTGAGCCGAGATAGCACCATCGCACTCCAGCCTGGGTGACAAGAACAAAACTCAATCTAAAAAAAAAAAAATCATCTGTTTTGAAGATAAAATAACCAATCTTGACATTAAAGAGACAAAAATGAAGGCCAGGCACAGTGGGTCACGCCTGTAATCTCAGCACTTTGGGAGGCCGAGGCAGGTGGATCACTTAAGAGTTCAAGACCAGCCTGGCCAACACAGCAAAACCCTGTATCTACTAAAAATACAAAAATTAGCTGGGCATGGTGGCGCGTGCCTGCAATCCCAGCTACTCGGGAGGCTGAGGGAGGAGAATCACTTGAGCCTGGGAGGTGGAGTTTGCAGTGAGCTGAGATGGTGCCACTGCACTCCAGCCTGGGTGACAGAGCAAGACTCTGTCTAAGAAAGAAAGAAAAAGAAAGAAATGAAGAAAGAAAGGAAAGAGAAAGAAAGGGCAAAAATGAAAAATGTGAAGGAGACAAAACTGTAAATCAAGTATTTGGGAGGTGAAAACTGGAAGCTGTCTTGCATTAAATTCAGAAAGAAATTAATATTCACTCTGTAAATATCTTTTAAAAATGGATCAGAACAGCCACACTGAAAACATATTGTTTGGTTATCAGGCAATATTTTTACAAAGAACCTGGTCCCAAGCCTAAAAGTGAGCTTGTTTCTGCAGTAAATATTTTACAATTGCCTCTACACACAGAAATCTCTTAAAAAACAGACATTTCTGAAGTCTTGAGTGCAGGGTCATGCATAGAAGCTTAGACGTTGCAGTAACAAATATGGCCACAGTAGTATTGATAACCAATGTCATTTTTTCCCATCTCCAGAACCTACATGGAGACGAGATCAAACAGATCTGAAGCTACTGCGTATGTGAATGAATACTCCTTTTGCTTCATACCTGAATGCTGTCAACCTAACTAACAGAGAGAGGCTCTCTAAAGGAAAAAAGATATTTGGGAATAGAGCACTGGGATGGAAATATACATACCATAGTAAACTGTGTGTGTATTTAGAGAAGTAAAGGAAGAAAAAGGTTTTTAAAGGAAAGAAATGAAGAGGATTACATAATTGTTTTGAAAGAACCATCCTTGGCTACAAAGATCAATAGCAAGGGTGATGCCAGTCTGAGGTTGGACAGGCAGTTACTGGGCAGATGTCCTTGCAGGAGTATTTTTTGTGTCAGGTTGACATGGCCTTTGTGTGAGATTGTAGTTTTTGTAGAGTCTCTTTTATTATCAGGCATAAAAGAATAAGAACCCTCTCTTCATGGTCTTTACTGGCTCTATTTGTCAGTGTTTTCTTAACATTGCTCTATCACCCAGGCTGGAGTGAAGTGGTGCGATCTCGGCTCACTGCAACCTCCACCTCCCTGGTTCAGCTGATTCTCCTGCTTCAGCCTCCTGAGTAGCTGAGACTACAGGCACCTGCCACCAAACCTGGCTAATTTTTGTATTTTTAGTAGGGATGGGGTTTCACCATGTTGGCCAGGCTAGTCTCAAACTCCTGACCTCAGATGATCTGCCCACCTTGGCCTCCCAAAGTGCTGTAATTACAGGCATGAGCCACTGCACCTGGCTGACACCATTTTGATTCTGACCACTTTCACAATGTCGTCCATCTATTTTGGGTTGTATATCGTGGTTTTTCTTTTTCTATTTTTTAGAGATGGGGTCTTGCCATGTTGCCCAGGCTGGTCTTGAATTCCTGGCCTCAATGATACATCTGCCTCAGCCTCCCAAAATGCTGGGATTATGGGCATGAACCACCTTACCCAGCCAGTTTGTATGTTTATGCTTTGATTCAAAGTAACTTTGCATATTATCGAATTGATTTGCATTAAACACAAATTGTAAATAAAAACAAATAAATGACTGAAAGAGAAAAAAAAAAGAAAAAAAAAGTGACAGCAGGAAGGAAAGAACCAGTGCGCAGAGAGCAGTGGAATCTGGGTGCAGCAATAAGTAAGTGTATTGTCCGTAGAGAAGCTAAACACAGCAATAAACCAATACAAGTTAGTCTGCATTTTTTCCTCCATCCTCTAACCTTGGGTTCTCTTCTCTTTCTCCTTCTCCTCCTCCTCCTCCCTCCTCCCCCTCCTCCCCCCTCCTTCCCCCTCCTTCTGCCTCCTCTTCCTTCTTCCTCCCCCCTGACTTCCTCCCCTCCTCTTCCCCCTAACCTCCTCCTCCCCCCTCCTCCCCCAGTCCTCTTCCTCCTTCGATGGGGGTCTCACTATGTTGACCAGGCTGGTTTTGAACTCCTGGCCTCAAGGATCCTCCCACCTCAGCCTCCTAAAGTGCTAGGATTACAGGCATGAGCTGCTGCACCCAGCCAGGTCTACTTTTTTTTTGAGACAGAGTCTAGCCCTATGGCCCAGTCTGGAGTGCAGTGGTGCGATCTCGACTCACTGCAACCTCTGCCTCCTGGGTTCAAACAATTCTCCTGCTTCAACCTCCCTAGTAGCTGATATTACAGGCACGAGCCACCATGCGATGTTAAATTTTGTATTTTTTTCTTTTTTATTTTTTTTTTGAGACAGAGTCTCGCCCTGTTGTCCAGGCTGGAATGCAATGTCGGCTCACTCCAACCTCCACCTCCCGGGTTCAAGCGATTCTCCTGCCTCAGCCTCTCGAGTAGCTGGGATTTCAGGCACGCGCCACGATGCCCAGCTAATTTTTGTATTTTTAGTAGAGACGGGGTTTCACTATGTTGGCCAGGCTGGTCTCGAACTCCTGACCTCGTGATCCACCCACCTCAGCCTCCCAAAGTGCTAGGATTACAGGTGTGAGCCCCACAGCCCTAATTTTTGTATTTTTAGTAGAGATGGGGTTTCACCATGTTGGCCAGGCTGGTCTTAAACTCCTGACCTCAAGCTATCCTCCCGCCTCCGCCTCCCAATGTTCTGGTATTACTGGCGTGAGCCACTGTGCCCAGCCTCCAGGTCTACTTTTTATCACCACTATGCTGGCAATATTGAACACTGTCAGTGATAACACATTCCTCTTTGCCTGGGGTGCTGCTCCCACCACTCCCTACCTCTTTGGTATACCATTGCCCCAGAGAGGGTTTAAAGTACATGGCAGTGGAAAATAGAAAAAGATAAAAAAACTATTGTCTGATCTAGCGGTTTTCAACTGGTGGTTATTTTGCCCAACCTACCATCCCCCTCCCCCTCCTGGGGGTATCTAGCAATGTCTGGATATATTTTTATTTGTCCCAACTAGAAGCGGGACGAGGTGCTACCAGCACCTAGTGGATACAAGCCAGGGATGTTGCTCAGCATCCTGCAGCGCATAGGATGGCTCCCAGCCATGCATAATTGTCCGGCCCCAAACGCCAATAGTGCCAGGTCCAGAAAACCTGATCTTGACATTTTAATCACAGGATGCGCAGGAAGCACTCTTTAACTTTGGGTGACAAAGGCCTAGGGTGGATTCCCAGGGCCTGTTGTTGTAGACTGTAAACTCTCAGAAGGAGGGGATTATGTAGGTCATTTTCTGGGTAGCACGCCTGTCAAGGGAACACAGAAAGGAAGCTTATGCACTAGGCATTGGAATCTCAGCTGCGAGGGGAAAGAACAGTATCATTTACACAGCCCCTTCTGTGGGCAGAGCACTGTGCTGGGAGATTTTGTTTGTTGCTGCATTCGACTCTCCTGATAACCCTGAGAGGTACCTATTGGTATTCCCATTTTAGGCTCAGGGAGGTGAAGCAATATATCAAAGGTCAGAAGTGGGAGAATTGAGATGCAAACGCTCACCTGCTTGATGTCAAAAATGCACGCTTGCTTGCTTTTACCCATCAAACTACACCACTGATGGCTGGGTGCAGCCGCTCCTACCTGTAATCCCAGTAGTCTGCGAGGGTGAGGTGGGAGGATTGCTTGAGCCCAGGAGTTCAAGACTAGCCTGGGCAACATAGTGAGATCCCCCGACTCTACAAAAAATAAACATATTAGTATGTGTGTACTAATTTTGTATGTACTAATTTTAGTATGTATGTATTAGTAGGTATGGTGGCTCTCACCTGTAGTCCCAGCTACTTGGGAGGCTGAGGTGGGACATCTCTTGAGCCTGGGAGGTGGAGGCTGCAGAGAGCCAAGATCACACCACTGCACTCCAGCTTGGGTGACAGAGTGAGACCCTGTCTCAAACAAAAAAACAAACAAACAAAAACAAAACAAATAAACAAAAAAACCCTACACAACTGACCAGTAATCAGATCCAGCAAGAAGCAACTATGACCTTGACCAACCTGCCCACTTGAAAAAAAAGTTTCTATCCTGTACTTCTATGTTCCTTTTTTCTATTGTTCTCTGTACTTTGTTGCATTTTCTTTCACTTTCCTAACTTTGTTTCTTTCATAGATAGACTTGTTTGTGTTTTGATTACTTAGATCTATTTTAGATAAGATCCTTACCAGTGCACTTGACAGGAACCCAGATCCAACTAACTAGAGAGAGAGATTGATGGTATCTTTTTTTTTTTTTTTTTTGAGATGGAGTATCCCTCTGTCATCCAGACTGGAGTGCAGTGGCACAATCTTGGCTCACTGCAACCTCCACCCCCTGCAGGGTTCAAGCGATTCTCCTGCCTCCTGAGTAGCTGGGATTACAGGCATGCGCCAACATGCCCGACTGATTTTTGTATTTTGCATGGAGACGGGGTTTCACCGTGTTGGCCAGGCTGATTTTGAACTCCTGTCCTCAAGCGATCACCCACCTCGGCCTCCCAAAGTGCTGGGATTATAGGCGTGAGCCACTGCGCCCAGCCAGTGGAGTCATTTAAATGAAAAATTCAGAACAGCTTCAGGTCCAGATCAGTCAGGGTGCTCCACCAAAATAACACCAGAAAACTTTCTCCTCTGCTAAATGGTCGCGTAGGTGTTTCTAGTTACAATGATGACCCTTGTCTTAGTGTTTATGCCACTTGATGTTCCTTTGTTTCCTATAAATATTCAAAACCATAGACTGTCAAAATGGAAAGAGAATTATGTCAGAGATGTGTGGGTGCAGCCAGGCACAGTGGTTCACCCTATAATCCCAGCACTTTGAGAAACTGAGGTGGGAGGATCATTTGAGCCCAGGAGTTTAAGACCAGCCTGGGCAACATAATGAGACCTTATCTCTACAAAAAAGTCAAAAAAGGAGCTGGGTGTCATGGCACGCACCTGCAGTCCCAGCTACTTAGGAAGCTGAGGTGGGAGGATTGCTTGAGCCTGGGAAGTCAAGGCTGCAGTGAGCTGTGGTCATGTCACTGCACTGCAGCCTGGGTGACACAGCAAGACCCTGTCTGATTTTGAACTTCTGTCCTCAAGTGATCCACCCACGTCATCACTAAAACAATTAAATTAAATTAAAAATAACAGAGATGAGTAGGTGGAATACAGGGAATTTTTAGATGAAACAATTCTTTATGACACTGTAATTGTTGATACATAACATTCTACATTCGTCCAAACCCATCGAATATACAATGCTGAGGCTGAACCCCATTGTAAACTATAGACTTTAGTTAATAATAAGGTAGCAATATTGGTTCCTCAGTTAAAACAAAGGTAATTTGGGAAGCTATGGGGCTAGAGGAAGAGTACATTGGAACCATCAGTACTATCTGCTCAATTTTCTGTAAACCTGAAACTTCTCTAAAAAATATAAAGCCTATTTTATTTTATTTTATTTTATTTTTGAGATGGAGTCTCACTCTGTTGCCCAGGCTGGAGTGCAGTGACACAATCTTGGCTCCTAGTAACCTCTGCCTCCTGGCTTCAAGCGATTCTCCTGCCTCAGCCTCCTGAGTAGCTGGGATTACAGGCATTCATCAACACATGCCCAGCTAATTTTTTTTTTTTTTTTTTTTTTTTTGAGATTGAGTCTCACTCTCTCACCCAGGCTGGAGTGCGGTGGCACGATCTTGGCTCGCTGCAACTTCTGCCTCCCAGGTTCAAGCAATTCTCCTGCCTCAGCCTCCCGAGTAGCTGGGATTATAGGCATGTGCCACCATGCCTGGCTAATTTTTATATTTTTAGTAGAGACGGGGTTTCACCATGTTGCCCAAGCTGATCTTGAACTCCTGACCTCAGGTGATCTGCACACCTCAGCCTCCCAAAGTGCTGGTATTACAGGCGTGAACCACCATGCCCGACTTACACAGGGTATTTATTTTTTATTTTTATTTTTTGAGACAGGGTCTTTCTCTGTCACCCAGGCTGAAGTGCAGTGGCACAATCTCGGCTCACTGCAGCCTCCTTCTGGGTTCAAGAGATTCTCCTGTTTTTTTTTTTTTTTTTTTTTAGCCTCTTGAATAGCTGGGATTATATGCACATGCCACAACACCAAGCTAATTTTTGTATTTTTGGTAGAAATGGAGTTTTGACATGTTGGCCAGGCTGATCTTGAACTCCTGACCTCAGGTAATCCATCCGCCTCAGCCCCCAAAGTACTAGAATTACAGGCATGAGCCACCATGCCCAGCCTATAATGGCTATTATAAAGAGAGAATTCTTATCTCTACCATGCAGGAATCCCTTCCTCTTATCTCATTTCAGTCAGGTTGCTATGAAATGGGAAGGTTTTAGAGATAAAAGGTTCTTTAATTTTATCTTATCCAAACTCTTCAGTTCATAAATAAACTGAAGCCCAGAGAAAGGAAGTGACTTGCTGAAAGTCACACAGCCATTTAGTTTTCAAAGCCAAGAATTTTTTTTGAGACAAAGTCTTGCCCTGTCACCCAGGCTGGAGTGCAGTGGTGCGATCCTGGCTCACTGCAAACTCTGCGTCCTGAGCACAAGCGATTCTCCTGCCTCAGCCTCTTGAGTAGCTGGGATTACAGGCGCATGCCACCATGCCTGGTTAAGTTTTGTTTTTTTGGAGAGACGGGGTTTCACCATGTTGGCCAGGCTGGTCTCAAACTCCTGACCCCCTGACCTCAGGTGATCCACCCACCTCAGCCTCCAAAAGTGCTGGGATTACAGGCGTGAATCATTGCACCCAACCTGAGAACTCTTTAATTCAAGACACGGCTTTTCTTCCAGCAGTGTGGTCTTTTTATTTCCTGCACAGGACTCTTCACACCACTCTACTTTGCACTGAGTATCTGTTTTCCACCTATGGAATTCTCATATGATTGGTTGTTCTTAAAATGGGGGTGACTAGCTCAATTTTTAAATAATGAAGAAGAGGCGGGGCCTCGTGACTCATGCCTGGGATCACTTGAGCCCAGGGGTTTGAGGTTGCAGTAAGCTGTGATTATACCACTGCACTCAAGCCTGGGCAACAGAGCAAGATCCTGTTTCTGAAAAGCAAAATAAAATAAATAAAAATAAAATAATGGGCCGGGCACAGTTTCTCATGCCTGTAATCCCAGCACTTTGGGAGGCCAAGGTGGGCAGATCACTTGAGGCCAGGAGTTCAAGACCAGCCTGACTAACATGTCTCTACTAAAAATACAAAAATTATCTGGGACTGGTGGTGTGTGTCTCATAATCCTAGCTACTTGGGAGGCTGAGGCATGTGAATCACTTGAACCCGGGAGGTGGAGGTTGCAGTGAGCTGAGATCGCACCACTGCACTCCAGTCTGGGTGAGTGAGACTCTGTCTCAAAATAAAAAAGAAAGAAAGAATGATGAATGTTCCTTCTAAAGAGAATGTCCTAATTGAGTCTTGCTTCCCTTTTCCTGAAGGCCAAAACTCTTCCTTTAAAAGATGGAACTGACATTCTGCTCCTTGCAGATTTTGGGGAGCACCTGTAGTGACATCCACAGCTAATGAAAAACTCTGGCTCTCTAATCGACTTGGCCCAAAGCAGAAATGTCCTGTAGATAAGGCTCAGGTGCTGTCAGTTTCAGATGCTACTAGGTTGGTAATCAGGCCAGTGAGAACCTATGCAATGTGTCACATTTATTTCATTCTTTGGAGCCAAAACAATGATCACCTTAGACAAATGCAAAGGTAATAATAAAACAAATGCCTGAGAGATGAGATTTCAGGTACCCCAGGCTGGCTCACTCATTTAAAATGATTTTAGTAATTTAAGTAGAAATGGTTACTGTCCTTAAGAAGATTATGACTTAGCTGGGTGTGGTGGCTCACACCTGTAATCCCAGCACTTTGGGAGGCCGAGGTGGGTGGATCACGAGGTCAGGAGATTGAGACCATCCTGGCTGACACGGTGAAACCCTGTCTCTACTAAAAACACAAAAAATTAGCTGGGTGTGGTGGCACGCGCCTGTAATCCCAGCTACTTGGGAGGCTGAGGCAGGAGAATCGCTTGAATCTGGGAGGTGGAGGTTGCAGCGAGCCAAGATCGTGCCACTGCACTCCAGCCTGGGTGACAGAGCGAGACTCTGTCGCTAAATAAATAAATAAATAAAGATTATGACTTAAACTCGCATCTCTAACTGTAACATATCCCTTCTCTGTGCCTCAGCTTTTCACTAAGTAAAACTAGAATGGTCTTGGAGTCATTCAGCTGTGATGCCACAGAATTCTACCTTTCTTACATAACAGACACAAAGCAAATACATGAGTCAATCTTATCTCTCACCCTTGTCCTTCCCCATCTACATTCCCAGGGCTCTGGGATTCCTGACCCTATAAAGGATGCATCAATGGGTCCGTGTGTCTCAGCACATGATCCTCAGTTCCCATTCCTGTAACTTAAATCTAGGCAAAGTTCAAAGGGAATAGCCACCCACATGACTTTGTACACTATTCCAGCGACTTCAGCAGAAAATACTTCCTCAGCTAAAACATCAGATAAGGGTGGTAACCTTACCCATATTTTACAGATGAGAAACTAAGCCCCTGAATTGTTGATCATATGTCCTAAGTCACTATGTTCCAGAAATAATGACTAGGATTTAGAGAATATTAACGCTGTGCTAGGCTGTTTTTTTTTTGTTGTTGTTGTTTGTTTGTTTAGATAGAGTCTTGGCCGAGAACAGTGGCTCACACCTGTAATCCCAGCACTTTGGGAGGCTGAGGCGGGTGGATTACTTGAGGTCAGGAGTTCGAGACCAGCCTGGCCAACATGACGAAACCCTGTCTCTACCAAAAATACAAAAATTAGCCAGACATGGGGGTGGGCACCAGTAATCCCAGCTACTCGGGAGGCTGAGGCAGGAGAATCGCTTGAACCTGGGAGGTTGAGGTTGCAGTGAGCCAACATTGCACCACTGCACTCCAGCCTGGACAATAGAGTGAGACTCACCCTGAAAAAAAAAAAAAAAAAAAAGATGGAGTCTCACTGTAGCCCAGTCTGGAGTGCAGTGGTGCACTGTTGGCCCACTGCAACCTCAACCTCCCAGGTTCAAGCGATTCTTCTGCCTTAGTCTCCCAAGGTAGCTAGGACTACAGGTATGTGCCACCATGCCCAGCTATTAATTTTTGTATTTTTAGTAGAGATGAGGTTTCACCATGTTGGCCAGGGGGGTCTTGAACTACTGACCTCAAGTGATCCACCCACCTGGGCCTCCGAAAGTGCTGAGATTACAGGCATGAGCCACCAAGCCCGGACTGTGCTAGGCTATGTTCTAAGAGCTTGATATGAACTCATTCATTTACTCTTCACAATAATCCTATGAGGCAGATAACAACGTTTTCTCCCTTTATAGTAAATGGAGGCACAGAGAGGTTAAGCAACTTGCACAGTTCATACAGCTGCTAGGTAGAAAAGCTGGTAGAAGGCCGGGTGCAGTGGCTCATGACTGTAATCCCAGCACTTTGGGATGCTGAGGCAGGGGGATTACTCGAGGCCAGGAGTTCAAGACCAGCCTGGCCAAAATAGCAAAACCCGGTCTCTACTAAAAATACAAAAAATTAGCCAGACATGGTGGCACGTGCCTCTGTAGTCCCAGCTACTTTGGACACTGAGGCACGAGAATTGCTTGAACCAGGGAGGCAGAGGTTGTAGTGAGCTGAGATCATGCCACTGAACTCCAGCCAGGAAAGAGGAGCAAGACTCTGTCTCAAAAAAGAAAAAAAAAAGAAGAAGAAGAAAGAAAGGAAAAGCTGGTATGAAAATCAGTCATTTTAACTATGTAGACCATATTCAGGATAACTTTATCATCCTGCTTTTTATTGCTTTATTTAATGTAATTTTTAAAAAACCGCTGGCATGGCTGGAATTATAATTTTATTTTATTTACTCCTCATTCTAACAGTACGTTAGGTATTATCAGTAGTGGGGTGGTAAATATCTAACAATCAACTCTCTAGGGGACAGGAAATACTGATTTGTAGTGTTTGCCAATTTCTGTGGTGTAAATATTTCCACTGTGGCCAATTTCAAGCTACCAATGTGACATCAGTGAACACAGAGTTGAGATGTTCAGTAGCTCTCCATTACATGACATTTCCATTATACAGATGCACTACCCATAAATAGCTACAGGAACATAGATAATAGCAAGCTACAGCAAAATAACTAGGAAATGATGAGTTTTTAGTATTTATTGCCTGTATATACTTATTTATTTTAGAGACTGGTCTCCCTATGTTGCCCAGGCTGGTCTTGAACTCCTGGCTCAAGCAATCCTCCCGACTTGGCCTCCCAAAGTGCTGGGATTACAGGCGTGAGCCACTGCTCCTGGCTGCCTTTATTTTTATTTTTTATTTTATTTTTATTTATCTATTTATTTTTTGAGACAGAGTCTTGCTCTGTCACTCAGGTTGGAATGCAGTGGCATGATCTCGGCTCACTGCAACCTCCGCCTCCTGGGGTCAAGCAATTCTCCTGCCTCAGCCTCCTGAGTAGCTGGGTTTGCAGGCACCCACCGCCACACCCCGCTAATTTTTGTATTTTTAGTAGAGATGGGGTTTTACCATATTGGCCAGGCTGGTCTCCAACTCCTGACCTTAGGTGATCTGCTCACCTCGGCCTCCCAAAGTGCTGGGATTACAAGCGTGAGCCACCGCGCCCAGCCTATTTTTATTTATTATTATTATTATTTTTTGAGACAGAGCTTTGCTCTCGTCACCCAAACTGGAGTGCAATGGCAGTGGTCTTGGCTCACTGCAACCTCTGCCTCCTGGGTTCAAGCGATTCTCCTGCCTCAGCCTCCTGAGTAGCTGGAATTACATGCGCCGGCCCCTATGCCCAGCTAATTTTTGTACTTTTAGTAGAGATGGGATTTCGCCATGTTGTCCAGGCTAATCTCGAACTCCTGACCTCGGGTGATCCGCCTGCCTCCACCTTCCAAAGTGCTGGGAATACAGGTGTGAGCCACTGTGCCTGACCTGCCTTTATTTTTATTTTTTTTTAAATTTTTTTTATTTTATTTATTTATTTTTTTTTATTGATCATTCTTGGGTGTTTCTCGCAGAGGGGGATTTGGCAGGGTCATAGGACAATAGTGGAGGGAAGGTCAGCAGACAAACAAGTGAACAAAGGTCTCTGGTTTTCCTAGGCAGAGTGTTTGTGTCCCTGGGTACTTGAGATTGGGGAGTGGTGATGACTCTTAAGGAGCATGCTGCCTTCAAGCATCTGTTTAACAAAGCACATCTTGCACCGCCCTTAATCCATTTAACCCTGAGTGGACACAGCACATGTTTTAGAGAGCACAGGGTTGGGGGTAAGGTCATAGATCAACAGGATCCCAAGGCAGAAGAATTTTTCTTAGTACAGAACAAAATGAAAAGTCTCCCATGTCTACTACTTTCTACACAGACACAGCAACCATCCGATTTCTCAATCTTTTCCCCACCTTGCCCCCTTTTCTATTCCACAAAACCGCCATTGTCATCATGGCCCGTTCTCAATGAGCTGTTGGGTACCTCCTCCCAGACTGGGTGGTGTCCAGGCAGAGGGGCTCCTCACTTCCCAGTAGGGGCGGCCGGGCAGAGGCGCCCCTCACCTCCCGGACAGGGCGGCTGCCGGGCGGAGGGTCTCCTCACTTCTCAGACGGGGCGGCCGGGCAGAGACGCTCCTCACCTCCCAGACGGGGCTGCGGCCGGGCCGAGGTGTTCCTCACCTCCCAGACGGGGCGGCGGGGCAGAGGCGCTCCCCACATCTCAGACGATGGGCGGCCGGGCAGAGACGCTCCTCAATTCCTAGATAGGATGGTGGCCGGGAAGAGGCGCTCCTCACTTCCCAGGTGGGACGGCGGCCGGGCAGAGACGCTCCTAACTTCCTAGATGTGATGGGGCTGGGAAGAGGCGCTCCTCAATTCCTAGACGGGATGGCGGCCGGGCAGAGACGCTCCTCACTTTCCAGACTGGGCAGCCAGGCAGAGGGGCTCCTCACATCCCAGACGATGGGCGGCCAGGCAGAGACGCTCCTCACTTCCCAGACGGGGTGGCGGCCGGGCAGAGGCTGCAATCTCCGCACTTTGGGAGGCCAAGGCAGGCGGCTGGGAGATGGAGGTTGTAGCGAGTGGAGATCACGCCACTGCACTCCAGCCTGGGCACCATTGAGCACTGAGTGAACCAGACTCCGTCTGCAATCCCGGCACCTCGGGAGGCCGAGGCTGGCGGATCACTCGCGGTTAGGAGCTGGAGACCAGCCCGGCCAACACAGCGAAACCCCCGTCTCCACCAAAAAAATACGAAAACCAGTCAGGCGTGGCGGCGCGCGCCTGCAATCGCAGGCACTCGGCAGGCTGAGGCAGGAGAATCAGGCAGGGAGGTTGCAGTGAGCCGAGATGGCAGCAGCACAGTCCAGCTTTGGCTCGGCATGAGAGGGAGACCGTGGAAAGGGGAGGAGAGAGGAGAGAGGGGAGAGGGGAGAGTGGAGAGCGGAGAGGGGAGAGGGGAGAGGGGAGAGGGGAGAGGGCCTGCCTTTATTTTTAATAAAATGTATTTAACTGTACGTTAAGTGAATAAAGGGAGCTATTGAGTAATGCTTACATGTTCTCATTTTTGTAAATAAGAGACTCTCCCTGGGCATGGTGGTAGGTCCCAGTAACCTGGGAGACTTAGGTAGGAGAATCCCTTAAGTCCAGGAGTTTTAGTGCAGTTTAGGCAATATAGCCTAATATAGACCCAGTCTTTAAACAAAATCATAAAGAAACAAGGCCCAGGCGCGGTGGCTCACGTCTATAATCCCAGTACTTTGGGAGGCCAATGCAGGCAGATCATGAGGTCAGGAGTTCAAGACCAGCCTGGCCAACGTGGTGAAACCCCGTCTCTACTAAAAATACAAAAATTAGCTGGGCGTGGTGGCGGGTGCCTGTAATCCCAGGTACTCAGGAGGCTGAGGCACAAGAATTGCCTGAACCCTGGAGGCAGGAGTTGCAGTGAGCTGAGATCCTACCACTG
Source organism: Homo sapiens (assembly GCF_000001405.40). Classification (NCBI taxonomy): domain Eukaryota; kingdom Metazoa; phylum Chordata; class Mammalia; order Primates; family Hominidae; genus Homo; species Homo sapiens. The sequence continues at coordinate 5,115,212 of NC_000003.12, forward strand.
CACTCCAGCCTGGGTGACAGAGTGAGACTTTGTCTCAAAAAAAAAAAAAAATCATAAAGAATTAGAAGCCTGGGCAACATACCAAGAAGCTCTCCCTACACAAAATTAAGAAATTAGCTGGGTGTGGTGGTGCACACCTGTGGTCCCGGCTACTCAGGAGGCTGAGAGGGGAGGATGACATGGGCCCAGGAGGTCAAGGCTGCAGTGAGCTGTGATGATACCACTGCACTCCAGCATGGGGTGACAGAGCAAGACCCTGTCACAAAAACAAAAACAAAACAAAACAAAAAGAACCAAAAAACTCTTTACCCCTTTGTATCTGTTTGCGAGGGCTGCTGTAATGAAGTACCACTAATTGGGTGCTTTAAAACCACAGAAACTTATTGTCTCTCAGTTCTGAGGGTTAGAAGTCTAAAATCACAGTGCCCCAGAGCCATGCTCTTTCTGAAGCTCTTGGGGAAAATCCTTCCTCTCCTCTTCTGGCTTCTGGTGGTTTGCTGGCAATCCTCGTTGTTCTCTGACTTGCAGCTGTAACAACTCAATCTCTGCCTCGGTCATCCATGGTATTCTCTCTCGTGTGTCATGTGTCGGTATTTCTTCTCCTCTTCTTAAAAGGATGCCAATCATAGTGGATGGAGGACACACCCTATTCCAGTATGATCTCATCTTAACCAATTACATCTGTAGTGACCCTGTTTCAAACAAGGTCACATGCTGAAGTACTGGGAGTTACGACTTTAATATCTCCCCTTCCCTCCCCTCCCCTTCTGCCTTTCTCTCTTTCTTTTCCTTCCTTCCTTCCTTCCTTCCTTCCTTCCTTCCTTCCTTCCTTCCTTCCTCCCTCCCTCCCTCCTTCCCTCTCTCTTTCTCTCCCTTTCCCTCTCCCTCTCCCTCTCTCTCCTGACCTCTGGTGATCCACTTGCCTTGGCCTCCCAAAGTGCTGGGATTATAGACATGAGCCACCACACACCCGTCTTTCCCCTCTCCCTCCCCCTCCCCCTCCTCCTCTCCCTCGCCTTCCTCTTCCCCTTCCCCTTCCCCTTCCCTTCCCTTTGTATTTTTTAATTAGAGACAGGGTCTCACTTTGTTGCCCTGACTGGTCTTGAACTCTTGAGTGCAAGCAATCTCCCACCTCGGTCTCCCAAATCCTGCAAGGATTACAGGCATGAGCTACCACATCCGGCCTTCAATATGTCTTTTTTTTAAGGAGGGAGGGGGCACAATTCAACCCCTAAAACCCCCTTACAGTCAATTTGCCACAGTTGTGCCATAGTGAGCTGCTGCTGCTTCTTTTTTCTTTTTAAATAATCAATAGACACAGAAAAACGAACTAAAAATATCATTTGGATCACTCTCCTGGCTTCCCATCACACTGAGAGTAAAATCCAAGGTAGGCCCACCATGCCAACTTTCAATCTGCTCCCTTCCTCCTTCTCCATCCACATCTGTTCCAACTCCCTGCTTTACTAATCTGTGCCAGCCACGCCGACTGTCTTTCTCTGCCCAGAGCATTCTGAACTCCTTCTCCCAAACTGGGTGTTTGCTGTTCCTTCTGCCTGGAATGTGCTTCCACCAGATGTCTGCCTGGATCTCTTTCTCACTTCCTCTAAGTCTTCTCACCCAGGGCCACCTGACCTGAAGTAGAACAGAGTCCTCTCCTGTTCCTTCTCTTGTTCAGCTTTCTTTATAATGTTCAGTACTACATGCTATTATGTCTCAGATTTATTTGTTTATTTTATTTTTTTGAGACAGGGCCTCACTTTGTTACCCAGGCTGGAGCACAATCATGGCTCACTGAAGCCTCTGATCCCTTGGCTCAGGTGATCCTCCTGCCTCAGCTTCCCAAGAAGCTGGGACTACAGGCATGCGCAGCACGCCTGGCTAAGTTTTTAAATTTTTTTGTAGAGACAGGGTCTCATTATCTTGTCCAGGCTGGTCTTGAACTCCTGGGCTCAGGTGATCTCCCTGCCTCAGCCTCCCAAAGGGCTGGGATTATAGGAGTGAGCCACCAGGCCTCATTTCTTAATTTGTTTATTATAGCATATGTCTCCCCCACTGGATTGTAGGCTCCATGAGGGAAGGAATTTTTTTTAAATTTTAAAGCCTTGAAGATATTTTTAATTACTGTTAAAGTAAATTATATTGTGGCCAGGCATGGTGGCTCATGCCTGTAATCCCAGCACTTTGGGAGGCCGAGGCAGGCAGATCACTTGAGGCCAGGAGTTCGAGACCAGCCTGGCCAACATGGTGAAACCCCATCTCTACTAAAAATACAAAAATTAGCTGGGTGTGGTGGCATGTGCCTATACTTCCAGCTACTCAGTGGGCTCAGGCAGGAGAATCACTTGAACCTGGGAGGCAGAGGTTGCAGTGAGCTGAGATCGCACCACTGCACTCCAGCCTGGGCGACAGAGCAAGATTCTATCTCAAAAAAACAAAAAGTAAATTGTATTTTGAACAGACAACCCATTTACATGTTTGAAAAGTCAAAGTTTGCCTCTAGGGGTATGTTGTAGAATAACTAAGATAGGCTGGGCACAGTGGCTCACGCCTGTATTCCCAGCACTTTGGGAGGCCCAGGTGGGTGGATCACTTGAGGTCAGGAGTTGGAGACCAGACTGGCCAACATGGTGAAACCCCATCTCTAATAAAAATACAAAAAAATTAGCCAGATGTGGTGGCACACGCCTGTAATCCCAGCTACCTGGGAGGCTGAGGCAAGAGAATCACTTGAACCTGGGAGGTGGATGTTGCAGTGAGCTGAGATTGTACCACTGCACTCCAGTCTGGGCAACAGAATGAGACTCTGTCTCCAAAAAAAAAAAAAAAACAGTAAAATAAAATAGGATAAATAAATAAATAAAAGAAAAAGAGAAAAGTCAAAGTGGTCTAAAAGTTATCTAGACAAGTCTCATTTCCATTTCTGCCACCGGACATCCAGTTTTTCCTACCCCCATAGGAAACCATTTTTATTAGTTTCCCAGTATTTCTTTATGCAGATACCATACACATATGCTTATATATGTATATATATGTATAAGCATATGCTTATATATGTATATATATGTATAAGCATATGCTTATATATGTATATATATGTATAAGCATATGCTTATATATGTATATATATGTATAAGCATATGTGTTATTATTTTCTCACCTTACATTCCAAATATCATTACGTACACAGTCTGAACCCTGGTTTTTTTGTTTTTTTGAGACAGTCTTTTTTTTCTGGGAGAGGGAGTCTTGCTCTGTTGCCCAGGCTGGGGTGCAGTGGCATGATCCCAGCTCACTGCAAGCTCTGCCTCTCGGGTTCATGCCATTCTCCTGCCTCAGCCTCCCAAGTAGCTGGGACTACAGGCGTCCGCCACCACTCCCGGCTAATTTTTTGTATTTTTAGTAGAGATGGGTTTTCACCATGTTAGCCAGGATGGTCTCGATCTCCTGTCCTCGTGATCCACCCGCCTCAGCCTCCCAAAGTGCTGGGATTACAGGCATGAGCCACCTCGCCCAGCCTTGAGACAGTCTTAATCTGTCACCCAGGCTGGAATGCAGTGGTGCAATCTCAGCTCATTGCAACCTCTGCTTCTTGGGTTCAAGGGATTCTCCTGCCTCAGCCTCATGAGTAGGTGGGATTACAGGCATGCACCATCACGCTTGGCTAATTTTTGTAATTTTAGTAGAGATGGGGTTTTGCCATGTTGGTTAGGCTGGTCTCGAACTCCCGGCCTCAAGTGATCTGCCCCCCCCCCCCCCAAAGTCCTGGGACTACAGGTATGAGCCACCGTACACAGCCATGAACCTTGATTTTTTTTTGTTTCTTGAAAATATTTCCTGATCATCATTCCTTATCAGTTGACAGATAACTTTCTTCTTCTTGTATTTTTTTTTACAGCTGCATAGTATTCCTTTTTGGGGACACATCCTGGTTAATCAGTTCCCTATTGATAGACACTAATTGCTTCCCATTGTAAACTAAAAATAAAATCCTGGGCTGGACCCGGTGGGTCACGCCTGTAATCCCAGTACTTTGGGAGGCTAAGGTGGGTGGATAATGAGGTCAAGAGATCGAGACCATCCTGGCCAACATGGTGAAACCCCATCTCTACTAAAAATACAAAAATTAGCTGGGCTTGGTGGCTCGCCTGTAGTCCCAACTACTCGGGAGGCTGAGGGAGGAGAGTTGCTTGAACCCGGGAGGCAGAGGTTGCGGTGAGCCGAGATTGCACCACTGCACTCCAGCCTGGCAACAGAGCGAGACTTGTCTCAAAAAAAAAAAAAAAATTCCTGGGCTGGGTGTGGGCATGGTGGCTCACGCCTGTAATCCCAATACTTTGAGAGACTGAAGCAGGAGGATCACTTCAGCCCAAGAATTCAAGGCTGCAATGAGCTATGATCTGCCATTGCACTCCAGCCTGGGCAACTGTGCTCGACTCTGTCTCAAAATCAAATAAACAAACAAACTAAGTCCCCTCAACTGACTAAACAGATCCTTCCTGGACAAAGAGATCCTAGGAAAATCTTTTTTTTTTTTCTTGAGACGGAGTCTCGCTGTCGCCCAGGCTGGAGTGCGGTGGCGCCATCTCGGCTCACTGCAAGCTCTGCCTCCCGGGTTCCCGCCATTCTCCTGCCTCAGCCTCCCGAGTAGCTGGGACTACAGGCGCCCGCCACCGTGCCCGGCTAATTTTATGTATTTTTAGTACAGATGGGGTTTCACCGTGTTAGCCAGGATGGTCTCGATCTCCTGACCTTGTGATCCGCCCACCTCGGCCTCCCAAAGTGCTGGGATTACAGGCGTGAGCCACCGCGCCCGGCCTATCCTAGGAAAGTCTTAAAAACTGAGTTCCTTCCCTCCACAAGATGGGAAGTCAGTCACACCTGGTTATACCTCCTCCCTTATGTCGTTTAGAAACAACAAACGACCGGCCGGGCGCGGTGGCTCAAGCCTGTAATCCCAGCACTTTGGGAGGCCGTAGGCGAGCGGATCACGAGGTCAGGAGATCGAGACCATCCTGGCTAGCAGGGTGAAACCCCGTCTCTACTAAAAATACAAAAAATTAGCCGGGCGTGGTGGCGGACGCCTGTAGTCCCAACTACTCGGGAGGCTGAGGCAGGAGAATGGTGTGAACCCGGGAGGCGGAGCTTGCAGTGAGCCGAGATCGCATCACTGCACTCCAGCCTGGGCGACAGAGCGAGACTCCGTCTCAAAAAAAAAAAAAAAAAAAAGAAAGAAACAACAAACGACCAACATTAACGTTAAAATAGAGATCACAAGACTGACAGAACAGACTCTTTGTGACAATTAGATACCAAATTATAAACAGGACCTAAGGCCATACTAGGCAAGAGTTAAATGACTAAGTGCAAGGTTTCTCTTTTTCTCTACCAGCTAAACCAGCACTGGCCTGGAGATAAACACAATTAAAACAGTTACAACTCTCTGCCAGATGCAGGCTAACTGACCTGTTCCACAAGCCTAACTATGGCTTTGATTAGACAAGAGACTGATTTCTGTAACTTTCTCCTGTTAAGAGACAACTAACCATGCATCCATGCATTGGTTCTGGCTGGCTTTTTCTTTTCTTTCTTTCTTTTTTTTTTTTTTGAGATGAAGTCTCGCTCTGTCACCCAGGCTGGCGTGCAGTGGCATGACCTCGGTCACTGCAACCTCTGCCTCCCGGAGTCAAGCGATTCTCCTGCCTCAGCCTCCAGCATAGCTGGGATTACAGGCGCGTGCCACCATGTCCCGCTAATTTTTGTATTTTTAGTAGAGACGGGGTTTCACCATGTTGGTCGGGCTGGTCTTGAACTCCCAACCTGAGGTGATCTGCCCGCCTTGACCTCCCAAAGTGCTGGGATTACAGGCATGAGCCACTGCACCCGGCCTGGGCTAATTTTTTGTATCTTTAGTAGAGACGGGGTTTCACCTTGTTGGCCAGGCTGGTCTCAAACTCCTGACCTCCTGATCCACCTGCCTCAGCCTCTCAAAGTGTTTGGATTACAGGCTGTGAGCCACCGCGCCCAGCCCAGTTCTGGCTGGTTTTACAGAGGCCAAGCACTTCAATACCTTTCCCGTCCCTGATTCACTTTCTGATGTGGAGGGCCTGATTATAATACTTTTACTTTATTTATTTTTTAATTGTTGTTTTTTGAGACGAGGGTCTCACTCTATCACCCAGGCTGAAGTGCAGTGGCATGATCTCAGCTCACTGCAACCTTCGCCTCCTGGGTTCACACAATTCTCCCACCTCGGCTTCCCAAGCAGCTGAGGCTACAGGTGCATGCCACCACGTTCGGCTAATTTTGTATTTTTAGTAGAGATGGGGCTTCACCATGTTGGTCAGGCTGGTCTCAAACTCCTGACCTCAGGTGATCTGCCCACCTTTGCCTCCCAAAGTGCTGGGATTACAGGCATGAGCCACCGCGCCCTGCCTGATTATAATACATTTAAATGTTAAGTCGCCACCCCAAATGAACATAGGTCATATGCAACATACAGATTTGTTCACTATGTGTGTAAGACCACCTTCATACATATTAATAGCTCCTTCCATAAGTTAAATATGTTTACTTGGCCAACTCCTCAATATAAATTCTTGTTGCACCCTTCCCTCTCTCAAAGTGCTTACTTTTGTTTTTTTTGGCCCGAGGCTGCACGTCCTGCCTACAGCTTATAATCCCCTTCTTAAGAAATAATGCTCTCCTTTCTAAATTTATAAACGGTGTCATTTTTAAGTTAACACTATCTTTTGCTACTACCAAAAATGTAGGACAGGAATTTTTATTCCACGCCAACTCTTCCAGAGTCTTGAAGTCTTCCTGCAGATTGTTAATGAACAATTATAGCAAAAAATGAATGAATGAATTAACGAATGTATAAGTGGATGAATGACGAATGAACCAACAATGAATGAATGTAGAGAAAGCCTCAAGGGGGCCCGAGGGTACGCTGTGCTGCGGAGCATGCCCACCAGGTGGCGATGCCAGCGGCGGGCGGGCCTGGCCGGATTGGCCGCGCCGCTCTTGCCGTGGGTGCCGACGGCGGCGCCGGGACGGGCGTGGGGGGTAGGGCGAGTCATATGATCCGCTCGGCTTCCTGGGTCTGGCTGCTGCCGCCCGCCGGTGTCCGCCCGTGTCGCGCCGGGGCACCAAGGAGCCGTTGGAGGGTCCGGGCGGAGGCCCGCTCGTGTGGAAGTCGTCGACGCCGCCGCTCGTCCGTCCTCCCGTCCGTTCTCGCTCCCGGCCGCCATCATGCTGGCGCTCATCTCCCGCCTGCTGGACTGGTTCCGTTCGCTCTTCTGGAAGGAAGAGATGGAGCTGACGCTCGTGGGGCTGCAGTACTCGGGCAAGACCACCTTCGTCAATGTCATCGCGGTGAGCGCCCGCCCACTCACTCGCCCGGGGCTCCGCAGCCAGGAGTCCGGCCCGGCGCTTCTCCAAGGCCTGAGTTGGGGCCCCCCTCGGCGCGATGGGACTGATGGCGGGGGGCGTGCGAAGCTGGGCCTGTCATCTCCCGAGGGCCAGCATTTGGAATTTCCCGCGTGTTGGCGGCGCGGGGAGTAGCACTGAGATCGGCAGCGGAAGGGTTAAGTCAGTGTAGACATTTTCCAAGGGCTGTGTCCTCAACGCCGCGGGGGCTCGGAAAGAGTTAAATTGAACTCGTCACATTTTTAAAGCGCTTGGGGATTGGGGTTTCCCTTGGGTTTGCCCAGTAGGGGCAGCCAAAGAGTTAAGTCCAGTCTGTCACTTTCCCAAAGGGTGGGATTTGGCAAATCCGTCAGCCGTACGAGAAAGCGTAAGCATTAAGAGCCTCTCTTAAGTTGCCACTTTGGACCAATAGACCCATTGTGAAAGCGGGAGACCAGTGTGAGCGCCTTCCTGAATTCTGTGGGCCGCTGGTCCCATCTAATTCAGTTACTTGTTTTCACCCGTCCCCCAGGCGCGGAGACCAAGCTCATTGCTGAGCTCCAGCTAGCCCACAATACATAGTATTTATTAAGCTAAGAGTTAATTGTCTTAAGCGACTAGATAAGATGGATCTGCAGTTAGCATAAAGTTAACTACCCTGCGAAAGAGGAGTTGGTCTTTAAATGGTGTTTTTCACTTGAAGAGAAAAGAAGGTACTGGGCAGGAACATAGCTTAGCAGGCCTAGGGAATGGGTGGAAGGAAAATTGCACTGAGGACTTACATAGAATGTGGTGTTTGTTCAGCAATGATTGAGTAGAAAGGTGATTGTTTCGTTTTGCTTGTTTGGTTGGTTGGGAAATAAATAGGAGTGAAAGATTTCGCCTCGATCTTTATTTAGAGCCCAAGAGTTGTTGTGACTCAGTTTTAGCTGGTAGTGGCTTGTACACGCCAGGGGAGTTTTAGAACTGTTCTGAAGAGAGATGGCAGCAGTTCTTCCACCTTTTCGATGACTGTTGAAATCCTGAAGATTAGCTGTCCGACTGGTTAGGTTACACAAGATGATTCAAACACAGCTTTCATGTTTGAGAAAATAGGTAACTTGTGATTCTTAGTCCTTGCACTAATAAAGCAACAGGAATGAGTAAGTCTTGGAGAAAAAGAGATTAGCAGAAACCCCAAAGTCCTTTGAAGAATGATGTATATAAGGAAGATTTACCTGCTTGTTGTTCGGCTCCTTTTCTAGTAGTATTATTATTAATTTTTTTTCTTGAGACGGAGTCTCGCTTTGTCCCCCAGGCTGGAGTGCAGTGGCGAGATCTCAGCTCACTGCAACCTCCACCTCCCAGGTTCAAGCGATTTTCCTGCCTCCACCTCCTGCGTAGCTGGGATTACAGACGTCCTCCACCACGCCCGGCTAATTACTTTTAGTAGAGATGGGTTTTGCTTTGTTGCTCAGGCTAGTCTCAAAACTCCTGACCTCATGTGATCCGCCCGACTCGGCCTCTTAAAATGCTGGGATTGCAGGTGTGAGCCACCGCGCCTGGCCTCCTATTGTAATATTATGATTTTTTGCGCTTGGAATGACTATCTTTCCGCAGGAATAGAAGAGTGGAATGTGTATCTAATACCACTAATTTTTTTTTTTTTTTTTTTTTTTTTTTTCTGGTAGAGACAAGATCTTCCTATGTTGCCAGGCCAGCCTTGAACTCCTGGGCTCAAGCGAGCCTCCTGCCTCGGCCTCCCAAAGTGCTGGCATTACAGGCATGAGCCACCGTTCCTGGCCTAATACCACTAAAATTAATGAGGAAACATGAACTTCGGGTTACATATTTATATTAGAATTTTTTTCTTTTCTTTTTTGGAGACAGGGTCTTGAGCTTTCACCCAGACTGGAGTGCAGTGGTGCAGTCGTAGCTCACTGCAGCCTCCAACTCCTGGGCTTATGTGATCTTCCCTGTCTCAGCCTCCCAAGTAGCTGGGACTACAGGCATGTGCTACCACCATGGCTCGCTATTTATTTTTAATTTTTATTTTTTATAAAGACGGGCTCTTGCTATGTTGCCAGGGCTGGTCTTGAGCTCCTGGCCTCAAGCAGTCTTCCTGCCTTGGCCTCCCAGCATACTGGGATTATAAGCCTGCTAGAGCTTTTATATAATATGGAAAAGATGAGGCATAAGCTTGAGTGAAGTTGAGCTCAGTTAACTGTAAATTTTCTCATATCCCCTTGAGATGAGAATTGGAGTCATCTTGTAAAACTTGCTCTTTGACAACATGGAATTAATGTTTCATGTGGATAGGTGTATTAATACAGCCAGTTGTATTTGTTGCAGTTGAGTTGTTATGCTTGGGAACTCTAAAAAGTTGAGCAAATCTTTGAGAAACTTCTTGGTGATTTTTATGCTTCTGTTTTCAGTAGACAGTGTAGCTTAATGAGCATGACCTTTGAAGTCAGACAGCCCTGGATTTGAAATCTGGCTCTGCCGCTTAGCAGCCTTACATCCTCTTTGAGTCCTTACTTTCCCATCTATTAAATGGAGGTAATGATATGTTTCTTACAGAGTTGCTCTAGGGATTAAATGACATGAAAGATGTTAAGTGGCTAGCACTCATACTGGCCCACAGAAGGGGATAGGTAGATGGTAACTGTTGTTATTTGTAATTGGGCGTACCTGTTTAATGCAGGAACGATGGCTTGAAAAATACTGAGAAGGGACTCAACTGGTATCATTTTCTACTTTGAATCACTGTATCTATCCAGATGTGGGCTGCAGTAGTGGATTTATGGATTGGGGAAAGTAATCGCATCATGTGTTCCCCCCTGCCCCGCCCCCACCATTAGATTATTATATTTAACAACAACAAAACTTCTGCAAAGCTGTTGAAGTCAAAGTGAACCAGTGGCTCCACCATTATCTTTTTTTTTTTTTTGAGACGGAGTCCCGCTGTGTTGCCCAGGCTGGAGTGCAGTGGCATGATCTTGGCTCACTGCAACCTCTGCCTCCTGGGTTCAAGCTATTCTCGTGCCTCAGCCTCCCGAGTAGCTGGGACTACAGGCGACTGCCACCATGCCCAGCTAATTTTTGTATTTTTAGTAGAGACGGGGTTTCACCATGTTGGGCAGGCTGTTCTCGAACTCCTGGTCTCAAGTAATATGCCTGCCTTGGTCTCCCAAAATGCTGGGATTACAGGCGTGAGCCACTGTGCCCAGCCCACTGTTATCATTAGACTATTCTTTTTAAAATTGTAATGGTGTGGGTAGCTTCAGTTAAGAAAAAAAAAGTCACAAAGATAAGGTGATGGATGTGTAATTGGCTTGAATTAGTCATTCCACACTGTAAACATGTATCAGAACATCTCATTGTACTCCATAAATGTATACAATTATGATTTGTCAATTAAAAGTAATATTAATTTAAAAAAGAAAAAAGACATCTGGGCTGTAATTGGCTGTGGCTTTTAAGATGCTGAAAGGGACCCCCTCAGTGAATTTCATACTTTTTTTTTTTTTTAACCTCAAGGCTCTAACCTAACCCCTGATTCTTATAGAATATGTTGAGGATGTAGTGATTAAAATCCAAGTTAGTGATTAAAGATGATTTTAGAGATTTTTAGGTAGAAACAATGTGTCCAAAATAGTAAGTTTAGCCTTTTAAAAAATCAGCTGCACTTTTTGTATTGTATATAAAATAGTTGCTTTATAGAATCAGAAATACAGATGTATTGAGTACTATGTGTCACTCTAGAAAGGTGACCATTTACTTATTCACATTTAAGAAGCGACTTCTCAGGTATGAAAAGCTTCAGCTGAAGCCAATTTTCTTTTTGTAAAAATCAACATTTTGTAAACATTAAAATGTCACTACATGTGCCTTAAACATTAAGGAAGATTTAATAGATGTCATTTAACTTACTCAAAAGGTTCATGAGACTGAATTACTATTATATGTAGGGTTTGGTTTGAGTCTAAAAGATAATGCAGCTTAGTTACAGAATGCTCAGACTTAGAATGCCTTTCCTTAGGATTTTAAAACTGAAATGATACCTAATTTAATCCAGTTTTATGTAGAGACACTTGATATATGTAGTGTTCTCTTTTGTTTTGAACATTATAAAAAAGAAACACCCTAGTCTTGTCTTTTCTGATTAGTGTCAAGGAATGAAGTATTTTTTCCATTGCTAACTGTTCTGGCAGTTATTGCACAATAAGTCATGTGCCTATATGTGTAATGTATATTGAGTAATCTTTATTTTTAACTGGGGCTTTTAGATATGTTATAGTTATTAAAAAATATCTAATAGGATTTGCCAAAATAATATAGGATAAATCTTATGGACATTATGTATTTTTTAAATGGAAGTATAAAAATTTGTCTACACTTTTGCACATTGTTGATACCTGAAAGGTTAATCCAAGGGAAAGTTTATTACTGCTGAGAATTAGGAAAAGAAGATATTTGGGAAGACTGTAGAAATATGAACCTAGAATCATTTTTTAAAGAGTTTGTAGAAACCTTGATTAAGTAGTCTAATTTTCCCCTCATTTTTTAGATGTGGCTAGCAGATCCAGTGAGGTTAAGTGGAATTCCAAGGCAACAAAGCTAATTCGTAGCAGAGATAGAATTAGAATCTGGGGCCAGTGTACTTTCTACTTTTCCCACCTCTTTAGATCCAGCTGAGGTTAGAACCATAGAACTGTGGATTGGGAGATCTTAATCCATTAAACATCTTTTTTGTATTTAATTTAATTTAAAAAATCAGCTGCAGTTTTTGTATCGTATATGAAATGTTTGCTTTATAGAATAAGAAATACAGACGTAATGAGTACTGTGTGTCTCTCTAGAGAGAGCATTTTAAATCCAGGCATCTTAAGCATACTGACTAACATTTGAGGACTATATATTTATCTATGAACATGAATTAGGAGAAGGAATGATAATCTGTGGAAAGTAAGAGTGGAATATTATGTTTGGATATTTAAATAACTGGCTAACAGGCATTACTGAGTTGTTGAACTACTTTTAGTATCTTTAAAAAGCAGAGGGAGATCAAGACCATCCTGGCTAATGCGGTGAAACCCCGTCTCTACTAAAAATACAAATAATTAGCTGGGTGTGGTGGTGGGCACCTGTAGTCCCAGCTACTCGGGAGGCTGAGGTAGGAGAATGGCGTGAACCTTGGAGGCAGAGCTTGCAGTGAGCCAAGATTGCGCCACTGCACTCCAGCCTGGGCAACAGAGCGAGACTCCGTCTCAAAAAAAAAAAAAAAAAAAAAAAAAAAAAGCGGAGGGCCAGGCGCAATGGCTTACGCCTGTAATCCCAGCACTTTGGGAGGCCAAGGCGGCCGGATCATGAGGTCAGGAGTTTGAGACCAGCCTGACCAACATGATGAAACCCCATCTGTACTAAAAATACAAAAATTAGCCTGGCGTTACTCAGGAGGCTGAGGCAGGAGAATTGCTTGAACCTGGGAGGCGGAGGTTGCGTTGAGCCGAAATTGAGCGACTGCACTCCAGCCTGGGCAACAGAGTGAAAATCCGTCTCAAAAAAAAAAAAAAAAAAAAAGCAGAAATAATTTTGTATTTGATTGTATTGCTTATTATTTAATTTCTTTGGAGGTAAGAATGGCAAAAACCATTTTTAAAGAAAATGGGCTGTGGTTCAAGTCTAGATGTTTTACACATCTGAAACTTGACTGGAGAAGCTAGTCTTCCAATAAGGTGGTCTTCAAGTATAGATTCTGAGTTGTGGAAAATGAGGCATCTTACAAAGGAACATCTCTACCTTCCATAAAGTTTTCTACCCTTCATCCCCGCTCCAATTATTTGTTTTTCCTTGCAGACCAAGAATCTTGAAAGCCAAATGTTCTCATTAAGAAGCTGTTAGAGTGCAATAATGCATTCTAAATGCCTGTCTTAGAAGATATTTCACAAGTTAATGGATTTTTTAAGTTTTTCAAAGATATAGTAAGTGGATGGTTACTGAACATGGATACAAAATACATTGAACCTATAAAAAAGTTACTCAAATATTATTAAAAAATTTTTTTTCTGAAATTTTTTTTGTGTTATCAAAACAATACAGGCTCATTAGCGGAGATGTGAAAAGAATAGTATAAGGTAGAAGAAGCCACTTATTTCTACCATCCAAGATTAACTACTGTCAACATTAAAAGCATTTCGTTTTTGTCTTCTTAATGTGTATATCCAGATGTCTTTTAAAAAGTTCTGAGATAATATTACTTATAATGCTTTATATTCTGGTTTAATTGTTACAGTGTATGCATTTTTCTATCTAAAACATTTTTCATGTCTTCATAGTTTATTCCATTGTGGTATGTCTTGTGGATATGCCATAACATATTTGGTAATTCCCTTATTGGACATTTGAGGGATTTTTCCTATGTTTTCCTATTGTACTCAATTTGATCTGCACTTCCTGAGGATGTGTTCCAGAGTTGGTATTTCTGGGTCAAAAACGCATTTTATGTCATATGGCCAAATTGCTTTCCAGAAAGTGTACACTCCCACTGAGAAGGTCTGAACAGTTTTTGTTTTTTGTTTTTTGTTTTTCCAGATAGAGTCTCGCTCTTGTTGCCCAGGCTGGAGTGCAGTGGTGTGATCTTGGCACACTGCAACCTCCACCTCTCGGGTTCAAGCAATTCTCCTGCCTCAGCTTCCCAAGTAGCTGGGATTACAGGTGTTTGCCACCTCGCCCAGCTAATACTGAGCAGATTTCATATATAAAGTTGGACTTTGGTTAAGCACTTTGTCCTCTGGTATTTTTTAGGACAAACATAGTTTTGTTGATGAAGTAGAACGGTATTTTAAAATTATCCTATTAGATACTGCTCTGTTTGTGTTTAATATATTTTAAGAAGTTCCTTTTTATATTTCAGCAACTGCCAAGACTGATAACTATAGAGAACATAATTCTTTCTGAGACAAGTTCTTGCTCTGTTGCCCATGCTGGAGTGTAGTGGCATGATCATGGCTTATTGCAGCCTCCACCTCCTGGGCCCTGGCTCAAGAGATCCCCCCACCATAGCCTCCCAAGTAGTAGGGACCACAGGCGTATGTCACTACGCCTGGCTAATTTTTTTAAACAAGATTTTTGCTGCTGGGTGTGGTGGCTCACGCTTGTAATCTCAGCATTTAGGGAGGCAGAGACAGGAGGATTACTTGAAGCCAGGAGTTGAAGACCAGCCTGGGCAACATAGTGAGGCCACATTCTCCACATTCTCTCTCTCTCTTTTTTGTTTTTCAGACAGAGTCTTGCTCTATCACCCAGGCTGTAGTATAGTGGCATGATCTTGGCTCACTGCAACCTCTGCCTCCTGGGTTCAAGTGATTCTCCTGCCTCAGCCTCCCAAGTAGGTGGGACTACAGGCACGTGCCACCACACACAGCTAGTTTTTGTATTTTTAGTAGAGACAGGGTTTCACCATGTTGGCAAGGCTGACCTCGAACTCCTGACCTCAGGTGATCTGCCTGCCTTGGCCTCCCAAAGTACTGGGATTACAGGCGTGAGCCACTGCACCTGACCAAGGTCATATTCTCTTAAAAAAAAATATATATTTTTTTTTTGTAGAGACTTCATCTCACTGTGTTGCTCAGCCTGGTCCCGGAACTCCTGGGCTCAAGAGATTCTCCTGCCTCAGCCTCCCAAAGTGCTGAGATTACAGGCAGGAGCCACCACGCCTGCCCCTGAGAACATAGTTCTTTTTTGTTGAGCTTCCCAGGCAAGCCATGTAAATATAAATACAGCTCATCCCCTTTACTTATCATGCTGCTATTTTGTTTTAGAAGTATTGGTAGATTGCATATTCCATAACCCTGATATATTTCAGTATAATCCTTACCTAATCTTGGACCTATTATAGTGGGATGCTGCTTGCTTGCTTGTGTGTGTGTGTGTTTTTTTTTTTGGCGGGGGGATGGAATCTTGCTTTGTTGTCCAGGCTGAAGGGCAGTGGCATGATCTCGGTTGACTGTAACCTCTGCCTCCTGGGTTCAGATGATTCTCCTGCCTCAGCCTCTCCCCAGTAGCTGGGATTACAGGCTTGCGCCACTACGCCTGGCTATTTTTTGTATTTTTAGTAGAGATGGGGTTTCGCTACGTTGGCCAGGCGAGTCTTGAACTTCTGACGTCAAGTGATCCGCCCGCCTCGGCCCAGGCATGAGCCACCACGCCCAGCCTATGAACCTATATTCTTACTTCAGTATGCAAAATGTAGCATAATGTTAAGAATGAGGTTGCTTAAAATCTAGGCTACACACATAGTTAGGCCTGCCTTTTCTTCGCTCTTTTCTTTTTTTTCTTTTTCTTTTTTTGTTTTTGAGATGGAGTCTCACTCTGTCATCCATGCTGGGAGTGCAGTGGCACGGGGATTCAAGTGATTCTCCTGCCTCAGCCTCCCGAATAGCTAGGACTACAGGCACCCGCCACCACGCCCAGCTAATTTTTGTATTTTTAGTAGAGACGAGGTTTCACCATGTGGGCCAGGCTGGTGTCAAACTCCTGTGATCTGTCCGCCTTAGCCTCCCAAAGTACTGGGATTACAGGTGTGAGCCACCGTGCCCGGCCACCATTTTCTTGAAAGCTCATTTTGTCCGGAGAATGTTTTAATGCCAATACATGGACTTCATCATTTGTAAATAGTTCTTATCAGAGGAAAATCTAGGAAAAGAAAGGAAACCTACATTTCTCTCCTTCATAATTTAGCTATTTCGTTTCTAGCTTTTGGCAATCTTATTTCAATAAAAAAATTAAAAAATTTTTTTTTTTTTTGAGACAGAGTCTCACTCTGTCACCCAGGCTGGAGTGCAGTGGCGCGATCTCGGCTCACTGCAACCTCCGCCTCCCGAGTTCAAGCGATTCTCCTGCCTCAGCCTCCTGAGTAGCTAGGGTTACAGGCGCACGCCACCATGGCCAGATAATTTTTGTATTTTTAGTAGAGACAGGGTTTCACGATGTTGGCCACACTGGTCTTGAACTCCTGACCTCAAGTGATCCACCCACCTCGGCCTCCCAAAGTGCTGGGATTACAGGTGTGAGCCACTGCACCCAGCCTACCCGTTTCTTAAAAATATTAAATTGACGTTACAGGTTTTCATTAACCCTTATATGAATATTTTGGTTACTGCCATTATTTTCTACTCTTAAGTGACTGAAATGTTTAACTTTGGTTTTTGTCTTTTTTTCAGAGTTCCGGTAATTTCAGAAATGAAATGATTTGACTAGTTTTATCCTTTGAATTTTTCTGTCATTCTTTCCTTTTTTTGAGACAGGGTCTCACCCTGTCACCCAAACTGGAGTAAAGTGGCATAATCATGGCTCACTGCTGCCTCAACCTCTTGGGTTCAAGCAGTCCTCTGCCTCAGCTTCCTGAGTAGCTGGGGCTACAGGCATGTGCCGTCATGCCCAGCTAATTAAAAAAATTTGTTTTTTTGTAGAGGTGGAATCTTGCTGTATTGCTCAGGCTGATCTTGAACTACTGGGCTCAAGCTGTCCTCCTTCCTTGGCCTCCCAGTGTTGGGAGTACAGGCATGAGCCTGTACTGTGCCTAAGTCCTCCCATCCTTTCTGTAGTAGGTATTGCCCTAAGTTAGGATTGATCATATTCCCTATGATCATCATTATTATTTTTTTTTTTGAGGCAGAGTCTCACTCTGTCTCCCAGGCTGGAGTGCAGTGGCGCGATCTCGGCTCACTACAACCTCCGCCTCCCTGGTTCAAGTGATTCTCCTGCCTCAGCCTCAGGCTCTCCCCACCATGCCCTGCTAATTTTTTTGTATTTTTAGTAGAGATAGGGTTTCACTATGTTGGCCAGGCTGGCCTTGAACTCCTCACCTTAGGTGATCCACCTGCTTCGGCCTCCCAAAGTGCTGGGATTACAGGCGTGAGCCACTGCGCCCGGCTCCTCTCATTATTTTTAACCATCAGAAATTATCTTGTTCTCTTGTTTCTAATAGTCTGTCCCTTTTCACAGAGCCAAGACTTTATCATATTTTACAATGCTGTACCCCATTGCTAAGAACAGTCCCTGCCACATGACAAGCTCTTTAAATACTGAATGAATGAATGAATGAATAATAACAGCAAAGTATACCTACTCCATGCATGTTTAAACTAGGTGCAAGGCATTGTGATAGATAACTTATAAATGTACCAGACAAGGTCATTTATGGTCGGGTATGTGCCATGTATAGGAGAGGAATATTAAGTGCCTTAAGATACAAAATGCTATTGGAATTCTCCCCTGACCCACCCCATTAAGACATTGGAGGAGTTTTATTTAGTAAGGCTGTTTGCTGAGTTTTGGTTGGACAGTGGCAGGAATGGCTTTTGAGCTGGGTTATAAGAGTAGAGGAATTTCATTTATTCAACAAATATGTCAAGCAGTGTTTTGGGCAGCATAAATATAATGGGGAGCAAAGCAGACAATGTTCTTGCCCTTGTGGAACTGCCGATATCATGTGGGGAAAAAAGATATTCAAGCAGGAACAGTGGGAAAAGCAAAGGCACAGCTGAGGGAAAGAAATTTTTTTGTTGGTTTAGGCATAACCTTAGTGAAGGAAAAAGAAACAAAGGCTGGAAAAGTAGATCAGTCAGCTCCCACAGGGCCTTGACTGAGTGTGACATTAGGCATGGAGGGCCACTGAAGGTTTTAATTCAGAGGAATAAGATAAGACCTGTGTTTCCGAAGGATTAATTTAGCAGCAATATAGAGACCATCCGCAAGGAAATTGGTTACAAGGTTATTACAGAGGTCTGGTTGAGAGACATTGAGGGAGACAGTTGGGGAGGAGGGGAAAGGTACGCATTATTATGGAAATAGGATGAGTACAATTTAGCAATTAAGTCAGAGGTACAGGACAAAGGGGAATTTGCAAAGACCCTTTTAAAGATTTGATTGAATGGTGGGGAATATGGTTGTACCATCAGCAAACAGCAGTTACAGGGTGGGGAAGAAAGAATGGGTTTAGAAGAAAAAGGGATGATTTGAGTATAAATTGTATTACAGGCTGGGGCGTGGTGGCTCATGCCAGTAACCCCAGCACTTTGGGAGGCTGAGAAGGGTGTGGATCCTTTGAGCTCAGGAGTTCAAGGCCAGCTTAGGCAACATAGTGAAACTCTGGTCTCTACAAAAAATAAAAAAATAAAAAAAATTAGCTGGATGTGCTGCTGCGTGTCTGTGGTCCTAGCTGCCGGGGAGGCATAGGTGGTAAGGGGATGGCTTGAGTCCAGGAGGCTGCAGTGAGCCATGATGGTGCCACTGCATTCCAGCCTGGGCGACAGAGTGAGACCAGGTCTCCCCTGCACTGCACAGCACACCCCACACCCCTGGAAAAAAAAGTGTTACATAATTAATGATATAAAGGGATGGCTGGTTGGAAATGACAGGCTATGAATGCTATATTTAAGTTCAGTGGCACAAAAACTGAGAATTAACATTTCATCCAATTCCTAATTTTGTCTTCAGGAGTATAAGAGATACAGGAAGTAGTTGAGATCCATTCCTAGTTTCTCTTCAAAAGAGTGGGTTGTAGGATCTTTTATTTCTACTGATTGCTGTCACTTACCGTACCCTGCTGATGACTCGTTTTGCCAATGTTTCGGACACAAGGACTAGGCAGAATGTTCTCCACTCCTCAGGATTGCTGTTGGGCTATCTTGATTTATTTGTGTATTTATGTACATGAATCTGTGGCCAGAATGCAGTCTGCCCAGAAGAGGTCTTTAATAGCTGGGATGAAGGCTGTATATTCAGAGTGGGTCAGATTCGTTTGCAGGCTGGGAAGCCTTTGCTGTCGAATTCGAAGAGTAATTTTTCTGTTTCTGGAAAGTGCCTGGCTTAGGTTTGTATAGTGACTTTCTACTGAAGAGAAAATTTTCTAGGTGTGATTTGTGTGCTTTAAATCTAAAGGATATTTGATTTCTTGACATTTAAGTTGGGATTTTTCTTTGGTGCCAGGTAAACACGTAGATAGTGTTAGAGTATCATTTTTCTTCTACTCAGATTACATTACTGATCATTTTACTGTGTGGTTGAAAAGACAAAGTGTGATCCTTGGTCCTCATAGCCCAGTTAGGTTCTTTGATATCTGCTTAGAGACTCATTTAGAGCAGTCTAATAATGGATTTATAGTGCTCACAGATAGCAGTTCATTTTGGAACATGCGGACATTACCATAAAACAAGTTAGGAAATGGCTGTTCCACCTTCACTATGTCATTCTTTTTGTTGAGATGGAGTCTCGCTCTGTCTCCCAGGCTGGAGTACAGTGGCATGATCTCAGCTCACTGCAACCTCCGCCTCCCAGGTTCATGCGATTCTTGTGCCTTCACCTCCCAGAGTAGCTGGGACTGCCGGCACACACCACCACGCTTGGCTAATCTTTGTGTTTTTGGTAGACACAGGGTTTCGCCATGTTGGCCAGGCTGGTTTCAAACTCTTGACCTCAGCTGATCTGCCCACCTCAGCCTCCCAAAGTGTTGGGATTACAGCCATGAGCCACTGCGCCTGGCCTACTATGTTATTCTTTAGGCTAGTTAACATATAGTTCCTAGACATCCTATTTTATGTAATCATCCTTTCCTCCCATTTCCAATACAAAGAACGTTCAGTAAAAATTATTTCATTTAATTAATGAAACACATCTGATCTTTTTATTTATTTATTTTTTTTTGAGACAGTCTCATTCTGTTGCCCAGACTGGAGTGCAGTCTTGGCTCACTGCAACCTCTGCCTTCTGGGTTCAAATAATTCTCTGCCTCAGCCTCCCTAAGTGCTGAGATTGCAGGTGTGAGCCATTGTTCCTGGCTCACTTAATTATTACTATTATTATTATTTTTTTGAGATGGATTCTCGCTCTGTCGCCCAGGCTGGAGTGCAGTGGTGCCATCTCGGCTTACTGCAACCTCCACCTCCCAGGTTCAAACGATTCTCCTGCCTCAGCCTCCCAAGTAGCTGAGATTACAGGTGCACGCCACCATGCTCAGCTACTTTTTGTATTTTTGGTAGAGACGGAGTTTCACCATATTGTCCAGGCTGGTCTCAAACTCCTGACGTTGTGATCTGCCTGCCTCGGCCTCCTAAAGTGCTAGGATTACAGGCGTGAGCCACCGCACCTGGCCTATTATTATTATTATTATTATTATTATTATTATTATTATTATTATTTTGAGACAGGGTCTCACTCTGTCGCCCAGGCTGGAGTGCAGTGGCGCGATGTTGGCTCACTGCAACCTCCACCTCCCAGGTTCACGCGATTCTCCTGTCTCAGCCTCTCGAGTAGCTGGGATTACAGGCACATGCTGCCCCGCGTGGCTAATTTTTTTGTATTTTAGTAGAGACGGGGTTTCACCATGTTGCCCAGGCTGATGTCGAACTCCTGAGCTCAGGCAGTCCACCCGCCTCGGCCTCCCAAAGTGCTGGGATTATAGGCGTGAGCCATCACGCCTGGCCTATTATTATTATTATTTTTATTATTATGTATATTTTTGAGATGGGGTCTTGTTCTGTTGCAGGCTGGAGTGTAGTGGCGTGATCTTGGCTCACCGCAGCCTCTGCCTCCTGGGTTCAAGTGAACTTGATTATTTTATAAAATGTTTTCACGTAAGGCATTATATTATTCTTTTGGCCCTCTTGCTTTAAGTAGACATTTACTGATTTATGTAAGATAAACAAAGATTAAGTGACACAGTTAATTGTCATTTGGGTCTGAAATTCAATTCCAATTCAGTCTGAAGTGTACTGTTCCATAAAATAGATGAGTTATGAGGAATCTGGGTTCCATTTTTACACATCCTTTAGGGTCTTGCTTTGACTCCTGATAAATCTAATTCTTCCGCCTCCTGTCACTGAAATTAGTTTGGAAGCTGGGCATGACTTTATAGTGTTCCATGTGCATTTTTTGCTTTCTTTGGCTCTTTGTGCCAAGTGTTTTAAGTCTACTCTACTAGCTGTTAGTACTACCCTATGTTATCTTTCCTAGGAACACTTACAAATTTTAGTATTTATTCTGGCAGGATTTGGAAAGGGGATTTAAATTAGCTAGTGAAATTACAGCAGAATGGCTGTGGGCAGAAGGATAGAGGAAGTAGGCCTTTGAAGTAAATGTTAGATTGTGGTAATGATGGAGAGACTGAGACGCCCAAGATACCAATTGATTTTCTTTGCCTGTGATGCTTGTTTTTGTCCGCTGGTACTCCTTTCCCCCTAGATGGCACTGTCTTACTCATCGTTCAGGTCCCAGGTCTGTAAAACTTTGCCCTAACTCGTCTCCTCACAGCACTTGATCAAAATTATATTTATCTGTGCAAATTATCTGTTCATTGGTCTCTACCTTCAGACAACAACCTTTCAATATTTATGGCCTTTAAATGAAGCAGTGTGCCTACTGCTCTGTAATTGTTGACTTAAATAGAGTAAAACAGTATAGGGTAATGTTTAAGTATGTGGGATCAGGCAGGCCTAAATTTAAATTCTGGATATGCCAGAATTCTGTGACCTCCTCAAAGCTTCAGTTTCCTCATTGGGGATTTGGGCATGAGAATACTTGCCCCATGAGCTCATGGTGAGGTAAGACAGTTGGCACAGTGACTGGCATAGAATGAGTACTCCTTAGGTGGTAGGTTGATGTGATATTCGGGGGTTAGGGCAGGATCATGTGCTCTACTAGATGCTAGATGAAGTGGAACCCCCTCACCTTTCACGTGAGCACTGAGTGGGAATTCAATTTCAGAAGGTAATGAAAGTTCCTGAGTTTCAGAGTAGAAGTGTACTGGGCACAAGGGACCAGTTTTTAATTTTCTCTTTTTTTTTTTTTTTTTTGAGATGGAGTCTCACTCTATCACCCAGGCTGGAGTTCAGTAGTTTGATCTTGGCTCACTGCAAACCTCTGCTTCCTGGGTTCAAGCAATTCTCCTGCCTCAGCCTCCCAAGTAGCTGGGACTACAGGCATGCACCACCATGCCTGGGTAATTTTTGTATTTTTAGTAGAGACAGGGTTTCACCATGTTGATCAGGCTGGTCTCAACTCCTGATCTCAAATGATCCACCCGCCTTGGCCTCCCAAAGTGTTGGGATTACAGGCGTGAGCCACCATGCCCAGCCCTTTTTTTAATTTTTAAAAACTTTTTATTTTTTGTGGCGACAGGATCTCACTGTGTTGCCCAGGCTGGTTCAAACTCCCGGCCTCAAGTAATCTCCCACCTCAGCCTCCCAAAGTGCTAGGATTACAGGCACGAGCCACTGTGCCTAGCCTGGTTTCTGATTCTGATTCTTCTTTTTAAATCTTCTTTCTTTGCTCACTATTATTATATTTTAATGGTTTCTGATTCTTGAAGGTTTTCTGTCATTTTGAGAGAGAAACTAAAATGAGAGGTTTTTGTTGTTGTTGTTGGGGATTTTTTTTTTTTTCGGTGCCATAACCCATCCTAGATGTGCTAGGATGTTAGGGGCAACTTGGTGAAAAATTTACTGGTTTATTTGGGTTTTTCTTCTGCTGATAAATTTGGTTGTAGTTAATAGTTTTGGCTTGGTGGAAGAGATGGTGATTGCTCTAAGTTTTTTTTTTTTTTTCACCAGAGTAGAAGACTAGCAGAGCATCTATTTACAACCTCTCAATTTATCATGGAGTTTGTATTTTGTTGTTCAGCAGTCTAACATTGACTTCAAGCTTTTGTACAAATAATGACTCTCGTTCATTTGCCAACAAATAACTGCCAAATGCCTGAGGCATTACACTAAAGTGGAAAATCACTTTTAGGGCTTTTAAGTTTAAACTTAGGTTCAAATTCCAGTTTTGCCACTATTTAGCTGTGTGTATGTGACCTTGTGACCTTGACCTCAAGTTTTCTTTTCTGTAATACGAGGCCAGAGTAAAAT
Source organism: Homo sapiens (assembly GCF_000001405.40). Classification (NCBI taxonomy): domain Eukaryota; kingdom Metazoa; phylum Chordata; class Mammalia; order Primates; family Hominidae; genus Homo; species Homo sapiens. Next base: position 5,138,512 of record NC_000003.12, read on the forward strand.
GAGTAATGCTGAGCTATTATCATTATTATTTTTAAATAGTATAAGCCAATTACATATGGCTTAGCTAATAAGGATGTGTTGTTGATGCAGTCATCACATGTGATTGAAAAGCATTCCTGTCACTCCAACTTCTTACTGCGCTTACTGCACCTGCCACACTCCCCACCCTGATGATAGTAAGTGGAATTTTAGGCAGCTACTGAATAAATAATGATTTTACTATCTAGAAGGCACTGCAGTTTGGAACCTGAGAAATGTACAGTGACTTAGTATTTTATGACTGTCCATCATTTTAAGAGTTGAGTTTCACTGTGAAACAATGTCGAAAGCACTGACTGGACTAATGGAGTGGCTTTACAGTGCTTACTGTTTCTTCAGTAATACCCAGAGAGAGCTGCAGTGTGGAGGAGCCGGTGAAAGAATGTATTCAGCCCATGGCATTCTCTGCAGCCACACCACTGTACTGCCAGGATCACTTGAGAAACAGATGTCTCTACTGATATATAAGCAGACAGCTAAAAGATTCCATACACTGTAGTTTAAAATGATTTTAGGGAATTATTAATAATATTTTAAAAAATTGTTACTGAATTTTTTTACAGTAGAAGGGAACATGAGACAATCCATATGATACTATTAGTTTGGGAGATGAAGTTGCAAAATTGTGAGGCAGAAAAATGTTAAAAGTAGGCACTAAAGGACTAAGAAGTTACAATCTTGGCTTTAATGTATCCAATGACAGGTGCCATGGTTTGCTTCCTCCAGAGTCTAACAGGCAAAATAGTATTTGTAAACATTTTCTTGCCTCTACTATGCCTAGGCTAGCAGTCTTTAAAGATAGTCTTTAATGGGAGGATTGCCTATTTATCTTATGATGTACCTGTGGAACAGAATTTTAGGGGCTTCATTTATCTTCCAGGTAGAAAAGAGCTGATAAGGGGTTATGGAGATGTTGTCACCTGGCATTATATGCTATAATCCTTGGTCACATTTATAAGTTTTTTTATTCTAATACAATGGATCTGAGTGTCATTAGGAGCCTTGCAGACAAGTGTTTCTGGGTAACTTCTCAGTAACATCTTTGACATTTGTTTAGTTGCAGACCTAAATGGCCACTGATGGATACTGCAGTTTCAGTAAGCAGTGGAGTTTATTTCCCTGGAAGTAGAATGAGGCAGACCCAGAATATTGTAGAGTGCTTGTCATCAGCTGTATTTCTTCATGGCCCAGAAAAACTCCTATGTAACTTCCCTTAGAGAAATGAAACTGAACGGGAAGCAGAAGTAGTTACTGGATGATGTTGGACCTGGGAATTCTGAATGAGTCAGTTCAATTCCTGCAGGGTATCCTGTCTGAAAGAAATTAGGGCAGTATGCAGTGCAAGGCTTGCAGGGCTCATAGGTCTTTCTGTTATGTTCTTTCAGGGGTAGCAATGGTCAGGATAGCTTCTCACTACACAAGATGTGATTAGTTTTGTTTTTTTTTTTTTTTTTGAGACGGAGTCTTGCTGTGTCGCCCAGGCTGGAGTGCAGTGGCACCATCTCTGCTCACTGTAAGCTCTGCCTCCAAGATGTGATTAGTTTTTGTTCCTCACTTTGGGGAGCGTGTGTGGCAGTGTTTAAAAATAATGCTCTCCTGTTGGTTCTTAGGGAACAAAGTCTTCTGGTATGGTTTTGCTGGGTCCTCACCCAAATCTCATCTTGAATTGTAGCTCCCATAATTCCCACATGTTGTGGGAGGGACCCGGTGGGAGATAACTGAATCATGGGGACGATTTTCCCCATACTGTTTTTTGAGGTAGTGAATAAGTCTCACAAGATCTGTTGGTTTTGTGGTAAGGGGAAACCCCTTTTGCATGGCTCTCACTTCTCTCTAGCCCACCACCATGTAAGAAGCCCCTTTACTCTTTCTTCATCTTGTGCCGTGATTGTGAGGCCTCCCCAGCCATGTGGAACTGTGAGTCAATTAAACCTCTTTCCTTTGTAAATTACCAGTCTTGGGTATGTCTTTATTAGCAGCATGAGAACAGACTCATACACCTTCTTGGTTTTTTTTTTTTGGCAAAATTTCAACACGTTAGTCTTTAACTCTCTAGTGAATGTTGGAGCAGTCTCCAGATTGCTTAAAACTGAACTAGGGGTACAGTCCATAAGGAAAATATGCCCTGAGGGGCTGTATGTGTGCAGCCGTATGTATGGAGCTGTGATTTGTTGTCATCTGAAATTCTAGGCTATAATAATTGTTCCTGGGGCTCAAAGAAACCATGACGGGTTACTACCAATAACATTCTGGTGGGATGTTGGTTCACGCCTGTGAGAAACACTCATTTACTCATCCAAACCCAAAGAATGGACTTGGAGACATGAAGAACAGCGGAAGCAAGACTTTTATTGGCGGTCTTGCAAGATCTGGTGTCTGGTAGGCAGTCACACCGGGGACAGTTACAACAGGTAATTTATCTCCTAGCACGCAAGTCCCTCCCCCAGCTCCTCATTGGTTGAGTACTATGGGGTTACAATCTTCCTGGACATTGCCTAAGTTTTATTATCCCCCTTATAAGGTTATACCGTGGTCCCTTTCCCCACTTCAGTTTCGATTTCCCAATAATGAAACTTTCTCCCCTTTTAGGGGCTGACCCCTCCTCTACATTCTGTTCACTTATCATGACCTTCTGGGTGCATGAGCTGTGTGGTTTATTACATCCACAGGCTGGCTTCCAGTACTTAGATTTATTATGCCTCGAAAATGGACCACTTAAAATGTTTTCTCACAAATTTCCTTCCTTTTCTATTTACTTCCTTTGGTCTCATTTTCATCTAAACCCTTTTGGTCCTCAAATTGCTTTAGAAGTCATTTACTTTCTTCCTTATAGGAGAGTGAGTTTATTTTGGTTTCTAATAGTAGCAGGTTATTTTGCTGGTAACTTATTGGCATTGTTTATTAATAGCTGTTTTAATTAATCTCTGTGCTAGTCCCCTCACACACAAGTAATACTACATCCCACTGCTAAGACTCCTGCTACAATTATGAGAGATGTAAGGATTGAAGCCACCATGCCTTTCCATTTTCCAAACCAACCATTTAGCCAACCCGTAAATGGGTTGTTAATTCCAGCATTTTCTGCCTGTTCGTTGGCTAGAGTTGTCAGTCCTTGTAAAGCTTTTGTGATGGTCCCATCTGGGGCAGTATTGTTGGGAATGAAAGTATAACGTTTCCCACCCAGCATAACACTTACACCCCCTTTTTCTGGTATTACGTCTAGTGCAAGCCTGTTTTTCCAGGCCATTGGGCTGGTGGCATCTAACTGGCTAGCCATCCCTTTGAGGGTGTCCTGAGTATAATTGATGAATCTTTGTTGATTATAATAGATGTAGTTAATCTAGTTCACATTCTTATTAATAGTTGACCACAGAAGAGTGCTGACTCAAACCCAGCAGCTATTTGGTTTTGGGCCTTAAATTTATTCGGCACTCCCCTAGGGACTCCTATTGAGTCAACATATATATTGACATTAAAAGAGTTTGTCAAATCTCTCTGCTTTCAGTGGCCGTGTGTGTTTTCAGGTATCTTATGGAATGCCAGGGTGAAGGGAATGGCCAATTAGACTAAAGCACAAGTCCCGGTCCAGTTGGATGGTAACAAGTTGGGGAGGTTCCTTTTCCCATAGTACCACCAGACGTTAGCCTGGGGTATATGGAGAGCCGAGTGATTGCCATCGCCTGACTTACCAGTGATGTTTAGGATGTGCGTACAAGTTGAGAGTTTTCCCACGGGCTTATTGAACTCTGCCCCCTATCTAGAGAGGCAAGAGGAGTGGTTCATATTCCCTAGAGAGAATGAGGGGATTGCTTTGGGATCTGACCTCTGCAATGTGGGAAAGAGCAGTGACAGACTCTTTACAAGTCTTGTTTCCCCATGCGTCCTTGTCCTGGTATAGAGCCAACATGCAATCCATTTCTTCAGGATCAGTATCCCATCCTAGGGGAAATGGAACCACCTGTGCCTGAGGTCCTCCCGTAGCACACGCATAGCAGTCACTCTTGTTGAAGGCTTGTACCGAAAATTTGATCCATTTGACCCAGGCGTTTACATCCCTGCACCCTGTCTCAATTTCTAAGGTTTGCCTTAAATCCTTTACCTCAATTATTTTTACCTTTTAGGGTTATTATTTGGCAGACTAAAGTGTTTATTAGGGTCTGGAGTTGGAGTAGTTCCAGGCAAATGAGAGGTTGAGTTTTTTATTAGTTTGAGAACAAATCACCCTATGGGGTCTTTCCCTGTGATGTCTGCCCCTCACGTATATACCTGAGACACTACTTTTGGTTCTTGGCCTAGAGTGGCTGGATTGCTAATGGCAATGAGTATAGGGTTGCGTTCTAAATTTTGGCAGTTATTTGGCAAGGAGCCCTTGGACAGATGTAGTTTATTCTTTAAGTGTCTTCAGCTCGGAGTTACCCACCCCGTGTTTACTGTCCAACCCTGAATTGGGTGGTTCACCATACATCATCCCAGCTGGGGCATGGTAATGCCATACTGTAATCTGTATCTGGTTCAGGGCAAAGATGTTTATTCACTTGTGAGAACTATCTCTGAGTTTCAAAATTCCCACAAGGTGAGACCTGGCAGGCATCGAATCTTATAGTCTGGGGTGCTACCATCTTGGTTACATAGATTACAAACCTGATTGGGTAGGGAGGAGTTGCCTGCAAGTTTCCATTTTGACCTTCTGCTCTTTGCGTAGTAGGCCATCTCAGCCATATTAACTTCCAGAAATGGGGCCAGCCCATGTTTTCTTTTTAGATTTTTCTCAGAGTTAACTTTAAGGGTTACTTAAAGTTAACCTCTGCAATGTGGGAAAGAGCAGTGACAGACTCTTATAAGTCTTGTTTCCCCATGCATCCTTGTCCTGGTATAGAGCCAACGTGCAATCCACTTCTTCAGGATCAGTATCCCATCCTAGGGGAAATGGAACCACCTGTGCCTGAGGTCCTCCCGTAGCACAGGTGATCCATGCACTTTCCACTGGTCTTGTTCCTTCCCTTCCGAGGTCTCTTTTACCAGTCCCTTGACTTGAGTACAGTGAGTCCACCCCTGTTCAGCCGTTTGCACGGCCATCTTAGTGGTCAGGAGCACTTCATAGGGACCTTCTCAGGTTGGGTGGAGCTTGTCTTCTTAACAAGTCTTAATCAGCACCAAGTCACCAGGGTGGAAATGGTGAACTGTGAACTCAAGAGGAAGAGTTTGAGTCAGAAGTCCTTTTAACCTAAGGGATGACAGGGTAGAGGATATGGCCAGTATATAATTTCTTAAGAATTGATCCTTGGTTTCCAAAGTAGGAAGATCTGTAGCTCTGCCCAAATATGGGAGCCCATATAATAACTCGTAGGGGGACAATCCCAAGTCTTTTCTTGGGGCTGTCCTAATTCTGAGGAGTGCTATTGGGAGACATTTCATTCAAGGCATTTTAGTTTCTAAGATTAGTTTGGTGATATGCTTTTTGAGAGTTTGATTCATTCTTTCTACTTTTCTAGAGGAAGGGGGATACCAAGGAGTGTGATAATCCCATCTAATTTGTAAACCTTCCATAATTCCCCTTAATACCCTTGAGGTAAAGTGGCTCCCATTGTCTGAATTAATATTTTCCACCAGGCCAAATCTAGGTACATTCTGTTCTAATTTTATTTTGACCACATTCCCAGCAGTGGCTGTTGGGAGTGGAAAGACTTCCACCTAGCCAGAAAGGTGATCTCTGATCACCAGTAAATACTTTAGTTTTCCTACTTTGGGCATTTCTGTGAAATTTATTTGAATGCTTTGAAATGGTCTTAGTCTGGGAGGTCTTCCTCCTGTGGCCTGTTTTCTAATCACCTTTTTGTTTATCCTTTGACAAGTTACACAGCTTCCACGTACTTGTTTAGCAAAAGTGTAACTCCCTATACACTCATCATTCCTATGTATTGTATTACACAGAGCCTGGGGTCCCCATTGACTCCCTTTGTGTAATACAGACGTTAGTTCTCTCATCAGGGGTTTACTTATTTCTCTCCCATCAGGAAGTACCCACTTCCCGTTTTCAGTTTGTGTGACCCCTATCCTAATTCTTCCTTCTCCTTTCTGGTAAACTGGGGCCTTAATACTACCTTAGGGATGTCTGGGATCAGGCTAAATAGTCTAATTTCTTCCTCCAGGGAGGCTTGCATAGCAGCTTTATCTGCAAGCTTGTTTCCTACAGCTTCTATAGTGTTACCTTTCTGATGACCATTTATGCGAACTATGGCAACCTCTGCTGGAAGCTGGAGGCTTTCTAAAACCTGTTTGACCAGTTCCCCATGTACCAATTCTTTTCCCCTGCTATTTATTAGGCCCTGCACTGTCCAGATTTTTCCAAAAGTGTGTACCACCCCATAGGCATATTTAGAATTAGTGAATATAGTGCCTTCTTGGCCTTCAAGGAGCTTTAGCGCCTGGTTAAAAGCATATAATTCACAGGTTTGGGCCAACCAACCATTAGGTAATCTACCTTTCTCACATAAGGAGTGTTTATTTCCATCAGTGATAGCATAACCATTATCTCTCTTTGCCATCTATCCACTTGGGACAACCCATCCACAAACAGCCTTATCCCATCATGTTGTGGAGCTTCCCTAAGGTCAGGTTTAGCTTTGATTTTGTATTCAGTGATATCTAAGCAGTTATGGTCTGATGGCTCTTTGTTCTCTCCTTTGTATAGGAAACTGGCTGGATTCAGGCAAGTATTTGTTGTTACGACCAAATCTTTTTTTTCTAGTAATATGGCTTCATATTTTAGAATCTGAGAATCCAGTAACCATCTCCCGGCTTTTTGATTTAATATATTCCTGACCTGGTGTGGGGTGCTTACTATTAGGGCCCCACCAAAGGATAGCTTTCGACTCTCCTCTACCAGCAGGGCTGTGGCAGCTACTGCTTGTACACATTCGGGCCACCCGAGAGAGACAGGATCAAGAAGCTTGGAGACAAAAGCAATATGTTGCCTCTTCCCTCCCCAGGTTTGAGTGAGCACCGCAAGGGGCATGCCCTGGTCTACTGTTACAAACAGATGGAATGGTTTCTCTAAAGATGGGAGGACTAGGGCCGGGGCTGTAATGAGGGCCTGTTTTAGTTCTTTCACTGCCTGAATTTCTTCTGGGGACCATTGCAAGGAATCAGGTTCCTCCTCTAGTAGTTTCAGATACACAATCTTTGTCTTTTGAGCATATGACTTAATCTATAACCTACAACAGCCAGTTAAACCTAAAAATTTTCAGAGTTCTCTCTTGGTCTTAGGAAAAGGTAGACCCCTCTATTCCTGATATTCTCTCTGGGTTTATTCTCTTTCCTTCACTAATCAGGTGTCCTAAATATTTAACTTCTTTTTCTACAGACTGCAGTTTGTTTTTAGAGACTTGCAATCCCCTCTCTCCTAGGAAATTATTATAGTGGTTTCTGATACCTTGGCTCTCCTCTCCCCAGAAATTAAAAGATCATTTACATATTGTAACAACTGGGTTTCCCTGGAAGGTTGGAATTCCTCCAGGACTTTTTCTAAGACTTGACCAAATAAGTTTGGGGCTTCCGTGAAGCCTTCTTGCAGCACAGTACAGTGGTATTGTTGTTTTCTCCCAGTTGTAGGATTTTCCCATTCAAAGGCAAAGAGGTCCCTGCTCCTAAGGTCTAGGGGACATGCCCAGAATGCATCTTTTAGATCTACCACACTGAACCACTTATGTTCATAGGGTATCTTACTAAGGAGGGTGTAGGGGTTGGGCACCACAGGGTGGCAGGTCTGGACAATTTGATTTATAGTCCTTAGATTTTGCACCAATCTATACGACCCATCAGGCTTTTTGACTGGGAGAATTGGAGTATTGTATGGTGACATGCAGGGTTCTAATAGTCCATCTTTAATTAATTCCTCTATTACTGGTTGGAGCCTTTTTCTCCCTTCAGTAGAAATGGGATATTGTTTTCTGCAAACTAGTTCTCCTGGTTGTTTTAGTTCAGTCTGTAAGGGTGTGATTTTTAACCCTCTGCTGTTGCCTTTTTCTAATCGACACATAGGGATTATTTTGTCTTTCTTCCTCCTTTATTAGGAGGCCCATTATGACTTTTAATTGTTCTGCCTGTATTCCTAATTCTAAACCCAATCTCACAATCAGGTCTCCACCCAGGAGGTTAGTTTCTGCTTTGGGAACATATAAGAGTGACCTCTCAGTTCGTTCTGGTCCCAATCTAATTAACATTTTCTTGAATATTGGAACCTGAAATCTCTCCCTTTTAATCCCTGATACTGTCAATTTTTCCTTGGTTCAGTACCCCTTGGTGAATTAGGGAGGAGCAAGCCGCCCCAGTATCAACCAAAAATGTCCCTTCTTTTTCCTCAGGTCCCACCTTCAAATTTATCAAGGGTTCCTAGTGGGACCTACTCAGAAGGAACCTCTGACCCCAATAGTCTTCATTAATGGTCATGAGGGGGATTACCTTTTCTTCCTCTTTTTTTTTTTGATTTATACTTTAAGTTCTAGGGTACATGTGCACAACATGCAGGTTTGTTACATATGTATACATGTGCCATGTTGGTGTGCTGCACCCACTAACCGGTCATTTACATTAGGATATCTCCTAATGCTATCCCCCGCCTCCTCCTACCCCACGACAGGCCCTGGTATGTGATGTTCCCCACCCTGTGTCCAGGTGTTCTCATTGTTCAGTTCCCACCTATGAGTGAGAACATGCAGTGTTTAGTTTTCTGTCCTTGGCGATAGTTTGCTCAGAATGATGGTTTCCAGCTTCATCCATGTCCCTGCAAAGGACATGAACTCATCCTTTTTTATGGCTGCATAGTATTCCATGGTGTTCTTAATCCATTCTATCATTGTTGGACATTTGGGTTGGTTCCAAGTCTTTGCTATTGGGGTCTTCTTTTTTCTATTCAGGACATTCTCTTAAAATGCCCTGGCTTTCCACACTCGTAACATCCACTCTTAGGAGCTTTTTCCTGCGTTTCCCTTCTTTCTCTATGTCAGAATCTATCATTCCCTTCTCTCCTTTGAGGGGGATTTTGATTTAACGTTTTTCTGACTACCTCTTCCACAGTGGAAACCATGATTTTTGCTTTTTGTTTTTGCTTCTCTTCCTCTGTCCTTACAAAGACCTTCTGAGCTTCCCTGAATAATTCCTTAATCAGTTTTTTATTCTATCCATCAATCTTGTCTAATTTTTTTGTAATGTCAGGCCAGCTCTATGTTACAAAGTTAGCCTTCAAAAGGCCTTGCCCTACTGGGTCCTCCGGATCTAATTTTCTCATGTGATTTTTGAGCCTCTACAGGAATGCGGAGGGAATTTTCTCTTTTTCTTGTTGAATCTCGAATGCCTTTAAGACATTTTGTGTCCTAGGAGTGGACTCTTTGATCCCTTTAATTATTCTCTGAGGTCCTGCATTTGGGCTTGGTCCCTGGGATTATTATTATCCCATTTGGGGTCAACGTTTGGAGATTTTTGTTCAGCTGGCAAGACTTCTTGCCCAGGAGGGTGTTGCCTCTCCCAGATGGTCATGGCTGCTCTCTTAATCATTCCCCTTTCTTCTCCTGTGAATAGGCTATTCATGATAGATATCATTTCAGCCCAGGTGTAAAAGCTGGGTCCTACGAATTGGTCCAGCTGGACTGCTAAACTGAGGGCATCCTCTAGGAGTGATTTCATTTCCTTCTTGAAATTCTTAACTTCAGTACTTGTAAGAGGAGCATTTACAAAGCCAATATCTCTGTGTCCCATGGGAGCTTCCCTAAGAGGGAACATTGCTAGATGCCTGCTGTGTGGAAGGGATAGGGAAGTTCTCAGTATCCCTCTTACACTGTTCTAATTCTTTTCTTAAATTTGGATAAGGATTTAAAGGAGCAGTTGGTTTGGCTCTCCTGTGGTCTCCAGGTCTATCTTCCTCTAACCCTCCTGCTGCCCCTTGATTTTCCTGTCCACTATTTTGTGAGATGTATGGAGGGGGCATGCGTGATAGGTGGTTCCAGGGCCTTTCACTGGGTGAGGGCTTTTTATTAGGTTCTTTTTCTTCTTCTTTGAGGGGGAACATGGGAGCTAATTTTTTGATCCAGCAGAGTGTAACCTACCTCTTCTTGTGAGGATGGAGTTTTATCATTTACATAGAGAATTAAAGCTTGGCACACCCAATCCTCATCTGAGCCAAACTTAGGCCAAAAAAGATCGAAGGCTTATGAATAGGGTCTTTGGGCCAGATAAAACAGCGATGCCTTATCTTTTGCTTTTCCTTTTGCCTGGTTCAAGGGTTGTCCCTTCAAACCTTCAGCATTCTCCCCAAAGGACTATCTGGGGGAATGTCAGAGGGAGTCTCTTTGGCTCCCTCTTTGCTTTGTACCCTAGGTTTAGGATTTCTGTTTCCCATTTTTGATCAGCCTCTATGTCTGAGCTTTCTTCCCTGTGTACTCGACCCGCGCTACTAGAGGTTTCTTGCACACCCTGAGCATCGGTTTGTCCGTCTCTGGCTGTTTGCGTCGCAGGAGAACGGAACCGTGGATTGGGACTCCGCACTTGCTTCATATCTAAGATACATCTCAGTTGCACACACTTGACCTCTGAAAATGCCCAACCACTAAGGCAGTACTTACAGTCTAATTTTCCTACCTGGGCTCCTGCACAAGGTTGCCTGGTTGCTGCAGTGTGTGCTTTTCTCCCTGTGTTGTCTCTGCTGCCTCTGGAATAACAGTCTTGGGTTTGTCTATGGCCTCTGCCGGGTGCTGGAATACCCAGACAGAGCAGGCCACCTAAATTGATGGGATGTGTCTCCCCCTTGACCGGAGTTCCACTCCATGCAGGCACAGAGATCCTGGTTGGGCCCCCAGGTTTGTGAGAAACACACATTCACCCATGCAAACCCAAAAAATGGACTTGGAGACACCATCCCGTGTGTGGTAGGCAGGCACACCTGGGGCAGTTACGACAGGCAATTTATCTCCTAGCACACAAGTCCCTCCCCCAGTTCTTCATTGGTTGAGTACTGTGGAGTTACAATCTTCCCAGATGTGTAAGTTTTATTATCACCCTTAGAAGGTTATATCCTCGTCCCCTTCCCCACTTAAGTTTCGATTTCCCAATAACGAAACTTTCTTTCCTTTTATGGGCTGACCCCTCTTCTACAGTCTGTTCACTTATCATGACCTTCTAGGTGCATGAGCTGTGCAGTTTGTTACATCCGCAGGCTGGCTGCCAGTCCTTAGGTTTATTATGACTTGAAAATGGACCATTTAAAATGTTTTCTCACACCCCTAATCCCTACCACATTTGGTTGGACAAACTTGACAATTTAGACCATTCAGCACATGATAGATGTTTTAGTCAAGGTCTTGACCCCAATTGCACAAATCCTTTAGTTTGTAGAACTTTGCTGTGGATTGGCATGAATATTCTAGCTGCAGTGATATATCCCTCTTGCTTGCTGTTAAGTATCTTATATCATTGTACTTGTTTTAGGACAGTGTGTCAGTCCTTTTGAATATTGTGAGCTACTTTTTGTTATGAGGGTAATGCAGGGCTCATAAAATGAGTTTGGAAGTGTTCGTGCCTCTTCTGTTTTTGGAGATTATGTAGAATTCGTGTTATTCTTTAATGTTTGGTAGAATTAGGGCTGGGCACGGTGGCTTACGCTTGTAATCCCAGCACTTCGGGAGGCTGAGGCAGGGGGATCACCTGAGGTTGAGAGTTCAAGACCAGCCTGACTAACATGGTGAAACCCCATCTCTACTAAAAATACAAAAATTAGCCAGGCGTGGTGGCACACGCCTGTAATCCCAGCTACTCAGGAGGCTGAGGTAGGAGAATTGCTTGAACCCAGGAGGCAGAGGTTGCAGTGAGCCGAGATCTTGCCACTGCACTCCAGCCTTGGTGACAGAGCGAGAATCCATGTCAAAATAAATAAATAAATAAATAAATAAATAAAGTTTGGAGCCAGGCATGGTGGCTCACATCTGTAATCCCAGCACTTTGGTAGGCCAAGGTGGGCAGATCACTTGAGGTCAGGAGTTCAAGACCAGCCTGGCCAACATGGTGAAACCCTGTCTCTACTAAAAATACAAAACTTAGCTGGGCGTGGTGGCACATGCCTGTAATCCCAGCTACTCAGGAGGCTGAGGCAGGAGAATCACTTGAACCCGGGAGGGGAAGCTTGCAGTGAGCCAGGATTGCTCCACTGCACTCCACCATGGGTGATAGAGTGAGACTCTGTCTCAAAATAAAATAAAATAAAATAAAATAGTTGGTAGAATTCAGCAGGAAAATAATTCTAGTCCCGGGATTTCTTTTTAAGAAGCTTTGAAGTTAGTGATTCAATTTCTTCAGTAGAGAGAGGGCCGTTTTTTCTTCCAGTGTGTTTGGTAGTTTGTGATTTTCAAGAAATAGGTTCATTTCATCAAAGTTGTTGAATTTATGAGCATAGCGTGTTTATAGTATTCTCTTATTTATCTTTTTTAATGTCGGTGGAGTCTGTAGTGATGTCCTTACTGATATTGGTGATTTTTATTTATTTTCCTTTGTTTATCAATTTTAATTATCTTTTTAGAGAATCAGGATCTTTTGGTTTCATTGATTTGCTTCAAAGTTTTTCTGTGTTCAGTATTATTTACTGCTCTTACCATTGCCCTCTGCTTGTTTTGGATTTATTTTGCTCTTTTTCTAATTTCTTAAATGGGGGGCTTAGATTGTTAATTTGAGACATTTCTTCTTTTCTAATATAAGCATTTGAAGCTGGGCATAGTGAAGTGTGCCTGTAGTCCCAGCTACTTGGGAGGATGAGGTAGAAGAATTGCTTGAACTCAGGAGTCTGAGGCTGCAGTGAGCTATGATTATGTCACTGCCCTCCAGCCTGGGCGACAGAGCAAGACCCTGTCTCTAAAATATATAAGCATTTGAGTCTATAAATTTTCTTCTGAGCACTGATTAGCTGCATTATACAAATTCTGACATGTTTCTCATTTAGTTCAACATGTTTTTATTTTCCCTTGAGGCTTCCTTCTGTGACCAATAGATTATATAGCCAAGTATTTGGTTGTTTCCAGATAGCTTTATATTAATTATTTCTAGTTTAATTCCATTATGGTGAAAGAACATACTTTGTATGATTTTTGTATGACTTGAATCCTTTTACATTTGTGAAGCTTTTCTCCCCCCACCCCCCCCCTTGGAGATAGGATCTTGCTGTCTTCCTCCAGGCTGGGCTGCAGTGGTGTGTGATCACGGCTGGCTGCACCCTCAACCTCCCAGGCTCAAGCAGTCCACCCACGTCAGCCTCAGCCTCTTGAGTACCTGGGACCACAGGCTCACACGACCACGTCTGGCTAATTTTTATAATTTTTTTGTAGAGACCGAGTCTTGCCATGTAACTTAGGCCAGTCTTGAATCCTCCCACCTTGGCCTCCCAAAGTATCGAGACTGTAGGCATGAGCCATTGTGCCCAGGCAAAGCTTTGATTTGTGGCTCAGAATATGGTTGAGTGAATGTTCCCATGTGCATTTGAAAAGAATGTGTATTCTTTTTTAATGAAATGTTCTGTAACTGTGAGGTAGATCCAGTTGGTTGTTGTGGTAAGTTCTACATCCTTGCTGGTTTTCTCCCTATCAATTAACATGAGAGGAATGTTGAAATCTCTAATTATAATTGTGGGTTTATTTCAATTCTATCAATTTTTGCTTTATGTGTTTTGAAGTTTTGTTAGGTGCATACTCATTTAGGATGTTATACCTTCTTCTTGGTGAATTCATCCTTTTATTATGTAATGTCCCTCTTTATCCTTGGTATATTTTCTTGCTTTGAAGTCGGCTTTTTCTTCTGATATTAAAATAATTATTTCAGCTTTCTGTGATAAGTGGTTGCATGGTGTTTGTCTTTCTATCTTTTTACTTCTAACTTACCTCTCCCTAAATTATATTAAAGTGGGTTTCTCTTCTTTCCTCTTTTCTTTCTTCTTGCTCTGTTGCCAGGCTGGAATTCAGTGATGTGATCAAGGCTCACTGCCACCTCCAACTCCTGGACTTAAACAATCCTCCCACCTCAGCCATTTGAGTAGCTTGGGACTAAGGGCGCGTGCCGCCACACCTAGCTAATTTTTAAATTTTTTGTAGAGATAGAGTCTTGCTAGGTTGCTCAGGCTGGTCTCGAACTGCTAGCCTCAAGTGATCCTCCTTCCTAGGCCTCTGAAAGTGCTGGAATTACAGGCATGAGCCACTGTGCCTAGACAAAATCTGGGTTTATTGAAGACAACATATGGTTGGGTCTTTTTAAAAAAATACATTTTGACAGTTTCTGTCTTTTCATTGATGTGTTTAGACCATTGCCTTTTAATGTAATTATTGATATTTAAGACTTAGTTTAAACATAGTATTTAGTTCAAATAATCATTTAATTATTTGTTTTCTGTTCAGTGCCTTTGGTTTTGTTCTTATTTTACCTTTGCTGATTTCAGCGGAGTGTTTTTATATTAATTTTAATTTCTCTATTGGGGTTTTGACTGTTCCTTGCAGTGGTTCTTCTAGAGTTTACAAGTATGCATTTCCCAGTCCACTTAGAATTAATGTATATCACTTAATGTAGAATGTAGAAACCTTAGCAACGTAGAGGCCCCTTTACCTTCCCCCCTTTATATTGTAGTCATTATCGGTAATATACTGATAGGACTTGGCAGTGTCCCCACCCAAATCTCCTCTTTGAAGTCCCACAATTCCCATGTGTCATGGGAGGAACCTGGTGGGAGGTGATTAAATTATGGGGCAGATCTTTCCCACGCTGTTTTCCTGATAGTGAATTAATCTTATGAGATCTGATGGTTTTAAACAAGGGAGTTTCTCTACACAAGCTCTCTCTTTGCCTGCTGCCATCCATGTAAGAGTGACTTGCTCCTGCTTGCCTTCCACCGTGATTGTGAGGCTTCCCCAGCCACATGGAACTGTTAAATCCATTAAACCTCTTTCTTTTGTAAATTGCCCACTCTTGGATATGTGTTTATCAGTAGCGTGAAAATGGACTAATACGTACACCTACCTAAATGGAAAACGACACCAATGTCGAATTTTACCTATTCTTTGAAAAAAAAATTTTTTCCTTTCAGCCATCAAACATTTTAAAGTATTTAAGGGGAGAAGAGTTTATTATATTTACCCAGGTATTTATCATTTCTTTTGATTTCTCTTCATTTTTGAAGTCCCACCTTTCCCTCTGGTAGTTTCTCTTATGCCTGGAGAACTTCCTTTAACATTTCTTTTAGAGCACGTCTGCTGGCTACAGATTTTAGTTTAGTTTAGTTTTCCTGCATCTGAGAATGTCTTTATGACCTTAATTCCTAAAAGATATTTTTGCTGAATATAGAATTTCAGACTGATAGTCTTTTTTTTTTTCCCCCTCCAGCACTTCGGAAGATGCTTTGATTGTTTCTGATGGGAAATTTGTAGTAATTTCAATTGTTATTCTCTAATGTCATGCATCATTTCTCTTTGGCTGCTTTTAAGATATTTTCTTGTCTTTGGTTATAGCAGTTTAATTGTGATATATCTGGATGTGGATTTCTTTCTGCTTACCCTGCTTAGTGTTTGTTGTACTTCTTGACTGTAATTTTGTCTTTGGAAATTTTGGAAATTTTCAGTCATTTTTTTCAAGTATTTTTTCCTGAATTACTCTCTCTCTTATTCCAGGACTTTGACATGACTGTTAGTCCTTTTTATATTGTCCCACAGATCCTGTTCATTTCACAGTTTTGTTCATTTTTTAAAAAAAAATTTTATTGTGGTAAAATAACTTTTTTTTTTTTTTGAGACAGGGTCTCGCTGTGTTGCCCGAGGGTGGAGTGCACTGGTACGATCTTGGCTCAGTGCAACCTCTGCCTTCCAGGTTCAAGTGATTCTCATGCCTCAGCCTCCCGAGTAGCTGGGACTATAGGCATCCACTACCATGCCCAGCTAATTTTTGTTTTTTTGTAGAGATGGGGCTTCACTATGTTGGCCAGGTTGTGTCTTCAAGATTTTTAAGTGTTCAGTGATGTTAAGTACCTTCATATTGAATGCAACCATTACTGCTATCCATCTCCAGGAACTCTTTTTATCTTGTAGAACTGAAACTCTGTACCCATTAAACAGTAACTCCTCATTCACCCCAGCACCACCCTAGCAACCACTATTCTACATTCTGTCTATGATTAGTCTTGCTCTGTTGCCCGGGCTGGAGTGCAGTGGCACGATCTTGGCTCACTGCAACCTCTGCCTCCGGGGTTCATGTGATTCTCCTGTCTCAGCCTTCTGAGTAGCTGGGATTACAGGGGCATGCCACCATGCCCGGTGGATTTTTGTGGTTGTTTTTGTTTGTTTGTTTGTTTTTAAAGTAGACTTGTGTTTTCACTATGTTGGCCAGGCTGGTCTCGAACTCCTGACCTCAAGTGATCCTCCCACTTCAGCCTCCCAAAGTGCTGGGATTACAGGCCTGAGCTCCTGGGCTTGGCCCAAGTTACTATCCTTTCATTTCAACCTGCAGAATTCCCTTTATTTTATCTTACAGGTCAGGTCTAGTAGTAATTTCCTCAGCTTTTGTTTATCTGGGAATGTTTTAATTTTTCTCCAACTTCTGAAGGACGTTTTAGCTGAAAATAGGATTCTCGGTTAACAGTTTTTGTTTTTTCATTTAGCACTTTGAATATATTAGCCCATTGCCTTCTGAATTCTGAAGTTTCTGATAAATCTGCTGCTACTATTGATTATTTATATTTGATGAGTTGCCTCTTGCTGCTTTCAAGATTATATCTGTCTTTGTCTTTTAATAGCATGTTTATAATTTGTCTTGGTATAGATCTCTTTAAGTTCATCCTACTTGGAGTTTGATGAGCTTCTTGGATGTTTATGTTCATGTCTTTCACCAAATTTGGGGAGTTTTGGGTCATTATTTCTTCAAATTATGTCTCTGCCTCCTATTATCTGTCTTCTTTTAGGACTTCCACAGTGTGCATGTTGGCTTTCTTGATGGTGTCCCATAGGTCCCCTGGGCTCTGTTCACTTTTCTTCATTTTTTTTTTCTTTCTCTGACTCAGACTGAATAATTAATTCCATTTGTCCTATCCTCAGGTTTGTTGATTCCCCGTGCCCCCCCACCCCCGCCTGGTCAAATCAGCCTTCGTGTTCCTCTAGTAAATTTTGCATTTGCTTTATTGTACTTTTCAACTCTGAACACTTTCTTTTTGGCATCTTTTTCGGTTTTCTACCTCTTTATTGGTATTTCTATTTTGTTCGTACATAGTTTTCTTGCATTTTTCTCAGTGTTTTTTTTTTGTTGTTGTTGTTCTTTGAGTACCTTTAAGATAATTTTTGTGTGTGTGTGTGTGTTGTTTTTGTTTTTGAGACAGGGTCTTGCTCTGTCACCTAGGCTGGAGTGCAGTGGCGCGATCTCAGCTCACGGCAACCTCCGCCTCCTAGGTTCAAGTGATTCTTGAGCCTCAGCACCCCTAGTAGCCAAGACTACAGGTGCGCACCACCATGCCCATCTAATTTTTGTATTTTTGTTAGAGATGGCGTTACACTATGTTAGCCAGGCTGGTCTCAAACTGCTGACCTCAAGTGATCTGCCTGCCTCAGCCTCCCAAAGTGCTGGGATTATAGGCGTCAGCCCCCGCACTTGGCCTAAGATAATTGTTTACTGGTCTTCCTCAGGGTCAGTTTCTGTTGGTTAATTTTTTTTCCTTTGAATGGACCATACTTCCCTGTCTCTTTTATGCTTTGTGATTTTTTTTTGTTGAAAACTGGAAATTTGAATCTAATAATGTTGTAACCCTGGAAATCAGACTCTCCCCCTTCCCCAGAGTTTACTGCCTTTTTTTTTTTTTCAGTTGTTCGTTTGTTTGGTTTTGTTTTTTGAGACGGAGTCTCACATTGTCACCCAGGTTGGAGTGCAGTGGCACGATCCTGTCTCACTGCAACCTCTGCCTCCCAAGTTCAAGCGATACTCTTGCCTCAGCCTCCAAGTAGCTGGGATTACAGGCACACACCACCATGCCCAGTGAATTTTTGTATTTTCAGTAGAGATGGGGTTTTGCCATGTTGGCCATGCTGGTCTCCAACTCCTGACCTCAAGTGATCCACCCGCCTTGGCCTCCCAAAGTGCTGGTATTATAGGCCTGAGCCACCATGCCCGGCCTCAAATGGGATTTCAGGCATGCGCCACCACACCCAGCTAATTTTTGTGTTTTTAGTAGAGATGGGATTTCACCATGTTGGCCAGGCTGGTCTTGAAATCCTGACCTCAAGTGATCCCTGTCCCTGCCTCCCCGCCCCCAGCCTCCCAAAATGCTAGGATTACGGACATGAGCCAGTCACTGTGCCCAGCCATGATTCTTCATATGTTCAGTTATTTTGGATACTTTTGGATTCTTCTTTTATTCTTCTTCATTTTTCAGTTGTTTTGGATACTTCGAGTACTGCGACATTCTAGGTTTTGTTTAAATCCTGTGGAGAATATTGATTTGTTATTTTGTTTTGTTATAGCAGACAGTTAACTCAGTTTAGGCCACAAGATCCAACCCACCTTCTATGGGCTTTGGTTCTAATATGATGTTAGTTTTCAAAGCCTTGCTGGTGCTATTTGGGTCATTTCTGGCTATGTGCCACACAGGGGTCAACCAGGCACTTGGGTGGTGGTCTACCTTATAGTTTAGTTCTCAAAGCCTTTGTGCTGTTGGGATCAGATCCATATGTCACAGCTTGGGGGTGAGCCCAGGAGTTCATACACAACTTTATCAGATGTATTACTCCAGTTCGTTCCCTTCTGAGTTTCCTTGATACTGTCTTAGTCTCCCATCTCCCACTTCCTGGTCCTGAGCCTGGAAAGCTTGAGGCTCCTGCCTTTCCCTCAGTTGAATCTGTCTCAGGGGCCACAAGGTAGGAGAAGGAATCGCAAAAAAACAAACAAAACAAAAAAACCCCCAAAGCAACACAGGTTCTTTCTCCATACCACTCTACTCCCTCCCCTCCCCAAAGCACTTAAGTTAGACCACAGTTTTCTGGTCAGAGAGGATTTTCTTCTCCGTAAGTACAGCTGGTCCATAGCTGCCTTAAGTGTGCACAGCTTCCAGGCTTGGTTTTGTCTGGTTGCAATGGCAAGAGAGAGGGTGGAAATAATGGATTTCTCCCACTCTGTATTCCTCACACTCCCAACCTTATCGCCCCCCATATACACACACATACCTTATACCAGAAAGAGAAATCTCCTCTTGGAGCTTTATCTCTTCATGGCTGGTATACATTTCTAGAAATTGGGCTGCCTTTGTATCCAGACTGGAAGATTGGGAGAAAACAAGCAAAAGTAAGAAAGAGCACCAGATAGATTGTGCTTCAAGTTCTAGTTCCCTTCTCAAATCTATCTGCTACCATTTACTTTTCAGAGTCCTCAGATAGGTTTTTTTTTTTAATGTATTTTGAGATGGAATCTTGCTCTGTTGCCCAGGCTGGAGTGCAATGGAGCGATCTCAGCTCACTGCAGCCTCCGCCTCCTGGGTTCAAATGATTGTCCTGCCTCAGCCTCCAAAGTAGCTAGGATCACAGGTGCTCACCACTTTGCCACCACTCCCGGCTCATTTCTGTATTTTTAGTAGAGGTAGGGTTTCACTATGTTGGCCAGGCTGGTCTTGAAATTATGACCTCAAGTAATCTTCCCACCTTGGCCTCCCAAAGTACTGGGATTACACGTGTGAGCCACGCGCCCAGCCTGGGGCATGCATTCTGTCCAGGGTTTTAGTTGTATTCAGTGGAAGGAACAGGTAATGGTATTCAGTGGAAGGAACAGGTAATGTCACGTTTCATGGACCGTGGGTGATGGTAGCAAACATTGAATGCTTTCCCTGTACCAAGCACTGTTCAAAATGCTGTATGTGTTTTAATTCATTTTACTTTTAAACAGCTCTGTGAGGTAGAGACTGTGGTTATCTCCATTTTATATTTGGGCAAAGTAAGGCATTACAAAGTTAAGGAATGTGTAAGAAGGGCACACTGATAGGCAAGAGGTAACGTCAGAGTTGTTACCTAGTGTGACTGTCTCCAGGGTCCGTTATAACCACCAGAATAACACTGCCTGTATATCATTGTTTTAACATTTATTACCTGAAAAAATGAACAGGGTCTCTTAGAGTAATTCGAGAGCCACTGAAACTCTTTATGTTATACCGAAATGGTTGTTTATCAGTTATGTGACTACTGTTTTAGTAGGCTTTATAAATGACATTTAAAATTTCATTTTATTAGTCCCTTGATTCTGTCTTACTTTAATAGGTCTTGATAAAGATTAGGCTTTTTAAATTTTAATGAATATGAAATTCATTCTGTTGTTTATGGCTTACAAATTTGTAGTATATGCTGAAGTCTTCCTCCGTAAGGGATTTATTTGTTTTTCTAAAACTGAAGGACAGCAATGCATGGTGGCTCATGCCTGTAACCCCAGCACTTTGGGAGGCCAAGGTTGGAGGATCACTTGAGCGCAGGAGTTCGAGACCAGCCTGGGCAACATGGCAAAACCCTACATGCGGGCATGCACCACCACGCCTGGCTCAAATTTTGTATTTTTGGTACAAAATACAAAAGTGAGCCAGACGTGGTAGTGTGTGCCTGTAGTCCCAGTTACTTGGGAGGCTGAGGAGGGAGGATCCCCCGAGCCCGGGAGGTTGAGGCTGCGGTGAGCCACGATCGCATCAGTGTACTCCAGCTTGGGTGACAGAGTGACTCTGTCTCAAAAAAAAAAAAAAAAAAAAAAATGCCAGGTGCGGTGGCTCATGCCTGTAATCCCAGCACTTTGGGAGGCCGAGGTGGGTGGATCACCTGAGGTTGGGAGTTCAAGACCAGCCTGACCAATATGGAGAAACCCTGTCTCTACTGAAAATACAAAATTAGCTGGGTGTGGTGGTGCATGCCTGTAATTCCAGCTACTTGGGAGGCTGAGGCAGGAGAATCCCTTGAACCTGGGAGGTGGAGTTTGGGGTGAGCTGAGATCGCGCCATTGCACTCTAGCCTGGGCAACAAGAATGAAACTCCGTCTCAAAAAAAAAAAAAAAAAAAAAAAGAGAAAAAGAAAAAAGACTGAAGGATTTTTGTTACATACATATCTTACTAAGATCATTTGGGTAGCTCTAGAAATCCCCCTTTTTAAGTTCAGTAATAGAAACCTAGAAATAGATTTAGAAAGAAACTTTTTTACAGTTTTTTTTTATGAACAAGCAGCATTTGTACTCATAGAAGGGCACACAATGACAAGTCTTTTTCTCATTTTAGTTCCCAAAATACCCAGTTTTCCCAAGAAAGAAGAAAATAAACTTCTAAATAAAGTTATTTTCTTAATTTTAAAAAGTTTTTATGTTAGAAACGCAAACATTCAAAAAGTAGTACAGATGTTTAGAGACCAACCAGGACAATAGTATCAAGGCCTGAAAATGTGACTGGTATACTAATAACCTCAACACTCATGCTCCCTACTTAAGAACCCCACACAGCCTGCATGTGAACGGTAATCATCTTTTTATATAAAAATGCAGGTGTTTATTAAGGATTATGGCCGACCTTTGATTTTCATGGGAAATATATCCAGATAACTTTAGTGACTTCACAAGTTGACAAAAAGTGTTATTTGCTTGAGCTCTCTAGCACTAAGATTTCTTTTAGTGTCCCTTTTTATGTTGCTGTTGGCTCATCAATGTTTCTGAATATTTGAGTGAAACTGCTGGTTGGTTGACAAGGGATACTCACTAGCAAACTAATCACAGACAAGCAAGTTGAATTTTTATTCAGCAGTTTTTTGGATATGGATTTAGTAGCACCGTTATTAGAATGCTGTTAATGAAAGGTAGAGTGATCATATGAAATAATCTTTAGAGACCTTTTAAAATGACTATTTTTCAGGAGTAGAGGTAAGCAAGAATGAGTTTTCAGGCTCCTAATTGAAATTGTGGTTTGGAGAACATTTTAATCCTCTAGGGTTGTCTTTGTAAAGGAAGTTGCTGCAGAGTAGCTCCCTTTGTATTAACAGGCAGTAGAGTTAGTTGTTTCAAGTGAGTTAGAATTTTAGAATTGGAACGACAGCATGTAATTAGTTGGAGAGTTCCTATGCCATTACGCTTTATAAAAAGTTATCTAGATGTGATATGACCAGTTGATCCCCTGTAATAAAAACAATTAATTTTCTAGAGAATTTTTATCTGCTGTATTCAATTTTCATAGCATAATGCTGAAGAAAATGTAATGAGTTTTTCACTGAGTTTCGTTGTTCCCATTCAAAAAGAACTATTTAAAAATCCATGTTGCTACTATTTGGGATGTTATAGATCCTGACAGGATAAATAAAACTTGCCACTAGTGTTTTTTTGAGACAGAGTCTGGCTTTGTCCCCCAGGTGTCTGTCCTCCAGGGTAGAGTGCAGTGGCACCATCTCAGCTCACTCTAACCTCTGCCTTCCAGGCTCAAGCCATCTTCCCACCTCAGCCTTCCAAGTAGCTTGGGACCGCAGGCATGCCCCATCACACCTGGCAAATGTTTGTATTTTTTGTAGAGATGGGGTCTTGCTTTGTTATCCAGGCTGGTTTCAAGCAATCCACCCACTTTGGCCTCCCACGGCCGGGGATTACAGGGGTGAGGCACTGTACCAGCCTTTACCACTAGTTATCTTGAAAAAATAAATGATTCAGCCCCTGTCCCATAAGGCAAATCTGATTGTTTGCCAGATTACCATAAACTCAGCAACATCAAAAAAAGACAAAACAAAAACCCAGCAATATTAACACTGAAACTTGCAGTCTTGCCTTAAGGTGTGGTCCTCAGTCTGAAGTGTATCAAGAGCCCCACTGACATCAGAGAGGCAATGTTTGAGTGGTTTGCAAAAAACAGCACAGCAGTTAAGAGTTAAATATTTCATCTTAAGGGTTTGAGTGGGTCTGTTTGTTTGCCTCATCTAAAGGCTAGCTGTTCGGGAGCAGGAAAGAAGAAAAGAAGCAAAGCCAGCAGTAAACACTTGAGGTTTGAGCTAGTATAGGCACTTAGGAGAAGTGGCAGTAAGGAGAAAGGAGACAACACCTCTGCATTCTGATTGAGTAAGAGGGTTTAGAGTTCTCTGTATCTAATATAATCAAAAGTGACATAGCTAGGACTGAAATTTAGATTTCTTGACTCATTTTCAAGTAGCACAGTGGGTAGGCACTCTGCAGAAACATTCCTATTGTTATGTGTTGATTTAAGTTAGTCCTTAGGGGCTTAAATGTCACTACTTCAAGAAAGGCCTTCTTGGATACTCAATCACCTCATACAGTCTCCTCTGTTTTGCATAGCATATATTTATTGGGTGATATTTGTATGTTTGTTTCCTAGTTTCTCTTCTTTTTATTGTTGAATTACTGACTGATGGCTAAGTGAGTACATAGAGGCAGAGACAAGTAGCTTTAAGGGTTTATAAGACCGCAGGAAAAAGTGAACAGCAATAGGTGTTTGTAAATCAGTTTGCTATAGATTCGTTATCTGTGTATGCTGTCAAGGCACACAAAATGCATCTGTGTAAATCAGCTGCTCATCACTGGACTGGATCATTTGTGTAGCAGTCTTTTACAATTGGCCTGTCTGCCTTAGAATAACTAGAGCCAGAGTTCATAAATGCATAGTATGAGAGCTATAGCCACTTCTTCATCTATGCAGATGCCACAGATGAAAGAGAATGTCACTCATTGACCTCAGGTTGGAGCCACAGTCAGTCCATTTGGATTAGTAAGCTAGATGAAATGTTGGCATGCAGGCCACAGTCTACGCAGGGTGCCTGTTCTTAGAAGAATCTAGGGTTGCCTTTATCTTTCTGGCTAGTGTTTTTGGAAGAGTTAGATTTGTTTGAGTCTGTATTGTTGTACATTGTGTCAGTTTTGAAATGATAATCTTGGAATGTTATGACTTTGTAGAAGGTTTTATTTGATTTGCTTCAGAAAAATAATTTCTGAGTTTTTTGTTTATCTGGGATGTTGGCCCATGGGGAGAATTTGGGCCATCAGGTAAAAGAAGCCTTAATTAATTATATCACTAAGGAATTTTGAAGTATTAGTTTAAAATTTTTGCACGCTACTTAATTCACTGTGATAATTACAGAAGAGCACTTTCTTTAGAAACAAAAATAAATCCATTGAAGTTTTGAGAAACTTTATTCTTTAGTAATAAGACTTAACTGCCCAAATGAATCTTTTATTTTTACTATGGATTCAGTGGAACATGGGCGGGTCTGTTCCATGGGTATATTTTGTGATGCTGAGGTTTGGGCTTCTACTGATCTTGTCACCCAAATAGTGAGCACAGTACCCAATAGATAGTTTTTCAGTCCTTACTCTCTCCCCACTTTTTGGAGTCTCCCATGTTTGTTGGGCCTATCTTTATGTCTGTGTGTACTCAGTGTTTAGCTCCCACTTTTTTTTTTTTTTTTTTGAGACGGAGTCTTGCTGTGTCACCCAGGCTGGAGTGCAGTGGCGTGATTTCAGCTCACTGCAACCTCCGCTTCCCTGGTTGAAGTGATTCTCCTACCTCCACCTCTGAAGTAGCTGTGACTACAGGTGTGTGCCACCACACCCAGCTAATTTTTTATTTTTAGTAAAGACAAGGTTTCGCTATGTTGGCCAGGCTGGTCTCGAACTCTTGACCTCAGGTGATCCGCCCGCCTCAGCCTCGAAAAGTGCTGTGATTACAGGTGTGAGCCACCACGCCTGACCAGCTCCCACTTATAAGTAAGAATATGCAGTTTTTGGTTTTCTGCTTCTGTATTAATATCGCTGAATCTTTTAACATGTACTTTTTAACTAAAATCCTTTGGGAAGGAATTATGTCTGTGGTTGGAAGTAAATCCAAATTTGCATATAAAACAGATCAAATTATTGATCTTTGCAAAATTATTTAAGGATTGTCCATAGTGTTCTGAAATTGGGAGAAAATGAACATTGTATATATGATTCTTGAAATGTTACTGTAGTGAATGATTATGAACATATTTTCTAGCACTTTAAAAAGACTGCTGCTGGGTGCCATGGCTCATGCCTGTAACCCCAGCACTTTGGGGAGGCCGAGGTGGGTGGATCACCTGAGGTCAGGAGTTCAAGACCAGCCTGGCCAACATGGCGAAACCCCGTCTCTACTAAAAATACAAAAATTAGCTCTGCATGGTGGCACGCGCGTGTAATCCCAGCTACTCGGGAGGCTGAGGCAGGAGAATTGCTTGAACCCGGGAGGCAGAGGTTGCAGTGAGCCGAGATCGTGCCATTGCACTTCATCCTGGGCGACAGGAGCAAAACTCCGTCTTGGGAGAAAAAAAGAGAGAGTGCTGTAAAGGGAATATCATATTTGAATATCATGTATGTGTTTGCAATAAATATTGTAAAGAAGAGGAAGATAAAGAATAGAATATTATTATACTTTGTCCCTCGGTAGATGCGGGGGATTGGTTCCAGGACCCCCTCTGTATATCAAAATCTGTACGTATTCAA
This sequence comes from Homo sapiens, assembly GCF_000001405.40. Classification (NCBI taxonomy): domain Eukaryota; kingdom Metazoa; phylum Chordata; class Mammalia; order Primates; family Hominidae; genus Homo; species Homo sapiens. The sequence goes on from NC_000003.12 coordinate 5,164,055, forward strand.
GTCCCGCAGTCGGCCCTGCACATATGAAAAGTTGTTCCCCACCCCCTATATATTAGGTGTTTGAATTCCATGAATACTGTATTTTTGATCTGCATTTGTTTGGAAAAAATCCATGTGTAAGTGGACCCATATGCACTTCAAACCTGTGTAGTTCAAGGGTTAACTTTAGTTATAACTCTTCTACTTTTTCCTGAACTAATTGTCAGAATTCTTTATGATTGATTCTGTTCATGAATTTTACTATTATTATTACTGTAGTAGGTAATAGGTGGTAGTGGCATGACTGATTTGTCTTCTGTTTTGAGATGCACTTGATATAATAAAGAATGAGGTAGTATTTGATTATTTCTATTTAAAATTTGTTTTATTTGGAAATTATTTAAAATTTATAGAAAAGTTGCAGAAATAAATGCATTGCAAACAGCACTCATACCCCTTTCTAGGATCAAACTGTGGTTAACATTTTACCTCATTTGCTTTCTGATGTGTATTTGTATCACCTTACAGCATTCAATTTTCTGAAACATCGGAGGGTGAGGCCCTTGTTTTCTAAGTATGTAGTTTCTAAGATTAGGGATGTTCTTTTACATGAGTATAGTTAAGTTACCAACTTTAGTACATTTAAAAGTTGATACATCATAGATTTTACCTATTCCATTTTTGTCAGTTGACCCAATAATATCATTTGTTGCCATTTTTGTCCTTCAGTACTGGATCCAACTAGGATCAGGTACCTTTTGGATGCAGTCTAGGATCATGTACTGCTTTTAATTGTCATGTCTCTTTAGCCTCTGTTAGTCTGAAACATTTCTACAGCTTTTCTTTTTCTGGCATTGACATTTTTGAAAAATTCACACATAACCCTTCTTTTAAATAGAGTGTTCCTCGTTTTGGGTTTGTCTGATGATTAGATTCTGTTATATATTCTCAGCTGGAATACTACATAGGGGATATTGTGTCCTTCTAATGGTATGGTGTCTGTAGGCACATGATGTTAATCTGAGCATCATTGAGATACTAATTTTAATCACACAAAGTGTTGCCTGATTTCTCCATTGTATAATACTAGTTTTCCCCATCTTGCAGCTAATGATCAGTTTGTGGGGATACACTTTCAGACTGTGAAACTTCTTGCTCTTCATCAAAATTTCCCCCTAGACGAGTATCTTATTACCTTCCTTTTAAGTACTTTGCTAGCAAAAAAAAAATTGTTTGTAATTCTTTTTCTTACTAATGTAAATTGAAATAAAAAATTCTACTTACTACAGAAATACAGAAAGCATAATACTAATTTGAAAAATGAGTATTGGTAATTATAGTGACTTCATATAGGAATTAAAAGTTCTTAGAAGGAAAAATGACTAATTTGGGTATTTAGTTGGTCATATCCTCTCGTTTGCCCAGTGTGTGAATTTTGGAATTAAACAATTGAGTCCTAGTGTGTTTTGTTTTAAAAAGAAAGAAAAGACCACTCTGTTTAGCATGTGAAAAGTAGCTTCTTCTGTACTGTACCAAAGGAAAAAATCTAGTATGAGGCTTTGTCATGCTCCATATTTCATTCTGTCTTCACAAAGTGGCTTGATAACTACACCCTTAAAAAATGATTCTTAGAGGAAAAAAACCATGAGACATTTGTTAAAGTAGGTATTTTTCTATTTGTCTTTTCAAGTTTATTGTATTGTATTGGACCGCTGCTATAGATGGACAGGTCAAGCAAAGAGAAACTTCATTTCCCATGCTGTTGTTAATAGCTTGCTTTCTGCATGTCTTCATTTAAAAGAACAATTGTGAAATCTAACCTAATCCATTTAGTACTACTCTACTTTGAAAGCACTAGAACATATGAAGAGGATTTCACTGTGTTCTTTCCAGTGTCAGATATCACTGTTTACAAGTAGTCAGTGCACAGTACATCTCTGGTATATTAACCTGTTTACAAAGAATAGTTGCACCCGCCCCCTCACCCGTTTCTATTGTCTTAAGATATCTTTTTTTTTTTTTTTTGAGACGGAGTCTTGCTTTATCACCAGACTGGAGTGCAGTGGCGTGATCTTGGCTCGCTGCAACCTCCGCTTCCCGGGTTCAAGCAATTCTCCTGCCTCAGCCTCCCAAGTAGTTGGGATTACAGGCACGCGCCACCACCCCCAGCTAATTTTTGTATTTTTAGTACAGACGGGGTTTCACTATGTTGGCCCAGGTGGTCTTGATTTCTTGACCTCGTGATCCACCCACCTCGGCCTCCCAAAGTGCTGGGAGTACAGGTGTGAGCTGCTGCGCCTGGCTGGTATCTTTCGTTTTTTTTTTTTTTTTTTTGGTAATGCTCTGTGGCCCAGGCTGGAGTGCAGTGGTGCCATCTCAGCTCACTGCAACCTCCGCCTCCTGGGTTCAAGCGATTGCATCAGCTTCCGGAGTAGCTGGGACTACAGGCAAGCCCCACCATGCCTGGCTAATTTTTTATATTTTAGTAGAGGCAGGGTTTCACCATGTTGCCCAGACTGGTCTTGAACTCCTGAGCTCAGGCAATCCACCTGCCTTGGCCTCCCAAAGTGCTGGGATTACAGGTGTGAGCCACCGCGCCCAGCTGTCTTAAGATATCTTTAGTAAAGTGTCCTTTCATTACTGGAGGTTCACCGCCTCATGTCTTCAGTCTTCCTGCTGTTAACTTTGGTTGCTGTCTGTACGTTCTTCACCATTTTCCATTTGTCTCATTTCTGAGATCTCTAGTAGAAAATGTAGGTAAGTGCTGCAAAGTGGAGTGTTGGCACTGATAGAACTTTCTAGGACAAGGTCTGCTTTAGCCTTTGGTATGCTAATGAATTTGGGAAAAGCCACATTTTTCTGCTGTTGTAGCATTCATCTCCTTGCTTACCTGTATTTTAAATGAACGGCCTATGAATAGAACATAAAACCATAAACGTTAGGGCTGGAAGTGACTGGAGATACTCTTCCAATTTCCTTTTTCTAGATAAGGAAGCTGAATCCCAAGGTCACATGACTTGCATCTAGTTAGTAAGTAGCATAATTGTTAATAAGATTCCCTGACTTTGAGAATAATCTTCTTTTCACCATCTTATTTTGCTTCAGATTTATTTTGTTCAACCAAGTTCCAGGTACACTGCCTTGCAACTTTGGCTTATAGGAGGGTAAGCATTATGACAGTGACAGCTCCATCTGCCATCACAGAATCACAGCGAGTGCCACGTGTGATCATGGCATTTAAGAAGGCAGGCATGAAAGCATACAGTAGTCCCTCTTATCCATGGTTTTGCTTTCCAGTTTCAGTTACCTATGATCAACCTCTGAAATAATAATGACTCTAAAGCAGAAGAGTACTGTGCCTAATTTATAAATTAAGCTTTATCATAGGTATGTATGTATTGGGAAAAACATAGTGTACATAGGGTTAGGTTCTATCTGTGATGTCAGGCATCCACTGGGGTTCTTGGAACGTATCCCCCAAGGATAAGGAGGGACTACTTACTTTTATTTTTCTACTCTTTCCCCCCCAAGTCAGATTAACTCATAATTATCCAGATCTTAAGAACAATGTGACTTTAGGCAAGTGACTTAAGCTGACTTTGCCTTGTTTTTCTCATCTGAGAAATGAAGATAATGCTACTCATTTCATTGGGTTGTTATAAGGATTAAACTATGCTGATGAATGTTAAGTGCTTAGTATTACGTGTTTGTTAAATTTGTTAAAATAAGTAGAATGATATACTACTAAGTAGTATTTTCTAAACATCTGTTTCCCAAACCTGTAGTCTTAATTAAGCAGCTTCTTGACAGCTCAGACATAAATTCTCAGGTATCTAGTGCCCAGTTGCCAACTGAGTGGTTATAGTTGTTCAACACAAGCTTTGAAAAGTGATGATTAAGATTGGACACTAGGAAAGAAGTAGAAAATACTTCCAGGTCCATAAAGTAATTATTGCACAAAATTCATGCATCAAAGTTAAGCACTTTATTGGCAGAAGAGTTCCAGCATTTTCCTCCTTCATGGCCTATGTTTTTTTTGAGACATGCTCTCACTCTATTGTCTAGGCTGGAGTACAGTGGCACAATCTTGTCTTAAAGTCATATCGTTCTTAAGATCTCAACCTCCACCTCCCAGGCTCAAGCAATCCTCCCACCTCAGCCTCCCTAGTAGCTGGGACTACAGGTGCATATAACCATGCCTGGCTAATTTTTGTATTTGTAGAGAGAAGGTTTTGCCGTGTCACCCAGGCTAGTCTTGAACTCCTGGGCCGCAGCAACCTGCCTGTCTCAGCCTCCCAAAGTGCTGGAATTACAAGCTTGAGCCACTATGCCTGGCCCTAATAACTCTTAGTTTGTTCAACAAATATTTATTGAATATCTTGCTCTACTCAAGAATTTTGGAGTAAAAACTCAAGGACTTGATTAGCTAATTTTCGGTTTTTGCATGTTAGCAGTAGCAGCTGAGTTACAGGAAAGTTGTTAGGGTTGGCCAAGGTAAAGAAAAGAGATAAATGAACCCCTGAGAAAGCTCGGGGGTACCCCAGTATACTGCAGCCCCCTACATTATTTTATTATGAAGTGCTGTAGTTGATGTTCATAATCATAAAACTTTACCTCCAATAGGGAGGGCCCTTGAGTGTTATCTAATTTAGTTTTCTTGTTTTGCAATAGATAAACTGACCCAGAAACATTGAGAACACATTAAATCATGTTCTATAGGTTGTTTGTGGGAAGTTAGCCAAGTGTATATTGCCTTTTAGAAAGCTTTCCATGCAAGCTAGTTGTAAAGTTTGGTACCTAAAAATTTTAGCTACTATTTTTCCTGCCTCTTCATTATGTAAAACACTTAATGATATGAAATAAATGAGCATTATCTCACGTAGATCTCTCCTCAGAGATTAAAGCCTATCACAATAAATATAATTACAATGAAAATATTTAAGAAAAATATAATCACGATTTAGCCATGTGACCTTGGGACTCTACTACCTGTTCTATGAAATGATAATGATAATTGTCCCTCCCTGTATGATGACTAGTTTTTTAAAAATTTTGGTAAAATACATAAAACACAAAGTATCATCTTAGTCATTTTTAAGTGTGCAATTCAGTAGTGTTAAGTACATTCACATTGTGTAACCATCACCACTGTCCACTTCTAGAAATTTGTTATCTTTTCAAACTGAAACTCCATACCCATTAAGCAAATTAATATCTTCTGTCTTTATGAATTTGACTATTTTAGGTACCTCATAAAGTGAAATACAGTGTTTGTGTGTGTGTGTGTGTGTGTGTGTGTGTGTGTGTGTGAGTGTGTGAGACTTCTGGCTCATTTCATTTAGCAAAATGTCTTCATTTCTTTTGAGTGTATATTCAGAAGTTGAATTGCTGGATCATATGATAATTCTATTTTTAGGTTTTTCAGGAACTGCTATACCATTTTTCATAGCAGCTATACCATTTTGCCTTCCTGCCAGCAGTATACAAGAGTTCCTATTTCTCTGCATTCTTTCCAGTGCTTTCTGTTTTTTTTCTTTTCCTCTTAATAGTAGCCATCCTACTGGATGTTAGGTGGTATCTCTTTGTGGGTTTGATTTGCATTTCCCTAATGATTAGTGAGTCGAACGTCTTTTCATGAGTTCATTGGCCATTTATCTTTTATCATGGCTTACTTTTGATATAACTAGTTTAGATAGAATGACTAGATTTTCACATATAATCACATATGTGAAAGTCCTGAGAATTATAATGTCTTATATAAGTGAAAGTAGTGACTATGGCTGTGTTAACATTTTTTCTGAAGTTAATAAAACTCCACTGAACAGTTAAAAGAGGCACAATTCGAGTTCTGTATAGGAAGTTATTTGTACAGTTGGAATTCGTTGTGCTCAAGATTTAAGACAATTTTGGAATACATGTGTATGTGGCTAGCATAAGGCCATAGCAGACAATACTCATGACATTGAGATAAGTAACCAAAAAGAGAACAAAATTGATTACATAAAAGGAAAAACTTCTGTATGACAAAATATTTTATAAGCCTTATTAAAAGACAGACTTGGAAATGCTGTTTAGCAGTGAATTTTAATAGTTACTGTCAGAATAATTTAAATGCTGAAAGTTTTATTTCTGATCTCATCTACTTTGTGGAAATGTACATCTAGGTGAACACATTTAAAAATTTTCGTATGTATTTGTCATATAAAATTCTTTTAGCATAAGGAAATATGTAAAAAATTACATTAGTTTCAAAAATATCTTTTTTAGATGGAAGAATATATCTTTGTTGGGACAAAATAATGCATCTCTTCAAGAATTATGGCCATAAGGAACATGTTCTTAAAGTAGATTGTTACCAATGGTAAAAAAATATTTACTAAAATGGTTACAAATGCAATGTTGATATTAGAAGTTTATGCAGTGTCATTATAAGTGAGTAGCCTAACTTCAAATGTTTTATTTTGTTCAGTCAGGTCAATTCAGTGAAGATATGATACCCACAGTGGGCTTCAACATGAGGAAGGTAACTAAAGGTAACGTCACAATAAAGGTAAGTTATTTCTTGCCGTACGCAATTTAAATTGTTAGCACAGACCCCTAGAAATTTTTCTGTTAAATTTCTGTGTTTTTACTGAAAATTTGCAGTTTTTCAGTAATGAATGTGCATGTTTCAAAAGAATAGGTTTTTTTGTTGTTGTTTTTTTGTTTTTTTTTTGGAAACAGAGTTTTGCTCTTTCACCCAGGCTGGAGTGCAGTGTCGCGATCTCCACTCACTGCAACCTCTACCTCCCGGTTCAAGTGATTCTCCTGCCTCAGCCTCCAAAATAGCTAAGATGACAGGCTTGTGCCACCACACCCAGCTAATTTTTTGTACTTTTAGTAGAGACAGGGTTTCACCATGTTGGTTAGGCTCGTCTCAACTCCTAACCTCAAATGATCTGCCTGCTACGGCCTCCCCAAAGTGCTGGGATTCCAGGCGTGAGCCACCACGCCTGGCCAAGAATAGATTTTTAATCTATTTTGTTTTTCAAAAATCAAATCTATGGCCTGAGCCTTAATGTCCATTTTGCCCAATTATTGTGGTTTACAGAAGCTGTTCACTTTCTCTGTGGCTCATCTAATGAAGTTCCAGATTTAGTCAAGTGCAGGTTTCTTTATGCTTGTTACCAGTGCTTTAGTTAAACCGGAAGCCTCTTGAAGATTAATACTGTGACTTGAGACTTTAATGTAGCCCAGTGTCTAGTGTGATGCCCTACGGAGTAGACACAATAATAAAATGATTATGGATGTGGCTTTCATGTGCATAAAATAATTTTATTTTATTTTATTTTTTTGAGATGGAGTTTCACTCTTGTTGCCCAGGCTTGGAGTGCAATGGTGTGATCTCGGCTCACTGCAACCTCCGACTCCCAGGTTCAAGTGGTTCTCCTGCCTCAGCCTCCCGAGTATATTACAGGCACCTGCCACCACACCTGGCTAATTTTTTGTATTTTTAGTAGAGATGAGGTTTCACTGTGTTGGCCAGGCTGGTCTCGAACTCCTGACCCCAAGTGATCCACCCGCCTCGGCCTCCCAAAGTGCTGGGATTATAGGTGTGAGCCACCATGCCTGACCAAAATAATTTTATACAAGAAAAACACCTATGTGGAAATGTTGGCTACTTATTTACAGGATAATTTCAAAAGGTTAGGCATTAATGTAGAACAAATCAGACGATTAAGACTTAATAGATTCTGAATTGTTGTTTTCTGTCTTGGCATTCAAATCTGGATGGTGCATGGTCCTGTAGCTTTTAAATTGTTATCATAAAGACATATGTTTTCAATAATAGAAGTATATTAGTTAACAGGCAAACTATTGCACATAAACCAAATCTTTGCTTAAGCAAAATTTTAGATGTATTGTAAATGTATTAAATACGGACTTCAAGTTTAGAAGTGGCCCCAAGAATTCCCATATTAAGAGCTTGTTTGAGGTCAAGTCTTTCAGGAGCACTTTGCCTCTAACATTGTAGAAATAAATATATCTTCCCGATCTTTCTTTTTTTCTGTTACTTCCTCTTGCAATCATTTAATTAAAATATCTTTATTAAGAATTGCCTTGTTTTGATTTAAAGATCTGGGACATAGGAGGACAACCCCGATTTCGAAGCATGTGGGAGCGGTATTGCAGAGGAGTCAATGCTATTGTGTAAGTGGTTTTTTTTTGTTTGTTTGCTTTTAAATCAATGTAGGCATCAAAGAAGAAAGTTTATTTTAGTATTTCCAGAGGCTCAATTTTTATCTCAGGCAGTGAAAATCTTTCTTAGCTAATATCCTAGTGTAATTCCCAACATGGGATTTAAAAAAAATTAATCATAGAATAAGATCTTTATGTTTTTTGTTTATGGAGCTAAGAGCTAAGGGGTGTACATGTTTTACTATCATGTATTAGTCTCTAAAAACAGTCTAGTTAAAAAGTATTAAAGGGTGCTGAGCCTTTTCTTATGACATAGTTTATTTTGGTTAATAATTTCAATAATGTAAATCTTACAAAAATTAAAAATCAATAATACTAGTTGTCATCATCAAGGCATACAGAGAAGGTATGTTGAGATCACTTCATTTTTTTAAGTTACATGATAGATGCTGCAGATCGTGAAAAGATAGAAGCTTCCCGAAATGAGCTACATAATCTTCTAGATAAACCACAGTTACAAGGAATTCCAGTAAGTATGGAATACTTGTTATTTTACATTGTAATTATATAATGATATTAATTATGGTAATTATGCAGTGATATTAATTATGTTTGAAATCAGTAACATGTCTTCATTTTTAAAATCTGGAAAACTTGCTTACCATGTATCTGCCATATACTGGGCATTGTGCTAAATATGAATCTCATAACCACGTATCTACTAAACTACTATGCAGCAGGAGCAGTGCGTAGGCCCAGGGATATAGTGATGAATGGAAATCAGTAGAAACATACTCCTTGCCATCATGGACCTTATGGTTTAGTGGGAAAGGTAGATACTCTGAAAACACTTGAATAATGCAGCTTTAAGTGCTAGGAAGAAAGGTGCAAGGGGATATGAGAGTTGTAATTTAGAGGGGAGATGTGATCTAGTTTGAGGGAAGAAGGAGGGATTCACGAGGAAGTAATGGTTGAGCTGAGATCCAAGGGATACATACAAATGTGAGGTATATGACAGTTGGAGGGGAAGAGAGTTCCAGGCAAAGGCCTTTGGGTGGGAGGAAGTGGGAAACTGAGAAGAGGCCAGTCTCTAGAATACATTTAGGAATTTGCATTTGGATTAGGAATGCTCAACCAGTAAGTATATAATGCAAATCCAAAAAATTTCCAAAATTCGAAACACTTCTGGTCCCAGGTATTTTGGATAAGGGATAGTAAACCTGTACTAAGAATAGCAGAATGCCGCCGGGCGCGGTGGCTCATGCCTGTAATCCCAGCACTTTGGGAGGCCGAGATGGGCGGATCACCAGGTCAGGAGATCGAGACCATCCTGGCTAACGCGGTGAAACCCCGTCTCTACTACAAAAAATCAGCTGGGCGTGGTGGTGGGCGCCTGTAGTCCCAGCTACGGCAGGAGAATGGCGTGAACCCGGGAGGCAGAGCTTGCAGTGAGCCCAGTGGCTGCTGCACTCCAGCCTGGGTGACAGAGCGAGACTCTGTCTCAAACAAACAAACAAACAAACAAACAAACAAAAAGAATAGCAGAATGTGTATCATAGACTCAGACTATTTTACATAGCAGTTGGCAGCCACATACTGAATTAAGAGCACCTGCATGGTGGGAGTTGAGTGAATACAAGTGTGAGCAATGAAATGAATGAGACAAGCCACCAGTTACACAAATAGGCCTTAACATTGTGGAATGTGTTAACATCTTAACTTTGTGTCTTCACATATCAAGATGATAAACTTCTGTGACTTTTTCTTGCATAAACGTGTGCTCTTAATATCTTTTCTTTTTAAAGGTGCTAGTGCTTGGAAACAAGAGAGATCTTCCTAATGCCTTGGATGAGAAACAGCTAATTGAAAAAATGTATGTCTTGAATATGCTATTTTAATAATTTGCTTCTAAATTACCATATTTTGCCCACTTGTTATGTTATTCCTAATGATCATAGCCATTTTTTTTAGGTAGATAAAAGTTGGCCTATCAGAGAAGTGAATCCTAACATTTTAGGATTGCTACGATGATTTCTTCAGTATAGTAATAAAACTAATGAGTAAAATTGAACAAAGTGATAAGTATGACAGCTGTTCTAAGCACAGACTTATCCTTTTAATTCTTCTCATAGGAATCTGTCTGCTATTCAGGATAGAGAAATTTGCTGCTATTCAATTTCTTGCAAAGAAAAGGATAATATAGGTAAGAAATGACTGGTAATTTTGGAAGAAATGGGTATCATTGGAAGGAATGTCTATGCTTCTTACAGCTTATTGTCTCGATTTCTCATTAAGTGACTTCCTTTTCAGAATACTGTTGCTTTTGCCTGAGAAAAAAGAATAGACATACCTTTTGACAACAAATATAGTGAACCTTCACTTAACATCATTGATGGCTTCTTTGAAATTGCAATGTTATCTCTCTCTCTCTCATACAAATATATATATAATATAATATATGTAATATGTATTATATATTATATGTAATATATATGTAATATGTATTATATATTATATGTAATATATATGTAATATATAATATATATAAATATATATTATATATAACATAAATATATATATATAAATAATATTATATGTATATGTATTTTTTGAGACAGTGTCACTCCTTCACCCAGGCTTGAGTGCAGTGGCGTGATCTCGACTTACTGCAACCTCTGCCTCCTGGGTTAAAGCGATTCTTGTGCCTCAGCCTCCTGAGTAGCTGGGACTACAGACGTGCACCACCACGCCCGGCTAATTTTTGTATTTTCAGTAGCGACAGGGTTTCCATGTTGCCCAAGCTGGTCTTGAACTCCTGACCTCAAATGATCCAACTGCCTCGGCCCCCCAAAGTGTTGGGATTACAGGTGTGAGCCCGGCCTATATGTTATCAAACTCTTGAACAGCAAAAAATTTTTTAAAAAGAGGAAATTGCACTTTTAAGCGAAATGACATACAGTAGGCCCTCATTTCGTTCAGCGTTACAATGTTAATGAGAAAAAAATAGTTTTGTTATACACCATTTCACTTAAAGTGGCAGTTTCCAAGAACCTATCAGTGATGTTAAGTGAGGACTGAATGTATAACATCCTGAATCTTCTTTGTGCTATTTAAAGAAGAAAATGCAATAAAGTCGTGAGGTTAAGATTATGTGATACCAATTTATTGTGTTAATTTTTGCAGAGCTAGTATCCCGCTGTGCTTTATAACAAAATGGCATTTTTGAAATAAGACTTTACAAAAATTAGTCTACAGGCACTACAACAATTTTTCAGTTATTGAACCAGTATATTACTGCAATATGTTAGCACTCTATTGGAATTATATGCCCAAAATACCCTTCATTTACTCAATGCCCATATTAACTTCTTAGAACTGCCATAACAAAGTACCACAAACAAGGTGGCTTAGAACAGCAGAAACTTAAGTCATTCAAAATTCTAGAGGCTGGAAGTCCAAAATCAAGTTGTCAGCAGGGTCGTGTTCTCTCTGAAGGCTGTAGAAGATCCCTCCTTGCCTCTCTCTAGCTTGTGGTGGTTGCCAGCAATCCTTGGCATTCCTTCACTTGTAGATATACCACTCCAGTCTCTGCCTCACATTCATGCTTCTCCCCTGTAGTTGTCTCTGTGTCAGTGTATTATGTTTTCCTAAGGACGCAAGTCACTGGATTAGGTAGGGCCCACCTAATCCAGTATGACCTTATCTTAACTAATAACTTGCAGAGACCCTATTTCCAGTAAAAGTCACATTCTGAGGTTCTGGATGGACATGACTTTTTAGGGGGACATTAAACATTCTAGCATAGTATGGTTACAGAATAAGTATGTATGGCTCAACTTTAGTTTCTTAACTAATTTGGTTTGAGATGATTTGATAAATGAATGTATTGGAACAAAATGTAATAAATAGTACCAGAATAGTATATCTATAAAGTTTATGCTGATATTTTTTCTTTAGCTTTTGTATTCCAGTCTATCCTTCCCTAACTCACCTTCCACCCCGCCTGCAAACATGGCTTTATTTATTTTTATTTTTTTAAGATGGAGTCTCACTCTGTCGCCGTGGCTGGAGTGCAGTGGCAAGATCTTAGCTCACAGCAACCTCCACTTCCCGGGTTCAAGTGATTCTTGTGCCTCAGCCTCCTGAGTAGCTGGGATTACAGTTGCCCACTACCACGCCTGGCTAATTTTTGTATTTTTAGTAGAGACAGGGTTTCATCATGTTGGCCATGCTGGTCTTGAACTCCTGACCTCAGGTGATGCACCTGCCTCAGCCTCCCAAAGTGCTTAGATTGACAGGCATGAGCCACCACGCCCAGCCACAAATATGCTTTATTCAGTTTAAAGTGTGGATAGTCGTTCTGGCTAATTTTGGGCTTCCTTTAAAGACCATCCAGGGCAGTCTCAGCCTTAGTAACAGCGGATAGACACAAATTTTCCTTTATAAATGGATAGAATAATTCACTTGTTACATTGGGAGCATTTATTTGAGAACAGACTCCTCAAGCACTTGTGGTTACTTAGACTTTATTTAAAAGTTTTTTCTCTATGTGGCGGGGAAAACTCTTTTTAAAATTTAAGATATGCCCCATGAGAGCATTTATTTCTACATCAGTGGTTCTCAATGGGGAGCTTTTCCCCCAGGAGACTTGACAATGTCTGGAGACATTTTTGGTTGTCATAACTAGGAGGGTGATGCTGGCATTTAGTGGGTAGATACCAGAAATGTAGCTAAACATACTATAACCTCCACAGCAAAGAATTATCCAGCATAAAATGTCAGTTGTGGCAAGGTTGAGAAATCCTGTTCTACACTAACCGTAATTTTTAGTCCATTGTGCTATTTTGTAAATCCATTACTCCCTACATGTTTTCTGTTTTTCCATTGTTACAAACTAGTTGGATACTTCCTGAAAAAAAAACAAAATCTCTTGGGCTCATATATGGAAGTGCAGTAGAGCTGTGAGGACTTCTTTCGCTATTTGAGGCTGATCTTTATAGTTGGCTAAATAGCTCAGTAGTAATTTTAGAACTCCTGGCTCACTTAAAAGGTTGTCAAGCCCAAGGAATCTGATCCAGTCTAATAAGATCCACTCTAATAAAATTCGAAATAAGTATTTTGTAGATCAGTTCATCTGAGTATCTTATTTCTGTTGTCTTTTTGCCTATTCATAAAGATCCATTTGTCTTTAGGATATGAACTTCTATCAGTATCCACAGAGGCTTTGTGTAATTTTTTAGTGAATTTCTTTTTTTTTTTTTTTGAGATGGAGTTTCACTCTTGTGGCCCAGCTGGAGTGCAGTGGCGCAATTTTGGCTCACTGCAACCTCCGCCTCCTGGGTTCAAGTGATCTCCTGCCTCAGCCTCCCGAGTAGCTGGGATTACAGGCGCCCGCTGCCGTGCTCGGCTAATTTTTGTATTTTTAGTAGAGATGGGGTTTCACCATGTTGGCCAGGCTGGTCTCAAACTGCTGACCTCAGGTGATCACCTGCCTCGGCCTCCCAAAGTGTGGGATTACAGGTGTGAGCCACCGTGCCCGGCCATGAATTTCTTAAATATTTAAATTTGGTTATTTCACTTCAGATTTACCTTTCTCCCATTCAGTTCCAATGAGTGTGGCTTTGCTCGTATTGTGCACTGTTGTCCCCATTTTAAGGTGCAGAGGTGCTTCTTCAGTAGTTGGGTTAAATCATTGCTTCCACAATGGTGAACAGTTCATGTTTGTTATAGCTCAGCCCTGTGGTGTTTCGTTAATGCATGTTAGCTGGGAAACTGGTAGTGAATTTACCCTCATCTTTCAGGCTTGGAGAATAGAGTGGTGCTTCTGATAGACTCTCATGTACCCTTCTGAAGAAGTGAGGACAAGAATTACCCAGCCCCAGATGTCAAAAGGGCATGGTGTGAACCCTGCACCAGCCTTGGCAGTGACAGCCTCCTCTCCCATCCCTGTGCTTTAGTCACATTGTATCACTCACAATCCATCCAGAGCTCCACAATGTTTCATGCCTTTTAACATTCTTTTGCTGTTTTTTTTTTTTAACCTGGAGTTCTGTGGGGTGGCCCCCAAGCCCCGGGAATTACTGCATCTTTTCTGTGTATTATACTTAAAAGCGCCTTGAGGGCAAACAGGGGTTATTCCTTTTTTTTTTTTTTTTTTTTTGCCTTCCTGGCAATTTGCATGCAACACCTGATTGATTGTGTGGGCAACACATAAAAGGTGGCACCAGCCGTCCTATACACAACTTAATTTTTAAATCAGAAAACGCTTCAGTCTCTGATAATTCCTCATATTCTCTTGAAGTTCGGGTAATGGAGTATGGTAATGCAGATGCAGAAAAGCAGCAGAGGTCAGGCATAGTGTGTGCCTTGAATTAGCTGCCTTTTAAATATTGTCTCTGTTTGATGTTTAGTTTTTTAACTTTAATGTCTTCACTTTTCCCCTCTATCTTTAGATATCACACTTCAGTGGCTTATTCAGCATTCAAAATCTAGAAGAAGCTGAAGCATCTCCTGAAGTCTTCCAGTCCTTCTTGGCTATAATCCTAGAATTATTGTCCGTTCCTCTGAAGTAATTCCCAGAATACGGTCCTTCCTAAACCCCAGAAATTGCCTTTTTCAGAGTTTATTTCTCATGTGCACTGCTGAAGATGAATATCCCTAATCCTTCATAAAGAATCAGCTAGAGTTGTCATGATAAAGTCAGCACACACAAAAAGGCTTCTTACACATACCTGTCTTAAACCATGTGTAGAGCTTTAAAAACAGAAAAAAAACCCCATATACTTATGACCATCTTAAATCAAGAAAATTGCATATTTCCATTCTGGTCTTTCTGGGCCAGATTTTTATATTGGTTTTCAGTAAATGTCTATCTATAATATTTCATTATAGAGTCCAGTAGCTTAATACTGACACTGACTTGATACAGCATGAAGTTTCTAGTGCCACACACAGTATTTAGAAAACCTTTAGGCGTGAATGACTCATGTGGGATATATGTAAACATAATGTTTATTTTATCTCACAAATGCATGTGAAATGTATAATTACATCTTAGGAATCCAAAATGGTCTGCAGAGAGTGAGCGGAGGCACCAGATCAATGTTGGTTCTTTGCACTGGTGAGATTCTGCCTGATGAATATTAAAGATATCCTGCTTTCTGAGAACTCTATCACCAGATGGCAGTTGGGATATGGGAGGAACTAAAGCATCCTGTTTTGTATCTGTCCAGATCATTATTTCTGTCTCTTGTTTTTTCTTCCTGGTTCAGGATACTTTTTTAAGGGGTTGAGAATTGAAGATTTTCCAAAAGCGTTCATGAATTTAGAGCATTCCACCCAATATAATAAAACCTGTTAAGAATGTCAGTCTTTGTTCAAACATCTGTTTGTTCTATCTCCAGTCATTAAATCAGTGCTGCTGCATGACACTCTTAACTCCTGACTTTTTATATCCAGTCATAAAGTTGACTTTCAGCACAAAAGATACTTATAAACAAATAAAAAATTTTTATTTTTCTCTCTTACTGATGTAAGCTTTGGCACTCTTTTGACTGGTGCCATTAGACATCTTGATTATTGTGACAACTCTAGACCTGCCTGCTTTATCTAATGTAATCATGCTCAATGTCTACAGGTTGTTTAATAATCAGTCACACAGAGAACTGAGGAACTGATGCTGTTTGTTTGCTTCTATGATACAGAGATGTCTAAAAACTTCAAATGGACATGTTTTGTAGTTTAGCGACTTCCGTATACATAAAGGGACATATTAATACTGGTTCATTTGTAAATTATTATTCATATAGACCACTGTAGTAGATAAAACTCTATGGTACACCTGCTTATGTGTTGCCTCACACTGTGTGTGATTTTGTTTCTTTTGTTAAGCAGCACTTATGTAGACTGCATTTCCAAATGTGTTGAGCACTCAGAGTGTAGTCAACAGTAAGTTCTTTTAATGAATATCAGTTTTAATTTATAGACTGCCATGGCCTTAAAAATATTCTGTACAATATACTGCACTGTGTTGCACAGACACTACTTGCTTTTCTCCATTCATATTTTTATGAGTAGAATCTGGGCTTTTAAATTTCTCTTCTTATTCTTTGAAGCATGTTGCATACTACCCTGGTGGGATGGATGGTTCTGTAAATGAAGGGATATTTAAACTTGCTACTGTTGTTCAACACCATTAATGGTCAGTGTGAACCATTACAAAGAATGTGGCAACTTGCTTGTGCCTAAAAGGAGGAATTGGAACTAGAATGTGTGACTCTGTGGGGACTGCATAGGTTTGTTAATTGACCTATAGCTAAACCTTAATGTGTTTGTGTGTCTATACATTGCTTTCCGCATTTCAAGACATCCAGACGCTATTACCAACATTTTCCTGTGCATTAACCTCTGCATGTGAAAACTTTTAACAGTTACTGAACTATGTAAATATGTGAATTTTTTTATTTAGGTGGATGCATTTTTTGTCTGTTTACTGCTCTTCTCAGCTTTATTCAATAAACTTGCATTTTAAGGGTTGTATTGGCAATTTTAACTTAAAATGTGCATCATGATGGAAGGTGCAGACTTTTTTGGAAGTTTCCGAGAGGAGGGTCTATAGACCATTTGTCAGAAATCAGATCAGCCCTCAAAGAATGGGGTCTGTGGGCTAGTTAAAATAGAAATAAACTTTTAAAATATCCACAGAATTGATATTGTGATTTTTTGGGGGCGGGGGAAATGCTACTACTTGTCAACGGTCACAATACACCAAATTTAGGACTTTAAGTGGCAAGTGCTAGTAAAACATTTTATGTCCCAGTTTTTACAAATCAAACCAAGACCCTGCTAAGCAAATGAAGTTGCAAGACATGCCTATTCACTGACTTCAGTTCAGAATGGAAATATTTTAAGTACCGAACATGCTGGTTTTCCCACAAAGGCACATTTTTAGCATAAAGCTTTTTGCTAGTTTGGTATCATCTGCCCATAAAATAAGTCAATACTTGAGCTATTGGAAAAATAATTGTGTATATTTTTATTTGTTTAGAAAGGTTCAGTTAGCATTTTCTCCATACGCATACTACAATTCTGTACAGCCAACCCTTAGTGGCCAGTTGGATGCATGATTTCGCGTTTATTTCCCTGGAACGTCACGTTGATGTGTTTTTGTCTTTTCACTGCATTACTGGAGCCATGTAGTCAAGCATCAAGTTTCATCCACTTCTCACCATTCTCCTACCAAGGGGGTGAGTGTGTGAGAGTTGAGGGTGAGGATGGGGGAACACGGAGGATATACATTTAGCTTAATTCTAAATGTGTATCTGCTTTTAAAAACTTCTAAACTTATAAAGTTGGTCTTTGATTCTGTCAAGTAAATTGGGTGTTTGAGGAACTAACTGCTTTGTCTGTTTGCTCCATGTAGGATTGAGTTACACTGATACCCTGTTGATTTGGTAATTCCAGCTGCTCCAAGGGTCTGGTGGGTTCAGAACTGGAATGGAAGCTTAAACATAATGTAGTGGGCATCATGCTGTAACATCCAGTTGGCCAAATGCTTTACTCTAAAAATGTGCCACAGTGGGGAAAGCACGATGTTTGATGTTTAAAATGTTTTTGTTATGTTACAGACTTTTAAGGTTATGCCCTCAACTGTGCATAGCAGTGAAGAGACTTGAAAAGGAAGACAGTAAAGCCTTACAGACTTCCCTTAAGTTTGCTGCTCTATAAGTATGCAGCCTGCTGCAGGTGTTTCCTGTTGGTTAGTAAATAACCTCCACACATTGGCTGTTTAAAATTCAGCTATTAATAAAAATGTGTACTTTTGTCATTGCTCCTCTTGGGTGTTCTTAGGGAAACCAAAGCAGGTCATTGTCATGGTAGACAGACTGCAATAGGACTCTCTTAAAAATCTAAGCCACAGCAGTAGTCATTTATTATTCCATTCTATTAACCAGCCCTCTCTTCAGTAAGATAATTCTATTTTGAAATCCCAAGGCATCTGGCATTTAGGTAATGCAGATTTCCCAATAATCAGGAGGGGGAAAAGATACTTTAGCTTCATTTTACTGGGGCTTACAGTAGGGATGTAGGAAAAGAGTTGTTAGCTTACGATGCTAATATAGCTTAATTCTGTGGAGAGTACTGGGTTGGCATTTGGGAGAATGGGTTCTTTCCTTGGCCATTAACTGACTGTGTGACTGGTGAGTTGCAGAACCCCCTCATGGCTCCTTAAGTTTTCCCATCTATAAAATGAACAGGAGAGGATTTCTAACCATAACTTCTGCCACTGACAGGCTGATTCTAGCAGCCTAGAAATTTGCTTGGTGGTTAAAAAGAGATACAAAAACACCGATTTGGCCTAGTGAATATGTTAATATTACATGTTCCTTCAATAGAAGGTAATTCAAAAATACAGAAATATTTACATGTTACAACTTTAAATTTTAGCACAAAAGCTGGAGATTGCAGACATTTTACAGAATGATACAGTAAATTTATTTTGTTTGAAGGAAATTCTGTAAATATACCGGCTTATATTTTGAAAGGCATTTACAAATTTTAGAACATTTTCCCCAGACTGCAGAAAATGTTTGGTATGCACTCCAGAAAAGTGTATATACCTACTACCAATTTGAGGGTAGGTGGTTTAGAGCTAAGGTTTAATCCTTTATAACTGCTGTGTTGCTGGGTTTTTGGGGGTTTTTTTGTTTGTTTGTTTTGAGATGGAGTCTCACTCTGTTGCCCAGGCTGGAGTGCAGTGGCGCCATCTCAGCTCACTGCAAGCTCCGCCTCTCGGGTTCCCGCCATTCTCCTGCCTCAGCCTCCCGAGTAGCTGGGACTGTAGGCGCCCGCCGCCACGCCTGGCTAATTTTTTAATATTTTTAGTAGGGACGGGGTTTCACCATGGTCTCGATCTCCTGACCTTGTGATCCGCCCACCTCAGCTTCCCAGAGTGCTGGGATTACAGGTATGAGCCACCATGCCCGGCCAGCTAGGTTCTGCTAGAATTTATCCAGAGCTTTGGAGAAACCTGGAATGGTTAGAAAATACTACTCTTAAAAGTAAAGGGGCTGGAGGACCAACAAAACCATTGTATCCCCTTTTGGACTTGGGAAGTAGAACATTAACCACTTGCTAATTATAGCATCTCCCTTAACCAATTCTTATCTACAATTGTGACTTACCCTCAGTGTTGTACAATGTGTATCACACAATGTGCTAGCTTGTTTCTGTGGCTTAAGAGAATTCACCATTTCTATCTACTACCCAATAGGTGAATTAGATAACTCTTCCATTTGTATATTTTATTCTGTAAGAAAAATTCAAATTGCTCTTATTTGTCATACTATTAGCTAATTTATAAGCGCTAGCCCTCATTCAAAGAAGGGTTAAGGATTTATAGAATTCCTATATTCTCTGGAAGCATCAGTAACCTAAAGGCTAGAGCATGGTATGGGCATGTGCATGATGAATATTTTTGATGTATAGTTCATATATTTGTTTCAGTGGTTTGGTGTTAGAACTGCTAGAAGGGAATCTCACTATCTTTTCTTCCTTTTTGAGATAGTCTTGCTCTGTCATCAGGCTGGAGTTCAGTGGCGCAATCTCGACTCACTGCAACGTCCGCCTCCTGGGTTCAAGCAATTCTCCTACCTCAGCCTCCCAAGTAGCTGGGACTACGGGCATGTGCCACTATGCCAAGCTGATTTTTGTAGTTTTAGTGCAGATGGGGTTTCACCATGTTGGCCAGGCTAGTCTTGAACTCTGACCTCAAGTGATCCACCCGCCTCAGCCTCCCAAAGTGCTGGGATTACCGGCGTGAGCCACCGCGCCTGGCGACTTGTGCTAACGTTAAACCAAAATTATGGGGGGTCATTGTTTGTGGACTGAGTTTCTGCACTAGGTCCTAGCAGACCAAAGTAGTTACATATATTAAGTGCCACACAGTTACATGGAAACTTTACAGACCAGTTTTTCCTGAAAACAGAAAATCCCAGTCTGTCTGAATCAGAATAATAAGGAAGTCCCTTCTTCTTTAACCCTTAAAAAAAAAGTAACCCGATGTTAACCAATCAGTTATTTTTCATTGTTTTGTTTCCTTGCTCTCATCTTACAAAACCCACTATTCTGCTGTTTCTCATTGGGAGCTTTCATTCTGTTTTGTAGAATGGAGGCTGCCCCATTCATAAGTTATGAATAAACGCCAGTTAGATCTGTAAGTAAATTTGTTGTAATTTTTTTCTGACACTAGGAATTGCCAAATGACCCTTCACACGGGAAGTACTAGTTTTTGTTTTTACCAGTCCCAGTCCCCTATGCCTTTTTAAAAAAGAGATGAAGTCTCACTGTTACCCAGGTAATTGCATTGGCTATTTACAGCCACGATCATAGGAAACGCAGCTTCAAACTACTGGCTCAGGGGATCTTCCTGCCTCAGCCTCTCGAGTATCCTGTATCTTGCTAACAGAGCATGTTGACAAACTTGGATTTGTGCCCATCAAATAAGTTTGAACTGTAATTATATACTTTTTTTTAGGCCTTCAGCTTTGCAAAACCTCTGCTTTTGAAATACTTTTTTTTTTTTGAGACGCAGTCTCACTCTCTTGCCCAGAATGGAGTGTGGTGGCGCTATCTCAGCTCACTGCAACCTCTGCCTCCTGGATTCAAGTGATTCTCGTGCCTCAGCCTCCTGAGTATCTGGGATTACAGACGCCCACCACCACGCCCGGGTAGTTGTATTTTTAGTAGAGATGGGGTTTCATCATTTTGGCCAGGTTGGTCTTGAACTCCGGACCTTAAGTGATCTGCCTGCCTTGGCCTCCCAAAGTTCTGGGATTACAGGTGTGAGCCACCACGCCCAGCCGGGTGCTAGTTTTAAAAGTTTCAGAGTTGAAAAGTATTAATAGGTCTCACTATGTAGCACGGTTGTAAGTACTTTATATATATATATGATGTAATCACAACTGTGATAAACATTGTCCTCATCACTCACCCATTTTATGGATGAGGAAACAAGTCCTAGAAAAGTAACTTCCCAAGGTCACTCTTAGGGCAGAGCTACGATTTGAACACCTGACTTCTGAATGTGAGTTCTTAGTTGTCATCTCTTTGCATTCCCCAGAGTAAAGCCATTTTTACACTGAAAAAGTGCCTCCTTTCCTTTTTTATCAGTCCCTGATGCGCTTGTGAGATTACCGGAAAACCTGTCACAAATCAAACTGTTTATCTTAAAGAGTTGATTTTCAAGACTGGAGTTTTCTGATTGGGTATGGGTGTTGTCCCAATCTTATCAGTACATTTAGCTTAAGGAGAGTCCTAATCGAAAGGACTAGCACAAAATAACCCATTTCTTTCATTTCAGTTTCATTCCAGAAGGAAACACTTTCTGAACCTAGACCCTAATGCCTAGGCTATGCCTTGCAGGGCACTAATGTCAAAACTATTGCTTTTGGGTGGCTTGGAAAGAGCAGAGGGACCTGTCTGCTCAAGGGCCAGCTATTTGAAGTGCAAATTGCCCTAAAGTGTAGTAACTCCCTTTCTGCCTAGAGCCAACAGGCTCTGAGAATTGAGCCCCCAACCTGATTTCTTCCATTATGGCTTGTGGAATAAGCTTTACAGTTTTCTATGAAGATTAAATAAGCACACATGTCAAAGTGTTTTGAAAACCATCAGTTTTACTATGAAAAGCATCTTTCAGGAGTTGGATGGTTTTCTCTGGTTATTAAAAGATTTATTTTTATAAGAGTTTTTCTCTAACATCAAGACAGAAGCTGTCCTCAATGTGGCCTGCAGTTAACCAGGTCAAATTTAAGTTAAAATTTGCAATAAAGTAGCCCCGGAAGGAAACATGCAACATGCAACTGAATATTCACATTCAGTTTGCAAGTTCCAGGAAGGCAGAAGTTCAGGATCAAGGGCTGGAGCTGGGCTGCCAGCACAGTCCCTAGGCATCCTTCACAGAGGGGAAAAAGCAGAAGCTGTGTAGTCTAAAGACCCTGGCTCAAGCTGTCTTCGTAATCTTTTTGCTGCTTGGGCTGCTCTCGATGTCTCAATGTTGGGAAAGAACAAGGCTCAGCCAACAGTAAGGACCTTCCTATGTGCCAGCTACCATGTGCTGTAATCAAGTGTTTTCTTAGTTCCCCTTACACCTCCTCTGTATTTCAGAAAGTCCTCTACCCTGAAAATGTGATGAGAGTGCCACATGACAACTTACCTTCTTATGCACTCCATTGGTCGGCCATTCAGCCAATATCAGATTTGGGGGTCTAGTCAGGTCTTGCTTCCCAAGCTTTTCAGAAACCCTGATGAAACAGGCATAGGGTCTAAACTTAGGGAGGGCAAAACTTACAGCCAACTCCAAATGCAGCAAGCAAAATAAATAAGCGCCTAAACCATTGAATCTTTATGTGAAAGCCATAGCCCTTTAGAGCTAACATTTGCAATCTTCTTAATTATAGGAAGTAGATACAGAGGGGTAAAGTTATTTAACTGGGAATCTACCCCACACCTCAAAGGTTAGGTCACTAATTGCGGGTGCACAGGAGAGATGGTAGGATGGGAGGGACAGGAGAAGACATGTTTAGATATATCTGGTAAATAATTTGGTGGTGGTGGGAGCCTTCATTCCCACCCCCAACCCGCCCCCCCCTTTTAAAAAAATCCTATTTCCGAGACAAAAGCAATATAACATAACTTTGTATTTCCTGAAACTTCCAGTTTCTAAGAACTGTCCAAGAGTACTTACACGCACATTCCCGAGACCGTTGGAGTTGTTCGATAGGTCTAGGGAGGGATCTGGGGATACGTGTTTTACAAGCACCATGAGCGATTCTTCAAAGTTGGGTGTTTGAATCAAAAGAGCAGAATTCATGATACCGTTTTGTGCACTCCTTGAGCTAAAAGGTAGTATCCCACCCTCTCCATAAACAGACACCTAAGTTATAAAACTTATGCGCTCGATATGCAAAAATAGCTCGTTTTATACAGAAACGATCCTTTCCTTCTTTTCCTTATATATCTTTTAACTGTCATCACTCCTAACCTAGACCTAGAGTGGCTTTTTCCGGTCCTAGCTCTGCCGGACACACGCTCTGCCCAGAGACCCGATCCACCCAAGGCCAGGCGGTCTGGGGTCACGTCTGTGTCCAGCGTCCGGCGGGCGCTGCCGTGCCGCTCTCCCATTGGCTGGAAGTTCCCTCGCGGGCCGGCGCGGCTCCTGCTCGCCACGCCAGCCCATCGGGCTACGGACCGCCCAGGGGGGCGGGGCTTGGGAGTTGGGGCGGGGCCCGGGTGAGGGGCGGGGCCTCGGGGCGTCGCGGACGTCCTGGCGGCCTACTGCGTGGGAGGGAGTCCTGGGCCGCGCCCCGCGAGGCCGGGCCCAGGCCGGGCCAATCCCGGGCCACTGGGCGGGCGACCGTGGGGCCTGGCCGGCCCGCCGGAGAGCCTGGGGGTTGGGGACGATGGGCTAGTTCCTGGTGCGTCACGGGGGAGTTCCTTAAAGGGGAAGCGAGCCGGGCTACGGGGCGAGCGCGGGGTGCGGTGGTCGGCGGGGAGGCCCCCGCGCTTTAAAATAATGCCCGCGGCGCCCGCGCGACCATGCAATGGCGAGCGCTCGTCCTGGGGCTGGTGCTCCTCCGGCTTGGCCTCCATGGAGTATTGTGGCTCGTCTTCGGGCTGGGGCCCAGCATGGGCTTCTACCAGCGCTTTCCGCTCAGCTTCGGCTTCCAGCGTCTGAGGAGCCCCGACGGCCCCGCGTCGCCCACCTCGGGGCCCGTGGGCCGGCCTGGGGGGGTATCCGGGCCGTCGTGGCTGCAGCCGCCGGGGACCGGGGCAGCGCAGAGCCCGCGCAAGGCTCCGCGGCGTCCTGGGCCGGGGATGTGCGGCCCAGCCAACTGGGGCTACGTGCTGGGCGGCCGGGGCCGCGGCCCGGACGAGTACGAGAAGCGCTACAGCGGCGCCTTCCCTCCGCAGCTGCGTGCCCAGATGCGCGACCTGGCACGGGGCATGTTCGTCTTTGGCTACGACAACTACATGGCTCACGCCTTCCCCCAGGACGAGCTCAACCCCATCCACTGCCGCGGCCGTGGGCCCGACCGCGGGGACCCGTGAGTAGCCCCCGCCGCCCGGGGCCGCGCGCCCACGCGCTTCC
Organism: Homo sapiens; assembly: GCF_000001405.40. Lineage (NCBI taxonomy): Eukaryota > Metazoa > Chordata > Mammalia > Primates > Hominidae > Homo > Homo sapiens. Next base: position 5,188,359 of record NC_000003.12, read on the forward strand.
TTCCGCCCTCCGCGCCGGGGTGCAGCCCTCTGTCCTCCGGGGCCCCCGAGGGCGCCAGGGCCGTTAGGGTCCCGGGCAGCGCTCCCGCGCCCTGTCCCGTGTGAGTCCCTGTGAAGACCCCCGAGCTTGAGGGTGCGGGGTGGGCCGGTGGCCTTCCTCTCCTGATTCTCCCGGAATCTCCAAACTTCAGAACTGCTGTCCAGCTCAGTGTCTTACGCGTGAGGATACTGAGGTCCAGGACCAGAAGGGACAGTGGCAGTGCCAAGGGCTGGCTTGGAGGGCTTTCCACTTCCATCCGACCCCTTCCTCCGGATGAGCATAAACTCTAAATGAAATCTCCATCATGCCCCCCGTGTAAACGCAGCCTCAGAACAAGCCTTTACCTCGCACCCCCACCTCTATCACATTGCCACACCCACGTCTTTTCTATGTAAAAAGCCTATAGTTGACTTCTCCAAAGCCGTCCATTGAGTTTGAGGCAGAACGGGGTTACAGCCTCTCCTTCACAGGGGCTGCTTCTTAGGCTGAGGATAGTTAGGTGGTGGGGAGGGAAGCTATGTGGCCCACTTTTGGGGTCCAGATACTTGAGGTGAAATTCACTGGATGCCAGATTGACTGTCAACGTCATCGCCCTGTACGATCTGTCTATAAATCCCCCGCCTCTGGTGGCGTGGTTGTCCGGGAAGGTCAGGCAGTCTTCCCTGTTCACCAGCCTTGTTTGCAAAGGCTGAGCTCCAAGGGTCACCACTGTTGACATCAAAGTCCAAGAGGGCAGTACACCCAGCTAAGGACCTCTTACCTGTAGGGAAGGAATGTGCATTGCCATAGACCCTGTTAGTCCAAATAGTTGACTCCCCTCCCCTGGATGGGAGTGGAGGAGTTGGTTTGCTCAGTGTCTTGGCACCGTCTGGGGCAAGCATTTTCCTTCACCTGGAGGAAAGCAGTGGAGTCCAGTCCTTAGGTTCTGATAAGGAAGCCTATAGACTAAACGGAGTTGGGTTTTTAAAATGGTGTGGTTATTTACACATTTATGTTTTAAATTGCAGTTTGAGAGCATGATTTCTACCGAAGCAAGGGGACATCCCAAGCTAAATTCAAAGGACTGAGCCTTTTCAAAATTCTAGGAAACCGATGAGTTTTTCTTGCTTAACCATAGCGTTTATACGTATAAGTGTATTTTCTATCTCAATTTTTTTGAGAAAAAATATTAAATTTTGAAAAAAAAGTATTTGGCCTTTCCAGATTTTTTGTTTGTTTTTTGAGACGGAGTCTCGCTTTGTCGCCCAGGCTGGAGTGCAGTGGCGCGATCTCCGCTCACTGCAACCTCCGCCTCTGTGGTTAAAGTGATTCTCCTGCCTCAGCCTCCCGAGTAGCTGGGACTACAGACTCGTGCCACCACGCCCGGCTAATTTTTTGTATTTTTAGTAGAGACGGGGTTTCACCGTATTAGCCAGGATGGTCTCATCTCCTGACCTCGTGATCCACCCGCCTGGGCCTCCCAAAGTGCTGGGATTACAGGCGTGAGCCACCGCTCCCGGCCATGGTCTTTCCAGATTTTAAGAAATGAATGAATTATTTGGCTCACTTAACTAGAGGGGACTTTATACCTATAAATGTATTTTCTTTCTTAGTTTTTTTTTTGGGGGGGGGGATAAACTTCATTTAATTGTGGTCTTTTTTTTGTTGTCAGCCTACATCATGCTTTGATGTTTTTTCTTTTTAAATCAACATCATTAAAGTTTGAAAAATATCATAAAATCCCACCAGCTATTTTAAATTTATTTTTGCCACTAGTTCCTACCCATATGTCTATGCATGTTTTACATAGTTGCAATCATAGTATGTGTACATATTTTGGATCTTAATTTGTGCTTTTCCACTAGTGCTCTTGGTATTACAAGAAGGGAGAGAGCACTTCCAATAAGTGCCTTTATTCCTGCTCACAGACTGTTTCTCAGATTACCTTTTATCAGGTGGACTGAAGTTGAAAACAGTTTAACGGGGAATTGTGATAACACTTTCATTTGAGAATATGACGGTTTGGAGAGTGAGTTGATGACATTTTAATGTTTTTCTTAATGAACCTTAAAAGCGCTTCTGGAGAACCTTAAGAATCCCTTCCCAGCAAAGTGAGGTGGTGGTTGATTTAACTTGCTGGTCTTTGTGGTATCATGTGTGCTGTTGGCCTTTATTTCAGGATGAAGGCTGCCGATGAGTGTTTTGGTTTGGTTATGCATTGGTTTGGTTATGCGTAAGTTAAGGTCAGGTTGCTTTGAGACAGATGTGTTATTGGAAAGAGGGTTTTAGAAGTATTGAGGAGGTGGGGATGGCATTAGGGAAGGGTTGTGCCCTGAGCTGGGTAGGCCCGTTGGTTGGTAAACCTTTGTTGTCTTTGAGGAGGCCAAAGAAGCCTTGCATGGACGCCTCACACTTGCCACTTACAAACAGTGGAAAACTTAATTTTTTGTACTCTCCTTCCTTTAACTCCTCTCAGGCTTTGCTTTTTTTTAAATATTTTTTAAAAAAATTTATTTTTAATTTTTGAGGATACACAGTAGGTGTATATATTTATAGGGTACATGAGATATTTTGGCACAGGCATGCAATTTGTAATAATCACATCATGGAAAATTGGGTATCCAACCCCTCAAGCATTTTTCTTTTGTGTTACAAACAATCCAATTATACTTTTAGTTATTTTAAAATGTACAGTTAAATTATTATTGACTGTAGTCCTCCTGTTATGCTATCGAATACTAGGCCTTGAGGAAAGTTTAAAACCAGAGTATTGTCATGCTGGCTTTGAAACAGGAGGGTACTTCACATCCCCAAACTAAATAATCTGTAATAAAAATTTTTCATATTTTTTGTTTGTTTGTTTAATTGACAGGGTATTGTTCTGTCACCCAGGCTGGAGTGCAGTGGCATAATCATTGCTCACTGCAGCCTTGAACTCCTGGGCTCAAGCAGTCCTCCTGCCTCAGCCTCCCGAATAGCTGGGACTAGAGGTGTGCCCCACCATGCTCGGCTAATTTTTTTTTTTTTTAATTTTTCTGTAGAAGTGGGGTCTTACTTTGTTGCCCAGGATGGTCTCAAACCCCTGGCCTCAAGCAGTCTTCCCGCCTTGGCCTCCCAAAGTGCTGAGATTATAGGTGTGAGCCACCAAGCCCAGCCAAAAATCTTTCAGATTTTAAAAAATCAAATGTATTCTAATGACTCATTTAACAAGAGTGAATTTGCCATTAGAGTATTATATAAAAAGTACACATAGAAAATTTCGGTGCTAAACACTCTTACCGTTTCTCTGTAGTCATATATGCTCCAAACTTATCTTGCCTCAAGTACATGTGACTTGTTCTTGGGGAGGTATCAGGTAAGGAGTTAACATGAAGTGAATAAAACCTGAACACTCTAAAAAGAGCAGATCTGTCTAAGATAACTATGCAAAGTCAGTTCTCACATCCTTAATTTGGGTTGGAGGATCCAAATTTAAAGTTTCTTTGAGTAAATGTGGATATTATATTTTTGTAATCCTGTGAATGGTTAACTGTAGTTCTGGCTTTTGGGCATGTGACCATTCTCAATTTCTTCTCAACTGTATTGCTATTAAAACAACAAAACAAATCTCAAATTAAGCCAAACAAATATTGGCCCCTCAAATGCTTAGGTACTACTAGCTCAAGATGGCCTCCTCTGCATTCCTCTTTCTTTGGAAAGTCCTGCCCTCTTTCAGAGTCAGGCTCCTCTTGTTTCCGTGACACCATCTAACTGTTTGAAGATGATTTTCCTTTATTTGCTCAGTTCTTCTTTTGATTCCTTTCCTTTGAGCTGCGATTCTACATTTTAACCTTATTTGAGGATTGAGTACTGTTGTGTATTCACCTGCATTTCCCTTTGTCTTGTCTCTCCAGATTATCAATCCCTTGAACGCAGGGACTGTTTCTTATGTTATCTCTGTGCCTACACCACACCAGGTAGATTTCTGAACAGCTGTTACAGGTTAAGTATACATGGGAATTTAAATTTAAAAACACATATGTTTGATTTTGTTAGCTACATAATCAAAAATTTTCTATCAAAGGCCATGGTTTTCTCCATCTTTTCTGTTTTGAGGTGAACTTTAAAAATTTACAGTGGGGTGAATGCCATGAACATTTGTACCTGGTGAAGTAAGTGGAGCGTTTAGTTGTGCGGTTCAGCCAGCTGGTTACAGGGAAAGGTATTGAGTTCTTGCTGGATGAACTTAAAGGTATCAGGTTAGGCTGGAGATTGACAAGAATATCTACAAAGAACAAATCCAGAGTCTGAGCTGCATAGTGGGCTGGCATAAATGGAGTCATAATAATTTCATGCTGTTAGGCCAGTAGAGTTTTATGGTGTTTTTTTTTCTTCCTTCATCCTCACTCCCACTTCCCCCTTATTTTGGCACCTTTTGAAAGAGGATGTAGCAATTATTTGGTAAGAAAGAATTAAAAGTGTTCTAATGAGTAAATACCCCAGATCTTAGAGAGGATTTGTCTGACTAGAGTGGAGAGAAGAAACCCCACAGTTACTGCAAGTAATTTTTTTTTTTTTTTTTACTGTGGCAGCTCATTAATTTTTAGTGACTGGGCATTGTAAAAAATATTTTAAAACTGGGTCTATTTTAGTTATAGATTACAAGGCAAAGCACAATAAAACATAGAAAGGAGTTCAGTGCTCACAGTGAGTACCTTCCTTCCATGGGCCTGTGCAGGTGGATAGAATGACACATGCCGCAGATCTGGGTGTGACTCAGGAGAGGGGAGTTACATGTGGTTCTCCTGATTACCATCTAGCTTGGATGCTACATGATGAGGGAGCTGTTTTCTGATGAGGTGGGCTGTTGAAGCCCACTCTGTTTCTAAGCGGCAGAGCAACAGAGTGAAATATTTACACAGAGCAGAACATTCTTGAGTTGGCAGAATTGGGCGTAAGGATCTCCCTGTCTCCTTTGAGCCCCTCCTGCAACCCTTGCACTTTTTGTACCTTTTTTGGCTGTCACTTGCGCTTGAGAGGCATATTTGAATCCATAGCTCTTGCTTTGAGGGGACCTTTTGCTATTGTATAAGTTTATTTCCAGAAAATCAACAAATAGAAAAAACAGGTACAATTTTCCAGCCAAGCAGTTTTCTGACTTCCCAGCTTATAGGAAATGAGCTAGCCCTAGTTCCTAGACTATAGCCCCCATATATATCTCGTTTCAAAAAAACAGTATCTAAAATTTTTTTTTTTTTTGAGACAGAGTTTCGCTCTTGTTGCCCAGGCTGGAGTGCAATGGCATGATCTCGGCTCACCGCAACCTCCGCCTCCTGAGTTCAAGTAATTCTTCTGCCTCAGCCTCCCTAGTAGCTGGGATTACAGGCGCCTGCCACCACGCCCAGCTAATTTTTGTATTTTTAGTAGAGACAGGGTCTTGCCATGTTGGCCAGGCTGGTCTTGAACTCCTGACCTTGGATGATCCACCCACCTCGGCCTCCCAAAGTGCTGGGATTACAGGCGTGAGCCACCGCACCCAGCCTAAAATTTTACTATAAATTCTTTGCTTTAGATTAGATGGTGTAACAGCATAAAACAAGGCAACTGGAGGGTTCAAATAAAATGAGACATTGGAGCTGTTATGCCTCTTTCACATAAGCCCCATTTTCCCCAGCTGAGGCACAGGCCTTTCAGAGACCACAGCAAGCCATCACAACACGAGAGGTGCTGTGCACCAGAAGCTTCTCTGACTGGAAGGTGAGATAAGGACCCATTAGGGTGATCCGAGGAGCAGATGAAGTGCTTTGGGATATGATGGAAGACTGCAGATATCAATGCATCTTGCTGGAAATAAAACTGGAGCTTTTTTGCTTTGGTTGCTAATAAAATCTTTAAACAGTTGTCTTATGTCTTCTCTTACTATCATTTTTTCCAAGCTTCTGCACTTATTTTCTGGATTTTTGGGAATGGGACAAATAAATAAATGAAGTCCCCAGAATTTCTCAAACTGTCCTTTATTTTACTAGTTCTTCATCCCTATTCTCCCAGATGTATTAGTTTTTTTGTTGTTGACTTTTTTGTAAAGTGTTACAAAGACATACCACAGTGCCTGAGGAGCTTCACCCTTGTCATCCTGAAGTTGGTTTCTTAAGGTTGTTTCAGAATGGAAAATTGGTGTAGATTATGGGGTGAGAGGTGTGTGGCAGAAACGTTTATGTAGCTCCAGTCAAGAAGTGAGAAAGGCCTCAATTCCTGCCTAGGTTCATGTTAAATGATATCTCAGAATTAACGGAAATAATCAAGACCCTTTGGATGAGTTATTAATGAAGAAATGGTGTAAAGAAGTTAATTTATACCCCCAACCATAGGGCAGATGAGTAATATTGACACTGTCAATTAATGTATTTACTTCTTTTTGTGTGTAATATAGGCTGTGGTGTCTAATTTCTGTATTAAAGTATTACAGGTGGGTCGTATGACAAGGGCTCTTCTTTAGTTCCTAATGATTGTGAAATCAGAGCTTTTTAAAGTTGGACAGGACCAAGGAGATTGTCTATGGTGATAAACCTGAATCTCAGAGAGGAGATGACTCACTGCCTCCTGACTTCCTGTGAGCATTCTTTCCACTCTGGTACAAGTGTGTCTCCACAGTTCTGTGACTTGATTCTACTTATGGACACCATAGAAAGTGTTACTTTGGGGGTAGAAAGACCTTTGCTGTATTAATTCACCCATAATTAGTTCCTGAATAAATAAGAGTTGCTGGCAATTATAGTTTCTGATGGGTGTTTACTTTTATTGTCTTCTCTTTTGAAATAAAGTCTTTTTGTTGAATTTTAATTTTCTTTTTCAGTTCAAATCTGAACATCAATGATGTACTAGGGAACTACTCATTGACTCTTGTTGATGCATTGGATACACTTGCAGTAAGTGTTCACCTTTTTTTAAAAAAATGAATTAAGATGTTTTAGAGTTGATTATCCCTAGTTCCCTCCAGCAGTGGGAATTCCAGGGAGCCTGATAAGTCAAAATGTATCATTAGCTTTGATAACTGTTATTTATTTTAATGACCTTAATGGGGAGAACAAGAAAAGTGTTGAAGGTTAAATGAGGGGAAATGTGATTCCATTAAAAAAAGGAGAAGGAATGTACGATTGATTTTAGGGAACCTATTTTTTTTTAACCAGTTTCTATCTTATTCCCTAAAAGAACCCATAATGAAGCTCATTAATATTGATAATTATAGTCGTTGCTATTCCAGGAGTAAAAGAGAGAAGATCTAAGGGTTGGCAGGTACCCTGAAATGTCATCTAGCCACTGGCTCCCCCAGGAGCAAGTTGGAGCCCTAGCGCCCATCCTTATGTGGGGCTCCCTAGAAACCCTTCTCTTTTATTTGCCACTTCCTGTTTTGTGGACACTCCATGCCTGAGCTGCCAACGTGGGTGCTGGCATTACTGCCTCATCCTGTGGTTTTGCTCATTGACTCTGGAGAACTAGAGGCCTTTGAGCAGATATGCAGAAGCACCTTGAAGGCAGTGTGGCACTCAGTACATGGTGCCATGTCTGTGTGCTTCATCTGCTTCACCTTTTGCCATTAAAGCAGTTTCCAGGGGACTGTATTCCAGCATAGTGTTGTTTTAAAATCTTCTTAGTTAAGGTGATTTTTACAACCTCTTTGCTTTCCTTCATTGTCCAGCAAGTCTTTACCATGAGAAATATCTTATTGCAGTCTAGCCCAAATGTTGTACTTTTATTTATTCTTGTTTCTTTTAACATGCCATAGAAGAGTTTAAAGCTGTCTGTTAGGAGATAGAATTGGGGCCGGGCGCAGTGGCTCACGCCTGTAATCCCAGCACTTAGGGCGGTTGAGGTGGGAGGATCAGCTGAGGTCAGGAGTTTGAGACCAGCCTGACCAACATGGTGAAACCCCTTCTCTACTAAAAGTACAAAAATTAGCTGGGCATGGTGGCGGGCGCCTGTGGTCCCAGCTCTTCAAGAGGCTGAGGCAGGAGAAATGCTTGAACCCAGGAGTCAGAGGTTGCAGTCAGCTGAGATTGCGCCACTGCACTGTAGCCTGGGCAACAGAGTGAGACTCCATCTCTGGAGACACACACACACACACACACACAAGAATTGGGTAATGTGCTAGCCAAGTTTGCATTATGATTGTCTAGTATCTTGCTAGTAGTAGAATTACCAGAACTTGGAAAGAGCTTGAGAGATCATTCTACGTCCTCATTTTATAAATAAGTAGTAGAAATAGGACTAGGCCCTTGGTCTAATAGGAAATCTGGGGTACTGATTTAGTATAATTTAAATTACAAAGCAACTTAGTTTCCCAATATCTCCTTCTGAAGTTATTGCTGCTCTGTTTCAGTCATTTACCATCACTGATCAAAATGTGCCCAGACAAGTATGTTCGACCTTAGAGCTAATTTGTTGATGATACCAGAGGCTGACTCAGCCTACAAGTGTTGCTTAAAGGAAACGTCCTAAGACTCAATGTATAGCTCATGAAAGCCTACTCCTTGTCCCTGAGAGCTTTGTCATCGTCGTCGTCTTTTCTTTTCTTTTCTTTTCTTTTTTTTTTTTTTGAGAGAGTCTCGCTCTGCCGCCAGGCTGGAGTGCTGTGGCGTGATCTTGGCTCACTTCAACCTTCAGCTCCTGGGTTCGAGTGATTCGCCTGCCTCAGCCTCCCGAGTAGCTGGCTTTTTTTTTTTTTTTTTTCCCCATTTTGTTTTTTTATCCCTCCATCTTGCCTGCTATTCTGTTGTTCACCATACTCTCCCCCACACTTAATGGTGTCTGGTGCACAGTAGCAGTGCAAATGTTTGTTCAAAAAATGAATTCTGACTAATGAAGCATTTCCCAACACAGATTCCAAAGATACTTACTCCCTGAAAGAAGAGTTCTGTTTCTAAATGAACTTGAGAAATTCCGTATGTCTGGTCCCACTATTAGAGAGCCACAGTGCCCATCAGCATTTTAAAGACTCTGAGAAGTCCTACAGTCAAACAAACAAACCCATTTAGCTCCTCTGTCCCATTCAGCCATTTTCAAACATTAGTGTGATTTCAGAACATAGTCACTCAGGATTCTATAGCTATCTGACCATAATGATAAACTACAATAAGTAAGAGCTGTTGACTTCCTTCACCTTCCTCACTTGATTTGAGCTCCTGTCAGCACCTGCAGCTTCACCAGATATTGTTGCTGGTAAACATCTGTAAGGAAACAGACTCATCTCTGTGGTTTTCATTGTAGAATATCCGGCCTTTAGTGCTTCAGGCTTATTTTTCAGGTGTTACTTCTGTTGAAGTTTTCCTTTTCTTTTGCTAACATTTAAACAGGCTTTAACAGATGTGCTAGGGAAACACTGTGAAGATAGCAGTCCCCTGACCATTGGATGCAACTTGCAGCATTATTGCATCATCTTCTAAAAAGAAAGAACTGAAAGCTAGAAATGTCTGTACTTACTCTGTAGGTTACAGCAAAATAACGATGAGGTGGAAAAAATGTAGTTAGGCACAGCTTGGTTTTATACATTGTAGGGAGACATGAGACATCAATCAGTATGTGTAAGATGTACATTGGTTCAGTCCAGAAAAGTGAGACAACTTGAAGTGCTGGGGGTGGGGTGAGGGGGCACTTCCAAGTCACAGGCAGATAAAAGACAAATGGTTACATTTTTTTTGTCTTTTTTTTTTGAGACAGAGTCTTGCTGTGTTGCCCAGGCTGGAGTGCAGTGGTGAGATCTCGGCTCACTGCACCCTCCACCTTCCCAGGGGTTCAAGCAGTTCTTGTGCCTCAGCCTCCCGAGTAGCTGGGATTACAGGCATGCGCCACCACGCCTGGCTAATTTTTTGTATTTTTAGTAGAGACAAGGTTTTGCCATGTTGGCCAGGCTGGTTTTGAACTCTTGGCCTGAAGTGATCCGCTCGCTTTGGCCTCCCTAAGTATGGGCTTACAGACCTGAGCCACCGTGTCCAGCCGGTTGACTCTCTGATTAGCCTTTCACGGAATATACAGTTTACCTGTGACAAAGGTAGAGGAATAGTCACTTATGCCTTTGTCTGGCTTAGTGAATCTGCAGTTTTACATAAACAGTAGGGCAGAGGAAGCAATCAGATATGCATTTTTCTTAGGTGAGCAGAGGGATGACTGAGTTCTGTCCTTTGTTTGTACCTGTGAAGATAAACTGTCAATTTACATTGCCTGGGTGAAATTCAGCAGAATTGTTTTGAGGGGAAGATCTTGAGGCCCACAAGGAATTTCCTTGTAGGTAAATTGTAAGGGACGTATATAGCTTTTTTTTTTTTTTTTTTTTTTGAATCTTTGTAGCTATCTTATTTAGGAATAAAATGGGAGGCAGGTTTGCCTGATGCAGTTCCTAGCTTGACTTTTCCCTTTGGCTTAGTGATTTTGGGGTCCCAGAAATTTATTTTTCTATCACAGTATGTCCTTATGATGTCATTATAGTCTCAGGGTTGTCATAAAATTTAGAGTGGAATGAAATAATTTTGATTCAGGTTAATCTATAAAGTTTGATGCCCAACTGTGCTTCACATAGGAGAGAGTGGCTTAGTGTGACGTCGTATCTACATACCCAAAATAGGAATCATAATTCTAGATCACTTTTTAAAAAGGACATAGAGCTGATTATTCATATGTTTTGTTTCTTTTAAATCAGTCACTGGTTTTATCCTGTGCTCCAAAAGATATTACCACTATTTCTCAAAGTGTTTAGGCATCTGGATAACAATCAACAAGTTCATTCAGTTTTCCACATGTTTTGGTCTCCTGGGAGCCAAGCACCCAAGCTGCTGATTTATTTGAGGAGCAGAGAGAAAGACATATTTTTGTTTCTTCAGTTTTCTGATTTATTTGTATACCTGCCAGAAGTTTTAGAAACCACAATGCCTGGCATGTTAAATAAGATCATAGTGAAGTTTGCTGGAGAGTGGAGTTGGGAAGATGAGGAGTGCCAATGATTTTACAAGGAATTATTTTCACAGTTTTGTCCTTTGGAGACAGGACTCTTGAGTTGGAGGAAATGGGCCAGCCATGTGCTGGGAATATATGCTAAGAAATAACTGCTTTTCTGTCTCTTGTGTTTCTACTCCTATGGTAGCAAAACCACATACAGACATTTAGGTGACGTGACTGGGCTGCTGTGATGATACAGCCTCAGTTTCATTTCAAGTTGCTGTAATGACCTGTGTTCCTCTTTTTAAAGATAATGGGAAATTCATCCGAGTTCCAGAAAGCCGTCAAGTTAGTGATCAACACAGTTTCATTTGACAAAGATTCCACCGTCCAAGTCTTTGAGGCCACGATAAGGTAAAATAATGAATATTCATAAAATGAATTGGAGACTTCTTTTTATGTGTTTAAAGAAAAAAATACCTTTGAGGGTCTTTTTGCCACATGATCCAGGCAGGGAGTCCATATGGGCTTTATGGGTGCAGTGTGCATTTTTCATGTTCATATCTGTCAAAACTGGAACAATTATTTCAAAGTAATCACATTCCGGACTGAAGGGAAAGACACGTTTGTATTTTGTTTTGTTTTTATAGATTAAACTCTTTTTTTTTTTTTTTTTGAAATGGAGTCTCTGCCACCTAGGCTGGAGGGCAGTGGTGCAATCTTGGCTCACTGCAATCTCCACCTCCCAGGTTCAAGGCATTCTCATATCTCAGCCTCCAGAGTAGCTGGGATTACAGGCACTCACCACCACACCTAAGTTTTGTATTTTCAGTAGAGATGAGATTTCACCATGTTGGCCAGGCTGGTCTCGAACTCCTGACCTCAAGTGATCCGCCTGCCTTGGCCTCCCAAAGTGCTGGGATAACAGGCATGAGCCACCATGCCTGGGTACATTTATGTTTTAACGGGGGTGTAAAATAGGTGTCTGTCTAGTACAGAATTTCATGGTTTCCCTTTATAGTCTGATTTCATTTTCTTCTTTCACCGTGTCCTAGGACAACCCCTACATATTTCTGAAGGAAATGAGAGTTTCCCATCTTACCACCCACAGAAAATCACTGCTTACCATTTTAGTATATTTCTTTGTTAGGTATATCTCTCACTTCTATTTCTCTCTCTGTCTCTCTCTTTTTCTCTATTTGTTTAGTGGATTGGGATCATGCTGTATACCTAGTATATTGTATATTGCTTTTTTTGATACATTGTGGTTATTTTCCTGTTTACATCTTTTGAAAATTGTATCAACTGCATAACATTCCAGTTCACAGATGTAATACTTATTTAAAATTAAATTGGTGAAAACCTTTGTTCTGACATATATCACAGCCTACTTCAGATCTTTAGAATGGGACTTTATGGGTCTACAAGGACTTAGGTATAAGCTGGTAGCCTGCTGCCTCTTAGTAGGTCATTTTTTCCTCCTCCTCTTCACCTTGCCTCTTTACCAGATGTTACGGTGTTAGGGAAGTTGCTTGGCAGCCAAAACAACAAAAATTACTTAGTATTTGTTGTCTTACCTTTCTCTGTTTTTTTTTTTTTAATTTGAATTAAATTAAATTTTTTTTTTCATTTTAGAGCAGGGTCTTGCTCTGTTGCCCAGGCTGAAGTGCAGTGGTGCTATCACGGCTCACTGCAGCCTTGAACTCCTGGGCTCAAGCGATCCTCCCACCTCAGCCTCCCAAATAGCTGGGACTACAGGCAAATGTCACCATGCCCAGCTTCTGTTTTTTTATGAGTGTTTTCCCCAAGTGAAATAAATCAGGAGTAATTTAATAATACTAATAGGTAATATTTATTCTGAGAACAGTTAGTACACTCTTATTTTTTTTTTTAAGAGACAGGGTCCTGCTCTGTTACACAGGCTAAAGTGTAGTGGCATGATTGTAGCAGTCTTCAATTTCTAGGTTCAAGAGATCGTCCTGCCTCAGCCTCCCAAGTAGCTACTAGGACTACTGGTGTGTGCCACTACATGCGGCTAATTTTTTTTATTTTTAATAGAGACAGGGTCTTGCCTTGTTGCCCAGGCTAGTCTTGAACTCCTGGCCTCAAGAGATGCATCTCTCTTGGCAAAGTGCTGGGACTACAGGCGTGAGCCACCGCACCCAGCCAACTCCCTTTTCTTAATGCCCTAAGATTTAGATTACCAAAATTGTTACTATTTTAAATAGCATTGTTTTTGGTAGTCTCGAATAAATGATTCCCTTTCTCTCTTTTAGTAATATGGTTAACAAAAATCAATCGTGTATTCTTAGAGCTAGAAAGGAATTCAAGAGTCCATTAAGTCAGGTCTCTCTGACGTCAGGCAGTTCTGAGTCTATGTGGATATGAACATACTTCTATCTTTCTGAATTGGATTATGTGCATTTACAAGCAACACGATTGTATTATCTTTTTGTTCTTCCTGTCATTAGGGTCCTGGGAAGCCTCCTTTCTGCTCACAGAATAATAACTGACTCCAAGCAGCCCTTTGGTGACATGACAATTAAGGACTATGATAATGAGTTGTTATACATGGCCCATGACCTGGCGGTGCGGCTCCTCCCTGCTTTTGAAAACACCAAGACAGGGATTCCATATCCTCGGGTGGGTAGACTGGTTTGACCCTTTGTGTTTGACAATTCACTATCTTCCTGAATTAAAATTCTTTGCTTACTAATTTATTTGGGAGAAGGAATGGGATGGAGGTAGATGAGAAAAGCAGTGTCCTTAGAAGAATTTGGCCTTAAATATGATGTAAATATTTTAAAATTCATTCAGCATTTACTGAACATCCACTGTATGAAAGGCAAACAGTGATATATCTGACTTATTCCTTCCCCTTAAAGAGTAGATGTTCTGTGAAGTTCAGTATTCTTAAGTCCATTTACATGTGTGATTTATATTCTCTGCTACAAAGCAGTGTGGGGAGTTTGTCTTCATCTCTGACTTGGGTCTGTTTTCCCAGAGATCCTCACATGGGTATTGCGGGAGCTCAGTGAGTGTTCTTTTCAATGCTTCACGTGGATCTTTCAAATAAAGGCTGCACAGACCAGCAAGTTAGCTGCTGATTTAAATGCCAGGATCTGGAATTAGATTATATATTTGTGACATCTGATTTGCCAAGCCCAGAACTCCTCTGGGAATTGAGTCAGCCTTTTAGGTAACTGACTGAGAACTGCCAGAGCACAGAGCCTTCATGATGAAACTGGCTGTCATATTCTGGTAGTGCCTCCTTTCTTGCCCAGTTTGAGGTTTGTTTAGGTGCTGAGCAGGAGTGAGTTCATAGTGGTTCATTTAAAATTTAGAAGAAATTCTATAGTTTGCCTTTGTCTCTAACCCTAAAGCCTGGTGCCTGTGTTACCATGAAGAAAACCTGCTGGAAAGAGAAGGTTTAGTGAAGTGTTATAGCCATTCCCTGAAGACTTGCTCTTATTAATAAAGCAAGGCTCTGCTGTTCTTATTGTCTTGTTTGTGTCTTTTAAATTTAATTCCCGTATTCACCTCAGATGTATCTTGGAAGGCAGAGGGCAGACTCTCACCGTGGTAAGCTTGGTTTATTAGCTGAGTGTAGTCTCTGAGACCCGGCTTTTCAGCTCTGTGGATTCCTTGAGTTTTGTCACAGTCTTTGTCTGTTCCCATCCCCAGGTGAATCTAAAGACAGGAGTTCCTCCTGACACCAATAATGAGACATGCACAGCGGGAGCCGGTTCCCTCCTGGTGGAATTTGGGATTCTGAGTCGACTCCTGGGGGACTCCACATTTGAGTGGGTGGCCAGACGAGCAGTGAAAGCCCTTTGGAACCTCCGGAGCAATGATACAGGATTACTAGGTGTGGCACCTTTCCTCGCCATTGGGACTGCACACTGCTTGGTCCCCTTTTCCTTTCATCTTCTCTGGGCTCTGCCCCCTTTTTACTCTTCAACTCAATTGACAACTCAGCAAGAATTGTGTCAGCTCTATCTAATTTCTTTATGTGACCCTTTGCAGAGAGGCTGCATGGTCTGATGGAAAAGCATTAAGCTTTTGTGTTTGAGGGCTCCCTTCTGATTCGGATCCCCTGGCATATTCCACTTGAAAATTATTGTTAATGGAAATGCCGTAAAAAGAACTGCCTCTGAGGCAGATTTTATTGCTTCAATGTAAGGTTCTAAATATAGGAATTTAGAGTTACTGATGGAGCAGCTTTTTCCTTTTAAAAAATCTGGGCCTGTGGTAGTAGATTGAAAGTCCAGATTAAACCTGTGTGAGGTGGGGTTTTTTCCCTTTAGAATGTTTGGTGAAGATGTTACTTAAAAATTATTATGGAAAATTTCATAATATAGTAGAGAGAAAGTATGATGAATAATGACCCCTATGTACTCATCATTTGTCTTCACTAATTATCAGTATTTTGCTAACTCAAGGTGTTATTTTATTTATTTATTTATTTTGAGTTAGGGTCTCACTGTGTCACCTAGGCTGGAGTTCAGTGGTGTGATCTTGGCTCACTGCGGCCTCCACTTGCCGGGTTCAGTGATCCTCCCACCTCAGCCTCCCAAGTAGCTGAGACGACCGGCTTGTGCCACCATGTCCAGCTAATTTTGTTTATTTTATGTAGAGACAGGGTCTCACTATGTTGCCTGACTAGTCTCAAACTCCTGAGCGCAAGCAATTCTCCCACCTTGGCCTCACAAAGTACTGGAATTACAGGTGTAAGCCACTGTGCCCAGCCTAGGTGTTATTTTAACTCATGTAACTGTCTTAAGTTCTGAAATTTATGTATACATTTGTTGTATTTAACAACAGCAATAGAAATAAAGAAGTCACTCAAATTGTCAGCCTATCACCAAATAGTTGACCAGTGTCACTCCCGATTGTCAACTTTTTAGGTTTCCATAGACCCTTTCAGCCTGGCCTGTGTAACTTCTATATATTTTTCATTATAATATAAACATATATTTTGATTCTGCCTGACATTTGGCAGATCATTTGTTTCCAGGTTGTTGCCTTGCATTCATAATGACCACTTTTGTTGTTGTTTTTATTATTAAAAAAAATTATCTTTTCCCTTTTCTTTTTTTTTTTGTCTTTTGAGACAGGGTCTCCCTCCATCACCCAGGCTGGACGGCAGTGGCACAGTCTCTGCTCACTGCAACCTCTTCCTCCCAGGCTCAAGTGATCCCTGGGATCAAGTGAACCCCCCATCTCAGCCTCCTGAGTAGCTGGCACTACAGGCACCTGCCATCGCACCCAGCAAATTTTTTGTATTTTTGGTAGAGACAGAGTTTCACCATGTTGCCCAGGCTGGTCTCGAACTCCTGAGCTCAAGCGATCCACCTGCCTCGGCTTCCCAAAGTGCTGGGATTGTAAGTGTGAGCCATCATGCCTGGCCACTTTTTCTTTTTAAAATCATCTTTTTTTGGATAAATTCCCAGGAATGGCAGTACTGGGTTAAAGTCTGTGAAAAACTCTTGGGTTTTGAAATGCATCGTCAATCTGGAAAAGCAAAATGAGAAACCTATTTTTATTTTGCATTAAATGTTTATCCCCATGTTTGTGTCAGTAAATGCTATATATTTAGAAGATGTCTAGGCTAAGTTAGTGATAAGACTGATAAAAATGTTAGGTCCAAGCAACCACCTCCTTCTCCTGTATGCCAAGGATAAAGGTGCTGAGGAGCAGTGTGGTTGGAGTAGGAGGCCTGTCTCCATTCATGTCCTCCCCGATGAGACAGCTGGGACCTCAAGTGCCTTGTTTATTTTTGCAGGCAATGTCGTGAACATTCAGACGGGCCACTGGGTTGGAAAGCAGAGTGGCCTGGGTGCCGGGCTGGACTCCTTCTATGAATACCTCTTGAAATCTTACATTCTCTTTGGAGAAAAAGAAGACCTAGAAATGTTTAATGCTGCATATCAGAGTATTCAGAACTACTTAAGAAGAGGGTATGTCTCCCTAACATCTCCTCTGTTGCCTTGTAAAGCAAATAGAATGCATTCTGAAGCGTTTGTATTTTTTTTAACACACAATCACAGGGTCTGTTTATCTCTGCCCTCACCTTACCACCTCTCCTAGTTTGTCAGTCATCTGGGGGCAAAGAGCTGTGTTATCTTTCTGTCGCTGCATAGCATAGTACCCCAGAACCTAGTGGCTTAAAACAACAAGCATTATCTCATGAAGTTTCTTAGGGACAGTAATCCAGGAGCAGCTGAGCCAGTCATTCTGGCCCAGGATCTCTCCTGAGGTTGTTGTCAAGCTGGTGGCCAGGGCCACAGCCATGCTAAGGCCCAATGGTGCTGGGAGATCCCCTTCCAGGCTCACTTTGGTTGCTGGCAGTCTTCAGTTCCTCTTTGGCTGTTGGCTGGAGGGCTCAGTTCTTTGCCAAGGGGCCTCTTTGTAGGTAGCTTATGGCCACTGGCTTCCCCCAGAGTGAGTGATCTGAGAGAAAAAGAAAGAGGCCAAAATGGCAACCACAGTGCTTTCATGACTAGTCTGGGAATGATATACCAATACTTCTGCCAGACCATTAGTCACCCAGATCAAAATGATACATTCAGTGTGGGAGGGGGCTGTGCAAGCGTGTGGCTCGCACGGATGGAGGTTCTCGGGGGCCGTCTTAGAGACTTGCTGCTACTACAGGGGCTGACACATCCCAGTGTTTAACTGTGGCTTTAATTGCAGATAGATCTGCAATGCAGGACAATGTTTTGGTTCTAATACTTTACAAAGAACTGTTAGGATTGGTTTTTATACTTGGTGATAGAAAGGACAGTTACCACATTTTTTTTTCTCTCTGAGTTTGTTTAAAACATTATTCACCATTTTCTGTTGTTCCTCCAGGATGACAGGAGAGAGAGAGCCATTTGAAGCTACAGTGGCTTCTACGTAGTGTCACTCTCTTTCCCAGATCTTTCTTTTTTTTTTTTTTTGAGTCAGAGTCTTGCTCTGTCACCCAGGCTGGAGTACAGTGGTACGATCTTGGCTCACTGCAACCTCTGCCTCCTGCGTTCAAGCGATTCTCCTGCCTCAGCCTCCTGAGTAGCTGGGATCACAGCCGTGCACCACCTTGCCTGGCTGATTTTTGTATTTTTAGTAGAGATGGGGTTTCACCATGTTGGTCAGGCTGGTCTCAAACTCCTGACCTCGTGATCCACCCGCCTCGGCCTCCCAAAGTGCTGGGATTACAGGTGTGAGCCACCACACCTGGCCCCCAGATCTTTCTTTGTATGTATTTCTATGTTAAGTGTCCAGTTTCAGTGCAAGTTATAGCTACTGAGCTTCCTGCTTGGATTTTCTTGGGTCCATTTCTACATTGCTGTTGTAGGAACCACTTGTATGTGCTATGTTTAAGTAAGGGGCCTTTTGAGTGGAATTTATTTATTTTTGCTTTTCAAAGCCACAAACTAAATTGAGCAGTAATCCCCAAGGGTCTTGCTCTGATGCATTTCTCCAGGCCCATGCTGTAGGACATTACTAGAGAAGAGACTCTTTGTACCAAAAGAACCAAGCTTTTCTGCTCAGGTGAAATCCAGCATAGGCCCATACTATATACTGAATTCTCTTATGTGGCAGGGCTCTTAAACCCAAAGCTCAAAGTGCTTTCTGCAGAATACTGTGAAATCCTGACATATTACAATGGCTGCGTTAGGAACTTTGATCCTGTGGAAAATATTATCTTCTGCTAGAGTCTAATGTAGATAATTAAAGGCAGTCTGTCTGCAGAGGTTTAAGGAATGAGTTAGGAGAAAAAATTAATGTTAATTCCGTTTAAATGAAACTACCAGCAGCTGCTGGAGAGGTAGAGATCTGTCAGTGAGCTTTCTTTTCACCACTGAATGTGCTGCTTGGGTTTGCAGGCGGGAAGCCTGCAATGAAGGAGAAGGAGACCCTCCACTCTATGTCAACGTGAACATGTTCAGTGGGCAGCTGATGAACACCTGGATTGACTCTCTGCAGGCCTTTTTCCCTGGACTGCAGGTATTTTGCCATCAGATTTCCTAAGAATAACCAATCACCAGAAAGGGCTTCTCCCTCCTTTTCTTTCTTTTTTAATACCCTGAGCATTCTCTGTCTCCTTTGGATTTGGGAGGTCACTGACACTATACGTCTTCATCTCTCTGTTTGAGAAATTAGTCTCCAGAATATTGAACAGAGCCATTCCACACAAGTGCAAAACCGTGCTTGAGAAGTGACTGTGTGTGATTTTTGTTTTTGTTTGTTTTTGTTTTGAGATGAAGTCTTCCTCTGTTGCTCAGGCTGGAGTGCAGTGGCGCAATCTTGGCTCACTGCAACCTCCGCCTCCTGGGTTCAAGAGATTCTCCTGCCTCAGCCTCCAGGGTAGCTGGGATTACAGGCGCCTGCCACCACATCCGGCTAATTTTTTGTACTTTTAGTAGAGACGGGGTTTCACTGTGTTGTCCAGGCTGGTCTCGAACTCCAGGCCTTAGGTGATCTGCCCGCCTCAGCCTCTCAAAGTGCTGGGATTACTGGCATGAGGCACTGTGCTGGGCTGTGTGAGATTTTTGGATAATCCATCGCTCAGTTGTTTATTCCTTGTTCATGAGTACACGTAATCTCTTTTTCTGTGTGCAGCTCACATCAATTTGGCATTAGTGGCCAGATAGGGAGGGCATTTATTTGTCTGGGTTGTCACTTTTGGGTTGGTTTTGTCTTTAACCGTATGTGTAGGTCAACTAAGAACTCGGGGGCAGAGGAGAGCCCAGGCAGGCCCTTTGTGCCATGTCTTGTCACTCTAGGAATGGTATCTCAGCCTGATGACCTGTGTCCTCTCCTTAGGTGCTGATAGGAGATGTGGAAGATGCCATCTGCCTTCATGCCTTCTACTATGCCATATGGAAACGATATGGTGCCCTCCCTGAGAGATATAACTGGCAGCTGCAGGCCCCTGACGTTCTCTTCTACCCACTGAGACCAGAGTTAGTGGAATCCACATATCTCCTCTACCAGGTACTAGAGTTGTGTTTTTTTTTTTTTCCTTTCACTGCCTCCCCTGACCCCAGCAGTTCATTCTTAATGAACATTTGCTGAGTGATTTAGGGTTATGTTGTTTCATAGTGACTCTGATTGAGTTACCCCCTATCCGTAGTCTTGTTAGTGTTCAGTGTCATTCGTAACTTCACAGGACAGAGAAGGCATCTGCAGTCAAATATGTTTTTAACCTAATATTCTACAAAGCTGAATCATGTTTTTACCGTAGGACTTATAACTCACATCTTTAAGTATTCATGAGGAAGATTTGGTACTAAGGTGTTTTCCAAATGTATGTGACCAGAAGACCCGTTTTTAGGATGCAATTCTGCATCAGTGTACTGTGGAGCCCCGGTCTGTGTAACAACTATTCAGACAAAAAGAAAATTCATTTTCTTGGTTGTAAAGGAAATCATCTTGGATTCATCTGGATGCCTGTTTTTGTTTAATGTTTGTGTTTGTGTGTGTGTGTGTGTATATATATATACACACACACACACACACATATATATGTAATAGTGTTCATCCTTTGTGAAATTACTTCAGTGGTAGAGGGAATGTGACTTTAACTGTGAAATGTCTTCTTCCTGACGGTTGAAGCCAGGTATTTATACTTCTGTGTATGCCATACATATATACACACTGAGAGTCCTCCTCCATCCACATGCACAGCAGCACGAGTGGTTAACTCACCAAGAAACTGGCCTTGGTGAAATTCAGTAGGCCGGTAACAGATGCCCACCGTGGGCCAGCCCTAGCAAGCAGGGCCTGAGTTTTAGAAACTCTGGTAGTGGGGAGTTTTAGAAACTCTGGTAGTGGAGCTAACACTAAGATTTGAATTTATTTATTCAACAATTTTTTTATACCAAATCCTTGCCGTTTGCTTCAGATGAAAAAAGGGGAAAGAAATCCTGTGAAACTGGTAGTAGTCCTCATGCCTAAAAAGGGACTTCATGAGTTTTAGGTAACCTCTCAAAAAAGGGAAAAGATAATAGCCACCTGTTTGGCCTTTCTGAGCCCAGTAGAAAGACTGTACACGGAGGATGGCGTGCCGGTTACTGGCTGATTTCTTCTCTTAAGCTTAGTCCTGTGGCCTGTGAGCTTACTCCTCTTTGTTTCTGTCACTGCTTCTTTCATGTTTTCCGTTTCTCCTTCACGTTGACAGAGATGTCTTGCACTCTTCAGCTTTACCCTCCGAAGCCACACCCTGTGCACTTTTAATCTGGAGACTGCTAACCTTGTTGTTTGTTGCTGCAATCTGGCACTAGGCATGAATTAAAGATCCCCAACTTTTAAACTGTTTGTTGGATAAAGGCTTATCTTCCCAGAGAAGTTTTTCTCTAGTAAAACCATCTAAGAGTATGTGTGAGAAGAGTAGGCAACTGAGGACTGATTTCTCAGGGTGATTAGAAAGGAAAGGGTGGCGGCCTCCTTTCATACTTCGGAAAGTCTTGTTCCCATCAGCCTTTCCTCATGGTGCCATAACTGGAATGGCGGCAAGGTCCTCTTTCCTGTGCCTGTGTCTTAAGTTTCTGGAGAGTTCTGAGGCAAGATAGAAATTGGATTTGTTCTCAGATATGGTGCTGTCAGCGTGGGCATTGTTTTGTTTCTAATCATGATGGCAACCAAAGTAGACTATTGTTCTACCCTGGAACAGATGGTCTTACCCCTGGCTAAAGTTAACCAAATCACAGGTACTCTTTGATGTGAACTGACGGAGTACCTTAGTCCTCTAACCATTGTGACCCTGCAAGATAAATGACCTGGGCCCTGTTTCTTCCTTTGGCTGGCGACTCGTCTCCATGGGGAAGCCCCGCAGTCACCATGATGTTTGTCGATGGCATGTCTTCCAAGCCCATGCTGGATCACATTCTCTCGTGTTCTCTCTAGGCAACCAAGAATCCCTTCTACCTCCATGTAGGAATGGATATTCTGCAGAGTCTGGAAAAGTACACAAAAGTCAAGTCAGTTTTCTAAGTTCCTACCTTTTTCTGTCAGCCACTTTTAATTTATTTCAAATTGTTTTGGGGAAATATCCTAGTTTGCATTTTAATTTATAGAACCAGGTCATTAATGTTACATTTACAGGGAAATTGCTTACCTTTTGGTGTAGTAGAACCTTTCCATTGTACTGAGAACTGCCCTTTCTTTTCCGTGAGGTTCTAGCAGATTATGGGTGTTCATTCTAACTTCTTTCCCCTAGTTATATAATAACATATACGCTAAAATGTTTAGGGAGTACAGAAAATATAAAGCAGTAGAATATTATCACTGTAATCTCCACATACAGAGAAAACTGTAGTCAGTATTGAAATGTATGTACTTATAATCTTTTAAATATTTTTATATATGATGTGTGTATATATGTATATATAAGAAACATACTCTATATTTCAATTTTGTGACATGCTTTTTTTTACCTGCTGTAAGTTTTTTTTTTTAAGTACTATCTTAAATAATAAGTCAATACTCAAATAATAAGTCAATTCTCAATAATAAGTCAATTCTACAAGTATTAGGACTAGAAATTTAAATTAGTCCTTTTACATTTGTTGCCGGTCATTTTCCTGGTGCCACGTTATGCTTCTGGCCAGCACCCCGCCACCACGCCCACACCCTCTAACTCACCTGATAATTTAGCAGCCAAAAGCACTTGCTAAGTAAATTTGCAAACAACCCAGGCTATAAAAAAGGAGAGCCCCTCAATGTAAACATAGTTTCATATGGTGTTGGATGACTGGTTGATTATTCTGATAAGAGAATGTTTCTGCTTCTTAAGTGAATCAGCAGGTGGGAAGGAAGAGAGGCAGGACTGACCAGATGATTGTTTTGTAGGTGTGGGTACGCCACGCTGCATCACGTCATTGACAAGTCCACAGAAGACCGGATGGAGAGCTTCTTTCTCAGTGAGACCTGTAAATATTTGTATCTGGTATGTGTGTTGCAAGATGAACCCAGGAATATTTAGTATTGCTTAGAGCAAGCATTCGCATAGTCTTCCATCTGACAGGTACTTACTGGCTAAAGCTATGTGCTGGACATTGTGCATTCCCAGGATGCAAACGCTGTCAGAACCAAAGGATATTACTATCTTCTTTCATGGTTTCCAACCTTGTTGAAAAGTCATTTGTCAAGTAAACCAAGAACTGAACTTATGATTACAAACTGTGGGAAATCCTGGTAACGATTGATACAGAACCAGTGTTAGTTCTGTATCTAACTACAGGTGGTCGGGGAAGACGCCTCTGAGGAAGAGAGCTGTGTTCATAATGGCTTCTCACTTCTCTTGATGTATGTGATCTTAGCCAAGACCTGCAGCTCAGCCTTGTCTCTGTCCATACACACATCCTCAGGCACATGAGTGAGTGAGTGTGTGTGTGTGTGTGTGTGTGTGTGTGTGTGTGTAGAGAGAGAGAATTTCTGGACCTGGACGAACCCTTTGGTATTACCTAATGTTCATATGTTCATCATTTCCCTCACAAGAACTACAGCCTACACAGAGGTCAGGCGACTTGCTCAAAGTATGGCGATGGCTGTGGCAGAGCTGAGGTGTGAACTGTGGTCCTGACTCCCTGTCTGGTGCTCTTTCCATCTCACCGCTCTGCCTCGTGCATACAGCCACTCTCGTGCCCCCTGCCACTTTCCTCAGTATGGCCACATAGAAACAGAGGGCAGGATTTCCAGGTTAGAAGATAGCATGGCAACTGAGAACTTGGGCAGAGGGTCAGAGATAGAAGCAGCTGTGATAAATTGTGTTTATCTAGTTCCGTGGTTCCTAGGCCTGGGGCTAGCTGGGTCCAAATCACCCTGGGGCCCTTGCTAAGATGACAGCCATATTAAGTCAGAATCTTCAGAATAAGCGGGCTCAGAAATCTGTCATTTTGACAAGTGCCTCCAGTGGTTTCACATGAGCCAGGTTTTGGAGCTGCTGGTCTAATCCATTAAGACGATACTCTTCTCTGTCTGGGGTCTTTTCACAGATGACTGCAGAGGTATGTCCACCAGCAGCCCATGTGATCTGTCCAGTGGGAAGACAGCTGTCCTGCTGTCGATTCCTGTGTGTGCAGTGGTTCTTGCTCTCCTTGCAGGTGGCTCAGTTCTGCTAAATCAGGCTGGTCAGAGCCTAGCTACATATTTCCATCCAGCAGCCACTGGTGTCAGAAGGACGTTAACAGGGCGAGTTTTAGAGTAAAAGGAAGGTGACCCTGGAGGGTGTGCTAGCTGAAAGAACCTAGAGTCTGGGGAGAGGAAAACCTGTGGTCTACCCTGTTCTTCTCTTGTTACTGTGTAAACATTGACAAGCTGCACTGAATCTCATTTTTCCTCATCTTGAAATAGTTTAGGTGACCAATAAAGTTTCAAAGAGTTTCTAGGTATTCATTCATTCAACATTCACAGAACACTTGCCTTCTCCTGCACTGTTGCATCCCATATTGGGTTAGATGTTCTTTCTAGATGCTCTTTCGTTCCGTGTCACATGCACCATTGAGGGAAAGGACTGTGCCTTGTGTCCATTGCGTCTTCAGAGCCCAACCCTTGTTGTGCAAGAAGTGAAGTGAATGTTGGCAGATGTGTTGGGCTCTGTGCTAGGCCCTGGGGAAATGGTGGTGGATAAAACTTGGTCCCTCCCTGTCAGCATTTACAGTTCAGGGTCTAGGTGTGTGTGAGGTTGGGTGTAGTTCTAGAATTCCAGCAGGAGAACTCTTAGGTAGCACATGGAAATCATCCAGTGAACTTTTATAGACTACCTGTGCTTGGGCCTTAGTTTCAGAATTTCTGAGTCTCTGCGTCTGGGCAGGGTATGTGTAGGGGAGAGGCAGGTCTGGGCATCTGAGTTTAGATGAAGCAGGTGATTCTGCCTTGCAGCCTGGGTTGGGCACCACAGTTGTCAGTCAATTCCTTTTCACCCAGTTGTCACTGAGAAGCATGAGGCCCAAGCAAATTCTACTCCCTGAGTAGCTGGGACACGCCCCCATGATTCAGTTCCCAGTGTGCTACAATTATTGGTTGTATCTTTTTCTCCGTTCCCTCTAGCTGTTTGATGAAGACAATCCAGTACACAAGTCTGGAACCAGATACATGTTCACAACAGAGGGACACATTGTATCTGTGGATGAGCATCTTCGGGAATTGCCATGGAAGGAATTCTTCTCTGAAGAGGGAGGGCAGGACCAAGGGGGAAAGTCTGTGCACAGGCCGAAACCTCATGAGTTAAAAGTCATCAACTCCAGCTCCAACGTGAGTTGCTTTTTCCAGGGGTGATTTGCATATAGAGGAAGAGAAGATACTATGAATTGCTTAGTTGTTCAGACTTCCTGACAGAAAATTGATGGTGTATGCAGATTGGGAGATTTGAAAACACCTCCTAAAGACACCATTTACATAGCTGTTGTCAGGGTATAGGGAAACCGCAGGAGCAGCGGTGGCATCATCACTGCTGGCTGCAGGTGCTGGTGGGGAGAGTGGCTACAGGATCCTGGAAGGGGGGAGCCTTGTGGGAGGAGCGAGCACTCAGCAGGAGCCACGGCTCAGATCTGACTTTCAAGGCCTTGCCTGGAGGGAGCCGGCAGAGTCAACATGTGACCCCTCCCCGCTCCCCCAGTTGCCTGCTGGAGCATCTTCTTGGCTGCCTGGGGCAGAAGCTGGAGGCCGAGGGAGCCTGTTGATATGATCCATCAGTGGACCTGGAGGGGCAAATGGAAGACATTCAGCAAAATCATTTACCAGCAGCAGAAGGGAAAAAAAGCAGTGATGGTCACGATGGTCCCAATGAAGATGCTCTTCGAAGTGCAGCAAACACCCACATTCATTTAAAGTGGGGCTTTACTCCACATGCCTAGATTGTCCTGAGAAGCAGCAGGAAAAATTTGGAAATGGAAGTCCTTGCATCCCTAGTGAAAGTATCAGGTAGTTGTGTTGATTTGAATCAAATAGGATGATTTGGAAGTGAGGATAGGGAAATGTAGGTCAGTCAAAATTTCAAATCTTGTTATCCCCCAGGGCCTTGGTGGTCAGGAGTTCGGCAGCCTCCCCACAGATGGGTTGCCTTGGCATTAGGGGTGCCCTCTCATCGCCGACTGTGCTTCAGTGCTTTTCCGTTAATGCCCCAGTGAAGGTCTTCACCATCAGTCTATGAAGTAAATCGATAGGCCAGAGTGTAGATAACCACCCCCGCCCCCATTTCCATCAGTCATGGAGCGCTGATTGAGTGGACAAAGCATAATCGGGAGGAAGGGGAAGGAGGGTGAGAGGGGGAAGAGTTAATAACAGCCAGCATTTGCAAACACATACCAGGGTTAGCCTTTGCACCATTCTAAACGCTTACGTACATTAATCTGTTTACTTCTAACAACAGCCCTGTGAGGGGTGGTTACTTTTAACATCTCCATTTTACAGCTGAAGAAAGGGAGGCACAGAGAGGTTCAGGTCCCACAGTGGAGCCAGGATTTGGACCCAGGCAGTGTCTTCTCTTTTAGGAAGGAGACATCTCTGACCTGCCATACTCACTAATAGATCTGATCCCATGATTCCAGGCACCAGGGATTCAGGCCCTCAGAAGGGCTCCCGGTTCTGGATAGGAGCATGGCCTAGTGGGGAATCCACTTCCATCCTAGGCGTTTGTCTGTAGTGCTGTTGAAACACAGAGGGTAGGGAGTAATCTCCAGAGAAAATCAAGGCAGGATTCCCTGAGGAGGTCACTTGCTGGAGATCCTTGAAGGATGAAAAGGGGTATCCCAGAAAGGGTGTTCAGGCAGAAGCAGTAGCACCTGCAAAAGCACAGAGATGTGGGCTGGTGGGGGCAGTCGGGACCAATGGAAGGACCGGCCAGTCTTGATCTTGCCAGGGATGAGGAGCAGGGTGTAGTAAGTTCAACTTACTACAAAGCGTGGGGAAAATGTTTCTTTGGAGATGAAGCAGATAATGAATGTATTTAGACAACTGCTTCCAGGGATGTCACAGTTGGTTAGTTCTCAAGATGTGCATCTGCTTTGAGGAAAAAAAGTGGTGGGGGTGGGGGGGTTTTAATTAAAGAAATAGTCTTAAGCATTTAGAGTTTAGTGAGTTGTGAATGAGAAAAACATAGCTCAGAAAAACACAGTATTTTCAAGTAGCAGAAATGTTTTCTGAAATTCTGGGCGGACTAAGGACCCCAGGGATGTGGCTTTCAGTCCTGGCCACGAAGCAGTTGCTGCGATGCCTTTTAGCTTCCCTGGATCTGCCATTTCTTTATAAAGTGAGTGAGGATGTTAAATTATGTCACTGGTCTTCACCTGAGGGTGATTTTGCTCCTCAGGGAACATTGGAACAGCGTCTGGAGACGTTTTTGATTTTCACAGCTGAGGCGTAGGAGTTGCCACTGGCACCTAGTGGGAGAGGCAAGGGGTGCTGCTGACCGTCCTGCAGTGTACAGGCAGCTTCCACAACAGTTACTTCCAAACGTCAGTAGTTCACAGGCTGAGAAACCCTGGATTAAGTCATCCAGTCACATTTCCTGAGAGAGCAACATATGAGTTTTTAATTTTCCCTCGTTTTTGTCTTTCTAGTGCAATCGTGTACCTGATGAGAGGAGGTACTCCCTGCCCTTAAAGAGCATCTACATGCGACAGATTGACCAGATGGTTGGTTTGATTTGATCTGCTCTCTGTGAGGCCTCATCTTGAACCAGACCTTAACGACCAAACCCAGACCATGCCAAAGTCCAGTCTGAAATGAAAGGGGACAGAAGTCTTGCTGTCCATGGTGGTGTAGGAATTTCTGTGCAACACCTCACCACGTCTGGTTAATCCTTGCACACTTCAGTGTTTCTCTCCTGTTCAATAAAATGCCCTGTTAAGGATATAATTTGAAGTGAGAAGATACATGGAAATTGCCCTCTTATGACATGTTGATGTTATAAGCACAATAGATGGGGCATCTTTGGATTGATGTTCACAGCTTTATACTTCAGAACCTAAGTCTCTTCACTTTGCTGGCACCTGCTATACTGGAGTATTGCTATGTCTTTAAAAAATTTTTTTTATTATATTTTATTTTTTTGAGACAGGGTCTTGATATTTTTTTGGGACAGGGTTACCTGGGCTCAAGTGATCCTTCTGCCTCAGCCTCCCGAGTAGCTGGGATTACAGGTGAGCACCACTGTACCTGGCTAGCTACTTCTTTGTTAGAGGATTGAGAATGAAATTTCTGCAAAAGGGCCCATGGTTCATTTGGTATCCCTATTTAATTGCATTGAAAATGTCATCCTTTCTGTTGTTAGATAATTGGGGTCTTCCCCTGATATCCAACCGTGATTTTGGATCACATGGGAGAAAAAGTCATCCAGTTTTTCATGTTTGCCTCAAGTAATCTTTACAGTGTTACAAATTATTTGCTTAAGAAGAATGGTCTTAACCAGAATTCTTAACAGATAGTCTCTTAGGTTATTATGTTATGGTCTAAGAGGTTAACTGACATCTTTTGGGTGGTATTTTGCATTTTGAATATGAACTTACCTGAGGAACTCCCATAGTTCCAGAATCAGGTGCCTTTTAGGGAGAGAACAATACCTAAGATTGTCTGAGCTTCCATCTTTCTCATATTTCCTAAGCAAGGATTCTCACTTCTGACCATATTTGGGTTAGAGTTCTGTTTTGTTTCTGTTTTCTGTGTCTAGTGCCAATTAGCTAAATCAGGGAGAAAGAAATGATCACATGACTTTTAGCATCCTTGAGCCATTTCTCTGTGTAATACAGGCTTTAGATTAGTGCCTTATATTGGTTTTGGTTTGGGGCACTGGATGTCGCAGCTACTGCTATGGTTTCAGGAGGCCTGTTTAGCCACATGGTGAGACCGTGGTGAAAGGGGGATGGAAATTGCTTGGCCAGTCTTTGCCTTTCATCCTGTAAAAGTAAGCATGTAGAAGGAGGAAGTTGTGCTAAAATGCCTTTGTTTTTTTGTTATTATTTTCTTAGCCAGAACATCTCTCTTTGAACTCACACTGATACACACCTGCTACTCTTACACAGTGCAGCAGGGTTGACTCTTAGTCTGGCTTCCATGAAGCGTCATGGGTGGAAACGCATTCTAGTAAAAAAGGTAGGAAATCCCTAAAACTTCCAGCCTCACATAGCACGGTTCTCACCTGTCACTGTTTTCCCACCTCTAAGGATTTCATGTACATCTTTTCAAAGCTAGAAATAAGCACTGTCTAAGTTTATGTTGCATTTTTAGTCAAAAGGGAGAAATCTTATTCCTTCTTGAAAATTTTAAGTGTTATGGTTTTATATAGTTCAGTTCTTTGAGATTTTTGAAAAGAGTATTTTCAGTAATAAACGTGCCATCTCTATCTCTTAAACATTTATTACAACAATTGTTTTAAAATAGAAAAAATAAAATGCTTCTATTTTACCTTTTTTCATTTCAGAAGCATTATTCTGTTTATTAACAGTGTCCCATCTACTGAATAGAAAACTTTGAGAATAATATATATATATATTTTAAATGTTTTCACTGACTCATTGAAAATGTTAATTACACACACATGCATGCATGCACACACGAGCATACTTGTACCTTTGTCTCTGGGCAAACAGGTGGGACTGTTAGTGACCCATTTGGGAAAATAGAGCATCTCAGAGAAGGAGGTGAGTTCTTCCTGCCTGTGATTTCTCTTGGCGCTCCCCTCCTCTCCCGCTCTGGCTTCTGTGGCGGCAGTGGTGGGTAAGCACTCCAGTGTTCTCTTAATGAGGCACTTTGCCTGTCACTCGAGCAAGCCTGGGTGTTCCTTCCTCCTCATGCTCCTGGAATAGGGAATAGGGATCTCATGCTTGCAAACTACACAATGCTGCAGGTGCTTCCCAGGGGCCACAGGCTGTCAGGAAACGTGTTTTATGTTAAGTCACAAACCCACTTGACTTCTGGGTACTGGAATTAATACCAGTGGGTGAGACTGAGGGTGAGTGAGTTAGTACATATTAATCCTGGTTGTTGAGCTTCCAGACTACCCCGTCCAAAGTTTGATGCTATGTAGTCAGTGGTTTGTGGGGCTGGATGCCAGAAGGTTCTTTGAGCCAGTTTCAAAGGTTACTTGTTTTTTTTTTTTTTTTTTAAAGTCAGAATGTTAACAGCTGTGATATATCCTGCAGGGCTTTTGCAGTTTCTTCTGTTCTGTGTTCTGAAATACTGGGTAGAGAATGGCTGAGGAGGAGATTACCAGAGAAGTTGCTTTGCTCAGTGCTTTGCCCCAGGATTGCCTCAAATCTGAGTGGACTTCATCCTTTGCGGCGGCTCTGAGCCTGGCCCATCTTCCTATTCCCACGTGTAGCTAGTGTCTAGTGTCAGCTTTGCTCAGTGTGGTGGAAACATTTTGCAGAACTGTTGTAGAAAGCTGCCTTATAGTTGGCTTGACAAAGCATAATTCTCTCATAACAAACTTTCAAATCATTACAGTAGCTTAGCTACTTTAGTTGATGTGACCGAGGAATCCCTTCTAGAATCATAGGTGGCAAGGGAGGGTTTGCTAGCTCTCCATTTGCACTGGCCATTGTGAAAAACCAGCTTCTGTATTCAAATCTTTCCTTCATTTTTTTAAATTTTTTTTTTGGCAGCGCTTGTGCTGGAACTTACTCATTGTAACTGAATCCTCAGGGCTTTTCTTGTTTTAGATCATGGACTGTGCACGTGACACTTAAATAATTTTCTATGTATTTAAAGAAAAATGCACCAGGATGGTGTCTGTGCACGTGACTATTAGAGGAGCGTCTGTAGAAGTACCTGGTTTGGTCAGTGCAGTTGTGCAATCTGAGGGCCTTGTTTCCTCCTCCCCTTTCCCCTTCTCCCCACCAAAGGAAAATATCCCTCTTAATGATTTCGTAGTTCAGTTTACTGAATGATTACCACCTGTAATTCCTCTTTGGATTGTGTAGACTCAACATGAGACATTCCTTTCTGCTTTCTGGAGGGCACCAGGGGCCTTTCTCTTTGATAAATTTTTTTTGTCTGTTGACAAAAACAAAAATCTTTTTTCAAATGTAGTGCTGGTGAAAAGGTAGGGCTGAGTGATTACCTTAGCCACAGGGTGGCTGAGCAGGAACTTTAGAAGAAAATCCTGAGCTTTCCTGTCCATTCCCAGCATCCAGCTCCTATTCTAGTGCCTCTTCCCTGCAGGGCAGGGACCCCTTGGGAAATCGAGGAGGTGGGACGGGCTGGGCCCTGTGTCCCAGGTTTCACAGGGCTCAGGGTTATGCTCCCGCTTGAATCTGGACGTGAATCTGGTAAAAATATCAAGTACCTGTGGAACTCCCTGATTCTATACCCTCTTCCTTCTTTCTGCAAGGCAGAGGAATAATATTTTTAAAGGTTATTTTGTTTTAGTTTTAAATAGCAAAACACAAGCTGCATTTTTATTTATTTTGCATAAGAAAGGTAAATCTTTTTACAAAAAAAAGTATAGAGTTGGAAACTCTGGGAAAACTTACGGAAATACACAAATGCTTCTCTGTAATGTGCAATATGCTTTGCAACTGTAGATGATATTTTATGTTTAATCTGTAAATAAGAAATGTATTTAAATTAAAAGGGATCTTTTTGTAAAAGGACCAAATGTTCTTTTATAAATGTAATAAGGAATATCTTGCTCTTTAAAATTTATTAGGATTTTTATGAGTAATTTTTATTAAAAGATTTCTTTTTTTGAGTTGTCATCTTGTTTCTTTTTTACATTCTCATGTACATTACATTACATGCAAGACAAATGGGAGAAAAGTCTCTAAAGGAAGTGCCCATCTAGATGAATAAAACCTTGCTTTTTATAGCTAAGCCCTAAGTAATACCTCCCCCATGGAATTCCACTACATTTTTGTATGTCACACTCTTCCATTAAATGCCCCTCACATGCAGGTCAGAACTGCTTTTCATGACTTTTGTCCCAGCCCTGGCCTTCCCCTCTGCATCAGCCTCCTTTCTCTTGGCCACTGAGTTCATTGTCTATTCTTATTGCCAATTAGCTGAGTGTATCTGGGATCTAAAACCAGTTCTCTGCGTTATCTAAGCAAGGCGCTTCATTTCTCCTCACCTCTGAGAGCAGTGGCACTTCACGGTCTGTGTGGGTGCAGAGGCCCATGGGAAGCGTGTGGGTAGAGGGTTCTGGAGGGCTGGCCTCCCTCCCTGTGTGTTGCCACTGGGGACCATGGTGGGATCCTGAGGAAGGGACCTGCTCCTGCTTTGTGACATCTGTGTCCCAGCTTTGGTCACAGACAATTTTGATACGGGTTTTTTTTTTTTTTTATTTGAGACAGAGTCTCACTCAGTCACCCAGGCTGGAGTGCAGTGGCACGATCTCGGCTCACTGCAACCTCTGCCTCCTGGGTTCAACTGATTCTCCTGTCTCAGCCTCCCTGAGTAGCTGGGACTACAGGCACGTGTCACGACACCAGGCTCATTTTTGTATTTTTAGTAGCGACGGGGTTTCACCATGTTGGCCAGGCTGGTGTCAAACACCTCACCTCAGGTGATCTGCCCATCTTGGCCTCCCAAAGTGCTGGGGTTACAGGCATGAGCCACCACGCCTGATGGGCCTTTTTAAAGGCCACGAAGCATGACAGGGCGAAGGAGAGACTCTCAAGGCTGGAAACACCTTGCCCACATTGAGCTCTACTATTGTGAGGGGTGGTGGGGTTGTGTTTGTCAAGTCTTGTGGGTTTGTGATCTTGACAAAACCAAGCAA
The DNA here is from genome assembly GCF_000001405.40 of Homo sapiens. Classification (NCBI taxonomy): domain Eukaryota; kingdom Metazoa; phylum Chordata; class Mammalia; order Primates; family Hominidae; genus Homo; species Homo sapiens. The sequence goes on from NC_000003.12 coordinate 5,220,988, forward strand.
GTCCAGTGGGCCAAGGGACCAAATCAAGAGCCACAGGGTTCTTGCCTTCCTGCCTTTCCCACTCCAGGCTGCCTCAGTAGTGGGAGCACCAGGCCCTTTGCCATCTGTGGAGCAAGTGGAGCCCAGCAGTCCTGTATGAACGCTGTAGTCAGTGTCGGGTGGAGTATGGGGACTCTGGGCCACACGGTGCTGGGTACAATTCCAACTCTACCCCTAACTTAGCTGTGTGCCTTGGGCAAGTTACAGACTTGATGGCCTCAGTTTTCCTGTCTAGTAAATGGGTTGATAATAATAGCCCATACTCAGGATAGTTGTGAGGACTGGGTGGATTCATATGTGTAAGGCACTTAACGTGTTTCCTATAATTATGGTCCAGCTGGATTTGACATCCAGGATCAGACCTAGGGCTTAAACAGGGATGCTGGAGGAAGAGTAAGAACATGGCTGGCCATGGGGAGGCTGGGCTGGCCTCCTGGCTTTGTCCTGGATGTGTGGCTTGGGTCAAGGCACTCACCTTCACACGGTGTCCTCACTTTTAAAATCAGAGATGATAGCACATCAACTCCTAGGGTTCCCGTGATGGCAAAATGAATTAGAAGCTACATTTGTCAGCGTGTGAGGCGGCAGCTGCTAAAATGTTTACAGGTTATGTCTCTTTGTCCCTTAAAGTTTTTTTTTCCTTCTTTAATCAAGGAAGTATGCTAATGTCTTCCTAACTCAGAAACCCAGACCAGGAGGTGCAGAGTGGTTGGGTGTGGTGGTACCTGTGCCCCAGCACACCTGGTCTTTGTGCTTAAGCGTCTGGCCCAGTCTGCTAGTCAGTGGCCTAAAGAATGAACAGTCCCTCCCCACTCTGGCTCTGTGTGTGTGTGTGTGTGTGTGTGTGTGTGTGTGTCTGTCTATGTGCTTGTGTGCACTCACGTGCATGTGTGTATGGTTTAAAAGCCTGTTACATTCAAACCTCACCCAAGTCCTGAGCGGTAAATTCTATGATTCCATTTCTCCAGCAGAGAACCCTGGAAAGTAAACAATCTTGCTTCCTGTCACAGCGGAACCCACTGGAAGCAACAGCCTGACGCTCTCTTTTAGATGCCGTCAACCTTAAATGATGAAATTCAGAAAATATGATGAAGTATATTAGATATATGATTAAGAGTTTATTAGATCCCAAAGCCGGGAATAACCGGTTACCCAGGGAACACAGACTCCAGAAAAATGGGGTCAATGCTCCCAAGTTAGAAGTTAAGGTCTTGCTTACATAGGTAGAAGACAAAGATATCTAGTAGGATTAAAACATATTCCGTACGAGGATGGTTTACGAGTTAACAACAGTTTTGTTACAGTTTTGTTTATTTTCTGTACAGCTTGTTTTCATGTCCTTTCCAATTTAAGAGTCCATTTAACATTCCTTCTTGAGACAGTGTGATAGTCATGAGGTCTTTGTGTGAGAAAGGGAAGAGGGAAGTTAATCTATAGTGAAGATCAACAGTGAAGAAGGAAGGAGTCTTCCCTGGTGCCCTTTAGTCACTTCTTACAAAGCAATGTAGGTAAGGAAGAAGGCTAATCTATAGTCAGAAAAATAAAGGTTACAGATGCCTGAACTCAGGTCCCATAATCACATTTCCTTAAGGCTTGAAATATTTAAAAGTTCCAACAGCTTAAATTTGAATTACTTATTTTCACGGTGCCATTGTGAATGGTTTGGTTCTAGCCCCCGTATGAAGAGAAGGGATGTCGCTGTCTCTCCCCAGAGGGAGTAGCTCGACCTTTGGTCAGAGACGCAAGTAGACCCTCCCCAGGGCTGGAGGGGCGAGGCTGGGACTGGGCTGCGCGCCTGCTTCTGGCTTGCCAGGAGCCCAGCACCAGGTCCTCTGCAGCTGCCAGGGATGAAGACCCCAGAAGGCACACTGTGAATGCCCTTTCTCCACAATTCAGAATATTCTCTCTGCCTGTGTCGGCGGGTAGGAAGAAGGCTACTTTTGGGGACCTACACTGCCCCACACCACAGAGAGCTCCTCTTTAAAGAGCTTGCTTCTCAAACATCCACCTTTTCAAGGTAAAGTCTCTCATCGTGGGGAGCTTTGAAGACGCTCTGCTGCACGGCTGGGTGCCCTTCAATGATGGGCTCGTCAAATTCTCGAAGAAAATGACCTGATCATTTGAAAAGCTTAACGCCTGCTTAATAAGGCACCAAAAAGGAACAAGAGCCAGTTGCCATCGTTAGAAAACCTATCTGGACCACCCTAAACTGATTTTGGGGGGTAAATACTGACATTTTAAAATAAAACTTTAACCCTTTTAAATATATCCATTGAAATCTGTAAACCGTCATAATTTGTTACCCGCCATCATCTATTAAAGAATATATTCCAATTTATTTATTGGGAATTTTAGATTGTCTCTTTTTCTGCTTGAATTAGTATTTACATTTCTTCCTCCCCACAGAATTTTATACCGATTTAATATATTTCAATTCTATAAAATCCTTAACAATTTTCTGTGTTCATAAGTTTCTAAGTATTAAAAAAGTCTTTGGAATTGAGCTGACATTACAATTAGTTGTATAAACAACATATATATTTTGATAGTTATTAACAAAAATTTATTAGAAAAGTTTCCCTTTGTTAAATGACAGTTTTGTTTTTCCACCTCTTTAATTGAATTGTATGGCTGTGGATGAATACTGCTTACTGTTGGAATGAGATGGGTTTCAGCATGAATTATATTCCTTTTTTTTTTTTTTTTTTTTTTTTTTTGAGACAGGGTCTTCCTTTGTTGCCCAGGCTAGAGTGCAGTGGAGAAACCATAGCTCACTGCAGCCTTGAACTCCTGGGCTCAAGCAGTCCTTCTGCCTCAGCCTCCCAAGTAGCTGGGACTACAGGTGCGCACCACCATGCCCGGCTAATTTTTGTATTTTTTTGTAGGGATAGGGGCTTGCCATGTTGCCCAGGCTGGTCTCAAACTCCTGGGCTCAAGCAATCCTCCTGCCTCAGCCCTCCAAAGTACTGGGATTACAGGCATAAGCCACTGTGCCTGGCCCTTATTTTTTATTTTATGGATGTAATGTATTCACACAAATAAGTGCACGGAAATAGAGTTTTTATTGTAGATATTACATATGGATATCTATACATAGATATAAATGTCTTAATTGTATGTCTGAATAATGTCAAAATTTACATAATACTTTATCATAAGAACTCGTTTTTGAGAATTCTGTGCTGATAAATTAGGCTCTCTTTCAATTTTGTTGTAAGCAGACTTGGAAAACACTGACTTGCAAAAAGGTAGGTATTCAGCTATTAGAGTCATTCATTTTTGCAGTTTCTGGAACATATTCCAGAAAGCCCCTCCAAAACATACCAAATGATTATTCATTGTACCTGTTGTTTTATTTAGAGAGGCTCAGGTAACCTGAAACACTCAGAAAGTGCTGGGAAATTTAAAAATACAGTTGACCCTTGAGCAACACTTAGGGATGCCAACCCCTGCTCAGTGGAAAATTCGTGTTAACTTTTGACTCAACTTAATCACTAATAGCCTACTGTTGACTGGAAGCCTTACCAATAATAAAACAGTCAGCTAGTACATATTTTGTAGGTCATATATATTATATATTGTATTTATATGATATAGTAAGCTAGAGAAAAGAAAGTGTTACTTTAAAAATCATAAGGAAGAGAAAGAATATGTACTATTCATAAGTGGAAATGGATCATCATAGAGGTCTTCATCCTCATCTTCACGTTGAGTAGGCTGAGGAGGGGGAGGAAGTGGAGGGGTTGGCCTTGCTGTCTCAGGAGTGGCAGAGGTGGAAGGGATCACACAGTGTGTCTGTGTGTGTGTGTGTGTGTGTGTGTGTGTGTGCATGGATGTGTTTAGCCAGGGTCTCCCACTGTCCCCAAGGCTGGAGTACAATGGTGCCATCTTGGCTCATGGTAACCTCTGCCTCCCGGGCTTAAGTGAGCCTCCTGCCTTGGCCTCCAAAATTGCTGGAATTACAGGTGTGAGCCACCACGCCCGGCCTACCAGTATTTTAAGCAGATATATGCAACACTTGAACCCACCACATTAGCAATAGGAGGTGGCTATAAAATTATTACAGTAGTTCAGCATGTACTACAGTTAATTTATGCAGTTATGGTTTAATACTGCATCTTTACATTTAATTACATAAATGTACAGTGTGTTCATGTAAGTTTTAATACCTTTTAACTATAATAAATTCACATGTGTTTTATGGTAATAAATGATAAAATAGACTAGTAGCTACATATATTTGATGCATTTATGACATATCTTCTTCTTAAATGTTTTCAATATTTCTAGCCTACGTGATTTGTCTTTTTCAATTTGTCAAAAATCCCCCCCCAAATTTTCCAGTGTAGTTATTGAAAAGATCTGTGTATTAAGTGGGCCCACGCAGTTCAAACCCATGCTGTACAAGGGTCTACTGTACTATTAACTTCAACACATCTCTGAGAGTAGTTTTTTAAAGTGCCTTTATCTTGTCACCTCCTTTAACTATATTTGCAACAAAAGCTCAGAGCTGTAGCTCTAGCTCATTCAATTTAGAGAGTGTATCCATCGTATAACTTAATTGGCTAAGCCAGTCCTTGTTTTCCAGCCAATCAACCCTATCAGCCTTATTTGTTGAAATAAAGATAAAAAAAGTCTGATCTAATGCTAATAGACTGAGCGGAGGAGCCCAGCAAGGCCTGTCTGTCTTGATTCTTCTTGACTTCTCTATGCATCATTGCTTTCCTTCTGGGTGTGGGACAGGACCCTCTCTGGAATGGGGGTCTTAGGACCTGCAGTCAAAGAAGGTAGGTCAGGTAATTTTTTAAAATGTATTTATTATTATTATTATTATTATTATTTTTTTTTTTTTTTTTTTTGTAGAGACAGGATCTCACTATGTCATCCAGGCTAATCTCAAACTCTTGGCCTCAGGCAATCCTCCCATCTTGGCCTCCCAAAACTCTGGGATTACAGGGTTAGCCACTGCAGCCAGCCAGATAATTTTTTTATTTCTTTTTAAAAGTATTTATATTTTAAAAGTTTATTTAGAGATGGGATCTCACTATGTTGCCCAGGGTGGTCTTGAACTCCTAGGCTCAAGCAATCCTGCTGCCTCAGCCTCCCAAAGTGCTGGGATTACAGGCATGAGCCACTGCGCCTGGCCCAGATAATTTCTTTATGGCCAGTTTTTACATAGAAAGGCGGAGAGAAAGTTAGAGTAATATTTTTAAGTTTTATGGCTGGCTTTGGGGAAAGAGGGTTCTGGTTTCTATGGCCTGCCTTGGAAAAGAGGGATTCTAGTTTCTACGGCTAGCCTTGGCAAGGGCAGTGGAACTGAGAGAAGGGAGGGCAAGAGAAGGTCAGAGAAAAACTTTTGCTTCTGAGGCCTTCATTTTTGGGGTATTGTTTTCAGAGCCCCAACAGTAGTGTTTAATGAAAACACAATGATGTGCGCCACACAATGCCAGCGGGACTTGCTGGACCCCCGAATCTCAAAGACTACGTCCTGAACACCTGCTCGGGCTCGCCTGGGTGGCTTGGAGAGCACAGAGTAGGAAGCTGCCGGCCAACAGGAAAAATAAAACTTTTCCTGCTCCCAAGGAAAGGCTCCTAAATATAGGCTAAGATTTTATGCGTGCATTTCCATAAGCCATCCACTCTGAAAATGGGCCGTTTTCCACCAATGGGCATCAAATTCCCGTGGGATGATTGCAGTTAACAATAATATATAGCATCACATAGCTGGATGGAAGCTATTGAGCTTTCCCAACACAAAGAAATGGTAAATGTTTGAGATGATGGATATGCCGATTACCCTGATCTGATTACTATACATTATGTGCGTCAAAACGTCATTATATACCCCATGAATATGTACAATTATTGTCAATTTAAAAAGTCCTTTGCCATTTAGTTTATAAAAAATGGTTGCAAATACTGCTCACTTCCACAAGAGACCACTATTGCTTCACTTTTTCCAAAGATGCCTTTTAAAAAAGCAGTTTGAAAAACCCAGTGGTACAGAAAAAGAAAATAGTGTTGTATGTTTTGTTTTGAGATGGAGTTTCACTCTTGTCGTCCAGGCTGGAGTGCAACGGTGATCTCAGCTCACTTGCCACTTCCGCCTCCTGGGTTCAAGTGATTCTCCTGCCTCAGCCTCCTGAATAGCTGAGATAACAGGCACCCGCCACCATGCCCAGCTAATTTTTGTATTTTTAGTAGAGATGGGGTTTCACCATGTTGGCCAGGCTGGTCTTGAACTCCTGACTTCAGGTAATCTGCCCACCTTGACCTCCCAAAGTGCTGGGATTATAGGCTTGAGCCACCATGCCCAGCCGTGTTGTATGTTTTAAAGACAGTGCGTAGAAATGTAATTTCATGGTCCTCAGGATCTTGTTTCTAAATCTTGGCTTGTGCAGCTAATTGAAACATGAGTAATAGTGATGACCACAATGATGACATTGTGTATCTCTATAGGGGCTTAGTCCCAAGATCATAGCTCTTTCATATGTATTACACAGTTAACACAATTGGCCAGGCATGGTGGCTCACACCTGTAATCCCAGCATTTTGGGAGGCTGAGGCAGGAGGATTGAGCCCAGGAGCTTGAGGCTGCAGTGAGCTGCGATCATACCACTGCACCCCAGCCTGGGAGATAGAGGCAGCCCCTGTCTCTAAAACAAAACAACAAGCAAACAAAAAAAGACTCACAATTCTGTGATGTCTCAGTATTCTCATTTTCCAGAGAATAAAACTGAGCTTCAGGGAAATGCCACCAATTGCATAGTTGAGTCGTGATATTTCAGCACCAAGGATGAGTAAGGAGAGGGAGAAATGGAGACCTATTATTTGGGAAGAGCACCTTCCTCGGCATTGAGTGGTTTAATTTTCATCCCATGAAGCTGCTTTCAGCCTGATATGAAATCAGGTTGAAGATAAAGCTTGGGAAGATGCCCAGCGTCTCTCAGCACTCACAGAATGTTGCACAATTGGGAGTTTCCCGAGACGAAAGCTCCTGCAGCCTCTCCTCCCTGCAGCCTCTCATCACTAGCTTCTACCCTGGATGTTGGCAGCTTCCGGTCCGGTGGAGCCTCATCTCCTAGAGCCTCCTACTAGTTCCCACCCTGCCTGCAGTTTCCATTAACCCATTTGGCAGAGAGAAGGCAGGATTTGGAGTCAATGTTTTAGATTTAAATCTGGACTGTGCTCATTAGCTGGGTGAATTAGTAAACCTCTCTGAGTCTCAGTTTCCTCATCTGTAAATGGGGCTAATTCTAGCTATTTCACAGGGTTTTGTGGGAGATTCAAGCAACCAAGTGTATCAAGGGCCTCGCGTGTGGTGGATGGGTCTACTGAGCAAATCCTTTTTCCCTTTCTTCCTCCTTCGCCCTCTGATCAGCTGCCTCTGTGGTCATTATTCCTAGTTCTGACAGCACTTCACAGAACACTTGTTTCTGACCTATCGGGTTCTGGCACAACCCTATGGTCCTTGGGGGCAGTGGCTGGCATGATTGCTAAACAATTGCTGGATGGCTTGGACAGAATCTACATTGAACTGTCTCCCGGGGGTGAGGGATGGGGGTTCTGAAGTGAGTGGTCAAAGGATCACAGTTTGAGAACCACAGCCTTGGGAGTTTGCTAGGGGAACCTGCACCAAAGGCTTACCTTCGGGGATAGATTTAATCACAATTTAATTTCATTTGCAAATCTGGCCCCTCTAGGTGGCTCCCTGCTGCACCTTCCTAAGGACCCTCTGCCATTCAGTAGCTGCTGTATCACCTTGGGAATAACTACTAGGAGATGCTGTCTTTGACAGCAGAAAGGCTCAGTTCTCAAACTATGGTTCCTGGAGCTACAGCAGCAGTGGTGGCAACTCTTGGGCCCCACCCAACATTGAATGGGAAACTCTGAGATGGGACCCAGCAACCTGCGCTGTAACAAGCACTCCAGGTGATTCCTCGGGCCAGTGGCAGACACCCTCCTAACCCTGACAGATCTTGGAATCTAGTCTCTTCCAACCTTAGGCTGGTAGGGGTAAGGGTGGGTGTGGGGGTTCTGCTCCACTCTTCTGAGTGTGCAGGCGGTGAACATTTATTAAGCACCTACTAGGTGTGCTGACCGCTGATCACTCATTGTCGCATCTATCTTGCCCTGTCAACTAAACCATATATTTATAGTTGAGAGGTAGATTGGTGTTTGATATGGTTTGGATCTGTGTTCCCGCCCACATCTCATGTAGAATTGTAATTCCTAGTGTTGGAGGAGGGGCCGTGGGAGGTGAAAGGATAATGGGGTGGTTTCTCATGGGTTAACACCGTCCCTCTTGGTGCTATCATTGTGATAATGAGTGAGTTCTAATGAGATCTGGTTGTTTGAAAGTGTGTGGCACCTCCCCTCTCTTTCCCTTCCTCCTGCTCAGGTCATGTGAAGTGCTGGCTTCCCCTTCACCTTCCGCCATGATTGTAAGTTTCCTGAGGCCTCCCTAGAAGCTGAGCAGAGGCCACCTTGCTTCCTGTGCAGCCTGTGGAACGGTGAGCCAATTAAACTTCTTTTCTTTATAAATTACTCAGCCTCAGGTATTTATTTATAGCAGTCCCAGAATGACCTAATGCAGTGTTTCTGATTCATTCATTCTTTTATTCAACTAATACTAAACAGTATTATGTGCCAGGTATTCTGGGTACTGGGGATATAGTGATGAGTTATGCCTTCACAGAAATAAATACATGCAGAAATAAATAAATGAATAAATGCATGCAGAAATGAATGAATGAGTACATGCATAAATGAATGAAAATACATGAAGAAATGAATGAAAAAATAAATACCTGCTATAATGCTAGAGTGGCAATAGCTTTGAGGGCAAAGCAGAACCAGAGGATAGAATGTTCGGTGTGGGAGAGGGGAATGCGCAAAGAGAAGAGGGGGCCACTTGCTTTTTCTTGGATGATATAAAGGATGAATCTCTGTTTGCCCTTTAGTGCTTGCTCTGAGAAAAGCACCTTGATTTTCTTCCCACCCCGTCAATTCAAAAGTTTCCACCCTCCTTACCCCTACAGTTTTAGGGATAGGCACATGGCCCATTTCTGGCCAATCAAAGCATTCATCTCTCTGCCTCTAGCAGTGAATGCTTCTGCACTGGGCACGAGTTGCCTAAAGGAGATTCAATCCCGGGGCTTTTCCTAGACACTACTGAAAAGAGAGAAAAGAAAAACCTCTCTTCATAACTGCTGATGTCACTGGGCTGCAAGGCTTGGGGCTTGGGGTTTCTGGGGACTACGGAGAGGGAAGAAGCTCCCTGAAAAACAATGCCTACCTAGAGAAAGTGAGGCTGAGAGGAAGAGAGAGTCCTCATTACAGACCCCACTAGATCAGGGGTCCCCAACTCCTGGGCCACAGACTGGTAAGTCATGGTCCCTAGTCTGTTAGGAACTGGGCTGCACAGCAGGAGGTGAGCAGCAGGTGAGCAAGTGAAGCTTCATCTATATTTACAGCCCCTCCCCTTTGCTCGCATTCCCACCTGAGCTCTGCCTCCTCTCAGATCAGTGGCAGCATTAGATTCTCATCCGAGCACAAACCCTATTGTGAATTATGCACGTGAGGGATCTACATTGTGCACTCCTTATAAGAATCTAATGCCTGATGATCTGTCACTGTCTCCCACCACCCCCAGATGGGACTGTCTAGTGCAGGAAGACAAGTTCCGGGCTCCCACTGATTCTACATTATGGCAAGTTGTATAGTTATTTCATTATATATTACAATGTAATAATAATAGAAATAAAGTGCACTATAGATGTTATGTGCTCGAATCATCTCAAAACCACACCCGCCTACCCCCAACCCCTGGGTCTGTGGAAAAATTGTCTTCCACGGAACTGGCCCTGGTGCCAAAAAGGCTGGGGACTGCTGCACTAGATCCAGGCATACCTGAAGCACTGGACTTTTTAGTTTCACGAGCCCATACATTACATTTTCGGCAGAACGTGTTTCAGTCCTTTGAAACGCAAAGGGTCATAATACTAAACCCAGGGAACACGCAATTCAACACCTGCGTCTGCCTCTTTCAGGGTGTCAATTGCCTCCTCTGCAAGAAGGGCTGATTAAGAGGATGCAGGAAAGGGAGAGAACCTGTGAGGCTCTCAGCCCGTGGCCAGCAGTGGGTGTTCGGTAACCAGTGGCTGGATTCCAGAAAATAATAAGCTGTCAAGCTGATTTCTGTTACCTTAGCCTCATGGTGTTCATGTTTTGTGTTTAGGAAACACGTGACTGAGTTCCCAATGACAGGATGAGTGGCTGGTCTATTTTTTCTCTCTATTCTGATACTCCAGATGGTACAGTGCACAAGTGTGCCGAGTAGAGACATTTTTCTTTTTCTCAATGAAATACAATTACATCGAATTCACAGCATTGATGATATTCATTGTCTCAAATCACTGTGTTTTCTGCGGCTGGCTTGAGAGATGTATAATAAGGTACTGATAAGGATTTTCTCTTTCTAAACTAAATTGTGTGCAGATAGATGACACCTTCTTAGGGCAGCACTTTCTCTCATCTCAGAATTACAGAAAAGTCAGTCATTCTGGGGCCAATTTACATTGCTTGTGGGTTTTTTTCCCCACATCCATCAATTTCAGAACAGATTTATATGATGACAGAAGTAAAATTCTCTCAGTGCAGACATCCAAATGATTTGCTTTTAATAATATGCAAAACAGGGGTGGAGATGAGGGAGCAGAGCTGCCAGGCTTGGCTGTGCATAAATGAGCTTCAGATGGAGGAGGCAGGCAGCATTTCCTCCAGCTGAGAACAGCCCAACCCAGATTGCAACCCCGGCAGCCTGAGATGGGGGTGCCGTGGGGTGAGGGCTCTGGAGAAGCAATCAGGACTGACCAGTCCTTAGACTGGGAATCTGCCCAAGTAACAGAAATAGCCCATTTCTGCATTTTAGCCACTTGGAGCAGTTGGTCTCTATCTGTCATGACCATCTTCCCTGTTAGCATCCATCTTGCACCGTGCTTTTTAATCTTTTTTTTTTATTGACTGCCCTCTGGGAGCCTTTTTTATAGTTTTTTTTTCCCCCTAATCCCTTCTAATCTCCCACCAAATTAAAAGATAATTTTCTTAGAGACTGAGTCTCACTGTACTGCTCAGGTTGGCCTTGGACTCCCAGGCTCAAGTGATCCTCTCGTCTCAGCCTCTCAAGTAGCTGGAACTACTTGTGTGCACCACTGCACCATCCCCTTGCCAGGCAGGGTGTCACCGCAGGTGGGGGTGTGCATGCAACTTTCTGGGAGAGTGGGCTTCTGACATTTGAGGACAAGGGGCCACTGTACACCATTAGTGACCAACACTCCTGGTGGGCAGTGTGGGGATGGGGAAGCGTGGGTGCCCTACCAGGAAAGGAGATCTGGGTGAGGCTCAGAGCCTCCCAGCATCACCTTTCTGAGTATCTGTTTTGTTTCTTTTTGGCGATCTGTGAAAAAGTCACTTTCGATCCTGGCTGAGCCCCTGGTTCTGGGGACGTTTTATCTCAAGTTAGGGACCAGAATTTCCTCTAGCTGCTTAACCAGTGCTTCTCTAATATTGGTGAGCTTCAGTCTGTGTTTACATGAGGCAAGCTTTCTAAATGTTTAATTCTTTTCTCACTGTTTGCATCTGCTGCTTCCGTGTGCTCAGGCCTCTGGCTCAGTGAAGACCATCAGGTGCTTAAAACTTGCTTTGTTCTCTAAGCATTACCAAAGATCATGGGAAAGACCAGGAGAGCTTCCTGCTGGTGGCGGCCTCTGGCTGACAGTTGAAGGTGAAGCAGGCTGTTTCTGCAATAGCTCCAGCGATTCCTTTTACTGGTATTCACGACCTTGTAGAATCCCCTCTTCTGGCGTGTGGGCTGGATTTCAGGGGCTCTCTGTAAGCTCATGTGGACCCTAAGTACAAAACTGGTAGCGTGACTCCTGAGGTCAATGGGTAACCCAGAAGCACAGGAAGGAACTACGACGCTGCCTGCAAGGACTTTTACAGGATGAACCCTTATGAGCAGGTGCTTCTGATGAACAGAATTTGGCAGGAGTGATGGCACGTCCCTTCCAAGTTTAGGATCCAAGACTGTGACTTCTGTCTTGCTGACACTCTTGCTTGCCCTTTTGCTTGCTTGCTGTGATGATGCAAGCTGTCATGATGTGAACTGTCCTGTGGAGAGGTCCACGTGGTGAGGAATGGAAGGAGGCCTCTGGTGAGTACCTGCATCCTGCCATCAACCACCAGCATGAGCCTGGAAGCTGATCCTGCCCTAGTTGATTTTTTTTTTTTTTTTTGAGACAGAGCTGGAGTGCAGTGGTGTGATCTCAGCTCACTGCAGCCTCTGCTTTCTGGGCTCAAGTGATTCTCCTGCCTCAGTGTCCTGAATAGCTGGGACTACAGGCACACGCCACCATGGCTGGCTAATTTTTGTATTTTTAGTAAAGACGGGATTTCACCATGTTGGCCAGGCTGTTCTCAAACTCCTGACCTGAAGTGATTCATCCACCTCAGCCTAGTTGATTCTTAAGATGATTGCAAGCTTGTCAGAGAATCGCAGCCAGGGGATCCAAACAAGTTGCTCCTGAGTTCCTAACACACGGCAACTGTGACATAATCAGTGGTGCTGTTCTAAGCTGCGAAGTTCGTGGGTAATTTGCTGCCCTGCAGTGGATAACTAGCACGAAGAGTTCTGGGAGGTGGAAACAGACAAAGCCTGTATTGTGCTTCTATAAAACTTACTATTATAAGGAAATCATTTTCCCAGGCCATTAAAAACTAGTCATAAATATGATTTTTCATGAATGAATCATAATTTATTTAGCTATTCTCCTATGATTGGCTATCCTGATTGCCGTCTTTATTTTCTGTGATGAATAATGCTACCAAGATTTGTATATAAACTGATCCAGGCCGGGTACGGTGGCTCACGCCTGTAATCCCAGCACTTTAGGAGGCCGAGGCGGGCAGATCACGAGGTCAGGAGATTGAGACCATCCTGGCTAACAAGGTGAAACCCCGTCTCTACTAAAAATACAAAAAATTAGCCGGGCGCGGTGGCAGGCGCCTGTAGTCCCAGCTACTCGGGAGGCTGAGGCAGGAGAATGGCGTGAACCCGAGAGGTGGAGCTTGCAGTGAGCCGAGATTGCGCCACTGCAGTCCGCAGTCCGGCCTGGGCGACAGAGCGAGACTCCGTCTCAAAAAAAAAAAAAATTAGCCAGGTGTTGTGGTGAGCACCTATAGTCCCAGCTACTTGGGAGGCTGAGGCAGGAGAATGGCGTGAACCCAGGAGGCGGAGGCTGCAGTGAGCAGTGATCATGCCACTGCACTCCAGCCTGGGTGACAGAGGGAGACTCCGTCTCAAAAAAAAAAAAAAAAATTAATTAATAAAGGAAGCTCATGCTAGGCCAGGCATGGTGGCTCATGCCTGTGATTCCAGCACTTTGGGTGGCTGAGGCAGGTGGATGGCTTGAGGTCAGGCATTTGAGATCAGCCTGGCTAATATGGTGAAACTGTGTCTCTACTAAAAATATAAAAATTAGCCGGGCATGGTGGCACATGCCTGTAATCCCAGCTACTCAAGAGGCTGAGGCAGGAGACTCACTTGAGCCTAGGAGGCAGATGTTGCAGTGAGCTGAGATTATACCACTGCACTCCAGCCTGGGTGACAGAGGGAGACTCCATCTCAAAAAGAAAAAACAAAAGACAGCTCGTTCTAGACTGAAAACCTTTGGTTCTAGATCACTAAGATGGGTTCATATCTGTCTCTGGATCTGCAGACTCTAACTCAGGGCCTGACATGTAGTTGTGCCCATTTAGTGATTACTAGATGATGGAAAAGCCTGTGGAAATGCTGGATGGGCCTTGTTTCAAGACTTCTTATGTGTGCTTCCAGGAGCGACTGCCCATTGGACAACTACTCCTTTTCAGCCTGTGACTTCTGAACAGTGAGTAGAAATGTGGACTCATACCTCGGCATGCATCTGAATCACCTGGGAGCCTTGTTCAAATGCAGATTCTGGACTCCATTCCCAGGGATTCAGAATCAGCAGATCTGGGGTGGAGCCTGGGAGTCTTCATTTCTAATGAGCACCCTAAGGATGCCATTGCTGCTGGTCTTTAGGCCACACTGTGGAAGCACCAGAGCAGTGGACATCTGCCACTCTTTGGTCTTTTCTTCTTCATTCTCTTGGAGCACTGCCTCCTCCTCACCCTCTGTAGTCTGGGTGGGGCTGCCAACCAAGGGTGCCCAAACACTGCTGCACAGCGGTGGAAATAGATCTCAGGTGGGTCAGAAAACCGGTGAGTGGTGCACAGGTCAGCATACAACTTGGGTAGGGACATTCAGAGTGTATTTGGAGGGATTAAGGTAGATACAGAATGATAAACAAAATTTCCCTTTGGAGCTTGAGAATAGACAGGATCAAATAGGCCCAGAGACTGGCTGAGAACGAAGTTAACAAAGCCAGGGAAATGGAGAAACAGTCTCCTCTGGACGAGTTTCAGCCCCAGATCTAGTCATCCATGGACTTCCTAGAAATGGGCACCAAGACTCTCGTCTTTTGCTTAAGCTCGTTTGAGTTGAGTTTCTGTCTTTTACAAAGGGAATAGGCCTAATTCAGGATTCCTGTGACCTGGAGGATGCGAATATGTACATTAGCATCGACGCACTCATAGATGTCTCTGTATAAACTCGTGGGGATTCTAACTATAATCTGCTAGCACAGGTGATGAGACCAACAAGCGAACCCTCTAGCACGGGAAGGACTGCAAGACTGCTTGCAAGGCCTTTCACCACTTGGATGCCTGTCAGCAGAGGTCTCTGCAGATGGCCAGAAGTGTCATCAGCCCAGTTCTCTGCCTCAGGCTTGCTCAAGGAGTACTTGTACACACAGAAGAGGTTTAGTGCAGGTCTATGGAATGATCCTCTGCTTACTTGAGGCTGGGGAAAGAGGCAGCCTGAGGTCCCTTTATTAGGGGAAAATCCTTTGCTTCTCCAAAAGGAAATGAAGCCGCAGAGGAAGAAGCCTCTGGGAGAAAGGCTATCGTGACATTGGTTTATGGGGATGGATGGGATGTAATCAATCTAAGGTTTTGATACAGGAAGGGGCGAGGTGGGAGGGGGATACTGTGGGGGCGTAGATACCCAGGAAGAGAGAGCGAGGGACAGAGATAGGCAGCTGTGGATGCTGAAGACAGAAGGCCAAGCAACTCTGGGTTTTGAGAGTCTCTGTAGCCAGAAACACACTTGATAGTCAAGCAGCATGGTCTCTGTTTTGTGCCGCTTCCCTCTACCCCTTAAATAATCACCTCTTCCTCCTCCCAGCATTTTTTTTCTAATTAACTTTCTTATCCTATGGAAAATCTCACTGGTCCGCTCCTTCCTTATGTTTGTTTATTTACTTAGTTGTTAAATATTTATTGCCAGACATCATGCTAGGATTAAGTGTTGGGATACAATGGTGACTCAAAAAGCAGAGAGTCCCTGCTCTCATGGACTTTGTAGCAGAGAGAGAGAGAGAGATAGAGAGAGAGAGAGAGAGAGAGAGATGTACTGCAAATACAATAATCACCAAACTGTAAAATTACAAATTCTCATAGGTACTCAGAACTAGTGCCATCTACAAACACCCATCTCTTCTTTAACAAAACTTTCCTGTTGACTGTCCATATTAACATGACTTGTCATTCCAAGAAACTCTTGTCCTGGAAGCTGAAGTTGCAAATAGGTATATAGAAAATCCACGTATCCATATTAGAGACTTCTCAACTAGCTCTCATTAGGGTAAATAACCCTTTCTCAAGGCAACAGCTCCCTTAACTAGGCTTATCAAATGACTTTTCAAGACAGCTTCAAGAGCCTTGCCTTGCTGTGTCCACAAATTTGAAACAATTATGTTATGAACTTTGCCCAAACCCGATCAGACCTTGTGTTGATGGAAGTGCCTTAAACCAGTCCCCTGAATCTCCTAAATATTCCAACTTTGCCCTTCCACTCTGAGATGCTACTAAGATTCTGACAAGGTTGTGCTTTTTCTTATCACTGGAGCAATGAACTTAAAGTTGGCAGATGATGATCTGTGAAGGAGTGGACTTCAATTCTAAGAAATTGTATGACAGACAGTGGAGACCAAAACTGGAAGTTTCCTTGGAGAGGAAGAATGCTTGAGCTGAGTTCTATGTATGTATGTATGTATGTATGTATGTATGTATGTATGTATGTATGTATTTAGAGATGGAGTCTCACTCCATCACCCAGGCTGGAGTGCAGTGGCATGATCTCAGCTTACTGCAACATCTGCCTCCGGGTTCATGCAATTCTCCTGCCTCAGCCTCCCAAGTAGCTGGGATTACAGGCGTGTGCCACCACACCTGGCTGATTTTTGTATTTTTAGTACAGATGGGGTTTCACCATGTTGGCCAGGCTGGTCTTGAACTCCTGAACTCAGGTGATCTACCTGCCTCGGCCTCCCAAAGTGCTGAGATTACAGGCATGAGCCACCGCGCCCGGCGAAGTTGAGTTCTTTTTTTTTTTTTTTTTTTGAGATGGAGTCTC
This sequence comes from Homo sapiens, assembly GCF_000001405.40. Lineage (NCBI taxonomy): Eukaryota > Metazoa > Chordata > Mammalia > Primates > Hominidae > Homo > Homo sapiens. Next base: position 5,237,582 of record NC_000003.12, read on the forward strand.
GCACTGTCTCCCAGGCTGGGGTGCAGTGGTGCGATCTCGGCTCACTGCAAGCTCCGCTTCCCGGGTTCACGCCATTCTCCTGCCTCAGCCTCCTGAGTAGCTGGGACTACAGGCGCCCGCCACCACGCCCGGCTAATTTTTTGTATTTTTTAGTAGAGACAGGGTTTCACCGTGTTAGCCAGGACGGTCTTGATCTCCTGACCTTGTGATCTGCCCGCCTCAGCCTCCCAAAGTACTGGGATTACAGGCGTGAGCCACCGTGACCTGCTGCGGCCAAGTTGAGTTCTAAAGGTTGTAAAAGAGTTAATATGTGCAAAGGGAGAGAATACGATAAGGGAGGGGACAGAACGGGAAAGGAAGAACGTACAAAGATCCTGGGGAAGAAAGAAACATGGGCTTCATGGAACAGGGAAACGCCAGAGAGGTTGGAGCCCAGACAGTGGGGGCATCGCAGTGAGAGTTCAGGCTGGGGAGAGAGGAGGGACCAGACCACTCACACGGAGCCTCATCAATGGGCCATGTAAACGATTGTGGCCTTTCTCTGGAGAGCACTGGGAAGCCAATGACAGACTTTTAAAATCCAATTTTAATTTTATGAAGTGCTCACCATTCACAGTCAGGAAAAAGAATTAATTAGGAGATCGTTCTGGCTATCTTGGGTACAGAAAGCCTGTGTTGCTGGAATTGGAGAATGAGGGTGCCAGCAGAAGCATGGAAAGAAGTGGATGGATTTGGGAGGTCTGTAGCAAGTAAAACTGAACGCTGGAGAAATTAAGTAAATTGACCAAAGTCACATAGTGGCTATCTAAATTTATGTTAATTAAGACTACATAAAATTAGAAATTCCCTCTTCTGAGTGGCATCAGCCACATTAGGAGTGTTTAGTAGACACATTTGGTTACCATACTGGACACTGCAGTTTAGGGAATAATTTCCACTGTGGCAGAAACAGCTCTTGGACAGCGCTGGTCTAGAACCTAGGTCTCCTGAAATTCCTTGTCTTACGTATGGCCAGATTCCCTGATGCTATAACTCAGTTTGGAGATCCTGAGCACTGAGGGGCAGAAGTCAGTAACTCTACACTGCTTGATCTCAAGGTGCTCCGCAAACACTATAAAATCAAGCAGGGACCAGAGCAGCTCAATTAATCCTGCCCTCTACACCACGAGGTAGTGACTGAACACTGGAAGCAGCTGTCACTAACACACTCCTGTGAACTTGATCTCACAGCCACTGGGAGTATATTTCCATCCAGTGGGGCCAAGTATGGCTCTTCCACACACACCAGCTCTCAGGGCTTTGCCCAACTTCTGAAAATGTTGGCGTGTGGCATGCTCATTTCATGGCTGAAATTGCCCATTTCTGAATTAGATAAAAGATGTCAGAAGAATAATAAAGTTACTTTTGGCGAGTACATATTTTCTGTAACGAAATAAAATGGGGATTGAAGCAACTACAATTCAATCTTCCATCTCAGAGGTTTATTAACTCCAGTCCCACTAGAATCAGTAGCAGAATCTGGGAGTGTAATAAAACGAACTCGTTTTTCACACATTTTTTTCTTGAGTGCTAGTGGTGTAAAGAGAGCAATAGTAAACACACACACACACCATACACACACACACACACCATACACACACACACCATACACACACACCATACATACACACACACACCATACACACACACACCATACACACACACCATACATACACACACACACCACACACACACACCATACACACACACACACCATACACACACACCATACACACACACACACCATACACACACACACCATACACACACACACACACCATACACACACACACACACCATACACACACACACACACACACCATACACACACACCATACATACACACACACCATACACACACACACCATACACACACCATACATACACACACACACCACACACACACACACCATACACACACACACACCATACACACACCATACACACACACCATACACACACACACACACCATACACACACACACACCATACACACACACACACACCATACACACACACACACACACCATACACACACACACACCATACACACACACACGCACACACACAAAGAGCATCTGTTTAAATTTCCCCTGCTAATATATGACTAAGTTTTGTGGTGATTTTTGTAATCGTACTGTTGTTTTTGTTTCCAGATGGTGGCTTTCACCTTATCTTAGTTCAGAGCCAGGGCCACAAATCAGAGGCTTTTGTCTTTGCCTCCTGATCCTTGGCAGACATCATTAATCAATCACGGTGCTCTTGGCTGATGACTCTGGATGTAGCCTCGCATCCTTCTCTCCCCTGAAGTCCAAGAAACTGAGAGAATAGGTCTGACAGCCAGTTGCTGTCTTTGGATTAGTCATTTTATCTGGAGTGCAGCAAGGTAAATATTCAGTTCACAGGAAAGCAATAGAAAATTATTCAGAGTTGTCTACTTCTGGGAAAGAGAAGAACATTATTGCTATTTTGGGGGGCTATTAAGGAAGAATGGTTTACCTTGGTGAACCAGGCAGTGACTGAATCATGGTAGTACATCATAACAGGAAAGATAGGAATGATCAGCATGATGATAAAACTATTTCTCAGTGCTTCTGTTAGCCTTTCTTTTTCTTTTTTTGAGACAGAGTCTTGCTCTGTCGCCCAGGCTGGAGTGCAATGGTGTGATCTTGGCTCACTGCAACCTCTGCTTCCCGGGTTCAGGTGATTCTCCTGCCTCAGCCTCCCGAGTAGCTGGGATTACAAGTGGGCGTGACCATGCCCGGCTAATTTTTGTATTTTCAGTAGAGACGGGGTTTCACCATGTTGGCTAGGCTGGTCTCAAACTCCTGACCTCAGGTAATTTGCCCACCTCAGTCTCCCAAAGTGCTGGGATTACAAGTGTGAACCACCGTGCCTGGCCCAGGCTTTTTTTTTTTTTTCCTGGAGAACTCATTGGCTAATATTTTTGCAACCACAGTCCTATTGATAAGACCTGGGGCTGTCCCACAGTGAAATTTAGCAGAAAGCACGTTGTGTCTCTGATCTGGTTCTGACTCCATTTGTTCCCTTCTAAATCCCTTGGCAGATGTTCCATTCAAACAAGCAAACTAACTAAGGTTGAATGAAAGAATTCTGGAATTTGGTAAGACTAAGAGAATAGGTGTTAGTGAATGAATAAATGAACAAAACCCAGCATTTCCAAAGATGGGTTTTATGGAACCATTCCTGGAGTACTAATGAATTTTCTCATCAACTTGTTTTGGAAATGCTGAGTTAAACAAAATGAAACAAGCTTCTTTAATGCAGGACTTATCAGAACCTTTATATGTCAATACATCTTGTGTTTCTTCTAAAGGGTGATTCAATATGTAGCATGTTGCAAATTTATTTGATCACAGGATTTTTCCCTTTTTCTGGTCTGACCTATGAAGTGTCTTATAAGAAATTAGGTATGTGCTGGAATTAACTCTCAGGGGATTCTAGTATTCTAAGAAATACATTTTATGCTTGTCCAAACTCCTCGTTTTACAGATTATTAAAAATGAGTTTCAAAGAGGTCAACATGACTTTCTTAGGGTCTTGTAGGATAGTGTTACGCTGGGATTCAAAGCTGTCTGAAGCAAGTGCTTGAGCCAGCAGATTGTATCATTTATTATTGGTTGGAAATTTGGAAGTACCTTGGATGTCATTCCTTTTTACAAGAGACCTTGCGTTAATACCATCCCTTCCAGGCAGATAATATAAGTGGACTGGCTGATGTGAAGTCTCAGGACCATTGTAGCAGATCCTTCCAGTTCATGTTTTGTTGCCAGCAAGGGCTCTAGGTAAAAAGTCTTTGTTGTCCTTACTGATGTCACTATGAAAAGTGAGTGGTGCCATTATCATTGTTTCTGAATAGTAGTGCACAGCCTCTTCCATTGATCTAGAATGTTTTCACTGATTCTGGCTATTCTAGTTTTGACTACAATGGGCATCTTGAATTATGAGTCCCATGAAGGTATAGAGGTGATTTTGGGCATCCTCTTGGATCCTATCAGGGGCTTATATAAACTCTGCAAATTTCATGGGATTCCCCTCAGAAAAACCCCTTACCTAGACCTTGAGACCCCTGACAACATTATGGAATTATTTACAATTAAAAAAATTACTTTTAGAGATGGGGTCTTGCTGTGTTGCCCATGCTGAATTTGAACTACTGGACTCAAGCAATCCTCCCCTCTCAGCCTCCAAGTAATTAGGACTACAGGTATGAGCCAACATACCTGGCTGACTATGTAATTACTTTTTCATTTCATGGGCAGTTGATGGAATTAATGGACTATGGTCATTTTCTTTCTTTTTTTTTTTTTTAACAATTGCTAATTTTATTTTTATATATTCCTGTGCCACATTCAATGCCTTTGCCTAACAAAAAGGGCTTAGATCAGAGAGGCTAGACAACTACAAGCAACTTTTCACCCTTTAACTATATGATTTTTAAAAGACAACTACTTGATAAAGTGTTCATAATAGTAACCCAGATAGAAACAACAAAATATACTGTGATTAGTCCCAGTTCTTACCAGTCTGTTTCGGGAGACTGTAAAGTTGCTTTAAAATGATAACAGGAATCTAATACCAAAACAAGTCATAAGAGAATACGACATGAAAACTTCAGGACCAAATTCAATGAGCAAGCTCTTTTTTGATTAACAATAGTAATGAAAGTAGATGTGAATGCAATCATCTTCTTTTTTTTAATTCACTTTTACCAATTTTTTTTTTTTTTTTTTTTTTTTTTTTTAGTATTTATTGATCATTCTTGGGTGTTTCTTGGAGAGGGGGATTTGGCAGGGCCATAGGACAATAGTGGAGGGAAGGTCAGCAGATAAACATGTGAACAAGGGTCTCTGGTTTTCCTAGGCAGAGGGCCCTGCCGCCTTCCGCAGCGTTTGTGTCCCTGGGTACTTGAGATTAGGGAGTGGTGATGACTCTTAACGAGTATGCTGCCTTCAAGCATCTGTTTAACAAAGAACATCTTGCACCGCCCTTAATCCATTTAACCCTGAGTGGACACAACACATGTTTCAGAGAGCACGGGGTTGGGGGTAAGGTTATAGATTAACAGCATCCCAAGGCAGAAGAATTTTTCTTAGTACAGAACAAAATGGAGTCTCCTATGTCTACTTCTTTCTACACAGACACAGCAACAATCTGATTCTCTTTCCTTTCCCCACACTTCCCCCCCTTCCACTCGACAAAACCACCATCGTCATCATGGCCCGTTCTCAATGAGCTGCTGGGTACACCTCCCAGACAGGGCGGCGGTCGGGCAGAGACGCTCCTCACATCCCAGATGGGGCGGTGGTCGGGCACAGTCACTCCTCAGTTCCCAGACGGGGTCGCGGCAGGGCAGAGATGCTCCCCACATCTCAGACGATGGGCGGCCAGGCAGAGGTGGTGCTAGACGTCTAGGTGGCACTTCCTAGACGGGGTGGCGGCCGGGCAGAGGCTGCAATCTCGGCACTTTGGGAGGCCAAGGCAGGCGGCTGGGAGGTGGAGGTTGCAGCGAGCCGAGATCACGCCACTGCACTCCAGCCTGGGCACCATTGAGCACTGAGTGAAGGAGACTCCGTCTGCAATCCCGGCACCTCGGGAGGCCGAGGCTGGCGGATCACTCGCGGTTAGGAGCTGGAGACCAGCCCGGCCAACACGGCGAAACCCCGTCTCCACCAAAAAAATACGAAAACCAGTCAGGCGTGGCGGCGCGTGCCTGCAATCGCAGGCACTCGGCAGGCTGAGGCAGGAGAATCAGGCGGGGAGGTTGCAGTGAGCCGAGATGGCAGCAGTACAGTCCAGCTTTGGCTCGGCATCAGAGGGAGACTGTGGAGAGAGAGGGAGAGGGAGACCGTGGGAAGAGGGAGAGGGAGACCGTGGGGAGAGGGAGAGGGAAAGCGAGAGCGAGAACGAGAGCGAGAGCGACAGCGACTATGGTCATTTTCTAACAGTCCTTTCATGGAGTCTCCCAAAGGTTTCTGTGTCCTTTCCCAGAGATGGGCTGCATATCTATCTGTATAAAGGAAGAGTATACATAATGTTTGCAAACCCTCTACTGAACACTTCTTGATTTAAAAATCACACTTGCTTCTGATACATGTTCTCCTACATAGTAGGGAGAGCTTATCTTTTCTATTCCAAATAAGGCTTAAGAAAGTTGTGTTAGCCTACATATAGCCAAGACAATCCTAAGCAAAAAGAACAAAGCTGAAGGCATCACGTTACCTGCCTTCAAACTACACTATAAAGCTACAGTAACCAAAACAGCATGGTACTGGTACCAAAACAAATATATGGACCAATGGAACAGAACAGAGGCCTCAGAAATAACACCACACATCTACAACCATCTGATCTTTGACAAACCTGACAAAAATAAGCAGTGGGGAAAGGATTCCCAATTTAATCAATGGTGTTGGGAAAACTGGTTAGCCATGTGTAGAAAACTGACACTGGACCACTTCCTTACACCTTATACAAAAATTAACTCAAAATGGATGAAAGACTTAAACATAACACCTAAAACCATAAAAACCCTAGAAGAAAACCTAGGCAATACCATTCAGGACAGAGGCATGGGCAAAGACTTTATGACTAAAACACCAAAAGCAATGGCAACAAAAGCCAAAATTGAGAAATCGGATCTAATTAAACTAAAGAACTTCTGCACAGCAAAAGAAACTATCATTAGAGTGAACAGACAACCTGCAGAATGGGAGAAAATTTTTGCAATCTATCCATCTGACAAAGGGCTAATATCCAGAATCTACAAGGAACTTAAACAAATTCACAAGAAAAAAAAAAACAACCCCATTAAAAAGTGGGCAAAAGATATGAACAGACGCTTCTCAAAAGAAGGCATTTATGTGGCCAACAAACATGAAAAAAAGCTCATCATCACTGGTCATTAGAGAAATGCAAATCAAAATAGCAATGAGATACCATCTCATGACAGTTAGAATGGCAATCATTAGAACGTCAGGAAACAACAGATGCTGGAGAAGATGTGGGGAAATAGGAATGCTTTTACACTGTTGGTGGGAGTGTAAACTAGTTTAACCATGTGGAAGACAGTGTGGCAGTTCCTCAAGGATCTAGAACCAGAAATGCCATTTGACCCAGCAATCCCATTACTGGGTATATACCCAAAGGATTATAAATAGTTCTACTATAAAGACACATGCACATATATGTTTATTGTGGCACTATTCACAATAGCAAAGACTTGGAACCAACCCAAATATCCATCAATGATAGACTGGATTAAGAAAATGTGGCACATATACACCATGGAATACTATGCAGCCATACAAAAGGATGAGTTCATGTCCTTTGCAGGGACATGGATGAAGCTGGAAACCATCATTCTCAGCAAACTAACACAGGAACAGAAAACCAAACACTGTATGTTCTCACTCATAAGTGAGAGTTGAACAATGAGAACACATGGACACAGGGAGGGGAATATCACACACCAGGGCCTGTTGGGATGTTAGGGGACAGGGGAAGGATAGCATTAGGAGAAACACCTAATGTAGATGACAGGTTGATGGGTGCAGCAAACCACCATGGCACGTGTATACCTATGTAACAAACCTGCACATTCTGCACATGTATTCCAGAACTTAAAGTATAATAAATTAAAAAAAAAAAAAAGAAAATTGTGCTGGGATAGCACCATGGCCTCAGCATTTCTGCCCAGGGAAAAGCATTAAGAGTTATCAGATTACCCATCTCTTTGGGGGATGTACTGCAAGAAGTTCTCTCCTGTCCCCATTGCTAAGTGCACTATGCAAGCCCTGAGGCCCAGGAATGTTCAGACTATTGAAGAATCTCAACCTTTCCCTGAGGGTAGGAGTAGTGTCTGGTATAGCTTAGCATCATCTCTGATAGGCAATAATAAGAGTAAGGCCATCTTTGCTGGTTGCTGATTCTTTCTGTTCTGTAATTTCTGTTTGATAAGATCAAATGGGCTCAACGTACTGTGTAGGCCAGACAGAGAGAGAGTCCAAATCTGGTAGATTTTAGGATAAGACAGTGGGCCTTGCTTATATCACTGAGTTCTCTGGGCTTTGATAGAATTTGATAGAATTTATTGGCCTTCACCGTGTTCCTAGGTCAGGTGGTTTTCTGTCCTCTTGTTCCAGGTATAATGGCGGGGCACTAAGTTACTCCAGCACTTAGTGACTTGTGCTCATGGATTCTGTGGGTCAGGAGATCAGATAGGGTATACCCATTTGGGGACAGCTTGTCTGTGCTCTGGGTGGTTGGGGATCCTCATTTGGGAAGACTCAAAAGTTGGTGGTAACACAACCTCAGGGGGCTGGAATCCCCTGAGGGTTAATTCCTGCACATATTGTGTGCCTGGACCTGGGTGACTCAGAGAGTTTTCACCTGGCCTCTCCATGTGGCTTGACTTCCTCACAGCATGGCAATTTCAGGGTAGCTGGACTTCCTGTGTGGTGGCTCAGCACAATAACTTTGAAGTCCAGGAAACAAGGCAGAAGCTGTTCCACCTGTTATGACCCAGCCTCCTAAGCCATCTGCAACAACTCTCTTCTACCCCACTGGCTGAAGCAGTTGCAACCCTTCCTGGATTCAAGGTTGAGAAGTTAGACTCTTCCTATTAATGAGGTGTCACATGGTAGAAGAGTAGATTGCAGTCATGTATGGAAAATACAATCCTCCACCTCTCTCTCTCGTGAGGGAGTCCAGGTTGAACAAGTTGGGACAGCTTGCATTGTGTGTGGTAGACAAGCTACCTGATAGTGCTCCTGATTTGCTGAAGTGGTGTCGCTTCTATAACAGGGAGACCCCCACAGGGAGTGTTGGATCATAAGTCACTTAGCATGCTAGCTAGCACGTACAACTATTCCTAAATGCTAATTGAGGCAGTTGTTAGCCTCTATGGGGAGTGTACAGAAATTAGAAAAAGTTGCTCTGTGGACATTGGGGAAGGGGGAGGCAGAGTACATCAGCCACCCTTTCATGAGACCCTTATGAAGTGCACACACAGTATAACCAAACATGGCAGTCCTGACAACTATTATTGTTGTAATTGGTTTCACCATTAAAAATAAACAGTCAAGGCATTTAGCAGTCCCCACGCCCAGGGACCTCCTGGTGGCCTTCTCCTGTGTCCATTTCCAGCTGTTCTTTCCACAGGGCCTTGGTCCTTGCCTGTTTTCCTTCCATCTACCACATTTCACCAGATACATGGTACTCTCCATGGCAGTTCACAAACTGGCAAGGAGGGGGCACTCTCCCAGGAGTGCTAGTGGTTTAATTTATTTATTTAAATATTTCCCAATGGCCAGGCGCAGTGGCTCATGCCTGTAATCCCAGCACTTTGGGAGGCTGAGGTGGGCAATATGGTAAAACCCTGTCTCTACTAAAAATACAAAAATTAGCTGGGCATGAGGATGTGCTCCTGTAATCCCAGTTACTCAGGGGGCTGAGGGAAGAGAATTGTTTGAACTCGGGAGGCAGAGGTTGCAGTGAGCCAAGACTGAACCATTGCACTCCAGCCTGGGCAGCAGAGCGAGACTCTGCCTCAAAAAAAAAAAAAAAAAAAAAAAAAAAAAAAAAAAAAAAAATTCGGAACAATTTTTTATTTCTAATTTTAGATGTAATGCCTATGTGTTATAAAATTTAAACAAAACAATATAAAAAGGTAAAAAGAAACTCAGAACTCTCTTTGTCAGATTTCCAGCCATTGTGAAAGTCAGGTAGAGAAATGGGTGTGCGTGCGTGTGTGTGTGTGATAGAAAGATGTGTGTGAGATATTTTACATTTGTCAAATACAATATAGCCCCCCTAGTTAAATTAGAATTTTACATAAATAATGCATTTATTTTTAGTGTCTGTCCAAAATATGTTTATTTGAAATTCTAATTTAACTTAGTGTCCTGTATTTTATTTCTTTATCTGGCAACTTTGTCTGGGTGATCTGTATGTGGGGAACATGTGGGGTGATATGTGGGCCCCAGGTATTGAGTGCTTATGGGGTATATGTAGGATGGACATTGTGTGTGTGTGTGTGTGTGTGTACGGTGTGTGGGGTGTGTGTACTTGTGTGAGGCATATGTTTGGGTGGGTAGATAAGAGAGTTTGTCAGAAGAAGGAAAAAGGAGATATAGGAAACTTGAATTGTTTTAAACACTTTCTTCAAATTGGCCTATTAACATACAGTTTCTTGTTTTTGTACTTATAACACTTTATTGTCATTTATTGGTTTACATTTCCAGATTCCCACTAGTCAGAGAAAGTCAAGAGCTGAGTTTTGTCTGTGTTGTATTCCCCGCATGTGGCACGCAGTAGACTTGCAACTCACATGTGGATCTGAGTGCTGCCACACATCTGGAGTGGCAGGGATTTCATTCCAGTGCGTCCGACTCCCTGACTCTCAGCAGAGGAGCCATCCCTGCTTCACTGAATACCCAGTCTTCAGTATGCGACACAGTAACCTTGGTTCTTCAATGTCAGGACATCAGAGACACCTGGAGATCTGGTTTAAAATGCAGGTTCCTGGGCCTCAACCCTCCAAGAGGTTCAAGACTCCTGGGGTGAGAGGGAATGATGTACAGGAGTTGAATGGACAAAAGTGTTCACTTTTAATGATCTGCTCTCCTAAAGGTAAAAAATTTAACAGAGTCCGACCTATAAGCCATGCTATGAATGACTGAACGTGTGTGTGTGTGTGTGTGCGTGTGTTGTGCATGCATGGCATTGCATGTGTACATACACAAACACACACAGGCAGCATGAGGTGTGAAAAGTGAACCTTCATTCACTGATATTTTATAAAGAATTTTCCTCTGAATTTATGTCGGTGCTGCTCCTAATAAATCACTTGCTTTGAGCAAATGTGAAGTCATAAAGATCAGTCTGCAATGAGCTGTGGCCCCAAAATGTCTGTGAGGAATAAACAAGGGAAATAAAGCTTTTATATTCTAGCAGCAAAGCTCCAACTATGCTTCCTGGAGTGACAGTGTAGCTTTAACCTAATGCAATTACTTACGTGCTGACATTAGGCATAGAAAACTTCAGTTGGTGGAATGGATTCTTCCAAAAGCAAAGAGAAAATTTTACAAAGAAAGAAGCCACGGGGTGGAACAAAACTAGAATTGATTTCCTGAGTTCAGTGTTCATGAAGTTAAAAGTTCTTTTTTATTTTTCTCCAAGACTTTCCTCCGAAGAAGACCAATTTAAAGTAACAGAACTGGTTACAAAAGAATCAATTCTGAATACGCTACAAACCATTGAATTATACAGTTTAAATGGGTGGATTCATGGAATACTTTGTAGCCATAAAAAGAAATCATGTCCTTTGCAGCAACATGGATGTACCCGGAGGCCATTATGTTAAGCAAATTACCACAAGAACAGAACACCAAATATCACATGTTCTCACTTATAAGTGGAAGTTAAACATTGAGTACACATAGACATAAACATGGGAGCAATAGCCACTGGGCAGTGCTGGAGGCAGGAGGGAGGGAAGGGGCTGAGGGATTGCCTATTGGGTGCTGTGCTCACTGCCTGGGTGACAGAATCATCTGTACCCTAAACCTCAGCATCATGCAGTGTTCCCATGTGACAGACCTGCACATATACCCACTGAATCTAAAATAAAAGTTGAAATTATTAAATAAATAAAAAAAAAGGCCAGGAACAGTGGCTCACTCCTGTAATCCCAGCACTTGTTCAAGACCAGTCTGGTCAACATGATGAAACCCCGTTTCTACTAAAAATACAACAATTAGCTAGGTGTAGTGATGCATGCCTGTAATTCCAGCTACTCAGGAGGCTGTGGCACGAGAATCGCTTAAACTTGGGAGGCAGAGGTTGTAGTGAGCTGAGATCATGCCACTGTACTCCAGTGTGGACAACAGAGCAAGACTGTGTCTCAGGAAAAAAAAAAAAAAAAAAAAAGGCAGAAAAATAAATAGGTGGATTCTATGGAATGTGAATTATATCCCAATAACTGTATTAAGTACATTTTTAAAATGAGAATACCAAATTCCATATGTGCTGAGCATTCCGTAAAAATCAGGTTATTTCTGGCCGAGCGCGGAGGCTCACGCCTGTAATCCCAGCACTTTGGGAGGCCGAGGCGGGCGGATCACGAGGTCAGGAGATCGAGACCATCCTGGCTAACACGGCGAAACCCCGTCTCTACTAAAAATACAAAAAATTAGCCGGGCGCGGTGGCGGGCGCCTGTAGTCCCAGCTACTCGGGAGGCTGAGGCAGGAGAATGGCGGGAACCCGGGAGGCGGAGCTTGCAGTGAGCCGAGGTCGTGCCACTGCACTCCAGCCTGGGCGACAGCGAGACTCCGAATCAACAAAAAAAAAAAAAAAAAAAAAAATCAGGTGATTTTCACTGGAAATGAATAGACTGATGATAAATCCTGGGCGATTTGTCTTCGCAGTATGATCTTGTTTGCACATTTTTCCAGGAATATTTCATAATAGAAGCACATAAAACATTTTAAAAATGCGACAAGATGGACAGTACTCTTTAAAAATGACAATGAACAATGTGACATCGCTTTACCATTCATGTTTTTAAAATCTACCTTTCAGTGAACATGAATGGTAAAGCGATGTCACATTGTTCATTATCATTTTTCTTTTGTAATCTACATTTAATGTTTTACCTGCTGCCCATTTGAGCTTGGGAGAAGAGGCAGGGGTGTCTGGGGATGAGAAATATCGGCCAGTTGGCTGCAGTTAATTTTTCATAAGTCTCATTTATCGAAATCTGTAATTTGAACACGGCTGTTCTTTGAAATGTTCCAGTCTTTCTGAGTTCAATCAATTTCTTTCTTTTTTTTCTTTAACCCACTCCGCCATTCAATCAATTTCTTAATCATGTAACAACAGCGTGAGCCTTTGAAAACCAGACACAGGCTACAGAAAACTACACATGTTCTCTTTCACAGGGTGCAGAATATGGAATTTGATGCCTCCTCCACAAAAACTCATCAAATAGCACTGCACATCTGAGTGGCTTGGGGAGGGAAAAAAATGTATTTTTAAATGAAAGAAAAGAAAATCAGAAATGATCATTGTTAGATGAACAAAAAAAATCAGGATCTCAACAGCACCTGATGAAAGGCAAATTATACTATTCACATTGATCGCTTTTTCTTTCTTTTTTCAAATGATTTATTATCCTTTGATATCACAATCAGTTAGCTTGCTTGCTGCGGCATAAATATTTGATCTTGGAGTAACGTTTTTGACGACTGCTTTTTGCTACAGCCGGACTTTGCCTCCAACTTTCCTTGATTAAATAGAGGAGGCAAATATGAGGTGCGCAAAGAGAATAGAAATAAGTGACCTGGAATTTATCCAAGTAAAGAGAAAGCCCCAGGAAATGTATGAATATTGGCAGGGAGAAGCTCCACAACTGTTTCCTGGTGCTGGAGGAGGTGTGTCCTCTTTCGGTTTGTTTTGTGCCTGCCTGCCTGCCTGCCTGCCTGGGGACAAGCAGAATACCATGGAATTCATTTTTTCTTCAAACTGTATTCTTTGGTTCTTTGGTTATTATTGAAGCGAGCTGTATATGGAGGGGCTGGTATTTTCAGACAGTCATTGTATGTGCCAAGATTCAGGCTGAATAAAGTGGCTGGGAGACGGCGAACATTTCATTGCTTTCCCAATGGTACATCCCTAATTGTAGATCCTCGAGAAAAGGGTGCAGCTGTGAGAAGTTTGCAGCCAGTCCTTACAGCAACTTGGGATTGAAAATACCTGGTAAGGCAAGATCTGGGTAGGGCACTGACTGCCCCGACTCCCTCTAACACCCACTGACTCCAGTTCTGTTTTCTGAGTTCACACAAAACAAAGCTAGCCCAGTGTCCAAATACTTGAAGACAGCGTCTTATCCTCATTCTTGGCTGCACTCATCTCTTCTTTAGGTTAAAAAAAAATTATTTTTTTTGAGACAGAATCTCGCTCTGTTGCTCAGGCTGGAGTGCAGTGGTGCGATCTCAGCTCACTGCAACCTCCGCCTCCTGAGTTCAAGCAATTCTCGTGCCTCAGCCTCCCCAGTAGCTGGGACTACAGGTGCCTACCACCGTGCCCGGCTAATTTTTGTATTTTTAGTAGAGACGGGGTTTTTCTATGTTGGCCAGGCTGGTCTCCACCTCCCAGCCTCAAGCAATCTGCCCACCTCGGCCTCCCAAAGTGCTGGGATTATGGGCTTGAGCCACTGCACTCAGTCTCAAATTTGGTTTAACCAAAGCTCCCTTGTCATGGTTTAAAGTCTTGCAATCACCCTCATAACTTTCCTTTGGAATCCATGCTCCAGATTGAAATTTTGACTTCTGCTTGAGTCTGTGTGTGACATGGAGGAGAGGATACGGCGGTGTGCGGAAGGATGGCTCTACAGCCCTTTCTTCATCTACAAAGCAGGGAATGTAGTATCTACCTTCTGGGGTATCATGAGGAGGACATGAACAATGCTTGGGAAGGCCTTGGCCCAGTGCCTGGCACGAGACCATCATTCAGAACATGGTGGCTAATATTAGAATTCCCTTTAAGAGCGTCATTTGAAGTCAGTCCTTGAGGCTGCCTGCCTATTCCCTGGCCTGGAGGGCTTGTCTTTTTGGTTCTTAGTGGTTCTGGTTTATTCCCTTGCTCTGACCTTGTGTTATCAAAACAAGGCAAGTGCTGATGTGACTCAGTGTCAGTTAGCATTGCCACTTGCTTGGGTGATTTCCTTCAGTTCTCTGTTCCCCGGCTGCCTCCTGGGAAAATTATGCCTTCCTTGCAAAGTAGTGGGATTAAGACAGCCTGTAAAGGAGCTGGCATGGAGCAGCTCAATACATGGCCAGAAAGACTATCATCTTCCCCTCTAGGTCCCTCCCATTCTTTGCTTCCTTTGTTTATTCTCATTCCTCAGATCTCAGTTCAAACGTTGCCTTCTTAAGGAGGACTTCTTTGACCCCTCCATCTGTTACTTACTATTACTCTTACGACCATTTTGAGCGTAATTACTTATTTGTGTTATGTACATGTTTATTCTGTCTTTCCCATCAGACTCTTAAGATGCATGATCGCGGGGACTTGGTGCTGCTTTCTGCGGTATACCTAGGGCCTAACACATAGCACACCTGCAATATATATTTACTGAATAAATCATAACTGTCTTTACTCTGATAGAGAAGGCTAAAGGCAGACTAAAATGAATTTTCCACCACTAGAATTTTCAAACATGGCATAACTATCTGTATGTGGCTTTAAGCGAACTCCCTAGTACCAGATTCTTTTTGTTTTAAGAGACAGGGTCTTGCTGTGTTGCCCAGGCTGGAGTGCAGTAGCTATTCATAGGCATGATTTGATTACTCATCAGCACGGGAAATTTGACCTGCTCTGTTTTCCACCCAGGCTGGCTTACCCCTCCTTAGGAAACTTGTGGTCCCCCACTCCCAGGAGGTCACCGGGTTGATGCTGAACCTAGTGTGTACACCCAATTGGCACAGCACACTACAGCCCAGAACTCCTGGGCTTAAACAATCCTCCTATCTCAGCTTCCTGAGCAGCTGGGACTACAGGCACGTGCCACCAGGCCTGGCTGAAGTGCCAGATTCTATGGTTCCATGACTACAGTGTTGAATCCAGGTTCATGAAATGGACGTCCAAGGCCCAGTACAGTACCTGTTGCTTGTAAATAGGATTCTGAAATTCTATTCCCATATCCAAGTTTCCTCTCCTACCAGCGTGCTCTCTCTGAGTTTAATCTTCATCCTTTACCCACCCTTCTACCAGCTTTCCTATTAAAACTGGCCAGCGTTTTTCCAGCACTTACCATTTGCCAGGCACCCTCCCCAGTGCTTTATGTACATTGTCTTGAGATTCACTCTTTGAGATTGAATCATGAGAATTTTCGTTTTATAGATAATGGAATTAGGCTATGACCATGGATTCCGAAGAGAAGGAGAGAGAGTGGGAAGCCAGGAGAAAGCAAATATTGTCAAGCATGGAAAATGGAAGATAGGAATCGAGTATGGGAGTCCCCATAAACTGGTAGTTGGGACAAAACCAATTACAAACCAGTCAAAAAGGCAGAAGTCACCAATCTCAAGCCCAAGAGGGTCAACCTGAGTCAGGAGCCCAGCCATGTGCAGGCACCAGGGTCAAAGACAAGCAGTGGGCACTCAAAGACATCCTCCCAAAGCACCATTTGATGTGGCCATCTCGGTTGTTTCCTGCTGGGGCACTCTCCTACAATTGGGTCAGCACTGTGCGGCATGGTGTGCCATGGCATGCTCCACCTAAAGTTTGGTGGTGAAAATAGAGCTGGGCGCACCCATTATGGAGAAGGCAGGTGGAGGATATGAACAGAATCTGTCAGAGAGTATGTTACTCGGCCAGAGTAGGACTCCGCGGTAAAGGCATCTGCAGAAACAAAACACATTTTTAAAGGCATCTTCACCAGGGCTGTTCTTTGAAAATGGGACAGAAACCTTTCAAATGTCAAGAGACCGGGTTTTTGCCAAGGCAACAGAATGCTAAGGACTGGAAGGAAAGATTCTTATTACAAAAAGGTGCTAAATTCTGGAGTCGGATTTAATTATACCTGAGGTATTTCTGAATTGGTGTGTGGGTGGGAGGCTCTGCCTCTCCTTCTATTGCTGTTATCATCTCATGGGTCTACAGCTTAATTCTTCCCACCATGGGGCTCCTTAGTCAACTTTCCAATCTCCCAACTCCCACTGAGATGCAGTTTCTGGCAAAGCACTCAACCGCCAACGAAAGGTGCCCACTGAGTCTCTGGCTATTAGCAATCTGATTCCTGGCCATGGCTAATCATCAGGTTTAATCATAGGTTAATCATTTGCCAAGATGGTGTTGGGGCAAGCTTCACATATTCCCGAGGCTGACTCTGTAAAGCCCAGATACACTTGTTAGAGAAACATGTCGAAGGAAAGCATTTTTTGTATTGAATGCGGGAGCTGCAGAAAGTGGGAAGCATGGTGGCATTTCAGGCTGCCTTAATGCGACCTCTCGATGCATTTACTGTTCTTTCTAAGCTGCTGGCGTTGCTTTAGTGCTGTATTTTATATGCTCTGTCTCTCAACCTCTCTGGCTGTTCTCCATTCGTTTAGCCAGTGCCTTCTGAATATTTTATAATCAAGTATTTACCAGTGCCTCTGCAGGTCATCAGGAACTCCATCAGTGGAGTTGTTTTCTCTGGCTATCAGCTCATCTAGCAGTGCTGAGCTCTCAGGAGCAGGTAAAATCCTTGTTTTCTTTGCTCAAACCCTCCAGCGGCTTCCCACTTATTCAGCTGGAAATGCAATGGCCTTACCATGGCACGTAGAGCCTTGTATGATCTGGCCTCCAGCCCTCTCTGATTTCACCTCAACAACCCCTCTTGCTTACTGCACGCCTGCCATATTGGCTTCCCTCATGCCTGCCATATTGGCCTCCCTGTTATTTCTATTAGTTTTCTGTTGCTGCATCATGATAAATTGCTACAAACACAGCATCTCAAAACAACATCTGTGAATTACTACCTCAAAGTTTTGTAGGTTGGAAGCATGGGCAGGCTCAGCAATGTTCTCTGCTTAGGGTTTGATAAGGCTGAAATCAAGGTGTTAACTGGGCTATGGTCTCATCTGGAGGCTTGGTGGGGAAAAGTCTACTTCCAAATTCATTCAGGTTATTGGTAGAATTCAGTTCCCGACGCTGTAGGACTGTGGAACCCTTGCTGGCTGTCAGCTGGGGCCCTTGCTGGCTGTCAGCTGAGGCCCGCTCTCAGATCCTGAAGGCCACTCACATTCTTTACCATGTGATCCCCTCCATCTTCAAGCCAGAAAAGGTTCATTGGTTTCTTTTCATGCTTGGAATCTATTACACTTGCTCTTCTGCTGCTAGCCAGAAAAAAATTCCCTGTTTTAAAGGACTCAGGTGATTAGGTTACACCCACCTGGGCAATCTTCCTAACTAAAGGTTACTTGATTAGTAATTTTACTCACAGCTGCAAAATTCCTTTAACCTACATAATCATGGGAGTGACATCTGGGAGTGGAGATCATGGGGCCCCTCTGAGAATTCTACCTCCCCTGAGGTGGGAGGATCACTTGAACTCAGGAAGTTAGTGCTGCAGTGAGTGGAGATTGCACCACCACGCCCCAGCCTTGGCAACGGAAGGGAGACCCTGTCTAAAAGACAGAGAGAGAGAGAAAAATAAGAATTCTGCCTCCAGCAATATTCCTCTAACATGCTGCCAGAAGTATTGCCCCAGGATCTTTGCATTTGCTGTTCCCTCTGCCTGAAACTCCTTTCCTCATGACCATATGGCTTGCTCTCTGATTCCTTCAAGTCTTTGCTTTCTAAGCTCACCATTTATCAAGAAGAGCCTTTGTATTCTCTATCCTCCTTATTCTGCGTTTCTTCTTAACAGCACCCAGCACAACTGACATCATGCATTTGCATGTTTATTTGTTTGTTATCTCTCTTTCCTCACTGGAATAGAGGCCCCCTGAAGATGAGGGCTTTGCCTGCTTTATTCATAGCTGTGTTCTCAGCAGCTAAAATAACTCCTGGCACATAGCAGATGCTCTACACATATAAAGAAATGAATGACTAAATGAATCTTTAGCTTTTGCAACCCTTCTCCTTCTCTTTTTTCTCTCTCCCACCAAGACTAGAATTTCCATAAAATGATTATTATAAATGCTTTATTCCTCACTGAATACATGCATGAGCAATGGAAACAACCAGAAATCTCTACTTTCCTACTTGATCTAAAGAAACAGAGTTTAAAAACATAAGTTTCTTTTCTGTTCATTGGTCTTTCTTACCTCATACACATTTGTCTCTCCTTCACCCTGCCCATACCTTAAGCACTCCCAGCTCTATTCCCCTATATATTTATGGGTGAAAATGCCTTGAAGATGTTTGATTGTAGCTTCCCATTTGATGAGTGCCTCTTTTAAACTGGGACATCCTCCCTCTTCTTTCCAAGAATAATCCTTTCTCTTCAAGGTGCCGTTCAGATCCCACAGTTTCTGTAGCATTCTTTGATGGGTACAGTTCATAGGAAGGTAGCTGTAGATTGAATTCTGTACGCCCTCATTCAGATGTTGCAGCTCCAACTCCCAATATGACTGTATTTGGAGATAGGGTCTTTAGGAAGTAATTTAGGTTAAATGAGTTCATAAGGGTGGATTCTGATCTCATAGGCTTAGGATTGTTATGAGAGCAATCCCTTTGGTGCACATTCACTGAAGAAAGCTCACGTGAGCACACAGAGAAGGGGCCATCTGCAACCCAAGTAGAGAGCCCTCACCAGACATTGGCCTTGCTGGCATCTTGATCTTGGACCTCCAGCCTCTAGAACTGTGAGAGGACAAATGTGGTGGTGTTCGCCTATAATATCAGCTACTAGGGAGGTTGAGGCAGGAGAATCGCTTGAACCTAGGAGGCAGAGGTTGCATTGAGCCAAGATTGCACCACTGCACTCCAGCCTGGGTGACAGAGCAAGACTCTCAAAAAAAAAAAAAAGATATTCATGAAGAGCATGCTCAAAGTTTACAAAGCACTGTGGAATTTCAAAGGAGAAAGATATTAGAAGGTCAGGGATGGTGTGGAAGAGGTGGGATTTAGCTGTACCTTTAAAGAGGAGTTGAATTTTGAAAGATTGGGAAAAATATTTTTGTCAGGGAGACATGTATAAGAAGAGCAGAAATGGAAAAAATACCATTTAGAACAATTACTGATTTTTATTTTTGACACAGGGCCTTGCTCTGTCCCCCAGGCTGTAGTGCAGTGACACGATCATGGCTCACTGCAGTCTTGACCTCCCAGGCTCAAGTCATCCTCCCATCTCAGCCTTCCAAGTAACTGGGACCACAGGCACATACCACCATGCCCAGCTAATTTTTTTTTGGTACTTTTTGTAGAGACAGGGTTTCTCTGGATTGCCCAGGCTGGTCTCAAGATCCTGGGCTTAAGCAATCTGCCCACCTTGGACTCCCAAAATGATGGGATTATAGGCATGAGCCACCAAGCCCAGCCAACATTACTTATTTATTTATTTATTTATTTTGAGACGGAGACTCACTCTGTCGCCCAGGCTGGAATGCAGTGGCGTGATCTCGTCTCACTGCAAGCTCTGCCTCCCGGGTTCATGCCATTCTCTTGCCTCAGCCTCCTGAGTAGCTGGGACTACAGGCGCCCGCCACTACGCCCAGCTAATTTTTTTGTATTTTCAGTAGAGACGGGGTTTCACCGTGTTAGCCAGGATGGTCTCAATCTCCTGACCTCGTGATCTGCCCACCTCGGCCTCCCAAAGTGCTGGGATTACAGGCGTGAACCACCGTGCCTGGCCAACGATTACTTATTTTGATGAAACATCCAACTATGCTTCTCCAGGGGTGCCTTTTGCATGTTGTAGGTGCTCAACAGACATTTTGCTGGCTAGAAGCGCTTGCTTTTTTTTTTTTTTTTGTGACAGAGTCTTGCTCTGTTGTTGCCCAAGCTGGAGTGTAGTGGTTCACTACAACCTTGAACTCCTGGGCTCAAGTGATCGCCTGCCTCAGCCTCCCGAGTAGCTGAGACTACAGTTGTGCACCACTGAATCCAGCTAATTTTTAAATATTTCTGTGGAGCTGGCATCTCACTATGTTGCCCCATTTGTTCGTGAACTCCTGGGCTCAAGTGATCCTCCTGCTTCGGCCTCCCAAAGTGCTGGGATTACAGGTGTGAGCCACCATGCCCAGCCAGAAGCACTTGTTACATCCTCATGCCCCTAGTGCCATGTTAGGGACTATACCAAACTGATAAATTTATAATTTTCTGAAAAATTGCAGTTCATAATAGAAAGAGAAAAATTGCAAACAACTGATAAGTTATGACATTGACATGATGCATTGGAGGGAAGTATTTGCTCTCAAAGTGCTCAGGGATGGCTTGCGGGTTGATACCTTAACCTATTAAGTATGTAGTAGCTCTGCCACAAGGCTCTCATTTTCACCTTCTAAAATCTGATCTTGTAGACTGCTAAACATGTGTGGATCCATGCCAACCCCACTATTTCTTCATTGTTTCCAAATTTGATTAATGTTCCTGCCTTCATTCACCCTCCTGGTGGCTGAGGCATAATGCCACAAATTACACCCACCAGTGAGTTCCAGGCAGCAGAGGTAATTTCTTTTCAAACAATGCAGAGCTCAAAAGAAATTTCGAGAATGAGCTACCAGATCATTTTATAAAGGCAATGCCACCTCGGAGTTGAGCAGAAATGTAGAGATTACTGCTCCTTGGGCTTATAGGAGATAACCTGGTGCAATGGGCAAGCCAGTTTCAACAGGAACGAAGGAGTGTACTATGAGAGAAAAATATGTGCAGTAAGTGCTAGCTGCCTGTGTTGAAAGTAATGATTCTGACCTTCAGTGTATTTGTTAAAACATTTTTTCTTTTTTTTTTGAGACAGGGTCTTGCTCTGTCACCCAGGCTGGAGTGCAGTGGCATGATTTCGGTCACTGCAACCTCCGCCTCCTGGGTTCAAGTGATTCTCCCGCCTCAGCCTCCTGAGTAGCTGGGATTACAGGCACATGCCACCATGCCTGGCTAATTTTTGTATTTTTTGTAGAGACAGGGTTTTACCATGTTGGCCAGGCTGGTCTCAAATTCCTGACCTCAAGTGATCTGCCTGTCTTGGCTTCCCAAAGTGCTGTGATTACAGGCATAAGCCACTTCACCCAACCTGTCAAAACAAATTTAACTTCATTTAACTCTTGAGTTTAGTATGACTTTATTATATATTGGCAATCTTTCTTTCTTTCTTTCTTTCTTTCTTTCTTTCTTTCTTTCTTTCTTTCTTTCTTTCTTTCTTTCTTTCTTTTTTTTTTTTGAGATGGAGTCTCGCTCTGTTGCCCCGCTTAGAGTACAGAGGCACGATCTCGGCTCACTGCAACCTACCCCTCCTGGGTTCAAGCAATTCTCCTGCCTCAGCCTCCTGAGTAGCTGGGGTTACAGGCATGTAGCACCACGCCTGGCTAATTTTTGTATTTTTAGTAGAGACGGGATGTCACCATCTTGGCCAGGCTGGTCTTGAACTCCTGACCTCATGATCCACCTGCCTCGGCCTCCCATGCTGGGATTACGGGCGTGAGCCATCGCATCCGGCCGCAAACTTTCAAAATGTAGACATTTTAATAAGATTTTTGTATTATTAGTAGCTATTTATTGGGTACCAACAATGGCTTGTTTCATTGAACTTGCCGATACAAGTTCTGCCTGCAGATGAAATCGCCTTTGCAAAAATTATAGTAGTAAGGGAAATTTAACACACCTAACCCCATCTTGCTTCTACCAGGCTAGATTGCTTTTGCTCATTCTTGTGTGAAGGCCATAATAGTTCTTTCCTTGAACTGATCCCCTCCTTGTTCAGAAGTTAAAACCATATTTGTAAAGACCAACAGAAGGTAACAAGGTTAGAATTATGCTAGGGGCCTGAACTTTGCTGAAGAGTAGGCACGGTTAAACCATAACCATCCATTACTTGTTTAGCTGGCGTTTCTGTAAGTTGCTTATTGCCCAGAGTCACATAATTGGAGGTTACAAGATTTGTAACTTCCCCAACTGCTCCTAAAGATAACTTTATTATTGTGAAACCTAAATAACTGGTCTTTGAGATATTTTTCAGATTTAGCGTTTCAGCAGATCAAGAGATACCACCCCGTCCTGAAACTCTCTCCCAGGAACTGACTCAGATGCATGAAGACAGTTTAGGGACCCCTGTGATTTCATCCTTAGCCAATCAACTGTTTCAGTTCCCCAGGCCCCTGCCCACCAAAGTACTCTTCAAACCCCCTGAGAACCAGGCCCAATCTGTGATATCATTTTGGATAAATGTTTAGGATCATCGAAAGCAGACATTTGTTTTACTCAGTTTCTTCAATGGTGGTGTTACCACATGCTTAGGGGTGAGGCTGGGTAGTCCACTCTCTCCTCTTGTCCTTATCTCTCCTGTAACTAGCAACAAAAAAAGGATCTGATATCGGTATTGTGCATGAGGTATGACTGCGTGAAAAAGGACTCTTGATATGTATTGAACTCAGAGTCTCAAATGGCTAGAAAGATGTAGTTTTGTCATAGAAAGAGAAAGAAAGATAAAACGAAAAGAGAAGTAGAAGAGGAAGGAAAGAATCCAAGCAAAGAAGTAAAGAAATGGCCGGGTATGGTGGATCACACCTATAATCCCAGCACTTTGGGAGACTGAGTCGGGAAGATCCCTTGAGCTCAGGAGTTTGAGACCAACCTGGGCAATACAGTGAAACCCCATCTCTATAAAAGTAAAAAATTAGCTGTGGGGCATGCCTGTAGTTCCATCTACTTGGGAGGCTGAGGTGGGAGGATGCTTAAGGCTGGGAGGTAGAGGGTTCTGTGAGCCATGATTGCACCACTGTACTCCAGCCTGGAAGACAGAGCAAGAGCCTGTCTCAAAAAAAAAAAAAAAAAAAAGAAAAAGAAGTGAAGAAAAGAGGAGAAAGAGAAAGGAAGGAAGGAAGGAAGGAAGGAAAGAAGATTGGAAGGAGCAAAGAACAGGGAAAGTTAAGAAAAGTGGAAAGGAAAGAAAACACGACAAGAAAAGGAAGAGAGAGAAAAGAGGAATTGGAGGCTTTGAGTTTCTTCCTGTTTATAGACTTGAGTTAAAAAAAGAACTGTTGGATTCAAACGGCAGGCATCTCATTGTGCACTCCTACCTTTGTATAAAGAACAAAACACCATTTACTCCCAGGTCTCTTCTGACATTAATCAATAAGGCTGTTTCTCTTACCAAGGCACTATGAGGGGATGGGCACTACAAGGTGGTAAGGAGGGATGGTAGAATAAGCACTAACTAGTAGGAACAACTATTATTTGTGAGCTTTAATGAGGTAGCAGGCACAAAAGGCAGTTAATCTCTGCCTAATGATCTGATGTAGTCCATGAAGCCATGCTATGGGGCTGCATTGCTTTTATTGAACAAGGCTCTCAGTGTTATCTCACCTCTTGCTTAGCCAAAAGCCACTGATTTGATTCTGGAGCTGTGGAAAGACATGGTTACATAGTTATTTCATAGCACTCAATTTCTATACTATAAGGTGAGAATGGGAAAGAACAGCTATTTATTTTTAAAGAGAAATCCAGTTGGGTGAAGCCAATTTTATGCAGCTTGGGTACGAACAATAAATATGTAAGTGTGTTGTAGGCATTTTATATGGTTGTCTGATAACCACCTTAGATCACTTTTCTGGTGGATTTTTTTGTTTTGTTTTGTTTTTTAAAGACAGGGTCTTGTTCTGTCACCCAGGCTAGTGAGATCATGGCTCACCATAACCTCACACTCCCGGGCTCAAGTGATTCTCCCACCTCAGGCTCCCAAGTAGCTAGGAATATAGGCACGTACTGCCATATCAAGCTAATTTTTAAATTTTTTGTAGAGATGGTGTCTCATTATGTTGCCCAGGCTTGTTTTGTACTCCTGGCCTCAGCAATCCTCCTACCTTGGCCTCCCAAAATGTTGGGATTATAGGCATGAGTCACCCAGCATAGCCCATTGTGGCAATTTTTTTTTTTTTTTTTTTTTAGAGGCAGAGTCTTACTTTTTTGCCCATGCTGGAGTGCAGTGGTGTGATAGCTCACTGCAGCCTTGAACGCCTGGGCTCTGCCTTGAACACCTGGATCCTCCTACCTCAACCTCCTGGGTAGCAAGACTACAGATGCCCAACTAATTTTATTATTTTTTGTAGAGATGGGTTCTTACTATGTTGCCCAGGCTGGTCTTGAACTCCTGGCCTCAAGTGATTCTTTCACCTTTGACTTCCAAAGTGCTGGGATTATAAGTCTGAGCCACCATGCCCAGTCTATTGTAATTCTTTAATGCCATCAGTTATGTTGGGCATTAAAAGATACTTTAAAAAATTCTCCATCTATACAATAAAACATATTGGATAGAACTCTAGATGAACTTTCAAACAACTGCAACTTTGGAAGAATGAAGCCAGGATAGCGCACAGACTACCACTTCCCGTTGTGTAATGAAGCAGACATTGCTAATTGATTGCTGCACTTTTCCCATCATGTGCAGATATGACCTCAACATTCTTCTCCATCTAGCATACCAGGAAGACACTATTTGGAGACCCTAGACTGGAGTTATTACATAAGACAAAATCTTTTGCCATCCCTAACGTAAATCATAAGAAAACGTTGTCTTTCTCTTCTTTTCTTGCTGTTTTGTTTTCTTCTTCTTTTTTTTTTATTGTTTTTAACCTTATGGAAATTTTTAAGGATAAACAGCCTGGGCTTTGTATTTCCAGCTGAATCACTAAATGGCTCATTGCTTGTTATGTCACTTTGAAAAGTGGGCCACTTTAGAAGTTCCACTGGGGAATTCTGACAGGATTGCTGAGGCAAGACTTCATTTTATTTTTTGATCCTTTTACCCTATGCCAGACATCGATGGGAGCCAACACCTGGAACAAATGGAAAATTGTGTATTTCAGCAGGGAAGGAAAATGGGTTGCACCATGTGAGAATCTGATCTTTTGGGATGGAAAGTTTTCTCTGATGGCAAGTGAATGCCAAGTGACCCTGAAGGTTCATGTCTGTTTGTTTGACTTTTCTTGTCCTTGCCTCTTGAAGTTGCCAGCAAAGGCCAGCAAATGACCACACAGAACAAAATGGTGTGATAGAAGGGAAGGTTTAGGCTGTGGCTTTCAAACTTGAGGAGTGAATTGGTTTCATTAAAATGCATTATTCACAGAATGAAAAATGCAACCCTCATCTTTGGTTGACACATGATTATTAGATTCTTCAGGATTCCTTGAATTTGGTTTGCAACTGACATCACACAAATGGCATCAGAACTTTTTGAACCAAGGATTCAATTTCAAAATTCAATATTGTAGGAAAAGGAAAACAAATAGGCCTTGTCTGTTAGTATACAATGGCCCTAAAAATACACAACTGCAATTTCATGGCTGACCTGTGCTGTAATTGACTTGTGGTGGTTCACTTACTGAAATTTTAATTCTACATTTGGCCAAAAATGACCTGTATGTGAAAACCATTACATACCCTCTCTCAGTAAGGAAAAGGAAGACAAGGTAATGGGCATAAGTTTAGTTTCTGTGGTGTGGCTGAAGAGAGCAAGGGAGTACCTGATCCTGGCTTTGCAGACCTGAGCAAGTTGTCAAACTTCTTTGATCCTTAGTTTTTTCACCTGTAACTGGAGTAATAATATGCATGTCTTAGGTTTGTTAGGAGAAGGGGAGATCAGTTAGTGCATATGGGGTGCCTAGCACAGGGCCGGATACATTGAAAGGGCTCAGTAAGTTTTGTTATTTTGTATGTTATATCATGGCTTTGAATGGCAGTGGTCTTTCTAGTTTAGATAGTATTGAGAAAACGTAATCTTGGAATTGTGGAATGGGAAAGCTTCCTCAATAGCTTTCCTGTGTTTAGATTGTTGATTTTAAGCTTCCGCCTACAGCAGCTTTTTCACACCTCTTATGACAGGTTGCAAAAATGGCCCACTTCTTCCTCATTTCCCCTATCCGCACCCTTAGCCCATGTGATTTTGAAGTTCCTCCCATTAGGAAGGAGATCTATTTCCTTGCTTCTTGTTTCTGAATTGATCATGTGACTTTCTTTGGTTGATGGATGTTAGCAGACATAATGTAAAGAAAGGCTTGAAAAGTTAGAGTTTTCACTGCTTCTGAGTCATGCACAATAGTATCCCAAGCATTCTCCAGATTCCTGGTAGGATTTCTTTGAAGCACAGTTCCAGTTGGTGTGAGTCTCATGGAACCCAGCACAGCAGTAAGTCACTTATTTGAAATAGTCTTATGCCATGTCTGAAGCCTGCTCTGCGATTCAAAACCGAAGGCCTCAACCAGAAGTATTGCTAGGTAAAGATGTGGGGATAGTAGTCCACCTATTGTAAAACAAACCCAAAGCACAAGACAGATGTAGTTTTGCTGACCTTAAAATAATGTGCAAATGGTATGATTTCATCTTTTTGTTTGTTTGTTTTTTTCTTTTTTTGAGACGGAGTCTCACTCTGTCGCCCAAGCTGGAGTGCAGTGGCATGATCTCACTGTAACCTCCACCTTCTGGGTTCAAATGATTCTCATGTCTCAGCCTCCTGAGTAGCTGGGATTACAGGTGCTCGTCACCACGCCCAGCTAATTTTTATATTTTTTGGTAGAGACGGGGTTTCACCATGTTGGCCAGGCTGGTCTCGAGCTCCTGACCTCAAGAGATCTGCCTGCCTCAGCCTCCCAAAGTGTTGGGATTACAGGCATGAGCCACTGCGTCTGGCCGATTTCATCTTATCAAGAGAAAAATATTATGTACCTGCCATCACCATGAAAATGCCCAGGATAGTCAGCTGGAGGATGAGAGACACATGGAGGGGAGCTGGTCTTTCCAGCCACAAGAATTTTAGAATATCTGACCTCCAGTTGACTTCCAGATATGTAAGTCCAACCAAAGAACAGCAAAGCCACTTGGCTGACCACCCCAGACACGTGAACAATAAAAAATAAATGTTGCATGCCACTGAGGTTTTATGGTTGTTTGTTATGCAGGCTTATTAAAATGATCAGTAGTGGTTAAACTTCTATTATAGCTCTAATTCTCTTGTATAGCAATTATGGTGGCTTATCTATGAGATTCTCCACACATATTGGGAAATTCTTGAGCGTGGAGATGGTATCTTATTTACCTTGTACCTCAGGGCCCAGCATAGTACTAGGTAGGTAATAAATATTTGCCACTGAAGTTCTGGCATTAATTTAATAGGACATTCCTCTATTCACTTGTTGGTTTTTTTCTTACGTTCATATTTTCCTTCTGGAATGCCTTCTATGCACTGTGCACTCTGCTGGGTGCTAGGAGTACCAATGTGAGCAAGACTGACATTGGAAAGTCCCATAATTCCTGTAAGGAATGCAAATTGTGTCCACACACATGCTTTTACACGTGAATGAAGGAATGCATGAATGAAATAATCACTTACTAAATCCTTGCTGTGTGTCAGGCCTGGTGCCCTAAAGAAAAGGCGCTTGAGGTGAGAGGAATGATTGGGGCAGTAATGGCAGGAAAAGTGTGTTAGAGGTGCTCGTGCTTTGGGTGAAAGTTGAATGGAAGGATTGCATTGAGGTGTAGTGGGAGAAAGTTTTGAAATAGAGTTCTGTGCAGCTTTAGCTGATAGGCCCTTAGCCTACGGGCTAAGGGCTTTGGATTAGGGTTGAAAACTGGAATATGTACATGGACCAGGCGTGAAGAAAGATGGACTGGTAGGGACTGTACCTGTCTAGACAGCACATGCCCATCTTCTAAGGGGCTTGTCCATGTTTAGCTCAGTGCTCCTTAGACTTCAATGTGTGTAAGTGAGTGACTTGGGCATCTTGGCTCTGGGATTTTAGTCTCTGGCAGAGCCCGAGATTCTGGTTTATTTTTTAATTGTTTTATTTTTAGACAGAGTCTTACTCTGTCACCCAGACTGGAGTGCAGTGGCATGATCTCAGCTCACTGCAACCTCTGCCTCCTGGGTTCAAGTGATTCTCCTGCCTCAGCCTCCTGAGTAGCTGGGATTCCAGGCATGCACACCACGCCCGGCTAATTTTTGTATTTTTAGTAGAGACAGGGTTTCTGCCATATTGGCCAGGCTTGCCTCGAACTCCTGACCTGAAACGAGCTGCCCACCTCAGCCTCTCAAAGTGCTGGGATTACAGGCATGAGCCACTGCACTCAGCTGACTCTGCATTTTTAACCAGCTCTTAGGTGATGTTGTGATGCCAATTCTGTGATCCACACTTTGAGGGAAGAATCTAGTTGATGTTGCCATGCAGAAATGTGGATTCAGTTTTACCAGCTCACCATATTTTTAAAGAAAACTTGTAAGTCTCAGTTTTACATAAATTACCTTGATTTTTAATGGTAGTAACTAATGTTTGCAGAAATACTTATAAAATGGGAAACCTCTCTACTTCATGGAATTATAAACACGAACTATTCTGACTCCAAATGTTAGGATATCACCCCTGCTGATTTCATCCTACTTTGGACCTCATATTTCATGGGTTTGCTCTTGATGTTGTATGTTTTGCATTTCTCTAAATAGATTTTAAGCTTCTTAGGGACATGGGTGGGATCTTATTTTTCTATCTGCTAGAATATGTGGCAGAATGTTTCATACCCAGTGGGAGGTCAATAGATACTAGTAAACTAGCTAATGGAGATAAATGGTACATTTCATAAAGCCGGAATGGATTTTCATATATTATCAGTAGGATTTTTATTTTAGAGCCGGAAAGCAGAAAAAGTTGCTTAATTTTATTAATCACCCTCATTTTTTAGAAAACACATTAATAGCTCTGGGAAATCTTCATCTGCATGGAAAAAAGTTTAATATTCCAAGGTGGTTATGATGGCATTGTCACTGAGCTGTGGGTGAGGAAAGACATTATGAAAGAAGTTCAGTAGTCAAAAAACAACAATAACAAAAAATCAAAACTCAGTAAAATTCTCAATGATTTGTAAGCCAGTTTTGAAGGACAAAGTGTAAATTTTTTCATAAATCCTAGTGGAATTGAAGATGACACAGAATAGCAGAATTTATGGAGGTGAATGCTTCTTATTCCAGGATTCCAAATATCTTTGGAGTATCAGCCTTGGGCAGATGGCATTATGATCTTGCCAGACCCTGAAGGATTTACCTCTGAAAACTGTCAACTCTTTGCTTATGGCAAATGTGCCCCTTTATTCATGTATGGCACACTAGAGTTTACTAACTGCTTTGTCAGCAAAATTGATTCTTGTAACAGTTCCTCTAGGGCAGCATGGAAGATGTCAGGAAAAAATATCCCAGATTTGAAGTGGCAAACAAGACGATGCTTTATCCCCTCACTACAGTACAAATGTTGTGCAGCCGATCCCCTAGGGATTCACTAAGTCTACAGGGGGGTAGACTGTTGACTAGGTCAGGGGTCAGAAAACATCTCCAGTAAAACGCTAGATAGTCAATATTTTACTAGATAGTAAATATTTTAGGCTTTGCAGGACATATACAATATCTGTTGAACATTCTTGTCCTTTTTTCATTTTAACATTTCTTTAAAAATGTAAAACTCATTTTTACTTTGCCACCAGTACAAAAACAGGCTGTGGGTTAGATTTGACCCATGGGCAGTAGTTTTTCTTGCCATCTCTTGGACTAGGCTATTTGATAACTCTGTAGGGATAGACATTAACTTGTGAAAACTAATACATTGCACATGATTCTTGTCTGAGAGGAATGTAAATAACTCCTCTCTATAGGAATGTAAGTAAATTTTGTCCAGTCAAGATGCAATTGATTTCTATGTGGTAAAAATGGATAATGCCAAATATTACAGTTTGTTGACCTGTAGGATATTAACTAGTTTTGCATCTGTCAGCAAATTTGCTTTGTCATTTCTTTAACTGACTATATTTCTGTTCTTCATATTCCTCTTCGAACCAGTGATACATCTTACTAGCTATCTCATTAATTAATGAGTTGAATAAAATTTTTAACATACATTTATCAGTGTCATAGTATAACTGTTTGAAAATTATACTGCAACAGTAGTATTTTCCCCTCTCAAGAGATTAGAAAACTGAGTTTACAAGTGGTTACGGGATTTTCCCAAGTTAGACAAGTACATGGCTGAACTGGAACTAGAACGTGTTTTCAGATTCCTCATGAAGAAGAAGAAAAAGCAATCTGCCATTTTGCCCTTAGTCTAGCTCCGAACTGTCTGGAACAATTAATTTTTCTCATCCTGGGAAAATGAAACATTTCCAAAAGAAAAGTTTTATATTTCTAGTAGAGAAAGGTTTGCATTTTTAAAAGGTCTTGCATCTCAAGATAGACAATGAATCAGGAACTTTCCAATAGTAGCCGTGAATGATGGAGGCATCCATAAACAACTGGACTCGTGGAATGGCAGCAGCTTCTAAACAGTTTCCAGAAACAAGCCGTGAAAATCAGGGATGCTTGTATTTTGTTATACAAGGTAGAATCTCCTGGTATCTGTCAAAATTGATCCACATATTATCTAATCCAAATTGTAAATGTCATGTAGAAAGTTAAACAATAGGTATCACTTGTTTTCTGTATTCTGAGTCCCTTTCTTTTAAATATCTGGCTTTATTATATGCAGTAAAATTTTTTTCCTATCTAATTGTTTATAAATTTAAAAAGTACTAGTCTAGTCTTCTCTTCATTGTACCACTCTGGCCACCAACAAGCCTGGAATTTAAATTTACAGCAAAATTGCTGTGCTCCAAGAGGCAGGCACACTGCATCTCTACTGGCAAAATTTACTTATATCCCTTTAGAGAGGAGAATCAGAGATGAGTGTCTCTGCACGCAACAAGTTAAAAAAAAATGACTCAATATGTCCTCTTTGCACAAACGTTGAGGTGTTGATTGGCTTAAGGTTATCAGTGATTGCCCGTCTTTTTTTCTGTTCTCATCTTCTATAGAGAGTGAGGGTACTATTCATGACATGCAAGGGCAATGGATATGGACCAATAGGGTTGGATACCCAGAAAGCAAAGCCAATAGGCCCAAATTCATAGGTAGGATTGTACGCGTATGTAGGGACCTGTCCATGTTGGTACTGCAAATGTCAGCTTTGAGATGTTAGAGAGTAAGAGTTTGAGCACGTATGAGGTCTGAGTTGGAAGGCACTGATAGAGTGGCAAGTGTGGTGGCTTTATTGGTCCAAGTCTGATTTTGAGGCATCTTCTTGCTTAGGTCAGATAATTCCTTGCTTGGAATTTCTGGGTCCTCCTCCATGGCTGCTACCACAAGCCAGGCCCAGTAGCCACATACCTTTGACTTTCCAACTCCTTTCTCCACTTCTGAGATTGAAAGAAGCATGACACCACAGTGTATTAGCTCTGTGGGGGAGTTAATTCTATAAGGGGAGAATGTTGGCAATCTGAGGAGGGGGAAACATAGATAATTTTTCTCTCCTTCCTTCTACCCATGGACTGCTTGAAGCATGGTTTATCCATAGAGCTTATCTTTTTTTTTTTTTTTTTTGAGACAAGAATCTTGCTGTGCTGCCCAGGCTGGAGCACAGTGGCAGAATCCTGGCTCACTGAAGCCTCCACCTCTCAGGTTCAAGCAGTTCTCATGCCTCAGCTTCCCAAGTAGCTGGGATTACCCATGTGCACCACCAAGCTTGGCTAATTTTGTATTTTTTTTTTGTAGAGACAGGGGTTTCACCATGTTGGCCAGGCTGGTCTCAAGCTCCTGGCCTCAAGGGATCTACCCACCTTGGCCTCCCAAAGTGCTGGGATTACAGGCGAGAGCCAGCATTTCGGACCTATAGAGCTTATCTGAAGATGTCCCACGTGGCTGAATTATAAGTAACCTACTGTATCTCTTTATGGCTTATTGTGAAAGAGTCAGAAATGTGGTAATCATAATTTTGAATTGTTCTCATTCTGTCTCACATCCATGTACCTCACTCTCGCTTTCCTGTAATTGGACCTATAAATAATCATCAGCACTAATCCTTGCCTTTGTTTTCTAGGGAACTCAGGTGAAGACAAGAGTTCCTTATTACACATATCTGGTATTCTTTCTCAAGGCGTGAGGCTTTAATTGCTATTTTAATTTTAAGAAACAGAAAAGGGACAAACACAAAACTACAAATGTGATACTCTTTGTATGAATTAGGATTAAATTTAGTTGTAAGCAGCAACAAAACGACAAAATACAAAACTAAAGTGACTTATGTAAGATATAAGTTTATTTCTCTCCCATAAAAGTCGAGAGTTAGGCAGTGCAAGCTAGCATAGTGGTTTTTCTCCATTCTTAGGAATGCAGCCTACTTTCAGCTCACTGTATACCCTTCTATAAGGCAGGAATTTGGGCACTGCATGGATGGGTCCTCTGCTTTAGGGCTTTCATGAAGGTGGAATCAAGGTGTCGGCTGGGGCTGGAGTCTCATATGAATGATTGACCAGAAAAGACTCACTCTCAGGCTCATTTGATTATTGGCAGGATTCAGTTTCTTGTGGCCTGTTGGACTAGAGACCTCATTTACTTCCTGGGTATTGACCAGCGGCTGCCCTCATTTCCTGCCCTAACACGGCAGCCTGCGTCACCAAAACGTGCAAGTTGTGAAGGCAATAGAGAGTCTGTTAGCAAGATGGGTATTGACAGTTTATGCAACACAACTATGGAAGTGACATCACGTAATCTTTGCTGCATTCCATTGGTTAGAAGTAAGTCACAGGCCTGCCCATGCTCAGGGTAGGGGATAAGACAGGGGTGAGAACACTAGGAGGGAGAGTAATTGGGGGCCATTTTAGAGTTTGTCCACCAGTAATAATTTGGTCTCACATAGCTGTGGGTGGATGGGGTTGAGAGGCTGTGCTTTACCTTAAAGTCTGCAGGATTTGATCTGTGCCGTGTATTTGTCATCCTGCTCAGAGTACGCAGGTTAGTGGGGAATGTGCTTCTCACAGTATTGGCAGAGGCACAAGACAGCAAGCTGAACTACATGCGTGTGTTTCTGATATCTACTTGCATCACATTCACTAATATCCCATTGTCCAAACAAGTCACATGGCTATGCCCAAAGTTAAGGGGTAGAGAAATGCACGCTGTTCTTTAGTGGAAGGTATGCAAAACATGTGTATGCATGGAAGGTGAAGAATTGGGCCCAACAGTTCAATTTACAACAGTGCAAAAACATGAAGAGACAGTATTGTTTTGGTGAGAGTGGCCTTGTGACTCAATCCACACATTGCAAGTGAACTTCTTGTTTTGAATCCATGAGTTATTTGAAACAGAGCTACTTATTTGAATAAACGGATGTATGTCCATGTTGTGGTTGGGTAGTGGGGGTGGGTACTGGCATGTCGCTCACCACGCCGGCATATACTAATACAGGGACTGGCAAGTGATAGATCAGATCTAGCCCCTCTCCCCAACCCCTTATTTGCTTTTGCAGAGGTTTCAAGTTGAGACTGGTTTTTACATTTTTAAATGGTTGAAAAGCAATCAGAAGAGCACTATGTCATGACACATGAAAATTAGATAAAATTCAAATTTCTGTATCCATGAAGTTTTATTTGAACATAGCCATGCTCATTCATTTATATATTTTCTATGCTGTTTTCTTCAACTACAATGGCTGCAATGATTGTTGAGTAGTTGCAACAGAGATTGCATGCCTTGAAAAGCCTGAAACATTTATTATCTTGTTCTTTGCAGAAAAATATGGAAACTCCTGCACAAATAGAGAAAATGCCACATATATGTATACATATCACTTAATTAAAAATTTAGCAGTATAAGAAAAATGGATATCACTTAATTAAAATTTCAGAGGTGTAAGAGAAATTGGAGATAATTTTTTAAGTATTACTCTTTAGAGATGTGGAAACAGGGGCCAAGATAGCCAAAGTAACTGGCTTAAGTAATACATTATGTGAGTGGCAAAACTTGAGAATATTTCCCAATTAAAAAATTTTTTTCTCTGCAATACACTGTCATCCAACATTTTTTCTAAGTTTCATTAAAAAAAATAAATTTAAAACGGGATAGGCCAAAGCGTCATGCCATCTCATCTACATTTGCTACTCAATTTATTTTCATTAATATTGTGATCCTTTTTGATTAATGTGATGAATGTTTCTTACATGGATGGGAAATGTATCAATTATAGGGTTAATTAATGTTGATGTTCAAACTCAGAATGGAGTCATATTAATTGAATACATCTATTTGATGGGGGCCTAATTAATTAGGTTCTGAAAACCTCTTCTGATAAGCTCCACTCCGTGCTAATGAGCCCCATGGATCACTGTGTTAAGATCTCACTGTTGCCACCTTTCCCCTTCACTATTATGGCCATGTTTAATTTGTTCACATGGTTCTCAGAGTCAATAACTAGGCCTTTATTTTTACACCATGTCGTGGGAGTTAGGAATATTCACTCTCTAATTCAGTACAGTGCCTGCATAATGCATGTCATAGAAGAAGCTGCCTAGCTAGACTGTTAAGCACTAAACAAACAAACAAAATAATCAAATCGGCGTTAAGAAAGTATGGGAGTAATGTTAAGGTAAAAATAGTCTTTACAAAAAGAGCCAACAAAGCTTTAAGTTTAACATGTTTGCTATAAAAGTAGCATAGAGATAGAAATTACAGAGTTTTTTTTCTGGTTTTTTTTTTTGTTTTTTTTTTTTTTAAGAGATGGGGTCTTGCTCTGTCAGCCAGCCTGGAGTGCAATGGCATAATTATAGCTCACTGTAACCTTGAACTCCTGGGCTCAAAGGACACTCCTATGTTAACCTCCCAAGCAGTTAGGATTACAGACATGCTACTATGCTCAGCTAAGTTTTTCTTCTTCTTATTTTTTTTGTAGAGACAGAGTCTCCCTACATTGCCCAGGCTGGTCTTAAACTCCTGGGTTCAAGTGACCCTCCTGCCTCAGCCTCCTAAAGTGCTGGGATTACAGGTGTGAGCCACCACGCACGGTCAGAAATCACAGGGTTTAAATGACATCTATTTTTTTCCTCTCCATCCTTTAAAAAATAAATAAATAAGTAAATAAATGGGTAAGTAAATGTTTATCTTTACTAGGGTTTAATTTACATACAGTAAATTCACAGATCTTAAGTACACAGTTTAATTAGTTTTGATAAATGACATGCCCAGGTAATGATGGCCCTAATCAAGACAGATAATATTTCTAACAGTGCAGCATAATTGCTTATGTCCCCTTCCAAACAATCCCCCTGCCCAGAAACAACCATTTTTTTATTTTTATCATCAGAAATTAGTTTTTCCTATTCTTGAACTTCATATACATGAAACCTTACAGAATGTGTTCTTTTTCGTCTGACTTACTTCATTCAGCATGTGTGTGACATTTTCATCCCTGTCCTTGTAACAGCGTGGTGGTTAATATTGAGTGTCAACTTGATTGGATTGAAGGATGCAAAGTATTGGTTCTTGGGTGTGTCTGTGAGGGTGTTACCGAAGGAGATTAAAATTTTTGAGTCAGTGGACTGGGAAAGGCAGACCCACCCCCGATCTGGGTGGGCACCATCTAATCAGCTGCCAGCATGGCCAGAATAAAAGCTGGTGGAAGAACAAGGAAGAACTAGACTGGTTTAATCTCTAAGCCTACATCTTTCTCCCACGCTGGATGCTTCCTGCCCTTGAACATTGGACTCCAAGTTCTTCAGCTTTGGGACTCGAGCTGGCTTCTTTTCTCCTCAGCTTGCAGATGGCCTATTGTGGGACCTCACTTTGTAATGGTGTAAGTTAATGCTCCTTAATAAACTCCCCTTTATATACACATCTATCCTATTAGGTCCCTTTAGAGAACCCTGACTAATACAAATGTAATCCCACAAGCCCTTAGCAAGAGAAGAGGAAGGTAGAAGATGTGGTGGAAGAGGAAGGGAGAGGAGAGATGAGGCAGAAGGGGAGGTCAGAGAGATTCTAGGAATGAGAAGGACTTCACCTGCCATTGCTGATTTTACAGATGGAGGAAAAGGGCCGCCAACCAGGAAATGCAAGCACCCCTAGTTGCTGAGAACAGCTCCTGGCTGACAACCAGCCAGGAAATAAGGATCTCAGTCTTACAACCACATGGAACTGAATTCTGCCAACAACTAAGTGAGCTTGGAAGTGAATCCATCCCTAGGGCCTCTGGAAAGGAATACAACCCTGCCAACACCTTGATTTTGACCTTGTGGAACCTGGAGCAGAGAACCAGTTGAGCCATGCAGTGTCTAGACTTCTGAATTACAGACTGTGAGATAATTAATGAGTGTTGTTTTAAGCCATTAAAATTGTGGTAATTTGTTAGATGGCAGCATTAAGAAACTAAAACATCAGGGTTAAATATTCATAAGCCTACATTAGCCAAGAAGAAATATAAATGAATACATGTGTATTGCTCAGGCTGGGTGTAAAATGATAAACAGTAGATGATCCTTTTCCTCAGTCTTTGGGGAGGCAAGAGGGAATGGTGGGGGCTGTGGAGAACTGGAGGGTGCATAGTTTATCTAAGGAAAATCATCCCTACTAAGATCCAGCATATTATAGTAAGGTAAGCTCTGTGTTGCAAGATGTGATCTTCAAGATAAGCTAGAAATTCAAATTTTAATGCATTTAATTCAAATGTTTTAATGCATTTAAAACATTTCTTTATTTTAGACAATTTATAACTAATGCAATTTATAAATACAAACAAAATATGGTTGGGAAATAGATGTAACCTGAAGGATATCAGTTTGTGGCTTTTTGACAAGATATCCTAAACTTATTTGACCCTGCCAATAGGGAAAGCGTAATGTGAAGTTCATAACTAAAAAACCACAAGGCAAGTTCTGAATCACTACTGAATGGTTATTTAAGTATTTAAATGTCTTCTCTAAAATGGGAATAATCATTCCAATTTCATAACTATGCGAAGATTAATTATGAAAATGCACATAATACCTTGTATATCAGTATGTGTTAGCTATTATTTTTATTTTACTGGTACAGGGGTGGGTGCAGTTTAGAATTGGCTGTCAGATTTATAGGATGAAACAGGCTTTCATTAATCAAACACTATCTCTACTCAGCTTTATAGAAAGATACAGGATGGGAAATACATTCTGTATAGCACCTTTATCTCATCAGGGGCCTAGCAGCTACCCAAGGACACGACTTCCCTTTCCCTCCCAACCACAAGATCGTGTGGGCTTATGTAGAACAAGAACTTCATACATGTGGGTCACTTTGACAGCATCTGAGGCCTTGGTTTGCCATCAGTTCTATCCATGTAGGCCCACAGTCTGCATGCCAATCACAGCTCCAAGATCAGGGTTTCACAGCAAAGAAGGACAACATAACATTCCACATTTATCTCAACTCTGTAATGGTTTCCAAGGAAATAGGACTCTGATTTTCATTTTTTCCAGGCAGGCCTGGGTCAGCCCAGGCTGATGTAAACTGTTTTCTTGCAATTAGTAACAATCCTTTGGAGGGGAGGTGTTAGTTTCCTGTGGATGCTGTCACAGATGACCACAGATTTGGTAGTTCAAAACAACAAAAATTTATTCTCACATACTTTTGGTGACCAGAAGCCCCAAATCAAGTTGTTGGCAGGACCAGACTCTCTCCAAGTACGTAGGGGAGAATTCTTTCTCGACTCTTCCAGCTTCTGTTTGCTCTAGGCATTCCATGGCTTGTGGCTGCATAACTCCAATCTTTGCCTCTAGATTTACAGGGCTCCTTTTCAACAGGACTGTTGTAAGGACATTTGTCATTGGATTCAGGGCACACCCAGCTAATCCAGGATAATCTTATTTTGAGATCCTTAATTATATCTACAAAGATTACATATTTTTTTTTCCAAATAATGTAACAGCTTCCAGGGGTTAGGATATAGACATATCTTTCTAGGGGCTACCATTCAACCTATGCCAGGTAGGTGGTGAGCATATTATTGCTCCTATTGCATAGATTCACACTCTTGGCAGCCAAGGATATAGGAATATGGGCAGCTAATTAAGACCTTACGACCAGAAAAAAGCTAAATGGCTTGGACACAGATTGAATCAGTGACGTCAGGCTGTTTAGCCTTGTCCTTTGCTCTTAAGAGAAAAATCAGCTTTTGGAGGATGGGGATCTAGTCTGCAGGTGCCATATCCCCTTTGCTACTTCCTCCTGCAGCCAATAAAGGCCATTTTTACCATAAAAAAAAAGGAGAGAAAGTTGGACACCATAATGAGGACTTTTGTTAAAGACAAATGTGTGGTGGTAAGTTTCCCCTTAGAATGTACCATGACAGCAATTCATCCGGGCTTAATATGTGAGCGATTGAGTTGTGTTCCTGTTGGTCTCTCTGTGAAAGTTGGTTTGATTTTGCTTTAAGAACCCAGCTCCTGGAAGCATGACTTTGAACTTCTCAATCATTGGTCAGGTGGTCGGTTTATAGTTTTGTTTTTTTTTTTTTTTTAGACAGATCTTGCTCTGTCGCCCAGGTTGGAGTGCTGTGGTGTGATCTTAGCTCACTGCAATCTCTGCCTCCTGGGTTCAAGCTATCCTCCTGTCTCAGCCTCCAGAGTAGCTGGGATTACAGGCAAGCGCCACCACACCCTGCTGATGGTTTATAATTGTTATCATTGCCGATCATGAATGTTTTCCCCAGGAGCTAAAAAAGACAATGAGTATACAGGCTTGTTCAGACAAACACCGGATCATTCTTTGCTGGAGGAAACAATCGTTCAAATCCATTTTCTCTCGCCTGCATCTGGGGAATTCAGATTTTAGATTTTGTGAATCTGTTAATGGCAGAGGGCTTGGAATCACAAAACAGCTCCTCATTTAGCTTTAGAGTTATGAAAGCGCCAGAGAGTTGGCTTATACCTTCCTCCTGAAATAAGAAATAATTAGCACCTCATGTGACAACTCATTCGACACGTTAGTCACCAGGCGTGCGTTTGTCCCATGCTAATGTGAATCTGGTGTGAATCTATGGTTTCATTTTCTTTTCAGTGTGTAGTGTAATGAAATTCTCTCTTAGTCTCAATTTTATGAAATAGTGGTGAAGAAAAAGATGTAGCGAGGTTATTAAGCCCTTCCCCAGCCTTGAGATATGCTTAACTCTTACTCTTCTTAACTCATTGAAGTGATTTAACTTTGATTACCCAGGTAATTCAGGCGAAAGACCTATTCTCTTGTGTTCACTGTTTAGACCGGCTGGTGATTACCTGTTTAATGAAAGGCAGTGAGTTTAACAATTCCATTAAATTTCACACCCTATAAAACATGGAAGTCATTGGCAGCATCAATGCTGCATGAGTTTAATAATGGGAAATAATGCTTTATGGAACTACACAGTTTACAAAGCACTTTCTATTTATTATTCTATTTAAGTTTTGTGAGATGGGTGGTATTATATCCATTTTAAAAATGAGATAAGTGTAGGGTCAGAGTACTTAAATAGCTAATAGATAACAATATCTGTGGTGACATAGCTAGCTAGTTAATGCTAGAGTGGGGACTTGAACCTAATAGCTCCTCCTTTCTTTTATACAACATGAGTTCTTTAAATCCAAGCACAGTTGCTCAGGCAGTTGAGAACAAGGACCATGGGTAAATGATTTGTTACAACTGTGGAATTTAAAAGATGGTCAGGACCTTAAGGGTCACTGAATTGTATTACTTCATCTACACAATGGGAGCTGGAGATATTGCTTCTCACTCTAGGCTTGAAAACTCTAGGCTTAGTTAGACAGATCTGAGCTTGCAAAGACAAATGCTTCAGCCTTTTTTACAGGGAGGTAAGGAAGCTGGGGTTCTGAAAGGGCAAGGAGCTTGCCCAAGGTCGCACAGCTGGCTTGTGGTAGAGTTGAGAGTTTTGATCCAGATCTCATATCATTTGGTGCATTGCCTAAGTCGCTCTTAGCACTTAGAGTGAATTTCACTTACCAGTTTACTTTAGGATCCACATAAGTTTTCTTATAAAGAAATTTTAAAAGTGCTGGTTAAATAGCAAGGCCATTTATAGACTTCTGCGTCACCATGGAATGCTCTCCAGAAATATAAAGTTGCAACTGAGATTCTCTCTGAAATAATCAAGTACCCTAAGAAAGATGTATAAATATTATCCAAAATATCCAGCCACACAGAAACTCTCAGTAAAGTCCCCAGAGTAGAACTAGAATGAGGCACACTTTCTGATAAACTTAGAAATAATTGATAAATGAAAACACAAATAGCAAAGCAGAAGCTTTATTAATTGGAAATTATAAATATCTTTATTGGATAATTCCTGGGTCAGAGAGAAAAATCAAAATAACATTTGCTGAATATTTAGAAAATATAGATATAGAAAAAGTCACATATAAGAAGTATTAGGATGTGGCCACAGTTTAACTGAGTGGAAAATTCATAAACTTAAGTATCTGTGTAACTAAATAAGAAAGAAAAAATGAATTCAGTATTCACTGTGACAAGTTAACATAACTCTGATAAAAGACCCAACAAAAGCATAAATATGAATTTTATACACATCCATTATGGTTACTTATTTATAGAATTAATTAGAAGAAAGAAAAAAGAGAAGTGGTATCAGCAAATTGGTGGAATAGGATGTTCCTGCTCACATCCCCTCAAAGCAACAATAATTTGGCAGCCATCCATGGATGAGAGTGCCTTCTGGAAGCTTTGGAATCTAGGTGGGAGGTTTTCAAAACCCTGCTGGAATTGAAGACTGAGGATGTTTGGAGAGGGCAGACCTGTGCCCAGGTGTAGGCTTGCTGACCATAGTTCTGGCTGCAGACCCAGAAATGGCCTCAACCCCTTGGGGAGTCAGTTACAACCCCCTTTGGCTTTGGTCCTGCTGCTAGATTCATTCATCGAGGGACAGAGGAGGAATCAAGCCTACCTATGCCTCAGGTGACACACTCACCACCCTCAGTCTTAGCTGTAGACCCTTATGTGGCCCTGTAATTTGGCTCCAGCCCCTCTCAGCTGCAGTCTGAGACAGTCTTGACCACCCGCAAACCCAGCAGCACACCCATCTGTGCCCCCAGAATCAGACCTGCAGATCTTGGTCTCAGCTGTGAACCATAAAGCAGCTTTATACAAGGTACCAGCCCCTTACATGTAGTATAGTATAGTGTTAGTATGGAAACACTACTTATTTTTGTATGTTGACTTTTTATCCTGTTACTTTGTTGAGTTAATTTATTAGTTCTAGCAATTTTTTAATGGAGTCATTAGGATTTTCTACATATTTGATCATGTCATCTGCAGAGATAATTTTACTTTGTTCATTTTGATTGGTATGCCTTTAATTTATTTTTCTTGCCTGATTGCTCTGGCTAAGACTTTCAGTACTATGTTAAATAGCAGTGGTGAGAGAGGGCATCCATGCCTTGTTCTGGATCTCAGAGAAAACGCTTTCAGTTTTTCCATATTCAATATAATGTTAGGTGTGGGTTTTTTATATATGGCTTTACTGCATTGAGGTAAACTCTATCTTATTTTGCTGAGAGTTATCATTTAACATGAAATGGTGTTATATTTTGTCAAATGCTTTTTCTGCATCTATTGAGATGATCATGCGGGTTTTTTGGCCTTTCATTCTGTTAATATGGTGTATCATGTTTATTGATTTACATATGTTGAATCATCTTTGCATCCCAGGGATAGATCCCACTTGATCATGGTGTATGATTCTGTTAATGTGTTGTTGAATTTGGTTTGCCAGTATTTTACTGAGAATATTTGCAACGATGTTCATCTCAGATATTGGCCTGTAGTTTTCTTTTCTTGTGCTGTATTTGTCTGGCAATGAAATCAGGATGATGCTGGCCTCATAAAATGAGTTTGAAAGTGTTCTCTCCTCTCCACATTTTTTGGAATAGGTTGAGAAGAATTGGCATTAATTTTTCTTTAAATTCTTGGTAGAATTTACCTGTGAAGCCATCTGGTGCCAAGCTTTTCTTTGTTGGGAGGTTTTTGATTACTGATTTAATCTCCTCACTCATTATTGGTCTGTTCAGCTTTTCTATTTCTTTGTGATACAGTCTTGAAGGTTATATGTCGCTAACACTTTACCAGTTTCCTCTAGATTATCCAATTTGTTTGCATATAATTGTTCATGGTATCCTCTTATGGTCCTTTGTATTTCTGTTGTATCAGTAATGTCTCCTCTTTCATTTATAATTTTATTTGAATCTTCTTTTTGTCTTGATTAGTTTAGCTGAAGATTTTTCAATTTTGTTTACCTTTTCCAAAAACAAACTCTTGGTTTCATTGATTTTTAAAATTATTTTCCTATTTTATTTCTAGTCTAATCTTTATTATTTCCTTCCTTCTGCTAACTTTGGCCCTACAATCATTTTTCTTTAGAGACAGGGTCTTGCTGAGGCAGAAGTGAGCAGAGAGAGTGGGATGATATATTCAAAGTACTGAAAGAAAAAAATGCTGACCAAGAATACTATATCCTGCTCTCTATATTAGTACTATATCTACTCTATATATTAGAGGTATAAATAATTTGTGTACCCAGTCTGGAGTGCTGTGGTGTAATCATAGCTCACTCCAACCTCAAACTCCCAGGCCAAAGTGATCCTCCCACCTCAGCCTCCTCAGTAGCCACCATACCCAGATAATTTTTTGTGTGTGTATAGAGCCAGGGTCTTGCTATGTTACCCATGCTGGTCTCAAACTTTTGGCATCAAGTGATCCTTCTGTCTTGGCCTCTAAAAGTGCTGGGATTACAGATGAGCCACCATGTCCAGCCCTAACTTTAGGTTTAGTTTCTTCTTTTTATAGTTCCTTGAGTTGTAAAGTTAGATTATGTAGTTGACATATTTTGTC
Source organism: Homo sapiens (assembly GCF_000001405.40). Classification (NCBI taxonomy): domain Eukaryota; kingdom Metazoa; phylum Chordata; class Mammalia; order Primates; family Hominidae; genus Homo; species Homo sapiens. The sequence continues at coordinate 5,281,045 of NC_000003.12, forward strand.
TTTTTAAATGTAGGCATTTAACATTAGAAACTTCCTTGTTAGTACTGCTTTTGCTGCATCCCATAAGTTTTAGTAAGTTGTACTTTTTTTTGAGACAGGATCTCACTCTGCCACCAGGCTGGAGTGCAGTGGCATGAGTATGGCTTCACTCACTTCTGCCTCAACCTCCTAGGTTCAGGTGACCCTCCCACTTCAGCCTCCCGAGTAGCTGAGATTACAGGTGTGTGCCGCCACGCCCAGCTAATTTTTGTATTTTTTGTAGAGACAGGGTTTCACTGTGTTGCCCAGGCTGGTCTTGAACTCCTGGGCTCAAGCAATTCAGTCACCTTGCCTTCTCAAAGTGCTGGGATTACGGGCATGAGCCACCATGCCCAAGGTAAGTTGTACTTTTATTTTTGATTGTCTCAAGATATTAAAAAAATTCCCGTTTGATTTCTTCTTATACCCAATTATTGTTCAAATGTGTGTTATTTAGATTCCATATGTTTGTGACTTTTTCTGTTTTCTTTCTGTTATTCATTTCTAGATTCATTCATCATGGTCTGAGATGATTCTTGGAATGATTTTAATCTCTTAAATTTGTTAAGACTTGTTTTGTTACCTAGCATGTGATCTATCCTGAAGAATATTCCATGTGCTCTTGGGAGGAATGTGTATTCTGCTCCTGTTGGGTGGACAGTTCTTTATGTACATGTTCGATTCATTTGATCTGTAGTGTTGTTTAAGTCAGCTGTTTCCTTATTGATTTTTGGACTGAATATTGTATCCATTATTGAAAGTGGGGTATTGAAGTCCCTTACTATTATTGCATTGGTATTAATTTTTCTCCCTTAAGAGCTGTCAACATTTGTTTTATATGTTTAGGTGCTCTGGTGTTGAGTGCATATATATTTACAATTAATGTATTTTCCTGTTGAATTGATACTTTCATTTTTATGTAATAGTCTTTGTCTCCAATGACAGTTTTTGATTTAGAGTATGTTTTGTCTGATATAAGTATAGCTACCCCCTAATCTTTTGTCTCCATTTGCATTAAATATGTTTGTTCATCCCTTCACTTTCAGTCTATGTATCTTTATATAAAATGTGAGTCTGTTGTAGACAGCATATCTCAAGATCGTCCTTTTTAATCCATTCAGCCATTTCATTCCTTTTGTTATGCAGTTTAACTAATTTACATATAAAGTGATTATTGATAGGTAAGGACTTGCATTACCATTTTGTTAATTGTTTTTCTGTCTGCTGTGTAGTATTTTTGTTTTTCTCTTCCTCTTTGCTGTCTTTGATTATTTGATAGTTTTTTGGTAGTGGTTTGGATCAATTCCTTTCTCTTTATCTTTTATGTATTTACTATGTTTTTCCTTTATGGTTACCATGAGATATGTATAAATCTTCTTGTAGTTATAACTGTGTATTTTAATTTGATAATGATTTAGTTCAATTGCACACAAAAATTCTACATTTTTGCCTTCCTATTTTGTGTTCTTGAAGTCAAAGTTTACTTCTTTTTATATTTTTGAATCCATTACAAAATTTCTATGGTCATTATTTTTAATGCTTTTTTCTTTTAACTTTTATATTAGAGTTACAAGTAATTTGTGTACCATCATTGCAAGGTTATAGTATTCTGTACCTGGCTATATATTTACTTTTATCTGTGAGATGTATTTTTTTATACTTTTCACATATAAAATTGATATTTAATGTGTCTTAAATTCCTTTCGAAGAGCTCCCTTAAGCATTTCCTATAAGGCATATCTAGTGGTGACAAATTCCTCAGTTTTTGTTTGTGTGGGAAAGACTTTATCTCCCCTTCATCTTTAAAGTATAGCCTTGCAGGATGTAGTATTCTTAGTCAGCATTTTTTTCTTTCAGTACTTTGAATATATCATCCCACTCTCTCCTGGCCTGGAAGTTTTCTGTTGAAAAATCTACTTATAGTCTTATGGTTCTCTAGAATGTGACAATTCACTTTTATCTTGCTGCTTTCAAAATTCTGTTTTTGACTTTTGAGAGTTTAATCATAATGTGTCTTCATGTAGACCTCTTTATGTTCAATCTACTTGGGGTCCTATGGGCTTGCTGAATCTGGCTGTCTATTTTCACCCCCAGATTTGGAAAATTTTTGGTTATTTCTTTTTTTTTTTTAATTTAATTTTATTTTTTATTTTATTTTCATTTATTTATTTATTTTTTTATTGATCATTCTTGGGTGTTTCTCGCAGAGGGGGATTTGGCAGGGTCATAGGACAATAGTGGAGGGAAGGTCAGCAGATAAACAAGTGAACAAAGGTCTCTGGTTTTCCTAGGCAGAGGACCCTGCGGCCTTCCACAGTGTTTGTGTCCCTGGGTACTTGAGATTAGGGAGTGGTGATGACTCTTAATGAGCATGCTGCCTTCAAGCATCTGTTTAACAAAGCACATCTTGCACCGCCCTTAATCCATTTAACCCTGAGTGGACACAGCACATGTTTCAGAGAGCACAGGGTTGGGGGTAAGGTCACAGATCAACAGGATCCCAAGGCAGAAGAATTTTTCTTAGTACAGAACAAAATGAAAAGTCTCCCATGTCTACTTCTTTCTACACAGACACGGCAACCATCCGATTTCTCAATCTTTTCCCCACCTTTCCCCCCTTTCTATTCCACAAAACCACCATTGTCATCATGGCCCGTTCTCAATGAGCTGTTGGGTACACCTCCCAGACGGGGTGGTGGCCGGGCAGAGGGGCTCCTCACTTCCCAGTAGGGGCGGCCGGGCAGAGGCGCCCCTCACCTCCCGGACAGGGCGGCTGGCCCGGCGGGGGGCTGACCTCCCCCCCCGCCTCCCTCCTGGACGGGGCGGCTGGCCTGGCGGGGGTTGACCCCCACCTCCCTCCCAGACGGGGTGGCTGCCGGGCGGAGACGCTCCTCACTTCTCAGACGTGGTGGTTGCCAGGCAGATGGTCTCCTCACTTCTCAGACGGGGCAGCCGGGCAGAGACGCTCCTCACCTCCCAGACGGGGTCGCGGCCGGGTAGAGGTGCTCCTCACATCCCAGACGGGGTGGCGGGGCAGAGGCGCTTCCCACATCTCAGACGATGGGCGGCTGGGCAGAGATGCTCCTCACTTCCTAGATGGGATGGCGGCCGGGAAGAGGCGCTCCTCACTTCCTAGATGGGATGGCGGCCGGGCAGAGACGCTCCTCACTTTCCAGACTGGGCAGCCAGGTAGAAGGGCTCCTCACATCCCAGACGATGGGCGGCCAGGCGGAGACGCTCCTCACTTCCCAGACGGGGTGGCGGCCGGGCAGAGGCTGCAATCTCGGCACTTTGGGAGGCCAAGGCAGGCGGCTGGGAGGTGGAGGTTGTAGCGAGCCGAGATCACGCCACTGCACTCCAGCCTGGGCACCATCGAGCACTGAGTGAACCAGACTCCGTCTGCAATCCCGGCACCTCGGGAGGCTGAGGCTGGCGGATCACTCGCGGTTAGGAGCTGGAGACCAGCCCAGCCAACACAGCGAAACCCCGTCTCCACCAAAAAAATAGGAAAACCAGTCAGGCGTGGCGGTGCGTGCCTCCAATGGCAGGCACTCAGCAGGATGAGGCAGGAGAATCAGGCAGGGAGGCTGCAGTGAGCCGAGATGGCAGCAGCACAGTCCAGCTTCGGCTCGGTATCAGAGGGAGACTGTGGAAAGAGAGGGAGAGGGAGACCGTGGGGAGAGGGAGAGGGAGAGGGAGAGCTGATTCTTTCATCTACTTAAGTCTGCTATTGAAACTCTCTACTGCATTTATTAGTTTACTTATTATATTATTATTATTATTTTTGTGTGTGTACTTATTGTATTCTTCAACTCCAAAATTTCTGTTTGGTTCTTTTTATGTTTTTAAATCTCTTTGTTCAACTTCTTATTTTATTATTGTATTATTTTCCTCATTTCATTAAATTGCTTATCAGTATTCTCTTGTAGCTCACTGAGCTTCTTTAGAACAAGTATTTTGAGTTCTCTGTCAGGCAATTTGTGGATCTCAATTTATTTGGGGCTGGTTACTGAAGGTTTATTATAATCTTTTGGTGGTGTCATGTTTCTCTGATTATTTTGGTGTGTTCTTTACATCCTTATGTTGATTACTGCAGACTTCAAGAAGTGGTCACCTCTTCCAGACTTTATGGACTGGCTTCACTAAGGAAAGGCCTTCAGCTCTAGAGGTGAGATGGTGCTAATGGGGGTGTAGTACCTTGTGGTCCTGTAATTTGAAGCACCAATCTGTGGCATCAGATCAATGGGGCTCTAAGTGCAGGGGTGTGTGGCAGCTCCGAGTTCAGGTGGGAATAGTGTTTGCAGACCCCTGGGGTCTGTGATATTGGCAACTGGATGGCTCTTGGCAGCAAACATCTATGAAGGGTGGTCTGCAGTGGTTGTGAAGGCTGTTGGGGTCCTCAGAGGCACCTCTGGGTCCAGTGGAAAGTGTGCTTGGGTAGGTGGGGGCAAGAGCCAGTGGTCTGTGTCCACATGGCAGTTGGGGCTGATGGTAGGGGTTGGGGTTGACTGTGTGCATGTGCATGGCTCCAGGGGTCAGGGCTGGCAGTGTGCATGTGGTGGTGGGGGCTGAGGCCAGCTTATGGGTGTTTAGTGGCTCCATTGGGTTCTGGGGTCAGAGTGCCCTTGGTGCACTGGCTGGGACAGGTCTCACAGGAGAAATGGGTGGGGGAAGTGGTGGGTCAGGCAGGTGTATTCCATGAAGGCAAAAAACTATGGGGCCCTCAGTGGCAAAAGTTGCAACAGGGTCTGCAGTAGCTGTACTAGTTGTTGGTTTCCTCAGTAGCAAAGCTGCTGGGGTCCTCTTTGGAGGGGTCTTCTGGGTTCTATGATGGTGATCACTTCAGGGTCCTTAATGATGAAAGCTGTGGAGGTTGCATGGTGATGGCAGAAGATGTTGAGAACCTCAGTGGTGAAGGCTACTGGGTTCTCTGCAGAGTAGGCCACTGGGGGCATTTAATACTCATAGTCCCCACCCTTCTTTTTTGCTCCTAGCCATTTCCAGCTGTCTCAGCTGTGTCAGTCTCCCTGCTGATCTGGGTGGATGAAACTAAAGTGAGTTCTTTTTGCAGCACTGTGAAAGGCTGGAGAAGCTGGAATCTCATTCTGTTCTTCTTTTCTTCCACAAGGGGAACTCAGGGGCTGGGGATATCCCTCTCAGCACTAAGCTGTGCCACCCTGGGTGATAGGATGATGCAGGCAAAATAAAACTGTCCTTTCTATCCTTTCTGTGTAGTTATTCTTGAATTTTGCTTCACTGTGTTGCTGAAGCTTCTTACCTAGACTTGAGCTCTCTCAACTATTTTTGTTCATTGATAGCTATCTAATTTTGTTTTGCTTTGTGTGTGTGTGTGTGTGTGTGGGGTGGGGAATGAAGGCTGGGATCTCCTACTCTACCATCTTGCTGATGTCACTGCTGCTATTACCAGACACTGTCTTCTTATTTTGGAAATAGAGAAACATTACTTCTCAAGAGGAGATATTTTAAATCTGAGAGTGAGTATGGTAGATGCCTTGAAATCATATGCTTGTGCATAATTCAATACTATAGATTTCATTAATGAGATTATTTTCCAAAGTGAGGACAAAAGATTCATTTTGCTTCTGTGTCATTGTGGAATCTGCTCCATTATTAGTAAAGAAAAGCAACTCTGGGAAAATGGGGCATGACATTTGAAGATTGTTTGAAAATGGGGCAGTGCTTACTGAGATATTTAAGTGGTAGATTAAACAGAGAAACAGAGATTAAATTTAGAAGAGGAGTTTCTGAAAAAGCCCTTTTTAATGACAATTTGGATTTAAAATTATCAACTTGGGGAGGGATATCCACTCGTTGGTTAATGGGCATTTAGGCTGGTTTCACATATTTTGCAATATATGCTGCTATAAACATGCATGTGCAGGTGTCTTTTTCATATAATGACTTATTTTCCTGGGTAGATACCCAGTAATGGGATTGCTGGCTAGAATGGTAGTTCTGCTTTTAGTTCTTTTTTTTTTCTTTGAGACAGAGTCTCGCTCTGTCACCCAGGCTGGAGTGCAGTGGCACGATCTCAGCTCACTGCAAGCTCTGCCTCCCGGGTTCACGCCATTCTCCTGCCTCAGCCTCCCAAGTAGCTGGGACTACAGGTGTCTGCCACCACACCTGGCTAATTTTTTTGTATTTTTAGTAGAGACAGGGTTTCACCGTGTTAGCCAGGATGGTCTCGATCTCTTGACCTCGTGATCTGCCCTCCTTGGCCTCCCAAAGTGCTGGAATTACAGGCTTGAGCCACAGTGCTCGGCCTGCTTTTAGTTCTTTAAGGAATCTCCATACTGTTTTCCATAGTGGTCGTACCAGTTTCCATTCCCCCCAGCAGTGTAAAAGTGCTCTCTTTTCACCACATCCATGTCAACATCTGTTATTTGTTGATTTTTAAATTATAGCCATTCTTGCAGGAGTAAGGTGGTATCTCACTGTGGCTTTAATTTTTCGTTTCCCTGATAATTGATGATGTTGAGCATTTTTTATGTTTGTTGGCCATTTGTATATCTTATTTTGAGAATTATCCATTCATGTCATTTGCTTACTTTTTGATGGGATTATTTTTTTTTCTTGCTGATTTGTTTGAGTTCCTTGTAGATTCTGGATATGAGTCCTTTGACAGATGCATAGTTTGCAAATATTTTCTCCCACTCTGTGGGTTTTCTGTTTACTCTGCTGGTTATTTCTTTTCCTGTGCAGAAGCTTTTTAGTTTAATTAGGTCCCATCTATTTATTTTTGTTTTTGTTGCATTTGCTTTTGGGTTCCTGCTCATGAACTCTTTGCCTGAGCCAGTGTCTAGAAGAGTTTTTTTCCAATGTTATCTTCTAGTATGGTTTCAGATCTTAGATTTAAGTCTTTGATCCATCTTGAGTTGATTTTTGTTTAAGGTGAGAGATGAGGATCCAGTTTTCATTCTTCTACATGTGGCTTGCCAATTATCCCAGCACCATTTGATGAATAGGATGTCCTTTCCCCACTTTATGTTATTATTTACTTTGTTGAAGATCAGTTGGCTGTATAACTATTTGGCTTTAGTACTAGGTTTTCTATTCCGTTCCATTGCTTTACATGCCCATTTTATACCAGTGCCATGCTGTTTTGGTAACTATAGCCTTGTAATATAGTTTAAAGTTGAGTAATGTGATGCCTCCAGATTTGTTGTTTTGCTTAGTCTTGCTTTGGCTATGAAGGCTGTTTTTTGGTGCCGTATGAATTTTAGGGTTTTTTTTCTAGTTCTGTGAAGAATGATGATGGTATTTTGTTGGGAACTGTACTGAATCTATAGATTGCTTTTGTCAGTATGGTCATTTTCACAATGTTGATTCTACTCATCCATGAGCATGGACTGTGTTTTCATTTGTTTGTGTAATCCATGATTTCTTTCAGCAGTATTTTGTAGTTTTCCTTGTGGAAATCTTTCACCTCCTTGGTTAGGTATATTTTATTGTATTTTTTGCAGCTGTTTTAAAAGGGATTGAGTTCTTCATTTGTTTTTCAGCTTGGTTGTTATTGGTGTATAGCAGCGCTACTGATTTGTGTACATTGATTTTGTATCCTGAAACTTTACTGAATTCATGTATCAAATCTAGGAGCTTTTTGGATGAGTCTTTAGGGTTTTCTAGGTATATGATCATATCATCAGTGAATAGTTACAGTTTGACTTACTCTTCATTGATTTGGGTACCCTTTTTTTCTTTCTCTTATCTGATTGCTCTGGCTAGTACATGAGATGAGGTTTTGGGAAGAGGTAGAAGTTAAGCCATCCGTGCCTTTCATCTATTTATGAAAGAATATTAAACACTATTGCTATCTTTAGATCAAAGAAAAAGCCATGGCCAGAGGGGGGATAGACATTATCAAATTTGTGCGTAGAAAATATTTCCCCATCTGAACTCTAGAGATCTAATGGGAGGGAGTTAAGAGAGGATGTGGGTCAACTATTTAAGCAGGCTACTTTGCACCTAAAAGCATCAGGACACCAAATATCACCCATGTGTGCAGAGCTAGAATTTCTACTTTCATTGCTACTTTGGATTAAGGTAGTAGATCAAAACTTTTATTACCATTCTGTAGCAGAACCTATATTGCAAACAAAATCTTCAGCTTCATAAAAAATGATAAATATTGTACTGCCCTGGCTTAGGTGGGGATGGGAGTTAGTGGACAGAATTCATCTGCAATGATTAATTTTGTTCCTCAACTTGACTGGGCCACAATGTCCAGATATTTGGTCAAACATTATTCTGTTTTTGAGTAAGATTAACATTTAAGTAGGTAGACTGAGTAAAGCAGATTGGCCTCCTTAATGTGGGTAGGCTTCATCCAGTTAGCTGGAGGCCTGAACAGAACAGAGACTGACTGACATTCCCTGAGCAAGAAGGAATTTTGTAGTAGACGGCCTTCTGACTTAAACTGCAAATCTGGCTCTTCTCTGGGTTTCCAACCTGCTGTCCCTCCCTGCAGTTTTTGGACTTGCCAGCCTCTATATTCATGTGGGCCAATTCCTTAAATCTCTCTCTCTGTCTCTCTCTCTCCCTCTCTCTCTCTCTCTTCCTCTATCTTTATATACATCTTATTGGTTCTGTTTGTCTAGAGAACTCTAACAAACTTTTTATGCCTCCTCTACCCCATTTAACTCCAATGGGGAGCACCATCCCTACATTCCTTATAGCCAAGATTACAAACCACTAGCTTAAGGCCTCAAGAGGAGGTTGGTGATAAGAGGGAAGAAACATCCACTGGGAATATAAGTGAAGCTCTGGTACCCCTCTTAGATTTGTTCTATTTGATCCCTGCCTTCTCCTAACCTTAGAATACAGTAAAAAAAAAAAGATGATTAATAAATGGAAAGTATTTTTCAAATAGGATTAAAAGTAATTGTACTCCTATTTTTCCATTTTAAGCATGGAATTGTACAATAGAACATGGGTAAAGATGACTAGAGGAAATTGACCTCTTTGGAATGTTAATAAGAGTAATTACCTTCCTAGGCTGGAAAAACAGGAGTGAACAACTCATCACTTATATTAGCAGTGCTTCTTAACTATTTGGGTATGAGTGGCTTTAACAATCTGATGAGTATTAAAGCCTTGGCCCTTTCCTTCCCAAAATGTCTGATTAAAAAGCATTTAATGTTTTGTCATGCTTTCAGATGTTCATAGATATTATCTTAGAAACTCCTGCTTTGGGAAGTAACACTTATTAATACAAATGTGGCTGGTGGTTGTTGTAATGGAATGGAAGGCACTCTGTATATGGAATATGAAGACCTGGTTCAACCTCTAGCTTTGCTACAAACAAGCTGAGTGATTTTAAGCAAATGGCTTCATCTCAATGAGTTTCAATTTCTGCAGTTGTGAAATGGGAATGGCAATATTCAGTGCAGATGACCATCGTGATGGTTAAATTAGATCATGCCTGTACAGACTTTGCACACTATAAAGGTCTATATGGATATAATAAGATGATGGTGTCTTCTCATTAGACAAAGTTGTTAATTACCTCAGTGGACCTTGCTTGAAGGCATGGGACACAGGAAGATGAGTTTTCATAACAGAGAATGCAAATGCTTGAAGTCTTTGCTAAGGAGGCAGGCAGTGTACAGAAAGTTACAGGAGTAGAAGCAGATAATAAGCAAAAGAGAGAACATCAGGGTTCTTGACAGGAGGATGGAAAGATGCTAAACATTTACCTCTTGTCACTATTTTGCATAAAGCTGGCCACAGCTCAGCTATTTGCAAGAGGCCATGTGGATATAGAGGCCTGGGTGAGATAAAAATGAACAGATTTGGGACTTCTGGTTACATGGGGGTGGAAAAGGCTTTAGGCCTTGATGTTTCCCTGTGTCCAAAATTTTGAAAGATCGATTGAGTCAGTAGGTATTTCATCTGTTTCTCTGTGCTTTCTGAGGGTCAGAGAATAGAGATGTCAAAAGAAACAGCTATTCTTACCAGGCATTGCAGTGATCCTCCATTAAGCCCCCTTGAGGCTCTTTAGGGCTTGTGCTAGTATCCAGCTTGAAAATAACAGTGTTGGTACTACCTTATAATCAAAAAGGGATTTCAGCTTGTCAAGGAGCTTGCAAGCTGGTGATCATGTTTGAGGTATTTGAAGCTAGTTTCTATTACGGTTACTTTACGAATGAGAAATCTAAGCACAAGATGGGCTGACCTGCTCCAGATCACATTGTAAACTTGTAAGAGGTGTCTGTCTAACTCCTACTCTTGTGCCTTTTAAATTGTGCTGACACATTGCCTTGAGAGGTGGCATGGTACAGTGTTAAAAGGATAGACTCCAGCAATGTATCTTATTTATTAGATGTCTGTTCATGGGCAAGTCGTCTAGATCTGGGTGCCTCAGTTTTTTTTTCTATAAAGTGGGGATATTGACATACCCACCTCTAAGTGTTATGGTGAGGATTCAAAGTATGAATATACCTTAAGTGTTTGGGAACTGTGCCTGGCTTATGATAAGTGCCATTTAGCTAAATCTGTACCAGTGCATCTCAATGTGAGAAACTGTGAACATAGAGGATCTCTGGTGGAAAGTTTTAGAAGTTGAGACTGAGTATGGTCCTAGGAACTTAATAAGCACAGTGGACCCCCTTTAACATTTAACAGGAATGGTGCTTGTGGCCTATCTCACAAGCTTATCTCATCCTTCAGGTCTTAGCTCAAATACCACCTCCTCCAAGAGGTTGTCCCTGTTTATTGGCGGCTTCCCTTCACTTCCTGCCCACTTATTCTATCTCCCATCATTCTAACTCTTCCTCTTATAACACTTACCATAATCTGTAATTCCCTTTATTTACTTACTTATCTACTTATTCATTGGATGCCTCTCTCACTAGAATGTCAACTTCATGAGGGCAGGGACCTTGTCTATTTTCTTCACCTCTAATATCACAATGCCCAGCATGGTTCCAAACGCATGGAAGATACCCTATGACTAATTTTGTCTGTGTGTTGTACACAGCAGTGAACTTCTGGCTTACCTAGAAGTTCATGCGATAGGGAGCACAGACTAGAACAGAACTTTAGAATTTAGGCATTCAGGCTGGGCTCAGTGGGTCACACCTGTAATCCTCATGTTTTGGGAGACCAAGGTGGGCAGATCATTTGAGGCCAGGAGTTCAAGACAAGCCTGAACAACATAGTGAGTCCCCATCTCTACAAAAAATAAACAGACTTGTAGCTGGGCATTGTGGTGTGCACCTGCAGTCCCAGCTACTTGGGAGGCTAAGGCGGGAGGATTGTTTAAGCCCAGGAGTTTGAGGCTGTAGTGAGCTATGATTGTACCAATATACTCCAGTCTGGGCAAGACTCTGTCTCTTAAAAAAATTTAGGCATTCATCCATCATCACCTTTCTGTGATCTTTCTCCCCTGAATGTGATGATTTTATTAGTAGACCACTCCCTGCCTTCAAGCCTAGGATTAACTATCTCTTTGTGTCCTACATTACATAGTGCCTCTTCTTGTCACGATCTAAATAGAAGCTTTCCTTCTCTGCCACAGGCATGGATTATTTTGGTGCCTTCATTATTTTTCTGATAGATGAAAGTGGCCAGGGCTGAAAGTTCCAGACAGATCTATTTGTGTCCACTTCATCTTCCATTTCAAATTCTATTTATAAACACCACCATTCTCTTTACCTTCTAATTATGAACTGATTAAGGTCGAGTGCGTAAACGCGATACAGAGGGCACAATAGATCACTGAAACACGAGCTCGTTTACCTGGAGAGAGATTTCACTGGCTTTTATAATACAAAAAGAACAGGTACAATAAATTATAGCACTTCCTTGAAATTAAAATTTTTACTCAGAAACCAGAGGCACTAAGGAAAAGTCACCTGAAAAGCAATTACATGGTGATAAAATGTATGGACGTTTCATTGATGTTGGAAGTTGGACTCAGTTTGCCAGTTTAATTTGCAATTTGGGATTCTTCAAATGCATTGTGTGTGCCTTAGGCTTTGATGAGGGACTTCCTGTGAGTGTGCTGGCTCGCTGCAGGTCGCTGGTCTTTGCTTTTTGGGATGGTGTAGAGGTTTGCTTGACAAAATGCAATTATTTCTGTTGCAGAAAGTATAGCAAAGCGCCAACCAAAGCTAGAAATAATTATTCTATTTGAGGCTTTAATAGGAATATCAGATGTAGCTCTGACTTGTTAAACAACTTTTTAAAGGTAGTTAGGTTGGATTGGAGCCTGAGGGAGGATGGGGTAGAAGTGAAAACGAGCTACCTTGCCAATGTTAAAAAAAAAAAAAAAAAAAAGAAATCTGAGCTTTCTTAACAGCTTCCTTAGCTTGAGTCATTTATGTTCCCACTGTGGCTCCCTGTTTTCTCATCTGTAAAATGAAGGAGTGGGGCTGGATGATTTCTAAATTTATTTGAAGCTATTTCTTCCTAAGGCCATATATAGTCAGGTGTTCTGTTCAGTAGTTATCTAAGACAGTCCTCATTTTATTTGAATCGTGTTTAGATTGAGGAGGTGAAGGCAGGGACTGGTGTTTGGCTTTACCAAGCTAGGTTTGCATAGGTATGAGGTGGAATATCATTCGATCATGGGAGCATGGAACTTTCCAGTACCATGTACAGTAGCAATTGGGGATCTTGGGGAGTCATGAGCTGAGATCTAAATAGATTCACCCAGCTGGAGGGAATTTTCCAGGTAACACATTACCACTTCTTAAAAACTCAAGCCTCTTTATAGGCTGTGAAGGCAAATTATCAAATTCTTGATTATTTTGGGAATTGAATGAAAGCTCTCTGATGTTAAGGATCCCATGGGTCTTGATTATCACTGTTTCTTCTACCTGGCACTTGGTTGGTGCTTCATTGCTACTTGTTAATTTAATAAAAGGCTAAATGATTCAGTACAATAGACTTATGGAAGAAGAAGGAGGGCTTGGGTGTCTCCCTATTTTCCTTTTCATTTTAGTCCATTAATTTCTCTCTGTTACGGCTGTTAAGAAATCCTGGGACTGGCCGGGCACGGTGGCTCACGCCTGTAATCCCAGCACTTTGGGAGGTGAAGGTGGGTGGACCACCTGAGGTCAGGAGTTCGAGAGCAGCCTGGCCAAAATGGTGAAAACCGTCTCCACTAAAAATACAAAAACTACCTGGGCGTGGTGGCAGGTGCCTGTAATTCCAGCGACTCGGGATTCTGAGGCAGGAGATCACTTGAACCCGGGAGGCGGAAGTTGCAGTGAGCTGAGATGGCACCACTGCACTGGGCGACTGAGTGAGAAAAAAAAAAAAAAAAAAAAAAAAAAAGGAAATCTTGGAAATGCTTCGGTAGCCCAGAAAATTCTCATTTTTCTGAGGGAGAGAGTCAGCCAGTGCAGGGAGGTTCTCTTTGCAGTGCTATTAGATCTCTACATTTTCTCTCCATGATTCAGTTAGAAATGACGAGACATTCTGGGTTAGAAGTGAGCAACAGTCTAGGAATTGCAAGGATGTTACCCAATTTAGCCTTATTTCTGTTACCCACCTTCTCCTCTGTCCTTTCCCTTCCGAAACCTTCCCAGGAACTCCGGGCTACTCTACTCCAGGTGTTGCTAGAGCATCTCATAGCCATGGCATGCATTGCATTGTTGAATACTTACTTGCTCCCATGTCTAAATTCCTAGCTTCATCAAGAGCTTCCCCCAAATGGGATCTTAGCCTTTTCATTTTGTGTCCCTCTTAGCACAGTTCTTTTATCTATGTTTGCTAATAAAGAAAGTCCTTTAGAAATATTTGTGACTCTTTGATACATGAACAGGGAGGAAACAAGTCTTCAGTAAGCAGTGTTGATGTTTGGTATAATCTAACGTGTGCCTAGGACTAAGGGGCTGTATTGGAGGGGACAGGACAAGCGAGGAGTGGGGCTGGATGATTTACTACCCTTGAGCTTCTACTGTTTGTGGAAAGGTAAGAACCCTTTAAGTTCCTACCCTTAAGCTTCTTTCAGCTTTGCTAGAGTTGTAAGTTTAGATCTATAAAAAAACAGATTAAAATCAAGTATTAGGCTGTGTGGATACAAGCAGTTTAGCTGTTTTGCCATTTAGAGGAATCAAAGACAGTTAAGGATGACATCTTATTTTCTAAAGTGACTCTAATGTACCTTTAAAAACCCAGTATAGACACAATCACATTCTAGAAACAAATACTCTCAAAACAGCTGGCCAGTCAGCTTCTTGCCTATCTTAAATTCACAAATTGTGGGTTATTTATGGCCTCTGTCTGTTGGGTACTCTCACCCTTGACTTTATGTGACCACAAAGATGCATACATATCTTTCCATTTATTTCTAATTACCTGAGGCTTTGTTTTTAAGGTAAATGCACGGAGATTTCTTTTCTGCTGATGGGTTCCTGACTGACAGTCAGTATTGTGGAATTCCTGAAACTCCCCAGGCAAATACATTAGAAAATTACTTGATGGTTTGCATGACTAAACCATCACAAACAGATTCTCTTCCATATCTCTGTAGGTACATCTTACATCTTTGTAACTATGACATTCAAAATGTATTGAATGGTAGAATATGTCAACTACTAGTCTAGATGCTGAGAGTACAGTAGTGAGAACACACACACATGTGAGTGTGCATGTACATATGCATGCATGTACCTTCCTAGAGTTAACATTCTATTTGCAGGAAACAGGCAATCAATAATATAAACATGGTATGTAAACGATATAGGAGGTTAGAAGGTGATAAGGGATTTGGGGAAGCATGGGGCAGACCAAGGTGATTGGATGTGCCAATGGGGTGGGCGTTGGTTGCCATTTTACACAAGGTGGTCAGGATGGACCCCAGTGAGGTGACATTTGAGTCATCTTGAAATTATTATTGAAGGAGGAAAGGGAGAGGATCATGCAGGTAATTGGGGAGGAGCATTCCAGGCAGAGGGAACAGCCAGTGCAAAGGCCCTAAGATAGAAGCATGCCAAGCATGTATGAAGAAGCTCCCAAGGAACTCAGTGTGGCCAGAGTAAAGAGTAGGAGGAGATGATATTGGAGAAGGAATGGAGGTCACATTATATAGCTCCTTGAAGGCCATGGTAAATACCTCAATTTTGACTGTGAGTGAATAAATAGGTAAAGGGGACTCATTATTTTACTATCATATTTTTTAGGAGATAGTATTTAGCAGTCTCTTAGAAGACTAGCTATTGGCCTCAAAATGTAAATTTGTCTGCTTTGATTTGATCTGCAAGGACCTCTAAGGGCAGTCACTTGTCGGTATGATAAAATGATACAAGGGAAAAAGCCAGCCTGGGTATTACTCTCAGAGTCACTCCTGTCGGGGTCGTGGCTCATTTCTCTTTCAGTGTCCCCAGTGACCCTGACTGTAAAATGATCATGTTAGGCAAATCAGAAAGGGAAACATTTGTTTCATATGCCAACTCTAGTTCACTCATAATGGTTGCTCAAAGTACCCAGAGAAAGAGTCTGCAGTAAATTCTTTGTGATTGATTAGCAATGTCTAACCTGAGAACAGACCAGGAAGTGGTGGGGAGTGTGCTATGAGCTAAGAGGCCTTAGGGTGTGAAAATTCTGTCCTTTATAGTTGGTTTTTAAAAGAAAGGCTACAGAGTTTTGTGATTTTGAGTTACAGTTGTGTTCATCACAAAATGTGTGAAGACTTTGTAGCTACAAGAAAAAAATGTAAGAAATGAATTGGATAAAAGGAGCTTATATCCTTTTATGTGACAGTGCAAATTCTCATTCGTTATCATAAAACGTGAACTTTCCTTGATAGACCTTGTGATAAAAATAACACTTTTAGGCTCTTCCTCATAAATCAGTGAGATAGATTGGATGGGTATTTTCCTCGTTTTACAGGATATTGGAGCACAAAGCTATAACTAATTACCTAATTAAAAAATTAACCGTGTTTTACTAGTGTAATGGCCAAAACAGGATCTTTTTGAGAGTGAAAGAAGATGCTATAAAGAATTACTCCCAGACAACAGGTACCCAATGGGACTATCCATGGCAAATGGGGATGTTTGATCATCCTAGATTTATTTGAGGCCCTGTGATTGATGCTTGGATAAAGCAGAACTGGAACCCAGATGTTCCCGTTGGAAACCATTTCCTTTTATCCAAAATTCTGATGCATTAGACACAGTGTGGGATGATAATAATACTGGCAACTACCAGTTTTATGTGCTCATCATGGGCACAGTCATGTGCTACTCATTTTTTTCATGCTATTTTAATTTCAGTCTCACAGTTCAAGGTCAATATTCTCTCCCTATTTTATAGACATGGAAACCAAGGCTGAGAGATGTGAAGTGACTTGCCAAAGCCACAGAGCTCAGAAAGAATATCTCTCATTCAAGCCCAGCTCTGTGTAATCCAAAGTTCAAGTTCAACTACAAGTTTATTCATTAGAAATATTTATATTAAAACAATTTTTGTTTTTTGTTTTTTGAGATAGTCTTGCTCTGTCGCCCAGGCTGGAGTGCAGTGGTGTAAACTTGGCTCACTGCAACCTCCATCCCCCAGGTTCAAGGGATTCTCATGTCTCAGCCTCCCGGGTAGCTGGAATTACATGTGTGCCCACCTCGGCTTCCCAAAGTGCTGGGATTACAGGTGTCAGCCACCATGCTGCCCAGCCTTGATTCTTTTTAAAGGGATTCGTTACCATTAATTGAAGTATTTTGTATTTAAAATAGGATTTAAATTAAACCAAAGGCCCTGAGCTGATAACTCACTTCAGTATTATGTTCCAGTTTAACCACCTTTTGAGGAAGGGAAATGGAGAAGATACTGGGACTGGAATAAGGGCTAGCTGCAATGAAAATAATAAGATGCAGCAACACTACTTCCTGATTTGGATAAAGAAGAGCTGGAGTAAAGAGAGAGCTGTTTTATTTCAGCTCCAGAGGGAAAACCCTAGTGTGTATTATAGGAGAGAGCTGGAGGGAGTGGGAAGAACCTTCTGGCTGCTGCTCAGATGTGTGCTGGAACTACAAAGTAGGGATTTTCCTTTGATGAACTCAAACTGCTTAGAAAGGTGAAAAGTTCACTTGTAAATGAGACTTGGTAGTGCAAACCAGGAGCAAAGAGAAGGAGCTCTCGTGTTCTTGAAGCTATCTTCAAGCCTCCAGTGATGTGTAGGGGTCTGAGGTTCCCACTCTGGGCTGTGGATCAGGGTGAGTTAAAAGGAATGTTTTAATGAAAGAGCAAGAGCATAAAGAAAACTTACCAACATATACGTTAGAGTATATTAACTTTGGAGTTGCTTTATAAATAGTAGTTGAATAGATGCTTCATCAAAATTTGATGCATGTATGAAATGTATATTTGAATATGCATTTGAATATATATACATATATCTATATCCATTTAATTGCATGTCAAAGCAGATGGACTTAACAAAGAGCTAACATGTAATCTCATGTCCTAAATAAGAGGTGAGCTTTGATGTCATGTCTGTGGTAGATTACCACTACCTGGTAATAGACTATTTAAGTTATAGGATTAGTTGCAAAGACAAAGAAAATCTCGCTCAAGTGCTATAACTGAACACTCAAAATGAGGAAGTAGAAGTCTAGGTAGTGATGATTCATAAGTGAAAAGAAACGATCTCTGTTCTCTTGCTATTTAGAAGCCACTTTTGTCATTCAAAGAGCTCTCAAGCTCCATCAGTTCATACATATCATATGCTTAGGGCTGGTCACGATTCTGCCAACACTGCAACCTCTGTACCTACCTTTCTATCTTTTCTTATGATTCCTATTCTCCCTTTATTCTCTATCACATTTATCATAGAGCATAAAGAAAATAGAATTTTCACAACTTTTTGGTTAGGTCCTAGATAAATCAGCTGGGCTTTTTCCCCCCATGGATGATTGACAATTCTGATGTAATACAGAATAAAGGGAGCTCTGAAGACCAAAGTCTATGGTCTTCACTGCATCTCAATTCCCAACGATTCTTATCATATGCTAACTTCTACATTTTTAGTTTTAGGAATTTTAGTGTTCTGGGACAGGATGTTTTAATTCTAAATATATTCCCTGAGCCATAAAACCCAGCAAGAACAGCATAAGTACTCAAGCTAAAATGTGTGAATAATAACCTAACCAAATCAATAATTTAAGGCCAGTGCAGATGTGTGAAGTTACATGTGTTCCTGACAACTTTGTTACTCTGTGTTTCTACTGATTTTGCTTTTCTGCTTCCAAGTCTAGTGAAATGCGTTTGCAATATAGAGACATCAAAGGCCTGATGAGTGAGCTGGTGGTGCTGATCAGCGGAAAGATCAAAGCAAGCAGGTCTGTAGAGGGATTAGGGATATTATCACGGCAGAGGTTCAGTGATAAAATCAACCTGACAGGGTAGAACCTTGGTTTTTGGAATAAGGCTGGCCTATAAGGTCTGAGGGGGATTAGCAGAAAGAAGAGCTTCATGCTGAATCTTGTGATGGCTTGAACTAGGAATTAAAAAATTCCCCTGGTCAAGGAAATGTTGTAGGACTTTCTCCTTAGTTCAGCTAAAAGTCGGGTTCTTGTCACATGGCCATGAGAGATTAGGCTCTCAGACAATTTGAAGGGTGAGAAAAATGGAATTTATTGGTGAAAAGGAAAAAAAAAGGGAAACAGGGACTTTCAGCAAAGCAAGAGTCCTGCTAGCTGGTTTCCATCTGACAGATTGAATCCCAGTTTCCATCCCCAACAAGAGAGGCCAGGCTCCTTCCCGCTGCAAAGGGTGTGAACTTCTGTGGCTCCACCCTGTTCTCCTGGTGTGTAGGCTGGTCGGAGTTTCTCTGGGGACCCCTTTAGACTTGGCTGTCTCAGAAAGAATGGGCTTCAGATTTTAGGAGTAGCCTAAGCCAAGCCTAAGCAAGCCAAGGAGAGAGACCCCAGGAGAAACTAACCCTGCTGATGCCTTGATCTTGGACAATCTATCCTCCAGAATAGTGAGGAAATAAATACATTTCTGTTGTTTAAGCCACGCAGTCTGTGGTATTTTGTTGTCATAGCCCTAGGAAAACTGAGGCTTCTCATGATGAATAAGTGACCCCATTCATGGGAAGGTCTGGGATACCAGGGCAGGAGCCAGGCAGATCCTGATTGTGCCACAAAAGAGAATGTGGGGGATGAGACTATTTCTAGGCAACATTTCAGGTTCAGAGCAATCATTGCATTTTGAGATTTTTGGGAAAGGTTACTGTGTCAGGAGGTCCCCAAGACCACTCTCAGTTTTGTTGATTTGCTAGGAAGACTCATAGGACTTGGCATACAATTGTACTCACAGCTAAGATTTATTTTGGTGAAAGGATAGGAAGCAGCATCAGTGTGAGGAAAAGATGCATGGAGTGAGGGCTGTAGGGGGCCAGGCATCAGCTGCCGAGAGTCCTCTCCCAGTGGAGTCTTACAGGCCATACTTAATTTCTCCAGTACTGAATTGTGACAATGCACGTAAAACATTGTCTATCAGGGAAGCTCACCAGAGACTCGGTGAGCTTTTTATAGGGGACTGGTCATGGGTAGCTGAGAACATACCAAAATTCCAGGCTCCCAGAAGGAAAGGAGGTGTTCAGCATATACCACATTGTTTGTACACACCATTTATATTTAGGCACAATGAGCCACTCTGATCAGGTAGGGGATGGTGGGAACCTTCCTGAAATCCAAGTTCCTACACAGACACTAGGTAAGGGCTGACTTTATAAGCGGGTCTTCCTAAGGAGAGCAGTCTCAGAGCTGCTATATTAAACTCTTCTGCGCAGTCACCTAAGTGATAATTCTGTCAAAGCCTGGGATGGCTGCCTCTTGTGTACAGCGAGAGTCTGGCAGAGGTGAGGGAATCTTAATTTGGGTGTTTGCGAAAAAGGCATGGAGATAATTTCTGCCTCAGGCTCCCTGATAAATGAGAACCCCAGGGATTCTGAATGTAGTGGCCCCAGATTACATGTCTTCCTGGAGTACTAGGCCATGCTGTTCTGTTCGGTGTCACTGATTATCCTCCAGGAAGATTGTCTACCATGGACCACATTCTTACAGGCTATAGAGGAGAGTTTTCCAACTTCACTGGGGTGAGGACCATTGAGTTCCCCCATCACTCCCTGCTCCGCACACTCCTACCTTTGCTCTTTTTTTTTTTCTTTTGAGACAAGGTCCGGCTCTGTCGCCCAGGCTGGAGTGCAGTAGTGTGATCTTGGCTCACTGCAGCCTCAACCTCTCAGGCTCATGCGATCTTCCCACCTCAGCCTCCCAAGTAGCTGGGACTACAGGCGTGCACCATCATATCTGGCTAATTTTTGTATTTTTTGTAGAGACAGGTTTTGCCATGTTGCCCAGGCCGGTCTTGAACTCCTGAGTTCAAGTGATCCACCTGCCTCAGCCTCCCAAAGTGTTGGGATTACAGGCATGGGCCATTGTACCCGACCATCTTTGCTTTTGAGCTCTTAAAGGCAGGACCCATGTCAGATTCATTCTCAAAATCTCTAAGAGTTCTAGAACAGGACTTGCACATAGTAAACAGTATGTGCTTAATAAACATTTACTGAATCACACAGAGGTGTTGTCATGTATCAACCACAGGGTCTCACTCAGAGACACTGGTAGACTTAAAACCTTGTGCCTAAAGACCCGGATCTTCTTACCAATTTAAGACTGTGAAGGAGAGAAAACTCCCTGCAGAGTCTGAAATTAAAATGTAAGCAAGTGAAGCTAAAAATAAACAGCAACGTGGGATTCCTCAATTCCGACAGGCTGTGACAGCACCAAGTGTCATGCGGCTCTGAGTGATGAACAAGAGGAATAAATTTAGAAGGCTTAATGAGGGGGGATTCTATAACTGCTTGAAAAGCCTAAGCCACCAAATGGAATGAAATTTTCCTAGACAGGAGTGCGATATTCCCTGCCCCCACCCCTGACGTCTCTGGGCAATGTGACACACTTTCTAACCTCCTGAATACAATCAGGTCACCCATCCCAGAGAGAGTGGGGTCTAGTGAGAAGGAAGCACAGTCTCTGGCCCTAAACCCAGAGTGGCTGCTGGGAATGCCCCATCCCCGGGAGTTCTTTTTACAGGACATAGAGTCATCATCACAGGATATTAGCAATGGAATCAGCCTTTGAGTCATTAATGGTTTTCAGAATCTTTGAGCTTCAAAGACTTCACAAAATGTTATGCAGAAGGGCAAGATAGAAGGATAAAAAGTAGAACTGCTGTGATTGAAGTGGAGGCAGCAGATTGGCTTCCCATCCCTCCACCTTCCCTACCTTATATCTGTGGAACCCCTGGGTTCCTGAAGAGCAGGACTGCTGTGTGGCGTTGTGCAGTTTCTGCACATGGACAGTGTATACATTTGTCTCAGAGCACAGCTTGAAACAATTGATATAATTTAATCTTCTTATTTATGAGTAAGGAAATTCAGGCCTGAAGTGAAGCAACTTGCACAACGTCAATAAATTAGTATCAGAGGTGGGATTTGGATGTAGGATTAGTGACTCCCAATTCATTGCTATTTTAGACACTTCTTGATATCTAGGGTCTCGCTAGCCCACCCGTGCAAAAACAGCCTTAGAGCAGAAATCATGCGTCAGGGTGGAATGTCCATCTTGCTTCAGAGAAGAAACAAAATAGAAAACATCTTCATGGTCCAGGTGTGCTTTCAGAGGTGCCAGCTTGGGTGCACAACCAGGTCATCATCAGCCTGTCCTTTAGGCATTGGTAGTGAATGAAAAGCTGAGAAACTCTCCCACTCCCAGGGCCGTGGCTTTCCAATAAAGATAACACTGATAAAAGACTACCCGCATGACTTGAACTATGGCTTTGACTGTGACTACAACTTTGTCTATGACTAAGATTAGGACTATTACCCCCACCAAGTACCTATCAGAGATTCTTGTTACATTACCCACCAAAATGTAGGATCCAAGAGAGCAGGGTCTTTGCCAATTTTGCTCTTCATTGTATCTCCAGGCTCGCATACATAGTTGGTGCTGAATAAATATTGGGGATTCTTTTGGGCTGTATTATATTCCCCCAAATTCATATGTTGAAGTATTAACCCCCGGTGCCTCAGAATGTTTCTGTGTTTGGAGTTAGGGCCTTTGAAGAGATAATTAAGGTGAAATGAAGTAATATGGGTGGTCCCTAATGCAATATGACTGGTATCCTTATAAGAAAAGATTCGCACACAGCCACAGAGGTAAGACCTTGGAAAGACAAAGAGAAGAGGGCCATCTGCAAGCAAAGGAGAGAGACCTCAGGAGAAACTAACCCTGCTGACGCCTTGGTCTTGGACAATCTATCCTCCAGAATTGTGAGGAAATAAATACACTTCTGTTTAAGCCACGCAGTCTGTGGTATTTTGTTATCGTAGCCCTAGGAAAACTAACACAGGGATTAAGCAAAGCATCCCTAGCTAGGTGTGCTGTTTCTGAGTTTGGAGCTCTACCCGCTGTTTGAAATGACACATTTGATATTCCTGTACAAGGAAAGATGAGGGATAAAGACTTACTCATTCAAATGATTTTCAGTGGTTACTGTTTCAAGGTTACCTTTAAGTCATGAGAATTTCTTCTGTTTTGTAGGACGAAATCCAAACGGGCTGTAATCTTTAATCACGTCTTTCTGCCTGTTCCCCAAACTTTTGTTGTTAAAATGTTTGGAAGTTTTTTGGTCTCCTTATTTTAATTTTTACAAAGCAGATGAAGAAGTGAGAAGCATAGGTAATAACAAAACTATAAAACTAATTAACACCTCAGATTATAATGAGAAGGGGTTGACAGAATGTCTCTTTTTAACAAAACCTATGAATATTAAGGGTTTCGCTGCTGTCAGTATTTTCCTAGAAGAAGCAGGTCCTTCCTTCTGTATCCAAGCCCCAAAATAAAAAGTATCCTTAATGTGTTCATAAATTACAAAAACAGAGTTATATGGGAAACCACACTCTTGTCAAACCACCTTGGGGAAATAATTAGGGATATTGGTACTGTTTGTTTCTGGCCGGCATTTTGCTTGAACAAATGAACCTACTGTTAAGGCTGAAGGAGGGGATGGGGGCAGGGGTACCAGCAGTGAAAAATCTATCGTAAGATATAGACTCTCCAAGAGCACTTACACTTCAGACATCACGAATCTCCTTGTGATACTTAGAGCTTCAGAGTCAAGGAGATCTGACTATATGACCTAGGGCAGGTCACTTGACTTTCCTGAGCCTCAATTTCCCCATCCCAAAACATGTGTAATATAACTTATACCTCAGAGAATTGTTTTGGGAGAAATAAATGAGATGAACTTAGTACAGGAAGTTAAGAACTTAAAAAAGGGAGTGGTTTTATGGCTATGAAGTAGACTTCGGTCAGTTCTTAAATATTTCCAGGATGTGGAATTTGCTAGATTCAACTTTCCTTTGGCTCAGGAGACAAAAACAAAAAAAAACAAAAACAAAAAAAACAAAAACAAAAAAAACAAACAAAAAAAAAACAACCAGTCAAGTGGGAGTGAGATGACTTTAATTCTAGGCTCAGGTCTGTTATTTACTAGTCACATGTCCTTTGACAAGTCACTTAGTTTATCTGAGCCTCAGTTTGTTCAATTAAACCCAGGGATGCAGGGTGGCAGGGTGGCATGCTCTCCTAATTGCTGTGAGGATGAAATGAGAGAACGTAAAAGGGGTGCATTGTAACCTGTAAAGTGTTATGCCAATTTACAGTATTACTATAGACCTTGGGGCTGTGCAGAACAAGCCTTAGCACAGTTATTTTCAAGTCTGTCTGAATTTGGATCTAGGAAAACGAACGTCCTCCTTTTGTCCTGGACAAATGTGGATGTTAATGACCCCCAAGTGTTTTCTATGAAAACCAGTGCCCCGTGACAAGTTGCAAGGCATTCCTAGGGGAAAAGAATTTCTGGCCAAATAACTTTGGCAAACACACTGTACTCTTTGTCCCCTTAGAGACTGACAAGGCTTAGAGTGTATTAAAAGGTCGTGCATTGACGAAATCCGTGTTCCTTAAATGTATTTGTCCTCAGAACCTTCTTCGTAAAATACTGGTTCACTTCTTGCAGAACAGGATTTTGGAAATGCCGCCAACCACTGAGATATTTGGAGGCTTTGCAATGTTCCAAGTCTTCTCTTCTCCTGGCTAAATATTATCCATTCCTATAACTATGTGCTCCCTGGTCTTGAGTCTTTTTTACCATCTTGATCATTCTTTTTCACATGTCTCATGCATCTCTATTTGCCTTTGTCTGCCATGTCCTTGAGCATGATTTCTAGGTGTGGCCCAATGATTAGACTAGACAAGGATAGACACTCTAGGACTCTTGGCTTCCTGTAGGAAAAGGGGTTTGGAAGTGGTGGAGGGTCATACAGGTCACTTCTGGTCTCTCTTTCCCTGTTCTCAACAGACAGATCTCCCCCAAATCTCACTGCCCCATGAGTATGCGGTTGCCCATCTTCGAACTTCAGAAGAGTTTACTGGGCAGAGAAGCAACAGTGTCTGGAAAAGAACGGCCCCTAGAGGGCAACATGGTCACACGAAAAGACGCTTGGTCTCCCAGGATTTTTCTGGGTGCTTAAACCTATCCAGATGCTACTCTGAGGAAGTGCTGTACTCTTTCAGTTTATTTCTGTATTTACCAAATGTCTTAGGAAATAGTCAAAATGTCAACTGGAGCATAAAAGGCAAACACCAAGGAAAGTTGGGAGTCCCACAGGAAGGACTCAGCCATCGTCTCAAAGAGGATAGGGCCTGAAGTCAGTCACTCGCCTGGGGCAGTGCTTGTGGCTATTGTGTCTTCCCTGCTACTGTGATTCTGCTTCTGGTTTAGGGCTTCAGTTATTGGGAAAGATATTCATATTTATTCTGAGCTGGAGCAAACTTCCTTAAGAGTGATGCATACACTAATGTTCCTGGGCATTAGAATTTGATTCGAATTTTCATGAAAAGGGAAGGTTGACATTTTATTTAAATCAGTAATAAACTGTTGTATGTTACAATATAATCAATATCCACAATTATCCTAATGGTTTAGAGCGAAGGTTTGGCCAGGGTTGAGTCACAATCTGGCATATGCTGCTTCCCAGCAGGGTGAACCTGGCCGTGCGATTTGAGCTTCTTCAACTTCATAGAGAGTTGTTCTTCAACTCTCTATGAGGAAGCATGGTCTGCCTTAAAGGCTGGTTGTGAGGATTAAATATAATGTCAAATGTAAAACATCGTGTAGAACAGTGGTTCTCAAAGTGTAGTCACTGGACCAGCTGATCAGCATCAGCATCACCTAGTAACACCTTAGAAAGGCAAATTCTTACAATAGGAGGGGGAGAAAAAAAAAGAAATGCAGATTCTCAGGTCCCACCCCAGATCTACTGAATCAGTAACTCTGGGGGGTTGGGCCTAGCAATCTGTGTGTGTATGTGTGTGTGTGTGTGTGTGTGTGTGTGTGTTGTTGTTTTTTTTTTTTTTTGAGACGCAGCCTCGCTCTGTCGCCCAGATTGGAGCGCAGTGGCGCAATCTCAGCTCACTGCAACCTCCACCTCCCAGATTCAAGCGATTCTTGTGCCTCAGCCTCCCGAGTAGCTGGGATTATAGGCACACACCACCGTGTCCGGCTAATTTTTTGTATTTTTAGCGTACACGGGGTTTTACCATGGTGCCCAGGCTGGTCTCGAACTCCTGACCTCAGGCAATCCACCTGCTTTGGCCTCCCAAAGTGCTAGGATTACAGGCGTGAGCCACTGCACCTGGCCAGCAATCTGTGTATTAATAAGCCCTCCCAGTGACTCTGAGGCATGCTAAAGTTTGAGAAATGCTGTCATATAGTCATTGGCTTATAGATGCTAAAGAATAATATTTATTATTATTGTTATTGTTATGAATTGTTACTGGGAGTCCAAAATATGCAGTCTCTACTTCTAAGAGGCCTAGATTCTTGTTGGAGGACCAAGATGTTGAATGTGAGATAGTCAAATAATCAGGGCCATTATTGACAAGAAAAGAAGTAGAACTTCTGAGGAAAGGGAAATAGGGGCCTGCAGGACTAATGTCACTCGTTGAAGCTTTGTGGTGGAGAAGGACTGAAGGAGGAGCAGCACTGTAAAGGTAGAGAGATAGTCAGGCACGGTAGCTCACGCCTGTAATATCAGCACTTTGGGAGGCTGAGGTGGATGGATTGCTTGAGCCTAGGAGTTCGAGACCAGCCTGGGCAATATGGCAAAAACACATCTCTACAAAAACAAAACAAAACAAAAATTAGCTGGGTGCAGTAGTGTACTCCTGTAGTCCCGGCTACTTGGGATTCTGAGAGGGGTGGATCACTTGAGCCTGGGAGGTCAAGGCTACTGTGAACTGTGATAATTGTATCATCCAGCCTGGGGAACAGAGCAAGACCCTGTCTCAAAAAAGACAGAAAGAAAGACAGAAAGAAAAGGCAGAGAGATGTTAGCAGGGCATTCTGGTTGAGGGAAATAGCAAGAGCAAAAGAACTATGGCTTAGAGGGGAGAATACTCAAGAAGTATTGAGATGTCAGCTAAGTCAACATGTCAGCTAAGTTCAACAAAAGTTTAACATTTCTGAGTATCTATTGCAGGCCAGATACTATGTTAGTACTGAGGACATGGACATCAGAAAGGCTCAGGCAACAAATTCCTAAAGGTGCTATGATTATGGAATAGAATAGCATCATCATCATCATGTTCTTCATTTTCATCATCATAAATACCATGTATTGAGGACTCACTATGTATCAGACACCGTTCTGAGCACTTTACATAAATCTGCTCATTTAATTCTAACAGTAACTTGATGGCATATGTATTATTATTATTCCTCCATTCCATACACGAAGAAACTGTGGCTTAGAAGGTTTAGATAGTCAAAAGTCATGCCAGGAATTAAGTGGAGGAGCTGGGAGCTGAGCCTAGTTCTGCCTGATTCTAAGGGGCTTTTAAATAAGTAGTCAATTCTTCTTGAAGGCTGGAGGGTTTGCAGGGCGCTGCCAAGAAGTCTCACTCCATATTGCATCGCTCCTTCTCCATGTCCCAGCCCTCCGTGCAGGTAGGCGAGGCCACATGATTACTACAGGCCGAAGAAGCATGACCTGAAGGGACACGCATCACTTCTGGGATCAGGCATTGAAAAACTTGTCCACAATTTTCCAGCCCCTTTCGTTGCAGTGTCAACCAAGTGGGCAGATTTGTGTTCTAGATGTGCCACGACGAGGTCACGGAACCTTTGCCGGCCAGAGTCCCTGAGTACATCTGTGATGCAGGGCACCCTGGGCATTTCTGCTGGATGTGTAGTTTAAGCAAGAAATATACCAAGTGAATAGGCTGTGATCTGAGGTTTATTTGCTACTGCAGCATAAGCCTAGTCTATGCTGACTAATACAGTTTGAAAAAGGGGATAAAGTTAGGTTTGTAGGGTAGAAAGAGTCCTCAATTTTGGCCTAAAATTTTTCCAGTGTAGTTTGCAGGCAAGTTGAACCATTGAAAGTTTCTTTGCACAAAGTGGAAATCCTTTTTTTTTTTTTCTTTTTGAGATGGCGTCTTGCCCTGTTGCCCAGGCTTGAGTGCGATGTTTCAGTCTCGGCTCACTGCAACCTCCACCTCCCAGGTTCAAGCAATTCTCCTGCCTCAGCCTCCTGAGTATCTGGGATTACAGGTGCGTGCCACCACACCCAGCTAATTTTTGTATTTAGTAGAGATGGGGTTTCGGGTTTTGTCATGTTGGCCAGGCTGGTCTTGAACTCCTGACCTCAGGTGATCCACTTGCCTCGGGCTCCCAAAGTGCTGGGATTACAGGCATGAGCCACTGCACCTGGATCAAAGTGTAAATCTTTGGGTCTCTTTTAGGAACTGAGTTAAAGGTAGGCACAGGGATGCAAAAATAGCATTTTTTTTTTTTTTAGACAACCCTGTTTAAAGATGTACTTTCCATTTATCTCCCAGAAACCAAGCCTTTCCAAGGTCCTGGAAAATCCAACAATTTGAGGTTAATTCTAAATTTTACTGGCTTCTTTAGATACATAGAATCAATACACACATACACCAAAACAAAAAAGAAACATTCTCTTCTGTGCTTGTGTGTCCTAATTTGCAGTCTGGGAAAATATGATTACCTTAGACCTGTTCTCCTGGCTGCCCCCAGGAATATCTTCAGAGTTCAGTTCCATGAGCAGCACTTGATCTTGAAATCTACATCCAGCCCTTTTTTCCTGCCTTTGGCAGATGAGCCATGACAGCGCTGCTCTCCGTGAGCCTGGCCACTGGCATGTGTGTGGTATACTTCATTTAGTTCCCCTGAAGAATATGCTGGGAGCTCTGTCAGACCTTTTAGATTCTTGGCATGATTTGGAGCTCAGCTGAGGTGGATAGGATTCCTAAGCCTGCTGAGTAATTCTTTGTTATTTATTTTTTGATGTCAAATTATAACAAGAACTACCAGGACCTCGAGGGAAACATCTTTGAACAGAACATAGCACCATGGTGGGTCTTTCCGCCAGATAAAAATTCAAGAGCCAATTGCCATGGGCAAGTGAAAGAGTGGGCAGAGGATGTATATATCTATAAACATTTGTGTAGAGATACAAACATATACTCATTTAGACGAGGATCTATCACCAGGAAAATCACATTTCAACAATGAGTATATTCACAAAGAAATTCAATGTAGAGCTAATAGTGGTTGTTTATTTACTTGGTTTTCATAAGGCCAAAGTTCATGGAGATATAAAATACTAAGAGGCAGTATATTCTTAAATAAATATTCCGCAGAAGAGTTCAAGGAGGGGCTGATCTCTTGTCTATTCTGTGTAAATTCTTGGCCCTAGCATTGGAAGGTCTGGAATAGCAGTGCCCAAAAAGGTATAGCATCA
Source organism: Homo sapiens (assembly GCF_000001405.40). NCBI lineage: Eukaryota > Metazoa > Chordata > Mammalia > Primates > Hominidae > Homo > Homo sapiens. The sequence continues at coordinate 5,309,930 of NC_000003.12, forward strand.
GATCTTAGACTGAGAGACCTTACACATGTTACTAAACACGAGTGGGCTTCAGTCTTCTTATCTGAGAAATGCAGATTTGGTCATTAATTCAACAAATATCTATGTGTCTTAACTCTTCTAAATGCTGGGGATACAGTCGGGGAATAAGATAAGATGATAAGTAGGGGAATAAGTAGGGGATACAGTAGGGGTTGTGCTCTCACATGAGGAAACCAATAAATGAAGCAGCTGATTATTGTTGATTGCTGGTGCTATGGGGGAAAAAAAGGTTGAAAATATAGAAAATGACTGAGGGGTACAGAGGTAATTTAGGTTGGACTTGAATGGCGAGACAAGACAGCCATATGAAGTTCTGGGAGTAGAGGGCAGCACATTATGAAGTCCCCAGGTCACAAATGAACTGGGAATGTGATGACCAGAAAGGAGCCAATGAGCCAGGGAGATGCAGAGGTGGGAGATGTGGAGGCAGGGATAGGCAAGCAGCAGATAATAGGGGGCCATGTAGAGCACAGGGGACGCTGTTTGGATTTTATTCCGAGTGCAATGGGAAGTCATGGTGGAAGGCTTTAAGCAGGGGAGTGACATGATCCAATGTGTTTTTTTAATTGTTGTTTGTTTGCGATAGGGTCTTGCTGGAGGCTGGAGTGCAGTGGTGTAATCATGGCTTACTGCAGCTTTGAACTCGCAGGCTCAAGTGATCCTCCTGCCTCAGCCTCCCAAGCAGCTGAGACTACAGCCATGCGCCATCATGTTTGGCTACTTTTTAATTTTTTTGTGAACACAGGGTGTCGCTATGTTGCCCAGGCTGGTCTTGAACTCCTGAGCTCAAGCAATCTGCTTTCCTTAGCAAATGCTGGGATTATAGGCAAGAGCCACTGCGCCTGGCCAATGTGCATTTTTAAAAGCCTTATTTGGGCTGCTATGTCAAAGATAGATGACTGAGAAGTCAAGAGTAGGAGCAGAGAGACAAGTTAGACAAGTTAGGAAACTCTTAAAGCATCTCTCAAGATTAAGTTTGCATCAGGGGAAGCAAAGGAATTTTAAAATGATGCATCTTAGTGTCTGGCTAAAATAAATCCCCTAAATACATAGCCCATCCCCTAACTGAAAACTGCTAGGGACCAAGAGAGTTCACTATTCAAGCTGCATATTCCATATATTGAATCAGAGGTGAATATAAAGTCATCAAAGCTCATTATTACTAACTATCTACACAATCATGGGGTAAAGAGTGACGATTTATTCCCTTAGGTATTGACGCTAGTCATGGTTTAGCCAGGAAACAAAAATTACTTGAATATTTAATATGGAAGGCCTTTCATGGAGACAATGGGATACATAGGCAATAAGGAGGCTGAGATGCGGGCCAGGTGCAGTGGCTCCAGCCTGTAATCCCAGCACTTGGGAGGCCAAGGCAGGCAGATCACTTGAGGCCAGGAGTTTGAAAGCAGCCTGGCCAACATGGCAAAACCCCATCTCTACTAAAAATACAAAAATTAGCCTAGCTTAGTGGCGGGCACCTGTAATCCCAGCTACTTCGGAGGCTGAGGCATGAGAATCACTTGAACTCGGGAAGTGAAGGCTGCAGTGAGCCGAGATCACACCACTGCACTCCAGCTTGGGCTGCAGAGCGAGAGTCTGTCTCCAAAAACAAGGAAAGGCTGAGATGCCAAGAAGCAAGGGACAGTGAGGCAACCAGAGATGAAAGTCATAGGAAGCCCCTACCATCCCGAGGCCAGAGGGACAAAGGGAGGAGAGAGTACAATTCAAGCCTGGGGGAACTGGAGTCGCCTGAGCAAGCTGGGTCATGGTGGCCCTGTCTAGAGTGAACTAACGGCGTGAAGGAAATACAATCACTGCCGGAGATGCCTGGGAAAAATGCCCCAGCTTCTCCCGCTTCCTGCTTTTCAGTCTTTTACCAGTGCCGCACATTGGCCAAACCCAGCAAGAAGCAAGCTGCAGTGGCAGCCTGGGAAGCATAGCCTGCAGTCCTGCTGGGATACAGAACAGAGCAGGGAAGCGGGAGCATGGACCCAAGGCAAACAGGCCCAGGACAGGACCTCACTCTACCTTCTGCCTCCAGATTTGAAAAGCAGGTGCTGCCACTTGGGGTTGGTGAAGAATGGACAGTGGAGGTGGCAAGATCGATTTATGAGATGGTAGGACTTCTTAAGTATTATTTCGTTTTATATAGTGCCTGCAGCTGAATCCATGTCAGGCATTCTTTGGCTCGATGTTTCAAAGCTGGGCAGGTAGTGATGCCTCTGTAGCAGGGAGTTCCAGCTGACTCTCAGCTTCACCACTGCTCAGGCTGGGGCATTTCTGGACATCCTGGATGAACCGGTGGGGCAGCCCCTACATAGGTATATTTTCAGGAAGGATCAAGGAGCTTAACGGAATAACATTGATCTTGAAGAAAGAGGGTTCCTGGTACAATGACATGGCTTTGATTGTTGGGAAGTGAGTTGGCATGCAGTTCTTGGTTTTTATAATTGAATCAGCTTCTAAGACCAGCCTCTCTGTGGTTTTGTTTTTGTGTATGTGGGGGTGTGTGTCCTGTGAGCTCTGACTCAATGGAGCTATTCCACTAAACTCTGTAATACCCTTGGCTGCCAGCATTTCTCTTTGGAACCGTTGGACAGCATGTGCCCTAAAGCAAGGAGAAAGGCCTTCCTCCTTCTGCATGGAAAGCAGTGTGACTCCTAGGCAGTGCGAAGTCTAGGGGCTAAAGCACTATCTTATTGCTTCAATAACTTCAAATATCAGTGGCAGTTATAAAGGTGGCTCAAGGGAGCAGTGCAGTACAATTTTGGTGGGATTCGAGCGAGAAGTCAAGGAAAAATATGAATGCCTTTGGGGATACTAAGTTTCCAGATATTTTGAAATAGTAGATTGAGACAAGAACAACAAAACGGCAGTGACACATGTAATTAGAATTTGAAAGGCCATAAACATTTATTTAATCCACTCATGTACTTCTCTGTGTGTTGGATATACGTTGATGAAAAATTTCTTATAAAATTTTACATAATCCATTCTCACATATGTGCAGGAACTTTGTGTGTACATCTCATCCATCTTTCCATTCATATGTCCACCCACCTGACTGTCCATCCATTTAACAGAGATATATATTGAAAACATACTAAGTACAAGGATCTGGGAACACAGCAGTGAACAAGACAAGATGACTGTTTTCATGGAGTTTATATGTGTTTGTGTGTGCATGTGTGTGTCTGTGTGTATAATAAACAATAAAAAGTGACATAAAAACACAAAACTCTAATAGTAAGATAAACAGGTCTCTGAGAGGCCCCAAATGGGGATGAGCGTAATCTGGGGTGTCAGATAAATCCTTAGAGGAAGTGACTGCTTTTTTTTTTGAGACGGAGTCTCGTTCTGTCATCCAGGCTGGAGTGCAATGGTGTGATCTTGGCTCACTGCAACCTCGGCCTCCCAAGTTCAAGCTATTCTCCTGCTTCAGCCTCCCAAGTAGCTGGGATTACAGGCGCACACCACCACACCCAGCTAATTTTGTATTTTTAGTAGAGATGGGGCTTCACCATGTTGGCCAGGCTGGTCTTGAACTCCTGGCCTCAAGTGATCTGCCCACCTCGGCCTCCCAAAGTGTTGGGATTACAGGCGTGAGCCACCACACCCAGCCTAGAGGAAGTGACTCTTAATAGGCGATCTGAAGAATGAGGAAGAATGAACAAGGTGATGAGGGAATGGAAAAACATTCTAGATGGAGGGAAATCATGAGCAAATGGCCAGTGATGGAACAAATCAATTTGTATATGAAGGACTGATTAAGGGCAGAGGGGAGGGATGCAGAGACAGGGAAGAACCTGGCAAACCATGGGTTCCGGAGAGGCAAGTAAGGACCTGACACATAGGGCCTTGCAAGCCACGGTAAGGAGTTGTATCTGCCCTAACCATTCGTGACCATTTGTAACCTGGTTTCCAGGGTCTGGTCCTTTACATGTGGCTCATTTTGTTTTTTTTAGACAATTTTTCTTCATATTGGGCTGGAATCATTTTTCCTTTAGCTTCCGGCTCTAGGCTCTGTCCCCTGGAGCCTTGCAGAGAAATCCTACAACTTATCTATTCTTTCTCTAGATCGTATTTCCTCTAACTCTCCTGTTCTCTAAGTGTAGCCCATCTTCATATGACAGGGTTTTAAGAATCTTTCCTGTTAATGTCGCCTTCTTTGGGACACACTTCAGTCGGCCAGCATCCGTCCTCAGATGCAGTCTTCAGAACCAAACACCTGAGGTTGGGTGAAAGTAAAGAAGGGCTTTCACCTCTCTTGTTTAGGACACTTAGCTTCTATGGATGTGTCTTCAAGATCAAAGTCTTTTTTCTGAGTGCCTCCTCACACTGCTGATTCAAAATAAACTTGCAGTCAGCTAAAACCTTTAAATTCATTTCTTGTAAGCTGCTATTAAACCAGGTGGTTCTCATCCAATATGTATGTGGGCATTTATTTTTAATTTATACCTTGTCTATTTCTAAAAACGACTTCAGCCTAGAACAGAACTCAAGTGTACGGCTACACAGTTAAAATAAAGATCCAAGGGAGAGCAGAAACATATTTTCACAGTAGACTTTGTGAAGGCAATTGCAGGTCTCTAGCTATACCGCATTTCTATCTCATTTTGTTGACTTAGGACTCTGTGCTATACTGTGCTATGTTTTTCTCAAATCTCCTTCTCTTCTTTGAGTTGGAAGCCACTCTCAGCAGTGGTTCATCTGCCAATTTGCTGTTGATCACCATTCTTACATATTTCCTGATTCTTTAAGTCAGAGATCCCAGTTCCATCATTTACTAGCTGTGTGACCTTGGGCAGGTTAATTCAGCTCTCTGCACCTTAGTTTCCTCATTTGCATAATGGTGCCTAGCTAATCAAGGTTAAGTATTAAATAAAGCAATAACGTAAAGCCCTTTGAACAGTGTGCTGTTCAAGGTCAGCTCTTGATACATTTTAATTAATTGTTATGAATATAAACATTGATTGAGAATTTATTGTGCTCTAGGCAATGTGGTAGATACTTAAATACAATATTGTATTTACTCCTCCCATTAAGCCAGTCAAGTGGTTACTGTAATCACCTCCATCAGAGGTTAAATGACTCATTTGGGTTCCCACAGCCAACAGTTTGGTGTTTTCAAGGCAAGATAATGGAAGGGCATTGTAGGCAGTGGGAACCGCACTAGCAAAGACCTGGCCTACTTGATGTACAGTGAATCACTGTAGTCTGGAATATGTGGGTTTGCACCAGGGTGGACAGCATCTCTCTTTCCTTCCATTTCTAAAATATGGCTTGTTTCCTAGAATTTCTACCTATACCCTGGCCCAACTCCTCTTCTGGGAGGCTCGTATTTCTCTGTCCTGCATTGAGACTGGATGGTGTGTCTTATTCTTACATATTTGTTCCTGGTAAGTGACACAAAAAGTCATGCTGCTCTTTGGAAGTAACTAGTAATTACACTTCAATTTCTTTAGAAAAAAGAAGACTGACAATCAGTCTCTTGCCATTCTGGTAACATGACCCTAACTATCTGTGAGATTTATTCTATCGTGCTTGGGCTAGGGAGTGTCATTCATTGTTTTTGAAATGTCTCTGGAAGAGAACCAGGGTTTCATCTACACCTTTTAACTACAGCTACATTTCAGTACTGGCTTGACATGACAGTATATAAATGGAACATTTGCATAATGTATTGAATTTCTAGTTAAATTTTAATGATAATTGACTGAACTGGATTGTCCCATAGGAAATAATGAGATAATGAGTGTTGCTTGCCTTGTGTCTAAGACTATAAAATGTCAAGTAACTTAGGGAAAAGTTTTTGCCTTTACCTAGTTGCCTCATCTGTTCTGCTTTTGCTATCTTTCCCATAAACTAACGTGCACTAGACTTCCCAGGGAATAATCACTCACTCATATTGCATTTTCCTTATGTCTACCTGCCTGCCGACAAGGGTGTCAAGCTTCCATTTTTAATGTGCCCCTAGAACAATTTGTGTTTGTTTCTTAAGATTTCTGAATGTCCATTAAGAAACCAGTTATTTCAAGAAATTTTCATTATAGTAACATAATTTGGATTAGCCCTTATTAAAAGAGAATTCTGTCTTTCTTTCTCTGCTTTGTTAAATCTTTAGGAGGTCTTAAGCTCTGAAAAAGATTATGCCAATCCCCACTTTAACTACTATGTGTGATTCTAAGAAAAAGCAACATTAAGTTTTAAAATAAGTATGAGGAAGTTCAACACAATCTGATTCTGGGTGGGCCAGGAGAACATGAGTAGGCCACTCAAGGCTTGACAGTGTCTGTTACACTTTGGTATATGCTCATGGTAGCATTTATTCCTGTTGTAACTTAGTACCTATCTGCATAATTATCTTCTTGCCCATTTCTTTTATTAGACTGTAACTTTCATGAAGGCAAGGAACATATCTGCTTACTGCTATATCCCTGGTATCATCTGAAACATCGTCTGTTTCAGAACCAGAGCCAGGTGTATAGTATGCACTCAATTAATCAATAATAATAATGAAAGATAAATAATAATGAAAAGATAGATAATAAAAACAAATCATAATAAAAATTATAGCTAAATTGATTGATTATTATATAAGACACACATTTCTAAGTGCTTTACATGTAACATATTTTTTTTTTTTTACAACAACCTGTTTAATATTCACTATATTGATGTGGACATTCAAGCACAGAGAGGTTAAGAAACATCAGCTACATCACACAGGAGGAAAGCTTCCTTCAGTTGTAACATTCTAGGAATTTAAATAGCTTTAAAACCAATCCCAAGTGGGTTGGAATACTCTGTTCCACAACAGCTGTCAGCAAGATTATTGACCTGAAGCGTTAGTGACTGGTGGACGAGTTCTTGGTCTTCAGTGACACTCTTGAAAGTGCTCAAGATCCCCATTGCTTGAAGAAAATTGGACCCCAATTTTCTTTCTGTCTTTTAAAGTTTAAAATATTTCAATCATAGCGGAAAATTGTAGAAGTACAGGATAGGTTCAGAAGGGCATATGGAGTGAGAACAGGTTGCTTCCAGTAGGCAAGAAAAAAATTTGAGTTCTGATGTGGATTACACCTTCGGAAAAGAGCAATGGCTGTTGCTGGTTCTGTAATAAGATGTTTCAGATTCTCAGATCCTCATCTGGTGCCTTTCTGACAAAAGCCAATGGCTTATAAGTTCCAAAGTTCTTAGGTGGTCAAGGTCCACCACGATCTTGTCTTAAACTCCATTTGGATCTTCTTTTTCCACCTTTCTCCACCTACTTGCTATCAGTCAGGACTTTCTGTTATGAGTAATAGAAAACTCACCTCACTCTGGCTTGAGTGAAAAAGGATTATTTATTGGTTCAGATAATGGAAAGAGTTCACTGGTAGAACTAAGTTCATCCAGGGGCTCAAATGATGTCGTTGTGAATCTGCTGTCTCCCCACATCTGCTTTCCTCTGTGATCAGTGAGTTCAGGGAGGTTCTTCCCAGGCAGAACCTCTCATCTCCCTATCTCAGTAGCCCTTGATATCCCCAGGCTTACACACTATACTCTCAGCAGCCAGTTTGAATTTGTTGGCATAATGCTAGCTGCTGTAAGATGCAACTTCTTAAAATTAATTGTCTTCGTGATTAGCAAAAAGAGCTTATTTGTTTTCTCTTATGACATCTGGATGCAGCTGTTCCTTGTTAGTGAATGACTTTTCTCCATGGAATGATTCAGGGCCCACCATCCTTTAGGGTTCAGAGTTTTCTTTACTTAGCAAATGGGGAAGCAAAGCGTGGAGAAACCGCAATCATTTTTTAAAGAATGTTTACTCTGTACCTTCCCTCAACTCCCTTTAGTGAGAATTGACTACATGACCAAATATGGACACAGGAAGGGCTGGAAAACGTAGCCCCAGACTGAATAACTGCTTTCTAGCCACAATTTCACACCACGGGCAGGAGCTCATGAATTTGTTGATTGCTGTCAGTCTCTGTCACAAATTTCCAGTAATGCCAACCAGAGTCTCTGAAATTAAAAAGTCTTGGTCTGGTTTGGGTCATATGCCTATTCTTGATTGAATAACCGTGCTTAAAGAGATGGAATTCATTCATTTATTCTATCATTTATTCCACAAATATTTATGACAGTTTTTATGTGCTAAATACTATTCCTAACCCTGGGAATACAGTAGTGAATACAACAGGTAAAAGTCCCTGCTCTCATGCAGTTTATATTCTAGTGAAGCCGGATGACTAAAACATATGGCATTGCAGATGGTGCTATGATCAGCAATAAACTAAGGAAGAAGGATGGGGAACACTGTGGGAGTCACAGACTGGAGTTTTCTTTTGGGTGTTACAGAGGCTTCTCCCAGAAAGTGACATCTGAATGAAGATTGGAAGGAGATGAAGGAGTGAATCATATATGGGGGAAGAGTGCTTCAGGTAGAGGGAATGGCTAGTACCAAGGACTGAGACAGGGGCAAGCCTGGCATATTTGTGAAAAGCAAGGAGGCCAGTGCTAGGGTCTAAATGTCCCCTCTCCACCTTGAATTCACATGTTGAAACTTAATTCCCATTGTGGTGGGATTAAGAGGTGGGGCATTTTGGGGAGTGATTAAGTCATGAAGGCTCTGCCCTCATGAATAAATTAGTGCTTTCTAAAAGGGTGGGAGGGAACTAGCTCAGATCCTTTGCGCCCTTTTACCTTCTGCCTTGTGAAGACACCCAGAAGGTGCTATAATGAGGAATGGGCCTTAGCCAAACACCAAACATGCTGGCGTCTTTATCTCGGACTTCCCAGCCTCCAGAACTGTAAGCAATAAATTTCTGTTATTTATCAATTACTCAGTCTCAGATATTTTGTTACAGCAGCACAAACAGAATAAGACAGCCAATGTGACTGAAATGAAGTGAGCTGGGAGAAAGAAAGAGGAGAAGACAGGGGAGTAACAGATAGCCAGTCAGATAGGACTTTGCTGATTACTGTAAGGACTGTGGCTTTTCCCAAGTAAGATGGGTAGTCTAGGAGAGTTTTAAGCAGGAATAAAATGAAGCGAGTTATGTTTCAAAACTGATTTCATAGTAACCCCTCTGATTATTACATTGAAAATTGACTGTAGAAGAGACTGTGGAAGCCAGATAAGAGGCAGGTGTGGTTATCCAGTGATGAAATGATGTTGGCATGGGCTAGGATAGTGAAGATGGAAGTAAGTGGCTGGATTCTGGATACTTTTTAAAGACAGATGAATTGTGCTGATTTTCTGGGCTTGGGTGACATGTTTTATCCTGGAGCAAGAGAATGGAATCAACACATCGGAACCACATGAGTCAGAGAGCAATGATTTCCTAAAGAAAATTGAGAAGGGAATTGGGAAGATGAGACTGGGCAGTACTCAGTCAGGGTGGGCTGATACTACAGTAACCAACAACCTCAAGACCTCAATGGCTTAAGGCAGTAAAGTTGAACTTACTGCACTAGTGACATGCCTAGTGCAGGTTAGCAGGGGACTGGAGCTTGTCATAGCAACTCCGTGTTTTAACTCTATTACCATGGATGAGGTTTGACGAGAGCAGATGCAAATCAAGAGAAGAAATACAGCTCCCTGGGAGAACATAGCACCCCATGAAGAACCACTTGGGGGATGCACCTTGGTCAGTCATGATGCAGAGGAATATGAGGGAACTGTGGGCACTATTGTGGTTTCTGTGGGAAGGAGAGGGTAAGGCAGGGCATGCAGACATAGGAGTGGCTAATTTGAATGATTTCAGTGGCTCTGGAGTATAGAGGCTGTCCTTGGTTGTAGAGTACTTGGCCCTGGGGTAATTAGGGTGGGTATATAGTGGCCTGGAGCATGAGAGTCTGATACAGCAGGTGGTTGGGGTATGGCCTTAATTGACTGTCCTAGAAGGGAACTGTCTGGCTTTTGGACAGGGCCTCAAAACTGGGTTAAGGCAGCTGGTGGAAGATGGCTCAAAGCCTTGAGTTTGAGGCTGTAGTGTGCTATAATCACACCTGTGAATAGCCACTGCACTCCAGCCTAGCAACATAGCAAGACTCTGCCTCAAAACAAAATAAAACAAGGGCACAACTTTTTTTTTTTTTTTTTCAAGAAATCTACGTTACACTCAGGGACTCAGGCTCACAGAAACTCCACAATCTTATGATATCACTATCTCAGCAGGAGGCCTCAAGATTGAAGTCAACAGAATGGGGAAATTGTGTACAGGCTCCTAAATATTTCACCAAAAGAGACTCATGACACTTCCTATGATGATTGACTGGCCAAAACAAGTCACATGGCCATACCTAACTTCAAGAAGGTGTGTGTCTGGATGGAAAGGAGAATCAGAAATCTTGGTGATCAACAGTGAGGTCTACCAAAGGAGGCAAAGCTCACAGATATCCACCATATACTCCACATTTTCCAAAACCACCACGTGTGTCCACTTTTTTAACCTTCTGTTGTCCATCTTCTGGACTCTATTCATCTTCTGAGACCAAGCTCTAAAGCCCCTTCCTCTGTAATTGCCCTTTCTTTTCTCTCCAGGAAAAATTTATTTTTTTCTTTTTCTGTGCTCTGGTAGTAGTTAATTTATGCCATTTTGAAAACTTAATTCTAATGTTAGCTTGGTTCCAGTCATCTGTTGCTATCTGATAAACTACCCCCAAACTTTGGCTTATAGAAACAATAATCATTTATTTTGCTCAAAAATTGTGGTTTGGTCAGGGCAGTGCCTGTCTCCTTCACAGGGCATCAGCTACAATGGCTCGACCAGGGCTGAAGGATGGCTCACATGGCTGACAACTTGGTGCTGGGCTTTCCATGGGAACTTTGGGCTTCCTCCCAGCATGGTGGCTGGGTTCTATGAAGGAGTGTGCAAAGAGTGTCCAAGTGACTTCTAAGGCTAGATCTTCAAAGTCAATATGACTTTTAGGTCAAGGCAACTTTTAAGATCTAGCCTTAGAAGTCACATGATGTTATCTTAGCCATAAGCATCAGCCCTTCCTGATTCAAAGGGAGGGGATACAGACCCCATATTTCACTGGGCAGAAAGTTAAAGTCACACTGTAAGAAGAGCATGTGAGATGGAAGGTTCTGTTGTAGTCATTTTTAGAACATACAACCTGGCAAAGCTCTTTACACTTCCAATCCATTTTATAATTAAGCAGGGAAGCAAATAATAGAAATTGTTTTGTGGGCGCTCATTCCCCTTGTATTACTGTGTGCTCCTTTATAATAGTGGCTGTGGTTTGTTCATCTTTGCATGTCCAGTGCAGAGCACAGAGATAGATGCTTGAGGGAAGACACTGCTTAGTAGGCACTGCTTTACCTTTTCTTCCTTACCAACAGATCCCTAAACTTATTTAGGCGACAACATGCTCAAGAAAGGTGGGCCCAGACCTAGGGGATGAATCATGATTGGTCTACAGCCTTTTTGACTATCGTATTCCTCTATTCTGGATTATCAATTTGGGAATGGTTATGTGATCTAATTCTCTCCAAAGAGATGCAAGAGAAAGTCTGTTGAAAGGAGTTGTGACAAAGATTTCTCATTCTAGAAAAAGAGATGGGTATGGAGAAATCCCACGTTCCTTCCTACTTTTGGATGTTGTTGTGTGACGATGTTATGTTCGAAGCTGTGGCAGCCATATTGAAATCATGATAATCTCTGCAGGGGAATCTCAAAAAAGCCAACCAATATTCTTGGCATTATTTAGCTGCTAGATTAACCAATTTCTGGACCTGCCTATCTCCAACTTCTTGTTATGTGAGGTAATTAATTCCTATTATTTAAAGCCAGCTTTAATTGGCTCTTTCAGCTGTTATTTGCAGCTGAAAGCATTCTCACTGAAACAGAGCTCAATTAATGTTCATAGAATTGAATTGAATTCCCCTAACTGATTTGGCTAACTCATTTTGTAGTCTGTGCCATGCACAAGAATAAGCTCAGAGGATTGTAAAATCTCATTCCTATGTACACTGCTACTCTGAGTTTCTTCTGTGAACCTCAGGGATTTCAAAGTTGGATTGCCTGAAATGTTTCCAAACCAGAGTCCATTGGCTCACCTATGTCTAAATGGTAGCTTTCATTAGGAAAAAAAAATTTTTTTGGTCCAAGTATTTAAAACACAAAAGACCTCTGGGTGTGCTGGCTTCTTGGCATTCCCAAGTCTTGCAGCTGAGACATAATGACTAACTACAGGCAATTAGAGGGTGAAGTTGCTACCAGCAGTTTGAATGAATGGAGAATGCAGCTGGGTGCAGGCAGGTCTTTCTGGCCTCAACCAGGGGAAACTTTGCCAAAACACCTGTAAACTTTCCCAGCCTGGTTCAGCAAAATCTCCCCCTTTTAGGGAGCATCCATCCCCTCATGTTTGCAGCATGATACCTAAGCAAGTGTACTTTGACATTTTATTCTTTATAGGCAGTTATTATTATGATTTAATAGCATATTTTTATCCCTTTCTTCAAGCAGATTCTAAATAAGGCTACAGGGCTTTAGCCAGATAATGTTATGACGGGTTAAGGAAGGCTATGAAGAAAAGCCCTGTAGGTAGGTGAAATGTGGGACTAGATGGGTGGGTTTTCACAGCTTCAGTTTTTGTCAACCCCACACCTAGTCCTTCCTCTCTTCTCCCCTTCCTTTTGTTGTAGAACCTCAAAATTTAGGTTTGCATACTTGATGCACAGTAAGCCAAACACTGACACGTCAGTGCTTAGGAACAGAGAAAGGTTTATTTGATTTGGCCAAAGCCAAAGAAGATGGGAGAGATGAGCTCTCAAATCTGATCTGCCTTTAAACATAACCAGGGGCTTTTATGAGTAAGGCAGGAGGTGAGCTTCCCTTGATGATCAAAACTGTTTGCATCCCTCAGGCCAGTCAAACTCCTGGATGCTCTCAAGGAGGTCTGCATGACCAAGGATCATTGTTCTCTAAAAGAAAAACAAGTTCATGAATCTTGCAAGCAGCCCCGGGGGGTTAGGATATGAAGTTAATCAATTACTAGTGACTCCCCTCTACAGAAATGACTATGAGCAAGCCAGTGTGCCTGGAAGAAAACAAAGAAGGAAAAGTTAAACACACACACACACACACACACACACACACACACACACACACACACACACACAAATCCCTTATGATTTTTACGGTAGTGGCTCAGTTACACTTTCATCAGCCGCAGAGGAGGCAAGTGACCCAGCCTAACTATCAGAAGGCCCCACTATTTTCAGCCAGAATGACTGGTTAAGGGTGGATGCATGCCCCCACGACCCACCAGCACAACCCGAGTCCCTGTGAGAGAGTTGGGTATGGATTTTTCAAGGGGGAGGTATTTAGTCCTGTGTCAGTGTACATGGCAAGGGTGATGACATCCTGGCCCTGTCAGAGGGCCAGGAGACAGGCTTCTCATCCCATGAAAAGAGTTTGTCTGAAACTGAAAGATGGTAACACCAAGGCGAGAAGAGCTGGGAGGGAGAGAGATACAGAGCACCGGCTGTGTGTACGGTTACCTTGAGCAGACTTTTTAGTTATGCAAACCAATAACCTCCACCTCCCATTCCTTTCATTTTGTGCATCCCTTAAGATCGTCTGCACTGTGTTTATATTGTTAGCCACTCCACACATCCTGGCTAGTAGAGCACAGTTAAAGGTCTAAGAGCAGACAAAAAAAATGCCCCAGTGCTTAAGTGTTTTTTGTTCCAACTAGAAGAAATCGTTGTTATTTTGAGGACAAAGTCATCACTATCTAGCTGGAGAATATGATGTGGGACAGATACATTTTGATATAGAGGATGAAGAAGAAAAATGTCTGGAGCCTTAGATGTATTCGGACTTCTTTTCCAAGCCTGCAGCAATGTCCTGCAGGGCACCCAGAGATTCACTCAAGAGCACTGGCTATCCTAGGGTTTGACAAGGAAGAAAGAATGGAAGAACTACAGGCTACAATTTCCTATGTCAAAGTATTGTGGTAGTTGGGTGGTGTTTCTATTGGAGATGAGAAAAGTAAAAATGATCCAAATTGCAGCAGGAACACTTACGTGCATTGTTTGAATAAGTTCTATGAGTTCTAATAAGTTCTCTTTTATTTTTATTTTATTTTTTTTCAGGCAGAGTCTTACTCTGTCAGCTAGGCTGGAGTACAGCGGTACAGTCTCAGCTCATTGCAACCTCCGCCTCCCAGGGTCAAGTGATTCTCATGCCTCAGCCTCCTGAGTAGCTGAGATTTCAGGCGTGCACCACCACACCTGGCTAATTTTTTTGTATTTTCAGTAGTGATGGAGTTTTTCCATGTCGGCCAGGCTGGTGTCAAACTCCTGGCCTCAAGTGATCTGCCTTCCTTGGCCTCCCAAAGTGTTGGGATTACACGGCATAATCCACTGTGCCCAGCCAATAAGTATAACTCTTAGGAGACATTTAGGAAAGATGGAGTCATTGATTGGATTGTCACAAAAGTAGCAATGATGCAAAAGCACAGAGAAAGACTCAAGTCATAGAGTGACCAATTGTCCTAGTTTTCTTGGGACTGAGGGGATGCCTAGGATATGAGACTTTTATTTTTAGAACTGGGAAAGTCCTGGGTGAAATGGGACAAGGTGCTTACCTTACTTGAGGGTTTCATAAGCATCTAGCTGATCAGCACATTTATCAAGCACCTGCTGTGTGCCAAGCACTGCCTTCGTTTCTAAGGACCCACAAATGAATAAGACACAGTCCTTGCCCTAGTAGAGATTTAAGAGTCATGAAGCAAAATGTGGATTTCAATCTCACATAAGAAATTCTGTGGCTTTATCAGTGTTCACAGCAGTTTCACCCAAAATATTTGAGTCTGTGGCTGATGTGAAATCTTAAACCAGGAATTTAGGTCTTAAGGTCTACCATGCAGGAAAACATACTGAAAAATTACTGTGATTGGTTGATTAGGCAAAAGTGAAGTTCTTTTGTTAGAAGTTTAGTTTGGTTACCTGTCTGAAATAGACATTGTTGAAGCCCTGCCCAGATCCCATTTACCCAGCTGTTGCATCTCCCAGCTGCTGGCAGTGCTGGCTGCTCAAGGCTCTTTGCTAGATCCTTCTCTAAAGAATTTCCCTTGGTCCACAAGAACAACCTCGGTAGAAAATGCCTGGGAACTTATGGTCCCACAGCTACATGTAAAAGACCGGGAACAGCCCAGTTCTCTTGCATTCAGGTGCGTTCTCTAACGCTATCATATTCCAGAGCTTCCTGTGGGATCAGACTGAAGCTAGACTGTAGCTGAAGCCACATCTTTTCTCTTGCCTTCTCCTGTTCCCCTCACTTTCTTACAGGCTTCTCCTGAGTGCACTCCTGTTGTGGACTGAATTGTTGTCTCCTGCTCCCTAAATTCATATGTTGAATCCCTCCCTCCCAGAACCTCAGAATGCAACTGTATTTGGAGGTAGGGCCTTTAAAGAGGGGACTTAGTTAAAATAAGGCCATTAGGTTGGGCCCTAACCCAAGCTGACTGGTGTCCTTATGAAAAGAGGAAATCTGGATACACAAAGAGACACCAGGGGTGCACGTGCACAGAGAAATGGCCATGTGAGGACACAACAAGAAGGCAGCCATCTGCAAGCAAACGACAGAGCCTCGGAAGAAACCCGACCTGCCCATACCTTGATCTTCAACTTCCAGTCTCCAGAAGTATGAGAAAATACATTTCTGTTGAAGCCATCCTGCCTGTGGTATTTCATTATGGCAGCCCAAGCTGACTCATACAGCTCCCTCAAAAAATCCCGTGCATAAGAATCCTCACCTCAGGGTCTGCTTCCTGGGAACCCAACCAAAGATATTGTCTTAGAATGACTTGGAGAGTCAAGAGGAAAAAAATTCAGCAGTCAGGTGTTTCTACTAACTTCTCCCTCAAAGCTTTGTGGGATCTAAAATTTAAGAAATGCTGGAAGATTCCTTTTCATTTTACCTAGTCACATGTTGGTACTTTCTCTATAAGAAATATACGTATATACATACATATTTACTTTCTTAACCTTTTATTAAATATAAGAATTTGAAAATTGAAGCAATAAAGCATACTTATAAGTTTAGGCGACCACCCTTACTGCCTTTCATATTTGAAGGTGGACAGTGGGTCCACTGCATGTCATGTCTCTGGTTTGCATTTTTGAAGCACAGGGTTGGAAGAGTTCTGAAGACTAAAGGATCATCACAAGAATAATAATGATGAGAGCAATATTAACAGTGATCAGAGGAAGAGTATAGTATAAAATTCAAGAGAATGAGTTTTACAAAGATCTAGAACCAGAAATACCATTTGACCCAGCAATCCCATGACTAGGTATATACCCAAGGGAATATAAATCATTCTCTTATAAAGATACATGCATGTGTGTGTTCACTGCAGCATGATTCACAATAGCAAAGACATGGAATGAACCCAAATGCCCATCAGCGAGACTGGATAAAGAAAATGTGGTACATAAACACCATGGAATACTATGCAGCCATAAAAAGGAATGAGATTATGTCCTTTGCAGGGAAATGGATGGAGCTGGAAGCCATTTTTTTTTTCAGCAAATGAACACAGGAACAGAAAACCAAACACTGCATATTCTCACTCATAAGTGGGAGCTGAACAATGAGAACACATGGACACAGGGAGGGGAACAACACACACTGGGGCCTGTTAAGGGAGTTGGGGAGGGAGAGCATCAGGATAAAGAGCTGATGCATGTGGAGCTTCATACCTAGGTGATGGGTTGATAGGTGCAGCAAACCACCATGGCGCATGTTTACCTGTGTAACAAACCTGCACGTCCTGCGCCATGTATTCCACAACTTAAAATAAACAAACAAAAACAGTATGAATTTTAGAGAGAGAAGGATTTGGCTTTCTGATCTCTCTTTAAATATCAGTTTTCCCATCTGCAAAATGGCAATATTAATTGCTAAGGATAACAAGAGCCCCATGGAGCTCTTGTAAGGAATTAAAGACATAATGCATGTCAAACATTAGCACAGACCCTAACCCATAAATGCTCAACAATGGACAGCTATTATGAAAACACCAGGAGAGAAACATTCTTGTAAACAGAGAGGGTCTCAGGTAATGGTATTTTGAAGTCACTTAGAATACTACTTCTAAGAACTGATAGTTAAATTTTCAGGAAATTTGTGAGCCTGTTGTTAATCTCAGCCATCCTTGAGGTCAGCTGCTGAGAAAATGGTCAGAAGCTATACATCAGGGCTCTTTCCCTCCCCAAGAGCCAGCTGTGATGCATTTACCAGTACATAGAGAGGTCCAGGATTGCTCAAAGGTGAGACTTTTGGTGCCCATTTACAATGCTGTTCTGCAGGTGAGTGTGCTTGAGCTCTGCTGTTTGCTTTTGTCCTGCCTGTTTCAGACTCTACAGCGTCACCCCTGCTGTCTCTGCTGTTGTGCTTCATTTTTCTCAGATCCTCCCTTTCTTCCAAGGCCCAGCACAAGCATCATCTCCTCCAAAAGCTCCATCCCGACCATTCCTGCCCTCTCCTCTGAACTCTGCCAGCATCACCCACCTAGCTCATTTGTTAACACTCTGTTGCATCAGTACTGTCTCTTTTTTTTTTTTAAATTATACTTTAAGTTCTAGGGTGCATGTGCACAACGTGCAGGTTTGTTACATATGTATACATGTGCCATGTTGGTGTGCTGCACCCATTAACTCATCATTTACATTAGGTATATCTCCTAATGCTATCCCTCCCCCCTCCCCCCACCCCAGGACAGGCCTTGGTGTGTGATGTTCCCCTTCCTGTGTCCAAGTGTTCTCATTCTTCAGTTCCCACCTATGAGTGAGAACATGTGGTGTTTGGTTTTCTGTCCTTGCATTAGTTTGCTCAGAATGATGGTTTCCAGCTACATCCATGTCCCTGAAAAGGACATGAACTCATCGTTTTTCATGGCTGCATAGTATTCCATGGTGTATATGTGCCACATTTTCTTAATCCAGTCTATCATTGATGGACATTTGGGTTGGTTCCAAGTCTTTGCTATTGTGAATAGTGCTGCAATAAACATACGTGTGCATGTGTCTTTGTAGCAGCATGATTTATAATCCTTTGGGTATATACCCAGTAATGGGATGGCTGGGTCAAATGGTATTTCTAGTTCTAGATCCTTGAGGAATCGCCACACTGTCTTCCAGAATGGTTGAACTAGTTTACAGTCCCACCAACAGTGTAAAAGCGTTCCTATTTCTCCACATCCTGTCCAGCACCTGTTGTTTCCCGACTTTTTAAAATTTAGATCAATATCCCTGAAGAACATCAATGCAAAAATCCTCAATAAAATACTGGCAACCGAATCCAGCAGCACATCAAAAAGCTTATCCACCATGATCAAGTGGGCTTCATCCCTGGGATGCAAGACTGGTTCAACATATGCAAATCAATAAATGTAATCCAGCATATAAACAGAACCAAAGACAAAAACCACATGATTATCTCAATAGAGGCAGAAAAGTCCTTTGACAAAATTCAACAGCACTTCATGCTAAAAACTCTCAATAAATTTCGTATTGATGGGATATCTCTAAATAAGAAGAGCTATTTATGACAAACCCACAGCCAATATTATACTGAATGGGCAAAAACTGGAAGCATTCCCTTTGAAAACTGGCACAAGACAGGGATGCCCTCTCTCACCACTCCTATTCAACGTAGTGTTGGAAGTTCTGGCCAGGGCAATCAGGCAGGAGAAAGAAATAGAGGGTATTCAATTAGGAAAAGAGGAAGTCAAATTGTCTCTGTTTGCAGATGATGTAATTGTATATTTAGAAAACCCCATCATCTCAGCTCCAACTCTCCTTAAGCTGATAAGCAACTTTAGCAAAGTCTCAGGATACAAAATCAATGTGCAAAAATCACAAGCTTTTCTATACACCAATAACAG
The DNA here is from genome assembly GCF_000001405.40 of Homo sapiens. Classification (NCBI taxonomy): domain Eukaryota; kingdom Metazoa; phylum Chordata; class Mammalia; order Primates; family Hominidae; genus Homo; species Homo sapiens. Next base: position 5,328,866 of record NC_000003.12, read on the forward strand.
ACAAACAGAGAGCCAAATTATGAGTGAACTCCCATTCACAATTGCTTCAAAGAGAATACAATACCTAGGAATCCAACTTATAAGGGACATGAAGGATCTCTTCAAGGAGAACTACAAACCACTGCTCAATGAAATAAAAGAGGACACAAACAAATGGAAGAACATTCCATGCTCATGGATAGGAAGAATCAATATGGTGAAAATGGCCATACTGCCCAAGGTAATTTATAGATTCAATGCTAGCCCCATCAAGCTACCAATTACTTTCTTCACAGAATTGGAAAAAACTACTTTAAAGTTCATATGGAACTAAAAAAGAGCCCACATTGCCATGACAATCCTAAGCCAAAAGAACAAAGCTGGAGGCATCATGCTACCTGACTTCAAACTATACTACAAGGCTACAGTAACCAAAACAACATGGTACTGGTACCAAAACAGAGATATAGACCAACGGAACAGAACAGAGCCCTCAGAAATAATACCACACATCTACAACCATCTGATCTTTGACAAACCTGACAAAAACAAGAAATGGGGAAAGGATTCCCTATTTAATAAATGGTGCTGGGAAAACTGGCTAGCCATATGTAGAAAGCTGAAACTGGATCCCTTCCTTACACCTCATACAAAAATTAATTCAAGATGGATTAAAGACTTAAATGTTAGACCTATAACCATAAAAACCCTAGAAGAAAACCTAGGCAATACCATTCAGGACATAGGCATGGGCAAGGACTTCATGTCTAAAACACCAAAAGCAATGGCAACAAAAGCCAAAATTGACAAATGGGATCTAATTAAACTAAAGAGCTTCTGCACAGCAAAAGAAACTACCATCAGAGTGAACAGGCAACCTAGAGAATGGGAGAAAATGTTTGCAATCTACTCATCTGACAAAGGGCTAATATCCAGAATCTACAATGAACTCAAACAAATTTACAAGAAAAAAACAAACAACCCCATCAGCAAGTGGGCGAAGGATATGAACAGACACTTCTCAAAAGAAGTCATTTATGCAGCCAACAGACACATGAAAAAATGCTCATCATCACTGGCCATCAGAGAAATGCAAATCAAAACCACAATGAGATACCATCTCACACCAGTTAGAATGGGGATCATTAAAAAGTCAGTGTCGTCTCTTTAAAAGTTCTTCAGGCTCAGTGACAGCAGGGGCCTTTGTTTCACCCCACCCCTCCTTCCCTAGTATATAGCTCAATGACAATCAGGCTTCAAAGACCCCTTTCCCTGGGAGTCAGCTCATCTAATTATATGTGAGTTTCCTTCATTTAACCTCAGCCAATCAATTTCTAATTTGCAAAATGAGTAGATGGGACTAGTTCGTTTCCACATTCCTTTCCAATACCATCTTTCTAATAAATCCTGGCTGAACTGAGTTGACTTTGCCCCACTGGATTGCGAATTCCTCAATAACTTAGAGCATCTCTGTATAGTTATCCAACCCAATCGCCTAACAGGATCAGCTACACACAGTAAGTTTTCAACGAAGGTTTATTAACCTCAGCAGGAACAACAAACACTTCTGGGTAAAATTACATATAGGATCCATTATGAGAGAAGACTATGTGAATCAATGAGTAAGTCCAATTTACATCAGCGAGTCCCACGCCTAACCCACTTCTGTTTGTATAAACTTGCTGTGAGACTTCAACTGCTTTAAAACAATCTCCTTATGGCTCAGTGAATGAGTCAGGATTTCTGGGGACCTGATGCACAAAATCACGATCAAAGCTGGTTGGTGAGTCACATCCTTCATGAATGATCACTCCTGGGCAGGAACATATACAGTCTCCCCCCGATCCCCACCCACTGTTGCTCAGTATCTCCTCTACCTGGTCAGAGCCAAGGGTCACAGAGACATTGGCTGGAGACAAGAGTAGAGATCACAAGAGGACTGAACCAGAAGCCGGCTCCATGGGACATTCTTTCTATTGCTTCGTCTTGGGTAGGAAAGGTCAGTCACACTGGATATCCTGGTGCAGGTACTTTTTGTTCCCCTCCTGTATCAGTCCATTTTCACATTGCTGTAAAGAACTTCCTGAGACAAAACTTCCTGAGACTGGGTAATGTATAAAGGAGAGAGGTTTAATTGACTTACAGTTCCACATAGCTGGGGAGGCCTCAGGAAACTTACAATCATGGAGAAACTTGAAGGGGAAGCAGGCACCTTCTTTTTTTTTTTTTTGACGGAGTCTCGCTCTGTCGCCCAGGCTGGAGTGCGGTGGCGCGATCTCGGCTCACTCCAAGCTCCGCCTCCCGGGTTCCCGCCATTCTCCTGCCTCAACCTTCCGAGTAGCTGGGACTACAGGCGCACACCGCCACGCCCAGCTAATTTTTTGTATTTTTAGTAGAGATGGGATTTCACCGTGTTAGCCAGGGTGGTCTCGATCTCCTGACCTCGTGATCCGCCCACCCCGGCCTCCCTAAGTGCTGGGATCACAAGCGTGAGCCACCGCTCCCGGCCGCAGGCACCTTCTTTACAAGACGGCCGGACAGAGAGAGTGGGAAGGAGGAACTGCCAAACACTTATAAACCGTCAGATCTCCTGAGAATTCCCTCACCATCACGGGAACAGCATGGGGGAAGCTGCCCCAGTGATCCAATCGCCTCCCTCCAGGTCCCTCCCTCGACACGTGGGAATTACAGTTTGAGATGAGATTTGGGTGGAGACACAGAGCCAAACCATACCACCTCCACTATTTGTGAAGATTGGTTATGATGAGGCTTCTGCCATGGAAATGTTAACATTTGACTCCAGTGTTGCTGACGTTTTGAAATAAAGTTTTTGCAAGCGGTGCAACACATCATTTTCCTTATACACCTGCTGGCATCATTACATTCCCTGGTCAGGAACCAGGAGGTTCACATGACCTACAGTACTGGATCTTTAACCATCTAACTACCTAATTCCTTAGTCCTTTCTGTCCAGGACTCCCAGTTGCATATTCTCTGTGGAAATTACATTCTCATTCTCCCTTCTACCTGAATTCCTACCTGCCTGCCCCCTTCTTCTCCTCTTTACTTCCTTTCTTTCTTTATCTGCTATTGATAGTACTTGGAGCTGCTGATACAATTTAGACACTACCCAGGCTTTCAAGGAATTCCTGCTTTCTGCTGTTGCCATGAGCTGAAATTCTTTTTCATCTTTACTTATCCAAAGCTGCTGGGAGGTAGCTCAAAGTCTAACCCAACTAAGAACACAGTCATTTATTCACTTATTTGTTTACTAACTTAATATTTGTGGAGCACCCACTCTGTGTTAGCCTGTGCCAGATGTTTGCTGTTCAGGTAGGAAAAAAGGTTCCTGTTTGCAGGGAGCTTACATTACACAGAGAAAAAAGATAAAAATTAGATAAAATATCCAATATCAGCGGTGGTTCCAGAATCTCTACATCAAATGGGCTCAGGGGTGGAAATCTGGTAGGAAAGTTGGTTAGAAGAAATTGACTTTTAAAATCTGATTTTGCATGGTGAGAGTTAATGTTAAAAATTGATAAGATGTTGCCAGGGCCTGCAGGTGGAGAGGGAGGAATGAGAGTTATTGCTTTACAGGCACAGAGTTTCAGTTCTGCAAGATGAAGAGCTCTGGAGGTGAATAGTAGTGCTGGTTGCACAACAATATGAATATGCTTAATGCCACTGAACTGTACGCTTACAAATGGTTAAGGTGGCAAGTTTTATGTTATGTGAACTTTACCACAATTTAAAAAAAAACTAAGTTTGCTCAAGTTTACATAAGACTGAGAAAATATCAGCAGTCTGCATCCAAAACTGTTATTGTGGGAACTGACTCCTTAGTACTACTTATAAGAGGGTGATAAATACTGTGAGAAAATAAAGCAGGGAGGTCTGTTTCACTGTGGCTGGCTGGTTGGCAGTCATAGAAACCCCTGAGTTGATGATGTTAAGCTGAGAGATGGTTGTCAAGAGGGAGCCGGGCAGGTGCTGATCTGGAAGCAGAACTGCCCACGCAAGAGGAATGGCTAGGGCAAAATCCACAGGGTGAGAGAGAGCAAGGTTGGAATATTCCAGAAACTGAAAGCAAGGGCCTATGTGGCTGAAGCATGTTGGAGGAGGGGCGGATGGGTGAGAGATGGGGCTGGGGAGGTGGGCTGTCTTACAGGAACACAGCCAAGCCCATTTGTTTCCAAACATTTGTTTCCAGCTGTCGAGGGCTACTTGCATGCTACAAGGGTGGACTTGAGTAGTTGTGATGGAGTTTTGGCCCACAATACCAAAAATATTTGCGATCCTGCCCTTTTAGAAAAGGTTTGCCGACCTCTGCTTTAGAGGGTTATGAACAGGGAATGGCACAATCTGACGGGAAGTTTAGAAAGATCACTGTGGCTGCTGGGTGGCATATTTGTAGCTGACCCTCAAGTGTCTCCTATGTAGGTCTGAGCTCCAGCCGGACTGAGGGCAGGGTCTCTACTTTGTTCCCTGATGATTCCCTATGAGACAATGGGCATGAGACAGCTGAGGCAAATAGAGGTGCAGGGACTTGCTTCAGGTCCCAGAGCTGTAAGTAGAGGAGCAAAGATGGAAATTGCTACTCAAATGACTTCATAGCCTAGGCGTTTTCTTTTACACCCAGCTGCCTTTGACTGCAGAAGCATAAAATGCCTCTGTACGCTATAATTCTGGAGCAAAACAAGGTAAATCAGTCAAATGCAGGTGGCATAAAGTATGTGTAAAAAGAAGTTGTTTTTAAATATAAGCATGCATCACTTAATGGTGGGGATATGTGCCAAGAAATGTGTCATTAGGCAATTTTGTCACTGTGTGAACATCATGAAATGTACTTACAAAAACCCAGTCGTGCAGCCTATTACACATCTAGGCTAGCTGGTATAGCCTATTGCTCCTAGGCTGCAAACCTGTATGGCATGCTGTTGTACTGAATACTGTAGGCCATGGTAACACAATGGTTAAGTATGTGTGTCTCTAAATATAGCCAACCAGGGAAACTGTAAAGTAAAAACAGGGTATCATAATCTTATGAGACCACTGTCATACATGCAGTCCATTGTTCACTATAATGTTGTTTTGCAGCACCTGACTGTATTGTTTTTGGTGAAAGATGACCAGGAGTAGAGGTGACCTCCAAAAATCATTATCCCATCCTCCAATATCTAGGAAAGTAACTCATAGACCAACAAGATAGATGATGATGAGTGATGCTTGACTGATGTACAACTATATACAGAAATCTCCATTTGTTTTCTTTAAGCCAGCTGTAGATTGTGTTGAGTAACTTAAATAACCAAAATAACTGTTTTCAAATAGTTTCCCTGCCAAGTTTGATACCTCAAATACTTGAAATGTTCTGAGGAAAGAAGCTGAGATTACCAAAGTGAAGAATAAAAAGGGAAGCCAGATTTTTGAACCAAGAGGGAGATTGTGCCAGGCCTAATCCAGCAGAGAGAACATTTTGAATGGGATTTTCCAAGAAGCAGGTTTTGGCTAGCTAGGGTGAAACTGTGAATCACAAAATAATGACATTGTGAGCTGTAAACAGTTTTAATTTATACAGGTGACATTTAAAATGCTAATGAGACCTTAAGATAATTGCTGGAAGTTAGAAAGCCTCTGCTGGGAACTCTTCCAGTTTCTATGGAAATGGTTCAAAACATAACCAGATCAGTGAAGATGTTTCTGGTTTACCTGACTTGGGTTTCAACTTCTACAAAGCCAAGGAATTTAAGTGACTATTACTTGTGGTGACACTTTTGGTAATTGAAATCTATAGAATCCAGTCTGTAAGTAGAGCGTGAGAACTCATCTCAGCAACGGGAGATTTCAATGTAGCTTCTGTGGTCTGTTCACCTTTCAAGTGGAGATGTATCAACACCAAGAAAATTAGCTCTGTCTTCAACCAAGTCTGGTTTTGTACATTGATTGCAGGTCGTACATACACACAAAAAATCTCAATGAAGTTTTTTTTTCCACTATTAACAATTTATTACACAGTTTTTCAGTATTATGTTTGTTCAACAATCAACAGGAGTTCAGGTGCCTCCCATGTGCTGAATACTTTGGCCCCCAGATGTGGTGGTGAACAAGGCCAAATAAGGTCTCTGCTCCCAGGAACTCATATGTGAAGGAAGAAATTAACACACATAACTGATACATACATAAAGTAGTATTGCATCTCTGATGAGTAGCACAAACAAAATTAAGCAGGGTAATATGATTGAGTGGATGATTAGAGGGCTCCATCCACCTGAAGATCAGGGCAAGCGTACTCCAGATAGAGGGAACAGTATGTGCAAAGGTCCTAAGGCAGAAACAAGTTGGCATTTTCATTTCTCTCTTTTTTTTTTTTTTTTTTTTTTAGAGACAGGGTCTCTCTCGGTCACCCAGGCTGGAGTGTAGTAGTGTGATCTTGGCTCATTGCAACGTCTACCTCCTGGGTTCAAGCAATTCTCCTGCCTCGGCCTCCCGAGTAGCTGGGATTACAGGCGTGTACCACCACACCCGGCTAATTTTGTATTTTTAGCAGAGACAGGGGTTCACCATGTTGGCTAGGCTGGTCTCGAACTCCTGACCTTTTTATTCCTCACTTTGGTAATCTCAGCTTCTTTCCTCAGAAATTTTCAAGTATTTGAGGTACCAAACGTGGCAGGGAGACTATTTGAAAACAGTTATTTTGGTTATTGAAGTTACTCAACACAAAATTTGTTTCTTGGATTTTAGCCTACCTCTTGCAAAGCTTACCATTGAGTTCTTTGCCTCTAGCACCATCCTGTTACATGGCAGGCACTAAATAAATGCTCGTAGAATAAATTATCCTCCATTCGTTGGTTTTAATGATGCTTTCTGGATTCCCTCTCTTGTGACAAATCAAGTCTTAAAGGCAGTGCTCAAGTCTCTCATGATTGTTGTTTCTTCTTCTTTTGCCATGGTCCCAATCTCTCCATCATGCAGGCAGCTTTCCTTCTGATGTTTGTCAAAGTGTCTCTTAAAACATGGTACCTGGAGCACATCATTGCACTTTGCTGGCAGCCACTGTCAGCTCTGTGTACACTGTGCTGGCCTCAGCAAGTAGTCAGTGACCCCTGAGACTATGCCCAAGCTCTCCGACAGTCATTAACCATGTGTGGGAATAAAGAAGTTGTTGAACAAAAACATGTATACACAGAAGTCTTGATTCTGTTGCTGCGCATGCAAATAATCTGGAGCATCAGGCCACAGTGAAGTGGCTCCTTGTTTCAAAAACACCAGACACACCTCGTACAGAAGGTCTTGTGTAAGTTTCTAGATGCTGTCTGATTGGAAGCACCTGAGTTGTAAGAGTTAGACTGGGCTGCTGCCTTTGGCCTAGGTGGAAGAAAGCTGCTAAAACTTCCCCAGGGAATAGTTTTCTTGTGAACAAATGGATTTAGATGAACAAATTACTTGCAATTAATTTCAGCCCTATGCACCGTAAATTGAATTGGGGTTACCTGTGAATTCCAAAAGATGTGGCTTAAGATATTCATATTTTACCCCATATTTTTATTTTACTTTTTAAAACTGAAATAAAATATAAGTATTAAATCATGTGTGGGCGGGCACGCAAGCGTGCGCGCGCGCACACACACACACGCACACACACACACACACACACACGCACACGCAGTGCTCTTCCTGAGAGCCAGAACTCTGCTAAGAATAGAGTGATGAAGGCTCCAGCAAATCTTTTCTTTTAAGATCCATCTTATCCTCTTTGAAGCACCCGAAGAGCAAATTGCAACATGGTGAAGTGTCTCTGCACAATCAGCAATCCCTTTCTGTACTCATTTTCTGCATGGGCACCCCCAACTCCTTTACATTAACTCTCTCTCAAAGCTCACGAAATGACCTCGCATGATCAATTTAAATCAGAATTTTCCAACTGGAGTCCACAAGCCATCAGTTACTGTTTGATGGTATTTGTTTGGTCTGGTGTTAGCGTGCACTGTGTTAAAACATTTTTTTGTTGTTGTTGTCAAGAAGTTTAGTACAGATCTTCACTCAAAAATGAACATCTAGACATTTCGGCTTTAAAAAAAAGTATGGGGTCACTCAAGGCCCACCTTCCTGCCTGGCAACAATGAGTAGAGCTGAGTAGTTGCTCTCCATTCAGGGGATGCATGGACCCTTTAGCTAGCTGCAATCCCCACCACTCCCTATTGTCACCCCACATTCTACTGCTTTACTCATTTACTTTACCTGCATGACTCCTGTAGATTTGGAATTAGTGACCACTGATTGAAACACTTTGAAATAATTTTAATCCCTGTCATTCTTCTTCCCTAGAGAATTGGCATCTTCAGCCTTAGACAGTCTCTTATTAAGGGAATTTCATATGGATGAGAGAGATATTTTATAAAAAATCCCCTTTAAAAGACCCCTTTAAATCCTACCAGGTAGGAATTTATTTTTAGGTTTGTGCATAAGGCAGACTCTATCCTCTTTAGTGGATGCTTTCATTATTTACATGTTTTAATAATTTTGTTTCTCTCTCTTTTATATCTTTTTCCAGGTCCCTTACCTGCCTTGAGGCTAAGGTAAATTTCCTACAATGAATTTCGTATCTCTTTTTGTACTCATTACACAGGAAGCTTTACATTTAGCTGGGATGCCCTTTCTCTGTCCTTTCTCTAGGCTTCATTATTGGCTAGTTTTCTTTGGTGAACCTTGTTTGCCATCCATTTTCCCAGCCTTGTAGATAAGGTTTTTCTTTTTGTAACCTGAGTGGTGTCTGGCGGTGTGGTAGTCTACCAATTAAACAATGATGTTCAGCTGGACCATGTTGCCAAGCTGTTTGGAAACAATAATGTATCCTCTTATCTCAAACTCTGCTGAAAATTTTTGCTGTTTTTTGGTTTGTTTGGTTTTGTTTTTCTTTTGGTCAAGAACCTCACTTTTAGAGCACATTTCTTGCAGTGTGGAGATTAGTCTTGCCATTTATGTCTCTTCCCAAACTTTATCTTGTTGTTTTCATGGGCTTTAGAGTCAGAGACCTGGGTGCAAGTCACTTCAGAGACTGAAGATGTGTGATCGTAGGCAAGTTATTTAACTTCTCCGAGCTACAGTTTTCATATCTGCAAAATGGGGACAATCATAGTACCTGCCTTTTAGGGTGGTTGTAAGGAGTAAATCTTATAATAAACGTAAAGCCCTTAGCTGAGAACTTGGCACATAGTAGTTGCTCAGTAAGTATGGGTAGCATGTTTACTCAGTATCTCACAGTTTTCAAAGTACTTTCACATTCTTATAATGCCCATGAAACCCGGTGAGATAAGCCGAGGCTCAGACTCAGTATCAGAACCAGGGAGGATGGGAGTGGAGAGAGGCTGTGCTAATTCTTGGGGACTCTGGTGCTACAAATCCTCTACTGAAATGTTTAGATCTTGATAGGGGACCCATTCCACCCATCCCTTGCGGGAATGAACCTGCTTCCCCACCCACAGATAAAGATCCTCATTAGGGCTGGGGGAATGATCTTTGCAGGAACAGACTTTTAAGGGTGACCAGCTACTCTGGTTTGCTTGGGACTGAAGTGTTTCCTGGAATAAAAGCCTTTCAGTGCTGAAACTTGGACAGCCCTGGGAAAAGTGGGATTGTTGGTCATCCTAGACTCCCCAGGAACCCACTGTAAAGCCAGAGTATAGGAAAAACATCCAGGAACTCTTGGGTACTTTTTCTCTCTTTGGCTGAGAGTGCTGCTTTTTAGTGCAGGCTTTAGCCCAAGAACGAGAGGTGCGTCATGCTTGAACAAAATATATTTCATGAATAACTTTTTTTTTTGAGATGGAGTCTCGTTCTGTTGCTCAGGCTGGAGTGCAGCAGTGCGATCTCGGCTCACAGCAACCTCTGCCTGTCTGGTTCAAGTGATTCTCCCACCTCAGCCTCCTGAGCTGCTAGGATTACAGGTGTTCACCACTGTGTCTGGCTAATTTTTGTATTTTTAGGAGAGACAGGGTTTCACTGTGTTGGCCAGGCTGACCTCAAACTCCTGACCTAATGTAATCCTCCTGCCCCAGCCTCCCAAAGTGCTGGGATTACAGGTGTGAGCCACCCCGCCTGGCCATGAATAACTTTTGTATTGATTACGTGTTGAAATGACAATATTTGGATATGTTGGGTTAAAAAAAGTTACAAATTTTCCAAAAAAAAGGCAGCAGCATAGAAAAAATTATTTTTTCTCTACTTACACTTAAAATATCACTAGTGCATATGCTCTGTGGGGACCTAAGAGACCAGGTAAGAAGAGTCCCCAGCAAAGCCACTCCTGTACATCCCCTGTGAAGCCATCTTGAGGCCATTATGTTCTGTATCACAGGCCCTTGCTACTTAAAGTATGGTCTGTGGACCAGCAGTATTGGCATCACCTGGGAGCCCATCAGAACTGCAGCCTCGCAGGCCCCACAGCAGACTGCTGAATCAATCTGTAGTTTAACAAGATCCCCAGGCAAATCACATGCCCAGTAAAGTTTGAGAAGCTCTGGTCCAGGCTTCAATCAGGTTCTTGAACTTTGGTGGGCCTCAGAATCTCCTGGGGAACTTGGTAAAGGCAAGCAGGTGCTTTCCCACCTCAACAAGCAGAGGTCTCGCTGAACTTGATTAGCTCTCCAGGTGATTCAGATCCCACAGTTTGCAGGCCGCTGGCTGAAATGATTAGGTATTGACAGCAGGTGAAGGTGGGCTCTTCTCACCAGTCTGAAATCCACCCGCAATGTTGCAGGCGCAGAACAGAGACACAAAAGTAGGCGTGTTTGTGATTGCTCTTAGCTTCTCAGTCAAGCAGAAACCCACTTTATCTACAGTAGCAAAGAGATCCCCTGGTATTAGCCAGGACTCGTACACCTGTCCCACTTCATGCATCGTTTCTGTGAGTCCATCCTTTGTCAAGGTGAGTGTGCCCTCTGGGTGGGAATTATTGGGAGGAAAAGGACTTTGTAGACAAGAGGGCCTGGCTTTGCTATATCTACTGCTCACACACACTTTGAGTTCTCCTCTGAGGGGACTCCAGCGAAATCGAATAGTTCTCCTTTATTGAGCAAATGCTTTGGGGTCAGAGTGGGAGGTCGCATCTAACTAAAGTGTTATACGCAACATGATAGCAGGGCTTTACACTGGTGGGACCTGGGGTGATGGGGAGTGTTTAAGATGAGAACAGAAACAAGATGTTGAGGTTAAAGTCACTCAGTTGCAATTGACCTTTGGAGCTGTAGCAAATGTGTGTGCCGCCTGTGCACACATTTCAACTCTGTGCCCGGCCCTGGTTTTCCCTGCAGCTGTGCCGGACGGTTTCATGCGGGCTCTGACTTACTCGCCACTGGCAATGTCTCACCCCAAGGGCTGGCTTTCTCTAGCACTGGAGGCCTTCCCAGTCTGGAAGATTAGGGGCATTAACTCCCCAAGGGACAGCTCTCAAACAATGGGAGAAGAGGCAGTGGATAAATACTTCAGACTCTGGTCCTCCAGGGGACATTTCTGGAATGCATTCTTTGTTTTCTCAAGTCCTGTAGGAAATTGAGTTCCCATTGCCTCTTGAGAACTCAGCAGTGCCCCTTATATTAGCTTCTCCTCTCCTGTCTCCCTTGCCTCACCCCTACACCCCGCTTCCTTGGTTTGTCTTTCAGAGTAACTGCCAGCAAGCCCTTGTCTCAGGCTCTGCCTCTGGGGGACCTAAACAAAGACAGGAGCAAACCCTGGTTCCTTGGCCTTTTTCTCCAGTCCTCTCTAGTGTTATTGAACCTCCCCTAACCATTCCATTTGGAACAAGCATCGTGGGTCTCTAACCCTGCTAACGAGGCACCCTAGTGTGGTGTATTCTCTCACATGACATTTTGTTCATAGCTTGACCTACGCTCTCAGGCCAGGCTAGTGTGTAATCACTGGAGTGAGAAGCTCTTCCATATTGGTACAAAATGCTGATTTATGGAAGTGAAGGCAGTGAGAACATGACTGGAAGACCTAGTTCTCATGCAGCTGGTCCCCAACCATGTTGAACCCCCCTTAGACCACACAGCAGGCTGGGACGCTTTCATCCAACCTTTCTTTCCTCTCTCCATCACTCAGACTGAGAAGCCAGACAGCCCTTCCTGCTTTCCTTCCACATAGCTCCTCCCCGAATCACATCCTTGCGGCTTAATCCCATCTTGGTGTCTGCTCTTCGGAGGATCTGGACTATCACAAATTTGTGTCACTACATCCCATCCGCTTTCCTCCTATTCTCCTTGTCTGCTGGACTCTTTCTTCAACTGTCTTGCTTGCTTTCCCCCTGATACTTCATTGCTTTGCTCCAACCTCCCTATCAATCAATGACTTCTGTGGCTTCTCTTTGTCTGATGGGGTTCCTGGTATCTGTGGTCTGGTTTTAGCAACTATGTGGTTGGTATGGGGGTGGGATCTCATGTGTAGGGTCTGTATGGAGGGTCTGGCTTTCCAGCTTGTGAAGTGCTGCTTCTCAGGGCATTCATTATGCGGATGCATTGACATCAAAAGGCAGCAGTAAAATATGAAGTTCTGGGTTTCTTTATTTTGATTTGGATACACAGGGAACCAATATTTTTGCTGCTGAAGGTCAAGCACTGCCCTGGATGAAGTCTTCACCTGTTTTTAAAATTTAATCTTTAGTGTTCTCCTGAGAAGTAGGAGGCATTATTCTTATTTCATAGACAAGGAGAGTGAGGCTCAACAACCTTCCCTGACTTGCCTGAGCCCATGAATTCACCCACTGTGTTTTTGCTGAGGAGTACAAAGTGCTTGATTGAGCTGTCCTTTTTGGTTTGTCCTGCAGCTCCTGGGACTTATGGTGAGCGTATAGTTAATTGTATAATGTGGAAACTGAGGCAAGGGGTGGCAGTAACTCTGAGTATTCTGAGATCAGAACTGGCAAGGGCTGAGCAAGTGTGTCAAACAGAACTGGTGTTGGCCCACGTGTTGTGGTTTTAGTTGTGTTTTTGCCTGGGTTTTGACTATGAAAGCCCTGAGGTGAGTTGAAAGATGGTTTCATCCAACTAAAAAAAGATTGTGCGTGTGTGTGTGCGCGCGTGTGTGTGTGTGTGTGTGTGTGTGTGTCTGGCTGATTGGAGCCAATTCTCTGTTCTCTGCACACTAGGGTTTAAAAGATCCATGACGAACCATACTTGCCTGGTGCTAATGTTTTGTTCGGTTTCATGTGATCCCTCTGATGTCTGCTGTACCATCAGAGGCCACTTCCAAAGGAGCCATGTGAGAAACGACACCATGCCCAGAACAAGGGCACTGTGTTGCTTTTTAAATCTGCCATAAGCAGCCTCATTTGTAGAGATTTGGTTCCTAATGATCTTGTTCTGACTTTCATCTGCTTCCTGAGCCTGGGTCAGATACGCAGTTAGGAAGATACCAGAGGGGAGATTCTTTCATGGTTATGAGCTTCGTTCATCCTGAGTTAGGCCAGCTGTGGCAGGTGGACTCCAGGGCTGGCTCCTTTGTTTAGGGGCCTCTTAGTTCAGGCACTTGAAGTTTCTTGTGGAAACTGGTTCAGGAAAAAATCAGAAGGAGCTGCCGGTACAGTAGGAGGCTTCTAGTATCTTAGCATGCTGTAGGTAACCTCAAGAATGTATTATTTCTGGGAGTGGTGGTTGGCTGATAAAAGGCAAGGCATTGAGTTCTGTGTACCTTTGCCTGGGTGAGGTATAGGGATGTGTGTGAGGGGAGAGATCTGTTTTTAGTGAAAAGAAATTCTCAAGTTACCATAAGGAATTATTCATTCATTTATTTATTTCTTTGCTCAGATGTTTAGTAAGCTCCCCCGCTCCATCAAGCACTGTGCTATGTGCTGGGGATACGGGAGTGAACAAGACAGATACATCTTCGTCTCGTGAGCTTAGAGTCTGTAGACTTAGGGGTTTAGGAGCAATGTTTAGTTTTGTGCAAGACACATGGATATGGGTAAATTTGGCCCACCTGGAGCTTGTCCTTTATGGAGTAGCCTTGAAATTTACTAAGAATACCAAGATTTTTTAACATTTGTATTAATAGTTGTGTGTGTTATTTCAGCACCTTTCTTCCCTTTTCTTCCTGCAAGAGACCCTGACTCTGGGCATAATATCTCACACCCACAGTGGTGGTTAATTGGTCTAAAGTCAAGGAATGTAGCCAAGCTTGACCAATCATAGTCCTTCCCTAGGATTTTTAATACCAGTGTAGGAGTGTGCCTCCCTTCTGTCCCCAATCCATCTCTGCCTCTTTTCGCCCCATCTCTCCCCAACCCTACCTTCTGGCAATAGAGTAGAGAGAGAGGAGAGGAAGGCAAGGGCGAGGGGTGGCAGAGAGAGGGGTGGGCAGCAGAGGATGTACTGGGGTGCTTGACACAGACTGGGGTGGGGAATGTTAGGAAAAGCTTTTTGGAAGAGTTGGGTCTTTAGGGTTGAGCAGGAGTTTGTCATGTCATTGTTATCATTTTCCAAGTAACGGACAGGGTGACCAAAGGTAAGAGAGTAAATATTCTTGGTCCATTCCTATAACTTCCAAAAGTGCAGGTGCTATAGCACAGACCATTTGAAGGGGGAGGAAGGAGGGAGCAGGAAGGGACCTGCAGCCAGCTCAGGAAGTGTAGAGTTGATCCTGAAGGCATGGCCAGCACCAAGCATTTGCTGTTCTATGTGCTAAACATAACCCGGGCCCCATAGACACCAAGGCCTGATGAAAGAGCTGCCGGCACTGACAGATCTCCTGGGCTTCCAGTTCCCCTTTCCCATTCAGCATCTGAATGCTGCATCTCCAGCATACAAAACCAGCAACATCCCCTGAGTGAGTCCACTTCTTAACAAACAAACTACTCCCCTGTGCCTCCCAAGTTCAAGTGCACTTGCTCTTATTGTCTGTTCTTTTTTAGCTTTTTTTTTTATTTGCCTCTTTTAAAAGTTCAGAGAATGACTTGTAGTTCTTGAAGTGTCAGTATAGATTGCATGTCTAATTTATTCTACTTGCCCAGAGACACTTGAGATAATTACAGTGGGGAAATTCTGTTTTCTAAAAAAACCTGCATGCTGAGAGGATTATTTTGCCAGGTTCTCCATGGGACGCTGTCCCTTATGGAAATAAAAGAGTACTTTATATACCTACTGGGGTGATTCTGAGGCTCCAAGCCCCAATTTTCTCAGTGTTTCCAGAGATCTGACACAGAGGCTGTAGCATGTTTTTCAAAATTCAATTTAGGAAATATAATACATTTAGACATAGGTAATTTCAAGTTTAACCTTTCTCTTCTGAATTGCGGGTTTCATGTACGTGAATGCCCACTGTATCTTAGAAACAGGCTGCTGATTGGAATAATGAATGACTTTTAACAAATGTCAGTTTTATTTATTTTTCTATCTTTGTAAACTTCAGTGAAGTATAACATAAACACAGGAAACGGCACAGATCTGCTATGTACAGCTCAATAAATGTTTCAGTGATTGGTTCACATGTGTAACCAACTCCCAGATCAAGAAAGAGAATGTTGCTGGGAGTACTACAGAAGTCCCCTTGGGTCCTCACCTCCCCTGTTTCTCTTCCCAGGGTGACTGTGACCACAAATATGTTTTGCCTCATTCAATATTGTATTTACGAGTGTCATCCTTGTTGACTGTACTTGTAGTTCATTTCTTTTCATCAGTCTCTGGCATTCTGTTGAATGAGTATATTGTAAATTTTTCAGACCACTGTGAATGACCATTTGGGCTGTTTCTGTTTTTTGCCTATTATGAAGAGTGCTGCTACAAGCATTCTTGTTCATAGCAGATGTGACTTTGTGCATTTAATCTCATAGTCTCTGTGTTAGGGTTTGCCAGAGCAACAGAATCAGCAGTGTGTGTGTTTGTGTGTGTGTGTGTGTGTATTTTTAAGGAACTGGATCATGAAATTGTGGAGGTGTAAGTCCAAAACCTGCAGGATAGGCTGGCAGGTGGAAGACCCAGGGGAGAATTTCAGTTCAAGCTCAAAGGTCATCTGCTGGCAGAATTTCTCAGACTCTGGGGGAGGTCAGCCTTTGTTCTATTAAAACCTTCAACTGATGGTCGAGGCCCACCCACATCATGGAGGACAACCTGCTTTACTCAAAGTCTGTGGATTTACATGTGACTCTTATTCAAAAAACACCTTCATAGAAACATCCAGGACAATGTTTGACCAAATATCTGGGCACCTTGGCCCAGCCAAGTTGACATACAAAATTAACCATTGCAGTCACTTACTGCTTGCTATGTGACTTCTCCTGTGCTAGTGCTGGGTTGGGAGATTGGGGTGGGTAAAATGTGGTAGGATTGCTTTAAAATACACTGTATTAATAGAAAATGTGAGATACAGTTAGGCCAACAGATCAGGAGGTAACTGTCATTGAAAAGATATAGTTTGGGCGGGGCATGGTGGCTCACACCTATAATCCCAGCACTTTGGGAGGCCGAGGCTGGTGGATCACATGAGGCCAGGAGTTTGAGACCAGTCTGGCCAACATGGCGAAACCCCGTCTCAACTAAAAATTACAAAAAATTGGCTGGACATGGTGGCACACACCTGTAATCCCAACTACTAGGGAGGCTGAGGCACGAGAATAGCCTGAACCCGGGAGGCAAAAGTTGCAGTGAGCCGAGATCGTGCCACTGCACTCTAGCCTGGGTGACAGAGTGAGATGCTGTCTAAAAGAAAAAAAAGATAGTTTGTTACAGTTCCCCTGGGGAAGGGAACAGCACAACACACCATGCAGGGCCACACAGGGAAGCACCAGCATTGGTCAGGAGGCAGAGGGGGAACTGGGAGAAGGGGATTATATTGTGGTTTCTGCATGAAGAAATGGGTGAGGCAGGGTAAGGAGCCTCAGGATTGGCTAGCTGAATAATTCCTACAGGCTCTGGGGGAAGAGGGGCTGCCCCTAGTTGTGTGATATATGACCCTGGGGAAATCGGGGCAGGTGGATAGAGTAGGCTGGAGTGGTAAAGGAGGTGGTTGGGTTATAGGCTCTGGATTGGTTGGTTTGCATTTGCAAAACATATTTTCTAAGAATTGGCTAGTCCTGGCAGGGTCAGCAAGGCCCCAGATACTAAAGCATGGAATACTATGCAACCATAAAAAGGAACAAAATCATGGCCTTTGCAGGGACATGAATGGAGCTGGAAGCTGTTATCCTCAGCAAATTAATGCAGGAACAGAAAACGAAACACTGCATGTTCTCACAAGTGGGAGCTGAATGATGAGAACACATGAACACAGCGGGGAACAACACACACTAGGGCCTTTTGGGGTGGAGAGGGAGGGAGAGCATCAGGAAGGATAGCTAATGGATGCTGGGCTTAATACCTAGGACATGGGATGATCTATGCAGCAAACCACCATGGTACACCTGTGTAACAAACCCGCACATCCTGGACATGTACCCCTGAATTTAAAAGTTGAAGGTAAAAAAAAATATATATATATAAAAGAAAAGAAGGCAATATGGAGATAGGAAAAACTCTGAAGTGGGACTCAGGACCTAGAGTGCGTCATTAATCACCGATTCTTATTACATCTTGCAGTAATGATGCCCACCCTACTGATGAAAACTCAAGGCCTAGAGGAGCTAATCAGGTCGCTGGCCGGGAGAGAGCTGAAGCTTAAATCTGAGCCTCTCTGACTTGACTTTCTTAATCTTTATGCTTTTCTCCCTCCCAGGATTGTTCAAAACATGTTATTCTTAACTCTCCAGCCACACAGGGTTATTATAAGATAATGAGTTTATATAAGTGAGGATGCTTTGTACTCAGTGATGAGCTAGACAGATAGATGGTAAAATTTTTATGAGTTTATATTACAGGAGTGTGACTATGATTCAACCCTTGAAATACATAAATTCAACTTAAAGGATCTTAGAACCAGGAGAAGTATTTGGAGATCATTTGGTCCCTGTCTCTGTTCTTAAATAGGTGAGATCTGAAACTACTTATTTTCTCCTGGAGAGTGGCCAGACTCTCCCTTGGTCGCATCGTATATTATGACTGTGAAGAGAAAAAGATCAATGGATGTTTATTTCACAGGGACTTTGCTTAATAAGTTACTTCTTCAGTGTACCCAAGAGCATCTTGATGATCTGAGTGTTATTAAAGAAGCTTTTGGATGTACCTAACGTACCCAAAAGACATGGTTGAAGATGTGGCTCAATATGCCTTACACAGATCACCCAGTCTGTGGTTAGTAACACTCTCACAAAATCTAGAGTTCTTTGCCTGTGGGAAGTGGTGGAAAGAGTCCTGGGCTGGAGATAAGGCACTAGTGCTGGTTCTTCTTGACTGCAAAGTGATTGGCTGATCTTGGATGGTGACTTGATCATCTGAGCATCCATCTTCTCACTTAAAAATCAAAGGATTGGTTAGGCGATGTTTCAAGTTGCTTTCAGCATGGACAGGGCTACGTTCAGTCATCTAGGATTTGGATGGCTAATGTCATTTTGATAGAGGGACAAAGCACTTATAAGTAGCTGGGAATCTGGTCACTTTGATGTCTGGTAGTTAATAAATGAAGAAAGATTTGCACGAATACCTGAGCTGATCTTTCACTCTCTTGCCAGCTCTCTGCTGACTCCACTTCCTTGGTTAGCCCCGGGTTACTGTAAATTAAGCTAACTGCTTTTCCTGGGAATAGTGCTCTGTAAATCAACACTGGAGGAGAGTGGCTCTGTGAAGAGGGCTTTTCATGAGATACTCTAACCATTGGAAAGACAACATATTATCTGGCAGCTGTTTCTGAATATTAGTTTATGTCTGGGCAATTGTTTTCTTTATAATCCAAAGCTGTCAAGGAAACATAGCTCATGTAGCTTGGAAACTTGCCCTGCCATCTCTGCCTGGTAGCAGCTTATTCATTGTTTTCCTTCTTCCCCACAAACCCTTTCTTTCTGTATGTGGCACAATTAAATTAAATTATCAGTTTCTAGTTAATTTTATCCTGAAACAACTCCATCCTTTTTTTTTAAAAACAAAAAGACAATTTTTTTCTAAAATGAAACTGTATATCAGTGCCCATTTTTGTACTGTCATTCATGTGACTCTCCAAAATAGGCTGATTCATCATCAGTGAATTGATGGTTATTTTCAGCACTGGGGCTTAATCAGACATGCCCCTATTCCTTCAAATAATCATTTTTTTTGTTTTAATCATCTAGTTAAAAAATATGGAAGCCATCTTAATGTTACTTTGAATATCCACAATGGCAAAAAAAAAAAAAAAAAAACAAAAAACCACTTCTGTGACATCCGTAGCTGGTGGGCTGAGCTTGTAGAGTTACTGGAGTTCAGTTGTCTCATTAAAACGGAAGTGGGTGCTGATATTTCAGCCCTCCCCCCTGCCCCATTCAACATATCAGTTCAGTGCTAAGCCAGAAGAGAGCTACAACTTGACCCTTAGTTTCCTATGCTTCTCCAGAAGCTTCCTAGATTTACTCACAAGTAGGGAAGAGAGCTAGAGCAATCTCCAGTTTACCTTTCCACCCACAGAGACTCAGTAAATAATTGCAGTGGCCTATGAAAGAGAAGCAGTGATGAGGTCATTTTAATGAGAATGAGCCACCCCCAACCATAACAAGGGTGACAGACGTAATCATCTCTCCGTGGGGAAAATGGGCAGGATTAGGCAGTTTATTACTGAAATGGAGACTTAGAGAGAACTCTCAAAAGCAGACATGAAGTGCTGCTGATTGTGTACATGCCGCTTCTAAGGAATAGCTACTTCCTAGGATGTCTTGGCTCCGTGGAAGACCACATTATGCCAAGAACTCTGGGCTTGAAGGAATTAGTTATGAGGCATTTCATGAGCAGCCAGGACACTGGGATGTTCCACCCACCAAGAATGACTCACACTGGGAAGTGAGGTGAATGGTACTAAATGGACCTTTAGATGGTAGGTGGGGCTCCATCAACATCCTAGTGACTATATTTGTGATAAAATTAGAGCTGTTGAGAAGATTTTTAAATAGACCTAATACCTCTTGCCTGGGGAGAAGGGGAGCATTACTAGTCACGAAAGAAACTTCATGGGTGGTTAACATGGGTTTGAGTTTGGCGGTGGCATAATTTGGACGTAGAAGGAATAGCTGATGTGCTATGTACTTTGCACACATGCTTTTGGCACTGACTGTATAGTACACCTGTGAACATCTGCACTCTCTGCTGGAGGGTGATGGTGGTTGTGTCTGCTCAACCTGTGTGTGTAGGGCAAGTTGGAAGAGCTGGATCATGCTCTGGAAGCAAACTTCTAATGACAGGTGGAGATTTGGTGAATAAGTGTCCCCATCTCCTCTGCTTCTTGATTGGGATAAGCCTGGGGCACAGTCTACACTGTCTCCCAGAGCTCTTCAGTGAACTTGACCTCCAGTCGTCCTCAGCACTAACTTGCTCAATGGTGTACCTTTGGTTGACTTCTTTCCCATCCCCATCTTATTTCTCCACTCTATTACTGGTGTTTCTCAGGTGAAAGAATTCATTTGAATCCTTGCCTCAGGTTTGCTTCTGGAGAAAGTCAACCTAATTTAAGGGGTGGGGTTGCTACAAAACAAGACAGGTTACTTATTACTAGGATACAATGTCACTGTTCCCACCCACCACTGTAGTATCTCAGAGGATGATTACTCAGCATGACACAGCATATTGCTGTTGGCCTCGTGGAGATAGTTCAGGTCAGAGATTCTTTAGCTCTTGGCAGGGTACAAGGTGAAATGCTAACAAATTTAGTCAGGCTAAGGCTAGAGTATGCTGCAATAACAAGCCACATATGGTTTAATGTTGGTTAAGTGGTTCTCCCTGAAGACTTTTCTGTAAGCGTGACTCAGGAATTTTGTCTGTTTTTATCTGTGGGGAGCTGAGACAACTGGCAGTGTTAGTGGGTGAGGTGCAGGCAGTGGCAATCAGGGTTCTCCACTGAGCAGGGAGCTAAGATCTGAGGGAGAGGCGAGGATGAGCAAATCTGGAGAGAAGCATAAAATAGGTCCAGTACAGGTGGCAAATGTATCTGTAGGCAAGATTTGTGTTAAACATATGTGCTAAAAATAAAAGAGAATGGAAATTACTTATCAGAATATATGCCCAATTTGATTGCTGGTATGTGAAACATTCATGCTGTTAGGTTGTCCCAACTCAATAACTGTCATACAGTCTATAGAATACTATACCAGCTAGTAAGTCAGATAACTAGTACCTAACCTAGTCCAGAAAAGATCAAACCAGTTGTTTATCAATTTGCATCTTGTATTCTGAAAAGACACTTCGTGGTGGGAATATAGTGACTTTTCAACTGGAAAGGTTGGTGACATATGGGCCCAGTTAAATTCTGGAGCTTTGAGCAAATTGGACAGAATTTTATAGGATTGTTGATCTAGGTTTTCTATTTATTTTTTTAAATTGAGAAACACAGGAGTGAAAGGAATGCAGAATGTAGCTTGAAGGACACAGCCATAGAGAAATTTATGAATTTTTCTTTTTTTTTTTTTTTCAAATTGTTAAATGCTTGGATAGGGAGTAAAGTAGGAACGTAGCATTTTGAGTCAGAAAACCAGGGTTTGAGCTTCAGCTCAAACATGTCAGTTGTGTCATTTTGAGTAGTTTTCTAACTCCTCAACTTCAGTTTTCTCCTAAGGTTGGGATGATAATCTGCATCTGAGGATTAAATAACTTAGGACAAAGTACTTGGTTTGGTATCTGACATGTGGCAAGGGCTGAATGATGGCGCCCGACCTATAAAATGGGATTTCAGTTATTTATTCACTGTGTCAACAAATATTTCTAGAATATCTGCTGAGTGCTAGGTCCTATGCTAGATGCTAGGACTGCAATGGTGAGTAAATACAAAGTATAATCCTTGGCTTGAAAGTTCCTGGTCTGGTCAAAGAGATAGATAAGATGTTGGCAAACTGTTTCTTAAAGGGTCACGTGGAAACTATTTTAGGTTTTATGGGCTATAGGGTCTCTGTTAAACCCATCCAACTCTGCCATTGTAGCAGGAACATAGCCTTAGACAATATGTAAATGAATAAATATGGCTATATTCCAATAAAACTTTATTTGCACAGAGGGTCAGATTTGCTCTGTGGCTATAGTTTGCTGCTCATTGAAATAGCTAGTAATAGCCATTAATAGTATTTATTGACAGCTCACTATGTACTTGTTCCTTTAACATTTATTTAGCAAACACTTATATAGCAGTTGCTATGAGCCATGCAATGTTCCAATCTCTTCACACATATTAACTCATTTAAAATGTCCTCAAGTAACTCCATGAGATTGGCACTATCCCCGTTTTACAAGGTAGACTTGGAACTAGGGTCATTCCCTTTTTTTTTTTTTTTTTTTTTTTTGAGACAGAGTCTCACCCTGTCACCCGGCTGGAGTGCAGTGGCATGATCTTGGCTCACTGCAACCTCTACCTCTCAAGTTCAAGCAATTCCCCTGCTTCAGTCTCCCGAATAGCTGGGACTACAGGTACATGCCGCCATGCTTGGCTAATTTTTTTGTGTTTTTTTGGTAGAGACAGGGTTTTACTGTATTGCCCAGGCTGGTCGCGAGCTCCTGAGCCCAGGCAATCCACCTGCCTCGGCCTCCCAAACTGCTAGGATTACAGGCGTGAGCCTCCATGCCCAGCCGGGTCATTCCCATTTTATAGATGAGGAAGTCAAGTCAGTAAGAGGTTAAATAAGCCAGAGATGGAGTTGGGCTTTGAACCCAAATGATCTCTAGTGCCAGAGTGTGGTCTTGCAACCATGATGTCCCACTGCTTCCCTCACACAAGCACTTAACTATGTACTCCGATTCATGACGGAGGTAACAGTTACCTCTACCTCTCAGGTTGTGACCTTCCAAAGAAATGAAAGTGCTTGGTAAACTGTAGCAGGTTAAGGAATTATTTGTTGTGTTTTTCTTTCTCTCTGGAGCAGTAGCCTCTGACACTTGAGGTGAGAAGTTTGGCTTTGGTTTCTGAACTGCAGAGTAGAAATGGGCTGGACATGGTTTGTCTGCAGGTCTCAGAAAGGAAAATGAGCCAGCTCTCTGAGGCCACATCTCATTTCTCCCTTTAAATGTCTATGAATGTCTATGAATTAAAATAAAACGTTAACTTAGGTTCTTATTATATGCAAAGTCTTGTGCTAAGTCTTTCACACGCATCCATGGTGTTTCATCTACAGAATAACCCCAGGAGGTAGTTATCATGTCCATGGGACAGAGGAACTAGAATCTCAGGGAATGTTAAACAACGTGTCCCATGGCTGAAAGTGATGGAGCCAGGATTTGAACCTGGCTTCTCTGCCACCTGCATTTTTGACCATGGGAGCCAGGAGCAGGGCGTGTGTCCACATTGTTCCTGATCCTGCACTTGATTTCCATTGGCTGATCAGCGTAGAGGGCAGGTGAGAAGAACTGGTTAAACTGACTGTAGCTGACAAAGAAGACAGTATTCATCTTATTCAGACACTGTCTGTGACACGGAAAGAATTTGATAAACAATAGCGTGCCCATCCTGATCATTAGGGCTTCTGAAAAATAATGGCTTGGCCCGGGGGTATTATTACCTAGAGCAGACAGCTTAGTGTCTGTTTCAAAACAGTGATAATTTTTATTCCCTACCATAAATGATCACTTAAGCAGCTTGAAATGACGACAGGTCACAATGGCCCCTGTGCTTGTGGGTTTTCTGCTAGAAAGCTGAAGTTGCTCTTAAAGAGAAATGCCCATCTGTGTCCCCAAAGTCCTTGTTAACTCTCCTCAAGTTTTAAGAAACAGTGGACTGCCAAAACTTGTCTTGGGCAGAGGCAGAAGCACAGGCAGTACAGGAGGTGTTTTTGCTGACTGGAAAGAGGGTAGGTGAGGTCTGAGATGGCTTTAGAAACCCCCTGGGAGGCATTTGGGGTTGAATTGTGTCCCCCCAAAAGATATATTGAAGTCTTAACTCTTGGTACTTGGTACCTATGAATGTGACCTTATTTGGAAATAGGATCTTTGCAAAGGTAATTAAGATGTTGAGTCAAGATGAGGTCCTACTGGAGTAAGATGGCCCCTTAATCCTATATAACTGGTATCCTTATATGAAGAGGAGAGAGAGACACAGACAGAAGGCAGCCACATGAAGGTGACAGAGGCAGAGGTTGAAGTAATGCAGCTGTAAACCAAAGATTGATGAGCACCACCCGGAGCTAGAATAGTTGGGGAAGGATTCTTCTCTACAGGTTTCAGAGGGAGAGGGGCCCTGCTTACTTTTTTTTTTTTTTTTTTTTTTCTGAGACAGAGTCTTGCTGTCACCCAGGCTAAAGTGCAATGGTGCAGTTTCGGCTCACTGCAACCTCTGCCTCCTGGGTTCAAGCAATTCTCCTGCCTCAGCCTCCCGAGTAGCTGGGATTATGGGCATCTGCCACAAGACCCAACTAATTTTGCATTTTTAGTAGACACGGGGTTTTCATGTTGGTCAGTCTGGGCTTGAACTCCTGACCTCAGGTGATCTGCCCACTTTGGCCTCCCAAAGTGCTGGGATTACAGGCATGAGCCACCATGCCTGACCCCCGCTCACTTCTTGATTTTAGGTTTCTGGACTTTGGAACTGAGAGACAATAAGTTTCTTTTCAGCCACCCAGTTTATGTTGTGACAACAGCCATAGTAAACTAATACAGAGCTAAGATTCATAGATGTAAGGTGGGTGTGTGTGCACAGGGGAGAGGGGATGAAGCATTGAATAGCTGTGTTCATTTATTTCTTTGTTTGCCACTCACACAGAAGGCAATATTTTATGGTAATTAAGAGGAAGTCTTAGGAACTAGACAGACCTACATTTGAATTTCAGCTCTGCCACTTCTCTGGGTGAATTTTGATTACGGCAATAACCGCTAGCATTTATTAATTACAATATTCTAGCCCCTGTGCCTTGAAGTGAATATGTGATATCTCCTATTTTATTGGTGAGGAAACTGAGGCACAGAAAAAGTCACTTGCTTACAGTTAAATAGCTATTAAGTGACTGTGGAATTAGAACCCAGGTACTTTGGCTCCAGAGATTCCTCTATTAACCACCACAAAACACTTCAGACTCAGTTTCCCCAGTTGTTAAATGGGTAGGGTTAAAATGGCTAACAGAATTTTTATGAGGATAGCAGTTAAAAGAAATCAGGCAATGTATACATATAATTAAATCCAGTTATTCTTTAAAACTCTTTATCATGAAATAATTATGGACTCACAAGAAATTGAAAAAAATAGTACAGTGAAAAACTGAAGACACTTTACCCAGCTTCTGCTAATCTAACATTTTTTTGACCCAGTTAAATTTCAGATTATTCTTTTTCCTTTGAAGTCCAATTTTTCATTTCAACCTCTTAGACCACATTATTTCCTACCTACCTAGAAAAAAAGGGTGAAGAATTTTTATCTTTTACTTGGTTGCTTATTTTTATTATTTTTTAAGAGACAGGGTCTTGCTCTGTTATCCAGGCAAGAGTGCAGTGGTGTGATCATACCTTACTGTAACCTTGAACTCCTAAGCTCAAGTGATCCTGTTGCCTCAGCCTTCTGAGTAGCTAGGACTATAGGTGCAAGCCACTGTGTCTGGTCTTACTTCTTAATTTTTAAAGAAGAACCAAATGAAGGATATAAAAAGGACAAGAACTTGTCCACAGAAATGTATAAAGACACAATCATTGGGCAGAAGAAAGAGATCACTCAGCGAGGCATGAGGCAGTCTATTAATAAGAATCTACTGAACCCCAATTCTTTGCCTAGAACGAGGATAAAGGCATCAGATGACGTTTTATCTTTGTTTTAGATTCAAGGGGGAAATGAAGCAAATGTATAGGTGAAGGAGTTGAAGGCCTCTCGTAATGACAGGTTAAAAAATAATCTAAACTAGGAGTAGTGGTGCGTGCGTATATTCCCAGCTACTTGGGAGGCTAAGGCAGGAGAATCGCTTGTGCCCAGGAGTTTGAGTCCAGCCTGGGCAAAAGTGAGACCCTGTCTCTAAAAAGACAAAAACAGTAGTCCAAAGGAATGGGAGGTTCAAACCAAGTCCAAAGGTATAAGGTATCAAAAGACAGGTCAGCCATGAATGAACAAGCTCCATGATGAATAGGCTAGGGAATTTGGAGCCTCATTTCAGTCTTGGAATATTTTCAGTGTCCATAATCCTGGGACAGGGGCATGTTTTGAAAGGTAAAGCTATTCTGGTGTGGAGATGGGCCCTGGAAGTATGAACAGTGTAACTCAATAAGGTTGTCAATAATCAATACACTTTTATGGTAATGAAGAATGCATTAACACAAATGAAATAAATCTGCAAGCGTGTAGTGACTGTCTACTTAGAACTTTGTAGGAAGTATCATGAGAGACAAGTTGGGAAAAAAGATGTGATTCTCCAAACCAGTTAGTGAAAACTAAAAATTTGAGATTACAAGAGCAATTACACACAGAATTGTGGTAGGAAACTAGCATCCAGAAAAACAACACAATTAGCATTACAGGTGGCTTCAGTCCTCCTAGGCATGGCTACTTTTGCTCATAAATTGTATTTCCAATATATTTAAAGTGTTCTCCTAAGCTTCCACTGCTCTTTTTATTATAAAAGATCCTGTTTGTGAGTTATTCTTCCGCCTGGCATCCATTTTACCTGGGCAAGGAGGCTGTGTGGTCCAGTCTAGTCTGACACATTGAGTCTGTTTCTACCTGGAGCTCTTTGCAGAGCAAGTGTGATGTGGATTGGCTGGGGCGGGGGGCGGGGGGAGGTGGGGGGGTGGGATTGCTCTTCAGCTTCCTCTCTACCCTCCTCTTCTGACCTTTTCACTGAATGACAGCTGTGCATGTGCAGAGGCTAGGGGCAAGGGTGAGAGCTCTCTGTAAGTTCTCACCCACCTCCAAGGTAAGGGTCCCTTCCAGTCTCAGGGCTTTGGGCTGCTTGTGATTTCTCCCCACCCCCAGTATAACATCTGGCATAACTACAGTACAATTTCAAAACTAAGAAAGTGGCATTTGTCCAATCTACAGAATGTATTAATCTTTTCCCAGTTTTTACATGGACTACTTTGTGGGAGTGCATGTGTGTGTAGTTGTATTCAATTTTATCAAATGTATAGATTCACATCACCCACATCACCACCATCACAATCAAGGTACAGCACTTTTCCCTCACCATGTGAGAATGGCCTTCAGCTACTCTTCGGTTGTTGGAGCCCAGTCTCCATCCCTAATCCCAGGCTATCTCAAATCACTTCTCCATCTTTGTAATTTTGTCATTTTGTGAATGTTATATAAATAGATCTGTACAAGAAGTAACCTTTTGAATCTGGCTTTTTTTTTTTTTCACTCAGCATAATAGCAAATGTTTTTTGAGCTCTTCTCTATGCCAGATGTCATGTCCAACTGTGAGTATGGCATGTTCTCACTTATAAGTGGGAGCTAAACAGTGGGTGCACATGGTCATACACAGTGGAAAAATGACAATGGAGACTCCAAAAGGTAGAAGGGTGGGAGGGGGATGAGGGTTGAAAAATTACCTATTGGTTACAATATTGATGCAGTATATGCATGTAAGAAACCTGTACTTGTGCACCCTAAGTATATAAAAAGAAAAAGCTTTAACAATAAAAGAAACTCTGGGTATAAAAGTGTCAAATTCTGCATTTTCGCTCCAGCTAGTCAACTTGCTAGGTTGGTCTGCTTCGTTATTGAGGGGGAAAATGTCCCCAAATTAAGTCAACAGACCATTTTTCTGGTGTCAGACTTTGCCTCTTTTTCATATTGACTTAAGTTTCCCAGTGCACTTTCTTCCTCAAGCCAAATGTTTTCAGCATCGTAATTAAGAAGTATATGAAGAGGCTGTGAGAGTATTTTAATGGAAACAGCTCCACAAACACCAAATTGCCCTTTATTGCAGTGGTAGCCTGGAAATGTTAATTGAGACCTGGTGTGGGTTCATTGCTTTTGTTTCCATCTATCTCCAAAAGCTCCACCCCCAGCTTCATGGGTGAGTTTTTGGAAAAAGGTTAACTGTTAACTCTGTGACTATCTATAGCCAGCAGATGGGTGGGGAAAAAAAAATCAAGGAATATAAGATGGTATGTTATCTGTTTGCCCATGTACTGAGAGAAAATCTCAGTCTATGAAAGTACAAGGTAGACAGTAGAAAATTTTGTTGTTTTGCAAAAAGGTTGAGATCCTGATAGACTGGTTTCTAGCCTCATAGTTGTTACTAAGAAGCTGTGTCCTAGCAGCCAGTCACTGAACTGCTTCAACCTTTTCTGTGGAAGGAAGGCTTTGGATTATTTGACCTTTAAGTTATTCTATAGATAGAAACAATACTTCTGTTTCTGTTTGGAGATCCTAGTTTATACAGTCATTTCATCTTAAGAATACCAAAACTGAGACTACTTGAAAGGCCAGTGGAACCCCTTATGGCCCCATTGCCTACTCTCTAGACTCATCTGCAGCTGTACCCCCTACTCTGTCTTCCTGTGCTCCCTAGGAGGAGTGTCCCTGCTGCTGTCAAAAGCCAACCTCTTCTTCGATGCTTTAGGGTCCAGCCTTTAGCCCTTGCAAGGTCTTTGCTCCTGCAGGTCTCTTCCTCTTTGGTATCACTTCTTTTCTGTCTGCTGGCTTGTTAACCCAGATATATGAATGAGCGCTAGGTATCTCTTATAAATAAACAGCTCTCTTCAGGTGCCAGATCCTCCTCCAGCTGATATCCTCCTCTTCTTCTTCCCTTCACAGCAAAAAATGTGTAAGTGTTGCCCACACTTGCTGTTTCTTGTTCCTTATCTCCAAATCTCTCCACAACTTGCTCCAATTAGGTTTTTGTTTTCATCAAGCCAATAAAACTGGTCTTGTTTTTAACAACCTTCACGTGGTCAAGTTTAAGAGGTCCTTTTCTGTCTTCATTGTAGTGACTACTCATCATCTTTGACCTTCCTCCTGCCTTCATCTCTGCAATGCCATTTTCTTTGGGTCATTCCTCCTTATTCTGTACTGGATTTCCTTCCTCGGAGTGATGAGACTCCTCTGGGTTTTGTCCTGAGCCCTTTTTACCTCTCTCTCAATACTCCGTCTAGGTTTCTTACCCAGACCCATGGCTTTAAGAACATCTGAATGCTGATGATTGACATGTGTGTGTCATTGACCCTGTCCCCTGCTCATGTATGAAGTATTCAACATGATTTCTCAACATTTTATTTTTCTCAAAATTCTCAACAATTTATTTTTCTTCCCAAACCTCCTTTTCTCTGTATGCTGACCTAGTTTCTCTAACCAGCATTCTAGGCGCTAGGCCAGAACTGAATGTTCCCTTTTCTCTCATGGGCCACACTGAATCCAAGTCCTTTGGGTTATCTCCTAAATGTATTGCAAATTTTTCCATCTAATCATCTCCACTTTCACCTCTCTAGTCAACATCATCACCATGTTTCACCTAACTATTGTCAAGCATCTGTAACTGATCTCTGTACTTTTATTCTTGGCCATACTTCATTTTCCACAGAACAGCCAAAGGGATTTAAAAAATGAAACCCAAATCAAATCAGATTATATCACTTACCTGCTTAAAACTTTCCATTATCTTTTGTGTTTTGGATAATATTCAGACTTTTCACCAGGACCCAAAGCAAGCTGCGTCATCTGGCTTTCTTCTACCTTTCCAACTGTCACTCTATCACTCTCCTGGCTCACTGGGCTCAAGCCAAGCTATGTCTTCCTTCTATTCCTCAAACAAGTCAAGCCCTTTTACACCTCTTGGCCTTTGTGCTTACATCCCTTTGCCTGGCATGCCCTTTCTTATAGTCTTTGTATGGCTACCAACTTAGTCACATTTTGACCTAAACATCAGCTCCTCAGAGACCTGCCCTAATCACCTTTCCTAAAATGCCTTTCCCAATCTCCACAACTGTTCATCATGTATCCTGTATATTTCCTTCCTAGAATGTATCACCCTCTGTAATGGTTTTGTTTTACCTGTTTATACTAGTTTAGTAGCTTTTTCTTCCTTATCTCTCTACCCTTTGTTCCAAGAACAGGAATACATTTAAAAATAACTTCTTTTTTAATGTTATTTTTGGCATAAAAAGAAAATAATAGTAATGTTAATAGTAGCAAACATTGAAGTTGTGCTTAGCCTGGAGCAGGTGCTCTGCTTTCTAGGCTCGGCAATGGCTACTCACTTTCCAAAGGTACTACAGCCAGAAGAGGCAGGTTTGGACAAACCATGCCCCTTATTATTATCATTATTAATGGTAATAATTATGCATTATTAGCATTAATTATTAGCAATGCAATAATAATTCACATTATTAATGCTGACCCTTTTTCATTATAGGTAGCATAGCAAAGAAAAGAACATAGTGTATAGTGATAAACCCCAGCTCTGCCTCTTACCTAATGTGGGAGCTTGGACATTTCTGAGCTTCAGTTTCTTAGTGATAAAAGGGGACAATAACAACTATCACCCAAGGTCTTAGGAGGATCTAATCAGATCCATAGCTCCCTCACAGTGCTAAATGAATGAATGTATTAAGTATCCAGCACAGACTCTGGCACTCTGTAATTAGTATTATGTGTTATTATCTTTGGACTTTGGCTTTTGTCTAGGTTGAAGGCAAGGGTCATATCTTTTCTGTAAATGAGATCCACTGAAAATGCACAGTGAATCCTAGGGCTGGCTAACACCCAGGTGTACATCATTTAGCCGCTTCCTTCCTTCCCTTCCAAGACCTTTGGCCAACCTCTCTTCCAGAAACCCAGTTCTCCTGTGTGTCCCCTGCCCTGAGGTTCTAGACCCAGAGGTCTGCTCTTTCGTGCTCCCTTCCCAAGCATGACTTTTTTTGTGGCTCCTGTGGCTGGCTGTCAAACTGGGAAGCAGTCTGATAAATGAATCCTATCTAGGGGTAAAATGATGGATAATGTTTGAAAGTGCTACTACATTGGCATTTTAACAGAGGACTTACGGAGAGGCAAGGCTTGAAACCTAAAGGTCGTCTCTCTCCTGCTGGAAATCCTAGCCCAGTGGCAGGTTGGAGGGGAGAAGCAGTAAGGAATATTTGGGGGCCAAGAAGGTTTCCTAGAGCCTGTAAATCATCCCTCCAACAGGCAGTTGCTATCTCAGCTTTTTGTATAAGACGGGCCCTGCATGCTCACAAAGGGCACTCAGGAAGTAATTTACTGATGATTAGGATACTTCCACTGAATAATGGAAAGCATCATCCAGGTGCACATCTGTTCTTCATTTGGTCCAGGGGAGCTGAAGTCAGAGGGGTCTGCTACAATTACAGGTAAAAACCTGATGCAGCTATTTACTAGAAGCCAGCCAACCCTGAATGCTCAATTACCTAGGACTAGATAGTGTTTCCCAGCAAGAGGAGAAGAGCAAAAAAAGTTTCTATCAACTTCTATTAGAAATTGACTAAAAAAAGAAACATGCAGGGTATATCTTAAGGTCATACCTGAACATGGATATATGTGTGTGTGTGTATAAAACTTTTATTTTTGGAATACCTTTAGATTTATAGAAAAATTGCAAAGATGCTACAGGGTTCCTGTATATCCTTCACCAAGCTTCCCTTAATGTTATACTCTAGATATTTGGAGTTGTAACTTTTTGTCTCAGGAAAATCTTTCATTTATCATCTAGTTTTTGGGAACTCACTGTGTGCCAGGCACTGTGCTAGACACTAGGGATAGAATGATGAATAAGACAGACTTTGCCCCTTGCTTCATGAGTTTCATAGTCTAGCTTAGTGCTTTCTTTTCTTTTCTTTACTTTTCTTTTCTCTTTTCTTTTCTTTTCTTTTCCTTTCCTTTCCTTTCCTTTCCTTTCCTTTCCTTTCCTTTCCTTTTCTTTTTCTTTC
Organism: Homo sapiens; assembly: GCF_000001405.40. Classification (NCBI taxonomy): domain Eukaryota; kingdom Metazoa; phylum Chordata; class Mammalia; order Primates; family Hominidae; genus Homo; species Homo sapiens. Next base: position 5,360,710 of record NC_000003.12, read on the forward strand.
TTCTTTCCTTCCTTCTAGCTGGAGGTTCACTCTTGTCGCCACCTCCGCCTCTTGGGTTTAAAGCAATTCTCTTGCCTCAGCCTCTGGAGTAGCTGGGATTACAGGCACCTGCCACCACGCCTGCCTAATTTTTGTATTTTTAGTAGAAGCGGGGTTTTGCCATGTAGGCCAGGCTGGTCTCAAGCTCCTGACCTCAGGTGATCCACCTGCCTCGGCCTCCCAGAGTGCTGGGATTACAGGTGTGAGCCACTGTGCCCAGAAGCTTAGTGGTTTTCAAGGTGTGTGGTGTCTGTAACACTAGCACCACTTGGGAACTTGTTAGGACTACAAATTCTCAGGACCCACTTCAGACCTGAATCAGAAACTCCAGGGGTGAGGCCCAGTGATGTGTAGTTTCACAAGCAATCCAGGCGATTATAAAATATGGTTAAGTTTGAGAACTAATGCTCTAGTGGGGAGAAACAAATATGAAGTGGTTAGTTACAAATAATGATGTGATTTTATCACAGGAGACAGAACTATAGTCCCACACAGTTGAACAGTTCACCTAGTCTGAAGATAGACAAGGCCTGGCCGAGGAAGGGGTTCTTAAGCTGCCATCTGTAGGCTGATGAGAAGTTGTCCAAGTGGATTGGAGAAAATGTGTCCTGGGCTGGATAATTGGAACCAGGGTGAGAGAGACTTGACATTGAGATCTTGCCTCTTCAACCCCTGTAAAAATTGTGAGTTAGAAAAGATTAGTTTTTGGTCTGAACTCAGTTTAACTCGAAAATCCAATTAACTAGCTCTTTGTATTCTCCAAATATTTCAGTTCATCCGGATTTTAAAAACCAAGTGTATATTGCATTTAGAGGATGCTGTGATAAAAAAGGAGGAGCTTTGAAATTGGGGATGAGAGACCCATTCTTGTCCAGACTCTGCTCCCATTGGCACAATTAGCCTGTGGGGGCAATTCAACTTCACTGCCTCATTGTCCTTACCTGTAAAATGAGAGGGTTGGAACTTCCAGCCATTTTCTTTTTGATTTCATGATCCAGAATTAGCTATAAATGTCATTATACTGCTGTTTACTTTTAGAAAGTACTTTTCTATTCATTTAGTTCAGTAGCTAATTCTGCACATTGCCTACTGGCTGGCAACTTTAAGAGAGATTTTCTATTCTTTTCTCTAAAATTACTGCCATAAGTTTATCCCACAAGGATATATTATTGCTCTAATGATCTGGTAATTATCAGGTAATGAAACGAGCAATGGTAAGTATATTATTAAGAGCAGTTGCTGCATGGAATATTTTTGTCATGCAATTAAAAGTGTTACTTATATTTCAGTAATGCATATGAAGTTACATGCTGAGGAGAATGGAAATAGAGAATATCCTTCCTTCTTTTGCTGAACTAAGTCTTAAAATCCGTATATTAAAAAGTTGAAAGAGTCTGATTCCATGGGCTGGAGTTTAAAGCCAAGCTTTATCTTGGAGTAGGCAATGTGCCCTGCTATCATTAATTAGAGCTCTTCCCTCCAGGAGAGTTGGGAATGTTGTTCCCAAGCTGGATTAGGCCGTCACGTTTCTAAGCTGACCATCCTGACTTAACTGGTTCCTCTTCATGCTCTACTGGGTTCATTAGGAGAGTAATAATCCTGATGGGTAGAGAGCTCTCCACTGAGTGAGGCACAGAAAAGGCCCTCAATAAGAATAAATTACATTTTAATCAAACTATAGTCACGCTACTACTTCTGCATCTGCGGCTGATTTGTGGACATCAGAATGAGCCATATAGTGCTCAGGCATCTGCATTTTGAAGAACTTTGCATAAGTGTAGAGATTCACAAGTATTAATTTTGGCCTCTTGGATTTTAACCTTTGATTTTAGTAACCCCCATACTGGTCTTTATTTTCTTTCAATATGACATGTCTCAGAAATGTTTCACAAGACGAATGAGAAGTTACCAGGCAGTAGCTAGAAACAGTTGGATTCTTTCCAGGCTCAGTTGTCCCTTGTCTGCACTGACAATTGTGTTATGTGGTTTATTTCCTATGTATGCATGCGTAATTTTCCATTCTTGACTTTAAGCTCCTTGAGGACAGGATCCATATCTGATTCGCCTTGGTGTGATATTAGCTAGCACTTCAGGGTACTAACTTTGAGGGAGGCATTTTGCATTTCACTTGTTATTCCCCATACCTCTATAAACAGGGCTGCAAAACATCCTAGCAATAAATTGAGGCCTTGTCTGTGAGGTAAGAATTACTAGTCCCATTTTATAGATGAGAAAACTGAGGTGCAGAGAGATTCAATAATTACCTTAGGGACACTGAGCTAGTTAGTGCTAGAACCAGCATTCAAATCCTTTTCTCTCCAACTCAAGTCTGTGCTCCTAAATTTTGTCTTACAGTGGCATGGGCCCTCTAACTCTTGGGAACTCAATAAATAATTGTAGAAATCCAGGAATAATTCTCCATCTAGACGGCATAGCAAGCTGGTGTATTCTGGGGAAGGTGAAAATGCATTGGGGGCTAAGTGGTGTGAACTTGGAAAGTATTAATATGTAGACAGAATCTGAGAGAGAGTTTTTTTTTTTTTAGGTAGAATAAAGGAAATGCATCTCTAATTACCTGAGTAAACCATGGGATCTACTGTATTGCTTGTCTACCTTAGTGATGCTCAAAGCCAACCATCTCTGGTAGAAGCAATATTGTTCTTGAGCTTGTTTGCTTTCCATATTGCGTGGTTGATTATATCACTTCAGGTCTGCTATCACACTTCTTAATTGTTGTTAGCTTGTTCTGTTGAAACTGCTTCTTTGCCCAAGGTAGTCTTCATAGGTTAGGGGTTCAGTTCTAGATAGAAAAATTACTAAGAGGGGGAGTCATGGGACTACATCATTCCATTCCACTCCATGCCATTTCGTTCCATTGAAATTCTTTCCATGTTGCTCTATTCTATTTCATTCTACAGACATCTCTTGAGTACTATGTGCTGCCAAGCATGGTATTAGATACTGAAGACACAGTGAGGATCAGGTTAGGTATAGCCTCTGCCTTACCTAGGTTGGTGTCTACTGGAGAGGCAGATAAGAAAACAGCCAGTTGCGATGCAGATAGGTAAGCCTGATGAATGGAATACTACAGGGAGGATAAGAGCTCAGAATGTCATGGGGTTGGGGCTTAACTCATGAGTCAGAGAAGGTACTTAGAGTGACTGAGATCTGAGAGGGGAAGAATCAGCCAGACAAAGGGCATTTTAGTGATCCAGTAACAGAAGCAAGTTGAAGACATACTCTAACTCTCTATATTTTTCACTCTCAAAAGATTCAGCTTGCTTGCATGGAGATCTCCAGTCTGCTGAACTGGAAGCAGGTTATAATGCTAGACCTGTGTTTCTTCTTAGAAACCTGAGCAGTGTAGAATGACAGCACTTGTTAACAAGGTGAGGTGGTCTGACGCTCAGAGGGCCCAATAAGGTTCAGGATGGGTGCTACGGTTTGAATAATGCTGTCCCCTCCAAAATTCATGTTGAAACTTAATCCCCAATGTAACAATCTGTAGAGGTGTGTCCTTTGGGAGGTGATTAAGTTATTAGGGCTTCACCCTCATAAATGTGACTAGCACCTTTATAACTGGGCTCAAGATCAAAGGGAACCTGTTCCTGCCCTTCCGTCTCTTCCACCATGTGAGGACACAGAATTCATCCCTTCCTGAGCATACAGCAACAAGGCGCCATCTTGGAAACAGAGAATGGGCCCTCGCCAGGCACCAAACGTTGGCATCTGGATCTTTGACTTCTCAGCCTCCAGAAGTGTGAGATGTAAACTTCTATTCTTTATAAATTAATGAGTCTATAGTATTTTTTATAACTGCACAAATGGACTAAGTGGGGGAAGAGGGAAGAATAGAGAATTAGAATATTTCTAGATTCATTTGTCTTTCTGAAGGAAACCCCAAACTTAATTTCTGGAAAATGCTTTTTTTTTCTTTTTTTTCTCCTGGTCAGATTTGTTTTGCCTGAGTTAAAGAGAGGGCTTTTCACCTCCCCCATTTGACCATGTTTCTATGGATTCAGCTTGAATATGGTTGGCCTCATGTACATTTAACAACATATTCCTCATTCTCAAGGAACATTCTGTAGAGACTCGTTCAAATAGATAACCAGCTGTTTTAGATCCTAAATTCTGAGGACACTGTTTTGCATTTTCTCTACTTTAAAATTCTTTACATTTTCTTCTTATTACATTTGTGACAATCACAGGTGCTAGCATCATCAACACCTGTTCACCCCTCTTTTGATAAAGTGATGGTACTCCAAATGTGGAGCAGTCTTTGGTATTGAGCCGTATTGGAGAGGATATTGAGGTCAGGATGGCTTCTTAAGGGCCTCAAACCAACTTGTGATCATGAAGATTGTGAAATTGGGATATAAGAGGGTTTACATGTTTTAATTTTGTATAGGAAATGTCACAGTAATTGCTATAAAAATAACTAGGAAGATTTTCTCTCAAATGATGTATGTAAATGTATATTCTCCTTGACTTCACTGCTATTTTCTTGTCACTTAAACAATAAAATTATTTCTAGTTTTTGTATCTCAAAATATCTGAACTCTGTTTAAAATATCAGTGAATTTTTAATCAAAGTTTTAAAGCTTATTTGACTAAGAAAGCTGACATCATTTCTACCACTGCCACTGAATACTATATGTAATATTGTCATCTTAATCATCTGTACATATCTATTATAATCTTTTTTACTTCTGATATTCTAAAACACAGCTTTAAGATGAATCAGTGTAAAATTATTAAGGCTTTGTGTAGTAAAGAATTTGCCTTGCTCAAAAAGAGCTCTGGACTTTGTCCTCAGCTTCTCGAAGGCAACCTATGTCATATCTGATAGGAGTGTCTTTGTTTTGGACAATGGCTGGACACACCAGAAAGATTAACCATGTGATCTAGGGTAGGGGTTTAGGGCCACACTATCAACCTGGAAAGTGATATCAGCCATGTGGGCCATCAGTCAATCAAGCCTATGTAAGGGAAGCCTTTTATGGGTTGAATCATGCGCCCCCCAAAAGATATGTTGAAGTCTTAAACTCCAGTATCATGGAATGTGACCTTTGGAAATAGGGTCATTGTGGATGTAATTCATTAAGATGAAGCCATCCACCATCCAATATGACTGGTGTCCTTATGAAAAGAGGAGAGAGACACGTGGAAGGAGAATGTCATGTGGCGATGGAGGCAGAGATGGGAATGGATGTAGCTGCGATGAGGAATGCAGACAAACACCAGAAACTAGAAGAGGCAAAGAGGGATTGTCCCTACAGGTTTCAGAGGGAGTGAGGCCCTGCTGACACGTTGATTTCAGTTGTCCATCCTCTAGAGCAGTGGGACAAAAACATTGAGTTGTTTTAAGCCACCCAATTTATGGTATTTTTTTTTATGGCAGCCTTAGGAAATGAATACAAGCCCCAATAAAAACTTTGAACATAGAAACTCAGATGAGCATCCCTGGCTGACAATTTCATGCGTATTGTCACACATTGATGCCGAGAGGGTAATGTCCTGAGCACAGTGGAAGCTTCATGTTTGGTGCCCTCTCAGATTCTGCCCTCTTCCTTTGGCTGATTTTAATTTGTATCCTTTCCCTATAATAAACCATAACCATGTATATAATTGTTTTCAGGGAGTTTTGTGAGTCCTGGAGAATTATTGAACCAGAGGGTGGTTTTCGAGAAACCCCTGAACTTGCGGTTGGTGTCAGAAGTGAGAGTAGTCTTAGGAGTCTTTTGTGGACTCTCCCCTCTACCTTCCTAGCTGGGCTCTAACCCCTTGCTGTAGGTATCAGGAGTCTAGGGCTGGCCTGGCAGTCTAGAGGACTGTGTCCTCAAATCACAACTTTAGACCAACTCCACAAAGGCTCTGTAAAACAATCGGATAGATCCACATAACTATGACTGTCTTTGGCTTTTCTTTTACAATTCTTGGTTATAGAGTACAGAGTTCCCATGCGCTGTGTAACTCACCCATGTCTGCCTGGGTGAATTTAGCTATCATCAGGGCCCATGGCCAAACTGCAGCATAATTACATTTGTCATCTTTTTTTCTTTATTCTGTGTCCTCCTTCTAAATGACACCCTATTACTCTAACCCAAAGCCTTCCTACTGATCTGTGATTATTTAAGACCCTGCCCTGACTCCCATATACATGCACATGCTTACAAATTCACCCCCATTTCCTCTTTCTGATGGAAGGCCTTTGCTACTTCCTCTCTCACTAACTCAAAACTGATTTTCTAAGTAGCTTATAAAAGATTGGTATTGGATGATTTATTAATATAATTGCCATTAATGTAAATAACTAGCCTTAATCTTTTCAAGAGATGCTTCTGTTCATGGGTCCTCTCCTCATAAAAACAAAGCAAGACTCTTGCTGTCATTCCTTCTTTGCATCTAAGAATGACAAGTAAGTTACTTTTAATAAGAATATAATAGCCCCAAGTTTCTGCAGACTTGGAGTTTGTTGACAGAGGAACCAAGGGCAAACACGGTTGTCTTCCCTATTTTTAAATATAGGTAACATTGCTTGATTATCCAATCTTACCTTTAATGACTTGCCTATGTCCATTTACACATTAGTAAATGGACATATTACTAAGCATATCAATAAGTAAATGGACATGTTACTAAACATACATATTCCTAAATACCTTACTTTTAATAACTTGCCTATGCCCATTACTAGTGTGTAAATGGACATAGCCAAGAGTATTAGGGTTCTCTAGAGGGACAGAACTAATAGATATATATAAAAAGGTGAGTTAATTAAGTACTAACACACATGATCACAAGGTCCCATGATAGGCTGTCTACAGGCTGAGGAGCAAGGAGAGCCAGTCCGAGTTCTAAAACTGAAGAACTTGGAGTCTGGTGTTTGAGAGCAGGAAGCATCCAGCACGGAAGAAAGGTGCAGGCTGGGAGGCTAGGCCAGTCTCTCTTTACATTTTTCTGCCTGCTCATATTCTAGCCACACTGGCAGCTGGTTAAGGTTGCATCCACCCAGATTAAAGGTGGGTCTGCCTTTCCCAGCCCACTGACTCAAATGTTAATCTCCTTTGACAACACCCTCACAGACACACCCAGGATCAGTACTTTGTATCCTTCAATCCAATCAAGTTGACATTCTGTATTAACTATCACAGCAAGTTACTAAAGGTAAGATACTTAGGATGTTATTTAACCTCTCAGTACCTCAGTTTCTTTAATTCCTGTGTAAACAGCACTTACAGGGTCATTGTAAGGATTAAAGGACTTAGTGTGTAAAGAGCTCAGAAAGCAGTGATCAACTTATAAGTGTTAACTATTATTTGTCTTCTTAGAATTTTTTTAAAGCTTTGGGTCCTCTACTTATGCTTTTCTACCTTGCTTCCTGGCAGTTAAGACTTTAATAAAGTATGACAATTTTCTCAAAAAGATAACATATTCTAATACAGATTCAGGATGTACATTAATTCATAAAAAAAGTCAGGAAGAGGCAGAGGTTTATTTGACACTGTAAGACTGTAGAATATGAAGCAGTCTACCACACAATAAAATCGGGACACTAAGGCATTATAATTAGGTATTTTTAAAAGTAGAAATGAAAAGTTTACTTTGAATATTACAATAAATTATATCACTTTATGGTTGGGTAGCATTTTAAAGTTTTTTTCATACATCATTTGAATGAGTTTCCTCTATCAAAGAAGTGAGCATGGCAGGTACATCAAGACTTATTTTAAAGTAGGATTTGGCGTCTCATTAAAGTGTAATGTGTAATGACTTGTCCAGAAGTATTGTCTCTATTTGGGAAGGAATTTAAATTGTTGAGCTGTTAAAGGGGAACCACCTTGATCTACATAATTTGTTGATGTCTAAATTTAATGTTTAGTTTCAGTGATTTAGTTCAAACGATTGTAATAACTTTGGTGTTAATTGACGTTAGCTGGAACAGAAAAGAACACATTGGATTCTCTGAGTCTTTCGGCTATCTAATATTTTTGAACATTATACTCAAAAATAGTGAAATAAGACTCTTTAGATACTTTAAAAAATAGACTGACTTTTTTAGGAAGCTAAGGAGGAAAAAATACTTTTGAAAGCTTTCTCTCCTTTTTAAACTTATGAAATACTCCATATGTTTAGTAAAAAGATTCAGGTTGAATGTGCAGCACTCAACTCTGGATGAAAGAAGTGGGATTTTTAACATAACTGTCAATTCTGAAAGGCAAATAATCTCATTATTAAAGACCTTGGCAGTTCAAATTGTTACCGAAGTTTTATGAATGCAAAGGATGTATAATTTCAATTAGGATGAAAGCACCTCATTCCTTTGATTCAACAACAACAAAAAATACTTGGATGCTTCTACTTTTAAAGCAAGTTGTTGGATAGTTGCAACTGATCAAGCATAGCATTTTTCTATGCAATCTTTCAGTTTTATTTTTTGTATGTATTCATTAGGGCAAGGTAGGCCCCAAAGGCTAGGATTATGAGCAGTGGTTTTTTTGTTGTTGTTGTCTTGTCATCTTTTTTTTTTTTTCAATGAAACCTATTCTTACACAGCATAGCTGTTTCACATTAGAAAGAAGCACTGATTCAGGCCAACACAATGGCCCTGAATTCAGGCCAAAATTAGTCTTGACCCATCTACCATCCTTTTTGGGTAACCTCCTCCAGATCAGGGCTCTGTCTGTCTGCCTAAAGAACTAACAGTGCTTGTTCCTTCTATTCTAGTTTCTTTTCTCAGGAAGCACTTGGAATATTTATTCACACTAAGCTATTAGTGGCTTAAGGTTATTTTTCCCTGTGAATAAATATATATTTTAAAAGAGGTCAGCCCTGGCTGAGTGTGATGGCTCATGCCAGTAATCCCAGCACTTTGGGAGGCTGAGGTGGGTGGATCACCTGTCAGGAGTTTGAGACCAGCCTGGCCAACATGGTGAAACCCCATCTCTACCAAAATACAAAAATTAGCTGGGCATGGTGGCAGATGACTGTAATCCCAGCTACTTGGGAGGCTGAGGCAGGAGAATTGCTTGAACTCGGGAGGCGGAGGTTGCAGTGAACCGAGATGACGCCATAGCACTCAAACCTGGGTGACATAGCAAGACTCCATCTCAAAAAAAAAAAAAAGAGGTCAGCCCCAAAGAATATTACCTTCAAGTGGTGAAATATGAGGTGTTTTAAATGGGAAAATTTTTGGTATCCTTCAGAGTCCTGTATCCATTCTGCCGCATAGTAGTAGATAGTGTCTGCCTCTAAATAAAACCGATCGTGTTGGTAAAAAGAAAATTATTATGAAACTGACATTGTGGAACATGAGCTACTCTGCATGAAAGCTGTACATAAATGAACAAATAATTCTTGAAGATTGACTATGTACCACCACCATTTTTCTACCCATCTTAACCTTATTTATTTATTTGTGTCCCGATTCATGATTTTTATACATTTAAAAAATCATACATCAGGACACACTTAAAAATTATTTTCTGATTTGTGTGTGTTTAATATAAACAGTCTTCCGAAAGTATTGCAGTTACATCACTTTTAGGTATGCCTTTGATGTAATGTTATTGTTGCAAAGGGAAAAAAAAAATCACACAAAATGCTGGACTGAGGGCTGCTGTGGGCAGTGTAGAATTGGTGAAGAGCTCTGGTCTTGGAGTCAAACAGATGTTGGGAAAGTGACTTTTTCCTTTAAACTACATTGTTGAGGTATGGTTGACATATGAAAAGCTGTGTATCCTATGTGCGTAACTCCATGAGTCTGGGGATAACTAAATGCCCATGAAACCATTATCACCATCAAGGCTGTGAACACATCTATCATCTCCCAGAGTTTCCTTCTACTCACTTTATTATTATGATTTAAGTTATAGTAACATAATTATAATATGTTTTTGTGGAAAGACCACTGAACATAAGGTCCACCCTTTTAGCAGATTTTAAGTATACAAGGCAGTATTGTCAGCTACAGGCACTGCTGTGTAGTAGATCTCCAGAACGTACTCATCCTGCACACCTAAAATTTGGTCCCTTTGAGCATCCTGTCCTTGTTTCCCCCTCCCTCCATCCCCTGGCAACCACCATTCTATTCTGTACTTTTCTTTTCTTTTTTTTTTTTTAGGCAGAATCTTGCTTTGTTGCCCAGGCTGGAATGCGGTGGTGCGATTTCAGCTTACTGCTACCTCCGCCTCCTGGGTTTAAGCAATTCTCATGCCTCAGCCTCCAAAGTGTAGCTGGGATTACCGGTACACGTGACCACGCTTGGTTAATTTTTGTATTTTTAGTAGAGATGGGGTTTTTTCATGTTGGCCAGGCTGGTCTGGAACTCTTGGCCTCAAGGGATCCACCCACCTTGGCCTCCCAAAGTGCTAGGATTATAGGCGTGAGCCACTGTGTCCAGCATACTCGGTACTTCTGTGAGTTTATTTTAGATTTCACATATAAGTAAGATTATATAATATGTTTTTCTGTGTCTTGCTTATTTCACTTAGTATAATGTCCTCCATGTTCACCCATGATATGCAAACAGCAGGATTTCCTTCTTTTGTGTATATACACCACGTTATTCATTATGTATATACACCACCTTTTCTTTATTCATTCATCTATTAATGAACATTTAGGTTATTTTTTATAGCTTTGCTATTGTGAATAATCCTGAAATGAACACGGAGATGCAGATATCTCTTTGAGGTAGTGATTTTTCTTTCCTGTAATTTTGATTCTGTTTTCAGTTTTTTTTTTTAATTTAAGTTCTAGGGTACATGTGCATAAAGTGCAGGTTTGTTACATAGGTATACATGTGCCATGTTGGTTTGCTGCACCCATCAACTCATCATTTACATTAGGTATTTCTCCTAATGCTATCCCTCCACCAGCCTCCTAACCCTTGACAGGCCCCAGTGTATGATATTACCCTCCCTGTGTCCATGTGTTCTTGTTGTTCACCTCCCACCTGTGAGTGGGAACGTGCGGTGTTTGGTTTTCTGTCCTTGTGATAGTTTGCTGAGAATGATGGTTTCCAGCTTCATCCATGTCCCTGCAAAGGACATGAACTCATCCTTTTTCATGGCTGCATAATATTCCATGGTGTATATGTGCCACATTTTCTTTATCCAGTCTATCATTGATGGACATTTGGGTTGGTTCCAACTCTTGGCTATTATGAATAGTGCTGCAATAAACATACATGTGCATGTGTCTTTATAGCAGCATGATTTATAATCCTTTGGGTATATACCCAGTAATGGGTTGGCTGGGTCAAATGGTATTTCTAATTCTAGATCCTTGAGGAATCGCCACACTGACTTCCACAATGGTTGAACTAGTTTACAGTCCCATCAACAGTGTAAAAGTGTTCCTATTTCTCCACATCCTCTCCAGCATCTGTTGTTTCCTGACTTTTTAATGATCGCCATTCTAACTGGTGTAAGATGGTATCTTATTGTGGTTTTGATTTGCATTTCTCTGATGACCAGTGATGATGAGCATTTTTTCATGTGTCTGTTGGCTGCAGAAATGTTTTCTTTTGAGAAGTGTCTGTTCATATTCTTTGCCCACTTTTTGATGGGGTTGTTTTTTTCTTGTGAATTTGTTTAAGTTCCTTGTAGATGCTGGATATTAACCCTTTGTCAGATGGGTAGATTGCAAAAATTTTCTCCTATTCTGTAGGTTGCCTGTTTACTCTGATGATAGTTTCTTTTGCTGTGCAGAAGCTCTTTAGTTTAATTAGATCCCATTTGTCAATTTAGGCTTTTGTTGCCATTGCTTTTGGTGTTTTAGTCATGAAGTCTTTGCTCTTGCCTATGTCCTGAATGCTATTGCCTAGCTTTTCTTCCAGAGTTTGTATGGTGTTAGGTCTGACATTTAAGTCTTTAATCCATCTTGAGTTAATTTTTGTATAAGGTGTAGGGAAGGGATCCAGTTTCAGTTTTCTACATATGGCTAGCCAGTTTTCTCAGCACCATTTATTAAATAGGGAATCCTTTCCCCATTGCTTGTTTTTGTCAGGTTTGTCAAAGATCAGATGGTTGTAGATGTGTGGTGCTATTTCTGAGGCCTCTGTTCTGTTCCATTGGTCTATATATCTGTTTTGGTACCAGTACTATGCTGTTTTGGTTACTGTAGCCTTGTAGTATAGTTTGAAATGAGGTAGCATGATGCCTCCAGCTTTATTCTTTTGGCTTAGGATTGTCTTGGCAATGCGGGCTCTTTTTCAGTTCCATATGAACTTTAAAGTAGGTTTTTCCAATTCTGTGGTGAAAGTCGGTGGTAGCTTGATGGGGATAGCATTGAATCTATAAATTACTTTGGGCAGTTTGGACATTTTCACAATATTGATTCTTCCTATCCATGAGCGTGGAATGTTCTTCCATTTGTTTGTGTCCTCTTATTTCGCTGAGCAGTTGTTTGCAGTTCTCCTTGAAGACTGCTGAAGTTGCTTATTAGTTTAAGGAGATTTTGGGCTGAGACAATGGGGTTTTCTAAATGTACAATCATGTCATCTGCAAACAGAGACAATTGGATTTCCTCTTTTCCTAATGGAATACCCTTTATTTCTTTCTCTTGCCTTATTGCCCTAGCCAGAACTTCCAACACTATGTTGAATAGGAGTGGTGAGAGAGGGCATCCTTTCTTGTGCTGGTTTTCATAGGGAATGCTTCCAGTTTTTGCCCATTCAGTATGATATTGGCTGTGGGTTTGTCATAAATAACTCTTATTATTTTGAGATTATTCAGAGTTTTTAGCATGAAGGGCTGTTGAATATTGTCGAAGGCCTTTTCTGCATCTATTGTGATAATCGCGTGGTTTTTGTCTTCGCTTCTGTTTATGTGATGGATTACATTTATTGATTTGCGTACGTTGAACCAGCCTTCCATCTCAGGTAGGAAGTCGAATTGATCATGGTGGATACGCTGTTTGATGTGGTGCTGCATTCAGTTTGCCAGTATTTTATTGAGGATTTTTCCATTGACGTTCATCAGGGATATTGGCCTAAAATTCTCTTTTTTTTAATTGTGTCTCTACCAGGCTTTATTATTATTATTATTGTTATTATCAGGATGATGCTAGCCTCATAAAGTGAGTTAGGGAGGATTCCCTCTTCTTCTATTGATTGGAATAGTTTCTGAAGGAATGGTACCAGCTCGTCTTTGTACCTCTGGTAGAATTCGGCTGTGAATCTATCTGGTCCTGGACTTTTTTTGGTTGGTAGGCTATTAATTATTGCCTCAATTTCAGAAGCTCTTATTGGTCTATTCAGAGATTCAACTTCTTCCTGGTTTAGTCTTGGGAGGGTGTTTGTGTCCAGGAATTTATCCATTTCTTCTGTATTTTCTAGTTTATTTGCATAGAGGTGTTTATAATATTCTCTGATGGTAGTTTGCATTTCTATGGGATTGGTGGTGATATCCCCTTTGTCATTTTTTATTGCATCTATTTGATTCTTCTCTCTTTTCTTCTTTATTAGTCTTGCTAGCAGTCTACCTATTTTGTTGATCTTCAAAAAACTGGCTCCTGGATTCATTGATTTTTTTTTTCAAGGGTTTTCTGTGTCTCTATCTCTTTCAGTTCTGCTCTGATCTTAGTTATTTCTTGCCTTCTGCTAGCTTTTGAATTTGTTTGCTCTTGCTTCTCTAGTTCTTTTGATTGTGATGTTAGGGTGTCAAATTTAGATCTTTCCTGCCTTCTCTTGTGGGCATTTAGTGCTATAAATTTCCCTTTACACACTGCTTTAAATGTGTCCCAGAGATTCTGGTACGTTGTGTCTTTGTTCTCATTGGTTTCAAAGAACATCTTTATTTCTGCCTTAATTTCGTTATATACCCAGTAGTCATTCAGGAGCAGGTTGTTCTGTTTCCATGCAGTTGTGCGGTTTTGAGTGAGTTTCTTAATCCTGAGTTCTAGCTTGATTGCACTGCGGTTTGAGAGACAGTTTGTTGTGATTTCTGTTCTTTTACATTTGCTGAGGAGTGTTTTACTACCAATTATGTGGTCAATTTTAGAATAAGTGCGATGTGGTGCTGTGAAGAATGTATATTCTCTTGATTTGGGGTGGAGAGTTCCGTAGATGTCTATTAGGTCTGCTTGGTTCAGAGCTGAGTTCAATTCCTGGATATCCTTTTTAACCTTCTGTCTCATTGATCTGTCTAATATTGACAGTGGGGTGTTAAAGTCTCCCATTATTATTGTGTGGGAGTCTAAGTCTCTTTGTAGGTCTCTAGGACTTGCTTTATGAATCTTGGTGCTCCTGTATTGGATGCATATATATTTAGGATAGTTAGCTCTTCTTGTTGAATTTATCCCTTTACCATTACCTGGCCTTCTTTGTCTCTTTTGATCTTTGTTGGTTTAAAGTCTGTTTTATCAGAGACTAGGATTGCAACCCCTGCTTTTTTTATTATTATTATTTTTTTGCTTTCCATTTGCTTGGGAGATCTTCCTCCATCCTTTTATTTTGAGCCTATGTACATCTTTGCACATGAGATGGGTCTCCTGAATACAGCACGCCAATGGGTCTTGACTCTTTTCCTATTTGCCAGTCTGTGTCTTTTAATTGGAGCATTTGGCCCATTTACATTTAAGGTTAATATTGTTATGTTTGAATTTGATCCTGTCTTTATGATATTAGCTGGTTATTTTGCCCATTAATTGATACCGTTTGTTCACAGCATTGATGATCTTTACCATTTGGTGTGTTTTTACAGTGGCTGGTATCAGTTGTTCCTTACCATATTTAGTGCTTCCTTCAGCAGCTCTTGTAAGGCAAGCCTGGTGGTGACAAAATCTCTCAGCATTTGCTTGTCTGTAAAGGGTTTTATTTGTCCTTCACTTATGAAGTTTAGTTTGGCTGGATATGAGATTCTTGATTGAAAATTCTTTTAAGAATGTTGAATATTGGCCCCCACTTTCTTCTGGCTTTTAGGGTTTCTGCAGAGAGATGCTGTTAGCCTGATGGGCTTCCCTTTGTGGGTAACCCGACCTTTCTCTTTGACTGCTTTTAACATTTTTTCCTTCATTTCAACCTTGGTGAATCTGACGATTATGTGTCTTGGGGTTGCTCTTCTTGAGGAATATCTTTGTGGTGTTCTCTGTATTTCTTGAATTTGAAAGTTGGCCTGCCGTGCTAGGTTAGGGACGTTCTCCTGGTTAATATCCTGAAGAGTGTTTTCTAACTTGGTTCCATTCTCCCTGTCACTTTCTGATACTCCAGTCAAACGTAGATTTGGTCTTTTCACATAGTCCCATATATCTTGGAGGCTTTGTTCTCTTCTTTTCACTCTTTTCTCTCTAATCTTGTCTTCATGCTTTATTTCATTAAGTTGATCTTCAGTCACTGATATCCTTTCTTCCACTTGATCAAATCGGCTACTGAAGCTTGTGCATGCGTCACAAAGCTCTTGTGCCATGGTTTTCAGCTCCGTCAGGTCATTTAACATCTTCTCTGTGCTGTTTATTCTAGTTAGCCATTTGTCTAACCTTTTTGCAAGGTTTTCAGCTTGCTTGCAATTTGTTAGAACTTGCTCCTTTAGCTCAGAAAAGTTTGTTATTACTGACCTTCTGAAGCCTACTTCTGTCAACTTTTCAAACTCATTCTCCGTCCAGTTTTGTCCCCTTGCTGGCGAGGAGCTGCGATCCTTCGGAGGAGAAGAGGTGCTCTGTTTTTTGGAATTTTCAGCTTTCCTGCTTCTCTGCTTCTCTGGTTTGTCCCCATCTTTGTGGTTTTATCTACCTTTGGTCTTTGATGTTGGTGACCTACAGATGGGGTTTTGGTGTGGATGTCCTTTTCGTTGATGGCCGAATAGGAACAGCTCCAGTCTGCAGTTGTCAGTGAGGTTGACGCAGAAGACGAGTGATTTTTGCATTTCCAACTGAGGTACCTGGTTCATCTCATTGGGACTGGTTGGACAGTAGGTGCAGCCCATGAAGGGAGAGCTGAAGCAGGGCAGGGTGTCGCCTGACCTGGGAAGTGCAAGGGGTCGGGGGATTTCCCTTTACTAGCCATGGGAAGCCGTGACAGACTGTACCTGGAGAAACTGTACACCCTTGACCTAATACTGTGCTTTGCCCACAGTCTTAGCAACCGGCAAGCCAGGAGATAACCTCCACTGCCTGGCTCAGTGGGTCCCACGCCCATGGAGACTTGCTCACTGCTAGCGCAGCAGTCTGAGATCCACCTGCAATGCTGCAGCTTGACGTGGAGGAGGGGCACCTGCCATTGCTGAGGCTTGTGTAGCTTACAGTGTAAACAAAGTGGCCAGGAAGCCCTGACTGGGCGGAGCCCACTGCAGCTCAGCAAGGCCTACTGCCTCTGTAGATTCCACCTCTGGGGGTAGGTCATAGTAGAACAAAAGGCAGCAGACAGCTTCTGCAGACTTAAACATCCCTGGTCTAACAGCTCTGAAGAGAGCAGTGGTTCTCTCAGCATGGCGTTTGAGCTCCGAGAATGGACAGACTGCCTCCTCAAGTGGGTCCCTGACCCCCGTGTAGCCTGACTGGGAGACATCTCCCTATAGAGGCCGACAGATACCTCATACAGGGAGGTGCCCTTCTGGGATGAAGCTTCCAGAGGAAGGATCAGGCAGCAATATTTGCTGTTTTGCAGCCTCCACTGGTGATACCCAGGCAAACAGGGTCTGGAGTGGATCTCCAGCAAATTCCAACAGACCTGCAGCTGAGGGGTCTGACTGTTAGAAGGAAAACTAACAAACAGAAAGGAAGAGCATCCACAGTTTTTAAAATGTATACCCAGAAGTGGATTTGCTGCATCATATGTTAGTTCTGTTTTTAATTTTTTTTTTTTTGGTGATCGTATTGCTTTCTTGCCCAGGCTGGAGGGCAGTGGTGTGATCTCAGCTCACAGGTTCAAGCTATTCTCAGGCCTAGGCCTCCCGAGTAGCTGGTATTACAGCCATCTACCACCATGCCCGGCTAATTTTTTATTTTTAGTAGAGACAGGGTTTCACTGTGTTGGCCAGGCTGGTCTTGAACTCCTGTCCTTGAGTGATCCACCAGCCTCAGCTTCTCAAAGTGCTGGGATTATAGGCATGAGCCACCATACCTGAACTATTTTTACTTTTTTGAGGAGCCTCCATCCCTTTTTTTCATAAAGGCTATTCCAATTTACATTCCCACCAACAGCGGACCTGGGTTCTCTTTTCTTTACACCCTGGGCCAGAAACAAACATTTACGAGCTTTGATTTTCTCTTCTTTCAAATAGGGACAATAATGAGCCCATGTGACTGTTGTGAAAATTAAATGGTAATGGGAAAGTACGTAGAGCATTTAGCTTTGTGCTAGGCACAAACAAAACACTCATTCAATTGTATAAATTGTATACACTTATACTAATTATAGTAGTTGTTATGATTTATTGGGAAAAATTGCTTAGAGTGGGGATCTTTTGTATGAGGGGGAAAGGAATCAAAAGTGAGATGGTAGAAATCTGCAGAAAAAAAGTAGCAAATTCAAGAGCCACTCCCATGGTCAGCCACACAGAAAAGAGAAGCAGGGACAAGACAAGGAGAGATGGAGAATGGAACCAACCACAAGAGTGGAATGAGGGAGGACCAGGACATACTAGAAATAGGAACAAACAGAGTTAAAGGTTTTTGTCAAGGCCACACTGGGCACTCTCAAGCTGTTAGCTGCTCTATCTGTAGGAACCCTGCATTATGGTAATGACATTATTATAAGAGAGTTGGTGCCCAGATGAGAAAATCATAATTACTAGTGGAGCAAAGCATGGTTTAATGAGCTCCACCTTGTAGCAAAGGTCTGGAGTCTGTAATGCAAAACCAAGAATGAGGTCTTGAGGGAAATCATTTATGTTATAAACAAAAGGATGGTGTTGATGTTGAGGCTGTAGTTGGTTTTTTGGTTTTTTTCCTTTCTTTTTTTTAAATTATACTTTAAGTTCTGGGATACATGTGCCTAATGTGCAGGTTTGTTACGTAGGTATACACATGCCATGCTGGTTTGCTGCACCCATCAACCCGTCATCCACATTAGGGATTTCTGCTAGTGTTATCCTTCCCCTAGTTCTCCATCCCCCAACAGGCCCCGGTATGTGATGTTCTCTTCCCGTGTCCATGTGTTCTCATTGTTCAGCTCCCACTTATCAGTGAGAACAGGTGGTGTTTGGTTTTCTGTTCCCGCGTTAGTTTGCTGAGAATAATGGTTTCCAGCTTCATCCATGTCCCTGCAAAGGACATGAACTCATCCTTTTTTTATGGCTGCAGAGTATTCCATGGTGTATATGTGCCACATTTTCTTTATCCAATCTGTCATTATGAGCATTTGGGTTGATTCCAAGTCTTTGCTATTGTAAACAGTGCTGCAATGTACATATGTGTGCATGTATATAATTTATAAATGATTTATAATCCTTTGCGTATGTATCCAGTAATGGGATTGCTGGGTCACATGGTATTTCTGGTTCTAGATCCTTGAGGAATCACCACACTGTCTTCCACAATGGTTGAACTAATTTGCACTCCCACAAAAAAAGTATGAAAGCATTCCTATTTCTCCACATCCTCTCCAGGATCTGTTTCCTGACTTTCTATTGATCGCCATTCTAACTGGCATGAGACGGTATCGCATTGTGGTTTTGATTTGCATTTCTCTAATGACCAGTGATGATGAGTGCTTGTTCATGTTTCTTGGCCACATAAATGTCTTCTTTTGAGAAGTGTCTGTTCATTTTCTTCTCCCACTTTTTGATGGGGTTGTTTTTTTTTCTTGTGAATTTAAGTTCCTTGTAGATTCTGGATATTAGCCCTTTGTCAGATGGGTAGATTGCAAAAATTTTCTCCTATTCTGCAGGTTGCCTGCTCACTCTGATGATAGTTTCTTTTGCTTTGCAGAAGCTTTTTAGTCTAACTTGGCCCTATTGTCAATTTTGGCTTTTGTTGCTTTTGGTGTTTTAGTCATGAAGTCTTTGCTCATGCCTATGTCCTGAAAGTTATTGCCAAGGTTTTTTTCTAGGGTTTTTATGGTTTTAGGTGTTATGTTTAAGTCTTTAACCCATCTTGAGTTAATTTTTATATAAGGTGTAAGGAAGGGGTCCAGTTTCAGTTTTCCACATATGGCTAGCCAGTTTTCCCAACACCATTAATTAAATAAGGAATCCTTTCCCCATTGCTTGTTTTTGTCAGGTTTGTCAAAGATCAGTTGGTTGTAGATATGTGGTGCTATTTCTGAAGGCTCTGTTCTGTTCCATTGGTCTATATGTCTGTTTTGGTACCAGTACCATGCTGTTTTGGTTACTGTAGCCTTGCAGTATAGTTTGAAGTCAGGTAGCATGATGCCTCCAGCTTTGTTCTTTTTGCTTAGGATTGTCTTGGCTATGCAGGCTCTTTTTTGGTTCCATATGAAATTTAAGGCAGTTTTTTCAAATTCTGTGAAGAAAGTCAATGGTAGCTTGATGGGGATAGCATTGAATCTATAAATTACCTTGGGCAGTATGGCCATTTTCACAATATTGATTCTTCCTATCCATGAGCATGGAGTGTTCTTCCATTTGTTTTTGTGTCCTCTTATTTCGTTGAGCAGTGGTTTGTAGTTCTTGAAGAGGTTCTTCACATCCCTTGTAAGTTGGATTCCTAGGTATTTTATTCTCTTTTTAGTAATTCTGAATGGGAATTCACCATGATTTGGCTCTCTGAAATGCTTGTGATTTTTGCACATTGTCTATCCTGAGACTTTGCTGACGTTGCTTATCAGCTTAAGGAGATTTTGGGCTGAGACGATGGGGTTTTCTAAACATACAATCATGTCATCTGAAAACAGAAACAATTTGAGTTCCTCTCTTTCTATTTGAATACGCTTTATTTCTTTCTCTTGCCTGATTGTCCTGGCCAGAACTTCCAATACTCTGCTGAATAGGAGTGGTGAGAGAGGGCACCCTTGTCTTGTGCTGGTTTTCCAAAGGGAATGCTTCCAGTTTTTGCCCATTCAGTATGATATTGGCTGTGGATTTGTCATAAATAGCTCTTATTATTTTGAGATACATTCAATCAATACCTAGTTTATTGAGAGTTTTTAGCATGAAGGGGTGTTGAATTTGGTCAAAGGCCTTGTCTGCATCTGTTGAGCTTATCATGTGGTTTTTGTCATTGGTTCTGTTTATGTGATGGATTACATTTATTGATTTGTGTATGTTGAGCCAGACTTGCATCCCAGGGATGAAGCCGACTTGGTCATGGTGGATAACTTTTTGATGTGCTGGTGGATTTGGTTTACCAGTATTTTATTGAGGATTTTTGCATCGATATTCATCAGGGATATTGGTCTAAAATTTTCTTTTTTTATTGTATATCTGCCATGTTTTGCTATCAGGAGGATGCTGGCCTCATAAAATGAGTTAGGGAGGATTCCCTCTTTTTCTATTGTTTTGAATAGTTTCAGAAGGACTGCTACCAGCTCATCTTTATATCTCTGGTAGAATTTGGCTGTGAATTCGTCTGGTACTGGATGTTTTTTGGTTGGTAGGCTATTAATTTACTGCCACAATTTCAGAACTTGTTATTGGTCTATTCAGGGATTCAGCTTCTTCCTGGTTTAGTCTTGGGTGAGTGTATGTGTCCAGGAATGTATCCATTTCTTCTAGATTTTCTATTTTATTTGCATAGAGGGGTTTATAGTATTCTCTGATAGTAGTTTGTATTTCTGTGTGATCAGTGGTGATATCCTCTTTATCATTTTTTATCACATCTGTTTGATTCTTCTCTCTCTCCTTCTTTATTAGTCTGGCTAGTCATCTATCTATTTTGTTAATCTTTTAAAAACAGCTCCTGGATTCATTGATTTTTTTTTTGAAGGGTTTTTCATGTCTCTGTCTCCTTCAGTTCTGCTCTTGTCTTAGTTATTTCTTGTCTTCTGCTAGTTTTTGAATGTGTTTGCTCTTGCTTCTGTAGTTCTTTTAGTTTTGATGTTAGGGTGTCGATTTTAGATCTTTCCTGCTTTCTCTTGTGGGTACTTAGTGCTATAAATTTCCCTGTAAACATTGCTTTAGCTGTGTCCCAGAGATTCTGGTACATCGTGTCTTTGTTCTCATTGGTTTCAAAGAACTTCTTTATTTCTGCCTTAATTACGTTACCCAGTAGTCATTCAGGAGCAGGTTATTCAGTTTCCAGGTAGTTGGGGTGTTAAAATCTCCCACTATTATTGTGTGGGAGTCTAAGTCTCTTCATAAGTTTCTAAGAATTTGCTTTATGAATCTGTGCTCCTGTATTGGGTGCATATACATTTAGCATAGTTAGCTCTTGTTGCACTGATCCCTTTACCATTAAGTAATGCCCTTCTTTGTCTCTTTTGAACTTTGTTGGTTTAAAGTCTGTTTTATCATGGACTAGGATTGTAACCTCTCCTTTTTTTTTTGCTTTCCATTTTGTTGTAAATACTCCTCTATCCCTTTATTTTGAGCCTATATGTGTCTTTGCACGTGAGTTGGGTCTCCTGAATACAGCCCACCAATGGGTTTGACTCTTTTCTAATTTGCCAGTCCGTGTCTTTTAAATGGGGCATTTAGCCCATTTACATTTAAGGTTATTATTGTTATGTGTGAATTCGATCCTGTCATTATGATGCTAGCTGGTTATTTTGTCCGTTAGTTGATGCAGTTTCTTCATAGTGTTGATGGTGTTTTCAATTTGGTATGTTTTTGCAGTGGCTGGTACCAGTTGTTCCTTTCCATGTTTAGTGCTTCCTTCAGGAGCTTTTGTAGGGCAGGCCTGGTGGTGACAAAATCTCTTAGCATTTGCTTGTCTGTAAAGGATTTTATTTCTCCTTCACTTATGAAGCTTAGTTTGGTTGGGTATGAAATTCTAGGTTGAAAATTCTTTAAGAATTTTGAATATTGGCCCCCACTCTCTTCTGGCTTGTAGGGTTTCTGCAGAGAGATCTGCTGTTAGTCTGTTGTGCTCCCCTTTGTGGGTAACCTGATTTTTTTCTCTCTCTGGCTGCCCTAACATTTTTTCCTTCTAAAACCTTGGTGAATCTGACAATTATGTGTCTTGGGGTTGCTCTTCTCCAGGAGTATCTTTTGGTGTTCTGTATATTTCCTGAATTTCAATGTTGGCCTGTCTTGCTAGGCTGGGGAAGTTTTCCTGGATAATATCCCGAAGAGTGTTTTCCAACTTGGTTCCATTCTCCCCGTCACTTTCAGGTACACCAATCAAATGTAGGTTTGGTCTTTTCCTAGTCTCATATTTCTTGGAGGCTTTGTTCATTCCTTTCCATTCTTTTTTCTCTAATCTTGTCTTCATGCTTTATTTCATTAAGTTGATCTTCAGTCACTGACATCCTTTCTTCTGCTTGATTGATTCTGCTATTGATACTTGTGTATGCTTCACAAAGTTCTCGTGCTGTGTTTTTCACCCCCCTCAGGTCATTTGTGTTCTTCTCTTAACTGATTATTCTAGTTGGCAATTCCGCTAACCTTTTTTCAAGATTCTTAGCTTCCTTGCCTTGGGTTAGAACATGCTCCTTTAGCTCGGAGGAGTTTGTTATTACCCACTTTCTGAAGCCTACTTCTGTCCATTTGTGAAACTCATTCTCTGTCCAGTTTTGTTCCCTTGCTGGTGAGGAGTTGTGATCCTTTGGAGGACGAGGCATTCTGGCTTTTGGAATTTTCAGGCTTTTTGCACTGGTTTCTCCCCATCTTTGTGGATTTGTCTATCTTTGCTCTTTGATGTTGGTGACCTTTGGATGGGGTTTTTGTGTGGACATCCTTTTTGTTCACGTTGATCCTATTCCTTTCTGTTAGTTTTCCTTCTAACATGCCCCTCTGCTGCAGGTCTCCTGGAGTTCTCTGGAGGTCCCCTCCAGACGCTGTTTGCCTGGGTATCTCCAGCGGAGGCTGCAGAACAGAAGAGGTTGCTGCCTGTTCCTTCCTCTGGAAGCTTCGTCCCAGAGGGGCCTGGCTAGATGCCAGCTGGAGCTCTCCTGTATGAGGTGTCTGTCAGCCCCTGTTGGGAGGTGTCTTCGAGTCAGGAGGCATGGGGGTCAGGAACGCACCTGAGGAGGCAGTCTGTCACTTAGCTGAGCTAGAGCACTGTGTCGGGAGACCCACTGCTCTCTTCAGAGCTGGCAGGCAGGAACATTTAAGTCTGCTGAAGCTGTGCCCACAGCTGCCCAGGTGCTGTGTCCCAGGGAGATGGGAGTTTTATCTATAAGCCCCTGACTGGGGCTGCTGCCTTTCTTTCAGAGATGTCCTGCCCAGAGAGGAGGAATCTAGAGAGGCAGTCTGGCTACAGCAGTTTTGCTGAGCTGCGGTGAGCTCCACCCCATTCGAAATTCCCAGTGGCTTTGTTTACACTGTGAGGGGAAAACCACCTATTCAAACCTCAGTAATGGGGGACGCCCCACCCCCCACCGAGCTCAAGCATCCTAGGTTGACTTCAGACTGCTGTGCTGGCAGCGAGAATCTCAAGCCAGTGGATCTTAGCTTGCTGGGCTCCATGGGGGTGAGATCTGCTGAGCAAGACCACTTGGCTCCCTGGCTTCAGTCCTCTTTCCAGGGGAGTGAACAGTTCTGTTTCACTGGCATTCCAGGTGCTACTGGGGTATGAAAAAAACTCCTGCAGCTAGCTCAGTGTCTGCCCAAATGGCCGCCCAGTTTTGTGCTTAAAACCCAGGGCCCTGGTGGTGTAGACACTTGACAGAATTTCCTGGCCTGGGAGTTGCACAGAATGTGGGAAAAGCAGAGTCCCTCATGGCTTCCCTTGGCTATCGGAGGGAGTTCCCCAGCCCCTTGTGCTTCCAAGGTGAGATGACACCCCACCCTGCTTCGGCTTGCCCTCCATGGGCTGTACCTAGTTTTTAACCAGTCCCAATGAGATGAGCTAGGTACCTCAGTTGGAAATGCAGAAATCACCCGCCTTCTGCATTGATCTCACTGGGAGCTGCAGACCGCAGTACTTCCTATTTGGCCATCTTGCCAGCCACCCGAGGTCATAGTTTTAAACCTTTAGATACCACTGACTTCTTCCTCAGTCTGCTGACTCCGCTCAAGTCAGTACAGGTAATAAATCACACTGCTGTCTGTGTCTTTCTGTTCTACTTATTGGCATTGTTGCTATTAAGAAAACACAGAGGGAGAAAAGATGTAAGCTCCTTCTTCTGATGTCTTGAGGAGGTTAGCAGGGTACAGGGTAATCTCAGAAGGCTGTTATTTAGTATTTTTTCTCTTTCTCTTACCTTTGCCTAGAAGGGATGGACTTAGAGCGAGGAATAAAACGTGAAGTCACCAATCATTATTCTTTTGCATATACATACACACTGGTGTGTGTATGCGTACACACCCACACATGGTGAGCCAAGGCCTTTGGTAGGTGCTATGTAGGAAAACATAATCCTTGGGCTTGGAATTTTTTTTTTTTTTTTTAGAATGTGACCACATAGGAATATCTTTTTGTGAAGCAGCAGGCTTGCATGGTCAATTTAATGCAGGGTAAAATCAGTTCCTAAGTCTCAATGGAATAGGGAATATCTCAGTCTGGAGGCATGAGTCAAAAACTTCTTCCCCATATTAGCTGCACTGATTTGAGTGTGCAGCTTTATCAAGGTAAGGTTTCTTTTGGAGCTTTGCAGCCCCTAACGTGTTGCGAGCTAGTGAGGATGAAATAGACTTGTCTGTTTCTCTGCTCTTTTCAGGGCTGGAAATTACTTTTCCCTGAATTTTCCACTTTTGCTGTCCTGTCTCTCAGACACCATCTCCTTGCTTGACCTCATTCCCCATCTGTCTCCCTGGTCTATCACTATAACATAGAGACATGTTTTATATTTATAATCCTGCCTTTTATTTTTGATTTCCCATGAGCTCAGGAATATTGTTGAAATATAGCTACACGCATGATATGAAGGCAAAAGGGGCAAGGTACCGATCATCCCAACCTTAACTCATGATGTTCTTACCCTTTAACAGGAAGCTGAAGACATCTCAAAGACAGTTTATGCTCAATCTTCTTCCAGCCTATATCAGTGTATGAACTTGAAATGCTTCAGTAGTAGATGAGAGTTTTAGAATGCTCTGGTGATCCTAGCTTAGGAAAAGTGACCTTTTGATATTCAATGGATAAATCCATGCATTGGGGTGCTAACTCTGCCACCTGTCTTTTCTGTAGTTTTTACTTTTCTAATCATATACTGCTTTTCTTTTTCTGATGTCCCTCTGTGGTGCTATCTGGGAGCCACAGAGTAGGATGACCTAAAATCAGAGAAAGAGGTTAATTGAAATGAGGCTTGTCTGAGCCTAATGTAGCTAGCCTTTGGGAAGAGTGCTCTGAAATGGGGGTGTGGAGGGTAGAGGACCAATAAATGTTTTCATGCTTTGCTTTATACCAGGTCTCTCCTTGAAAAACTCTCCTGATCTCTATTGACATTAATTAAACTATGAGTAAATAAGCACGTCTGCATATTATTCTGTCCAGATTGTAAAGAGGATGTTTAATTGTAAAGAAGGAACAACAGAGGTATGTGTTGAATCTGGGGAACTGAGGGTCTGTTATCTTTATGAAATGTGGTGTTTTACAACCTTCCTGGATACCGTCAGTTCATCTGCTGCCTCTCTTCTCGATGTTGGGCTGAAGAAACAGCAAGCTGCGCTCCTAAAGTAGACCTAGATGCTAGAAAATGTGCTCCTACTTTTCTTGTGATTCTACCTTTACCAGAAGAAAAAAGTAGATCTGGGATGCATCATCCTTCAGTTCTATTAACATGTTTATTTCAGTGTTATTTACATGCAAAAATGACTCTTCACTGCAAAAATGACTCTTCACTGCAAAAATAATATATTTAAGAAATACCTCAATATCCACAGTAAAATATGAGAGTATCTATTTACCACCTTGATTCCTTTCTCACTTACCTGTCTTTTGTAAACACCTCTTTGTATCAATTACCTCTGGGTTTATACTTCTTCTGAACCACACGTATGTCCTTGTCACCTGTCTTGCACATCGTATCATTGTCTATGGCTTTTCTCTGGGTTTTGATCTCCCTAAACTTATCTTATATGCTTTCTATATTTAGGGAGCCTTAAAGTTTCTGGCTCACTGAAAGTTTAGAATGCAGATTTTTTATCTAGCAATACTTAAACAACAGAGCAATGCTACAGATTTATATTGTTTTCCAGTAACTTTTATGTTGTTTTATGGGATTTTGAGTAGCCAGGATGGTGGTTGAAAATGTTTATTCTACATTTGATCTAATGTTTTTATATAAATTTGGAGACGTGGTTTAGACTGCTTAAGTAATTGAACTGCATGCCTCCTAGGATAGCATCTGTTAAAGGTATTTTGTAAAAGTTTTCTGACAAACGGTTATGAGTTAAGCCATGACTAGAATTGGGTCTTCTGAGCCTTGTTGTTTACTCTTTACATGACAGCATACTGATTCCAAGTTTTCTTTCTATTTTTTTTTTTTTCTGGATGGATTCTCACTCTGTAGCCCAGGCTGGAGTGCAGTGGCACGATCTCGGCTCACTGAAACCTCCATCTCTTGGGTCCCGGTTCAAGCAATGATCATGCCTCTGCTTCCCGAGTAGCTGGAATTACAGGAGTACATCACCATGCTCAGCTAACTTTTGTATTTTTAGAAGAGACGGGGTTTCACCATGTTGGCCAGGCTGGTCTTGAACTCCCAACCTCCGATCCACCCACCTCAGCCTCCCAAAGTGCTGGGATTACAGGCGTGAGCCACTGTGCCCAGCCCCAAGTTTTGTATAAACTATGACTTTTCTGATTTGGATGCAGTGTTATTTGGGAGGCAGTTATTCAAAACATAAGATCATAGTTTAAGTAGCTATGCGAATTAGCATAGACTTGCAATAACATAGCCTAAAAAAATCTGCCCAGGAGAAATTAGCCTCTAGAAAATAAGTTTCTTCATAGAAATTGATAATGCAGTTGGAAGCTTACATGTAACTCTTTGCTGTTTTTTTCTGACACTTTGAACACGAAGATAATGCTAATCATTCTGTCTTCTATTACTGAGTTGTTTGAACCTATAAACCTGACTTTGCACAAATAAAGCAAATGAGCCAAAGGCAAGATTTTGATGATACTCACAGCAGATTTATGCATTCAGTGAACTGCTGGAGGAAATCCATAAATTTGAAATTGTTTGGGGTTATCTGTAGACTTGAGCTAAACTCCAATAGCCTATGATTGATAAATGCTTTCATTCATTCAAAAAGTATTTATCGAGCGTCTACTATATGCCAGGACTTAGGTACATGGAATTCTAGAAATATAGCGGTCAACAAAATAGACGTGGTCCTCACAAGGCTTTCCACTTAATATATAGGAGATGGACTTTCAATTAACAATTATAGTCAGACATTTTGTTATAATTTCATTAAGTGATGAGGTGAGAAAAGTATGTTATAAGAATTTAGTGTCTTCGTGCAATAGAGGAAAATTCAGTGTGGCTGGAGAGATAGGAGCTGGGCTGCATATTTTCCTAGGGTAGCATGCCATATGCCCCTTGCCAGCAGTGCCTAGAGGAATCTGTAGACCTGTTTGTGGTGAGGAAAATGTTATTATGGTATGTAGCTTTGAAGCTGAGTATACTCTTCCCTGCAAATTTTTTTCCTCCTATGCAGGAGGATCAATTTTCAAAGAACAATGGGTGACACCAGCACTATTTGTATTACCAAGCCTGGCTAAGTAGATAGGGTTGTGTATGCTGTTGATGCTTGAATTATATCTTCCAGGATTTCACTAAGCAGCATTTTCTTTATCCCAAGTGTTTTTTTAAATACAGAATTTTGCTCACAGTAACTTGGTAATCTATACCAGGTTTAATTTATTCTGTTTTGGCACTAATCACAGGCTGAATTATTTACATGGGGATAATTTTAAAATCCGTGTTTTGCACCTTCCAGACAAAATTAGAATTATAGTATGTAAACTGCACGACGAAAGGAAATCTCTTCCAAGATAGATCCTCCTGTGAGTTTAAATGTGGAAAGCAGATGCTATTTTTTGTCCTCTTTTAAAAAAGTAAACTTAATTTTAGAATCATTTCAGATATCAGAAAAATTGCGAAGGCAGTACAGAGCGTTCCCCTGTACTCTACGCCCGTTTCCCCGGTTTTAACCTCTTATGTTAGTATTGTACGTTTCTCACAGTTGATGAACAAATGTTGCTAAGTATTACTAACTAGAGTTCTTCCTGTATTCCCATTTCCTTAGTTTTTTCCTAATGTCCTTTTTCTGCATAAGGATCACATCTAGGATACCACATTACATGCAGTCATTATGTGTCTTCAGGCTCCTCTTGGCTGTGGCCTTTTCTCAGTTTCCTTCCTTGTTTTTGATGACTTGAGAGCACTGAGGAAAGCTGGTTAGGTATTTTGTAGGGTGCTCCTTGACTGGAATTAGGTTGATGTTTTCTCATGGTTAGACCAGGGTTATGGGTTTTGGAGAGCAAGGACACAGAGGTAAAACGCTATTCCCACCACATCATATTAAAGGTATGTACTATCAACATGACTCATCACTGATGAATCTTGATCACCTGGTTGAGGCAGTGTCGGTCCGGTTTCTCCACTGTAAAATTACTTCCCCCTCCCTCCACCCTTTCATGCTTTACTCTTTGGGAGGAAGTCGCTATGTTTGGCCCAGACTTAAGGATCAGACTTTCCTCCTTCTCCTTTAGGGTGGAATATCTGCATAAATTACTTGAAATTCTTCTGCACAAGAGTTTTCTCCCCATTTATTTATTCAATTAATCATTCATTTATATTGCTATGGACTCATGGATATTTATTTTAACTTTGGGTTATAATTGAATGCTGCTTTATTTTGCTGTTCAGATTGTTCCAGCTTTGGCCATTGGGAGCTCTTTCAGTTGGTTTTTGTGTCCCTTTGATGTATCCTATCCTTGTGGGATTTTTGGAATACTTGTTTTTTTTTTAACTTTCTGACAGAGCAAGACACTCCAGGCTTATCTTACATATTTCCTGCCCTGGTTTTTGGTACTTTTTTTTTTAATGCTTTTTTTTTTTTTTTTTTTTTGAGATGGAGTGTGGTTCTGTTGCCCAGGCTGGAGTGCAGTGGCTCGATCTCAGCTCACTGCAACCTCCACCTCCCAGGTTCAAGCAATTCTCCTGCCTCAGCCTCCTGAGTAGCTGGGATTACAGGCACCCACCACCACGCCCAGCTAATTTTTTGTGTTTTTAGTAGAGATGGGGTTTCACCATGTTGGTCAGGCTGGTCTCAAACTCCTGACTCCAAGTGATCCACCTGCCTTGGCCTCCCAAAGTGCTGGGATTAAAGGTGTGAGCCACTCTGCCTGGCCTCTTTTTTTTTTTTTTAACCTAAGAAATAATGGTTTATTGTAACTATTGACAACTCAACATGTTATAAACCTTAAGGTTAAAAAAAAATCAAAATCTGAAATGTCCAAACTGGGGAAATTATTCTACTATTTTGTCTTCATGTTTTCCTTGATCTTGGATGATCCCTGGTGGAAGGGCTAATTTTGTGAATTTGTGTTTTGGGTGCTCTCTTGAGGCTGACAGGAAAAGCCCAGATCAGCAAACCTTTCCAGTAAAGAGCCAGATAGTAAATATTTTCCACTTTGCATCCCAGAATGTCCCTGTTGCAGCTACTCGACTCTGCACGTGTGGTGTGAAAACAGCCACAGACAATATGCAAATGAACAGGGCGGCTGTCTTCCACTATTTCCTCTTTTAAACGTGTAAACTCTGTTTCCAAAATTAGCTGGTGGCCTGAATTTGGTCTGTGGGCTGCAGTTTACCTGTCCTTATGTTAAAAGAACTGCCTGGGCAGACCTGAGTTCAAGTCTTGTCACCTGCTGACTTGGTGTTAGGCAAGTAATTTAACTTCCACCGGCTCCAACATTCTTCAGCCTAATGACGGGCATAATAACAGTATTAACATTGGTCCTTTATAATGTTTAGGGTTGAAATGATGTAGGTAAAGCTCTTAGCTCAATGTCTAGCATGCGGCTGTTAGCCATATTGGAGTGATTATATCATTTACTGTTAAAAGAGAACTCTTGGGGAGGAAAGTAAGTGATATCAGTCATTGATCATGCAGGGACAAGGGATAGGAATAGTGATCATCCAAAGTCTGTCTCAGAATGTGTGTCCACCCCAGCTATTATTATTAGGATCATCTCTCTTACCTACTAATACCTCTAATTTCCTACAAATGTTCTGTCCTCCTGCTTCCTATGTCAGGACCCAGACTGGGCCTGCCTAGTGCTCTGAAATTACCCTTTATTCTTTCTTCTCTTTGATCTCAGGAAATGATCTGATTTGATGAGTCTAAGACCGTGTTAATTGATCTGGTTCAGCTTAGATACTTCATGTTTAAATGTGTTGAGTTTCCCTTTAAGAGTTGGCAGTTTGCAATTAAATGTGATGCTCTACATATGTTGAGATGTTACAATTTTTTTTTCTTTCCTTTCGCTTGTACTGAACTTCCTAGCTCTTCTGTTGAGATTCCTGATTTGCCATTTGCTTTGACCTCTGGTTACTGTGAGCCTTTTTGTCTTTACCTTGCGTGCCTGATTACCTTGTTCTGCCTTAGCTCCTTCACCTAATTACTCTCGCTGGGAAGATTGTGTTTTTCCAGAAGATCTAGGCCTTTTGGCTGCAGTTAGTTATTCTTGTTATCTTGGTGTACAGAAGGGGAACAGAGAACCAGCACAGAGAGGAAGGTGAGGCTGTTGCAGTGTTTGTCAGTGTGGTCTTGACCTTGTGAGAGAATGAGCTGAGTCCCCACTAGAATGCAGATTTCTGGGTAGCTCCCGGCACACTGACTTAGATTCCCTGGTGGCAATCCCTAGGAATCAGCATCCATCAAACACTCTTGATGATTCTAATGTGCTCTAAAGTTTAAGAACTACAGAGTAAAGAATGTCTGAAAAGGGAGTATAAATTACAAGAAACAATTTGGCATTATATTTTGTAGAGAACTCTCCTTGAGATCAGAGATCTGTCTTCTGTGCCAGAAGCCACTGCTAAGGTTCTGACCTAAGTGGATTTTCAAGACATTTTCTGATTGCTTTCACTTTTCTCTTTCCTTGAATATCTGTTGCAAACAGAAGTGCAAATGGGTCATCTTACTGGACAGGGAGGAAGTATTTTGAGGTGGGTTTTTCTGGAGGGTTTGAAGGGTGGGAGAAAAGATGGCTGGGGCCTTGTTTAAAAATATTCTTCAAAGTTGGGGTAATTGAGGGTGATGGGAAGTCAAGGGGAGAGAAGTGAGGTGTAGTCAAGGGGAGAGAAGTGAGGTGTGGGGAAAATTAAGAGGGAAAGGGAGGGAGGAGTTTATGGAGGGTTGTAGATGTCCTTTAGCCTATAAACAGCACATGCTGTAAGGAATTGAAGAACAAGATTGTATCATCCTAAGGAGAATTTCTCTAGTAGGACTCAGAAGGAGAACAAGGAATTATTGAGGCTTTATTTAAAGCATACATTGGTTTAGTAATCCCTACTTGCCCAGATTTTCTTTCCATGTGTTTATGGAAAGACAGTTATTTTGAGGGAGGAATTTCAAATGCCTTTAGTGGTGTGAATAGCAGAGATTTCCAAAGATCCTAGTTTTCAATTTGAACAGCGTCTGTGTTCATGTTTAAGGGTATTTCTTTATCACACATGTCATGAGCGCCTACTTGCTGTGTACCAAGCTAGGCACCACTGGGGAGACACAAAAGCATAACCTTGCATTTTCAAGAAGGTTTTATTCTTGGAGGGCAACCAAGAAATGCACGCACAAACAGTGAAGTGCTGGTAGAGGCTCTGTGATTGTTAAATGTCTTGTCCTTTCCATGAGCAACTCAAAGGGGATGGCTTCTGAAGTGAGATGTCTTGGGAGAGGCCTCAGTGGATAAGTATGACAAAGTAGGGAAAAGGATCTGAGCTTTGTGTATGGGCATGTTGTCAACCAGTGAAAATGGAGTAAAAATATGCATGGTGGTCTGAGGAAGGGCAAGTTGTCCCGTCTCTTGGCACTGTGGGTTGTTTCTGGAGTGCAGTGGGAGATTACATGAAACATGAGCTTGGGATAGATTATAAAAAGGGCCTCAAAAGCCAAAACTCTATGTTCTGTGGAAGGTCATACTATATAAGTTTTTTTTTTTTTTTTTTTTTGCTGACAGGGTCTCCGTTGTGCAGGGTAGAGTGCAGTGGCACAATCATGGCTCACTGCAGCCTTGACCTACCTGGGCCCAGGTGATCCTCCTGCCTCAGTCTCTTGAGTAGCTGGGACTAGAGGTACATACCACTATGCCCAGATAATTTCTTTCTTTCTTTCTTTTTTTTTTTTTTTAAGAGATGAGGTTTCACCATGTCACTCAGGCTCATCTCTAACTACTGGGCTCAAGCAGTCCGCCTGCCTTGGCCTCCCAAAGTGCTGGAGTTACAGGCATGAGCCACTGCGTCAGACCATAGCTATAAGATTTTGAACAGAGGGATAATATGCTGAGAATTGTATTTTAGAAACACTTATTGGTTATATTTTACCGGGAGGACTGAAGTTGGGACTTGTTAGAGGGAGTGAGACAGGTTAAGAAGGTCTTTTGATAATGTGAGCACGGTAGGAGCCAGACAAAGGTGAAGACAGTGGTAATGTAGAGGAGGGATGGGTGAAAAGATGTCGCAGAAGAATAGCCCACATCCTGGGCACTGTGTGGACGGCTTTGCATAGTCTCCCTTATTTCCTCAATGACTCTACGAGGGAGTATTTTTATCCCTGTCTATAAGATGAGTAAACTGAGGCACAGAAAAGTTAACTTACATATCCAAAGACACACAACTAGTAAGTGACAGGTATAGTGCTGTGCTGTCCAGTGTGGTAGCCACTAGCTATGTGAGGCTATATAAATTAGAATTAATTAAAATGAAATATTTAAAAATTAGATCCTGAGATATCTGTCACATTTCATGTGTTCCATAGCCACATGTGGCTATCATGTTAGATAGCGTAGAACATAGATTTTTGAACCTACACCTTCTAATTCTTGAGTCTATTTTTTTTTTTTTTTTTTTTTTTGAGACGGAGTCACTGCATTCCAGTCTGTTGCCAGGCTGGAGGGCAGTGCAGTGGCACCATTTCAGCTCACTGCAAACTCCCCCTCCTGGGTTCAAAGCGATTCCCCTGCCTCAGCCTCCTGAGTAGCTGGGACTGCAGGCACACACCACCACACCCCGCTAATTTTTTTTTTTTTTTTTTTGTATTTTAGTAGAGACAGGGTTTCACCATGTTGGCCAGGATGGTGTTGATCTCCTGACCTTGTGATCTGCCTGCCTTGGCCTCCCAAACTGCTAGGATTACAGGAGTAAGCCACCGTGCCTGGCCGAGTGTACGTTCTTAGTTCACTCCACCACTGATGCTAACACAAAACCTCCCTGGTTTCTCACTAGATAGCTAGGCCAAAGAAGAGAGTCAGGGAGGACTGATATAGTATTTTAATGTTTTCTTTATCAATATTATTAATGAAACTTACTAAAAGTCCCTGTTGTAAGTTCATTTCAGTGAATTAGGTTCATTTAAATTACATTGGGGGAAAACAAGCTAATATTAATTCAGAACAATATACCTCTACAATGATAACAATATCATGTTAGTCTTCTAGGAGGTACAGATTGCAATCTGTTTACAGTTGAGGCCTCAGTTCTAATTTGAAGATTCCATTTGGCACATTTTCAGTTTGGTAAGATAGCGTAATCACAGTCATAAGTCTTGTTCTCTCTCAGGTTTCTCTCTAAGAGGCTCTTCAGTTCTACACTTCAAATGGGCTACAAAAGCATACTGAAAAGATGGATGTCTTCCTTGTCTGAGCACAATATGACTAAAGCAAGGACGCCAATGATATTGCTATCTGGGATAATATTAAACTGCAGAGACATTTATTTCCTTATTTCAAATGAAAGTGGAGAATCTCACCGCTATTAGGGGCAACTGGCATATAATTCTTTAGCTGTTAGAAGAGTGATCTTACATTTCCTGTAACCATCAGCATTCAGCCAAAATGCTTTACCATCTCATAACATTAGGTCTTACGGAGGCTGGACCTTCCTTTAAGAGGGTGGCTGGAGGGCCTTATCAGAATGCTCAATTAGTGAGTTGTTTTGCTAGGTGATTTTGTGCCATCTCCTCTGGTTTTCATGTGCAAGGATACTAAACCTGTGATAATATTGTGAGACCCTTCAATAGTGCTTTCCCCTAAATTCTGCGAGGCAATAATGCAGAATATCGGACTTCATAGGTCTGTACTATGCAAGACTGGCTTCTCTATTCCTGTTGTTACCCTTCAGTGATCTGAGTATGCTTTTTCAGGCATGTGATTCTTTTTTATTTATTTATTTATTTATTTATTTATTTATTTATTTATTTATTATTATTATACTTTAAGTTTTAGGGTACATGTGCACAATGTGCAGGTTAGTTACATATGTATACATGTGCCATGCTGGTGTGCTGCACCCATTAACTCGTCATTTAGCATTAGGTATATCTCCTAATGCTATCCCTCCCCCCTCCCCCCACCCCACAACAGTCCCCAGAGTGTGATGTTCCCCTTCCTGTGTCCATGTGTTCTCATTGTTCCATTCCCATCTATGAGTGAGAACATTCAGTGTTTGGTTTTCTGTCCTTGCGATAGTTTACTGAGAATGATGATTTCTAATTTCATCCATGTCCCTACAAAGGACATGAACTCATCACTTTTTTATGGCTGCATAGTATTCCATGGTGTATATGTGCCACATTTTCTTAATCCAGTCTATCATTGATGGACATTTGGGTTGGTTCCAAGTCTTTGCTATTGTGAATAGTGCCGCAATAAACTATACGTGTGCATGAGTCTTTAGAGCAGCATGATTTATAGTCCTTTGGGTATATACCCAGTAATGGGATGGCTGGGTCAAATGGTATTTCTAGTTCTAGATCCCTGAGGAACCGCCACACCGACTTTCACAATGGTTGAACTAGTTTACAGTCCCATCAACAGTGTAAAAGTGTTCCTATTTCTCCACATTCTCTCCAGCACCTGTTGTTTCCTGACTTTTTAATGATTGCCATTCTAACTGGTGTGAGATGGTATCTCACTGTGGTTTTGATTTGCATTTCCCTGATGGCCAGTGATGATGAGCATTTTTTCATGTGTCTTTTAGCTGCATAAATGTCTTCTTTTAAGAAGTGTCTGTTCATATCCTTTGCCCACTTTTTGATGGGGTTGTTTGTTTTTTTCTTGTAAATTTGTTTGAGTTCATTGTAGATTCTGGATATTAGCCCTTTGTCAGATGAGTAGGTTGCAAAAATTTTCTCCCATTTTGTAGGTTGCCTGTTCACTCTGATGGTAGTAGTTTCTTTTGCTGTGCAGAAGCTCTTTAGTTTAATTAGATCCCATTTGTCAATTTCGACTTCTGTTGCCATTGCTTTTGGTGTTTTAGACATGAAGTCCTTGCCCATGCCTATGTCCTGAATGGTAATGCCTAGGTTTTCTTCTAGGGTTTTTATGGTCTTAGGTCTAACATTTAAGTCTTTAATCCATCTTGAATTAATTTTTGTATAAGGTATAAGGAAGGGATCCAGTTTCAGCTTTCTACATATGGCTAGCCAGTTTTCCCAGCACCATTTATTAAATAGGGAATCCTTTCCCCATTGCTTGTTTTTCTCAGGTTTGTCAAAGATCAGATAGTTGTAGGTATGCGGAGTTATTTCTGAGGGCTCTGTTCTGTTCCACTGATCTATATCTCTGTTTTGGTACTAGGTAGTAGTTATAAGGCCAATTAAGGGGTGCAAAGGGGAGAATGCTGGCTCCCTATTCTTAGGAAGCTTCTAAAAACATCCTGAAAAGAAACCTTTATCTTTTTTCCCCCTCAGGTTCAGATTATAGCCAAGTTTAAATGTCACATTGTAGTATAACTTGGGTTGGGTCCTGGATTATTGTTTGATATTTATCAAGCATTCACTTGTTGGAGAAAGTGAATTGTGCACATGTAAAACTGACTGTTCTTTTCCTTCTGGGTTTGTTTCTGAGTTAGTCCACTTCCTTCAAATCGTTCCTAAACACAGATTTATTCATGCTTCTTTTTCATACTGGAAGGAGGGTCCCAGACTCAGGATGAAGATGGTATGGGGATTTCCCATTTTGTTCAGTGCCTAAAACTAGAGTTTTATTAGGAAGCCATTGGTCACAAATCTTGCAGTGGGTCCTGTGGTATTTTTTTTCCCCTGTCGTTGTTAAATTGACCTACATGAACACTTGTAGTTTTTCATCATGAAAAATTTTAACCATTTTTAGTTGATTT
Source organism: Homo sapiens (assembly GCF_000001405.40). NCBI lineage: Eukaryota > Metazoa > Chordata > Mammalia > Primates > Hominidae > Homo > Homo sapiens. Next base: position 5,397,047 of record NC_000003.12, read on the forward strand.
TTGTACTTGACATTGTTAAAGAACAAAATGCCTCATTTGACCCTAAACAATTTGTTTTGTTTTTGATAGCTTGTGAATCCAGGTGCAGAATTACATTCTTTCTTGGTTGCTGATTAAAAAGGCAGACCTGGAAGACAGTCTTCTGTTCTGAGTAGTACTAGGTATGTAGAATCCTTTTTTGAGACAGGGTCTCACACTGTCACCCAGGCTGGATTGCGGTGGTACAATCACGGCTCACTTCAACCTCTGCCTCCCGGGTTCAAGAGATTCTCCTGCCTCAGCCTCCCGAGTAGCTGGGATTACAGGCACCCACCACCATGCCTGGCTAATTTTTGTATTTTTAGTAGAGATGGGGTTTCACCATATTCACTAGGCTGGTCTTGAACTCCTGACTTTAAGTGATCCGCCCACCTTGGCCTCCCTAAGTGCGGGATTATAGGTGTGAGCCACTGCGCCCAACCTAGGATCCTTTTTGGATTGTGGATTTAGGTGCATAATTATGTTCTTTCTTGGTTGCTGATTAAAAAGGCAGATCTGGAAGACAGTCTTCTGTTCTGAGTAGTACTAGGTACGTAGAATACTTTTTTGAGACAGGGTCTCACACTTGTCACCCAGGCTGGAGTGCAGTGGTGCGATCACAGCTCACTTCAACCTCCGCCCCCCGAGGTTCAAGCAATTCTCCTGCCTCAGCCTCCTGAGTAGCCGGGATTACAGGCACCCATCACCATGCCTGGCGAAGTTTCTGTGTATTTTTTAGTAGAAATGGGGTAGATGGATGATTCTTATTTTTTAACTTGCCACTCTGTTTTCTTTTTTTTTTTTAAGTGGGATGTTTAGAACATGTACATTCAAGGTTAATATTGATAGGTGAGGTTTTGATTCTATCGTGAAGTTGTTAGCTGATTGCTTTGTAGTTTCTTTTGTGTGGTTGCTTTATAGGGTCTGTGGAACATGTACTTAAGTGTGTTTTGTGGTAGCAGGTATCACTCTTTCATTTCCATGTTTAAAACTTCCTTGAGGACCTCTTGTAAGGCTAGTCTAGCGGTAAAGAGTTTCATTTATTACACATTGAAATCTACTAAATTAGCTACTTCTCTTTTCTTTTGACATCCATTGTCTAATCACCAACCTTCTAAATACCTAGAGACCAGCAGGGGTAACATTAGTAAAATTACTCTATCTCTGTTTCTTTATCTGAAAAATGAGATGAAAATAGTATTCTGATAGTGTATTAGTCAGGTAGGGCTGCCATCAGAATACCACAGACTGGGTGGCTTAAACAACAGAAGTTATTTTTCTCAGTTCGGGATCCTGATAGTCCAAGATTGAGGTACCAGCATGGTTGGTTTTGGGTGAAGCCTCTCTATTTGGTTGCAGATGGCTGCCTTTACTTACATCCTCACATAGCCTTTCCTCTGTGTGCATATATCATTGGTATCTCTTCCTTCTATTATGAGAACATCAGTGCCACCTCATTAGGGCCCCAGTCTTAGGACCTCATTTAACCTTAAACACCTTAAAGGCCCTATCTCCAAACATAGCCACATTGGGGGTGAGGGCTTGAACATGTGAATTTGGGGGTAGGTACAATTTAGTCCATATGTGTGTTTTGGGGATTAAACGAGATAATTATGTGAGGTGCTCAGCTCTGTGTCTAACACATAGTACTCTCTCAATAAATAATACAACCTAATTAATTGAATGCCTGTTATATGCCAGGCATGTTCTAGGTGCTGAAGAATACCACGGTAAACAAAACAGATCCAAATTTGTGCTGGAATGGAGTTCATATTGTGTAGTAATTATTTTATTGATTTATTTTTGAGGAAGATCTCATTTTGTTACCCAGACTGGAGTGCAGTAGTGTGATCATAGCTCACTGCAGCCTCAAACGCTGCAGCTCAAGCAGCCCTCCCACCTCAGCTCCTGGGATAACTAGGACTATAGGCAAGCATCACCATGCCCACGTAATTCATTTATTTGTAGAGACAGGGTCTCACTATGTTGCCCAGGCAGGTATTAAACTCTTGGCTTCAAGAGATCCGCCCTTAATAGCCTTCCAAAGTGCCGTGATTATAGGCATGAACCACTGTACCTAGCCTGTAATTGTTTACTATTAGCAAAAATAGTAAATAACAACTAAGGAAACCTTATTTTATGGTTGCCTAAAAAATTTTATTGGGGTCTGGTTGGTAGAACATAGTCAGTATGCTGTTGCAGAAGGAGGTTCGGACTAAGGGATTTGGAGCCTCTTTTGGCTCTGGCTTTAATTATGGACCTTGACAATTTCTTAACCTCTTTGGGCCGTCTTTCTTGATCTACTCCCTTTGTGATAGGAGATTGGAGATGGATCTGGTCAGTGGCCATTCTTATTTTGCAGAAATCTGTAGAAGTTCATAGAGGATACACATTTAAGGCTATACCCAAGTTGGGCTTCATATTTCAGAATGCATTTACAAAAAAATGTTATAAGAGTTCCTAAAGTATTTTTCTCATATGGAATAGCTTCAATTATTTCGATTTTTAAATCCATACTAGACATGGAAAAAATAAATCTCATCTGAAAGGCAGTTGTTCAGGGTGAGAAAAAGACTGAGGTTAATGCTTTGAATCTCCAAACACATTAACCTCATTTAATAATTCAGTGCTATGTTATTGAATTGATTGTATGTTATGACTATAGTGGCAGAAAACCTTTCGAAAAGAGAGTTCACAGGAATACAAAAAGCATAAGATAGATATTTACAGGATGTCTAAATTTTTAAAACTTTGGCAGACATAGATTTCTCATGTATCATATAATTTCCTCTAAGTGAATTTTCATTTAAAGTGAGTTTCTGTTACATTTGGTTGATTGCCACCCCATCTCCTCATTCCATCCCAAGCCATCTGCATGGTCTTTTATAAATGACACGTGTCATTTTAATAAATGCCTTTTGTGTATTCTGTTTTAAAGGGAGCTATGAAGCCAAAAATCTGTAAGGGTTTATAATTATTTTAGACTATTTGAAAAATCTAGCAGGTTTATAGGCTAATTTAATAATTTCTATGCCCAATTGTACATTTTCTGGATATATGTGTCAGTTTCTACTTTAGGTCTTTATTAGATCTGTCAGAATTCTCAGCGTCATGAGAATTATATCATACTTTAGCAGTATGACTAGGGACAATAAGTGTCATGTTTCTCTTTTCTAGCTCTGTATCCTTTTCTGATTTAGCTTATTTTCTCAACTTTCAATCTGAATAAAATGGCAGAATCCCCTAAATTCAAGTAACTAAAGATTCTTTGACTTCCAAATTGAGCACTGGCAACTTTCCTACTAGAGAGCATTTCCTCATTCCTGGTTTTGAAAAATTAGTTCATTTCTTAAAAAAAAAATTAATGCCTTTATATACAGTTATTGAGCTACTATCATGTGCCAGATTCAAAATTCAGCTCGGGAGGGATCAGAAGTAGAACATAGTCCCTGCCGTGGAGAGGGCCATCCTAGATGATATGAGATGTAAACGTATAAGCCTCATATATTTTTCACAAGAGAGCAATGGAGTTGCCCATAGGAAAGCTTCATCCATTTTTCCTGGGGAGGTTATGGGAAAGTCTCCCAGAAGAGCTGCTATTAGGATAAATGTGGGAAAAAATAGTAGAGATCCAGAGTTAAGTGCTAGTAGGCAAGGCCATTTGGTGCGTTTAAGCCCTTAGTCATTGCCCCACTGCCATGTACTTTCTGTGAGCAAGGTACCTGCTCAGGCCTCAGGAATAAATCAGACTTTGCCCCTATACAAGGAGCCCAGGCTTATTTTCAAGCTGGGGAATACATGTTGTCTGTAGGCAGCCAAAGGAAAAGGCCAGAGGGATGGGCTGTTCTCAACTGTTACACCTCCTCCTCTGCGTTAGCTTTTTCAGGGAGAGTATGGCTAAACACCGGAAGAAGGATTTGTACAGGTGTAGGGAAGGGAAGAAGAGTGCCTCTTTCCTCTCTGCCTTCCCACTGCTAGGGCTTTTGGTCCTGGGGATCCACAGTAGAGCTCGGGAAAGGATGATGGGCACTGCACCCACAGTGTGAGAGAGCTACGGGCAGTGTTCCTATAGTGTGTGTATGCTGTTCTCATAGCGCATGAGAGCTGTGCATGGTGTTCCTATAGAGCGTGAGAGCTATGGGCGCTGTTCCCATACTGCGTGAGAGCTATGGGTGCTGTTGCTATCGTGTATGAGAGCTATGTGGCGATGTGGCACTCTTACCGCCACTTCCCCCCTCCTGTGTTCTTAGCAGGCATACCTAAACTGATCACAGTACTCTTCCTTGCTGGGCTCAGCTTGGGGTCTCACTATCCTTCTCAACACGATCCTTTGAACAGCCACTAATCATTGACTGGGAATAGGCATATGAGTCAAAATATTTTGGCTTTTCTTTCCTAGAATTCAGAGAAAAGGGTTAGACATGTACTCGATTTCCAGGATTGTAAGTTGTGAATCTGCTTCTGCATAGTTTGTGAGGATAGAAAAGCAGACAGGCTTAGAGAGGCTTCTTTCAGGAATAAATGCACTGGCTGGTGTGTCCCGTGGTTTTTCTCTTGGGAACTCAACCAGTCAGAGACTAGATCGGGTATCACTTCTACCGACTTAAGGGAAGTATAACAGATGAGGGGAAATCAGCCAAATCAAGTAGCTAACATGTGGGAAATGGAGGGGACTCAAATACATTATTTTGGTTGCCTAAGAAAGGGCTTTCCCAGTGGTGCGCTGAGGGGAGGTGTGTTACTAATATAACAAGGAGAGAAGATGTTCCATGGTCAAAAGAGTATGAAAACAAAATTAAGCAAATTTTAATATTACTAGAATTAATAAGGCAACATTAATAATTGCTACCATTTATTAGGCACTTACAATGTGCCAGGCACTATTGTAAGTTCTTCACATGCATAACTGCATTGAATTTCCTCAGTAATTTTATGAAGGAGAAATTATTTCATTTCCATTTTGTAGATGAGCAAATGGAGGCTCAGGGGGATTAACCTGTTCTAAATTTACACCCATTAAATAGGAGCACTAAGAAGCAAACTGAAGTCCGTCTGGGCCTAGAGTTACAAGCTCTAATTACAAAATTTCTTCATTCCACTTGAAAACCTCCCAAAGCTTTTACTATTTTTATATGCATTTGGAATCTCCAAGTGAAAGGTAGAATCAGAGCATTTTCCGAGTATATGTAAGCATATTTTCAGAAACCATTTTTTTCCTCAAACTATCTTGCGAGACTAGTGTTCTGAGGAATATGTCTTTGGATAAGTGGAACTCAGGTTTTATTATACTTACAGTTTTGTCTTTATTAACACGCTTTTGTAGTCAAGGTGTCATTTAATTCTTGAGCTTGGCACAAGGTACATTAGGTATTATTAGAGCCATTTCACAGAGGGGGAAATTTATAATATATCAAATTCAAGTAACTTTCTCAAGTTTTACATTAAAGCATGGAGGAGAAGAAGGTAGAATATAGTCGATTAAGGTAGATTTAAGAGAATATGAGGTAAATTATCACCATTTTTACTGCTGGTATGAGAATATGGTGAAGATTAATTGTATTTTGATAGTAGTAAGCAGCCTTTACTGGCCTAAAAATGAGCTTGGATATATGTTAAGTATTTCTACTTTCTAGAGTTCTGCCATGGTCTGGAAACTATTTGTGTTAGAGAAGGGAAAGGAACCATTAATGGAATAGAGATATGCCAGAGAATTTGCCAAGTAGCAAGAAGTAAAAGAATGGAAGGAACTGTTACTTGATCAAACCACAGAAATCAATGAGAAGATAAGGTTGACACAACAAAGTAGAATAACTTACAATGTAAAATTACCAGGAAGGAATTGAATCAAGTGTTTTGATTATTACATTAGTTGCTAATGAACTAAATGCATTCATTGAAAGGACAGATGATATCAGGTAGGGTTATAATATGAAATCCATTAATAAATTGGGTTAAACACACACAAAGCAAGTGAAAATAATGGAATAGTCAGAGTGACAGGCAAAGGCAAACAAAATAAAAGAAAAAAGTGTTATATTTGGTAAAATTTCTGGTTTAAAGCACTAAACAGTTGAAGATAGACATCACATAATTATAAAAAACACAATTTGTTAAGAAGATGTAGTGATCATAAACCTATATGTACCAAGCAGGGTAGCTAAATATCTCAAGCAAAAACTACAAGAAATGCAACAGGAACTTAAAATAATCATACCGGGAGATTTTAGCACAGCTCTTTCAAAATTGGACAGATTTTTAGAAAACGGATGACATAGGAGTCTTGAATAAAAACAAACTCAATATATATAGAGAACCTTCAATCCCTCAAGTAAAGTATATATCGTTTTCTCCCTTATGTTTATGAAATACGTATAAAATCTGTTATGTATTTGGCTACAAACATGTTAACAAATTTTTTAAAGTAAGTATTTTACAGGATGGTAAAAAACAAAACAAACAAACAAAAAAAACAAAACTCCAAGCATAAGCCAATACATTTAGGAAAAAATAAAGCATGACCAAAAACTTAATTCCTAGGATGTTAACAGATACATTCTTAGATACCTTTTGGATTAAATAGAAAATAGCAGCTGTAAGGAAAGTAGTAGTAAAATCACACATATCCAATCATAGGGATACAATAAAATCTTCAATGAGACAAAAATGCATAGCCTTAAATGTCTTCATTATTTAAGGACGACAAAAAATAAAGGAGCTTACTATTTGTCTTACTATTTTGACATCAAGGTAGACAAAGTAGGAAGAGAGAAATAAGTTAACAGTTGAAATTAATGAGGTAGAAACAACCAACAGAAGTTAAAAAAAGAAGAAAAGAACTACAGATTCAAATGTTGTTTTTTGCAAAGATCAATAAAACACTCAAAGTTTTCCAAGCTAGAATGAAGAAAAAGAAAAGTGAAAAAATAAAGATTATTAGAATCAAGCCATAATCATACATTTAGGAAATATCAGGCTAATTATAAGACAATATTGTCATAAACTTAGAGGAAATGGATAATTTTTTTGGCAAAATAATAATCATCAAACTTGACTCAAAATGTAGAAAACACAACTAGATCAACAGCCCTAGAAGAGAGATTGGAAAGATAACAAATACTTTCCATTGAAAAAGGTGTAAGAATTGTTTTATTTTTAATGATACAAAGGCATCATAACTTTAACATTCAAACCTAATAATGATTGCAGCAAAAGAAAGCCTAAGATAAGTTTTACTTATGAATAAAGATACAACATTCAAAGTTAAACAACAAATGAAATATAGCCAAGCATGACAAAAAAAATGATGAAAAAGTAGGGCTTATTCTAGGAATGCAAAGGTGGTTTAACATTACCAAACCTACCAGCATAATTCATTTCATAGAAAAGTTAAAGGATAGATACCTTAAAGGGTAAATTGCATATTAGATATAAGTCCACAATTTTTCATCCCAAACTCTTAGAGCCAGATATATTTTAGAATTAAAAATATTTGCATCTTAAAAAGGAAATAAATTTGCTTGTACAATTATGCCCAGAGGCAACTGGGGTACTGGAACATGTGAATGTTCACATGGAATGGATAGAATCTAACATCAGTTTTAAGGTTTATGTGTACAGTAAAGCTTGTAAAAAAGTAAATAGAGCATACATTGATAAATATGGATTATATTTTTAAGAAAACCTTTCAGGAAATGTTTAAGCATATGCGGGTTTCAACTAAATCAAATACCTGTACTTATACGTTGAGTAAATGCTGCTTCCATCTGGTTGTTTGAGGAAGATATATCAGTATTGCCTTTGGACATTTGAGGATTTGCCACAAATGGGATTCTCAAGTGATAAATCATCACTTTAACTGACAGCCTTCAGTCTTTTTCCCACTGTCATTGGTTTCATTATAAGCTTTCATTCAGGTGTTAGCTCATTAATTGAGTAAAGTGCCTTAATCTCTTGTACATTGACAAATACACATTGTTCAAGACCAACTATTATTTAATATTTCTTGTTGACCATATTCATCTATATGGATTTCTTTTTCACTTATGTTCACAATAACATCCTCCTTATCATTACTAATGTTCTTAAACTTACCTGTATTTAACACCACCATTCAGCCATTTTTCCCATCACCCAAGGAAGACACAACAGGTATATCATGGTTAAAGCTCAGTATTTTTTTCAATGACAACTTCTTTTTATTCTGTAATTATTCTGGCAAGCAAGATAATCTTATCTTGTCATTACACATATGAAGTCCTTCAAAATCTTCACATTTTCAAAATCTGTGGCAAGCATTTGTTAATGTTGACTCATCAACATTGTTCCAACTGTAACAACTATGTAAATGGCATCCTCAAGACTAAGCTCTTTAAGGAAATCTTAAACTCCTAAGTTCCCTGTTCAATATAGTGAGCATAGAATTTAAAAAGTGTTTGTACTTACTCTTCATGGAGCATAGCATATCTTGATCATGGGGCTTTTTAAAAATAGGTATGTTTCACAGAAATAAGTATCAACCACGTTGTTTGTCATAAGAAGTTTAATATACAGAGCACAAGTCCAGGAACAATACTATTCTACAATTTTCTTCCAGTCCAACTTAAGCCTCCGGTACAAAGTACTGTTCAATGTACCAGAAAAAAATTCATGTAATTACCCTATGTTCTTTTTTCTTTTAACAGATTTATTGAGATATAATTTATATACCAATTTAAATAGTTCCATCCAATGGTTTTTAGTATATTCACAGTTGCACAACCATTGCATCTGATTTCTGAGCATTATCATTATCTCCAGATGAAACCATTTACCCATTAGCAGTCACTTCCCATTCCCTCTTTTCCCAGCCCCTGGCAACCATTAATCTTTCTGTCTCTAGATTTCCCTATTCTTGATATTTTATATAAATGTAATCATATGGCAGGTGGCATTTTGTGACTAGCTTCTTTCACTTAACAAATGTTTTCAAGGTTCATCGATGTTGTAGCGTTGTGAATGTTGGCTTTTTCTGTGATTAACTTTTTTACCCCTTATAGCTGTCTCAGGCTTTGGCATATGCAAACATAGTCAACATATCTATTAGGATCCGTATACCTCTTGGTGTTATTGATTGTTAATGTTTTTCTAAGAATATAGTGCGAATTCAGAGCTGTTTTACCAACATATAAGTTTGTTCAAGACTAAAGGTTTCAGCAGATGTTATCTTGGCAAATTGTCAGTGTAACTTGAAAAAATCACTAGAATACTTTTCACTTTTGATTTTTCAGATATTTTACACTGTGCCACGTGTTACTTTCTGTAGCTGATGTTCTGAATAGTTATACCTCCTGCTAATGTCCAATTGTTTAAAGTATATTCTAGAATGTTTCAAGACTGAAAAACCAGTCAATGGCACCTGTCAACTCTTTGGTAAAAAAAAAAAAAAAAAATCCACTCAGTACACTGTCAAGATCTTCATTTTTTTTTAACTGTTTGCAATATTTTCCCATTTATCATTAATTCTCGGTCATGATTATCACTGTGAAACTCCTATAACTTGTCTCTTTTGTTTAAGTCTCATAGATTCTTCACCATATTTTATATGACGTGGCTCTGTGTCCTCAACCAAATCTCATCTCGAATTGTAATCTCCAGGTGTCAAGGGAGGGACCTGGCGAGAGGTGACTGGATCGTGGGGGCGATTCCCACATGCTGTTCTTATGATAATCAGGGAGTTCTCACGAGATCTGCTTGTTTGATAAGTGTCTGGCAGTTTCCCTGTGCTCTCTCTCACCTGCTGCCATGTAAGTTGGGCCTTGCTTCTCCTCCATCTTCAGCCATGATTGTAAGTTTCCTGAGACCTCCCCAGCCATGTGGAACTGTGAGTCAATTAAATGTCTTTTGTTTATAAGTTACCTAGTCTTAGGTAATATCTTTACAGCAATATGAGAACAGACTAACACGATATTCATCAGTAGGTATCTTGCAGATAGACCTTGATCAAGCTTTTGTGCTGACTCCACCTTCCATGCTACTGGTCGTGACAATTCCTGTTCTGTTATCCATTGGCATATATTTAGTTCTTTCTGATACTTTCATGGTGTAATTAAATCCAAAATTACAAGAATAGCAAGGAACAGAAGATATTCTTATGACTGGCAGAATCACTGATACCCAGGTGACGCTTCAGTTCAAGTTGGGTTTTGCCACAAATTATTTTGGTGCCACATTGAAAGGAAAAACAACTTTCACTTTCTAAAACTTTTCATTTCAGTTTGTCAGACTTCTCAGGTCTCCAGATTGAGGATCAGGGATTATGGGCCTGTATTTTCTGGGTTACATGCTCCTCATTTGTGCTTCCATAGCCACATGCTCCTCATTTGTGCTTCCATATCCCTTTGCATATATCTTTATCATTAGCATTTGGCGTATTGAATTGAAGTTATTTTTCCATATCTAATCTCTGTTTGTAATAGACTATGAGGAGCCATGTCTTAATCAGGTTTTTTTGGTCTCAGTGCCTGAAATTAGGAGGCTCTCAGCAAATGTTTGTTGTATTAATGAATAAATACATACTTCAAATGATTTAGATGTCTAGGAGGGTGGGAATGTTGTAGTCTAGAGCCTGCATGGGAAAACCTGAGGATTAGAATCTGATTTTATGCTTATACCAGGGTGTCTCAATGGTTATCCTACTGACACTTTGGGTTGGATCGTTCTTGGTTATGAAGGCTGTCCTGCACAATGTGGGATCTTCAGCAGCATCCCTGGCTTCTTCCCACTGGATGTCAGCAGCATCCTTCCGTTACCTCCCATTCGATAATAAAAATCTTCAAACATTGTCAGATATTTCTTGGGGGAACAAAACTATACCAGCAGAGAACTGCTGGTCTATACAATCTTGGATTTGAGAGTCAATACCCCTGTGTTGAACTATTACTCTGTCATTTATGAGCAGTGCAAGTCAACGTAGAAGGGACTCCAAAATTCCATTTATAAAATGGGACAATAGTACAGGTCTTCTAAGATGATTATGAAAATTACATAACAGCATGAAAAAGGTCAATGAAAGGTAGCTTTGAAATCGTGTCAGTAATATTGGAGTACACAGAGCCTTCAGGTGTAGGGTGTGAAGATCTGGATCTGTAACCGTATCTATTTCTCTCCACATGTTTATGTGTATGAGTGTGTGAATTTCTGTGTTTTTATGGCAATTTCTGTCAGTGTCTCTCCCTGTCCATAAAGCCATTCATGTTTGCCTGTATGCTGATGTCTCTCTCTAGCTCTAGTTCTGTATCTCTTTGTCTCTCTCTGCTTTCCCCCCCACCCTCATGTATGAATACTAATATGTCAGGAAATTATGGAGTTTGAAGAAACTGGAGTTGTGGGGACAAATCAGGATGGGGTTGTAGTGATTTAGACATAAGGTGGTGAAGGTTGGAATTGGAATGGTCAATCCAAGGAATACTTGAAATAAGTCATGACAGAACTTTGCAATTGGCAGAGGAGAGCATGTGCTAGAATTGAAAAAGTTGGGAGTTTTTGACTCAGATCAGAGTTGAATTCTTGATTCTGCTAAGTGGCAATTGGGAGACATTGGATGAGCTATTCCAAGGTGCTGAACTTGGTTTGTCCTGAAAATGGTGATAATGCCTATCTTGAACTGCTACGAAGGCTTCAGACATTGTATAGAGGTTAGCAGAAAATATTAGGCACTCAAGAGAAGTTAGCTACAATTTATATGGGACAAAGAGAGAGGGAGATGAAAACCAAGTTGTCTTGGAGGTGGAGGAAGACCGTAGATGGTGAGCAGAAGCGATCTGATTTGTGTAGATGGAGTGTTTCAGTGAGCAGCCTCATTTCAATTTGAGTAAAGGGATAAGTAAATTTTCTATAGTAAGGGAGGCTTCTAGCAAACCAGCCTTACATTTTATAGCACTGTTGGGCATTTATGCACCCCAAGAAGGTCATTTATAGTTTTTACAAGCCTAGATAGATTTGGAACACTTTGGTTTGCACTTGAATACAAAATCCACCCCCTCCAAGAAGTGCCGTGAAATACGACTGAAGAAATCCATGATATTGTTTATACTGCCGCGTGAATGTGGAACATGACGAATGAGAGTAATAGCTGGTAACCAATATTAGATCATGATGACAAGGAAATTCATTGTTGGGAACTTTCCTATAAAGAATGGATAGTACTATCAATCCATTCTCGCAGTCAGAAAGTTACTTTTTGAGAAATTATCCTTTCCACCTCTACTTTGCCTTCTCATGGTACTGCAGTTTGATTTAATGCCTTTCTCTCAATGCCAGCTTTTGCACAAAATGCCTTTCACTTTTCTAATGCTGTGCCACATATTGGTGATCATTAATTTAGAGTGCTGGGGTTGTTGCAGTTTTTATTAGGCATTGTGATAAATCTTGTATTTGTATATTTTCTGGTTGTGTGTTTTTTATCTATGAAATAGGCATGAGCTTCACTCTGGCTCTTGGGTGTGGGTCTTGGGAAGTACATAAAACAGTTTTAAAATTTCCATCTAGCTCCAACCTTCTTTTTCGCATTTATTTGTAGGGCTTTGTGTGGGATTGGGATAAACATGATCTGGTGGCTAGCTATGGTTTTTTTTCTGCCCTACATCTCATCTCTTTGCTTCTGATAACTGTACTTTGCCTTTCTGTTGGAGGCCACTGCCTCTCCTATTCCATGGACCTACTGTACTATTTTGGAAGGAAGGGCATGTCATGAATATTGATCAGAATACCCCACTTCCTGGTCATAGTGATTGGTTTATAAATTGGCATTTTCATTCATTCACTCAACAATGTTTATGGAGCATGTGTGAGGCACTGGTTTTTATTCTTGTGGATACAGCAGTGAGCAAAATAGGGTCTCTGTCCATACAGAATTTACTGTTTAGTTGGAGAAGACATAAACTAAGCCAGTAAACAGAAATTAAATAAAAATCTCAGGGATCGGGTGTGGTGGCTCACATCTGTAATCCCAGCACTTTGGGAGGCTAAGGCGGGTGAATCACTTGAGGTTAGAAGTTTGACACCAGCCTGGCTAACATGGTGAAACCCCATCTCTACTAAAAATACAAAAATTAGACATGGTGGCACGCACCATTTATCCCAGGTATTTGGGAGGCTGAGGCGTGAGAACGAATTGAACCCGGGAGGTAGAGGTTGCAGTGAGATCGTGCTTCTGCACTCCAGCCTGGGTGACTGAGTGAGACTGTTTCTAAAAAAAAAAAAAAAAAAAAAAAAAAAAAACCCCAAAAAGTCAGATAATGGTATTACTTAAAAAATAAAAAGCATGGAAGAGGTTTGAGAGTGATGGGAATGGTGAGCTGCGATTTTAGAAAGGGAGCTCATGGAAGACTTCTATGGTAAGGTGACATTTGATCTGAAAGAAGTGAAGGAATATGGCATATGACTATGTTAGAGAAAAGCATTTTGGGCAGGGGAAACTGCCCAGTGCAATGGCCCTCAGCTGTAGCCAGGAGGGCAATGTGACTAGAATAGCAAGAGCAAGGCCAGAATAATAGGAAATGACGACAGAGTGGCAGCTGGGACAAAATCACACTGGAGCTCATGGATAATGAGGACTTTGGGTTCATTGGATGTATGAAGGGAAGACCTTGGAGGGTTTTGAATACAGCAGTGACCAAAAAGGGTTAATCAGAAGCTTTCCTGAGCTGTGACTTCGGGAGACTGGCAGAGAAAGGGTACTTCTTCACCTTTGGGATGATAAGCTATTAGAATGATGTAAGATGGAGCTGCTACAGTCATTTTCCTGGTCACATAGATAAAGGTACTTATAGCATGGAAATATTGAAGCCAATACAAAAAGAGAAATTAAAAAAACAAAACAAAACAAAAAACCAGAAGATGGATAGAAAGAAAAAGAACTCTGCCTATATAAGACCCTGGACCCAGCTATTCCTGAAGTACCTCTGGTTATGTGAATCAATACAGTTGATTTTTGGTTTGACCGCTGTTGAGTGTGATTCAAGTGAGGTTATTTGTCACCTAGAGTCCTGAGCAATCATCACTGTTTTGATGGTGTCCATTAGTAATACTCAATTTTTATTTATTATTGTGTTAGTAATGACTAACAAAACCCACCATTTTACTTGATCTCATTTAAGTCTCATAATTATTCAGTGAGGTAAGCAGACAAATAATCTGACTTGGTGATGAAGAAAGAGGCCAAGGGCATTGCACTGAGCGATCTCCTTGATGTTAAGCAGGCAATAATTGGAAAAGCCAGAACTTGACAGATGTTCTGCATGACTATAAAATCCATACTTTCTCCATTTTTTGGTGGCTTTAAAATACATAATCAAATTATTGGATATTCCTCCTTTCAAGAGGTTCAGCCAAATTCTCTTTCCCTGTAGTGTGGGCTGTTTTCAGTGACTTGCTTCTAATGAATAAAACAAACAAAATACAATGAAAGACTGCAACTTAAGAATCTAGGTCATAGAAGATGGTGTGATTTCTTTGGTCTCTCTCTCTCTTTTTTTTTTTTTTTTTTTTTTTTGGAGACTGAATCTCCCTCTGTTGCCCAGGCTGGAGTGCAATGGCATGGTCTCGGTTTACTGAAACCTCTGCCTCCTGGGTTCAAGCAATTCTCCTGCCTCAGCCTCCTGAGTAGATGGGATTACAGGTGCATACCACCATGCCTGGCTAATTTTTGTATTTTAGTACAGATGGCATTTCACAATGTTGGCCAGGCTGGTCTTAAACCCCTGACCTCATGATATGCCCGCCTCAGCCTCCCAAAGTACTGGGATTACAGGCGTGAGCCACCATGCCCAGCCTCTTTGGTCTCTTATATCACTTACTCTGAGGAAGTCAGCTGCTAGGTCATGAGGGCACACAGCCAGCCCTAGGAAGGCCTATGTGGTGAGGAACAGACCTACTGCCATGTGAGTGAGTGGCCTTGAAAGCTGATACTCCAGCCCTGGCCAAGCAGCTTTCAGATGTCTGCAACCCCAGCTGACATCCTAACTGCAACCTCATCAGAGTCCCTGAGCCAAAAATCACCCAGAAATAGATAACTAATCCAGTTCTCAGGTTTCTCCTTAGCCTTGATGCCTTTGTGGATGAGATCAGTTTCAAGACTGATAAAATAAAAATTACTATATAAAAAAAAAAAACTGTACTGAGGCTGGCAGGATGGCTGAATAGGAACAGCTCCAGTTTGCGACTCCCTGTCAGATCTATGCAGAAGGCGGGTGATATCTGCATTTCCAGCTGAGGTACCCGGATCATCTCTTTGGGACTGGTTAGACAGTGGGTACGGCCCACAGAAGGCAAGCCAAAGAAGGGTGGGGCATTGCCCCACCTGGAAAGCACAAGGGGTCAGGGAACTCCCTCGCCTAGCCAAGGGAAGCCATGAGGGACTGTGCCCTGAGGAATATTGCACTCCGGCCCAGATACTATGCTTTTCCCATGGTCTTCACAACCCAAAGACCAGGAGATTCCTCGGGTGCCTATGAAACCAGGACCCTGGGTTTCAAGCATAAAACTGGGCGGCCGTTTGGGCAGACACTGAACTAGCTGCAGGAATTTCTTTTCATACCCCAGTGGCACCTGAAACACCAGTGAGACTGGACCGTTCACTCCCCTGGAAAGGGTGTTGAAGCCAGGGAGCCAACTGGTCTAGCTCAGCGGATTCCACCCCCATGGAGCCCAGCAAGCTAAGATCCATTGGCTTGAAATTTTCGCTGCCAGTACAGCAGTCTGAAGTCAACCTGGGATGCTCGAGCTTGGAGCGAGGAGGGGTGTCCACCATTACTGAGGCTTGAGTAGGCGGTTTTCCCCTCACATTGTAAACAAAGCTGCCGGGAAGTTCGAACTGGGCAGAGCCCTCCACAGCTCAGCAAAGCCGCTGTAGCCAGACTGCCTCTCTAGATTCCTCCCCTCTGTGCAGGGCATCTCTGAAAAAAAGCAGCAGCCTCAGTCAGGGGCTTATAGATAAAACTCCCATCTCCCTTGGACAGAGCACCTGGGGAAGGGGCAGCTGTGGGCACAGCTTCAGCAGACTTAAACGTTTCTGCCTGCTGGCTCTGAAGAAAGCAGTGGATCTCCCAGCACAACATTTGAGCTCTGCTAAGGGACAGACTGCCTACTCAAGTGGGTCCCTGACCCCTGTGCATCCTGACTGGGAGATAACTCCCAGCAGGGGCTGACAGACACCTCATTCAGAAGAGCTCTGGCTGGCATCTGGCAGGTGCCCCTCTGGGATGAAGCTTCCAGAGGAAGGAACAGGCAGCAATGTTTGCTGTTCTGCAGCCTCCACTGGTGATACCCAGGCAAACAGGGTCTGGAGTGTACCTCCAGCAAACTCCAGCAGACCTGCAGCAGAGAGGCCTGTTAGAAGGAAAACTAACGAACAGACAGGAATAGCAGCAACATCAACAAAAAGGATGTCCACTCAGAAACCTCATCCGAAGGTCACCAACATCAAAGACCAAAGGTAGATAAATCCATGAAGATGGGGAGAAACCAGTGCAAAAAGCTTGAAAATTCCAAAAACCAGAACACCTCTTCTCATCCAAAGGATCACAACTCCTCACCAGCAAGGGAACAAAACTGGCCAGGGAATGAATTTTATAAATTGACAGGAGTAGGCTTTAGAAAGTGGGTAGTAACAAACTCCTCTGAGCTAAAGGAGCATGTTCTAGGTCAATGCAAGAAAGCTAAGAACCTTCAAAAAAGGTTAGAGGAATTGCTAACTGGAATAACCAGTTTAGAGAAGAACATAAATGACCTGATGGAACTGAAAAACACAGCACAAGAACTTCGTGAAGCATACACAAGTATCAATAGCCAAATCAATCAAGCAGAAGAAAGGATATCAGAGATTGAAGATCAACTTAATGAAATAAAGCATGAAGACAAGATTAGAGAAAAAAGAATAAAAAGGTACAAACAAAGCCTCCAAGAAATATGGGACTATGTGTAAAGACCAAACCTACATTTGATTGCTGTACCTGAAAGTGAAGGAGAGAATGGAACCAAGTTGGAAAACACTCTTCAGGATATTATCCAGAAGAACTTCCCCAGCCTAGCAAGGCAGACCAACATTCAAATTTAAGAAATACAGAGAACATCACAAAGATACTTTTTGAGAAGAACAACCCCAAGACACATAGTCATCAGATTTACCAATGTGAAATGAAGGAAAAAATGTTAGGGGCAGCCAGAGAGAAAGGTCAGGTTACCCACAAAGGGAAGCCCATTAGACTAACAGCAGATTTCTCTGCAGAAACCCTACAAGCCAGAAGAGAGTGGGGGCCAATGTTCAACATTCTTTTTTTTTTGAGACAGAGTCTTACTCTGTTACCCAGGCTGGAACACAGTGGCACGATCTCGTCTCACGGTAGCCTCCGCCTCCCAGGTTCAAGTGATTCTCCTACCTCAGCTTCCTGAGTAGCTGGGATTACAGGTGCACGCCACCACACCTGGCTAATTTTTGTATTTTTAGTAGAGATGGGGTTTCACCGTGTTGGTCAGCTTACTGTTGAATTCCTGACCTTGTGATCCACCCGCCTTAGCCTTCCAAAGTGCTGGGATTACAGGCATGAGCCACTGCAATTGGCCTCAACATTCTTAAAAGAATTTTCAATCCAGAATTTCTTTTCCAGCCAAACTAAGCTTCATAAGCAAAGGAGAAATAACATTCTTTAAAGACAAGCAAATGCTGAGAGATTTTGTCACCACTGGGCCTGCCTTACAAGAGCTCCTGAAGGAAGCACTAAACATGGAAAGGAACAACCAGTACCACAGTACCAGCCACTGCGAAAATATACCAAATTGTAAAGATCATCAACACTATGAAGGAATTGCATCAACTAACGGGCAAAATAACCATCTAGCATCATAATGACAGTATAAAATTTACACCTAACAATATTAACCTTAAGTGTAAATGGGCTAAATGCCCTGATTAAAAAAATGCAGACTGGCAAATTGGATAAAGAGTCAAGAGCCATCAGTGTGCTGTATTCAGGAGACACATCTCATGTGCAAAGACACACATAGGCTCAAAGGGATGGAGGAATATTTATCGAGCAAATGGAAAGCAAAAACAAGCAGGGGCTGCAATCCTAGTCTCTGATAAAACAGACTTTAAACCAACAAAGATCAAAAGAGACAAAGAAGGGCATTACATAATGGTAAAGGGATCAATGCAACAAGAAGAGCTAACTGTCCTAAATATATATGCACCCAATACAGGAGCACACAGATTCATAAAGCAAGTTCTTAGAGACCTACAAAGAGACTTAGACTCCCACATAATAATAGTGGGAGATTCTAACACCCCACTGTCAATATTAGATCAATGAGACAGAAAATTAACAGGGATGTTCAGGACTTGAATTCAGCTCTGGACCAAGCAGACCTAGTAGACATCTACAGAACTCTCCACCCCAAATCAAGGGAATATTCATTCTTCTCAGCACTACGTCACACTTATTCTAAAATTGACCACATAATTGGAAGTAAGCTCCTCAACAAATGCAGAAGAATGGAACTCATAACAAAAAGTCTCTCAGACCACAGTGCAATCAAATTAAAACTAGGGATTAAGAATAAATAATGAAATTAAGGCAGAAATAAATAAGCTCTTTGAACCAGTGAGAACAAAGACAAAATATACCAGAATCTCTGGGACACAGCTAAAGCAGTGTTTAGAGGGAAATTTATAGCACTAAATGCCCACAAGAGAAAGCAGGAAATATCTAAATTTGACACCCTAATATCACAATGAAAAGAATTAGAGAAGCAAGAGCAAACAAATTCAAAAACTATCGGAAGACAAGAAGTAACTAAGATCAGAGCAGAACTGAAGGAGATAGAGACATGAAACACCCTTCAAAAAACCAATAAATCCAGGAGCTGTTTTTTTGAAAAGATCAACAAACTAGATAGACCTCTAACCAGACTAATAAAGAAGAAAAGAGAGAAGAATAAATAGATGTAATAAAAAAATGATAAAGGGGATATCACCACTTATCAAACAGAAATACAAACTACCATCAGAGAATACTATAAACACCTCTATGCTAGTTAACTAGAAAATCTAGAAATGGATAAATTCCTATACACATACACCCTCCCTTAGTCTAAATCAGGAAGAAGTCAAATCCCTGAATAGACCAATAACAAGTTCTGAAATTGAGGCAGTAATTAATAGCCTACCAACCAAAAAAAGCCAAGGACCAGACGAATTGACAGCCAAATTCTACCAGAGGCACAAAGAGGAGCTGGTACCATTCCTTCTGAAACTATTCGAAACAACAGAAAAAGAGAGACTTCTCCCTAACTTATGTTATGAGGCCAGCGTCATCCTGATACCAAAACCTGGCAGAGACACACACAAAAGAAAAATTTCAGGCCAGTATCCCTGATGAGCACCGATATAAAAATCCTCAATAAAATACTGTCAAACTCAATCCAGCAGTACATCAAAAAGCTTATCCAACATGATCAAGTCAGCTTCATCCCTGGGATGCAAGGCTGATTCAACATACGCATATCAATAAATGTAATCCATCACATAAATAGAACCAACAACAAAAGCACACCATTATCTCAATAGATGCAGAAAAGGCCTTCAACAAAATTGAACAGCCTTTCATGCTAAAATCTCTGAATAAACTAGGTATTGATGGAACATATCTCAAAATAATAAGAGCTATTTATTACAAACCCACTGCCAATATCATACTTAATGGGAAAAAGCTGGAAGCATTCCCT
Source organism: Homo sapiens (assembly GCF_000001405.40). Lineage (NCBI taxonomy): Eukaryota > Metazoa > Chordata > Mammalia > Primates > Hominidae > Homo > Homo sapiens. The sequence goes on from NC_000003.12 coordinate 5,416,823, forward strand.
TTGAAAACTGGCACAACACAAGGATGCCCTTTCTCACCACTCCTATTCAACATAGTATTGGAAGTTCTGGCCAGGGCAATCAGGCGAGAGAGAGAAATAAAGGGTATTCAAATAGGAAGAGAGGAAATCAAATTGTCTCTGTTTGCAGATGATGTAATTGTATATTTAGAAAACCCCATCATCTCAGCTCCAACTCTCCTTAAGCTGATAAGCAACTTTAGCAAAGTCTCAGGATACAAAATCAATGTGCAAAAATCACAAGCTTTTCTATACACCAGTAACAGACAAACAGAGAGCCAAATTATGAGTGAACTCCCATTCACAGTTGCTTCAAAGAGAATAAAATATCTAGGAATCCAACTTACAAGGGATGTGAAGGACCTCTTCAAGGAGAACTACAAACCACTCCTCAAGGAAATAAGAGGACACAAACAAATGGAAAAACATTCCATACTCATAAATAGGAAGAATCAATATTGTGAAAATGGCCATATTTCCCAAAGTAATTTATAGAGTCAATGCTATCCCCATCAAGCTACCATTGACTTTCTTCACAGAATTAGAAAAAACTACTTTAAAGTTCATATGGAACCAAAAAAGAGCCTGTACAGCCACGACAATCCTAAGCAAAAAGAACAAAGCTGGAGGCATCATGTTACCTGACTTCAAACTATACTACAAGGCTACAGTAACCAAAACAGCATGGTACTGGTACCAAAACAGATATATAGACCAACAGGAACAGAACAGAGTCCTCAGAAATAATGCCACACATCTACAACCTTCTGATCTTTGACAAACCTGACAAAAAGAAGCAATGGGGGAAAGGATTCCCTATTTGATAAATGGTGCTGGGAAAACTAGCTAGCCATATGCAGAAACCTGAAATGGACCCCTTCCTTACACCTTATACAAAAATTAACTCAAGATGGATTAAAGTCTTAAACACAAGACCTACAACCATTAAAACCCTAGAAGAAAACCTTGGCAATACCATTGAGGACACAGGCATGGGCAAAGACTTCATGACTAAAACACCAAAAGCAATGGCAACAAAAGCCAAAATTGACAAATGGGATCTAATTAGGCTAAAGAACCTCTGCACAGCAAAAGAAACTATCATCAGAGTGAGCAGGCAACCTACAGAATGGGAGAAAATTTTTGCAATCTATCCATCTGACAAAGGGCTAATATCCAGAATCTATAAAGAACTTAAACAAATTCACAAGAAAAAAACAATCCCATCAAAAAGTGGGTGAAGGATATGAACAGACACTTCTCAATAGAAGGCATTTATGCGGCCAACAAACATATGAATAAAAGCTCGTCATCACAGGTCATTAGCGAAATGCAAATCAAAACCACAATGAGATACCATCTCACTCTAGTTAGAATGGTGATTATTAAAAAGTCAGGAAACAACAGATGCTGGAGAGGATGTGGAGAAATAGGAATGCTGTTACACTGTTGGTGGGAGTGTAAATTAGTTCAACCATTGTGGAAGACAGTGTGGTGACTCCTCAAGGATCTAGAGCCAGGAATACCATTTGTCCTAGTAATCCCATTCATGGCTATATACCCAAAGGATTATAAATCATTCTACTATAAAGACACATGTACACGTATGTTTATTGTGGCACTACTCACAATAGCAAAGACTTGGAACCAACCCAAATGCCCATAATGATAGACTGGATAAAGAAAATGTGGCACATATACACCATGGAATACTATGCAGCCATAAAAAGGATGAGTTCATGTCCTTTGTAGGGACATGGATGAAGCTGGAAAGCATCATTCTCAGCAAACTAACACAAGAACAGAAAACCAAACACCACATGTTCTCACTCGTAAGTAGGAGTTGAGCAATGAGAACACATGGACACAGGGAGGGGAACATCACACATCAAGGCCTGTCGGGGGTTTAGGGGCTAGGGGAAGAATAGTATTGGGAGAAATACCGGATGTAGATGACGGGTTGATGGTTGCAGCAAACCAGCGTGGCACGTGTATACCTATGTAACAAACCTGTACATTCTGCACTTGTCCCAGAACTTAAAGTATAATAATACTAATAAAAAAAAAAACTACCATCTTCGTTTTGACTAAATGTTATTATTTCTAATGGAAGATAGTGTCAAAGTTTCAGATATATGTATGTGTATGTATGAATATATATACATATGTGTATATATGCATATATGTGACTTCACTATAGATTTCATTTCAGAATTGGTCTTTGCTTGTCTAAAGACAAATGCTTTGACTATAGTGATACACTTGAATGCCAATACAACAGACTTAACAATTTATCTCTTTGATCTGGACCTCTAAGGAAAAGGGCAAATATTCCTGTCTTCTGCATAGAAATCTACTTTTTTCTTTCTTTCTTTTTGAGATGGAATCTCACTCTGTCGCTCAGGCTGGAGTGCAGTGGTGTGATCTGGGTTCACTGCAACCTCTGCCTCCGAAGTTCAAGTGATACTCCTGGCCTTAGATGCTCTGACCATCTCAGCCTCCCAAAGTTCTGGGATTACAGGCATGCACCACCATGCCTGGCTAGAAATCTGACTTTTGGATATTATTAGATCTGTAGATTAGAAGAAAACTAGGTCTCAATTTCAGTAAAGTGACAACAATTTCATAATATGAAGAAATGCGAACTGGTTTAAATAATTTAACATAGGGAGTTGGTGTTATGGTATATCAAATAAAAATTTAATGGGTTATTATGCAAATGTTAAAATTATAATATGGAGAAATGTAACCACATGGGAAAAAGTGTGAGATGTCAGAAAAATAAGTTTGAAAAAATCGTGATTATATTGTTGATTATATTTATTTAAGTGTTATATACAAATGTGAATAAGGACAGAAAAGTTGAATTAAAAGATTATTAGAGTAATAGAATTCTGAGTCTCTGGATTTCTGTAATTGTGTCACTTGTGTAACTTTAAAATGATGCATCCAAATTGAACTTAGTTTTCCAGATGTGCCTTCCTTAATGAGCCTATTGGCTATGTTAATATTCTATAGTTCTATTAATGCAGTTTGAGCTCTTCTTGCTCAGCTGCAATTTGTGTCTGTGCTATAAAGCATCTTCTTTGGGCATTATATTCTTAGGTTAAATTCCTGAGAGTTAACAAGGTGGGTTAATGGGGCCTGAGAATTTCGTGTGTGTAAAATCTATTGCTTTGGTAAGACTTAGGCTCAGTATTTTAGGCATTTCTAGTCTAGAGTTTTCCAAATTTTAGTTACTCCTAAGATTATGGCCATAGTCACAAACTCCCTGTGCTATTATTAATCTTTTTTCCTTTAAATTGACTCGTGTTCATATGCTGCAATTGCCCCTTGGAAACACAGACATCATAAATACATTGTGGAAAGCTTTCCTGATGAACCCAGACATGACCTCAGAATCCTCATCACCAAAGAGAACTGTCTACTGGCCTCACTTTTCAATGTATCTGTGTGACTAGATCTTACCAGTGAAACGTGAGTAGATTGGAATGATGAATGAGCTTTTCTGCTACCATCAGTTCTGAGATGATCTGACATTAACTGCTTTATGAAATGCAAGTGGAGATACTTTATGAAAAGTTAAAAAATGATCTGGTTTGTTTCCAAGTGAGGTCACAGGTTGGTTTTATAGCAAAGTCTTAAAGATCTTCATTTCTTCTCATCTAATTCCTTGTTAGTTGAGTTGGCTGCTTGTGTGTGGGATTTTCTCAGGATGCTTTGGAAATAAAAATTTCTCTGGGAAGCAGATTGTATTTTTTTTTCCAACTCTTTACTCCTTCCCAGGAAGAGAATGATATATCTGCACTCCTTGTCAATCGTCTTTGGTGCCTCCCTGGACTAGAACCCCATTAGTGTTGAACTTTGTTATGTGACTTGCTTTGGTTAATAGAATATGAGAGGGAATGACAGTAAACAGAACTTTAAACAATCTTGTGTGGTTTAGTTTGGCCTCCTGCATTAAAAGAATATGTTTTAGGTAACCAGTTGAAGGAGAGTAAAATGGCTTGTGGAGCTGATCAGAATGCAATCTGCAGCTTGGAGCCAAGCTTGACGTTATTCCAGCGAGGTGCAGTGGAGTTACAACCTACCTGCAGACTCAGGATTGAGAAATAAATGCTGGTTTTTATAAGCCACTGAATTTAGGGTATTTTTATTACATAGCTACATTGCAGCAAAAATTGACAAATACACTCAGTAAATACAGTTGTTTTGGAAAATGTAATTTTTGTGCAAGACATTGAGGAGACACACAAAAGAAATAGCCCTGAAAGAAATAGCAAATTTTCAGAGGAAAAGAGTATGACATGCAGGCACTTTGACAAAGGTGACAGAGACAAATGCACTTGATAAAGAGGAAACTAATAATAAGTTCTTACTAGATAAATGTTTGTAAAAATAACAAAACAACTGTAATACAAAACCTTTCTTGGCCGGGCACGGTGGCTCACACCTGTAATCCCAGCACCTGGGGAGGCTGAGGTGGGCAGATGATGAGCTCAGGAGTTCGAGACCAGCTTGGCCAACATGGTGAAACTCTGTTTCTACTAAAAATTAGCTGGGCTTGGTGGTGCACACCTGTAATCCTAGCTACTCGGGAGGCTGAGGCAGGAGAATGACTTGAACCTGGGAAGCGGAGGTTGCAGTGAGCCAAGATCGTGCCACTGCACTCCAGCCTGGGCAACAGAGTGAGACTCCATCTCCAAAACAACAACAAAAAACAAACCAAAACAAACAAATGAAAACTTTATGAGTGCCCTGGGTCTGGACTTGATATGGTTGAAGATTTTCATCAGCCTGAATAGCTAAGGAAATTCTACTTTAGAGAGAGACTCACCTTACCTGTTGCTGATAAGCTCTAGTGGCTAACTGTTCTTCCAAAAACTTACCTGAACTGCTGCTATCAACTATTTAAAACAAAGGTCTTCTGATGGGGGTAGAAGATTTGAAGGGAAAATATGCCACCTCTATTAACAGCGAGAAGGGGATTCCTGTGTGTAACAGTTTTGAGTTTTCTAAATTTCTTTCACTCTGAAAATTGGGGTCAATCACACACCATCTGTACTAGTATTTATACATGTATATTTTTCTTTAAATTGACTCATTTCTTACATTTCACTTAAAAGTAAATTTATTCTATGTTCGTAGACATGGAAATCCAGGTCCACTGAGTATGGCAGAGGCAGGTAGTCATCACCTGATATTTGTGTCTGTCCTTCCGTGATACAGAATTCTTGCTAAGAATTACTCATTTAGAGACCTCATTTCCTTGTTCTATCTGTTCTGTCTAGATGTGATCCAAAGACTGGATCTTACTTCTGAAGTGTGAGTGGAAGTGAGGTGTCATTTCTGGGCCCAGAACTGTAAGCAGTGTGTGTACGTTGTACACGCATTTATTCTTCTTTGCCAGCTGGAAGCCAACTCCAAGACCTTCAGGGATGGCAGAGCGACAGTTGGAAGTAGCCTGTTTTCTTAACTTACCAGGTGGATGAAAGCAGACCACAGATCAGGAATGCCCTCCATAGACTGTTCTGTGAGCAAGATATGAATGTCAGTTCAAGTCAAGCTACAGATACTTTCAAGCTCATTTATTCCAGCAGCCAGCATCATCTTTAAAATAGGCTTACAATGGGTATGGTATCGCATGCCTATAATCCCAACACTTTGGAAGGCCAAGGCGGGAGGATCGCTTGAGGCCAAGAGTTTCAGACCAGCCTGGGCAACAAGGAAGACCGTGTCTCAATGCCCACCTCCACCACTCCCCATCACCACGACCAAAAAAAATGAAAAGAGCAGGTGTGGCGGTGTGCATCTATACTCCTAGCTACTAGGGAGGCTGAGGCAGGGGGATCGTTTGAACCCAGGAGGTTGAGGCTGCAGTGAGCTATGATTGTACCACTGCACTTCAGCCTGGGTGGCAAAGCAAGATCCTGTCTCAAGAAAAAATAAAAAAAAAATACAATAGACTTACAGTAAGGTAGTGACAAAAATAAATACTTCTTACTCAAACTGCAAAAAAAAAACCTCAGTATTTTATACCACCATCCCCCCTGGGTACCATCACCAATAAGTAGTGATAGGGGATAGTTTGTTCTGGTGCTTGGGCAGACTGATTAAATGTCATGGGAATAATAGTTTCTTTCGTATTCCTACATTCTTGCTGCTGGTCAATGAGAGTATTTTTTTCTTTTTTAATATTTGTAAGCTGCTATTGAGAGGTTGCCAACCTTGAAATGCTACCAAATCTTGTCAGTGTTCATTCTGATCCTCCAGGGAGAAGAGTCAAAACACAAACCCTCTGTTATTAATAAAAGGGAGTGACTGACGGGGTCAGGTGAGATGTGTTCCTCCTCAGCGTGCTTTGAAAGTGGCAAGTTATTTAATTGAAAGCGTCCGGCTCTCTCTCACTCAGAAGCTCTCACTTGTGCTATTGCCAAGCTGTGGTCACCCCTGATGACCCAACATAACCCAGAGGAAGCTCCAGAAGGAAGTCCCCAGACCCACCCTGCTGTTTGCTTTGTGTCCCTGTTGCTACTTTCTGCAGAGAAGAACTAAAGTTGGGACTTGCTCTGCCTGGGACATGTGGTGTATTGGTTAGGGTTAGGAATGTTGACTGCTATCACATAAAAATCCTTTCTGGTGTTCTGGGTTGGGGGATCATCTTCCACCTTTGTGATCTTTCTTGTGGCTTTGTTCACCACCAGTGCCTAGAAGTTCTTTCCACTAAGTGGGTGGGTGGGTAGGAGTGGGAGTTTTCTTTGACAGTGATTTTTGCGGTGAGCATTTTGTAAAACAGTCCCTTCCAGCAAATGCAGGCAGGCAACCAAGATGTTTTTGACTATCTCATGAACCCTCCCTCCAGTTCCCTATTTCACTGTGCCAGGATTTCTGGCACCGCCCAAGTCCAGTGGGGCCTTTTCTCAGCTGCTCTATTGTTTAAGGCTTCTGTAACTTTTCATTCTTATTACAAAGCTTCTGATGGGCCCCACTGGGCTGAGCCTTGGCAGAGTTGATTATGATACAGGAAGTGCTTACTTATTTTATTAGCAATGATCAATGATTTTCTTGTAGATGAAAAGCTTATTTCTAGCACGCATGCACTGAACCCAGTGATTTGTGTGGACTTATTACAACCTACTTTCACATACATATGGCACCACACTGCTATGTTCTCTATGCATAAGACCCAGCACCTGCTTTCACTGCTGGAATCAGTTATTGGTGGTCTGTGTGGAACTGGCTACTGAGTGCCTGGTGGGGAGAGTCTCATGGGAGCCAATTTTCTCAGTGGGCTTCCTTAATATTGGAATTCTTCAAAGCTCAAAATTCTGAGAGGACCCTAGGGGTTCAAAGCCTTTGAGCCTATAATAGTTAAGTGATTCGATATTTGCCAGGACATCCCTGCAACCTGGTCTTACATGATGCCTTCATGCAGGAACCTCTGTCCTGAGGTGTACAAAAAAGAAATGTACTAAGTACGTTCCCTGTTTGCTATTTTTGTTTCGTGCATGGCTTCCACGTATCTGTCCTTGCTCCATTCTCCTTACTTTCTTAGCTTGTGACCTTATCAATTCTTCTACTAGGCAGCTTCATGGTTAAGAGCATGGGCTCTGGAACTACTTAGCCAGACTGGGGCTGGGGATTAGCCAACTCCTTACTGGTGTGATTTGAGGTGTGTGTGTGTTTTATCCATTTCGAGCTCTGGTTTCCTTATCTGTTTATTGGAGACAATACTATCCATCTTACATGTTGGTTGTCCCAGTTAAGAGAGTCAGTGCATATAAAGCATTTAGCATATACTAGGCAGAGACAAAATGTAGCTATTATTGTCAGTCAGGTCCCTGCCTTGCCCATTGCAGCTCTCCTGCATGAGACTTCTCTCGATTGGAATTTAATCTCTGTTATCAGCTCAAGGATTCGCAGACTGTTCAGGGTAGTAGTTTTCTGAATAAACCCAGAACCTGGAATTTTCCTTACACTCATTGCATTGGGTGTCATGACTATCCCCATCTTACAGATGAGAAAAACTGAGGCCATTTGATCATGTAACTTGTCTAAGGTTCTACAAATAGTAAGTGGCGTAGTCAGGGTTTAAAGACACCTCCCCACCCATCTGTCTGGCTCCCAGCTGCCTCCTCTTTGTTTTGAGACAGAGATTTTGCTCTTGTTGCCCAGGCTGGACTGCAGTGGCGTGATCTTGGCTCACTGCAACCTCCACCTCCCAGGTTAAAGTGATTCTGCTGCCTCAGCCTCCCAAGTAGCTGGGATTACAGGCATGTGCCACCATGCCTGGCTAATTTTGTATTTTTAATAGAGATGGGGTTTCTCCATGTTGGTCAGGCTGGTCTTGAACTCCTGACCTCAGGTGATCTGCCCACCTTGGCCTCCCAAAGTGCCGGGATTACAGGGGTGAGCCACTGTGCCTGGCCTCTATCTGCCTGCTCTTAACAGGCATCCTGAAAAAAAAGCATATAGGACTCATAAACCAGTTCTTGATCTCTCAAAAACATTTCACTGTTTATACCCTTGACTGTCTGTGCACAGTATCTGCTGTATAAAGTCAAGAAATCAAAACCAGTCCAGAAATCTCCAGCTGAGGGGAAACAATCAAGGGAGTTGGTTACATGGTGTGGGAAGACGGAAAAGATAAAAAGCAGACATTGAAGCGGCACAGGAATCACTGAGGGAGCAGTCACCACCCTCGGGACAACATGATGTTACAGAAATCCAGGTGCTGAGTGGGGCAGAGAAGCTTGCTGCCGTACGCAGGGCTGGTGGCCAGTCTCTGGGAGCTTGCCGTATGTTTGGTACTTAGCTGGCTCAGGGGCCCCAGGGTAGGACATTGAGGGGCAAATGCCCTGAATACTGAAAGATGCAGGAGCTATCTGATGGGTTGCAGCAAGGCCAGGATGAGCTGAAAACACAAGAAAGTCACTTTCCCTCCTTCCTATTTCCTCCAGTATCTCCCACTACAGAATCTAACTGGAAGTCAATTAATGAGGGTGCTTGGGAAACAGTTTCAGCATTGCACAGCAGAATGGACAAGGTGGACTTGGGCTGAGAAGCGGGGAGATCTCAGACACAACGCCATTTGTATGACTGGCCGGTGGTACTGTCAGTCGTGGTGGTTGACATGTTTTGCAGGTGCCTGTGGGCAGCTCCCTGAGAAGACACTGAACCCAGCTGGGGTAACTGAAGAGCAGTTTACTTAGCCTGCTCAAGCAAGCACCATGCATTCAGAAAACTCATTTTGTAATTGTTGGTATAGTTTTAGAGCTTGAAACCAAATGAAATCTTTCAATAGTTGCCAGTCAGACGTGCATGTCAGCCTACCGGGTCGCTTCCCACTTGCCGGAGTGATTAGCTCTATTGAGCATTTTTTCCTTGTAGCCACAAATCCTCCTAGTCATAGCACGAGAAAATCCGTGACCAGTCCAGCACCATGTCGAATTTCCTGGGAGACTTTCCTTTTCTTTGAATTACCCATTTACTCGGTGAGAAAATGCTTCGGTGGAGAGAAAGAGCCTGGCATCGAGAAGGGGAGGGGAGCGAGTCTGCCACTGGAAATGCTGAGTGGCAATTTCGTTGTAGCCAGGCTTGTCACAGGACTGATGAATGGGCCCTAGTCTAGCACGTTACAATCTCCCTCAGGTCCAAGCCGAGGCCTACCTCACCCGTGTGCATCCAGGGACGGTAGGTGGCGCTGTGGTGTTGACTGATTAAAGGAGCGCGTGATAAAATGCTATGGAGAAGTGTCTGGAAAAAACAGGGAGTGGGAGTACTGGCTTGGAGAGGGGCAAGATGAATATGCATTCTCATTCAGTGTCTTTCCAATTCAGGTGAGCATTTTCCCTTTCCGCTCTGGGCATGCACAGGAAAATCCAATTACAGATGCAAGTTACACTGGGCTCTTTCAAATCAAATTGCAGATGTGTGTCAGCGGCATCTCGCTGACTTGGACGTGCTGGGTATATCTCTCGCAATAGAAGTTTGGCTTCTCCTTTCCCTTCTTTCCTTTTTTCTCTCGTTTCTTCTTTCCTTCCTCAATACTCTCCTACTATCTGATTTGAATTTTGCAATCCTCCTCTTTCTGACACCCATTTAATTCAATTCAGTAGTTTTGTACCTAACATAGTTTTTTGAGACACTGTGAAGTATCTGGGGGAAAAGGGATAAAAGTAGCTTTCTTTCTTTAAATAGAAGGTAAGCTAACCATTTACTGAGCTCCTACCAGGTGCTAGGAACTGAGCTAGGTACTTGTCTACTCAATTTATCTCATTAAACTGTTTAATTTATTCGCTTATAAGCAGTTTGAGTACTTGTGTCCCAAGGGCACAGCCTGTGCCATCGGTCGTGGGGAAACAGGAGCATTAAAAGGCCCCCAGTCCTCTGTGTGTCTTCTTCCCTGCTCTGAGTCTGAGCCCTGATGCTTCAGCTGCTGATTTTTACATGGCTTCCTCTAACATCCTTGCAGCTCTGGAGTCAGGCTGCGTGAGCTCGGATTCTGATTCTACTGCTTCCGAGCTTTTGGAAGTTGGGCAAGTTACATAATGTCTCAGTTTTCTTATATGAGAGAATGAGATAACCATTCCTTCTTCCAAGGATAACCATTCCTGCTTGAAAATTAAATGAGATGGTACATGCAAACATTTGGAATGACAACTGGACAATGGCAAGTACTTAATAAACTTTAGCTTTAATCATTGTCATCACCATCTTCAAATTTAAAAAGTTGCTACTTTTGGAATATGTAAGGTAGTGTCTACTGCCCATGCCCCCAGATATGCCTCTGAGGTACACTCCAGGTAAAAAAAAAAAAAAAGGAGCAATTCACTTTTACTAGGAAGAATCAGGGAAAGCTGCATGGAGGAGGCTGGTTATAGCTGCCCTTGCTGTGAAGAAATTCAGAGGAAAATTTCTGAATCCAAGAGGGTCATCTACTTTACAGACAATCAAATGAGACCTGTGTCCCTTGTCCCGTGTCAATGATGTTTATGCACATTTTGCAAACCATAATCCTCTAATTAGTGGGATCCCATAATCCCCGAGGTCAAGCATGGATATTTTGGGGGCCATAGACCCCAGGTTCAGGACTCCTGACTTGAGATCCTTTGCAAGTTCAGTGTTCTTAGTCTAAATGAAGTAAAACAATTTAAGAGAGTTTAGCAGGCACTGTTAGTGTCCCACTCAGTTCCTTGTTACCTTATTGGCGTTCCCCTCTCCCAGCTGCTGTGGGTGTTGCCTGCTAACGATTCACTCCTACCTTTCTTTTCCAAGGGTGGTTCTTGGCTCATGGGAGTGCCAGGCCAGGAGATAGTCCACCTTCTGCCCCGCAGACACAGAGGTGGCCCTTGGTAATGACTGAAGAGTATAGCAGTGACTGGTTCTCAGAATGGGAAGAACTGGGACTATGTGGTGGCTAGTCTGTTAGGCTAGGGGCATGGTAAGAGAGTTAGGCTGGAGGGGACTGGAGAGACAGGAAAGGAGAGTGAATCCTTGCTGCTTCTTGACCCTGGAAGAGTACAGTAACTCGCTTCCCTTGCTATTTGGTGGTTCCAACTCTGCGATACAAACTATATACGTTTCTGAGCCCTCATGGCACCAGGCTGAGAGCTTTCTGGAGGTATGGTTTGCCTTGATGCTCCTCTGCCCTAACCCATCTTTCTCACACCCCTGTAGGTTTCCCTGAGAGCAGTTCCTCAGTAAATCACTTGCACAAACATCTCCATCTCAGCTCTGCTTGAGGGGACCTAAAGACAGAGTGGAACTCAAGGTCATTATATGGAGGAGCTAAAACCCATGCTATAGAACGTCAGTGCAATGGTTTAGGGTGGAGGGGCAGCTGCATTGAGATCCAGCTCCTCCCTTTTGTCCCAGCTGCTTTTTTCCTTTTCTCCCACCGTTCCTACTGTCCTGTGACACTCTGGTGTCAGATTGGGACAGATGATGGGGGAGCTCACCAACAGCAAGTGGCGTAAGTGGTCACCTTGGAGCCCTCTGATTTCAGACTACAGTTTTGTCGAGCTGTAGGAAGTCTTCTGTGTAGAGACGATCCCTTAATAAGCCAGTTGAAGTGTGATGATTAATGTATTAGGGCTGGGGAGCCCCCATCCTAGCAAGCAGTCCCTTTGACAGAAGAAAACGGACTAGGCAGATAAGAGAGAAAGTGCAGAATCACGTTCTGGTGTTCAGTTTGGCAGCCCATAGCTCATTTTAATTACTCTGAAATAATTATCTCTGGTACACAGCTGGGTTTGTCTGCGTGCAACTTGTGAGTCATTCTTCCCCATGTGAATAAATCAAGCAGGTTAGGAGGAAGGGCTGGAACCAAATGACATGTAAAAGAGGTTCTGTGGTAAAGGTTCAGAAAATGGCAAACTTTCGACCTGAAAGAAGATTGATTTGGGACATCTGGTCCTTGTGTGTGAAGCAAACAGCACTGGCTAGTGAAATCAGAAGTAGATGAGTCTTAAGGCTATTTTAGAAGAGCTGTGAGAGCTGAGCAAGGTGCATCAAGGGCTAATGTAAAAGGGACAGTTGCCAAGGAGGATCCTATAGCATAATGGTCAAGAGCTTGGGTTTTAGGAGCAGGCTGACTTGAATTGGAATCCGTATTCTATTGCTTGCCATTTAAATTACTTTGAGCATATCATGTCATCTTTCAAAGCATCAGCTTTCTATTAAGTTAGAAAATTTGTGTATGGTGCCATTTCCTTCCATGTGTGGCTTCTATTACAAGTACTAGATTTTCCTGCTGCTGCTGCTGAGGGCTTAAGGAGAGGACTGCTTGTGGGCCACCTATGCCCTGTCCATTGCCCTGGGCAGACATTACTAATCAACTCAACTCTCTTCACAGTTGGGCCTGATTGTGGAGTCAGAGATATTTTCTAATAGCACTTCCAGCAGCTACCCCCTATCTAACCAACTTGGCATGTTAATTGAAAGCAAATAACCACTTTGGGTTAAAAATGTTTCTCTTCTTTGATGTTTGATATTTCCTATCTGTAAAACCAGACATTTGAAGAAGATGATCACTAAAGGCCTTTCTCATTTGATATTCCAGTGTTTTAAGAGATAGAGAAGTGGATCATTGGGGATTGGATTATTTCAGCTCCCACCCTTTGTTTATTTGATGCTCTGCACACAATCAAGAACTCAGTTTGTAAGGTGGGGCTGCTTATGAGAAAGGTGGGAACAAGACCAGGAAACCAAGAGCCAGGAAGCAGTGAGGATCCACACCCTCATCTCCTGTCTCCCCAGTCCCCTTCAGCCTGGCTCTTACCATGTCCCTAACCTAATAGACTAGCTCCCACATAGTCCCAGATGGTCTCACTCTGAGAACCAGTCACTGGCTTCTGCTCTCATAGGATGGATTCATCATAGGATGGAAATGAAGGTTTGTATCCAAGACAGAAGCTGCCTCCATTTCAAAGTCATCTCCTCTGTGGGCCCTGAGTATTTGATTGCTCATTGGCCTCCTTGTCTAACCTGCAGATCTGCTAGTTGTCACTGGCCTGACCCTCGCTTTTCAATAATAGAGCTTACATTGTTCTTAAAGATCCACTTAACTTTTATATTATATAGTTAATATGCTTTAATGGCCAGGAAAATTAGAAAATATAGATAAACCAAAAGTCAGTTCACTGTTAAAATGTGGTTGCTTATTATCTTTTACTGCATATATGTGTACATTTATTTAAGATCATATTTTATAAACACTTCTTAATGAACATCTTTCTGCTTATAAATGGTCTATCTTATTGTTTAGAATACTGTCATTCTGATTTAATTTGTCCCTCTGCTATGACTCTCCTTTTGTTCAATTCAATTAAACATTTATTGAGTACCTGCTCGGTGCTGAGTGCTTATAGTCTCTGTGCCCCTGTATTAGTCCATTTTCATGCGCTGTAAAGAACTCCCTAAGACTGGGTAATTTATAAATAAAAGACTCACAGTTTTCCATGGCTGGGGAGGCCTCAGGAAACTTACAATAAGAAGGCAAAGGGGAAGCAAGGCATGTCTTACATGGTGGCAGCAGAGAGACAGTGAAGGGAGAAGTGCCACAATTTTAAACTATATCAGATCTTGTGAGAACTCTTTCACTATCATGAGAACAGCAGCAGGGAAACCTGCCCCTGTGATTCAGTCATCTCCCACCAGGCCCCTCCCCTGAAATGGGATTATAATTTGAGATGAGATTTGGGTGGGGATGCACAGCCCAACCCTATTAGCCCCTAAGGAACCTGGAGCCTGGTAGGAGCAAACAGATATAAAATAATGAATTATGATATACCTTGACAAACATTAGTAGAGACACGAAGTTTTACAGGAACACAGGCTGCTGAATGCTGAGTTGAGCCCAGGAGGAGGATGAAGGAGCCTTTCAAGGGAGAATGTCATTCAAACAGAACCTGTGAGGATGCATGGGCCTGTGAAGGAGCCGGCTTGCTTGAGGTTAGGGTGTGCAGAGGGGCATGGATTGGTGTGATGGTTGATTTCATACATCAAGTTGACTGGGCCAGGGAGCGCCCAGATGAAACATCATTCTGGTGTGTCTGGGAGGGTGTTGCAGGATGAGATTAGATTTCAGTTGGTAACCCCAGTAAAGTGGATCACAATGTGGGTGAACATCATCCAGTCTATTGAGGGCCTGAATAGAACAAAAGGTGGAGGAAGGAGAGACATTTACCCCGTTTTCTCCTGTCCAGCTGCTTCAGCTGGGACATCTCTCATCTCATCCTCTCCTGCCATCAGATTAGGATTTACTCCATCAGCTCCCCCAGTTCTCAGGCCTTGAGACTTGGCCTGAATTACACCACTGGGATTCCTGGGTCTCCAGCTTGCAGATGGCAGTTCATGGGACTTCTCAGCCTTCATCGTTACATGAGTCAGTTCCTCATAATCGATAAATCTGTCTCCTATTGGTCCTGTTTCCCTGTCAAACCCTGACTAACACAAGTGCTAAAGAGAAGCAGAAGCAGGGGTTATAAATGTTCTTTTTCATGACCATGTCCTCTGTCATGTAGTAGGTAATTAATTAACATGCAATAGGCGAATCAATCACTCCAACATTTCCCCCACATCCCCTTTCTGAACCTTGGTCTCAGGGTAGGAGTTGCATGTATCCAACCAGACTTAGTGACTCATAGATGGCCTGTGGGCAGATACTGCCTGTGTTCCTCCTACAGCCCTTTAGACTTTCCATCATATTTCACGTAGGGCAGACTTTCAGTTGTCAGCTTCTGCTTCTGTTGTCTTGCAGGCTGCCTTGGTGGTTTGAGCACACTCTGCTCCTGGTGTTGGAGAATTAGTGCCCTCTGGGAACAGCCATCGTCCAGTGACTTACTAGAGGCAGTTTGTAAATACCATGGCTCTTTCGCCCCTACGAGGGATAACTTGGGGATACTCTGAGCCCCAGAGTTTCCTGGGGATATTAAACTCCAGTTACCCCCTAATAATAACTTGCTTTTTACTGGTTATTTTTGTTTCCCTGTCTCATTCTCAACTCCCCTACTGGTGTTTTCTAGGATTCTGTTTTAAATAAATTACTTGCACTCAAATTCTTGTCTCAAGGTCTGCTTCTTGAGAAGCGATGGCGCTGTGTGACCCTATGGAACAAGCCAGAGATGGCTGACTGGTTTTTCAGCAATTCTGTCTGGTTAAAATTACCTGCACCAGAACTGAGTTCATAAACTTGATGTCTTTTTTTTTTTTTCCTGGACTCGATTTCCTGATGGCGCAGAGTGCGATAAACTCATATGCATTCCTAGACAGGGTATAGCAAAAGGAGCCTGTTTCCATGCATCATGAGATAACGTAGATATCATCAGAAGGCATTTGCTAGGATCTGAAGCAATAGTAAACCCTGTCTTGCCTTCATTACTGCATCTGCCAAGCTTTCTTTGATAAAAAATGACTCTAGAAGTGAAAATATTAGTGTATAACTACATCTCAGCTGACTGAAAAAGAGGTGCTTGTATTTGAATTACATAAAGGATGCAAATTCTGTGACAAAAATGGTTCTGTTAGGGAACGAAGAAGGACTTTTTAATGCCTTTGCATCTGAGACATTATTTTTATGTGTTGCTTTTTTTTTATTTCTAGCACAAGCAATTTTCATGTCAAGGACCCTATGTTAGGACAGGTTCAAAAGTGAAGGGTGTTCAGTTTTGGCTGGGAAGAGATGTGATCAAAGATTGTAAAATCATCGTGCCAGTGTGTTCACATAAATTAATCTTCCCCAAGACACCCTGAGATAAATAGCATTACTAGGCTGGGCGCGGTGGCTCAGGCCTGTAATCTCAGCACTTTGGGAGGCCGAGGCGGGGCGGATCATGAGGTCAGGAGATCGAGACCATCCTGGCTAACATGGTGAAACCCCGTCTCTACTAAAAATACAAAAAAAATTAGCCGGGCGAGGTGGTGGGCACCTGCAGTCCCAGCTACTCGGGAGGCTGAGGCAGGAGAATGGCGTAACCCGGGAGGTGGAGCTTGCAGTGAGCTGAGATTGTGCCACTGCACTCCAGCCTGGGTGACAGAGCGAGACTCTGTCTCAAAAAAAAAAAAAAAAAAAAAAAAATTGCATTACTGCAGTTTGGGAAATGGAATCCAGTGAGTAAGTGTTGAAGCTGGGAATTAAACCCTGGTCAGTGTGATTCTGGTGCCTGTGTTATGTCCACCTCATCTAAGCAATTCCCCTAATTCCTCAATAATGGGTTTTTAGATGTACATTCCTCTTGGTTAGAATGTAGTGCCCTTTGCATAGAAAAGAGACCAAATTTGATGAACCAGTAGGATTTCTGTCATTCATTTGATATAATTATATTATGAGCTCCTAATATGTATGCTTTGTTAGATGCTAGGGAGACTTGTGAATGAATCAGATATGCTCCCAGTCCTTGTGAAGTTTACATGCTATGATAAAGCATAAGCACGCAAGTAAGCACGATGATTTAAAGTAGAGGGAATAATCTAGATTGGGTGGCCAGAGGCAAGGGGTTCTTAATGCTAGATCCAGAATGGCAAAGGTCTGGAGAAGGGTCCCAAGCAGAGGGAACAGGATGCCCTACACAGATCCTGAACTGGGAGCAAAAATCAGTGTGACTCCCGCAATGTGGGCAGGAGGCAGACTCAGACAGAGAGGTGTGGTGGGGTAAGAGCTAGTTCATTTAGGGTTTTGTAGACTAAAGGAAGAAAGTTTGGATTTTCTTCCAGCTGTAAAGATCAATTATTGAGCTTTTTTTTAGAAGGGGATGGATGGCCTGATCTGATTTATACTTTAAAAGAGGGCTTAGTAAACTGTAAATAGCTGAATGACAAGTATTTCTGCTTGAGCATGAAAACAGCCATCGACAATGTAAAATAAATGGGTGCATTCCAATCAAATGTTACTTATAAAAACAAATGGTCAACTCAGGTTTTAAAGGGTTGCTTTAAACTGTGAGATTATAGAGGGAAAAGGATGGAATCCTGAGACCAGTAAGGAGGCTATTGCAGGATTTTTGGCAAGAGGTAATGGTAGCTTGCACCATGGTGGTAATACATGAGGTAGGGAGAGGACTGACTTGGAGGGGAAGATGAGCGTTTCCTGAAGGACTGGATGTGAGAGTTGAAGAAAGAAGACACATGAATGACATTTTTTGAGCATGGACAACTGGGTAGTTGGTACCATTTACTGATATGGTAAATGTTAAGGGAGGAGCAGGTTCTTTACTTCCAAAGTCAAGTCTAGGTCTGGTTTTAGCATCCGTAGTTGGGGTTTTGTTAATGACTGCTTTGTCAAAACTGAAAATCTACCAGGAATCTCTACTTTCATGTAAAAGGATTTTCAAAAGGACTATATGAAAATGCTTTTGGATTGATTGCATGGGAACTAGAAATATGAAAGTATGTCACATTGTGGCTCTGATTCAGGTATACTTAGGCAGTGTAAATCCCCCATGCCCCACCAATTCGGAAGCACTGGAGTGAGGAGATACTGACAATTTAGTGGTGTGTGCCCCACAGGAAGTATCACACTGCTATATTTAAAATAGATGCTTAGTATATGTTAGAAAAATTGAACTGTTGGCCAGGTGTAGTGGCTCACTCCTGTAATCCCAGCACTTTGGGAGGCCGAGGCAGGTGGATCACCTGAGGTCAGGAGTTCAAGACCAGCCTGGCCAACATGGCGAAACCCATCTCTACTAAAAATACAAAAATTTTCCAGGCATGGTGGTGCATGCCTATAAGCTCAGCTACTCAGGAGGCTGAGGCGAGACAACTGCTTGAGCCCGGGAGGCGGAGGTTGCAGTGAGTTGAGCTTGTGCCATTGCACTCCAGCCTGGGCAACAGAGCGAGACTCTGTCTCAAAAAGAAAAAAAAAATTGAACTGTTAAATATGCCTTTATGCTTTATTAGGGATCATGTGGTTCTGGTTTATATACAATGGGGTTGGGGCTTATATTATCTTTGACTTTTTTTGTCCAATACATTCAGGGTAAATGTAATTATAATGCTTTAAAGTATAATAGAAGTAAATGTTTCCCTTTACTTTTCACTTTCCCTGATGTGATTTTTATTCATGTGTATGCTGAGCTGGCTAAAATGCCCCAGGTCACGTACAGAAATCCTTAAGGAAAATGTGTATTCCTGAGATACGTGAACTTGGATATATTACATGGCTAGGAATTTCCCCCTTATATTGCAGAAACATAAACTTTGGGGCAAAGTATTTATGTTTGAATAATTCCTGGGACATCAAGAACCAGATGACTAAAGGTAGATCGAGGGATGATTCTGTAGTATCACAATAAAATTCTGTGAATTTATAGTAAAATTCTTTTGCATAGCAAGTACTCCCTCATCGTTTTTTTTTTTGTTTTTTTTGTTTTTATTTTTGTTTTTTGCTTTTTAAAGAAACAGGATATTGCTCTGTCACCCAGGCTGGAATACAGTGGCACGATCATAGCTCACTGCAGCCTCGACCTCCTGGGCTCAAGCCATCCTCCTGCCTCAGCCTTCCAGGTAATGGTAGTAACTACAGGCATGCCACCATGCACAGCTAATTTTTAATTTTTTGTAGAGATGGGGATCTTGTTTCCCAGGCTAATCATAAACTCTTGGTCTCAAGTGATCCTCCTGCCACAGCCTCCTAAAGTGCTGAGATGACAGATGCAAGTCACTGCACCTGGCCCCACTGAGATCTTTAGGAAGATGTTTATAACATCATATAAGGTACGTCTTCATACTCAGACCATTTCCAGAGCAGTCATGACTTTTGGAAGATTCTGGGTTTTGGGGGCAACTTAAAATATGACAGAGATCCTCTGTGGGGCAGAATCTCAGGATAATTTATTGGTTGCATGACACCCCATGTTCTATAGGAACCAAGGATGAGTGCTCTGATCCATACCTTATTCAGAATAAGAAGCTTCCAGGGGGATTTTCTAAAATAACTTTCCCAGTTTCTTCTCCAATTGTTAGTTCCTTTCCAATCATGCTAATTCATAAAATAAAAGGGAGGGGAGGAGAGGTTCCTGGACCAGCTTATGCAGGGGACTTGTTGACGCAGCTTTGCTCTTTGCTATTGCAACTGGTCCATGACAGATTTCCTTGGCACCCCTTGCTACCTATTGGGAATGCTGAAACTCCTAATTTTTTATGCCAGAGTGGGCAAAAACATAGCCTATACTTTTGCTTTAACATTCCCCTGAGTTATACCTTAACACATTATTGCACTAAAGTTCTTGTTCTCCAGGATTGTTAATAATTCTAAGTTCTAGAGGCATGTTTACTTACCAGATCTATTCTAATATGATTAACTGTAAATGAAAAGAACAAAGTGTAGATTTTCTGCAGCAAGTTGTAGCAAGGTGGAAACTGGAGAAGGAAAGCTGCTGAAAGTTGTTTGAGTTATGAAACCTTCATCTAAATAATCTCAAAGTGCTATATGATTACTAATGTTATTTTCCTACCTACCTATAATGATGTTCAGCAAGTTGCATATTCATAACCATCAGATATTTTTAGAACTGCCAACCTGAAAATACATTCACTGGCAATGGCTCTGTAAACCAGTTTCTTAGCAATACTGTCAGTTCTTGGCTTATGTGAGTAGCTCAAAGTTATATGAATTTTGTTATTCTTATTGTTCATGTAATTTCTTTTACAGTTGGGTTAATTTTTAATGTATTTTGTGTCTGTTCACTTCTGTTAACCCACATGGTCATGCTACTTTCTTATTTTATATTCAAACTGAAGAGTTCCTTGGGATTTGGCTTACTGAAGTGACCTAGGTTCTTTAGTTGTTGGTTAAGCCAACCTTAATTATATAATCATTCTTTTTGGTAAGCACTTGGTGAGGATCTGTTGAATGGGAGAGGTTATCATCAGAGTCCCCACTCTGGGAAGATATGTATCCATCCCTTTAATGGTCTTTTGATAAGTTTTCTAAATGAGTTGTGATACATAATTATATGTATGTGTATTTGTATTTATTTTGAATAGGTAATAATACATTCTCATGGTTTTTAAGAAATTACAAGCATCACACAGCAAAAGGATTTTCTCTTATCTCTGTCTCCCTTCTGCCCTTTCTTCATGACTCCCAAAGACTATACATTCTTTAATGTCCTGCCGGAGATGTTTTCATGCATATACAGGCAGATAAAATACATACTCTCTCCTTCTCTCATACAGTTGATGACATCACATACACTGTTTTAACCTTGTTTTTATTTTTCTTCCACCCAATAACATACCTTACAGATTTTAAAAATAACTGCACGTAGCTCCACGGTTAACTAGACCATGCTTCTTCATCTTATGCAGAAATTTATCACGAGGGATTGAAAAACAGTTGGATGAAGTTGAGATCTGTCTAAGCCATTTCTCTTGTCTCTTGATAAATGCCCATTGTGTGTCTGTATGAAAAAGGGCAAGATAGTGTGGCCACATTATCGAAAAGTCAGTTAAGTTAGTATAGCCTGATTTAATCTTAGGGAGCCATGTTCTAGAGAGAGGCATTTTCATTTCTAAATGCTCTTGAGACATCTTTAAAAATATTTCATGTCGAATTGTGCTGACAACCAACCTCTAGGCAGCAGTTACTCTTTCAAAATCCTCCTTTCCATTCTTCTTTCTGGAAGCTCTCCCATCCCCTGTGAATGCTGGAGGATTCCCGAGGGTGTGCCTGTATAGCAACTATCAGCTCTTGCAGAAGACTGTGTGTGTGTTTCCTGGCTGTGAGCCTCAATCTCCTACGATGTATAACTTCCTTAGCTACTTTAGGCTTCTAGTCCCTCTTAACTGCAGTTACTTTATCAGACAGATGATAATTCTATTGTTACTATTTGCACAACTCTAGGAGGTGCCATTCACAATGTAGCCACCATAGATTAGTATTTTTATACTAATAATACAGTAGTGCCTCCTTATCCATGTTTCATTTTCTGCAGTTTCAGTTACTTGTGGTCAACTGTGGTCTGAAAATAGGTGAGTATTTTACCGTGTAATAAGATATTTTGAGAGACAGAGCGACCATATTCATATAACTTGTATTACAGTGTACTTAATTGTTCTGTTTTATTAGTATTGTTGTTAATCTCTTACTATGGCTAATTTACAAATTAAACTTTGTGATAGGTATGTATATATAGAAAAATAGGTAGTGTATATAGGGTTCAGTATTATCTGTGGTTTCAGGCATCCACTGGGGGTCTGGGAACATATCCCCTGTGGATAGGGCTGCTGTATGTACTATACATAACTATATTATGTTATATGTGATATATAAGATAATATTCAAAATAATATATAACTTATACATATTCTGTATGAATTTTTATATATATGTGTATGAAGACATACTTGTTATGACAATTTTCTAGCAGGTTATTGTCAAGTGTCTTGAGACAGGGATGCTTTTCCATTATTTGCACAAATAGTACATCAAGATGGGTGGTCCCGTTCTCTGTGGTAAAGATGTAAGCAAGTTAGGAATTGACACTCCATGCTCTTTGGCTGGTGTCTATTATCATTTCCACTAAGAATCTATGCATGAGTGTATCCCTGTCTTGCTGTTCTTTTTCCACACATACATGACAAATTCTGTTTTATCGTTCTTAAAATATTTCTAAAGTCTAAGTTCATTTTCTGCTTTTCTTTCTTGAGATTCCTGTGGACTGAGTTCATCTTATGTGTTTGTCTTCCACTATAACTCCCTTTGTCAATTTGTCAAAGCTGCAGAGACTATGCTACGTCATGGGCCTCATAGCGAGGACTGAGTAAGTCCTGTAGGTGCGTACCCTAAAGTGCTGATCAATGCTATGGTATAAATAAGTACAGAGCACATAGGGAAGACACAGTAACATCCCAGCACATTGGCCTTTTGAGTTGAATCCTAAAAGATGTGTAGGAAATTTCAATAGGAGAAGAATGTTATGGGCATTTAAGGCAAAAATATGAAAATGAGCAACGTGACATATGAAAATGAGCAACGTGACATCCTGAAGGAGGATGGCAGAAAGAGGGAAAATAAACCTAGAATAATTGAGCTAGGTCAGATTATAAAGGGCCTTGAATGGGAATTTGGGAAGTCTCCTGAAGGCAGCAAGGAATTATTACAGGGTTTTAAGTTGCAATGTCATGAAATGAGAGTTCAGTTTCAGACAAGTCATTACCATTATTATTTTCTTAGGATATTAGACACATTTTAAGACTTTGTTGCTAGAATGCAAGAGAGAAAAGCTGAGAAGCTGCATTAGGGCAATGACAGTGGATGCCAAAAAAGGGAAGGGGACCAGTTCTAAAGACAATCTAAGGAAAAAGAATCAGCAAGCTTTTAGTGATGTTGAAAATACATTAAAAAGAAGTTAACCTTCAGAGTGAGTGCCCTAAAAACCACTTTAGTTTTTTAGATTCCTCCACCTTATCATACTGAGTGAACAGTTTTCAATTCTATTGTCAACTTATTTTTAAATGTCTTGTGCCATTTAGCCATTTCTCCCTTTAGAGTTTGAGGGATCATACCCACAGTTTCTTAGAATCTTTTAAATCTGTGATCCAAATTCAAGGACAAAATGCAATCCCTATGAAAATGCTCATAAGCTATTTTTCAGAGTTAGACAAGTCCTTAGTAAAGCAAACATCTACAAATAAAGAAGGAAAACACTGTGAAAGAAAAGCTCTGAGAGGAGGGTAAGCACTACTAGATGTGAAATGCTCTAACGCCTTGATAATTGGTGGGTCACTGGCACATGAATAGATAAACGGACTAATGTCCTAGGAAAGAAATGCTTATGAGACCCAAATACATGTGAAAACGTCAGATACGACAAAGGCAGCATCTCAAATCAATAGCATAAAGATAAATTTTTAAATAAATCATGCTCCAACAACTTGGTAGCTATTTGGAAAGCAGTTAAATGTTAGATCCATATTTTACACCATATATAAGAATAAACAGCAAATAGACTGGAAACCTAAATGCAAAAACTGAAGCCATACAAATAGTAGAATAAAATATGGGTGAATTCCTTTTTAATGTCTGAGAAGACTTTCACATTATGACTCAAAATTCAAAGGCAATAAAAGTGATAAATTTGACTACATACAGTTCTTACCTCACAAAAAACAAAGTGAAAAGACAATTGAAAAATTGGAAAAAAGTATTCATAGCATATATCATAGGTGGATATCCCTAATATATAAAGAACTTTTAGAAATTTAGAGGCAATGGACTAAAAACCTAATAGGAAAATCAGAAGAAGAAATAAAAATTTTTTTTTTTTTTTTTTGAGAGGGAGTCTTGCTTTGTCGCCAGGCTGGATTGCAGTGGCGCGATCTCGGCTCAGTGCAACCTCCGATTCCCTGGTTCAAGCAATTCTACTGCCTCAGCCTCCCAAGTAGGTAGGATTACAGGCACGTGCCACCATGCCCAGCTAATTTTTTGTATTTATTTATTTATTTTTTTTAAGGAGAGACTGGGTTTCACCATGTTGGCTAGGATGGTCTCGATCTCCTGACCTCATGATTCACCCACCTCGACCTCCCAAAGTGCTGGGATTACAGGTGTGAACCACCATGCCTGGCCAAAATAACAGTTTTTTACAAAGATGGAAATGGTCCTTAAACATATGAAAAGTTTTCAAATTCCCTAAATAGATAAAATTAAAACAACACTGAGATATTTCTTATCACACTGGCAAAAGTGAGAAAATATGACAACAGATTCTGTTGGTGAAGATTGTGGGGAAACAGGCACTATCTATGCATTGCTGTGAGAATGCAGGTTAGTTCATTCCTGCTAGAGGGATGACAGAGACAGGAACTCTGTACTATTTTTTCAACTTTTCTATAAGTCTAAAATTATTTCAAAATAAAAAGTAAAACAAAAGTCAGTGGTACATATTTAACCTCAAAGTTTTGGTTAGTTGTGTTGTTGTTGTTGCCTTTAACTAAGTGCACCAGGAATACCATGTAGTAAAAGGGCCATTGGGGCTGTGGAAAAATTGCACTCCTCCTGGTCCCTTTTGAAATAAATCCACATAGAAGTTATAGGAGATAACATCCATGTACCTATTGTATCAGTCAGCTAAGGCTGCCATAACAGAATGCCACAGACTGAGTGGCTTAAGCAATGAAATTTATTTCTTACAGTTCTGGCAGCTAGAAGTCTAAGATCAAGGTGCCAACAGGATTGGTTTCTAGTGAGGCGCCTCTTTCTGTCTTGCAGGTGGCCCCCTCCTTGCTGTATTCTCATATGGTCTTGCCTCTGTATGCACAGAGAGGGCTCTCTGGTGTCTCTTCCTGTTCTGGTAAGAATAGCAGTCCTATTGGATTAGGGCCCCACTATTATGACCTCATTTAACCTTTATCACTTCCTTAAAGACCCTGTCTCCAAATATAGTCACATAGTATGTGGGGAGGCATTAGGACTTCAACCTATGACTTTGGGAAGTTGTACAATTGAGTCCATTTCACCTATGCATTTGAGTTTAGTCTTTAAGTATCCAAAAATGTAGGAAATTAGTAAAATTTTTCCAGTGACAAGAAGCAAAAAAAAGTCAAAATCATTTGAGAAAGTACTATGAAATCATCTAGTTCTTTGAATCTTTTCTCAGGGAACGCCAGTGAAGAACATTTCTCCCTATAGTTCAAAGAATTATGAAATAAGGCATATGCATTAGAGATGGGCTACGGGGAGAGAGAATGAGTAGTTCTGCTGAACTGATTAGCTTTCTTGTTAAGTAAGTGAAAAGCATGTTAATTTCATTTATTGCTTATAAAGTGCACAAAAAATCAGACTTGCTGTATAAACCCTTCTCTTTCTGATAACAGCCATGGGTTGACTGTGTAGAAGGGCAATTAAGGAGAAATGATGAATCATTGCCTGTGGCCAACACACTATCCAAACTGATAAAGTTTTGCAAAAACGGACTTCACACATATTGAAGATGATTTGATTCCTGATGAGAAGGAATCAGAAAATAGGTAATTTTTTGAGATCTCTTGGGAATTCTCAAGTGCTACAGAAAGAGCAAGGGTACCCAGCATTACAAAGAAGTGGGGCCCTAATCTGATACGACTGGTAGTCTTGTAAGAGTTGGAAGACAGATCTCTCTTTTTCTCTATCCCCCACCTCCACCCCCATCTTCTACTGCCAGCTTTTGGCTCACAAAGAAGAGGTTGTGTAAGTACACGGTAAGAAGGTGGCCATCTACAAACCAGGAAGAGAGCCATCACCTAGAACCAAATCAGCCGGGGCCTTGATCATGGACTTCCCAGCCTCAAGAACTATGAGAAATAAACTGTTGTTGTTTAAGTCAACTAGACTGTGGTGTTATGGCATACTGAGATGACTAATGCATATTTATGTCCAGCAGTGAAATTGCTGGGTCATATAGTAATTCTATGCTCAACATTTTGAGTAACTGCTGAACTATTTTCCAAAGTGACTGTGCTTTTCACATTCCCACCAGCTAAGTATGGAGGTTCTGATTTCCCCACATTCTTGCCAGTACTTGTTATTGTCTATCTTTTAAATTTTTGCTATTCTAATGGGTGTGAAGTGGTATCTCATTGTTGTTTTGATTTGTATTTCCCTAATGACTAATGATGTTGAACATGTTTTTATATTCTTATTCAATATTTATATGTCTTTGAAGAAATGTCTATTCAAATTCATTGCCCATTTTAAAATTGAGGCTTTTTTATTGTTGAATTGTAACAGTTATTTATATTCTGGATTTTAATTCCTTATTGCATATATAATTTGCAATTTTTTCCCCATTGTGTGTTATCTTTCACCACTTTGTCCTTTGAAGCACAAACATTTTAATTTTGATGAAGTCTAAATTGCTTTATTTTTCTTCCTGTTGTTTGTGTAGTTTGCATCAGATCTAAGAAATCTTTGCCTAATCCAAGGTCACAAAGGCTTACTCTTGCAAGAGTTTTAGCTCTTTATAAAGTTTTAGCTCTTACCTTTTAGGTCAGTGATTGATTTTGAGTTAATATTTTTATATGATGTGAGCTCTAGGTCCAACTTTATCTTTTTGAATATGGATATTCAATTGTCCCATCACTATTTATTGAAAATAATTTTTTTCCTCATTGAATTGTCCTGACACCTTCATCAAAAAGAAATTTACCATAAATGTTAGGGTTAATTTTTGAACTCTCAATTCTATTCCATTGATCAATATGTGTATCCTTATGCCAGTGTCATACTGTCCTGATTAGTATAGTTTTGTAATGAGTTTTGAAATCAGAAAATATTAGTCTTCCAACTTTGTATATTTTCCAAGATGTTTTTGGCTATTTGGGTCTCTTGGATTTCCATATGAATTCTATGATCAACTTGTCAGTTTCTGCAAAAATAACAACTGATTATTTGATAGGACTTGTATTAAATCTGTAGATCAGTCTAAGGAGTATTGCCATCTTAAGTTTTCTGATCCATGAGTATGGGATGCATTTCAATCTATTTAGGTCTTTTTTACTTTTTCTTTTTTAAAAACAATGTTGTATAGTTTTCATGAGGAGGCTTATGCTTTTTTTGTTAAATTTATTCCTATGTATATATATTTTTTTATTTGTTTTATTTATTTCAATTTTGGATTGCTCTTTGCTAGTGTATAGGAATATAATTGATTTTTATATATTGATCTTGTAAACTGCAACCTAGCTGAACTTATTTGTTCTAATAGCTAAAAAAAACACCTTCTATAGACAAAGTCATATCACTTGTGTATAGAGATAGTTTTACTTCTTCCTTTCCAATCTGGATGTCCTTTATTTTTCTTGCCTAATTGCCTGGGTTGAAACATCTAGTATAATGTTGAACATCAGTGGTGAAAATGATTTCCTTGTCTTGTGCTGGATTTTCAGGGAGAAAGGTTTCAGTCTTTCACCAATGAGTATGATTCTAGCTGTGAGCTTTTATGTACATGATCTTTACAATGTTGACGTTTCCATCTGTTCCTAATTTTTAATTTTTTTCTGTGGGAGTGTTGGATTTTGTCAAATGCTTTTTTTCTGCATTTATTGAGAAGGTCATGCTTTAATAATTTGTTCTACTTAATATGGCGTATTGCATTGACTGATTTTTCATATGTTGAGCCAACCTTGAATTCTTGGGATAAATCCCTTGGACATGGTGTGTAATTGTTTTGATATGTGGCTGAATTAAGTTTGCTAGTATTTGTTAAACATGTTTGCATATATATATTCAGAAGAGATTTTGGTCTGTAGTTTTCTTATCTTTTGTCTGTTTTTGATATCAGAGTAATACTGGCTTCATAAAATGAATTATGAAGCATTATCTCCCCCTCACTTTTTTGGAGGGGGAAGAGTTTGTGAGGTATTTTTGTTAATTCTTACATGTTTGGTAGAACTCACCAGTGAAGTCATCTGTTCCTGACATTTATTTGCGGGATTTTATTTTTATTTATTTTATTTATTTATTTATTTATTTTTGTTGTTGTTGAGACGGAGTCTTGCTCTGTCGCCCAGGATGGAGTGCCGTGGCGCCATCTCAGCTCATTGCAAGCTCCGTCTCCTGGGTTCACACCATTCTCCTGCCTCAGCCTCCTAAGTAGCTGGGACTACAGGCTCCTGCCACCACGCCGGGCTAATTTTTTGTATTTTTAGTAGAGACAGGGTTCCACCGTGTTAGCCAGGATGGTCTCCATCTCCTGACCTCGTGATCCGCCTACCTCGGCCTCCCAAAGTGCTGGAATTACAGGTGTGAGCCACTGCGCCCAGCCTATTTGTGGGATTTTAAAAATTACTGATGAAATCTCTTTATTTTTATACATCAATTTATATTTTCTATTTCTGCTTGACTCAGTTTCAGGAGCTTGTGTCCAATTCATTGAGGTTATTTATTGGCATGCAACAGTTCATAGTATTCTGTTCTATTTTAAAATTTCTGTAAGATCAATAGTAACAACATTTTCATTCTTGTTTATAGTAACTTGTCTCTTCTCTTTTTCTTGGAATTCTAGCTAAAGGTTTGCCAATTTGAAGGTCTTTTTAAAGAATTCACTTTTGATTTTATTGATTTTTTAAAAATATTATTGTATTCTCTATATATTTATTTCACCTCTAATATTTATTATTCCCTTCCTTCAGATTACTTTGTTTTTAGTTTGCTCTTTTTTTCTAGTTTCTCAAGGTGGAAGACTGTTATTGATTTCAGATCTTTCTTCTTTTTTAATATACATGTTTCAAGCAATAAATTTCCCTATAAGCACTGCTTTAGCAATATCCTAAACTTTTGGGATGTTGTGTTTTGTCTTCATTCATCACAAAGTATTTCAGTTTCCCTTGTGATTTCTTTTTTGACTTATCAATTATTTAGCAGGGCATTGTTTAATTTTTACATATTTGTGATTTTCACAAATTTCCTTCTGTTACTGATTTTTAATTTTATTTCACCGTGGCCAGAGAACATGCTGTATGATGTCAATCTTTTTAAATTTGCTAAGAGTTGTTCTATGGCTTAACATATGGTCTATGCTGGAGAGTATTCCATGTGTACTTTAAAAAATGTGTATTCATTACCATGACCAACGTGGTGAAACCCCGTCTCTACTAAAAATAAAAAAATTAGCTGGGTGTGGTGGTGCCTGCCTGTAATCCCAGCTATGCAAAAAGCTGAGGCAGGAGAATCGCTTGAACCTGGGAGGCGGAGGTTGCAGTGAGCCAAGACTGCTCCATTGCACTCCAGCCTGGGCTACAGAGTGAGACTCCATCTCAAAAAAGAAAAAAAGAAAAAATGTGTATTCACTGTTGCTGGGTGAAGTGAGATTTCCATTAGGCCACATTGATTTACAGTGTTGTTCAAGTCTACTATTTCTTTCTGCTTATTTATTACTGAAAATAGGGGTTTTAAGTCTTTATTACTGCTGAATTGTCTATTTCTCTTTAATTCGGGCAGTTTTTGCTTCGTATATTTTGGAGCTCTGTTATGTGCATATATACTTATAAGTATATTCCTCATGGATTGGATGGATTGACCTTTTTGTCATTGTAAAATATCTCCTTTGAAATTTTTGTCTTAAAGTCTATTTTGTCTAATATTAGTGTAGCTACTTCAGATCTCTTTGGTTATTGTTTGTGTATGTTTTATGTATTTTTTCTTCCAAACGTATTTGTGCCTTTAAATGTAAAGTATGTGAGTGTGCCACTTGTAGGTAGGATATATTAAGGCTATCCTACTAGTTTCTATTTTTTGATAGGTGAGTTAACCATTTCCATTTAATATAATTACTGATGAGATAAGAGTTAAGTCTGCTATTTTACCTTTTTTTCTATGTCTTTTTTTGGCTTATCCTTTCATTACTGTCATCTTTAGTGTTAAACAGATATTTTAAAATGTATTATTTAAGTTTTATAGTTATTTCTTTTATATTTGATTAATTTTCATAGTGGTTGCTCTGGGGATTACAATGAACACATTATAAAAATCTAGTTTGGCTTATTATCAATTTAATAGTATGCAAAAATTTTGCTCCTGTGTAGCTCTGAGGTTTCCCTTATTCTTGGTGCTTGTAATACAAAGTATATCTTTATACATTAATTATTGCTTCATGCAGTTGTCTTTTAAATCAAATAGGATAAGGCAGTAGTTACAAACAAAAAGGTTTACAAAGAATGGAAACAAAATAAGACTGAAGCAGATGTGGGAGAATATATGTGGGAAAATAAATCCTTGGGATAAAAAATCCTGGAAACATTTCTCCAAATTAAAGCTGCTAAGAAAAATTTGAAAGTAAAGGAGGAGTAGGTTAGATCTACTAGTAATGAGTTCTCTCATATTTCGTTTATCTGGGAATGCCTTAATTTCACCTTAGGTTTTGAAAGATGGTTTTGCTAGACATAGAATTCTTGGTCAATTATCTTTTTCTGGTCAGGCACAGTGGCTCATGCCTATAATCCCAGCACTTTGGGAGGCCAAGGTGGGCGGATCACGAGGTCAGGAGTTTGAGACCAGCCTGGCCAATGTGGCGTAACCCTGTCTCTACTAAAAATACAAAAATTAGCTGGGCATGGTGGCGCGTGCCTGTAATCCCAACTACTCAGGGGGCAGAGACAGTAGAATTGCTTGAACCTGGGAGGTGGAAGTTGCAGCGAGCTGAGGTCATGCCATTGCACTCTAGTCTGGGCAACAGAGCAACACTCTGTCTCAAAATTTTTTTTTTTAATTAAAAAAATTTTTTTTTTTAGCACTTTGAATATGTCATATTACAGTCTTCTGTTTTTAATAGTTCTCATGGGAAATCCGCTGTTGATCATATCAAAGATCCCGTGTATGTGATGAGTTGCTTCTTTTGTTTTCAAGATTCTGTCTTCAGCTTTCTTTTTTTTTTTTTTTTGGATTTATTTTTTTATTTTTATTTTTTTATTGTACTTTAAGTTTTAGGGTACATCTGCACATTGTGCAGGTTAGTTACATATGTATACATGTGACATGCTGGTGCACTGCACCCACTAACTTCAGCTTTCTACAGTTAGATTACAATGATTCTAAATGTGCATCTCTTTATATTTATCCTACTCTGTAGATCTCTTTATGTTGATCCTAGTTGTATTTTTAAAGTTTGAATATATAAATTTTTTTTCCATAAATTTGGGAAATTTTCAGTGGTTATTTCTTCAAATATTATTTCTATTTCTGTTCCCTTTCTCCTCTTTTTCAGATATTCCCATTATTCATATGTTGGTATGCTTGATGATATCTCAAAGATTTCTGAGTCTCTGTTCATTTTTCTCTTTTTTCCTCCTCAGGATAGATAATCTCAATTATTCAATTTTATAACTTCTTAATTCTTTATTCTGCCAGCTCAAATCTGCGGTCAAGCTCCTTTAGGAAATTTTAAATTTCAGTTACTACACTTTTCAACTCTGGGATCTCTATTTGATTCTTTAAAAAAAACTATATCTCTTTATTCTCTATTTGGTAAGACGTCATTTTCATACTTTCCTTTAGATACTTAGACATGGTTTCCTTTAGTTCTGTGAAATATTTAAAATAGCTGATCTAAATTCCTTATCTAGTAAGTCCAATGTCTGAGTTACCTCAGGGACAGTTTCTATGGACTGCCTTCCTCCCACCCCCATGCGTGGGCCACACTTTCCTATTTCTTTGTGTGTCACGTACATTTTATTAGAAGTTGAACACTTTAAATAATGTGGCAACTTTGGAAATTAGATTCCTTCCCACTCCAAGGCTTGCTGTTCTTGTTTGTGTCGTGACTTTCCTGAAATAATATATAAAGTTCGTATTGTTTTGTGTGGCTCCTGATGTCTTTTTGTTTAGCTTGGTGGTCAGCTAATAATTAGGCAGTGAAAGGTTTCCTTAAATGTCTTGAACCAATAAGTTTTTGAGACTTTGCTAAATGGCTTTGTGTGTATATGTGCTGAGGCATGTTTTTAACTCCAGAAGGCAGTTCATATTCTTTATTAATCATCTTTACTTCCTGCTTGCACAGAGCCTCAAGTTCATCCAGAGGTGAGAGATTAAAACTTCTCAATTCTTTCCTGGGCATGTGCACAGTTTTGCATATGTATATTGCCCTCTGGTTCCCAGGAGGTATGGTGGAGCTTTTCAAAGCGTCCAAAGAACATCTCATTCTCCAGCTTTTCCTTTTAAACTTTTTGGTCAGCTTCTTGTTTTGGTCAGCTGTTATTCTCACCCCAGTCAGATGCAATGTTAAACACTTGCCACTGATTGTTTTGCACAGATACCCTAGGGAAAATTATATTTACACTAAGCAAGTTCTGAGATCAAATCAAGGTAAGCCATGTAAGTGAGGGTTAAAGACATTTAAGGACCTGCTAGACAGGTCAAATAATGACAGTTATCTGGGAATGGGGCTTTTCGGGAGAACTCCAAAGCAGTTTTGCCTTCTCCAGTGACTGCTAGGTTGTTGATTTTCCTGGCTACTATGTTTATGAGGCTGTTGGTTTTCATGCTAGGGAGCTGTGGAGAAGGGGAATGGGGATAGGGCAGAATAAGATACCTCAAAGCTCACATTAAAAAAAACAAGATTCAGCTATTTTTCTTGGATAAATCCACCTTGAATTGCTGCAAGCCTTTGGTTAGTTTTTTGAGTTCTCAAAATGTTGATTTTTTTGATAATTTTTTCAGTGTTCTCATTGCTTTTATTGAGGAATCAGTTTTGGAGGACTTTCCTCAGCAATTTTAGAATTTCTCTCCTCCAAAGTTAACCAGATTTGGGGGAAGGGGGTGGGAAGTGTGTTCTAGGCTGAGGCAAGAGTTATTTGCAAAGGCTTGGTGATGGTGTGCTGGAAATTCTGTTTTGATACTCAGCTTTGTTCCTGCTCATTTTAGTGTTCCCTTGAAGAGCAATGACTAGAAGCCTAGAAACTTCATTTCCCAGACCTCCTTGCCAGCAGGATTCTACTATGTGGGATTTGAAATACAGAAGAGAAGAAGCAGCTATTTCTCTTTAGCAGTTACTGTGGACAGGGCATAGATGTGGACGTGCTAGAGATGAGAGGTTTGCCAGCAGATTCCAGTGTTCTCCTGAGAATCACTCATTCTGCATTGAAAGCAGCTGATAATCAGGAACAGTATTTTTGTGATCCTTCCACTTTCTGACCTTTGATTTGACCTTTTCCCTGACCTTTGATTCCCCAGCTCTTCAAAACTTTGTTTCTAGTTTTCTGTATTAAGTATTTTTCTGCTAAAAATATCTAGACTTCTGTTTTTCTTATAAATGGTTGAATGATATTGATATGAAGAGGCTTAATGAGTTCATTGAACTGAAAGGAAGCCAGTGTGGCTGAAATTTTGAGAATATGGGAAGAGAGTTGTGAAGTCTGATTGAAGGGTGCCAAAATCCAATGATACACGATGCAGTTGGGTTCATAATTAAGTGAAGTCTGGAGAGATGGAGTGTGCGAGGCAAATTGGAGAGCATGCATCCCATCTAAAGATGACTCCAAATTTTTCAAGGGCAATGAGAAATCCAAATTTTTATGTCAAATCAGCCACATGTAAATATTGGGCGTATATTTGATTTTAAAACACAATGTATTAGCTCAAATCATATCAGTGTTTTATTCTGTTGGTTGCCAGTTTTTGCATACTGGCATCTGAAGCAAAGTCTTTTAGGATGTTTTCCTTCTTTTTAAAATTGCTGCTCTTTATCTCTCTTATTCCTACATTTCACTCCTCCTACTTATTGTTGCTTTTACTACCTTCTCTATCCGCTGTATCAGTTTCTAAACTCAGCCTAAAATAACAGAAGTTGAAAGGGGAGGAGATTCAGTGGAGTGTGATTTGAAGAAAAAAACCAATATTCATTTCTACCCATTAGCCCTGCTTTGAGGAATAGAGACTAATTTTAATATCTACTTAACTATTTCTTCATTAAAAGAGTATTTAAGAAGTTGTTTCACCAAGACTATATAATAAAGGTGATTTGCGTCATATTTAATTCTTGCCCTATGTCTTTAGGCAGTAACATAATGGAATTTTATTTTGGAGATGATAAAATATGAATATTTTACAATACTGCTTATATTGCTGAAAATATTATGTTTAACATTCTTAAATGGCTGCTGAAAGACTATAGCCATTGAAAAGTAGAATTTCATGCAATTAAAGAAGACATGTGGACATTTCTGGAGGGACAGTGAAAGCATAATGGAAGGAGCATGAGCTTTAGAGTTAGCAAGAGCTGGGTTTCAGCATTGCTCTGCTGTGTATAAGCTATGTGAACACTGGCAAGTTTCTTAGCTTCTCTGAGCTCCTGTAATATGTGGATAAGGAGTGAGAGAGGATTAATTAATTGCTTAGAAGTTTTCTGAGAGTCTCCTTTATGCCAGCTATTGCTTTAGACATAGTCTACTCACATAGAATTTACAGTCTAGCAGGGAAGACAGGTAAGAAATAAAAATTCTAAACAATTATTTCATTAACGTGATAGGTGTTATAGAGGAAAACGACAGCGTGCAAAGAGATCAAAACTAATGGGGAGTGGTTGTGCATGGCCATAGCCCAAAAATGTTTGAGTGAGCATGTGTATGAGAAAGTTAATATGAGTGTTTTGGTTAGATTCGGGAAAAGAGGTCTAAACAATGGCATGGCTTAAATTTCAGATTTCAAGAGGTTATTATTACTTAACATTGCTGCTGTCCTGATGGCAGTTTAAGAGTTCAGAGTTGATGCTGAGAAAATGATTTGGATGTGAGAGATATTGTCAAAAAATATTGTCTATTACCAGATGGCCTGGTAATAGACTCATTTTTAGTGTTGCCTCTGACCAGTCTGGTCCTTACTTCTCTATGCACAGTTGGTGATTAAGGGGATGTGTTAAAGTTCCTGATTAAGGTAGTCCCATTAAGTTCTCAGGTGAATTCAAGTCAACACAAATGAATGTGCTTAAGAGGAAGTAGTAGAAATTCTCCCCAGGTAGCTTAAGCCACAATAGGGAATCTTTTATAAGGTCTACACATCCTAATCACGGGGATGGTGGCCAAGCCTTAGGAGGGACTGAAAACAGGTCCTAGAAAGGCATCAATAGCTGATGCAGCTTCTCCTGCTCCTCTCTCCACACTCCCCCTTCTCTGCTTTGTTCTCTTCTCATAGCAGAGTTTCTTTCTCTGCTTCTCTGACTCCAGTTACAGGAGGTTCTAGCCAACTGCAGACAGTAGTTAATTGATCTCTCTCAGAAGGGAGAGTCTAATCAGTCCTGCTTTGATTAGGTATTTCCCCACATCTAATCCAAACTGGCTGGGTGGGATCACATAGCACCACACAGGCCCTCCACCTCAGGAGTAACTTCTGGGGTTTATTCATCAGGTTAGTGGGAATAAAAACCATTCATACTTTATTAGGAAAGTTATGAAGATTATATGCAATAATACATTTCAATCATTTTAGCTTAGTGCTTGGCACATAGTAATCAGTGAATAAATATGAGCTATTAGTATTGTTATTGTAGCTATTTGTCATATTATTTCAATATTTGTTTGCTCAGAGTCATTGAAACCATTTCAGGAAAGTTAGAATAAAGAAAAAGGCTTATTCTGGAACCAATGCTTAAGCAAGTTTGGGAGTATGTGTCTGAATGTATCCTCATTAGAGAAGTATCTATCAGTCTTGGAAACAAGGCTCATAAAATTAAATTTGCTATACTCTTTTCTTTATCATTCTATTGAAGCAAACCAGATGGCAAGAAGGCAAGTAAGAAAGCTTATCATTACCAAGTTAGCTGCTTAGACGTTGCTCAACTTCTAATGAATAAAATAGGTATTAATAGTAATATAATCGTTGGTACCAGTTGAAGTTTGCAGTTATTAAAGCAGTAATAAAAAGAAAGTCATAGCCATTACATGATTTTCCCACATTTTAATAGGCATTGCCTCTGAATAATTAAGGCATGCCCATTAAATTCTCAGATGAATAAAGTTAATGTAAGTGAACATTAAGTCAATACACTGGCTGAGAATACTTTTTTTTAAGAAAAATTTCTCTTATTTTCTCAAGTTTTTGGCTGCTGGAAAAAACTGAGTTATAAAGTCAGTCTACTATGGTAAAAAGTTCTGACAAATCTTTAGTATTTCCATATAAACATTAAAAATGGATAAAATTATCTTTTGGCAATTAAGCAAAAGTAGTTTTTGATTTTCTTCGTGCCAAGATGGTTGTGATTTGGGTCAATTCGGCAAGCTTGTGTTAATCCGGTGTGGTGTCTTTTCAATGCCCTTGTACTGGCTGTTCTGCTTGGGGCATTTTCCCTAGATATTTGCATGGCTCCCCCACCCCTTTCTCACATCTTTGCTCAAATGTTACCTTCTCAATGACACCTACTCTAATCACCCTGTTAAAAATTTCCTTCTGCCAGAGCAGTATTCCTAACCCCCTTCTCTTTTGTTCAATATTTTCCCATAGAACTTATAACATTCTAGCATGTTAGTTAACTTACTTATGATGTTTATTGTCTGTCTCCATGATGTTCTTATCTGTTTTTACTGATGTATCTCCAGTGCCTTGAACCATGTGAATGTCAATCGAGAAAAATGACGAGACAAGTCTCAATCATTTTAGGAGGTTTATTTGCTAAGGTTAAGGACGGACTCAGGAGACAGGTCTATGCCTTTCTCCGAAGATGATTTTGAGCGCTCCAAATTTAAAGGGGAAAGGGCAGGATATTGAGAAGAACACAATTTTCATGTAAGAGGTGGGGTAGGGAAAATCGTCATTCATCCCTTTGGCTCAGTGAATCTGCTTTTTTTTTTTTTTTTTTTT
The DNA here is from genome assembly GCF_000001405.40 of Homo sapiens. Lineage (NCBI taxonomy): Eukaryota > Metazoa > Chordata > Mammalia > Primates > Hominidae > Homo > Homo sapiens. Next base: position 5,453,607 of record NC_000003.12, read on the forward strand.
TTCATAAGATGACACAGACAAATGGGGCAGAGGGAAAACGCATGGCAGGGGAACAATCAGATATGCATTTGTGTCAGGTGGGCAGAGGGGGTGACCTGTAAATGTAAACTGTCAATTTACATTGCCATGGTGAAATTTTAACAGAAACACTTTACAGTAAAGATCTTGGAGCTCACTAGGAATTTCCTTCTGGGAAAAATGTGAGGGAGGTATGTAGCTTTTCATCTTGTAGCCATCTTATTTAGGAACCAAAAAAGCAGGAGGCAGGTTTGTGTGACCCAGTTCCCAGCTTAACTTTTCCCTTTGGCTTAATGAGTTTGGGGTCCCAATATTTAATTTCCTTTCACACCAGACACAGAGTAGGCCTTCTAAAAATATCTAATGTCATAAACTATGTATATAAATGCCATACATATACATCTATATAAGTCAGTGGGGCTTCTATATTTTAATGTATGTTTTTATATACTATTTCTTTTTGAAGTTTCATCCTTCTATCTATCCATCCATCCTATAAATATTTTCTGAGGACCTAATGCTTTTCCCTGGAGTTTTCTTTTCTGTGGGAAACAAAGAAAGGGAGACTACATTCATTCTTTACTGAGCTTATGATACAGTTGTGTCAAGAGACAGTAAAACATTTTCCATACAATAGACTCAGGGCTATTAAAGGAGCAGTACCAGATACCAAGGGAGAAGAGAGCAGAGGGTTGTGAAGCAGGGATAGGCTTCTTTGAATGGGGGGCCTGAATGAATGTTGGGTACGAGTCACCCCAGCAAAGGCGCATGTGAGGGGTATGGGGTAGACAGAATGTATGGCAGTTGTGTGACAGGGAGAAGAAAACATGCGCACAGGCCTAGAGGTAGGAGACATCAGACTGGAGTGGGAATGAGGAAACCTGTGAGAGCTACAAAGGCCATGACCTCAAACACCTTGTAAACCGTACTGAGGAATTTAGACTTGTCTTGAGTTGTTGGTCAATTTTAAGTGACAGGGAAAGATGCAATGCAATTTCCATTGACGGTGGCTGCTCTATATTTATGTCTCATCCTCCATCTGTGAATGCCGAATATAATACTTGAGGTAATCATTGAAGTCAGATTTGCCTACAAAAGCTGCCACCTGAATACCATTTTAGAGTACAGCCATCCCGTGGTATATTTGGGGAATTGGTTCTAGGACCCCACGTTAACCACATCGATACATATGCAGTCCCCCAGTGGGCCATGTGGAACGCTCATACATGAAAAATTGGTCCTCTGTAGAGGCAGGTTTTGCGTCCCAAGGATGCTGTGATTTACATCTGTGTTTGATTGAAAAAATTCACATATAAGAGGCCCTGTGCAGTTTAAACCCATGTTGTTCAAGGGCCAACTATATGTTCACTGTCTTGTGTGCCTAGAGTCCATTTCCTCCTCCTCTGGTTATAGAACCCAGTGTTTCCTTTGGGAGACTCTATTTAATCCATGCTTTCAGTCCTGGTTTCTTAGGTGGGGCTCTACCTGTGATGCCAGAGGTTGAGCAGGTGTGCCTGACTCAACAGAGCACTAAATCATACCTCTGGCAATTGGTTTAGATAGGGGCATATGATGCAGGCCCATCCAATCGATGTACATTCATGTTTATTTAGCTTCAGTAATTATATAAATATGGTCAATTTGGCTTAAAGTTTAATTCAGGGGTTATTGGGAGGAATAGCTCTTTTTTTCTGCTAGACTTGAACCTTGTGTGATGGTGGTTAGTAGCCGCTGGCAGCCGTCTTGGCACTGGAAGCCCTATACTGGAGCCAAGATGGAGAACAGCAGCTCTGCAAGATGGGGACACTGCATTTTGAGGGCATTGTCTCCTAAATCATACTTTGCATAAAGCCAGGAAAAAAACTGCAATTTTCAAAAATATGAGTTTTTTTTTCTGCATTTTTTTGATTAAGCAGTTTGAGTTGGGGTTTTCTGTCTTTGCAGTGGTAAACATCTTGATTAATCTAAACTGCAAGGGATTTCCCTGCTTAAGGAATGCATATAGATTGAATTCCCGGTGCTTGTTCTAAAATTAGGAAATGAAATCCTAAAGAAAATTTTATTTACTTTTAATATGGCTACTATATAAAGTATGTCCTCATGAAAGACATTGGATAACAATAGTGGTCCTCAAACTTTCAGTCATAGAATGCCACTGTTAGATAGTTTGAGTCACTAGGTTGAGGAGTAGCAGGGTCAAGGATCCGCATTTCTAACCAGCTTCCCAGGGTTTCTGTGAGATGTTCAGCTGCTCACACTTTAAGAATAATGATCTTATAGCATTATAGCTGTATTGGAAATAGGAACTTCGGAGAAAAATATATAAAAACATTATATCAGAGGAGGGATACGGGCAAAACCTCTTGCACAGAATCCAAGGCCATGAATAATATAATATGATGCTGATTTTTAAGTCCAACTTCATCTACCACTGTGCCCCCAAATAACCGTTTGCTTTAAGTAGAGTACCTCTTAAGAACATTTCAATATTTTGGCCTACAAAACTCCTTTTCTCTTTTCTCCCCAACAGTGACATGTCCCTCCATTTTTTACGAGTATCTGATTTGTACTCATCACCAAGAACCTATCTAGCTCAGTATTCCTCCAGTCTTAATTGACATACACATCACCCAGGGATATTGTTAAAATGTAGATTCTGACTCAGTAAGTCTGTGGCAGGGCTTGAGATTCTGCATGTCTAACGAGCTCCCAGGTGATGCTGGTGTTGCTGCCATTCTTGGAGCAAGAAGGCTCCTGCCTACAGTCAACTCTGTCTTCTGAGAACCCCTCCTACCCTGGTGAATGTACAGTTCTATGTCTATTTCTTAGTATTAGTCATCTTTCCTATGTGCATGCCTTTCCTCTCTAAAGGGATTCATATTTACTATTTAACTACTAAATACTAAGTATTCTGCATGTATTATCTCAATTCTTTCAACTACCCTGGTTAGATGGTATTATCACTGACTTTATATGGATTAAAAAGTAGGTTCTGAGATATTAAAGGACCATTTAATCAAGATTGCACGCAATTTTCTTTCTTTCGTTTCTTTTTTTTTTTTTTTTGAGATGGAGTCTTGCTCTGTCACCCAGGCTGGAGCGCAGTGGTGCGATCTCGGCTGACTGCAAGCTCCGCCTCCCAGGTTCACGCCCTTCTCCTGCCTCAGCCTCCCTAGTAGCTGTGACTACAGGCCCCCGCCACCACGCCCAGCTAATTTTTCGTATTTTTAGTAGAGACGGGGGTTTCACCTTGTTAGCCAGGATGGTCTCGATCTCCTGACCTCGTGATCCACCTGCCTCGGCCTCCCAAAGTGCTGGGATTACAGGCATGAGCCACCGTGCCCAGCCACAATTTTCTTAAAAGCTCTTGAAGGTGTGATCTGGGTTTCATATGTCTTTAGCTCCATAACAATATGCAGTGCAGGGGATTATAACTTACGGAAGTTTAATAGACTCTCAATGGTCATTTGGTAAATAATAAACCCTTCAAATCATAGTCTTAAGTGTTTATAATGATTCAGAAAATTCTCACAATATCATATTGAGTGAAAAGTCAGGATATAAAATTATCAGTGACACCATCTTAATTCTGCCAAAAGTACACAGACAAAAGGACAAAGGAAAAAAACTAACACCATACATAGTGATTATTTTGAGAAGGGAGAGCTGATAGTATAGAGCTTTCTGCTTTTATAAGTGACTGTATTTTCTGATACATATATATTTTTGGCAATGAGCATGTATTGCTTTTATAACCAGCAAAACCAACCAATGTAAGTAGGTATAATGAATTTATTGCTAGGACCAGGCAAGACTTGTGCAGAAAAGAACAGAGGGAGTCAAGTCAGGTCTGGGAAGTGATGGATGCCTCGCACATGCAAAGGCAGTAACACATGTGCATGGAGTTAGCTCTTAGAGAGGCACAGCCAGATAGAAACTTGCTTCTAGTTTTTGTTGTAAAACTTGGGAATGCTTTTTATTATCTTTTAAAACTTATTTTCATTGAAGTATAATACATATATAGAAAAGTTCACATAACATAACTATGTTGCTACCTGGATTTTTATAAACCTAACATCCATGTAAGCAGCACCCAGATAAAGAAATAGAACAGTATCAGTACACTCAGAACCCCTGCTGTGTTCCTTTTGGTTATTCTGCCTACCCTACTTGCCGCACATCTGCCAGGGTAACCACCGTTCTGACGTGCAACAGTGTGGATTAGTTTTGCCTGTTTTTACCATTTAAATCTGGAGTCATACAGTGTGCAGTTGTGTGTCTCTTTTATGCAATGTTTGTGAGAGTTATCAATATTGCAAGTTCTTGTCGATATTTTCATTGCTGTATAGTATTCTGTTACATACAATGTGACTATAACACTGTCTATTCAACTCCTGATGCACATAGGGTAGTTCCTAGATTTTTGTTATGTATAATGCTGCTATGAATACTACAGTATGGATTTTAGTCAGTGACATTTATTTTAATATGCTCTGACAATTATTTGACATAGGACTTTCCGATGGATTCTGGTGACTAGCAGTATCCTAAAACTTTAAGGATGCTCTAAGACTCATTTGGAGAACTTTGGAAATTTTGAGTCAACAGTTTTGGGGTAAGAACCTGGAATCTGTATTTTAACCAAGTGCTCTTTGGGTGCCATCTTGAGAAACATCTTTATAAAGAGAAAGAATATGAAACTGAGAGAAACTATGGTTCTAATCTTGGTTTTCCATTTCCTAATTTGATCTGGGGGAAATTACTTGCCCTTACTAGTCTGCTCCCCCACTCCTCCTCCTCCCTCTTCCTCTTGTAATAATGCCTTCCCAGTTTGAGTATCTGATTCAAATGAAAGAAAATACATGAAAAGGGAAAATGCAAATGAAAGACATTATTCTGATCACCTAGAGCCTAACAATGATGGTAAGAATAGACAATAAGAATGTAGTTAGTAATACTACCATATACTTAGGTGACATGCCTGAAGGGGGTAATTTTATTTTTATGAAAGTATGCTACTTCTGTAAAAATTGTGATTGCACAGAGAGATGTGACTCCTATAAACAGTTGACTCATTTTATCTCAGGTTAGTTTTGGAAAACTAACAGTGCTCAGTGGTTAGCTCACAATACATTGAGTCAGTAGATGGTCATTCTGAGGTTGGTCAAGGAGCTAAGAAAATCTGAAGCAAGACTAAATTACTTTGTTTCATATTCCTTTAGCAAGATGTAGTTAGGGATTTCTACATTATAGGAGCTCAAAACATTCTTATTGATAAGTTGATAATGATAAATAATGATCCCTTCCTAATTCCTAATTCTCTGCCTCTCTTCCACCCACTCTCTGCTCTCGCCTCTTTGACATTTTCTCATAGTGAATGTTCCATGTTCGTTCCAACCTCAGCACTTTTGCCCATGCCGTAACCTTTCCCTGGAATGACGTTTAATTCTATGGCCAACATGTACCTATTATCCCTTGGGCTTAATTTAAGGACCACTTCCTATTGGAGAACTTCCTGAGATCTCTGGTTACATAATTTCTCATCACTCTGAATGTCTTCACCATAGGACCACTCACACTGCTGAGTTTTCATAGCTGATCTATCCTGAGGCTGTAAGCTTCATAAGACCAATGGCTAGACTTGGCTCGTTGACTGCAATATCCTCAGCTCAGAGTCCAGAAAATAATAGGAGCTCAATAATAATTTTTTTGATGCTGCTTTCTTTCTTTTAAAAGCCAAAAGTATAGATTTTTGGAAACTAACAGTTGGGATACCTGAGAGTTGGCCCCATGCAAACATGCTATTCCAAAAGGGCATAAAATGTCCATTGCTATTTGTTTTCTATACTTTATAATTTGTTTTCTTTTTAGACATCAGAAGAGAGAAGGCTTATGTTTATGTTGATTGCAAATGTTTTGGAAGTCTTTGGAGAGCTGCTGGGCATGTATCCTTGGAAGTAAATCTTGCCTTTCATCATAATTTGAGGACTCTCCTCCAAAGGATAGGGATTAGAACTAGCATTCCACTTAAGGCAGAGTGACTCAAGTACGGTCATGAACTCACGAACTCACCCAAGAATATTTAAAGTTTTGTGATTTGAACTCAAAATGGTCATTGTGATCACAGCCCGTATAAAAATAATACTTAGAGAGGTTATTGCTCTCTGGATCTGGGAATTGAAGACAGCATTTGTTTTATTCTTTCCATGTCATTTGCTTCTTTCACCCATCCTTTGGCCTCTCAGATTGAGGTTTGGCACAGATACTTGGATTAGAAGGGGAGTCCTGGACTCTCCATCAGTCATCCATCTGTCCATGGGCTAAATAAATGCAGAGCCACCTAAGCTCTTGAGTTTGGAGGAGATATTATGTTTATTTCAGTTTCTTGAGGCATCGAATTTGTGCAAGTCACAGTGATTAAAAAGGTGGCTATACCAGAAGAGAAAGGACAAACTTATTGTGAGATTCAAAGAGGGCATTTTCTATTATGCTAGGCTTAGAATGTTTGGGATGAAAGGATAAGTGAAATCACACAATCTTTCCCTGTCTTCTATTCATTTGCTTTCTCGTTTATTATTCATTTAGCTTAGTAATCATTGCTCAGATTCCGGAATTAGACTGCTTGTGTTTGAGTCCTGACATGGCTTGTTGTTGAATTCATGTAACTGGTCAAGGTGTTTACCAGTTCTGTATCTCAGTTTGAAGGTCTTTAAAATGGCAATAATACTATGAAATATCTTGGGTTGTTGTAAGGATTAAATGGGATAATGGATGTAAAGTAGTTAAAGCTTAGATGGGCGCAGTGGCTCATACCTATAATCCCAGCACTTTGGGAGGTTGACGTAGGCAGATCACTTGAGACTAGCCTGTCAACATGGTGGAACCGTGTGTATACAATAATACAAAAAGTAGCCAGGTGTGATGGCCCATGTCTGTAGTTTCAGCTGCTTGGGGGATTGAGGTGGGAGGATCGCTTGAGCCTCGGAGCTGGAGGATTGCTTGAACCTAGCAGGTAGAGGTTGTGGTGAGCCGAGGTTGTACCACTGTACTCCAGCCTGGGTAACAGTCCAAATAAAAAGGGTCCTGGCACATCTGGCACATAATGAGCGTTCATGCATGTGGATTTTATTATTTGTCAAAAGCCTTTATAGCCACTTAGATGTTGAGCCAGTTACCCAGAATAAGGCCATCCTCATATTTGTGGACTTGCCTTTCTAATGAGAGAGACAAAATAGCAAAAAACAAAAAAACTCAATATTTTCCAATATTATGATAAGCCCTACAGTAGAGAACAAATGGGATAATATATGCTGCCAATTCTGAAGATGCAACAGCTATATTTGACATTTGATTTTATACTGAAGGGTAAAAGAGAAGTAAGGAAAATATACTTCAGGCAAAAGGAATTGCCCACAGATATTTAACACTCTAGAATGATGGAGAAAGCTGGATGTGGTTGGCTTAGAGGTATTCTGGTGAGAAGGTATGAGTGATGTGACTTAGCTGGTAGGTGGGAAACTCTAAAACTGCTACGCTAAGGGAAATAGTTGTGAAGGATCCTGCATGCAAGCCTGAATTTTTTCACTGTTACTCCATGTGCTTCTCATACTATTGGACTAATATTTTCAACATTTATTCCTAAATGCAGCTTGGGATGGGTTTGATTTATCTTTTAGAGTTGTTACCTTGAACTTTGAATTTGGCAGGAGCATTACATTTATTTCAATTATTTTAAAAGATTAAGATGTGAGATGTATATGAGATGTGTCTATATTTTACCATTTCTCTATAAGTTATCTGATTCAACTCCTTCATGACTTTTGGTACCATCCAAGACCTTCCTTTCCCACCCCCATCTCTAAAAGCATTTTCTGTCATAACAATCATAGTAACAAGAAACACCTGCTGATTTCAAATTATATTACAAAGCTATAGTAAAACAGTATGGTACTGGCATAGAAACAAACACATAGACCAATAGAACAGAATACAAAGCCTAGAAATAAACCCATGTGTATACAGTCAACTAATATTCCACAAAGGTGCCAAGAATACACAATGGAGAAAGGATAGTCTCTTCAGTCACTCCAGTAAGGATGTCGGGAAAACGGAATATGTACACACCAGACTATTACATTAGATTCTTACCTGACACCACACACAAAAATCAACGTAAAAGGATTTCAAGATATAAAGTTAAGACCTGACACCATAAAATTTCTAGAAGAAAATGAAAAAAGTTATTTGATATTAATTTTGGCAATGATTTTTTTTTTTTTTAGATATGACATCAAAAGCACAGGTAACACAAGCAAAAATAAACAGGTGGGACAGCAACAAAATAAAAAGGTTTGGTGCAGCAAAGGAAATAACAAAAAGGCAACCCAAAAAATATTTGTAAATCATATATCTGATGAGAAGTTAATATCATCAGGGAAATGCAAAGCAAAATCTCAGTGAGATATATCACCTTACAACTGTTAGGATTGCTATTGTCAAACGGTCAAAGATAACAAGTGTTGGCAAGGATGTGAAGAAAAGGGAATGCTTATCTTTTGTTAATGGGAATGTAAATTAGCACAGCCATCATGGAAAACAGCATGGAAGTTCCTCAAAAAATTAAAAATAGTACTACCATGTGATCCAACAATCCCACTGCTGGGTACATAGCCAAAGGAAATGAAATCAGTGTCTCAAAGAGATGTGCACTCCCATGCTTATTGCAGCATTATTCACAATAGCTAAGATATGGAAATAACTTATATGTCTATTGACAAATACATGGATAAAGAAAATATGAATATATATATATATATAAAATTCAGCCTTAAAGAAATCCTGCCATATGTGAGAGCATGAATGAACCTGGATTTTATGCTCAGTGAAAAAAGCCAGGCACAGAAAGGCAAATATTGCATGATCTTATTCATATGTGGAATCTAAAAAGGTTGAACTCATAAAAAGAGTAGAATGGTGGTTATCGGGGGCCCAGAAATGGAGGAAATCAGGAGATGTTGGTCAAAAGGCACAATCTTACAGTTATAAGGTGAAAAAGTTCTGGAGACTGAATGTACAGCACAGTAACTATAATGAATAATAGCATATCATATACTTGAAATTTGCTAAGAGAGTAGATGGATCATAAATATTCTCACAACATACATACACAAAGAAATGCAAATGCTTGATGTGATAGATATTTAGTGTGTGGTAATCATTTCACATTGTATACATATATGAAAACATCACATGGCATACCTTGAATATATGATTTTTGTCAATTATACTTCCTTCATAAAGCTGAAAAATTATGCCAGAGAAGAGATACCTGAAAACAACATAGTCTGGGGAAAGTGATGAGGGTGACTGAGGACGTTTCTAGGAAGTAGAATACTAAATCGGGAAAACCATTCTACATTTGATGATAAAGTAAAGTGCTAGTAGGGGGCATCTGGATTTCTAGATTTCAACCAGGGACCTGTTAGTCTTAAAAAAAAAAAAAAGAAAAAGAAAAAAGCACCTGTTATGTGCAAAGAATTGAGATGGTTGGCATTGAAAAACACCATCTTTTCTTTTTAAATATAAGTTATCTCTCATCTCTACTCACTATTTTCTCTCCCATTTAAATCTCTCTTTTAAGTGCTCTCTCCATATCTCCGTTTTCTATTTCTTTCTCTGCCATATCCCCTAACCCCCACCTCCAAGCTTATCCCTTCCCTAGCTTCTGTTGAGATGGTGGTTTCAAGCTGTGTTCCCACACCTCTTGGAATTCTATGGAGTTAACTCGGGGCCATTGCTGGTGGAACTCCAAAACTTGTACCTCAGCTTCCACCCTGCCTCTGACTTGCTTTATATGTTGAGGAAGATTTTGTTTGGAGAAATGGTTCTGGGGTTACAGGAAGTTTAATATTATATCCTCAGGGTATTGAGTTGTACTTCATTTCTCATTTTCTTTAACTACTTCATAAATAGTAGAACAGATTGGACCAGGGTCCTTTTCAAATAAATTTGTCTGTGTATTTTCTTATTTTTTCACAATGGCTCCCTTGAACTGTTTCTCTGTCTTATTATTTTCCCTACTAATAGTGCTATTTAAGTGGGAGAATGTGCTGGATAGCTGTTTTTATAATCTTCTGAATTATACAAATCAGAATGGCATTCTTGAATCTTACTTTTTAAAAGACATCACTGACTCGTGTTATGAAGCATTGTATATCAATGGCATACAAGGTTGAAATGGAATAATGTGTGTATTTATATGCTTTTCATGTGTTGTATAAAAGACACATCCCATTAGGCTTCACATTCTCTCCCTCTGCTGAGTGGGAGGCAGGTCAGCCTGTCCGGTAGTCCACATCAGAGAGGACATAGAGTCAGAAAGAAGATGAAGGAGCAGTAATTCAGTATGTATTAGGCTGCAAAACTCTGCAGCTGCATGATAATTGCACCTCATGCTCTGACCTGCTCCAAGGATTTTGGTAGTTTGGTGTGGGAGGAAGGGGATCGGAGTGCAAAGAGTAACTATGAATCATTTGTGAGTGAGAAGAGGAAGCCTTCTTCTCCTTTTTTCTTACTTTTGCCAAGTAATTGAGTCTAATATTAATGGAGCAAGACTGGGGGAGTAGAAGGAAGTGGGTTATAGAAACTTCTTTAAAAAGATTGTTAAGCAAACGGATACAATGCGGTACATAGTAAATGTCTCTTTGTCATTCTGATGTTGACTTCTTTCAAGCTTGAGTTTCCTTTTAAACTTGTGACCAAACCAAGCTATAACTTTGTATCTTTCCTTGTAAATTCAATCCTTAGACATTTTTTTCCTTCTCTGAGCCATATTGCATTTATCTGCATTATTTTCATCTTTAACCCTACGTTACCAAATTCCCTGTAGGCTCTGTTCTTCCCACAGCTTAAATATTCCTCTAAAATAGCTTTGATCCAAATATATTCTGTCATTGTTTCCAAGGATTTTACATTTCCCTTCTTTTTGAGTATACAAAAAGAAAGTATTTGTATTTTATGAGAGAATATTAAATTCGAGTATACGAAAGAAAGTATATATATTTTATGAGAGAATATTGAATTTGACAAACCCATGTGTGTGTGTATGACTCATGGTGGCTTAAGTATTTCTTACAGAGAAATATAATTTCAGTGAGTTCTTTATATTCAAAACCACCCAAATGGTTACTTTTGGGGATGTAGCCTAAGGAACTCACACAAAATGTGGACTAAACCAAGTGCATAAAGAAGTTTGTTGCAGCAAAATTTCTAAAAGCAAAAAATGGGAAGTGGGAAGCAACCTAACAACGAAGGGTAATGCGGCTTTCAGTTAAAGGTAATCTACCCAGTGAAATATAGTGAATCCATTAAAATGAGGACTATGAAGACTGCACAACAACACAAATAAAGCAACATAGAACAGTACCTGTGAGCTGTGATTGCAAGTGAGAAAAAGTATGCTGGGGGAAATATACCCCGGGGGAATATGTTAAGATATTAATAATGGTTATGTGGCAGGGAAGACCAGTAATAATAAAACTCCCTCCCTCATCTCCCACATGCTGAAAGGCTTCTATGTGCTAGGAATGACATGAAGTGGTTCCCTAAGCTACCTTTCATACCCCTTTAAATAGAGCTGTAATTATCCCCTCTGGCAAATGAGGAAACTAAGGCTCAGATAAGTTAGGTGACTTTCCTGAAGTTATAACTTTCTGTAAGTGGCAGATCTGGCCTTCAGAGAGAAGTCCAAATGCATTTTAATAAGGGAAGTAGTGGAAAGGGAACTAAAGTAGTAGTCAAGCCTCCTGGATTCAGATGTCAGTCCTTCCACACATAAATAGTGTGACCTTGATCTATTGTTCCCTGTCAGTAAAATGATGGGGTCTCAAATAGGGTATCCACGTGGACCTCCCGGTGTTGATATTCTGTAGCACCTAGATTTCCAATTTGTCGGAGTGCCTCTTTTACTAAAAAATGAGGTCATTCCCTGAAATTTGGTTTAATAGTTTTTACTGTAATTTCTCATTTCAGGCACTACACATTTCAACCAGCAATTATGTATTTCATAGAGATAAAAGCATTATTATCAAGAGGTAGTATAGTTACTTTGTAAACTGGAGGTGAAGGGACTAAGTGAAATTCAGACCCTTTGTGTTTGTTTGTCTAAATCAAGGAAAGGGAATGTGTGATGGGTAATGTGATTGATGTAGAGCTTCAGAGCCCTGGCTGCTGCTTGAGTCTGACTCATCAATTCTGGAAAAGATTTCCCATTTAGCTGGGTACACAGCCTCATGGCAGACAGCTGCCCGCACAGCTGGGGCACCAACCCTCACTCATCATGTGGAATGCAATAGGAATGGCTCTTAGCTGGTAATATTCATGTCCATCTGTTTGGATAACATGGAGCCCTTAAGAACATTGGTCAACTCCATCCTCCTGGATCTCCCTCCAATCTCATCCCCCCTGCCTCCCATTCACGCTCAGTCATGAGTTTTTCCATCTTCCTTTCTACCTGGATGACTAGAGACCTTGCTGGTCTCAACGCAGTCTAAGAAAATTGCCAGTCGTGTAACACAGTTAAAGCATATAGCCCTGAAGTCAGGAAAGAGAGGAAGACAACCTATTTCCCAATGTACTCATTTCACATACTAGAAGGCTAAGATTTGGAGAGGTTACATCACTTTGCAATGTTCATACAGTTAGTCTGCAATAGAGAAAGTGGTCAGTGTTTCAGGCTTAGCACTCTTCTCCCAATATAGTTTTTGAATTTTCTATCAGAGGCCCTGGAACTAGTGTTAGTGATTAAATACAGTTATCCTCTCAGACATTTTCTAGCATAATCTTGTGAATGAATAGGGCAGAAGATGTCCTTGAACAGAAATGATAAGGACAATGTCATTGCTGGAAATTTGCCTATGGGTATAAAAATCACTTGCAGGAGAGAAAAAGTCCCAAGAAAGTGTCAGGGATTGCTAGTTTCTCTAAACACCTAGATGAAAGCAGTTCACCCACTGGGTTAAAAGGCACTTTTGGAAAGATTGAGTCTATTATTGAAGACCAGAGGGCCAGGATCTATTTTTTCCCTCATCCCTTAACTTTTTGTTTCTCATTTCCCAGTCTTTTACATTTGTGTCTTTTTTTCTTCTCATTGCCTTTTTCTTCTACTTCTCATTTGTGTTCCTGTTCATTTTGCACTGCCTTTTGGGTGGGAAAAAATCATTTTCTATTTGGAGGTTGAGCTAAAAATGAATCTCACATTGCATAGTGTCATGATACTTCCTGTGTAACACCATTAAACATCCCCTGAGAGCAACATAGGCCTAGGAGCCTCATCACTGATTAATTGCTTCATGCCAATTTTCATGTAGGCTACACTTTGACTTTCGACATCTCACTTAATTTGTACAATGCCAAGACAAATAATTATTCCCATTTGGCAGGTGAGGGGGATGAGGCTCAGAGATGAAGTTGTGGTCTATGATTGTGAGATTTATTAACACCGGAGATGGGCTTAGATTCCAGGTTTAGGGCTCTATATCAAAGTTGTGGTATACACATCACATAGGATCTTGTTAAAATGTAGATCAGCATTCATTAGGTCTGGAGCAAGGCTGGAGATTATGCATTTTTAAGAAGCTTCAAGATGATGCTGGTTCTGCTGTACTGTGACACCCTTTGAGTAGATGGCTTTATTCCACATCATGTAGTTTCCTATCTTGGAACCTTAAATCCTTGGAAGAAAACTAAGTTGCCAATGTAGTTGTAGATGTTGAATATTGCCTTTCTCCTGAGCAAATTGGTGAAGACTTATTTTTCTACTTAAGGACATGTAAGAAAATCGCAAAGCATGGTCGTGATGACATAATAGTAATATTTTTCTATACCCCTCTCCTCTAATTCACTGTGAAGCTCTCAAGAGCAAAGCGGTATGGGGTTTACCATTTGCTTTCTTATACCTAACGGTTGCCTTCTAATGCAGAGGAGCTTCGTGGAATGGACAGATGAATGCCGTGACAATAAATTGAAACAGTCAGACTCTTTTTCCAAACAGTAGTATCTGGAAGTACCCCAGGTCTTAGAGAAGAGTCAGATTCCATTTGTAGCAGGGACAAAGTCAGGAGACCAAACAGAATACTCAGTAGGGCAACAGAAGTTAACTGACACTTGCCATCTGTACAGGCCTGTGTGTTCCCCAAAGCCCTGTGCTTTCTCTGGCAGAAGCTGTCTCCTAGTCTTCTCTTCCATCCTCTGGCCCTTTGCCTGCTACCTTGTCACTATTCTCAGAAGCCTGTCAATAGTGGAAATACATTTGTCTTTTTGTTGTACTAATGATTCATTTTCAAGCTGGTTCTCCCAGAGTTTTAGGAATAGCTGATATTGCTATGCATGCAGCTCTTTTGCTGTAAAGATATAGAGGTAAGGTTAATGTGTGTGGGCAATTATTTAATGGACAGTCTGTGTTCAACAAACCTAAGTTCTGGACCTGGTTTTACCACTAACTACTTTTGTCATTTGGTCAAGTCACATACCCTCTCTCAGCCTCCATTTCCTCATCTGAGAAATGGGAATTGGAGTGAGCCAGGTGATGGTAAAGTTGCTTTTTACTCCTGCAGGGCAGATTTGTGACTTATAAAACTACCCCTGCTCTAAGTAGTATGAGGGATGAAGCATAGTTTAAATCCTCCTTGTTTTATTGGATAAAACCCAAGTCCAGATGGTTGGTGTCCCCAGAATAATGTACTCTTTACATCTGAGAATTCAGATTGCCAAGTTACCCCACTATTTTCATCTCACATTCATGCCCAACAGATTTATTTAAGAGGGAAAGGCTTATATGAAAAATTTCTCAAAATAAGGCCACTTGCTGTAACTTTTCTGGCCATGTTAATTATTGACTTCAACCTTGTGTGGTTTCAGATGGGACAGCTGTGTATGAATATTAATTTTTCTTTGAGGGCTTTTAAAAATTATTTTCTTCAGTACTTTTGTTTCCACAACACAATCAAGGGAATTAGTGCTTCTGACAAAATAGCAATTAGATGTGTGGTACATCTCAGCTTGTAAAGTGACATGCAGTTTCTGGAAACAGGACATCATTTTAAATGGAATTAGTTTCCTTTGTCATATTATTGATTGAAACAGTTATGATCTCAGCTCTTCCCTCTTTTCAAACAATTACACTTCTGAATATTTTTCTCACCTTCTTTTGTTTATACCTTTGCAGGTGGCCAAAACATTCTTACTCCTCCATTGCTCTGACATATCTCACGTTACTTACAGATCCTAATTTTCCCAGGCTTTATTTTAATTTCCACTCTTCACTTCTCTCTCACATGTGGGATTGTTTCTAATAGATCTTTCCATAGTAATTTTTCCAAACTATCTGGTTAAGATATGTGGCCAACAAATCACCTGACGTACAAAGATTCATGGTCTCCTTCCTGCTGAGGGGTGGTTTCCTAGCAAGGACTACACTTGCCAGCATCCTTTGCATCAGGCAGCTCATAAGACTGCTTCTGCCCAATGGAACATGAGTGGAGATGGTGTGTACCACTTTCTGAAGAGACTAAGAAACAGGCTTGCCTTTCCTATGGTCTGTCTTCATTTGCCATCTGAGTGGAGAAGCTTTAAGGACTAAAGGAGGGTGGAGTCACAGAAAAAGAGGGCAGACTTGATACATAAAGGGTCATGTTGAAGGCCATCAGATACTCCAGTATTGGGCTTTCCTTGAGTAGCAAATAAATTTCTATTATGTTCAGTCATTGAGGTTTCCGTGTTTGTTTTTCTGCTGTGGCCACTGACATCACGATAGCTGACATAAATATCATCAGAGCTGTATCTTTAATTCCAGGTCTTTGTCTCCTGTTTTCAGGATAATATCTTTTTACAGTTTACTGATTTATCTGAAGATAGAGAAAATCCATTCACTCCAGTGGCTTAGAGTACTAGTATATGGAGGACGCAAGTAAATCTTGGGTGGTTGGGACTTTGTATGGGGAAACCGGCGGGAATAACAGAAGCACAGTGCAAATAATTAAATAGGACAGGATCTTGAGTAGAGTTCACTGGGATGATTTTTTACTTTGTTATTTATTGATAAAAGCCTAGAGGATTCAATGCTGGTATAATCTTTGGGAAAAGAATTGGATCTTGCTGTTCTCAGTTGTGTCCCATTTCTGCTCAGGTGGAGAAGGCTGCTGGATAATTTTGGATCTGTGAGGGATGAGTGAGGGGACTGTAGTTGATTTAGAGGAGTGTGGTGTATTATGTGGGTACAGCAGAGTGAAATGCAGAGTTAGGAAAGAGGGAAAAGGTGCAGAGTCTATAGCTCTGCCCCTCTACCTCTGTTATGTTGGTTGGATTACTTAATCTGTACCTCAATTTCCTTATTTGTAAAATTGATGTAATCATACTCTCCTTGTAGTATAACACAGACCAAATGATAAATTACTTAGGTGCTTGGGTCAGATCCTGAAAGAATGTGTCAAATGTGAGCTATTTTATCAATCTGTTTTTAAACAAAATTGGTACATTACTATAAACTTGTTTCCTGCTGAGTCTCCAGTATCTAAGAAGTGCCTGGCCCATAGGAGTTCAACAGATAATGGTTTTCTGGAAGAACAAATGTACCATATTTATTCTGTTTTTCTTCTCATGCACCATTGTATAGTAATTTTTTACAAGTTATTTGCAAAACCGTGATTTTAGAATGGCTGCTGTGATCAATATTTAATAAACACATTTAGGGCTTATATATCCAATTGTGAGCTTCCCTTCATTGTCAGGAGGTAATCACTTTTTCTAAAGATGCTGATGTTGAGTGATACATTTTTGCAATTTCTCGTAGGCTAATATATCTAGAGCCTGCAGCACATTCTTTTGAACACTCACAAGGGTGGCAAATTGTCAACCTTTGCAGGTAAACAAGATTATTGGAAATAGACACAAGTCACTCTCGGCCAAGTTGTTGAATAAGAAGAGTGATTTGACTTGATGAAAAAGTAAGGAACCTAATGTTATATAGATTTTAAGATGACTCAGATTCCATAAAGAAAATACTCCACAATTGCACTGAGGAGTCATGTTGAAACAAATGAGTAGCTATACAGAGTGTCTACTTTGAAAAATGGCTCGTTTGAATGTGAATCTTCAATTTTAAATTATACATTAGTTCGGTGGAAAAACATTCAATTTTAAAGAGGCCATTTCTTGGTTTGACTTTCACAAAGTGTGTCTCCAAAAATAAAAACTCTTGGTTTGGCCTTGCCTACCCCCACTTGTTGCTGAAGAGCCTGAAGGCAACTCTGTTGAGAGTAGAATATAGAAAGTCTTTATCAATAAGTTCTGGTTTTCAGAAGGTTAAGTGATTAAGAACTGTAGAATACTGCTATGTCAAGACTGTCAAGAGATATTTGGATTCCTACCACCCAGTATTTGATATTTGATCCTACAGTGATATTAAAGAGATGGCAAGACCTTTACTTCCTGGGAGATAAAAACTTAAAAGAGAGAATGCCAACATCATTATCAGTATGTAATGCCCATAATAAATTTTAAGGGTTTGGAGAGAGAGCTGGGCGATGTTCTCCCATTGTTTGATCCTCACTATCACCTTTAGAGGGTGGTAAACATTATTTATATTTTTATAACACTTTACCATTTACAAAGAAATTTCATATACTGTATTCTATTTGATCCTCCCAACATGCTAAGTAGGCATGATTATCTCTTATTTTCAGATGAAATAACTGGAGACTGTGGCTTGTCTAAGGTCACTCAACTAAACAGTGATAAATCTGGGACATTAAAAATTGACTGACCTAGGACGCTAAAAGAAGTTTGTGGCAGAATTCTCCTTAATCTATTTTTGAAAAGTCTGAATATCTGGATTCATTGAGTTTATAAAACTGGCTTCAAATGGTATAAAGTGTTGATTGAACCACATTTAGAAAAAGAAGTAAAAACAAGGGATGGTTTTGCTTTACTTGAGTACTAACTTTATCAAAATACAGATTTGTAGATTTGGTAGCCTAAGAAGAGGACTCACTTAAATTTTTTTGTTTTATGATTGATAGAGAGTTAGCAGTCTTGTGGAGAGTCAATCTTCAAATTTTTTCTCTCTCCGAGTTAGGTATATTTTATTGTATCACCAGATGAAACTAACTTGCTTTTCCACTGAAAATTTTGGCAAACCAATCTAGAGAACTAAATACTTAAAAATGACATTTATTTGCCATACATTGTTGCCCAGCTGCAAAGAAAATTTCCCCCTGCCACAGACCTTATGTTTCAGTTTGTGAAACTGCTGATTAATATTTATGATTATGAGCCATGGTTCCTTTTCTATGTAACTGATCACTACTATTTCTTCTAAGAACATATACACAGCCCAATCATTTTGTGGGCATGCAGCATATTTTAAAATGTGAGAAATGGGATAGTATATAATATTTCTCACGGTAGAATAAATGCTATTTTGTTCCAGGAACCAATAACTTTTCCCACCAAGAAATGATTTTGACTTCCCTTCTCTGTTTTATAAAGCTGATGACAACTGCACTTATTTTATAAGGCCATGTTGTTTTAAGAATATTATGAGAAAACTTTCTTTGCCTTACTTGTCTTTAGGTGAATATATCATATTTCCAAAGGGGGCTTAAATTGTCTCTGTAATACTTTCTTTCTTGAAATATAAATCTGAAGCAGATATAGCAAGATGTTGGGATGAGGTAGATCTCATCACAGAGACATGATTGTTATATATTTGATTATTTCATACCTTAAAAGAGTCACTTTTTTCTACAAAACTATTTTCAAAAGTAATATTAACCTTAACATGCAGAAATTAGAGAAGAGTTTTAAAAATGTGTCATCACCTTAACAACCACAGTGATATAATGTGGCAATTCTGATGGTCTAATAATCTGATGCTATGTGTATGTGCACAATTCAATCAAAAATATAAAATTGTATCTCACCTTTTCATTTAGCCTATTATAAGCATTTTCTCTTTTTTTGCTTTGTCTTCAGTAACATCCATTTGATTGTTGCATAATAGACTGGTTTTGGTTCCCTGCATCATCCCCTGGCTGTTCATGAGAGTTTCTGCTTGTTAACTATTACAAGTAATGCTGCCATAGGGACCTATGAATGCAGGTGTCCCCAAATTCATGATTATTTTATTATCACCTTTATTCCTTCAAATGGCTTATGGCATAATAAAACGTATTTCTCACTCTGAAGAACTTGTCTAAGCTTCTGCCTTTAGGAGAAAGCCAGGTGTACTTGCTGTTCTGTCTAGAAAAGTTCTTCACCTAACTCTGTGGGTATCTGAAAGATGGATTCTGACAACTTTTATTCAGTGCAGAGCACTGTAGAAGTTGGTGCTTTATATCAAGAAGCCAAAGGTGGCAACGACAGGGATGAAATTACATGCAAAGAAAGCAGTTGACGAGTACTTTATCTACTGGATCTCTTATGACATAAAAATACAGATTGAGATTGGCACAGAGGCCCTTTTGCCTTTATTTTGCTATACTTCAATTAGATTTTAACATGACAGGATAAGTATTAATTGGGGTGTTTCCCTGCTCATCCAATCCTCACTCACTTCTTTAATTTATACCCAAAGGACCTCCTAGGAGTCTGTGCCCTCATAGATAGAACTGGGTCGCTCTCTGTAGAAACAGAAGCAGAGGTGGACATCAGGAGTGACCATCAGTTTTCACAAAAGGCGCTGGCCCTAAGATTGAGACAGAAACATTTTACTGTATCCTTTAGGCAAAGTCTTCTGTACCTGAATATGATACACAAGAAGGGGAAGTAATGAGAAGGTGAGAGAATGGAACCTTTGTGGAAAGTCATTGAACCACCTCTGCTTCCACCCTCACCATTTCCCATGCTAGGAGTTCAGATGTTCCAAAATTAATACCAGGAAGCTGCATAGAACTTTGGGTTTTCCTCCTCCTTGAAAACCCTTGACTGCCAGAATAGCAGTCAAGCTGCTACTGCACAGTTGAAGTGACACTCCTTTCTGCCCAGACTTTTCTCAGTTTCCCATTTGACTCAACCTGGTATAATCCCCTTGCTGATGCTTGATGAATTAAGGATGGCATGAAGAAAAAGCTGTGTTACTGAACAAGGTGAGCATTTACTGAATCTCTTTGAAATTGCCCATAGAGCTAGAACATCAGTAGAAACCAGCATTGCTATTACGTTGGCTGTAACATGTTATTGACTTAGTAAGTTCTAGAAAATATACCAACATGCACAAGTAGGGGTTATTATCATATTGATAATAATGCCTGGCTAACAGTAGGCGCTTGATAAAAGTTTCTCAGGTGCATGTGCATGGATGAGTGAAGTCTGTAGTCGTTATATTTTGGGGGCTTATTGTATTCCTGGATGCTCTAAAAATGGGGATTGATTTTTGTGCTGATACAATCCTACTTTGGGACTCATTCTACTTGATAGCCAATGATGCGCATTTACAAGACAGCCTCCCAGGGCAAAGATGGGGACTGAGGAGTACAACAAAGCCAACTGGGCAGCCAGGAGTGAGTCTGTGGTCCTTCAGTTCCATAGTCTGATCAGGTGAGCTGAATGTGGCTCAACCCACGGTGCATCCTTACAAGCCATTCTCTATGAAGAAGCTCAAGGCACACCTTAAACTATATTTCACATTTTTCCACTCACCTAATTAAAACTATCTAGTGGTTTTCCAACTCACATGGACTAAAGCCAAAGTCCTCACCACATTCTACAAGTCTATATGATCTGGCTCCTGCGTATTTCTCTACTCTTACTTCTGCCCACTCACCCTTTCCTTTTCTCTATACCATCCACACGAGCCTTCTGTTTCTTGAGCCAAAATTGCATCCTTGACTTATAGCTCTTGTTCTTATTGTTCTTTCTGCATGCCACTGGCTGCCATTGGAAGGTTTTAGGCAAGGGAGTGACATGATTTATTTGATGAATGGATGTACAAGTTTGAGTGACTAGTGTTGTCTGAGAGTGATAGAGATGTAGCCCTTCTAACCCTTGTATTGTGATATTTTTTCACTTAAAATACCCCCAAATTACCTTTTATTAAACCAATCCCTCCAAAGGTGCTTGAGTCTTATAGCTAGAGAGATCTTCCCAGGAAAATGACCCTTACAAAGGGTCCTGATCAAGAGCTCTCTGTTGAGGGTGGCTGTTCAAGTAGGCTTGGATCATTGTCATTTTGAGTGGAACTTTAAAAACCATTACTCAGAAAACATGCCAGTTGGTAAAGGACTTCTTTTCAGGAATTGTTCTCCCTCCAACACCTGCACTATATCAAGGTGCTTCTCTAGATAGATGTACCAACATTAAGAAACATGATAGGAGAGAGATTTGAGGATTCTCAACGGGTCAGGTGCTGAGGGACCACACTAAGTACATTTAGGGTCATTGCCACCCAATAGTTGATTCATTGTTGTGAAGCCCAATATTTGACAGGAATAGCCCAAACAAGCTGTGTTTAGGGAAACAATAAGTGTCTTAGTCCATTTGTTTTGCTATAAAGAAACACTTGAGACTGGGTAATTTATAAAGAAAAGAGGTTTATTTGGCTCACAGTTCTGCAGGCTGTACAAGAAGCATAGTGCCAACATCTGCTTCTCGTGAGGGCTTCAGGCTGCTTCTACGCATGGCACAAAGGGAAGGGGAGCCAGTGTTGTGCAGATATCAATGAAAAGAGAGGGAGCAAGAGAGAGAGGGAGGAGAGGGGGGCGGCAGGTTTTTTTTTTTAACAACTAGTTCTTGTGGGAACTAAGAGTGAGAACTTACTCCCATGAGAATGACACCAAGCCATTCACAAGGGATCTGCCCCCGTGATCCAAATACCTCTGCCAGGCAAGAGGGCAAACAAACCATATCTGCACCATAGCAAAAAGGTTTCCCCTTTTAGCTGGGAATATCTAATTGCTGTGGCACTGATTGCTGAACATAAATAGCTGTTACTATCGATAACTGCAGAGGGCTTTATATTTAATTGGTCAGCAGTCAGAGGTAGCTTGATATGGAGAGAGATCTTGTAACTAACTCTCAACCATAATTTCAGATACTGGGAAGGATTTTCTCTTCCTGACCCAGCAAAATACTTTGCCTGCCTGCTCAGTGGTTTGGAAAATTATTATTAGAGTAGACAGCTTGATAATGGACTCATCCAATGAAATTCTATGGATTGAAAATAATCTAGATTTATATTTAACAGCATAAGAGTAGTTCCAAGATATATTAACTAAGACACAATAGAAAGTAAAAGTAGATACAGTATGCTCTAAGTTTTATTAAATAATTATAGATAAGCATCTTTTTATATTTTTGAAAGACTACGAAGGAAAGCTTGACTATTACTGAAACATTGGAAGGGACATCTCTGGGTCATAGGATTACCTTTACTTTCCTCCATGGGTATATCCTGGTGGGCATTAATGCATAAAAATGGGCATCTGTCTCTCTTTCTATTTTTTAAAGACATGGTCTCGCCCTGTCTCCCAGGCTGGAGTGTAATGATGCTATCATAGCTCACTGCAGTCTCGATCTCCTGAGCTCAAGTGATCTGCCCACCTCAGCCTCCTGAGTAACTGGGACTACAGTTGTGTGCCATCACAGCTGGATAATTCTTAAATTTTTTTTTTTTTTTCTGTAGACATGAGGTCTCACCATGTTGCCCGGGCTGGTCTTGAACTCCTGACCTTAAGTGATCCTTCCACCTCAGCCTGCCAAAGTGCTGAGCCACCATGCTCTGTTTATCTCTTAAGATAATTGTTTTCAAATTGAAAATGTTATCAGTGGCGCCCTTTCTCCAAATCAAATACTATGTGAAATGTCAATATATAGGCAAGAGTGGAATTGCTCTCACTGAAGTGGAGGAGGGCAGGGCAGCTCTTTTGCCCTGTCCCCTCTACCCGATAATTCCTCTGCAGTCATCCCCAGGCACCTCCTGGAAATAGTGGCCTCTAGGGGACACAATTTAGATGTCATTGGCCTGCATTGGAGGGTAGGAAGAGAACTTGAGTTGGGTTTTACAGAAACTAGCTTTAAACCAGCCATCCATGTGATAAAAATACAGCTAGCTTAGACTGCATTCCTTCAAGTATGCAGTGATCACAACAGTCAGTATAAAATTTACAAAAAAATTAAATGCCAAGTAGTCCTTTATGGACTAAGCCTCAGTAACTTTCCCAGTGTATCAATCCATTCCTTAGGTGCCATGAAATTTTAACATAAGAGTAGACAGATTTGAAGAGGCTTATGATTACAAACCCAGCAGGACGTTGTGTAGCTATTTATGCAGAAGCTCGAAACTGTCACTCAGAGCCGGGATACAATTAGTTGCTCATGGGTCAGAGAGGACCCTCGTTTGAGCTTTTGAAATACTGCACAGAAAAGCTTTCTAGTTGCAGAGCTGCTTGTATGATGGCTTCAGAGTTATTTTCTAAGAGTTCAGAGATCTCCAAGGATGTAGTCACAGGGATAGAAGGAGGTTGGTGGCCCTGACACTCTGGGCGCCACTCCCAACTTTGAACAGATCAGTTATGTTTCCATTTTATATATGGCTATTCCATTTAAGCCTTCCTTTGAAAAAAATCTATTGCAGAAAAGTGCGGGTTTGAAAACTGGTTAACATATCAATCAGTTTGCTAAAATTGGAAGTATTTTGCTATTGGGTCAAGTGATTGTGAGCTCACAGTTAACGTGGTGACGGGCACCTGTAATCCCAGCTGCTTAGGAGGCTGAGGCAGGAGAATCACTTGAACCCCAGAGGTGGAGGTTGCAGTCAGCCGAGACTGCGCCATTGCACTCCAGCCTAGGCAATAAGAGTGAAACTCCTTCTCAAAAAAAAAAACACAAAACAAACCAAAAAAAAAAAAAACTAACAAACTTTAAATAGAAATATTTTTATTCATGAGAAGGAAAGGGCAAATTTTATGAATTGGACTTTTGCTTTGGTTGTCACAAGTGAACTACTTTTTTCTTCTTTTAAAACATTACTTAAAAAAATTGTAAACAGATGACTTTTATACATTGTAGAAAGTTTCAAAAATATTGATATGCATAAAGACAAAACTCGTCCACATTTCTGCAGGTGAAGAAAACTACCGTGAACATGATGGTATGTTTCCTTCTAGTCTGTCTTCTGTACACCTATGTACATGCTTATGTATTTGGCATTGTCATGTATGTAAAGTCTTATTTCCTGCTCCTTTTGTTTGACATTATATTGTAAGCCTTCTCCCCATCATAAAAATTCCATTGTGTGGATGTACCATAATTTATTTCACTTGTATGCTCCTTCTGGACATTAAGTTTCTTTTAAATTTTTTACTTTTATGAATAATGCATGGTACATCTTTATAAGTGAATATTTAATAGTTTGTCCCATTTTCTATGGGAGAGAAGCCCAGAAGTATGAATATTGAGTAAAAGGTAGGAAGCTTCTTTAAAGCTGCTGACACGCAGTACCAAATTACACATCAATGTATATATCATCTGCGGTGTGAATGGTCACTGCAACTGCTCTCTACCATATTATATTTTTTTAGTATTGAATCCATCTACTTAAGAAATATTTATTAAGAACCTATTGTGTTCCTGGATAGGAAAAGTCATGGTTACTCAATATTTTTCTGTGTGCCTTTTTTCTCTGTTTTGGTTCTTTACAATAGAATTAAGGAGTAAAAAAAGGAGCAATACTATCTGCATGTCCTATGTTCTGTGTCTGTCATTATGTAGTTGGAAAAAAAATCAGATTTCTGAAAATACTAAGCACTTTCAATATGCAGAGTATGTATTTAAGATAACAGATACAAAGATCTTTCAGTTGAACTTGGTAGTGACCAGTGAGAAATAGTCATTCAATTTTTTTTTTTTTTTAAAGAGAGATAGTCTTAATGGTGTTAGAGGTACCCAACTTATTTTTAAAGATGCTCCTGTGGAAGGCAGAGAGGCATTCAGAGAGGTCTGATGGTGTTTAAGAGCATGTACTGTGGAGCTATGATGCCGGGTGCAAATCATGGCTCTACCTAGGACAGCTCTGTGACCTTGGGCAAGTTACTTAAACACTGAGCCTCAGAGGGTCCCCATTCTATAGAATGTGAGGAGTAAACAAGTTAATCTGTGTAAAGTTCTTAGAACTGTGTCAGACCCATAAAAAAGATTTGATGTGTTTCACATATTTATTAGTATCATGGTATGTCTGAGAACTACTCCCAGACCCTTGGGCCTTAATAAATAGGTCAACTGTTTATTAAGGGTCACTTTCTTATTCAATTTTGCAGCTAAGTAAATATTCATCTAATAGTTCTCTTGAACTTTCCAGGAGATCTGGTTTTTATTGTCCTCTCTGATCTTTCCTAGAATCTTCAGCCAACAGGCTCCTCCTTTCTGAAGACAGAGAAGTGTACACTCAGGTACTCATAATCTTTACTGTGCCCAGCTCTCCTGCTTTGGTGCCTACTGAGTGGCCTCTTTTAATGTGACAACAGTGGCCTCACTCCATTTACACGTGAGATCTGCTGAGATGCTCTTCTTTTATGTATGGTACATCTCTCAGGGTTATAATATTTTGTGCACCTCCATCAACAGTAACATCCTTTACCAGTTCTCCAGTGGTTGGAAACATTTTAAAACTTAAATTATTGTTTGAGTCAATAAACTTTGGACCTTTTTGGGGATATTTTCTCCATATTATGCTCACAAGTAAACTTCCTAGGTGTTTCCCCTTCCTGTGTTCTCACACACAGGAGAAGTCTTGGACATGTGCCAGGTTGAGTTGACTCATGGTCTGGTGGTTGTCACCATGGCTTCCCAATGAAATCACCAGGGATGTTTAAAAAATACTGTTTTGGGGGTCCCAGACCCATAGATTCTTATTTAATTTGTCTGGGGCAGTAGTTATCAAGGTGCGGTCCTCTGTGGTTGAACAAACCTTCAAGTTGATTCTGACGTATGCTCAAATTTAAGAACTAACTTGTCTTGGGTGTCTGGCCTGGTGATAGAGCCTCCTAACAGTTTCCCAGATGGTTCTAGTGTGCAACCCATGTTGAGAACTGCTGCAGTGGTTTTCTTTTGAAGATATAATCTTAAGAAGTATCAGCTTTTAAAGGTTAGCTAAACTTGTAATGACAAGGGTTCTGTGTAAATAGAAGTAAAATTTTTATCCATTTGTCGGTTCCTACTTGGGGACGTATGGTACATGGAGTTACCAAATTGTGTCTGAATGAAGTTCAGTGAAGTTCAGCTTTCTGTTTTCTGAGGCAAGGCAGCTTTTACATTGATCCTTCGTGTCCTCTTCTGGAAAATTATATATTATTGATAAATCTTTGGCTTGGGATATTGAGTTAGGCCTGTTCTTGCATTTCACTGCGTTCCTAATTAAGCTAGTTTATATGAAAGACTTGACAGATGAGACCTGGAGTTAAATGTATTGATTTGCATATTGATTTTTTCTGAATCTGATTGCTGCCACTGTATATCAAACCTGACCAGAATCTGCTATGTTGGATAAGAAAGATAATTCAGGCAGTTGGGTTTATTGCTTGGGCTGTTAAATTGCAAAATAAAAGTTGTCAACCATTTTCTTTTACGGCTGTTGGAAGAAAGGTTCAGATTAAAGTGACTAGCCTCAGTGTTGACAGGATATATTTATTTATTCTAGATTACTTCGCATTTTTCATCTCTAGAACGTCCTCAGATAATTCCACGGCAGTGGCTCTTTAAAGTACTTTGCATTACCTGCAGTGCTTGTTAAAACATAGATTGCTGGGCCCCACCTCAGACTTTTGACTCAGTAGGTCTGGGGCAGGGCTGGAGAATTTGTATCTGACACATTTCCAGGAGATACGGATGCTGCTGTCACAGGTGGGGAACACATGCCGAGAACCACTGTTCTCGAGCATTCTATGAGCTGCATTTCATAGTACGTTATTACATAAGGCAAATCTTAGGAAAAAATGGTAAAAATTATCTTTACAGAGATTGTCCAATAGTGTGCTTTCTCATAGGGAGTAGAAAAATGCTAGAACAACTCTAAAACATTTGCTTTAAACAGAAATCTCATACTCTCTGGTTCCATTTGTAGCCATGCGGCCCAACAGTAATATACAGAAAACAGATCTGCCTGTCTCAGATTTGTAACGTTTTTTTGACCTTACCATGTTCACTTCCATAATGGAATATTCTCAGCAATGCTGAAAGCTGAATTTGAAGGATAAATATATCCTAAAAGTGATATTAGTATGGCCCTGAGTCCACATGATAGTACTGTATTCAATCTCCTTCCAGTTTTTATCCCACAAGGATTTATACCTCTTAGTAAATGGCTAAGGCTATATTTCTGGTCCTTGGCATCTATAGCTAGGGCATCAAATATTAGGTTGTAAAAATTTCCATTGCAGCTGAATGCTTCCAGCTTCTGAGTGTCCAAGTATACCATCACAAACCTGTAAGTCACCTCACATCCAGCATTTGTACGCTCACAAAACTAAGTTATCTCTTTTAAGATAGAAAGAAGATCACTATATACTATACTCTAAAGAGCCTATAAAATACCCTACCAAAATGAAATGCTCAGTTCCTCCAGAACTTCTAAGATTTCAGAAGGCAGTTATCCATCATAAATGTGTATTCAATAAACCTTAATTAAGGAAATAAAGAGGTCAGAGTGAGGGTATCTAATGAAAAAAGGACAAACGGAGAGAGGCAGGGTTATATGCCCTGCTTGTTCAGAGACAACTCTCTATGGGTCTTTCAAGTTTCTGTATGTTTCTGTATGCCATTTCTCAGAAATTACTGTTCCACACCAACTTTTCAAGGATGTTTGCATGGTGAACAGCTTTGGAAGATAGAGATAGCATCTCCCTCTGGAGCAAAGACAGGCATCCTGATTGCCCATAATAAAACATTTCACTCCCTAAGTTCAGCATTCCTCTCCTTTAGTGCCACCCATGCATGTGCATGTGCCATCTGACTCTCTTTGTGCCACCCTATTGGAATTCGGGCTTAAGAAAATGGTGCAAAAAAAAAAAAAAAAAGCCAGGCATGGTGGCTCACCTGTAATCCCAGCACTTTGGGAGGCTGAGGCAGGCAGATCACCTGAGGTCAAGAGTTTGAGACCAGCCTAGCCAACATGGTGAAAACCTGTCTCTACTAAAAATACAAAAATTAGGCATGGTGGCAGGCACCTGTAATCTCAGCTATTTGGGAGACTGAGGAAAGAGAATCACTTGAACCCAGGAGTCGGAGACTGCAGTGAGCCCAGATGGCACCACTGCACTCCAGCCTGGGTGACAGACCAAGACTGCATCTCAAAAATAAGAACAAAAAACAAAAATCAAAACTGTGCCAGGGTAATTTGTTAATTTGTAAGTAGGGAAAATATGCAACCCTTCACAGTTCTCTATACTCTTTCCCATGGTCAAGTACCCAACATAGTTCAGTCCTTTATTACAGGCTTTCTTGGAGCTGTATGCTTTTCTTTAAGAGCAATTATTTTTGTTGTTACACATTCTGTACATTTATTAGTATAAACACTTGATTTATTATATCTTTTCTACTAGATTTCATGAGACAAGGGCTATGTGTCTTATTTTCTTCACTTTTGAAACATTTGTGTCCAGGCAAATGATCAGAGGTCAACAAATATTTGTTGAATAAAGGAAAACATAGAGTCTTTTTACTTTAGATTTTGTTGCAAATTGGAATCCCTGGATAGAAACTCTGAGACGGAGATAAGCATGGAAGATGTTTATAAGCTAGTGCTCTTGGGATTAACTGGTGGAAGGGAGAAGAAGAAAGCAGAATTGGGCACAAAAATTGATTCTCAACAACTTCCCAGTGAATCTCATGGGGACCTTCCTTCAGAGTTGTCTTAAGGAAGGGGCCAGGACATGATAACCTCTCAGTGACCATCTTTGGGATGTGGGCCTCTTTCGATACCCCTATCCAATGATGCAATCATGGACATGGCTGTTTTCTTCAGTAGAGAGGCCATTTCCAAAGAGGGCTGATAGTTGAGGGCTGTATTCTGGTAACATTCTAGCATCCGGGGCAATAATTACTTCATTAGTAAAGGGAGACCTGGGAGGTGTATCATAGAGTCTGTGACATCCCCCTTCAATATGTTTATGTTCCAGATAAAAGAATATATATATCAGTGGTATCTGAGTCCATTTGGGCTGGTGTAATAAAATACTGCAGACTGGGTGGTTTATCAGCAACAGAAATGGATTTCTCACAGTTCTGGGGGTTGGGAGGTCCAGGATTAAGGTTACAGCAAATTTAGTGTCTGCTGAGGGCCTACATTCTGATTCATAGATGGTACCTTCTTGCTGTATCCTCGCGTGGTTAGTGAGGACTAGTTAGCTCTATGGGGCCTCTTTTATAAGGTCACTAATCCCAGTCTTGACTGCTCCACCCTCATGATCTAATCACCTCCCGAAGACCCCACCTCCTAATACCATCACCTTGGGGGTGAGGATTTCAACATATGAATTTGGGGGGACACACACATTTAGACCACAGCATATGGCCTTTCTCTTACTGTCTCTTGATGTGGCTTTTGTGAGCTATTCAAGGGTGAGTGTGGTGTCTTGTTTATTTTTGCAACCTTTTTTTATTTGACATGGAGTTTCGCTCTGTCCCCCAGGCTGGAGTGCAGTGCTGCGATCTCATCTCACTGCAACTTCCGCCTCTTGAGTTCAAACGATTCTCCTGCCTTGGCCTCCCAAGTAGCTGGGACTACAGACTCGCACCACCATGCCTGGCTAATTTTTGTATTTCTAATGGAGATGGGGTTTCCCCATGTTGGCTAGGCTGGTCTCAAACTTCTGGCCTCAAGTGATCTACCTGCTTTGGCCTCCCAAAGTGCTGGGATTACAGGTGTGAGCCATGACAGGTGGCCAACCTCTTCTTTAACTTGAGAAGCTTGATCTGTTTCCAGGGGAATGTTAAATAGCACATAAATACTGAAATGCTTATTGGATTTGATATAATAATCTTCTATTTAAGAACCATGTTATTTGGAGTTCCAAAATAGAACTACCATATGATTCAGCAATCTCACTTCTGAGTATATAACCAAAAGAATTGAAATCAGTATCTGGAAGATATATCTGCACCCTCATGTTCATGGCAGCATTATGCACAATACCCAAGATATGGAAATAACCCAAATGTTCAACAGATTAATGGATAAAGAAAATGTGGTATATACACGCAATGAAATATATCATTCAGCATTAAAAGAAGGAAATTCTGCCATTTGTGACAACATAGATGAATCAGAAGACACTATGCTAAGTGAAATAAGCCAGTCATGACGGGACAAATACTATGATTCTGCTTATATGAGCCATCTAGAACGGCCAAACGTGTAGAAGCAGAGACTAGTATGGTGGTTGCCAGGGCCTGGGGAGAGCTTGGAAACGAGGAATTATTCCTCATGGGGTATAAAGGTTCTGTCATGCAGGTTGAGAAGTTCTAGAGGTCTTTTGTACAACCTCGTGCCTGTAATTAATCATATGGTATTGTGCACTTTAACATATATTAAGAAGATAGATCTCATGGTAAGTGTTCTTACCAAAACAAACAAAATACAACATGCACAAGAACACAATGAAATTTTTGGAGGTGATATTTAGTACTTTGGTCGTGGCAACAGTATCATGAGTGTATGCATAGGCCCAAACACATCAAGATGTATATGTTAAATGTGTGCAACTTTTTGTATATCAATTATACCTCAATAAAGCTAGAAAAATTAGCAAATAACAAGATCACTCTCATATGTAGGACAGTTTCTTCACATAAAGGGAAAGGGACTTGAATGTTCATTTCTTACTTTTCCTTCATGTGAACTCTATGCTCCAAATGCCTTAAAATCTCCAGAAAATATCTGGCTTTTTCATACATTTGAACTCTTGTGTGTGTTATTTCCCTGGACCAGGATGCTCATGTCTCTATCCTTATGTGCGTACTCTTTCCCATTTGCACCTGGGACTCAGCTCAAATGTTGCATCTTGTGCAAAACATTTTCTGAATTTCTCCCCTCAGTCTTGTTTGCACTCTCCGAATTTTGTAGAGGCTTCCACTTAGCACTTTTCACTTTGCTGCAATTTCTTTACGTGTCCCTCTCCACTGTGGGATTGAGGGCTTCTGGTAGGCAGAGATTATATTTTATTCATGCATCCCTAGACCTTATCACAAGGCCTGGTGCCAGGGGTGGGCTAGGGTTGGCTCATTAAAGACTCATGCGTGCCAGATGTTAAAATTTAAGGAATTTTGCAAGTAGGTTGCTAAATACAGCAATTATTAAAATTAAATTACATAAAACTGTTACTAAGTGGATGATATTAAAAAAAAAAGTCTCAAAACTCACCACTACATCATTATTTTCTGCCCTTTGCTATTATCTGTGTTCTTGAAGTCATTTATATCTGCATTGTCTGTAGTAGAGAGGTACTAAGTTGTGATATGCCTCAGGCACCTCTTCTCAACTCCATGTCCAGTGCTCAAGCCACACTGGTATCTTAAAATTGGCCACAGCGAAAGAATTCACCATGGAAACTGGCAAACATTATATGGGAATAAGGCTTCACTTCAACCAGAACGGGTTGTTGAACATTTATAAGCACATCACTGCCTGGTACACAGGTGATGCTCAA
Organism: Homo sapiens; assembly: GCF_000001405.40. NCBI lineage: Eukaryota > Metazoa > Chordata > Mammalia > Primates > Hominidae > Homo > Homo sapiens. The sequence goes on from NC_000003.12 coordinate 5,485,316, forward strand.
TAAATGTGAGTTAAACTTTTGGGAAAAAGATCTGGAAAAACTTCACTTAGACTGGGTATGAGACTGGCAGATATGGAAGCCCAAATGGAGATTTGATGACAGTTGAATGGGGCTGGGACAATTAAGAACAGTTAACGGGGGACGAGGTCATTGTTTGTCATTTTGATGACTGCTCCCATCTTACCTACAGTTTTTGTTGTTGTTGTTGCAATGAACAATGTATGGGACCTAGTATGTTTTATTTACATACTCTTCAGGGCTTGCTCCTTTATTTTCAGTTTCTGAATTACTTCAAGACGCTGGTGATACCTGCAGTGGAATGCTAACTGAAAGAGAGATTGACTTCTTTGTGCTTATTTTTAGCTGAAACCTCAAGACACAGGGCGTGAGCAACTGTATGAAATTTTAATTGAAAAAAATGATTCGTTTTGGTTGCCATATGGCTATATCATGATGTACATTTTGTTTTTCTAAACTGCAGAATGTGAATACTATTCTAAGATGGCAGATATGGTTAGTGGCATTGTTGTTTAGGTCATTGGAAAGGATGTTTTTCTAAAGGGGAGATCAAGGGTTGCATCTGTTGCCCCGAGTAAACTGAGGAATAGCAGCAATTATTTGTGATTCTGTCTAGAACTTCAGGGCCTGAGATGGGGTTGGTATATGGAGCTGGAGTGTCATGGAGTCTCTGTATAGTTTATATGCCTTCTCCATCTTCCTCTATGTGGGGTCCACAAAGAAGACATGGTATGGGCCTATTCTTTTATTTTAAAAAGTGAAAACAGCTTCTTATTCTCTTATAATATAGATTAATACTCCTATAAGCAAAGTTTTAAAAAAGACAATGGAGAATAGAATAAAAAGTAAATTAAAAAAAAAACGCCCAATATCCCGTCACTTTGAGGTACCTCTTTATTTTATTTTATTATTTATTTCTTTTTTTTTGAGACGGAGTCTCACTATGTTGCCCAGGCTGGAGTGCAGCGGCATGATCTCGGCTCACTGCAACCTCTGCCCTCCGGGTTCAAGTGATTCTCGTGCCTCAGCCCCCGGAATAGCTGGGATAACAGGCATGTGCCACCCCTGGCTAACTTTTGTATTTTTAGTAGAGACAGGGATTTGCCATGTTGGCCAGGCTGGTCTTGAACTCCTGACCTCAAGTGATCTGCCCGTCTTGGCCTCCCAAAGTGCTGGGATGACAGGCATGAGCCACCGTACCCAGCCTGAGGTACCTCTTTAAACATTTTAGTATTTATCTTTCCAGATTTTAAATATATCTGTGGCCCTTCCAGCCACAAAGATTGGATTGAATTTTATTTTCCACAATTTAAAAACACTTAAATGTTCAAAAGCATTGAATTTCCTTGCAGTTCCTATTTATAAAATAAAATTTTAGTATTATGTTTCTTAACACACTGCCCCTGTGGGAATTACGGTGACTAATGCCATCGAAATATAAAGTTGATGATTTGGGAAACGTATAAGTTAGTATGGAAGTATCACCACCTTTTGTTTCAATAGAATTTGACAGCAAATTGAAGAGGGTAGGAAAATGTGGGTGCCACTGGTCCTTGAGTGTCATAGAGCTCTTTGAGAGAGCAGTACAATTGAAAATTTGGGGATGAGGTTTTCTTCCCTGGGCATTCATTCAACAGACACTTGTACTGGCTGTATGTCAGGCACTATTGTCTTAAGGATGAATAAGATTCAGCCACTGCTCACGTTGTAGTGGCAGACGTTGCTATGTAAACAAATAAATTGTAATAGTTTATGATAATTGCTATTACAGGTATTTTAAACAGAGAGATATGGGACCACAAAGGATATAGTAATTAATTCTTCCTGGGAGACACTAGGGGAGTATATCTGTTGGGTCCCTTTCTCTTGCAAACAGCAAAAACTCAAAGTTAAAATAGGAATCCAGGGACTCAATACTGTCATTAGAAATATGCCTCTTATTGTCTTTGTCTTAACTACAGCTTCCCAATTAAGGCTTTATTCTTCTCTGCAGACTCTTTCCATATAATAGCAAAAGTGGTCTACGACAGCTACAGGACTACTTTCTACCCGATTTTTAATTTGTGCCTCTTTCTTAGTGGTTTGGAGGAATCCTTCAGAGAGAAAGTTTTCTGGTCTAGCTGGTGTCACCTGTCCATCTTGGAACCAATCTCTGTGTCCAGGGCACTGCCATCCTCATTGGCCAGGCTTAGGTCATGCAGCCTCTCTTGTACTCTTCCCTGAACCCAATGTGCAGAGAGTAGGGAAGGGACATGTCCTAAACAAGGGGGAGTGGATGTTGGCAGATTTCTATGAGAAGGGCTTATGGGGTGGCAGTAGGGGGTGACATTTGACCTGTACTTTGCAGGATGAATAATCATGTACCAGGTAAAGAAGGAGAGCAATGAAATATGTACAAAGTCAAAGTGTTAAAAGGTTTCCAGTACCGGGGGAGTATTTTAGGTGGCCGAATTAGGGTTTGTAAAATAATAGAGTTGGGATGAGGCCAGAAAAGGAAGTGTGGCATGAGTCCAAATGGTAAAAGGCCTTTTAGTCTATGCTGAGAAATTTTTTATCTTTCTATGAATGAAGGAACCAAAGGAAGCTTTTAACATGGTTAAATGATGGTTAGCTTTGAGTTTAGGAAGGTAGCTCTGATGACAAGGTGGAAGATAAATTTGAATGGAGAGGATCTGGTTTTGTCAGAAAAAGGTCAGAATCTGTAGGTCCATGGTGGTGCACTCTGGTTGCCAGCTTCAAAATGGCAGCCCAGGGCACCTGGCTGAGGATTGTATAGGAAAGAATGCCAGTGGATTCTCAGTGTCTCTCGTCTGAGTGGGGCAGAGGGTGGTGGCATACAGGCTGTATATTTGATGACCCTGATCTAAGCTATGGCCAATGATTGATTATTAAAGGTTCCCCTGTACTTCCTTTTCTTTCCAAAAAGAGAAATTTTCAATGTGTATGTCCCTTACTTCTTATTACCATTATTGTCCTATTATTATTATTTGTAGAATAAATCATATTTTAACATGGCTTCCATTACAAATCAATAAAACAGTGAAACATTGATATTTGATCCAATATAAAGGTAACTTTTTTTAAAAAAATAGAAAATTCCTGCTTGAAAATGTCATTCTGAGAGGGTTCTGGAAGCCAAGCATTGCAGCCAATGCATGCCTCCTGCTTTTTGGTCTTGGATAATAAATTTTCATCTCAGTTTTCTGGGCTTGAGTTTTAAGGCATAATAATAGATGGTGTTAGATTGAACTGCCTCTTTTTAGGTTTTCTATTCTTAGTATATGGATGAATAGATTAATTTATAGTGCTATTAATCTGTTACCCTTCAACAGCCATAAATTCAATTTCATACATTAAGATGTGACTCTAGAGGGACTAGGATAAGGACAGAGCTTAGGTCACAAATAATATGTTATTAAAGTTGGAAATGAACACGTGAATGACTGCGAGGGACAAAATTAACTAATGGAATTTTTAATGACTATTTTTATATGTACATCTAATTAATAATCTCTTGAAATGTGTAGAAATAAGAAAGCAGTGTAACTGGATCCTTCGCGATACGATCCCTACATACTTTTTGTGCTTCTGCTCTTGACATTGTCCAGCTTCTATTTTATGTCTCTGAAACCTGGAACTTTATTTACAGTTCCTTTTTAATGAGCCATGCTGTTTTAGAATGCCATGCTTTCATTTGTGCTGTTGCTTGTATTAGGCATCATTTTCTCACTCACTTCACCGATTTGTCGTTTTTTAAAGCACAGTCATTTGCCCCTTCTAGGCAGCGTTCTTCCATGCCCATCTCTTTCTTTCCTTCCTATACTTTTAAGTACTTCCATTATTTCACTCATCCTGCTTAATTGCAATCATTTGTTTATACAGCTGTCTTTCCTACTTAACTGTGAGTTTATGACATGGATTATATTCTACCTTTATATCCTGTTATACAGTGGGAAATCAATAAATGCTTGGTGGATTGATTTGAATCCTATGCCAATGTCATAGGTAACTCAGACGACTCTGATGAGCCTGAGTAATACAACTAAAGAAAAAAAAAACCCTGAGATTAGCCCCTGTTTCCCAGCCTTCTGATGCCAGAGGCATGAAAGACCTCAATATGAAAAGTTTTCTTATTTGAGATGTTCCACTGGAGTCCATTTTCCTCTTAATTTATTTTTGGCTGTTTTGAAAAAAAAAAAAAAGCACCACAGTTTCTTCTGAAGTGGGCAGGCAGATGAAGGGTGTTCTATTCACTTATAGAAACAACTTTCTTTACCTAAGTACCTGGAACATGTGCCATCTTTGCTTCTTGTTGCAATGGCATTTCAGCATCAGAGCCATTCATTTCTGATGCTCTGTGTGTAGCCTCCAGCGGATTGTGTTCTGCTTCCTCTTTCTGGTAATGTTTAATTCATTTGAGCGTTGCCAAATGAAAATTATCTTCAGACTGTTAACAAGCTGTGCTACCGTGAACCTCTCTGTAAAAATTAACTTAGCCCAAACCAAGGTGCAGAGATAGAGTTGTTTATTTCTCTTCTCCTGACTTCAACTAGGAACAGGGGTAAAACTCTTGATTGGGGACACTTCTTAACAATCAGAGAACTCTTCTCTGATAACTCTTTATAAAAGGTGATTCCATCCTTTACCCTTCCTCCTAGCCCTTATGACCACCTGACATATTTATTTATTCATTGTCAGTCTTCTTTCACAACAATGTAAGCAACATGAGAACAGGGGATTTGTTTATTGCTGTAGTGAGTCTCCTAAAGCTATGCCTGACACAAAGTAATTGCTTACTGCATGTTGATTGACTAAGGGTAGCAACTATGGCCATATCCTTAGAACCCTCACTATGTGCCTGGCAATGTGCTGAGCTTCTGATATGTATTAGATGTTATTTCTTGTCCTTCTCACGCCCCACTATGAATAAGGGAGTCTGTCATTTCCACTTACCATGAAAGAAATGAGATCTAATAAGTTGTCCCCGATTTTGCAGCTGGCAAATCATGAGGCTGAGCAGTGTCACAACCTGCATTTTTAACCTGTATGCTGTTTGTGGTGGGTAGGTCCAGGTTTGTGATCCAATCATTGGAGTTAGGTGGTCCTTTCTGTTGTTTAGGGTGCTAGGATTCTCTGTGTCCCATCCCACATTGTCAAATTTAGTCTTTTTCCTCATAAAATAATAATTTGCTAAGATTTACCATTTTTAAGGTTGTAGAACACTGTCAAGTCCTGTACTTTGATTATTTTGTTTGGTCCTCCCTATAACCCTACATATTAGTATTGTTACTGCCCTTGCCCAGATAAAGGAGATTCAGGTAGGTTAAGGGACTTACCCAAAGCCACATTGCTGATGAATGGCATAGCAGGGACTTGAATACAGAATTCCTGGTTCTGTTGACTATTACTGACCTGTAACCCTGTACCATCCCGCCAGAAATTTCCTATGTGATATTTTGTACACATCCAGAAGAAAACACTAGTGTAGTCTTCAGGTATTAAAAGATTCATGTCTGTATAATGGAAAAGAATAATCTCAGGGAGCTTTGTGATGGTTGTACCACACGTGGAGGCTGGTTTCCATGCCTAGGTACTGCGTTTTAAGGGGATGTGCCAGAGCAAAAAGCCTCTTGTGGAGGGAAGGAGGATGAGGAGCCTAGGAGCCCAGAAGCCCTTTATTTGAAGAATGGTTGAACAAAATAGAGAAGCTTGCCTTGCAGAAGGGAAGACTTAGCCAGGGCTGTATAATGGTTCAGAGAAAGGATTTGGAGCATAGTTGTGTTCAGGAAAAAAAAAGTAGGCTTACTGTTTACTGGGAGGCAATATCCAAGTGATTATAAGCATGGGTCCTGGGGTCAGACTGCATTTATATCCTTGCTTATCCTATCACTATCTGCTGTCCTGGGAAAAACTTATTTCACTTCTTTCTGCCTCACTTGTCTTATCTATTAAATGGATATTATCCTACTTCCTTCATAGAGGTGAGGTAAGAATTAATCGAGGCAATGCTAGAAAGCTCCTTCATACAGTACCGGGCACATAGTAAATGCCTAATAAACATGAGCGTTATCATTAATCACTACTGAAGTCCTGTTGGCAAGGACCACCCTACTGACTTGGTTTGTTTTTAATATGCATACCTGGAAGTGGACATTTGTTGTCCAATTCTCAGCCAACTGTGGCTTCAGAGTACAAAAGCAGAGATGACAGTGCAGTGGATTAAGGGTGCTACTGTGCCGGTGTGTTAAGGACACCCACCAGGTTCAACATATTGTTTTATGAACAAGGAGCCTAAACCTCAGAGAGGAGATGGTTCTGTCCTAAGGTTTTATGGAGAGTTATCTGAAGAACACAGCCTGTCTTCCAGTTCTTCTAAGAAATACTGCTTAAGGTTTTAAAATATGTCTGACAGCTGTTCTAACCACTTGCTGTAGTTCAGTAGTAGGGAGGGATGCGCTGTCAGCCTCAGGGTGTTCCCTAGACCCGGGATCACCACTCCGTCAATGCCTTAAGGGGCTTTTAGATGGGAGAAAGTACAACTGAATGACAGAAACTTCTCCATCAGCATGTCTTGCCGATTCTACCACCATATATATCCAACATCCAGAATCTGACCACTTCAGCCCAGCTAGTGCTGCCACCTTAGCTCTTCTCACCATCATCTCTTGTCTGCACAATTGCAAGTCTCCAAACTGGCCTTCCCTGCTACGACTCTTGTTCTTATGACCTATTACCCACGCAGCAACACATGTGATGTGTAAATTTAGTCCTGCATCTCACCCCTATTCTGCTAAACATCTTCCGACAGGCTTTCTATTGCATTTGGAACAGAATCCAAACTCCCACCATGACCTGCCAGACCCCACAGTGTCTGCCCTTGCCTTTTTCTCTGATTTCATCCCCCTTCACTCACCCACTTGCTCACAAGCTCTAGTCCCATTGACATTCTCTCTGTCCCCAGACATTCCAAGCTAGTTCTTATTGCAGAGCCTTTGCAAATGTTCTTCTACCAGATGTTTGAATGGATGGCTGCTTTTCATTAGTCATATTCCAGCCTAACCATCCCTTCTTTAGAGGGGCTGTGGATCTGTCCTCCTCTCTCCTAGCCTGTTTTATTATTCTCATGGCATAGAACCACTTTCTGAAACCTTCTGCAGTTATGTGTTTCGCTAAGTAAATCCCTTTACACTGGGGGCTTTTTACTTGTTTCCTGCTATATCCTCACTCCTAGAACAATGTCTGACCTTTGGTAGGTGCACTTCAAGTTTTTGTTGAATGAACCCTTCGTGAATAAGAGTTTACTTCACCACAAGGGGCTGGTGTTCTTAAGGTGAACAAACAAAGCAGTATTAGGAGAAGAAACATCGGACCCAAACTCAATCTTTCTGGAAATCCGCTGTCTCACTCCATCAGGGAGGGCAGGTCTTTTTAAGCTGAGGACCTAGGGGTCAGTTCTTAGTGGCATAGGAGGACATAACAACTAAATGTAAATGTAAGAGGAATCCATAAATGAGCAGCTCAGAATTTGAGGTGAAGTGAGAGGGAATCAGAGAGTGGTCAAAGGGGCAATTAATTTATCATCCTGCCAATGTGAAGACCCACTATTAGCCTCTTACTTCTCCTTTCTAGCTGTATGTTCCTTCCCTCCTCTCCCTTCCTAGGATCTTAAAGTAGCTAAAAGTATGGTCAAGTTGGCCACTGGGACCCAATTTTGACTAGTTAATTTCTAGGTATGGTTACAACATCTCGAAAGCCTTCAGGACCCAGATGAATTGAAGAAATGTATGAACTTATGTGTGTCAGAAAGTAGGGAGTCGTGAAGTGGGTAGAGGAGTGGACAACATGTGTCCACTTCCAGGTGTGCATATTAAAAACCAAGTCAGTAGGCTGGTCTTCGCCAGTTTGCTTGAGTATCTCATTTTAAGAAAGTTTCTAGTTTTATGATTTTTTTTTTTTAAAAAACAGGTCAATACTTTTTGAATTTGTAAATTTCCTTTGTACAGATACTTGTTCAGTGCCTACTAAGTAAGGATGTGGGTGCATGACAAACCAAGTGGACACACATGTATAAAAATTAGGTTGGGGCCAGGTGTGGTGGCTCACGTCTGTAATCCCAGCACTTTGGGAGGCCAAGGCAGGTGGATCACAAGGTCAGGAGATTGAGACCATCCTGGCTAACACGGTGAAACCCCATCTCTACTAAAAATACAAAAAAAAAAAAAAATCAGCTGGGCATGGTGGTGGGCGCCTGTAGTTCCAGCTACTCAGGAGGCTGAGGCAGGAGAATGGGGTGAGCCTGGGAGGCGGAGCTTGCAGTGAGCCGAGATCAGGCCACTGCACTCCAGCCTGGGCAATGGAGCAAGGCTCCACCTCAAAAAAAAAAAAAAAAAAAAAAAAAAAAGTAGCTTAAGGATTTGTTTATAAAGTTGATAGAATCCTAATTGCCCATTTTATTTTCTCCCTTTCCTAGGGATTTGTACTTAATATGATTAGTCAAAGTTAAAGATAAATTATTTGCTAATTTATTACTTGTTATTAGGTGAATGACAGCTGCAAAGTGCCAAAGTCCCTGTTTTCTTAGTATTATGTATCTCTACACAGGTGTTTTTATAGATGCTTATTTGAATAGAATATGTGAAAGTATTCCCACTGCTGTTTAAAAGAGGTATAAAACAATTATTTTTAAGAATAAAATTATTATAGAGGCATGTGTATTTAAAATAATATTAAATAATCCATTATCCAATGATCAATTAGAAGAAAGAAAGTATATCAGAGAATTGGTAACAGTAAATTTGTTCTTTTGGCAAATTTGGGGATATATTTACTGTCTGTTCCATCAGTACTCAACTTAGGAAAGTGGAAAAGATTGGCTTGAACTGTGGTTTGTGATGACAAATTGACATTAGGCAAGATTTATACTAGGTAAATAACCTAGCTATGAATCCAGATGATTTGAAAGTGAATGAATACTCATAGGCATGAATTAATCTCTGCTGGGGATAGCAATGCTGATGGAAAGAGTATTTTGGTGGCACGGGTCAACACAGGCCTTAGGCAAGTCACTGGCTCTCCAGTAAACAACTCCCATTCCCTCTACACATGGCTGATTCTAGCAAGAGACTTCTGAAGTCCAGTGTGAGTTATCGACCTTGTATAGAATTGTCCCTTGGGCACTATTTTAATTTAGCTCAGTCTGAGAATGACTGGGTTCTGATATCTAAGGGCCACTGAGTGCGTATGTGAAATGGCATGTGCCTCAGCCTATTAGCACACAGACAAGCTGTATGTCAACCACACTTCTATTACTAGCTCTCTTCTCCCTCAAGGTTTAGAGACTGGGACTGAAAAGGTACAATTAAACTGGCCTTTCACCTTTTGCAGCAGTGTTAAGGCATAGTGATAGGGAAGATAAACATTTTGGAGTGTATATCTCTTCTGACAAAAATCTTCAACTTTAAGATCTATTCCTTTTGGCATCTTTCATTATGAGAGCAAACCATTTGGAACATTCTGGGCATCTAGACTTAATGCTAATGGACAAGGATTGTGATATATATATACACATGCACACACACACACACACATATATATATATACACATATATGTATATATATTCAGTCTCTAGGTCTTTAAATATGCGAGTTCCTCTTCCAGGAGTGCTTTAAGCCACTCCTTTTTTGAGCCCTGACTAAATTGTCAATCCTTTTGTCATCTGCATGGGAAGCAGCTCATGATCACATGACCTGTGCAGATTCTGAAGCCCTGTCTCAGACTTGCTGATTCAGAATCTCTATGGGCAGAAGGCTCAGGAATCTGCACCAAGACCAATGCACGTGCTGGAGTTTGTCTTTCCTTCACTGAGTTCTCATTCATCTCTTTAATTTGAGAGTGGCCCACATTGGGGTGAGTGTGACATTTTATTTCTTTTTATATTTTTAGAGTCATACAGAGCCAGGGCTCAGGATGCTGTTGACCGACTGAATGAATGCATTTCTCATTCATTTGGTTCTACTTCTGACTACAGGGCATGATACACTGAAATTAAGCTTCTTTGGTTTAAACAGCAACATTGAGGAAAAACTAAGGACTCTTTAGGAAGGATAGTTCAGATTTGAAAACCTGAGACATTAAATGTGATGAATCTTATTTTTTAGTGTAGTTAGGTGAAATGGCACAGTGTGTGGCCCATAGTAGGTCTTTAATAAATATTTATTGACTAGAGATATAAGCGAATTCATACAGGATTCTTATATCTGTAAGGGGTAGTGCACTAGGGTTTCTGAGGGGAAGTTAATGTTTTAGCACCTTCCTAGGTGATACATAGTCTAAATGTTTGTGTCCTGCCTAAAATTCATATGTTGAAATTGTAACTCCCAAAGTGATGGTGTTAGGAGCTGGGACTTTTAGGGAGGTGATTAGATCAGAGGGTGGAGCCCTCATGAATGGGATTAGTGCCCTTATAAAATAGGCCCAAGGGAACTTGTTCTCCCCTTCCACCATGTGAGAACATAATGACAAGGTACTGTCTACGAACTAGAAAGCAGGCCCTCACCACACACTGAATCTGCCAGCACCTTGATCTTGGACTTCCAGCCTCCTGAATGGTGAAAAATAAATTTCTCGTTTCTATAAGCCACCCAGTGCATGGCATTTTGTTATAGCAGCCCAAACAGACAAAGACACTGGCAGCCATGGTCATGGGTAAGGGATGAGGCTTTCTGGAAGGACAATGCCATTCCATTTGTTCAGGGTGTGGGTTTGTCTTCTTCCTTACTGAGTCTTCAGAGCCCAGGATAATCCGTGTCATACAGCAGGGACTAAATAAATGCCTGTTGAATGAATGACTGCTGTGAGTTGTTGGCCCAAAGGAGCAGCTGCAATTTGGAAGATTTCTAGATCAGAAGAATGGCAGGGCACACTTGAACAGCAGGGATAACTCTGTCTCCTCAAAGCAGACCTGCTAGCTAAGAGGTCTGAACCGGCCCTGTTCCCAGCAGTGAGACTCCTCGATAGATGGACTCCATCTGGGTTCACCCTGGATAGTGTGAAGGGAGACTGGGGAGTGAAAGGCGAGGCAGTGTGAATTTTAAGATAGACCAGGCCAGGTGAACTTCACAGCCGCTCTAATAAGTGTGAGACATGTGCATCTCTGCCAGCTTGGCTTCAGCAAGCACAGAGAATACCTTATAACCTTCCTTCTAGGGACTCATTAGTGAGGGGAAGCTGTTGCTTCAGCCAGCACGGGGGCCAGTCTCTCCAAGAAGCAGGTTAATTAAGGTGGGTGGACAGCCAGGAAGCATAAACAAGAAAATAGTTCAGAGTAAAATGTTAGCAGATCTATCTGGAAGAGATACCATTGGAAAATTTTAAGGTCACCCCTGCAAGCTGACTTTGGTCTCTTCATCTACAAGATGGGGATAATAATGCATCTGCCATATAGGAATATGAAGATTACATGGGATAATGTATATGGAAGTACTTTATACATTAATGTTCCATAGAAATGCTAGTTTGGTTTACTTTCTGTCTGTGTCTGGTTCGACAAATACCTACTATGTGATAAGCACTGTAGGTGGGAAAAAGATGGATGCCCTGGTACCTAATGACTCTCCACAGTGTAGAGAAATGAGTATTTTAAGAAGAGAACCAGCACCAAGTGCTGGGGTATCAAAGAAAGGGAAAGAGAGTCCTTTTGCGGGTGTCAAAGGCGTCACTGAGGAGGCAGTGGTGAAGTGGGATTTATGAAATTAGGATTTTGATGGGCTAACATGTGGAAGGACTGAAGATGTTTCAGGGGGAGGAACCACCCATAAACAAGGCCAGGGAGTCGAGGTGGAGTGCAGCTGGAGAGTAGTGAGAAATCTATGTAGCACATGCAGAAGGAGACGAGACAGACAGGCAGCTTGGAGCCGGATTATAGAGCCCTGGAGGTAGGTGGAGACCTGATTTGATAGAAGAAGGCGGCCATTAAAGGCAGTCGTAAGAGGAATCCATCAATCAGCAGCTCAGAATTTGAGGTGAAGTGGGAGAGAATCAGAGAGTCGTCAAAAGGGCAATTAGTTTATCATCCTGCCAACGTGAAGACCCACTATTAGCCACTTGCTTCTCCTTTCTAGCTACATGTTCCTTCCTTCGTCTCCCTTCCTAGGATCTTAAAGTAGCTAAAAGTATGGTCAAGTTGGCCACTGGGACCTAAGTTTGACTAGTTAATTTCCAGGTATGGTTACAACCTCTCAAAAGCCTTCAGGACCCAGATAAATGGAAGAAATGTGTGAACTTATATATGTCAGAAAGTAGGGAGTCATGAGGTGGGTAGAGGAGGATGTCATGTGACTCATGCCATACTCTAGGAAAATGAAACTGATTGCAATAGGGAGGAGACAGAATGCTAAAAATGCACATCATGGTTTTCATCAAATCCAGAGGTTATTTTAAGCCACAGAAATGAACAGACAAGGATGCATTGGGATTTCAGACCTACTTCTGCAAGGGAATGAAGAGCAAACTGTGTCCTGATAATGACCCAGGAACAGTTCCTGTAAACAGAACAAGTTCTTTGAAGAGTCAGGCCAATTCAAATAGAGTACAGTCCTGGGACAGACACTGCTGTGGGACTTCACATAGAGTACAGTCCTGGGACAGACACTGCTGTGGGACTTCACATAGAGTACAGTCCTGGGACAGACACTGCTGTGGGACTTCACATAGAGTACAGTCCTGGGACAGACACTGCTGTGGGACTTCACATAGAGTACAGTCCTGGGACAGACACTGCTGTGGGACTTCACATAGAGTACAGTCCTGGGACAAAACTCACTTAAATGATTTTTTCCCCTGGGAAGATAGCGTCACTTCTGATAACTCCTTGAGAAATCTGAGCAGGTAAGCAGCATAGTAATGAAAATGAGACATGCTCCCAACAACTTGTATTAAAATGGGGGTGTCTGTGGCTTCAGTATGATCTTGATTTTCTGATTTCAGAATAGGTAATTTCACAGGAGACTTCACGTTACCTGTATATAATATTTATTAAAAATTAACCCTTCTGGCTATGTTTCTAATTATAAAGCATTATCTGCTCAGTGCAGAAGTTTGGAAAACAAAAAGGCACTATGGCAAGATAACCATTGTCAATATTTTCTCTTATACTCTTCTAGTCTTTTAAAAGGGTATGTACAGTATGTACATATTTCTATATATATATACACATATTTTTTTTGGATATGTATTTGGATATGTATATACATAAGATGAAATTTCTATAAAAGTTTTATTTAATATAACATATGATTTTTGTGTCTAGACCTACTGTTGTGTATGTATTTACACGTATCAAGGCATACATAATATTTTTGTGCTCAGCTTTGTTCCTTTTGTAGTAGGTAGGCACATTTTTTCATGTCACGAAATATTCCTTGTAGTACGAGCTTTGATGTTCAGGGAAACAAGGCATTTTGAATCTTGTAAGGTCTTTACATTAATTATGCTGTGTCACAGCACTTAATAACATCTTATGTGTGTAAAGAATTTTCATGTGAATTGTCTCTTGATGTAATAAGGATTATCATTATTCCCATTTTCTAGATTAGGACCGTGAATTTTTCAAAAAGTTGAGCCTTTCCCCAAGTGAGATAATCAATTGGTAAAATAACCAGTAACCTTGCCATTGACAAGTTGCCGTAAATTAGCCTTGAATGTCTGAGACTGGGAGACTGGCACTCAAATCCGGAAGTCCTGACTCAAATTCTCTATATGGCAGTGGTTAAGCTTATGAACTTTGGAACACACTTCCTGGGTTCAAGTTCTAGTTCTGCTGCTTATTTGGCCAAGTTCCTCAACCCATGCTAGCCTCTGTTTCCTTATCTGTGAAATGGGCATAATAATAGGACCCTCACATCCCCTGGATTGTGGATGATTAAGTGCATTAATCCATGAACAGCTCTTAGAATATGCCTGGCTCATACCAATTGCTATCCATATGAAGGCTTGCTATTACTAAAACAGGTCTTTTGTTTCCACTGAGCCAACTGTCACTTTTATGTGACTGAAACTTAATCTCCTTAATTTATTTTCCTCTAGCAAAGGTGATTATATATAAGACTCTAGCTAAATATAACAAAAGAAAGTTAATTTCATTCTAGAAAGGAATATGCACAGCTGTTAGCTCCCTTCTGAGAGGGCTCATTTTTTTCCCCAGAGGTAAATGAAAATTTAACTAGATGAGGGTGTTCACTTTTTAGAGGATTTTGGCTGAAACTGAAAGTAATATTGCTCATAGGTTTTGCATGGCAAAGCTTCAAACTATTTTGGGAGAGCAGTTTTTGGCTTGTTTGACTTCTGGTGTTGCCCCATCACCTGACTGATACTCTTGGCTAAAATTGCTGATGCTCTTGGCTAAAATTCCAAAGTGGAGGTCGCATCTCTCCCTTGTTAATCAGGGTGTTTAATGCAAGGGCTAATGATGTGATGTGCAACCACACCACAACTGTTAAGCCATGTGGCATTTGCCTGCTGTTATTTATGGTGAAGGCATTTATGCTTCTAGTTTTTTGAAGCACCAAGCTACATAGGAAATAATGCTCCAAAGCACTTTTAGAGGTGGTGGGTGCTAGCTTTGTGTCCGAATCCAACATTCGTAGGTCCAGTCTGTGAACAGCAGGATGGGGGAGGGGATAATCACCTGAGATACAGTTGAATCAAGATGTATCGTGTATTTGTGACTGTACAGAACAGAAATGTATATACTCACTGAAAAATAACGTGTTGTCACCAACACTGTAAGAGACTGATATGGTATCAACCAGAGCTTTTATATTTAAAAAAAATGAAAATGATATTGCTTGGCTTCTCTTTTGGTGTATAGATTTGGCTTGTTTGATTAAAAAAAAAACCCACAAAACCCAAAACTCTGAGAATTGAAAGCACCAGGTTAAGAAATACATAGCAATGGAGGAAAATCTTATGTGAATAATAAAAATGAGAGCTGTCATGTATCAAACTTACTGTGTGCTAGGCATAGCAGCTTTAGGGGCTAACCAGAGGTGTTGCACCCAGATGCCAGTGCACGAGGGACATAGAAACAAGCCTCTAGGTGAGATGATGTGGAGAGAACTGTGTTTACATGCTCCCCCACAATGAGTGTTGTATATGCTGCATCTCTTGGATCATATACATATATATATCCTATCATATGCATCCCTTGCCCATGATAGAGTAGTGATATTCCAAGGGGCTTGTTCATCCCATTCCTCCACAGGGCTGATATTATAGATATTTCACAAGTAGCATGGTATGGATGCAGCCCCAACAGTACAGATGCAGGCAACGGACACCAGCATGGTCCCGTTGGTGCTGGTCAGCTAAATACCATCCCTGCCTCTCTAGAGAAGTGATTCTTTCTCAGGGGCCGATTTGCCCCCAGGAAACTGTTGGCAGTGTCTGAGACATATCTGGTTGTCACAGCTGGTATGGGGAGGCTACTGGCCTCTTGTGAGTAGAGGCCAGGGATTTTGCTGTGCATTCAATACTGGACGGGATATGCCCACTCCCCACCCCAACAAAAAATTATGCAGCTTCCAAATGTCAATGGTGCTAATGTTGATAAACCCAGTTCTAGAGTGAGTCTCAGGCCAGACTTTCTTGTAAGAGGATGGTATGGCCAGCAGAGCTTTTCTTCTCTACTGTTGTCTCAATGCAACATGTAACATCTCTTCTAAATAAATTTTAAACCTATGTTTAAAGAATATTATTTGAAGGGACACTGATTAGCATATACTGGATATTCCTATATCTTGGTCTCATCCTGGCTAGGTCCTTGATCTAGTCCTCTGCTAAGATTTAAATGTGCTATTTCATTAGATCTGTTACATAATCCTATATATAACTAAAGGTAATATTGCTATATTTCAGAAAGCAGGAGAGAAAAATCCAAACCTCTGCTTATAGGTGAATCCCTTTTGGTATTATTTAGAATTAAATAGTATGGCAGTGGCCGTTTTATAACATGGTTGATTTTTCTGGAACAAGAAAATAAACTTATTTTGTACTCTGGAAAGGACTGGAGAACTAATATTTTCTTAGTATCATTTTAAAGCCATAGATTTAACAGAATTGACAAATATAATTATTTCAATCCTGGTTATTATGGAGAGAATGAGCATGTTTATCCATGCATGGAGTGCTTCCTGCCATGTAACAGGATGAGAGATGATATATTGCTATATGCAAAGAATTATAGCTTTTCCATTCCTGTCCCTGTATGTATGGGGACACAACACTCAGGGAATGTAGATCTTCTAGACTTCAGAGCCTGATTTGTTAGCTGGGTCTGATATTTCCTTATCTACTAGGTTGATTTCCTGAGGTTTGACTATAAGATCTGATCTTGATCCTATAGACCATTAGTTTTGAAACTAACTTAGGCTCTAAGTATATTAAACATATTAACTCATTGATATATTATGAATATTTCCATTTTATGGACATTGAAACTCAGGTACAGGGAGATAACTGTTGCATGTTACACCAGGCCTGAGCCTGGATTTGAACCTTGAGTTCACGCATTGTGATGTGCCATTCCTCTGTGCTAATGTGGGACAGGATAGCATGGTTGGACAGGTGCTTTGGAGTTGGCTAAAAGCCAGACATTGATACTTCCTTGTCAGGTATTCTAGTCTCTGTAAGTTGCAGTCTTCTTATTTATAAAATAGGAATCAACAAATATATTTTCAGTGTTCTACTTAGTACAGTTGATTCTTGTTATTTGCAGTTTTGTTATAAAGTCACCACAAACACTGTATTAGCAAATATTGAATTATTGCTCCTAAGAGAAATAGAAGGCTAGGGTCCTATGAGCTTGTGGTCATAACATTTTTGTCAACTCATTAATACATAATCTTGTTTTGTGTATCTTTTTAAAGTCACTTTGCAGTATATATTCTTGATTCACTAACATTGAACTAATGATCAATAGCACTCTTACCCATGCTTGAACAGAGCTTATCTAACACATGGTTTTTTCCCTCATACGGTATGACACATCCTTCTTGTGCTTGGGAACACTAGACAGCACTGCAACGCTATGGGTCATTCTAAGTGGCAAAATCACCAATAAAGATAACGAAAATGCAAAAAACATGGTACTAAATAGACCACAAAAAGGGCACTTATTTATATATAAAGGGTGAAACAATAAGGCAACACTCAAAATGGTTTTGCCTTGTTTGACCTCAGCTGTGAATGCACGTGTTGGGCTACTCAAAGTTTTCATTGTTTTGTGCATATCTGAGAATGACTGCCAAAATGCTATAAGTATTAACTGGAATCATAAGTAAATCTTAGTAAGCAGGTGAATTCACATATGCAGAATTTGTGAATAATCAAGGATGGATCCTATGTACCTACAGGGCTGTAATAAGGATGTGTAAACTAAATTATATAGAGTATGTTACTGTGAGCATGTGAAAGTATTCTACAGGTGGCAGCTATTTTTGTCACTTTAATGCCAAGGATTAAGTCCCTTTTCTTTTGAGTTTTTTCTGTGCTGGGCCCCTGTGAACTGGGAAGGCTTTCTTCCAGAGAAGATGTCATGGCTATAGGAAGCAGCTTTTATATGGGCTATACTTGACCTACTTGCCCTCTTCACTTAAGGATATGAACTAGGCAGCCCAGGGGAGGGATATATTGGATTGTGGAGGTGTACTGTAGAATGATAGAAGAAAAGAAAGGAAAGTTCAGCCCCATACCTCTCCCTGCATCATAGGATTTTTGCTTTCTATTTCAAAGTTTTAGTTAATGCTTCTCAAGGCATGGTCTCCAAACTAGCATGCAGTGTCAATACCATCTGGGAACTTGTTAGAAATGCAAATTGCCACCCAGACCTCCTGAATCAGAAGCTGTGTAGATGGAGCCAGAATCTGTGTGGGAATCTCCAGGTGATTCTGAAACAGGCTGTTAGAGAGCCACTGCTCTGGGTCTAAACTCTTAAGTCATTGACTTCTCTTGATCACCGAGTACTTTGCAGATTACACATCTCTCTGAGGTAAGTGTTCACTATGTCTTGTGATAACTAAAACTTGTATGGAATTTTCTCAGACTGTCTGGGGCCTACTCCTTTTGTTTGAAAACTTCTTCCCGTTCGGGCTATGATAATTTCTGAAACCTCTTAGCTTCTTATATAATGGCTGATGAATGGAGCTTTATTTAAATTTTGAATTCATTTTTATGCAAATGCTTACCAGCCTCCAGGAAGATAAATCGTGCACATGGATTGGTCTTCCAAGTTTTAAGGCATATGCGTTGCCAAGATTTTCCTTTTATTTGCAAAAAAGTTTAGGCCATTTCATTTTTCTTTTTCCCCACCTGTTCTATAACTAGAGTTTCTTTATGGGTGTTATTTGATAATTCAGACTTTTCAGGCTGATAATATTCTGACTATCTTGAAGATCTCCATTTCTACCAAGTTGAATCATTTATTTAACAAACATTTGAGACCATTGCAGTAGGTAGCTAGTCAGACATGAGCAAGGGCAAGAGAGGGCCTTCCCCAACCAGGAATGTCAAGCAACCATCAGGTGATGGTCAGGCAGTTGTTAAACTGTCTCTCTAAAACAATACTTGGTTGCAGCTGGCACCAGGAAATGGCCGTCTCCCAACAGACAGAAACACTTGAAGCTGGTGTTCAGCACCTTCCCAATAAGATCTCAGGAGGTGGGCGAGTGGGCTCAAGCATGTGCACTAAGAGGAAAGATGGCAGAGTTTAACTGGTATATGGCCTTCTTCTAGGAATGCTGGATTGGTAAGGGAAAAACACCTCAAGTGAGCATGCATACAACTTTAGTAAACACACTGCACGTGAAGCCCCTCCTGGGTGCTGCAAGCCACTGCACAGGTGGACAGCCCACCCCAGGTGAAGAATCACGGGAGAAGAGATGTAGACTTAGGAAGAATGCCAATGTGTAAAATCCAAGTGGAAGGTCAAGCTCGGCACTTCAATCTCCTAAGTCATCCGCTTGGCCCTCTTCCAAGTGTATTTGACTTCCCTTTGTTTCTGCTCTATTCTTTTTAATAAATGTTCACTCCTGCTCTAAAGCTTGCCTTGGTCTCTCCCTCTGCCTTATGCTACTTGGTCAAATTCTTTTTTCTGAGGAGGCAAGAATTGAGGTTGCTGTAGACCTGCATGGATTCGCTGCTGCTAATGAGACCATGCTGAGCACTCTGCTACATGCTGGGGATCCAGTGCTGAGCAGAACCCTCGGGGAGCACACCTGTTGGTGGAAGGCCAGACATTAAAGACTTATAAAAATAATTCAAGCTTTGGTAATGACAGTGATAGAAGACATGGTGCTCTGAGAATATACAAAAAAATAAATATAACTTGCTCTGAAAATGTGTTTCTATACATTTGACATTTGAATAGATTTTTTAACAGATGAATACAAATTAACTAGACAAAGGTAGGTATAGGTGGGGAAGAAGGGAGGTATGAATGTTCATACAGGCTTCAAGAAGAAATAAAAGTGGGCCAGGGATTCAGAAATGTGCAGTAGAGAGTGGTGCAGAGTGAAGCTGTTCAGGTGAGCAGATGACATTTGCATGGCTCATCTATTGCAGGGGATTATGACAAAAATTCAAGCTCATAGATCACACAAAGCACTTTAAGATACTGATCTAATACTCTTAGAGATGATTGCGTTGGAAGTGAGGGTAGGGGTGCTACTCTTCCCGTGGCCCTGTAAAATTGGTGGCCCAGGAATATTAGAGCTGACACTGGCTGTAAGATTTTGGTTAATTTTAAAAAATATTTAGCCATTATCAAGGGCCTATGATCACCACAGGTAGCCTGCTGGGTGGATCCAATTATTTGTGAGAAATCAAAGGCTGATGACAGGTTTACTGTACTTTTTTCAGCTTATTGGATCAGACCCAGGACAGGGAAGTTTTGAGCAGCTGAGGATTGGGAAAATCTGGGCCATAGGTTGCTACGGGAAGGCTGAGTCAGGACAGCCTGCTAAGGGTATTGGCGGTGGAGCAAGAATGAAAGGGCTGTTGGAGACAATTGCGTCTTATCTGTGATGCAAATGGGGTATATTTTCTCTCCCTTTTGCCTCAGGCCCTCAGGGTAGTTACCAGATCCTGAAAGTTCTGAACCAGAGATCTTCTCAGGTCCCAGATGATATGAGGGTAAGTTTTACATGTAAGTTAGAGGATAGGATTTTTTTAGTTTCATAAATACAAATGTAGCCATTAGACTAGATACCCTCTTAAATTTTCTTCTTTCCCTAGACTTGAGATTGTCTCTTTAACATATCATTGACCATTTTTTTATGTAGGAAGGAGCAGAGCTTGAGGGAATGGGAAATGCACATGCTAAATCTTGATGAGCAGTCTTGACCATGGTGAGGTCAAAGGAGGAGAGCCCCGCAGTGCTGTCACAGACAGTAGCATGGGTGCTGGGGAGAGACTCCCAGGGCCAGGAAACACTGAAGACAAAGTTAGTTGACTTCTCAAGATTACCTACCTTGTGGTTGCTTTAGTCATCGTCTATTCTTAAGGTGGTGTGTGTCCTCTTGAGGCTTGGCAGTTATGGTGGACATGGACATATTTTAGTTTATTAAATCAATTTTGAATTATGACAGTGTTATTATTTTAATATTCATTTCCACCTTTTGAGGATAGAAAGTCCTTATGTTTCATAATTGGGAGGACTACTTGGAGGTCATCCAATGTAACCTTCCATCTGCTTTGAGAGTATCTGTGCTGATATCTTTGAGAATGGCTTCCATTTGAAGCTATTTTGGAGAAGCTCTGCCTGGTAATGACATGTTTTCTTAAATTGAGCTGTTACCTGTCAGGAACATTTAGTCTTCAAAGACATATTGGACAAGTCTACCTCATCCACACGTTAGAATTTCAGTTACTTAAAGTCAGCTATCATGAACAGTTGATGTTTCCATACGGTTTTCTCCACAGTAGCAGTTTACCAGGAAGTATACTAAAATGCATCTGAAAAGTAGAATATCTCTTTACTCTTGGTAATCTAGTCTGTATTTGAAACTCAAGGTTCACATACAATCTATGTGGATTACATTTGAGGTGAACTCACTATCTGAGAATTTGCAGTGTTGATGAAGTGGTATCTCAAATTTTCTTTTTTACTTTGAGCACAAAATTTAAACAGTTTTTGAATAAATGTTCATATAAGACATAATTGTTAAGGCCTAGAAATTTTTCTTTTTGCACTAAGCAAGTAGAAAAATTATCAGTCATAAGCTGGATCTGTATTCATTTAGTCAACGTTTTTGTTTTTTTGAGATGGAGTCTTGCTCTGTTGCCCAAGCTGGGGTATAAGTGGTGCAATCTCGGCTCACTGCCACCTCTGCCTCCTGGGTTCAAGCAATTTTCCTGCTTCAGCCTCCTGAGTAGCTGGGACTACAGGCATGCACCACCACGCCTGGCTAATTTTTTGTATTTTTAGTAGAGATAGGGTTTCATCATGTTGGGCAGGCTGGTCTTGATCTCCTGACCTCCGGTGATCCACTTGCCTTAGCTTCCCACAGTGCTGGGATTACAGGCCTGAGCCACCGTGCCCAGCCTCATTTAGTCAACTTTTAAAGGAAAACATTTTCAGACAATTTGGAACATAATGAAATATTTGAAATATATTCAATTTGGTGTTTTGTTTCTTTTATAGGATTAGTTATTGGGGGAAATATCTTGAGTTCTATTTATTCATCTTTCCATTATTTATTAAGCAAAGGAAGTGACATAGATAAATTAAGGAGATTCTTAGGAGGATGTGGTGGACAACTTTGAGTGCAGATTTTTCCCCCTTTCTGAGGTAAAGTAAGTAACAAAACAGAGGGAAGAGTGAAGGGTAGGGAGCTGGATGAGGAGAAAGGTGAAGAGAATACTTCAGATGTTTTGGCTTTGAGATGCCTTTAGAATACTTTGTAGTAGGACAAGCCACAGACAAAACCCCTCAGACACTGGGTTAAAGAAAGGAAGCGACTTTATTTGGCCAAGAGCATTGGCAGACTTGCGTCTCAAGAACCAAGCTCTCTGAAGAAAGAGTTCCTGGCCCTTTTAAGGGCTTACCATTCTAAGGGGTCCACATGACAGGGTTGTGATAGATTGAGCAAGCTTGGGGTACATGACTAGGTGGGGGTAAAGCAAGGCAAGTATTTCTCCATACCATTGTCTGTTATCTATAGATAGCACAAGCAACTAGAATTTTTCTCTTGCTGGCAGGGGTGGGGGTTACAAGCAATTAGGGGGTTAATCTTTAACCTTTAGGCCTGGCCAGTGGCGACGATCAGTCTGTTATTTTTCAGTTTTTACTTCCTCCTTTTCTTTGGAGACAGGAGACAGTAAGAGAAATGGCCTCTCTCCTCAACCTAAGAACATATTCCCTATAGTATTTCAATCCTGATCTGATGTTCCAGAGAGAAATCTGGTCTGTCACTATTGACTGGGAAGGTTTCAACCTACAGACAGTATTGAAAACCTGGGGAAGAGATGAGAACAGTGAGAAAGAATGAGCCAGGTGAGAAGAAACGAAGGGTAGAAATGCAGGCATGTACAACTCCGATGTTTAAAGGATGGGAAATGGAAAAGGAGACTCAGGAAGGGAAGAGGATGGAGAAACAGCAGCTGGAGAGATGGGAGGAAAACAGGAGAGGGTGTGGGCCCCTTACCCCGACCTCTGCTTGTTGTTCCTTCCTTCCTTTTTTTTTTTTTTTTTTTGCCAAGTATTTTCAATTGTTCAAGGAGATATTTGTCAAGGCAAATGAAGACAGAGCAGAATTAAACATGTTTAGCGACAAGCAACACAGTGGTAACCTTGACGAGAATGCTTTCAGTGGAATCCTTTTTTCTTTTAAAATGATATTTTATTATGAAAAACTTCAAACTTACGCAAAAGTGACAAGATAAAATAATGCCCATGAACCCATAATCCAGCCACAACCACCACCATCATGTCTGCGTTCCTTGTGAGTCCTATTGCTTTATTTTGTCATTTAATGTTAGTGTCTGGTACAGGGCCTGGTTTACTGAAGATAGTAAATATTTGTGGGATAAATAAAAATGAATACATATAAATGAATAAACAGTATGTGGTGTGCTGTTTAGAGATACAAAGACAAAACAAAAGGAGCACTGCCGCCCTCGAGGAGTTTATAGCCTGATTGGTTGCAGCAGACATCAAGCCACAAGGGTTAAGTCCGAGCAAGCACAGGGTATGGATTCTTATGCTGTTATGGTAGATTCAGGGAACATTTGTGAATTCCATTCACTCCTGTTCCAGTGATAAGTGAGGGGTGATGGAACCAGGACAATTCGAGCTAGATTTGAATCCTTACTTCATCCCTTCCCTGCTGTGTGTCACACGCATTTGTGTGAAAAGAGTCTACCAACAGGCTTTGTGTAAGCAACAAGGCTGTTTATTCACTTGGGTACAAGTGGGCTGAGTCCGAGAAAGGAGTCAGCAAAGGGAGATGGGGTGGGGCAGTTTTATAGGATTTGGGTAGATAGTGGAAAATTACAGTCAAAGGGGGTTTTTCTCTTGTGGGCAGGGGTGGGGGTTACAAGGTGCTCGGTGGGGAGCTTCTAAGGCTCATTGTCCAGGAGAAAGAATGTCACAGGGTCAATTGATCAGTTAGGGTGGGGCAGGAACAAATCACAATGGTGGAATGTCATCAGTTAAGGCAGGAACTGGCTATTTTCACTTCTTTTGTGGTTCTCCAGTTGCTTCAGGCCATCTGGATGTATATGTGCAGGTCACAGGGGATATGATGGCTTAGCTTGGGCTCAGAGGTCTGATACTGTGAGGTTTTGAGTTTATCATTTAATTTCTTTGGGCTTTGGTTTTATCGTTGTTGAATTTTTTTTTAAACCTATAGAATTGTGTGAATTAACTGCGAAAATGGATGTAAAGCCCCCAACACAAGGTCTAACACATAGGAAGAGCTTATTACTGTAATATCATCATCATGCTTTTTGTCACCATCTATCTGTTTATTCTCCAAGAACAGTTTTGCATAGGCATACTACTACCTCCTTCTCCCAAACACACTTTCACATATATGCACATGCACTGCACATACCTCATACTCATTTTCCCCCTTACCTTTCCATTTTTAGTCTTCCTCACCTGGAATGCTGTTGGAGTAAATGTGTAAGCATAGCTCCAGTGTGCTTAAAGACTTTCCCACCTGGATCTACCAAATGAGATCTCACTTCTGGCCTGGCAGGCAGGGCTCTCATTACAGCACCCCCGACTACCTGCACCCCACCCCATCCCGCCCAACCTTGCCAGTCTAATTTCCCACTGCTCCCGAGCATGTCTTCAGGCTCAATTGCTTTTTGTTCTGTGAATGCACTCTTTTGTGGGGCCTTTGTAACCATCATTCTTCTACTTAGGATAATCTTTCTGCTCATCTATACCCTTTATGGACACCCTATGCATCCTCCTGGTGTGTTTGTTTGATACATTACATCTTTATGAAGCATTTCCAAATAGTTCCACAATTGAAGATAGGAGCTCCTACCTATAATCTGTCTGGGGCACCCTTTGCTGCTGTTCTTGTCCTTCTCTTTTCTTTTATATGGAAAGAAAAATCACATACCTTTAAGTGTATGTACTTATCATTTTATCTTACTGGAATGTTCTTAAGATTAAATTTTGAAAATGAGATGCTGGGGCAGGGCCAAGATGGCCAATGGGAAGCAGCAGCGACTGGATGCTGCCATAGAACATAACCGTAATAGTGTGTGAATCCTGCACCAGCAACCGAGGTATCCAGGTTCTCTCATCAGAACTGACTAGGTGTTTAGTGTGATCCACAGAGAGGAAGGAAGAGCAGTGTGGTGTGGTGGCTCACCTGAGAGCCGTATGGGGCAGGCAAGCCACCAATGCCCAGCCAAGGGAGGTGGTGAGTGAGCATGCTACCCAGCTGGGAAACCATGCTTTTTCTATTGAACTGTGCAACCCATGGATCAGAAGATCCCATCTGTGAACCTATGCCACCAGGGCCCAGGGTCCCAACCCCGGAGCCATGCAGTTTCTCAGCATCCTCTCAGCTAGAATCTGCTTAAGCACCTGCTTAGAAACTAGGGGGAGGGGCAACCAGCATCACAGCTGAGGCCGCCTGCTGTCTAAGCCATTTGAGCTCCTGGGGGAGGGGTGTCAGCCAACACTGGGAATGCTCGCTGCCTAACATGCTAAGCTCCCTGGGTTGTAGAAGGGTGGCAGCCATCTCTATAGCTCCAGGCTGTGCTTTTCCCCTGCTGGAGCCAGGGAAACTGCACGGCTTGGTCCCAAGAGATGTCCCCCACAACCCAACTCAACGCTGTGGCAGACTGCAGCCAGAGTGCCTCTTCAGGCCTGACCCTGACCCGTCTCCCCTCACTGGATGGGGCCTCCCTGCAGGAACTCCAACAACTCTAGCCAGGGGCTCAGGGACAGAGCTCTGATCTCTCCCTAAACGAAATGGTAGCCACAGTCTCTGCAGATCAGCAGACTTAGCCTTTCCTTCTGGTGGTTCTGAGGAATCTGGGCAGCCCAGGAGAGTGCCATCCAATTGGGTGAGAACTTCCAACAAGGGTTGTCAGACACCATATACAGGAATGATCCTACTGGCATCAAGTTGGTGCCCCCTGAGGTCAGAGATCCCACAGGAAGGAGCAGGCATCCGTCTTTGCTGCTCTTCAGCCTCCTTGAGTGACATCTCCAGGTGCGGGAGTGAACCCCCAGCAAACTGCAGCAGCCCTACAGAAGAGGGACCTGACCACTGAAAGAAAGACACACAAACAGAAAGCAACAGCAACAGCATCAACAACAAAAAAAGTCCCCACAAAAATCCCAGCCAAGGGTCAGCAGCCTCAAAGATCAAAACTAGACAAATGCATGAAGATGAAAAAGAATCAACAAAAAAATGTTGAAAATGCAAAATGCCAGAGTGCCTCTTCTCCACATGATCACACCACGTCTTCAGCAAGGATGCAGAACTGGACAGAGGATGAGATGGATGAATTGACAGAGGTAGGCTTCAGAGGATGGGTAATAACAAACTGTGCTGAGCTAAAGGAGCATGTTCTAACCCAATGCAAAGAAGCTAAAAACCTTCATAAAAGGTTAGAGAGCCGCTAACTAGAATAATCAGTTTTCAGAGGATCATAAATGACCTGATGGAGCTGAAAAACATAGAACGAGAACTTCGTGAAGCATGCACAACTATCAATAGACCAGTTGACCAAGTGGAAGAAAAAATATCAGTTTTTGAAGACCACCTTGCTGAAATAAGACATGCAGACAAAATTAGAGAAAAAAATGAACAAATAAAGCCTCTGAGAAATATGGGACTATGTAAACAGACAGAACCTATGATTGATTGGAATACCTGAAGGAGACAGGGAGAATGGAAACAAGCTGGCAAACATACTTCAGGATATTATCCAGGAGCACTTTACAAATCTAGCAAGACAGGCCAACATTCAAATTCAGGAAATACAGAGAACACCACTAAGATACTCCATGAGATCAATCACAAGACACATAATCATCAGATTCTCCAAGGTAGAAATGAAGGAAAAGCTGTTAAGGACAGACAGAGAGAAAGGCCTGGTCACCTACAAAGGTAAGCCCATCAGACTAAAAGTGGACACCTCAGGACAAACCCTACCAGCCAGAAGAGAGTGGGGACCAATATTCAACATTCTTAAAGAATTTGCCCCACAGAAATACAAACTACCATCAGAGAATACAATACACAGCTCTATTCAATTAAACTAGAAAACCTAGAAGAAATGGATACATTCCTGGACACATACACCCTCCCCAGACTAAACCAGGAAGAAATTGAATCCCTGAATAGACAAGTAGACAAGTTCTGAATCCTGAATAGTTGAATCCCTGAATTCCTGAAAAAAGTTGAATTCCTGAAAAGTTGAATCCCTGAATAGACCAATAGACAAGTTCTGAAATTGAGGTGGTAATTAATAGCCTACTAACCAAAAACAGCCCAATACCAGACAGATTCACAGCTGAATTCTACCAGAGGTACAAAGAGGAGCTGGTACTGTCCCTTCTGAAACTATTCCAAATATTAAAAAGGAAGGACTCCTTCCTAACTCATTTCATGAGGCCAGCATCATCCTGATACCAAAACCTGGCAGAGACACAACAAAAAAAGAAAACTTCAGGCCAATATCTCTGATGAACAGTGATGCAAGAATCCTCAATAAAATACTGGCAAACTGAATCCAGCAGCACATCAAAAAACTTATCCACCACGATCAAGTTGGCCTTATCCCTGGGATGCAAGGCTGGTTCAACATATGCAAATTAATAAACATAATTCATCACATAAACACAATCAAAGACAAAAACCACATGATTATCTCAATAGATGCAGAAAAGTCCTTTGATAATATTCAACTCCCTTCATGTTAAAAACTCTCAATAAACTAGGTATTGATGGACATATCTCAATAAGAGCTATTTATGATAAACCCATAGCCAATATCATATCGAATGGGCAAAAGCTGGAAGCATTCCCTTTGAAAACTGGCACCAGAGAAGGATGCCCTTTCTCACCACTCCTATTCAATGTAGTATTAGACGTTCTGGCTAAGACAATCAGGCAAGAAAAAGAAATAAGGTATTCAAATAGGAAGAGAGGAAGTCAAATTGTTCCTGTTTGCAGATGACATGATTCTGTATTTAGACAACCCCATCATCGGCCAGGCGCAGTGGCTCAAGTCTGTAATCCCAGCACTTTGGGAGGCCGAGGTGGGTGGATCACCTGAGGTCAGGAGTTTGAGATCAGCCTGGCCAACATGGCGAAACCCCATGTCTACTAAAAATACAAAAATTAGCTGGGTGTAATGGCACGTGCCCATAATCTCAGCTACTTGAGAGTCTGAGGCAGGAGAATCAATTGAAACCAGGAGGTGGAGGTTGCAGTGAGCTGGGATTTTACCATTGCACTCCAGCCTGGACAAAACTCCATCTAAAAAGAAAAAAAAAATGGAAAAAGAGAAAAGAAAAATCCCATCGTCTCAGCCCCAAAAGTCCTAAAGCTGAAAAGCAACTTTAGCAAAGTCTCAGGGTACAAAATCAATGTGCAAAAATCACAAGCATTCCTATACACCAACAATAGACAAGCAGAGAGCCAAATCATGAATGAACTCCCTTGCTACAAAGAGAATAAAATACCTAGGAATACAGCTAACAAGGGATGTGAAGGACCTCTTCAAGAGCTACAAACCATTGTCAAGGAAATAAGAGAGTACAGAAACAAATGGAAAAACATTCCATCATCGTGGATAGGAAGAATCAATATGAAAATGGCCATACTGCCCAAAGTAATTTATAGATTCAATGCTATTCCCGTTAAACTACCGCTGACATTCTTCATAGAGTTAGAAAAAATTACTTTAGATTTCATATGGAACCAAAGAATAGCCCATATAGCCAAGACAACTCTAAGCAAAAAGAACAAAGCTGGAGGCATCATGTTACCTGACTTCAAACTATACTACAAGGCTACAGTAACCAAAACAGCATGGTACTGGTATCAAAACTGACATATAGACCAACAGAACAGAACAGAGATCTCAGAAATAACACCACACATCTACAACCACCTGAGCTTCAACAAACCTGACAAAAACAAGCAATGGGGAAAGAATTTCCTATTAAATAAATGGTGCTGGGAAAACTGGCTAGCCATATGCAGAAACCTGAAACTGGACCCCTTCCTTATACCTTATACAAAAATTAACTCGAGACGAATTAAAGACTTAAATGTAAAACCCAAAACCATAAAAACCCTAAAAAAAACCTAGGCAATACCATTCAGGACATAGACATGGGCAAAGACTTCATGATGAAAATGCCAAAAGCAATGCCAACAGAAGTCAAAATTGACAAATGGGATATAATTAAACGAAAGAGCTTCTGCACAGCAAAAGAAACTACTATCAGAGAGAAAAGGCAACCTACAGAATGGTGGAAAATTTGTACAGTGTACCCACCTGACAAAGATCTAATATCCAGAATCTACAAGGAACTTAAACAAATTTACAAGAAAAAAACGAATAACCCCATCAAAAAGTGGGCAAAGGATATGAACAGACACTTCTCAAAAGAAGACATTTATGCAGCCAACAAACACATGAAAAGCCCAATATCACTGATCATCAGAGAATTGCAAATCAAAACCACAATGAGATACCACCTCACACCAGTCAGAATGGCGATTATTAAAAAGTCAAGAAACAATAGATGCTGGCAAGGCTGTGGAGAAATAGGAACACTTTTACGCTGTTGGTGAGAATGTAAATTAGTTCAACCTTTGTGGAAGACAGTGTGGCAATTCCTTAAGGATCTAGAACCAGAAATGCCATTTGACCCAGTAATCCCATTATTGGGTATGTACCCAAAGAAATATAAAACATTCTAC
Source organism: Homo sapiens (assembly GCF_000001405.40). Classification (NCBI taxonomy): domain Eukaryota; kingdom Metazoa; phylum Chordata; class Mammalia; order Primates; family Hominidae; genus Homo; species Homo sapiens. The sequence continues at coordinate 5,514,803 of NC_000003.12, forward strand.
TATAAAGACATATGTACACTTATATTTATTGCAGCACTATTTACAATAGCAAAGACATGGAACCAACCCAAATGCCCATCAATGATAGGCTGGATAAAGACAATGTTGTACTTATACACCATAGAATACTGTGCAGCCATAAAAAGGAATGAGATTGTGTCCTTTGCAGGGACACGGATGAAGCTGGAAACCATCATCCTCAGCAAACTAACACAGGAACAGAAAACCAAACATTGCATGTTCTCACTCATAAGTGGGAGTCAAACAATGACAAAACATGGACACAGGGAGAGAGGGGAACAATACATGCTGGGGCCTGTTTGGGGGTGGGGTCAAGGGAAGGGAACCTAGATGACAGGTCAGTAGGTGCAGCAAACCACCATGGCACACATATACCTACATAACAAGCCTGCATGTTCTGCACATGTATCCCAGAACTTAAAGTAAAAAATAATAACAAAATATGATCCCTAAAAAAAAAGATAAAAGGTAACAAGTGTTGGAAAGGATGCAGGGAAAATGGAATCATTTACATGGTTGGAGTGAAGGTAAATTTGCACAACCATTATGAAAAATGATAGAGGCTCATCAAAAATCTAAAAATAGAATGACCATATGACCCAGCAATCTCACCTCCAGGTATATATCCAAAGGAACTGAAATCTGTGTGTTGAAGAGATACATGCATCCCCATGTTCACTGCAGCATTATCCACAGGGAGCAATCTAAGTGACCATCAACAGATGAATGAGTAAAGAAAATGTGGTGTATTTTACTTAAAGAAAAAAATTTCTTCAGTGATTCCCTCTTAGCTGTTTGAAACAAGAATCTATACCTTCTATTATAGGATAATCCAAGCCACTGCCAATCAAAACAAGACTAATCAGCCCTATGCTTTGAACTGGTTACTAACCCTCATTATCAGGCTACAAAATTATAGTTTTTTTTTTTGACTCTTTTTTTATTATTATACTTTAAGTTCTAGGATACATGTGCACAACGTGCAGGTTTGTTACATATGTATACATGTGCCATGTTGGTGCGCAGCACCCATTAACTCATCATTTACATTAGGAATATCTCCTAATGCTATCCCCCCCCTCCCCCTACCCCACAACAGGCCCCCGTGTGTGATGTTCCCCACCCTGTGTCCAGGTATTCTCGTCGTTCAATTCCCACCTATGAATGAGAACATGCGGTGTTTGGTTTTCTGTCCTTGCGATAGTTTGCTCAGAATGATGGTTTCCAGCTTCATCTATGTCCCTACAAAGGACATGAACTCATCTTTTTTCATGGCTGCATAGTATTCCATGGTGTATATGTGCCACATTTTCTTAATCCAGTCTATCATTGATGGACATTTGGGTTGGTTCCAAGTCTTTGCTATTGTGAACAGTGCTGCAATAAATATACGTGTGCATGTGTCTTTATAGCAGCATGATTTATAGTCCTTTGGGTATATACCCAGTAATGGGATGGCTGGGTCAAATGGTATTTCTAGTTCTAGATCCCTGAGGAATCGCCACACTGTCTTTCACAATGGTTGAACTAGTTTACAGTCCCACCAGCAGTGTAAAAGTGTTCCTATTTCTCCACATCCTCTCCAGCACGTGTTGTTTCCTGACTTTTTAATGATTGCCATTCTAACTGGCATGAGATGGTATCTCACTATGATTTTGATTTGCATTTCTCTGATGGACAGTGATGAGCATTTTTTCATGTGTCTGTTGGCTGCATAAATGTCTTCTTTTGAGAAGTGTCTGTTCATATCCTTCACCCACTTTTTGATGGGGTTGTATTTTTTCTTGTAAATTTGTTTAAGTTCTTTGTAGATTCTGGATATTTGCCCTTTGTCAGATGGGTAGATTGTAAAAATTTTCTCCCATTCTGTAGGTTGCCTGTTCACTCTGATGGTAGTTTCTTTTGCTGTGCAGAAGCTCTTTAGTTTAATTAGATCCCATTTGTCAATTTTGGCTTTTGTTGCCATTGCTCTTGGTGTTTTAGTCATGAAGTCCTTGCCCATGCCTATGTCCTGAATGGTATTGCCTAGGTTTTCTTCTAGAGTTTTTATGGTTTTAGGTCTAATATTTAAGTCTTTAATCCATCTTGAATTAATTTGTGTATAAGGTGTAAGGAAGGGATCCAGTTTTAGCTTTCTACATATGGCTAGCCAGTTTTCCCAGCACCATTTATTAAATAGGGAATCCTTTCCCCATTTCTTGTTTTTGTCAGGTTTGTCAAAGATCAGATGGTTGTAGATTTGTGGTATTACTTCTGAGGACTCTGTTCTGTTCTGTTGGTCTATATCTCTGTTTTGGTACCAGTATCATGTTGTTTTGGTTACTGTAGCTTTGTAATATAGTTTGAAGTCAGGTAGCATGATGCCTCCAGCTTGGTTCTTTTTCTTAGGATTGACTTGGCAATGCGGGCTCTTTTTTGGTTCCATATGAACTTTAAAGTAGTTTTTTCCAATTCTGTGAAGAAAGTCATTGGTAGCTTAATGGGGATGGCATTGAATCTATAAATTACCTTGGGTAGTATGGCCATTTTCATGATACTGATTCTTCCTATCCGTGAGCATGGAATGTTCTTCCATTTGTTTGTGCCCTCTTTTATTTCGTTGAGCAGAGGTTTATAGTTCTTCTTGAACAGGTCCTTCACATCCCTTGTAAGTTGGATTCCTAGGTATTTTATTCTTTTTGAAGCAATTGTGAATGGGAGTTCACTCATGATTTGGCTCTCTGTTTGCTATTGGTGTATAGGAATGCTTGTGATTTATGCACGTTGATTTCAGGCTACAAAATTCTTAAAGTCAAGAACTATGTGCTACTTATATCTATGTGCTTTGCTATGCATAGAAAAATGTTTTACCTAAACATAGTGAATACTCAAAATAATTAAGTCAGGCTTTATTTTTCTCTTCTGTAAAATAATAACACTGAAAAATCTGTGTTTTTCAAAGTTATATTCTCTTTTAAGCAAGGTACTTGACTTCAACAACATTGTCTATAAAATCCATATGTATTAAACAAATAAAGCTGACCCAATGTGGTTCAATAAAAAAAATAAAAACCACCCCATTAAAAAGTGGGCAAAGGACATGAACAGACACTTCTCAAAAGAATACATTCATGCAGTCAAACAAACATACGAAAAAATGCTCAACATCACTGATCATTAGAGAAATCCAAATCAAAACCGCAATGAGTAATCATCTCATGCCAGTCAGAAGGCCATTATTAAAAAGTCAAGAAACAACAGATGCTGGTAAGGTGGTGGAGAAATAGGAATGCTTTTACACTGTTGGTGGGAATGTAAACTAGTTTAACCATTGTGAAAGATGGTGCGGCGTTTCCTCAAAGAGCTAGAGCCAGAAATACCATTTGACCTAGCAATCCCATTACTTGGTATATACCCAAAGGAATATAAACCACCATTCTATTACAAAGATACATGCAGCTGTATGTTCACTGCAGTACTATTTAAAATAGCAAAGACATGGAATCAACCCAAATGCCCATCAATGATAGACTGGATAAAGAAAATGTGGTATATATACATACACCATGGAATATTATGCAGCCATAAAAAGGAATGAGATTATGTCCTTTGAAGGGACATGGATGAAGCTGGAAGCCATTATCCTCAGCAAACTAACACAGGAACAGAAAATCAAACACCACATGTTCTCACTTATAAGTGGGAGCTGAACAATGGGATCACATGGACCTATGGAAGGGAACAACACACACTGTGGCCTATTGGGAGGTAGAGTGAGGGGAGAGAGAGTGTTAGAAAGAATGGCTAATGTCTGCTGGGCTTAATACCTAGGTGATGGGTTGATAGGTGCAGTAAACCATTGTGGCACACATTTACCTGTGTAACAAACCTGCACATCCTGCACACGTACTCCAGAACTAAACATGAAAAAAAAATTAAAAAGGAAAAACTGAGATGATATATGTGAAAGAATGTAGTGAAGAATAAAGCTTCACACAAATAAGCCAGTAGACAATATCTAACATCATGGTTCATTTTATGTGTCCATGTGTTAGGCTACCATACCCAGATGTATTATCAAACACATCTGGATGTTGCTGTGAAGGTTTTTATTAGTTTTTATTTTTTTCCATGTGATTATCATTTAAATTAGTAGATTTGAAATTAATAAGGCAGATTTCCCTCTATAAACTGGGTGGGTCTCATCCAACCAGTTGAAAGCCTTGAGAAAACAAATGGTTTCCTCCAAAGAAGAGGAAATTCTGCCAGTGGACTGCCTTTGGACTCAAACTGCAATGTCTATTCTTCAGTTCTTCCCTGGGTTGCCTGCCTTCCTGCCTGACTGCCATGCAGGTTTTGAACTTGCCAGCCACCACCATCACATGAGCCAATTCCTGAAAATCAATGAAATCAATTTTTCTCCCCCACTTCTTGCTATTTCTCTCTCTCTTAGATGGATACATATATATTTATATATGAGTGAGTATATGTGTTTGTACATGTATATATGTATATGCGCACACACACCCTGTTGATTGTTTCTCTGGAGAACCCTAATTTACTTAACATTTATTCAGCACTAATCATGAGTCTTATCAATAAATGCTATACAAATATTATCTCATTTAATCTTTACATAATAACGCATTATGAAACATGTATAAGTAGAACCTCCATTTTATAGGCAAGGAGAGAGACATCTAGAGACAAGTACTTGTCTAGTTCACACAGTTATTCAAGAGCAAAACTAAGATTCAAACCCAGGCCTATCTGAATGCAAAGTCCAAGCTCTTAAAGGAGTCCATTATATTACGTTTTAAAACGCATGGAACAGTTTGGCCTCAAATTAACTAAATGACCTTTCTGTTAAAAGAATATATCTATATCTGTATCTTCCTATAATCCATAGTGAAATTAGGCTCATTTTTCTGGGCTTGTATATATTTTCATTTGCTGTAATTATCCATTTTCCATTGTTAGAGAACACCTAGTTAAATGAAGACATTTGTTCCTCCTGAAGTTGAAATAAACCTGCATTAAAATTACTGCAAAGCATATACCTCAGGACCTGAGATAAAATCATTAATATAAACATAAATTACTTCATTTCAAAGGATTTTCAAAATTGAATTTCACAGCTGGAGTACATAAGAAAGCTGACCAATGCCCCAGTAATTAAAAGCAAAACACTATCTTTCCATCTGGGCTTATTTGCTTTCTTTTGTTTTACAGGTATTTATAACTTTATTTTTTTAAGGAGAATGGTGTTGGGACATTTAGCTGCCTTAGGGTCAAAGAACAGTTCACTCCATTTTGGTGAGTGTTATGTCCAGGGGTGAAACATTTCTACCCATTTATTTATAATTACTTAGGAATATTTCAGTAAACATTTCCAGAAGTGTAATTGCTGGATCAAAGTGTATGGATATTTTCAATGGCTTTTATGTTATCTAAGTGATATTTTAAAAACATAAAGTTGTTCTCCAAAATGGTTATGGTTGTTATTACTGTGGCTTACCAATATATGTCCTACTTGCCTTAAACCCTCTTTGTGCTCTGTGTGGGGCCATGTGACTAGTCCTAGCCAATGGATTGTAAGCAGAAGTGACAAGCGTCATTTTTGGGCTGGAAGATTGAATGGCCAGTGTGAGTCACTGAAGAGCACTTTTTCCTCTGCATGGGGACTGATGAAGAACCACGTACAGAGAGCCCAGCCAATGAACTCATGATGGACATGGACTGAGGGAGAAATAACGCTTTTGTTAAGAGAAGCCTCTGTGATTTCGAGTTAGGTACTGCAGCATAATGTAGTTTGTCTTCGCCATTATGGTGGTTGTATAATTTTTAATGCCACTAGCAACGTTTTTGTTTAGTTTAATTTTGTAAGCAGGCATTGTTTTTATGTTGCTGTGATTAAAAAGTAATCTGCAGAGTGCCACTTCATAGACTCTTATCCAATCTCTTCTTGCATCTGCTTGCATTACCCACATGCCCAGCACTGACATTCATTTCTTAGGTGCTCTTAAGTTTTTAATGCACATTTTTATAAAAAAGTTCATATTTCATTTTTTTTCTGCAAAAGGTACAGTACTCTACAAACCTTTCTACATCCTGCTTTCTAATTAAATCATTTTTTGGAGGTATTTCTTATCAGTACATGGAAAGCTTCATCACATTTGCACAGCTGCATAATACTGCCTTGTATGAATTAGCCTAAATTAACCATTCTTCTATTGTTAGGCAGATTGTTCTTAATCTTCAGCCATTGCAACAATGATGCAATGAATGAACTTTTGTGTAATTTTATATGTGGACAAGTAACTTTAAGACGAATTTGTGGAAGTGGAGTTATGTCTCAAAGGGTATATGCATCTGTAGTTTGGGTTGGTGTTGTCAGATTGGCCTTCTGTCACCTTATGCTTCCAACAGCAATGTGTTACAGTGCCTGCTCCCTCACAGCTGCAGCAACTTTTTAAAACACTTATAAATTTTCTTCATAAAGGTATCATATATGTTTTGTTGAGTTTTATTTCTAGGTATCTTATCTTTTTGTGGTGCTGGTGTGAATGGAAAGCTTTCTTCCAATATGTGCTTTAACAAATTGTTTTTATATATGAAGGCAATTGGTTTCTAAATTTTACATCCTATTAACTTATTGAATTTGAATTCTCTCATTGCTTGTAGTAGTTTGGATTTTTTAGGTATGCAATCATATTGTCTGACAATAGCAATAGTTTCCATGATTCTCATTTCATTCTATTGTTTAATTTTATTGGCTAGAACAATGTCAAATCAAACTGGTGATGGTGGGTGCTCATGTTCTGTTTTGGAATTACACTGGGATGCCTGTAGTTAGTGTTTCACTGTTAAGTGTGATACTGGCTTTGGGACTGAGATATTACGAATGTGTCCAGCTTTTCTTGTATGATTGGATTTTCTTTTATGAACTGTTGATTTTTATCAAGTATCCTTTAAGTTTATTGCTGGATTCTCTTTCCTAATGGTTTGTAAAACATTTTTATATTGACAAAATAAGTGAGGTAAGGCAGTAGTTGGTGTATATGTGTGTGTACAACTAATATTTACTTCATCAAAATAATTTGGAAGTTTCAATTTTCTCTACTTCTTGGGAAGTTTTAATTCACTTGGAAGTGCTTTTTAAGGATTTATTAAAATTATCCCACAAATTCATCTAGCTCTGGTATTTTTTTGTTCTGTTACTTTTGGAGAGAGCAGGGATAGAAATTCAACATCTTTACCCATTTCTTTAAAAGTATTTTCTTTTTGGAGGTGAGGAAATTTGTCTGTTTAGAGTTTTAAATTTCTTTTACTTTTAGTAATTTATTTGTATCAGTACCATGCTGTTGTGGTTACTGTAGCCTTATAGCACAGTTTGAAGTCAGGTAATGTGATACCTCCAGCTTTGCTCTTTTTGCTTAGGGTTGCTTTGGCTATTCAGGTTCTTTTTGGTTCCATACAAATTTTAAGATAGTTTTTTCTAATTCTGTGAAGAATGCCATTGGTAGTTTGATAGGGATAGCATTGAATCTGTAAGTTGCTTTGGGCAGTATGACCATTTTAACAGTATTGTTGCTTCCTGTCCATGAGCATGGAATGTTTTTCTGTTTGTTTATATCATCTCTGATTTCTGTCAGCAGTGTTTTGAAATTCTCGTCCTAGGGAGGGTTCATTTCCCTGGTCAGCTGTATTCCTGGGTATCCTTTTCATGGCTATTGCAAATGGGAATGTGCTCTTAATTTGGCACTCAACTTGGATGTTGCTGGCGTATAGAAATGTTGCTAATTTTTGTATATTGATTTTGTATCCTGAAACTTTGCTAAAATTGTTTATCAGATCTAGGAGCTTTTGAGTAGAGTCTTACAGGGTTTTTCTAGGTGTAGAATTGTATCATCTGTAAACAGAGACAGTTTGACTTTATAATTTCCTATTTGGCTGCCTTTTCTTTCTTTCTCTTGCCTAATTGCCTTGGCAAGGTCTTCCAGTACTATGTTGAACAGGAGTAGTGACAGTGGGCATTCTTATCTTGTTCCAGTTCTCAAGGGGGAATGCTTCCAGTTTTTGCCCATTCAGGATGATGTTGGCTGTGAATTTGTCATAGATGGCTCTTATTACTTTGAGGCATGTTCCTTCGGTACCTAGTTTGCTGAGGATTTTTCATAAGAAGGGATGTTGAATTTTATTGAAATCCTTTTCTACATCTATTGAGATGATCATGTGGTTTTGCTGTTATGTTTACGTGATGAATCACACTTACTGATCTTTATATGTTGATGACGCCTATTTGTTCGTGGTGGATCAGCCTACTTCATTGTGGTGGATTAGCTTTTTAATTTGCTGCTGGATTTAGTTTGCTAGTATCTTGTTAAGGATTTTCGCATCTATGTTAATCATGGGTATTGGCTTGGAGTTTTCTTTTTTTGTTGTGTCTCTTCAAGGTTTGGTATCAGAATGATGCTTGCTTCATAGAATGAGTTAGGGTAGAGTTCCATTTCCTCAATTTTTTGGAGGAGTTTCAAGAGGATGGGTACCTGTTCTTCTGTATACATCTGGTATAATTGGACTGTGAATCCATCTGGTCCTGGGCCTTTTCTGGTTGGTAGGCATTTTATGACTGCTTTAATTTCAGAACTCATTATTGGTCTGTTCAGGGATTCAGTTTCTCCTGGTTCAATCTTGGCAGCTTGTATGTTTCCAGTAACCTATTCTTTTATTCTAGGTTTTGTAGTTTGTGTGCATAGAAGTGTTCATAGCAGTCTCTGGGGATATTCTGTAATGCTGTGGTGTTGGTGGTACTGTCCCCTCTATCATTTCTGACTGTGTTTATTTGGGTCTTCTCTCTTTTTATTAATCTAGCTAGCAGTCTATCAGTCTTATTTATTCTTTCAACAAACTAACTCCTGGATACATTGATCTTTTGTATAGTTTTTTGTGTCTCAGTTTCATTCAGTTCAGCTCTGTTTTTCTTGATTTCTTCTGTTAGCTGTGGGGTTGGTTTTCTCTTGTTTTTCTAGTTCCTCTAGGTGTGTTGTTAGGTTGTTAATTTGAGATCTTTCTAACTTTTTGATGTGGGCATTTATTGCTGTAAACATCCCTCTTAACATTGCTTTACCTGTGTCCCAGAGATTCTGATATGTTGTATCTTTGTTTTTACTAGTTTCAAAGAATTTCTAGATTTCTGCCTTAATTTCATTGTTCACCCAAAAGTCATTGAGGAGCAAGTTGCTCAGTTTCCCTGTAATTGTATAGTTTTGAGTGATCATCTTAGTATTAATTTCTTTTTTTTAAAATTTTATTATTATACTTTAAGTTTTAGGGTACATGTGCACACGTGCAGGTTTGTTACATATGTATACATGTGCCATGTTGGTGTGCTGCACCCATTAACTCGACATTTAGCATTAGGTATATCTTCTAATGCTATCCTTTCCCCCTCCCCCCACCCCACAACAGTCCCCAGTGTGTGATGTTCCCATTCCTGTGTCCATGTGTTCTCATTGTTCAATTACCACCTATGAGTGAGAACATGCGATGTCTGGTTTTTTGTCCTTGCGATAGTTTGCTGAGAATGATGGTTTCCAGTTTCATCCATGTCCCTACAAAGGACATGAACTCATCATTTTTATGGCTGCATAGTATTCCATGGGTATATGTGCCACATTTTCTTAATCCAGTCCATCGTTTTTGGACATTTAGGTTGGTTCCAAGTCTTTGCTATTGTGAATAGTGCCACAATAAACATACGTGTGCATGTGTCTTTATAGCAGCATGATTTATAGTCATTTGGGTATATACCTGGTAATGGGATGGCTGGGTCAAATGGTATTTCTAGTTCTAGATCCCTGAGGAATCGCCACACTGACTTCCACAATGGTTGAACTAGTTGACAGTCCCACCAACAGTGTAAAAGTGTTCCTATTTCTCCACATCCTCTCCAGTACCTGTTGTTTCCTGACTTTTTAATGATCGCCATTCTAATTGCTGTGAGATGGTATCTCATTGTGGTTTTGATTTGCATTTCTCTGATGGCCAGTGATGATGAACATTTTTTCATGTGTTTTTTGGCTGCATAGATGTCTTCTTTTGAGAAGTGTGTGTTCATATCCTTCGCCCACTTTTTGATGGGGTTGTTTGTTTTTTTCTTGTAAATTTGTTGGAGTTCATTGTAGATTCTGGATATTAGCCCTTTGTCAGATGAGTAGATTGCAAAAATTTTCTCCCATGTTGTAGGTTGCCTGTTCACTCTGATGGTAGTTTCTTTTGCTGTGCAGAAGCTCTTTAGTTTTAGACATGAAGCCCTTGCCCATGCCTATGTCCTGAATGGTAATGCCTAGGTTTTCTTCTAGGGTTTTTATGGTTTTAGGTCTGAAGTTTAAGTCTTTAATCCATCTTGAATTGATTTTTGTATAAGGTGTAAGGAAGGGATCCAGTTTTAGCTTTCTACATATGGCTAGCCAGTTTTCCCAGCACCATTTATTAAACATGGAATCCTTTCCCCATTGCTTGTTTTTCTCAGGTTTGTTGTCAAAGATCAGATGGTTGTAGATATGCGGCGTTATTTCTGAGGGCTCTGTTCTGCTCCATTGGTCTATATCTCTGTTTTGGTACCAGTACCATGCTGTTTTGGTTACTGTAGCCTTGTAGTATAGTTTGAAGTCAGGTAGTGTGATGCCTCCAGCTTTGTTCTTTTGGCTTAGGATTGACTTGGCGATGCGGGCTCTTTTTTGGTTCCATATGAACTTTAAAGTAGTTTTTTCCAATTCTGTGAAGAAAGTCATTGGTAGCTTGATGGGGATGGCATTGAATGCGTAAATTATCTTGGGTAGTATGGCCATTTTCACGATATTGATTATTCCTACCCATGAGCATGTAATGTTCTTCCATTTGTTTGTATCCTCTTTTATTTCACTGAGCAGTGGTTTGTAGTTCGCCTTGAAGAGGTCCTTCACGTCCCTTGTAAGTTGGATTCCTAGGTATTTTATTCTCTTTGAAGCAATTGTGAATGGGAGTTCACTCATGATTTGGCTCTCTGTTTGTCTGTTTTTGGTGTATAAGAGTGCTTGTGATTTTTGTACATTGATTTTGTATCCTGAGACTTTGCTGAATTTGCTTATCAGCTTAAGGAGATTTTGGGCTGAGACAATTGGGTTTTCTAGATATACAATCATTTCATCTGCAAACAGGGACAATTTGACTTCCTCTTTTCCTAATTGAATACCCTTTATTTCCTTCTCTTGCCTAATTGCCCTGGCCAGAACTTCCAACACTATGTTGAATAGGAGTGGTGAGAGAAGGCATCCCTGTCTTGTGCCAGTTTTCAAAGGGAATGCTTCCAGTTTTTGCCCATTCAGTATGATATTGGCTGTGGGTTTGTCATAGATAGCTCTTATTATTTTGAGATACGTCCCATCAATACCTAATTTATTGAGAGTTTTTAGCATGAAGGGTTGTTGAATTTTGTCAAAGGCCTTTTCTGCATCTATTGAGATAATCATGTGGTTTTTGTCTTTGGTTCTGTTTATATGCTGGATTACATTTATTGATTTGCGTATATTGAACCAGCCTCGCATCCCAGGGATGAAGCCCACTTGATCATGGTGGATAAGCTTTTTGATGTGCTGCTGGATTCGGTTTGCCAGTATTTTATTGAGGATTTTTGCATCAATGTTCATCAAGGATATTGGTCTAAAATTCTCTTTTTTGGTTGTGTCTCTGGCTGGCTTTAGTACCAGGATGATGCTGGCCTCATAAAGTGAGTTAGGGTGGATTCTCTCTTTCTCTATTGATTGGAATAGTTTCAGAAGGAATGGTACCAGTTCCTCCTTGTACCCCTGGTAGAATTCGGCTGTGAATCCATCTGGTCCTGGACTCTTTTTAGTTGGTAGGCTATTGATTATTGCCACAATTTCAGATCCTGTTATTGGTCTATTCAGAGGTTCAACTTCTTCCTGGTTTAGCCTTGGGAGAGTGTATGTGTCGAGGAATTTATCCATTTCTTCTAGATTTTCTAGTTTATTTGCGTAGAGGTGTTTGTAGTATTCTCTGATGGTAGTTTGTATTTCTGTGGGATCGGTGGTGATATCCCCTTTATCATTTTTTATTGCATCTATTTGATTCTTCTCTCTTTTTTTCTTTATTAGTCTTGCTAGCGGTCTATCAATTTTGTTGATCCTTTCAAAAAACCAGCTCCTGGATTCATTAATTTTTTGAAGGGTTTTTTGTGTCTCTATTTCCTTCAGTTCTGCTCTGATTTTAGTTATTTCTTGCCTTCTGCTAGCTTTTGAATGTGTTTGCTCTTACTTTTCTAGTTGTTTTAATTGTGATGTTAGGGTGTCAATTTTGGATCTTTCCTGCTTTCTCTTGTGGGCATTTAGTGCTATAAATTTCCCTCTACACACTGCTTTGAATGCGTCCCAGAGATTCTGGTATGTTGTGTCTTTGTTCTCGTTGGTTTCAAAGAACATCTTTATTTCTGCCTTCATTTCGTTATGTACCCAGTAGTCATTCAGGAGCAGGTTGTTCAGTTTCCATGTAGTTGAGTGGTTTTGAATGAGATTCTTAATCCTGAGTTCTAGTTTGATTGCACTGTGGTGTGAGAGAGAGTTTGTTGTAATTTCTGTTCTTTTACATTTGCTGAGGAGTGCTTTACTTCCAACTATGTGGTCAATCCCATTTGTCAATTTTGGCTTTTGTTGCCGTTGCTTTTGGTGTTTTAGACATGAAGTCCTTGCCCATGCCTATGTCCTGAATGATATGGCCTAGGTTTTCTTCTAGGGTTTTTATCGTTTTAGGTCTAACATTTAAGTCTTTAATCCATCTTGAATTAATTTTTGTATAAGGTGTAAGGAAGGGATCCAGTTTTAGCTTTCTACATATGGCTAGCCAGTTTTCCCAGCACCATTTATTAAATAGGGAATCCTTTCCCCATTGCTTGTTTTTTTCAGGTTTGTCAAAGATCAGATAGTTGTAGATGTGTGGCATAATTTCTTAAATTTTTTTAAAATTATACTTTAAGTTCTGGGATACATGTGCAGAGCATGCAGGTTTGCTACATAGGTATACATGTGCCATGATGGTTTCCTGCACCCATCACCCTGTCATCTACATTTGGTATTTCTCCTAATGCTATTTCTCCCTTAATCCCCTACCTCCCGACAGGTCCCAGTGTGTGATGTTCCCCTCCTTGTGTTCAAATGTTCTCATTTTTCTACTCTCACTTATGAGTGAGAACATGTGGTATTTGGTTTTCTATTCTTGTGTTAGTTTCCTGAGAATGATGGTTTCCAGCTTCATCTATGTCCCTGAAAGGGACATGAACTCATCCATTTATGGCTGCATAGTATTCTGTGGTGTATATGTGCCACATTTTCTTAATCCAGACTATCGTTTATGGACATTTGGGTGATTCCAAGTCTTTGCTATTGTGATCAGTGCCACAGTAAACATACGTGTGTATGTGTCTTTATAGTAGAATGATTTATAATCCTTTGAGTATATACCCAGTAATGGGATTGGTGGGTCAAATGGTATTTCTGGTTCTAGATCTTGGAGGAATCACCACACTCTCTTCCACAATGATTGAACTAATTCACACTCCCACCAACATTGTAAAAGCATTCCTATTTCTCCACATCCTCTGCAACATCTGTGTTCCCTGACTTTTTAATGATTGCCATTCTAACTGGTATGAGATGGTATCCCATTGTGGTTTTGATTTGCATTTCTCTAATAACCAGTGATGATGAGCTTTTTTTCATATTTTTGTTGACTGCAATAAATGCCTTCTTTTCCTTTATCTGATTTTTGATGGGGTTGTTTTTTTCTCATAAATTTGTTTAAGTCATTTGTAGGTTCTGGATATTAGCCCTTTGTCAGATGGATAGATTGCAAAAGTTTTCTCCCATTCTGTAGGTTGCCTTTTCACTCTGATAGTTTTTTTTTTTTTTTGCAGTGCAGAAGTTCTTTAGTTTAATTAGATTCCATTTATCAATTTTGGCTTTTGTTGCCATTGCTTTTGGTGTTTTAGTCATGAAGTCTTTCCTCTTCCCTATGTCCTGAATGGTATTGCCTAGGTTTTCTTCTAAGGTTTTTATGGTTTTAGGTCTACATTTAAGTCTTTAATCCATCTTGGGTTAATTTTTACATAAGGTATAAGGAAGTGGTCCAGTTTTAGGGTTCTGCATATGGCTAGCCAGTTTTCCCAACACCATTTATTAAATAGGGAATCCTTTTCCCATTTCTTGTTTTTGTCAGGTTCGTCAATGATCAGATGGTTGTAGATGTGTGGTGCTATTTCTGAGGCCTCTGTTCTGTTCCATTGGTCTGTATATCTGTTTTGGTACCAGTACCATGCTATTTTGGTTACTGTAGCCTTGTAGTATGGTTTGAAGTCTGGTAGCATGATGCCTTCAGCTTTGTTCTTTTTGCTTAGGGTTGTCTTTGCTATACGGGCTATTCTTTTGTCCCCTAAGCAATTTAAAGTGTTTCTCTTCTAATTCTGTGAAGAAAGTAAATGCTAGCTTGATGGGGATAGCATTGAATCTATAAATTACCTTGGGCAGTATGGCCATTTTCACGATATGGATTCTTCTATCCATGAGCATGGGATGTTTTTCCATTTGTTTGTGTCCTCTCTTATTTCGTTGAGCAGTGGTTTGTAGTTCTCCTGGAAGAGGTCCTTCACATCCCTTGTAAGTTGTATTCCTAGGTATTTTATTCTCTTTGTAGCAATTGTGAATGGGAGTTCACTCATGACCTGGCTCTGTATTATTTGTGGATAGGAATGTTTGTAATTTTCGCACATTGATTTTGTATCCTGAGACTTTGCTGAAGTTGCTTATCAGCTTTAGGAGTTTTTGGGCTGAGAATGGAGTTTCCTAAATATACAATCATGTCATCTGCAAACAGAGACAATTTGACTTCGTCTCTTCCTATTTGAATACGCTTTATTTTTTTCTCTTGCCTGACTGCCCTGGGAATCACATGCTGTATTTTTCAACCGCATCAGGTCATTTATGTTCTTCTCTAAACTGGTTATTCTAGTTAGCAATTCGTCTAACCTTTTTTCAAGGTTCTTATCTTCCTTGCATTGGGTTAGAACATGCTCCTTTAGCTCAGAGGAGTTTGTTATTACCCACCTTTTGAAGCCTCCTTCTGTCAATTTGTCAAACTCATTCTCTGTCCAGTTTTGTTCCCTTGTTGTTGAGTTGTGAACCTTTGGAGGAGAAGAGACATTCTGGTTTTGCAATTTTCAGCCTTTTTGCGCTGGTTTCTCCCCATCTTTGTGGATGTATCTACCTTTGGTCTTTGACATTGGTGACCTTCGGATGGGGTTTTGGTGTGGACGTGCTTTTTGTTGATGTTCTTACTATTCCTTTCTGTTTATTAGTTTTCCTTCTAACAATCAGGCCCCTCTGCTGCAGGTCTGTTGGAGTTTTCTGGAGGTCCACTCCAGATCCTGTTTGCCTGGGTATCACCAGCAGAGGCTGCAGAACAGCAAAGATTGCTGCCTGTTCCTTCCTCTGGAAGCTTTGTCCCAGAGCGGCACCCACCAGATGCCAGTTGGAGCTCTCCTGTATGAGGTGTCTGTCGATCACTGCTAGGAGGTTTCTCCCAGTCAGGAGGAATGGGGATCAGGGACCCCCTTGAGGAGGTAGTCTGTCACTTAGCAGAGCTCTAGTGCTGTGCTGGGAGATCCGCTGCTTTCTTCAGAGCTGCCAGGCAGGAATGTTTAAGTCTGCTGAGGCTGCTCCCACAGCTGCCCCTTCCCCGAGGTGCTCTGTCCCAGGGAGACGGGAGTTTTATCTATAAGCCCCTGACTGGGGCTGCTGCCTTTCTTTCAGGGATGCCCTGCCCAGAGAGGAGGAATCTAGAGAGGCAGTCTTGCTATAGCATCTTTGCCAAGCTGTGAGCTCTAGCCAGTTCGAACTTCCCAGCGGCTTTGTTTATGCTCTGAGGGGAAAACAACCTACTCAAGCCTCAGTAATGGTGGACCCCCCTCCCCCCCACCAAGCTGGAGCCTCCCAGGTCAACATCAGACTGCTGTGCTGGCAGTGAGAATTTCAAGCCAGTGGATTTTAGCTTGCTGGGCTCTGTGGGGGTAGGATCCACTGAGCTAGACCACTTGGCTCTCTGGCTTCAGCTGCTTTTCCAGGGGAGTGGACAGTTCTCTCTTGCTGGCATTCCAGGTGCCACTGGGGTGTGAAAAGAAACTCCTGCAGGTAGTTCAGTGTCTGCTCAAACAGCCGCCCAGTTTTATGCTTGAAACCCAGGGCTCTGATGGCGTAGGCACCAGAGGGAATCTCCTGGTCTGTGGGTTGTGAAGACCGTGGAAAAAGCACAGTATCTGGGCCAGAATGCACCATTCCTCACAGCACAGTCCCTCATGGCTTCCCTTGTCTGGTGCAGGGAGTTCCTTGACCCATTGCACTTCCCAGGAGAGGCGACGCCCCACTCTGCTTCTGCTCACCCTCTGCAATAGTATTATGACATTTTTATAGTTTTTCAGCTCTGTCCGATCAGTTTTGTTGTTTCTTAAAATGTCCATTTTGTCTTTCAGTTCCTGAATCTTTTTAGTATTGTCATTAGATTCCTTGGATTGGGTTTCAACTTTTTCCTGAATCTTGATGATCTTTGTTACTATACATGTTCTGAATTCTATTTCTGTCATTTAAGCCATTTCATCCTGGTTAAGAACCATTGCTAGGGAAATAGTGCAGTCATTTAGAGGTAAGAAGACACTGTGGCTTTTTAGTGGCCAGAGTTCTTTGCTAGTTCTTTCTCATCTGTGTGGGCTAATGTTCCTTTAATCTTTGCAGTTGGTGTCCTTTGGATTTTTTTTCTTGTATTTTCTTTGATGTGCTTGAGGGTTTGACTGTGGTATAAGGTAGGTTCAGCTGACTGGGTTTGGTTCTGGAAAATTTTGGGTGACCAGTGCTCAGCTCAGTACCCGTGGATTGTGTCCTCTAACTCTGAGGGGCTGATACTAGGACCCCAGCTTTGTTCTTTGGCCCCTCAGGACTAGGAACCTGCTGTCCTGGAGGGGCTGAAGGGTTCTCAGTCTGCTGGTTATAACACTCTGATGGGGGGTGCTGGCCAAAGCACATCACTGGGGTGGTGGCAGCAGGATCAGTGCTTGCTTGCATGTGCCAGAAGCTGTGGTGTTGTGGTGAAGTACACGTGCTTTGGCACATTTGCTGGGGTGGGGTGCTAGTGGGAGCCTTTCTTAGTTTTCACAGGTTCTGTATACTTACAACAAATTGTGGTCTTGTATATTTGGCTGAGATCCAGTAGGTGGTACTTAAGAGTGTTAGCTGGCAGATAGGCCCTTGCTCTGCTGCAAGGCTCTTTTGTGTTTTGGCAGAGTTGGCCATAGTGTATTCTAGTGGACAGTGGGGAGACATGACCCACTTACCTAGTCTGGTAAGTGGAGGAACCCTCTCTGATTACTGGCTCTGTGCCCGTTTTGTCTGTTGGGTGTTCTGGTCCATGGGGCTACCTTAGGCAGGCGCTGTGGTTGGTAGACAGCAGGTATCCTTGCCAGGGCAGCCCTGTGGGGAGAGCCACACCCTGCTCCTTCACTGGTTTGCAAACCTGGGCATCTTACCTCTCTCAGTGATCCTAGAGTGAGGACTCCTCCCTGCTTGGGCACCACCTAAGCCAGCAAGTCCTGCTCAGGTAGGAGCTGCGAAGGTGAATGAGATCACCTAATCTGTCTGGGTGCTTCTCAGGAGTACCAGGGGTTGTGACTGCTGGCAGAGTTCAGGCAGAAGCTAGACTGCTGGGCTAGAAGCTCTAGAGGGTATGGACAATCTGGCTACAAGAGGTATGAGTGGGCTGAGTTGCTTTCTCTGCCATCTGGGTATTTCCCAGGGCAATGTGAGGCTGTGCTCCTCTGCAGAGTTCAGGCAGACGTAGAATCGCTGGTCTAGAAGCTCTAGCAGGTGTGGTCCACTTGGCTACCAGTGGCGGGGTGGGCAGGGTTTCCCACCCTGCCTTCTGGGTGTTTCCTTGGACAGCAGGAGGCTGCACCTACTGGCTGAGTTCAGGTAGGTGTGGGACCACTGGGTCAAAAGCTGGCACTGAGCCTTGTCTGGTAGGTAGCGGTAGAGCCATCTTACTACTCCCAGGAACCATGACTGTAGCCTCTTTCTGGGCTATGATGCTGGTGCTGATCTGTTCCAGGGTCTGGGGCTTGTTAGAGGTCCCCTTGAACTTGAGAGTTTCCTCTGCAAAAACTCTGGGTAGCTTTCTGCCTTGGTTTAGAAGCATAGTAGGGGACACTTGGGGAAGGGGGCTGGGGCATACTCCCATTCCCAGTCTTGCACAGGTCCCTGTGGAGAATGTGAATCCCCCCGGGGGCTCCCACTCATTCACCCTTTCCCATGTTGGAGAGCTTCTCCTGACTGGTGTTGATCCCAGATACGCTGCTACCCAGCTTCACTCCTCTCTGCTATCTGTGTCCCCTTGCTGTCTCGATGGTACTTGACCAGTTTCTTAATGATACAAACATTTGAGGCTTTGAACTTTTCTCTACATACTGCTTTAGCTGTATTATTTTTAATTCTACAAATTTATTTTGCCTCTTCTCTTTGAAGAGTTGTTTTCAGAGCAATTTATTTAGTTTTCAGGGAAAGAGACTTATCCTTTTCCAATGTTATTAATTTTTAATTTTATTATATTGTAAGGAAATATTATTGTTTTATTTCCACCTTTCAGAATTTAATGAGATGCTAATGGCTTAATATATGGTCAGTTTTAATGTTTATTAATACTTACAGAAGGCATATTATCTGCTTTCATAGATATTTATGAAATATATCTACTTAATTATGCCATTAAAATATCCTATATTGTCTGTTATATTTTTGACCACTTGAGGTGTCATTATCACTTGACTTGATATGTCATTGATAGAAGTTAATTTTCCGACTGTGTTTGTTGGCTATTGTTTCTTCTATCACATACCTTCTATTTAAGAATGCTGCTGCTAAGCTTTCTGGTTCATACATATTTGTAAATTGTTATAATTTTTTTATGAATTGCCCTCTTTGACATTATAAATTACCCATATTTGCTTAATACTTTTGGGTTATATTATACCTTTTTGATATTAAATCCAGAAACTTTGCTTTCTTTTCATTTGTATTTGCCCAGTATTCTTTTTCCCAATCTGTTAATTTTTTTTTTTTTTTTGGAGACAGAGTCCTGCTCTGTCACCCAGGCTGGAGTGCAATGGTGCAATCTCAGCTCACTGCAACCTCCACCTCCCAGGTTCAAGTGATTCCCCTGCCTCAGCCTCCTGAGTAGCTGGGATTACAGGCACACACCACCATGTCAGCTAATTTTTGTATTTTTAGTAGAGATGGGGTTTCACCATGTTGGCCAGGCTGGTCTCGAACTCCTGACCTCAAGTGATCTGCTTGCCTCGACCTCCCAAAGTGCTGGGATTACAGACGAGAGCCACCGCGTCTGCCCCCATCTTCTAATTTTTAACTTGGATTGCTCTTTTGTAGGTAGGGCAGCAGATTAAGGGGATTTTCTTTAGTCCATATCTAATTCTAACCACCCAAATTGATAATTCATTAGAAAAATATGCTTAAAGAAACACACTAGGGTATCTTATTACTACTGCTATTTTACTATTAATACTAATAGTACATACTCTGCTGCCACTATTATCATTCTTATTATTTTAGTAATTGTTACTTGAGACCCTTCCATTATACTAGTATATCTAACTTTTTCTCTTGATTTCCTATTTATCCATCTGAAGTTCCCTGTATTTTTTTAGGGGAGAATTTGTGGCTAGGTTCCTCTCAATGGACCATCAAATACTGACATGCAAGGAAAAAAAAATGTTACAGATACTGCAAAGCAATTAGTTTGGATAAATAAAAAACCAAATTAAAAGCCTTTCTGTCACTGTTAGATCGGTCATGGTGCCTCCCTTGTAGGGAATAGTGTCAGATCTTTAATTTGTAAACAGAAGATATTGAAGGTGTTCTGTCTCCTCAGAATATTCTTGAGTATTATGTTACTTGAATATTATGTTACTTTAGTATTAATGTGAAGTCTCTGGATCATTAGGCTTCTATAAACTTATTAACACACCTTGACAGCAGTAGACAGCAGAAACTTACTTTGGTGATGGCATAATAGTCTCTTGCAGACATTAATACATCCAGTGTGAAAAGTTGAGAATTTATTGTGCTAAGACTGTAACAAGGAACATAGAATGTATTATTCAAGAACATGTGAGCTCTAAAACACAAGAAGACAAAATTTAATGAACATATTGTACCAAGAAAATCTTGCTTGGTTAAAATTACAGATAGTCTCTTCTTAAATTTATCTTATCAAACGCTTTACAGAAACTATGGGGAATACTTAATTCTTCCATTCTTGTAACTTTAAAAGACTTTCTAATTCTGCCACAGCCAGAATGCTTGCAACAGCAAGTTTTTGTTCTTTGTGTGAATCTTATCAATTTAAATATTTGTATCCATAATGACATTCTCATTTTGATGTATTAATGTCAATGGTATGTTAATTTTCGATGTTTTTATCCTTTTTTGTCATTTAATTAATTGTTCCTCCCTAATTTAATTAAATACGTAGTCATAAGACTAATTATATCATATCTCTGAGTTATTTGATCTGTGAAATGACTTAAAAAATGTGTTGTACGTGTTCATTTTGCCTGAGGGAAAACCATGATAGGAAAGGATACATTAATATCTCAGCAAATATAAATTACACTCAGAGTTCTTCTAGTATCAAACTAATTAGATGGTGGAGGTTAGTTTGTGAAAGGTTTTTTTTTTAAAGAACTATTGAGAAAATGGGAGTTATGGAATCTAAACATTGAATGTTTTTGGAGTTTATAAATGTTGTTAACTAAGCTAATTTGGATGTTTGACACTTTGACACACCCCTGGGGAATGCTGCGATAGCTGGATTTGTTTTATTCTTACTCAGGGTTTCAGTTGTCTGTCAACAGATAATGGATCTGTTGTTTCAATTTCATTTGACTCTGAAATTTTCACTCATATTTCTGAACACATGCACACATTTGCACATACACAAGCACGTACATCCTTTTGAAAAGCAGTAAGCAGCTCTGGAATCATCCAGACTTAAGAGTCTAATCAAACTCTCAAGTTGCTGTGTGGCTTTGAAGTTCATGATTCTGGTCAGTTTCCTTGACTTGTCAAGCCTTCAATTCTCATTTGTAAGTGGCAGTTACAATACCAACCTTTCAGAATTGCTCTGAGGATTAAATTAACTCATTTATGTAAAACACTCAATGTAAAACCTAGTATAGAGACTAAACTCCATATGGTCATGTGCCACATAACAACATTTTGGGCATTTATGGACTTAATGTATGAAAGTGGTCCGATTAGATTATAATGGGGTTGAAAAATGTTTATTGCCTAGTGATGTTGTGAAAGTTGTAATGTCAAAAATATATTTAAAAATTAAAGATTTATAAAGTAAAAATGTTACAGTAAACTAAGTTAATTTATTATTAAAGAAGAATACTCTGAGTGCAGTGGCTCATGCCCATAATCCCAGCACTTTGGGAGGCTGAGGCAGGAGGATCACTTGAGCCCAGGATTTTTAGGCTGCAGCAATCAAAGCATGATCAAGCTTTGATCATGCTATTGCACTCCAGCCTGGGAGACAGAATGAGACCTTGTGTGTTTAAAAAAAGGAAAAAAATATTTAAAAAAATTTAATGTAGCATAATTGTACTGTGTTTATAAAGTCTAGGGTAGTGTACAATAATGTCCTGGGCCTTCACATTCACTCACCACTCACTGACTGACTCATCTAGAGCAACTTCCAGTCCTGCAAGCTCCACTCATGGTAAGTTCCCTATACAAGTGTACCATTTTTTTGTCTTTTATACTATATTTTTACTGTGTCTTTTCCACATTTAGTTATGTTTAGATACACAGATACTTACCATTATGTTGCAGTTGCCTACTGTATTCAGTACAGTAACATGCTGTATAGCTTTGTAGCCTAGGAATAATAGGCTATACTATATAGCCTAGGTGTGTCGTAGGCTACGTCTCTTATACTTATAGAATGTAAGTACATTCCATGATCACACAATGACAAACTTGCCTAACAACACATTTCTCAGAATGTATCCCTGTCATTAAGTGACATATGACTGTAATAAAAATAATGTTACTTTTACTATTAATCAAATTTTGAAGCACAAATGGAAAAATAACCCTTAATTTCATTCTTTTAACAAAACAGTGCTGATTTTTTCTTATTAATAATGGATGTGTTTTTATGAATTTATATTTTAAAATGTATTTTAAAAATTTACAAAGCCCTTTTTTTCAAAAGTATTTGAGGTAGTTTATGTGGTTGTTTGTTGTTAATTGAAAACAAAGGTAAGACACAAAATTCTGACTTTTATCAAAAGCATTTTTCCTGTATCCATTATGGGCATTTTGGATGACTGTGTAAGAGTTCACTGAAAATTGATATTTCATAACTTAATGATTCTCTGTGGTTGGATACTTATCAAGCCTTATTTTTAATTAATACAAAAATATTGGAGAAACATCTGCCCATTGGTATTTTATTCCAATGGATTATATCCTTAAATTTTCTTGGAGTAAATTACTTACTCAAATGTATGATATGTGTTTGACTTGTTATTAAGTTGCTACCCACTAATAATAGTTTTTTAAAAAGTTATTTATAGTAACAGAACTGTAGCAAAAGCGACAGGAATCCTTGAGCAGCTGTATTGAATAACTAAGGTCATCTCCATTCATAATAAACCCCCCACCCTCTTTAACAGGCCCTTTTACTCACTGCAGAACTCATCTAGCAGCCTTTGGCACATGACCTCACAATATTGGATGTTGTTTATTCAATCAGTTGGGCTCTAGACCCAAATTGAGCCAATCAGAGTCCTTCCCTGATAATGTGGATTTGAAACAAAGGAAGAGATTTAGTTTCTCGGAGTGACTGAACCAATAGAATGTACACCAGGGACTGGAGACACAGAAGAAGTTAGTTTTTAGGGAGAGAGAGAAAGAACAAAAAAAAAGGAAGCAAATATACATATATATATATATATATATATATATATATATATATATATATATATGTATATGTATATATAGAGAGAGAGATCAGAAATTGAGTGTGTTTAAATGTTTTTCTTTTTTCCTTTCCTTTTTTTTTTTTTTTTTCTTTTTTGAGACGAGGTCTTGCTCTGTCACTCTGGCTGGGGTGCAGTGGGCTGAGCCACAGGACTCACTGTAGCCTTGACCTCCCAGGCTTAATTGATACTTCTGCTTCAGCCTCCTGGTATTGAACTCCTGGGCTCAAGTGATCCTTCCTCCTTGGCCTCTCAAAGTGCTGGAATTGTAGGCATGACCAAACATGCTTGGCCTAATTGTTTTTTCAGGACATGTTTCAAATTCCTTCTTGAGGCCCCTGTGATTCTTAGAATAAGCTCTTTTGTTTAGTTAACTTGGATTTTTTTTTTTTTTTTTTACAATGTGTGATCAAGAGCCCCAATT
The DNA here is from genome assembly GCF_000001405.40 of Homo sapiens. NCBI lineage: Eukaryota > Metazoa > Chordata > Mammalia > Primates > Hominidae > Homo > Homo sapiens. The sequence goes on from NC_000003.12 coordinate 5,538,385, forward strand.
CATGCAGTGTAACACCTGTACTGTTAGGCCATTCTTGTATTGCTATTAATACCTGAGGCTGGGTAATTTTTAAAGAAAAGAGGTTTAATTGGCTCTTGGTTCTGGAGGCTTTACAGGAACCATGGTGCTGGCAAACACTTGGCTTCTGGGAAGGCCTCAGGAAGCTTCCAATCATGGCAAAAGGTGAAGCGGGTACAGACATGGTGAGAGTGTGAGTAAGAAAGAGGGTGTGGGGGAGGGAGAGGTGCCACATAGTTTAAACAACCAGATTTTGTGTGAACTCACTCACTATCACGAGGACAGCTCCAAGCCATGAGAAATTTGTCTCCATGATCCAATCACCTCCCACCAGACCCCACCTCCAAAACTGGGGATTAAAATTCAACATGAGATGGAGAGGGGACAACATCCCAACTATGGCAGGGCCTTTTATGCAGGTAGAGTGAGTAACTTTAAAGATGGTATGTGTGTGTCTATCCAATACTTTGTCCTCCTTTGTTTGAAATCCTAACATTAAAAAGGAGAGAAGTGACATTAATTGTTCACTTACCATGTTTCACATCTTTTCAAGAAAATTATTTAAATCATCTAATAATCCCATTGTGGTGTTAATCTATTTTACAGATGAAGGTATTTGTGTGTAGAGAAGTTAAATAACTTTTCAAGGTTGTACAGAAATCAAGGAGCAGAACCTAAAAGGTTTAGGGAAGTTATAATGATGCCAGAAATTTCCAGTGGTTCGCATTTGCATTTTGCCTTAAAGATTTAATTATAGGCCGTGCGTGGTGGCTCAGTCCTGTAATCCCAGCACTTTGGGAGGCCAAGGTGGGCGGATCACCTGAAGTAAGGAGTTTGAAACCAGACTGACCAATATGGTGAAACCTTGTCTTTACTAGAAATACAAAAATTAGCCAGGTGTGGTGGTGTGCACCTGTAGTCTCAGCTACTTGGGAGGCTGAGGCAGAAGAATTGCTTGAACCCAGGAGGCGGAGGTTGCAGTGAGTCGAGATCACACCACTGCACTCCAGCCTGGGCGACAGAATGAGAGTCCATCTCAAAAAAAAAAAAAAAAAAAAGATTTAATTATATCCAGAACTCCTGGTTACCTGGGCTTCAGAATTCCAACCTCAATGTAATCTTGGCTGCTGCTACTACTCTTCAGAATCACCAGATCAGATGATTAAACCCCCTTTCCTTGTCTTAAATGAAATTCCCTTAGAAAATTACTGTAATTACTCATATCACTTTGCTCTTTCCCTTGTTTCTCAGACTTCAGTATTTTTGGGGTCATATCTGGCTACAATATACTTCATTATTCTTCCACAAATAGCTCCACTTTATAAAAACAAATAATAATATATTTTCAGAAAAACTTTGTTGCATGATATAAATAGAAAATTGCTATCACTTGCTCATTCTGTGTAAATTCATATAGGGATTCACGAGTGATGCCTGAGTAAGCTTTGGGAAACCTTGGCCATCTACATAGTTTTATTTGCCTCCAGTTTTATGGAGGTATAAGTGGCAAATAAAATTTATACGTATTTAAAGTGTACAACATAATGTTTTGATATATGTTGTGAAGTGATTACTATAATCAAGCTAGTTTATTTTTAACTAATAAATACAAATGTTATGTATTTAGGAAACGAGATATATTGTTTCAAAATATGTGTACATTATGAAATATCTAAATTGAGCTAATGTATTACATACATTTTATGTGATGAGAACACTAAAAATCTACTCTTAGCAATTTTCAAATGTAGAATACATTGTTATTAACTATAGTCACTATATTGTTCAATAGATCTCCTTAAATTATTCCTCCTAACTGAAATTTTGTATCTTTGACTAACATCTCCCCAAACCCTTCTGTCCAAGCCACTGGTAACCACCAAATCTATTCTCTGCTTCTATGAGTTTGACTTTTTTAGATTCCATATGTAAGTGAGATCACACAATGTTTGTCTTTTGTGTTTAGCTTATTTTGTGTAATGTTCTCCAGGTTTATCCATGTTGTTGCACATGGCAAGATTTCCTTTTTTTAGGGCTCAAGAATATTCTATTTTATGTATATACATGTATATATACACACACATGTACATATATGTACACATGAGTATATGTGTACATACATATGTGTATATGCATATACACACATATATGTACATATATACATATACATATATGTACATATATACATACATATGTGTACACACATATATGTACATACATACACATGTGTACACGTATACATACATGCGCACATATATACACATGAGCACATATATACACGTGCACATATGTACACATATGCGTATATACACATGCGTACATATATACACATGCGTACATATATACACATGCGCACATATATACACATGCGCACATGTATACACATGCGCTCATGTATACACATATGCGTATATGCACATATGTGCACATATATACACATATGCGTATATGCACATGTGTGCACATATATACACATATGCGTATATGCACATGTGTGCACATATATACACATATGCGTATATACACATGTGTGTACATATATACACACATGTGTACATATGTGTACATATATACACATATATACACATATGCGTACGTATGTACACATATGTATATATACACGCATATATATACATATGTGTGTATATATACGCATATATACACATATGTGTGTATATATACGCGTATATACACACGTGTGTATATATACGCGTATATACACCTATGTGTGTGTATATACGCGTATATACACCTATGTGTGTGTATATACGCGTATATACACCTATGTGTGTGTATATACGCGTATATACACCTATGTGTGTGTATATACGCGTATATACACCTATGTGTGTGTATATACGCGTATATACACCTATGTGTGTGTATATACGCGTATATACACCTATGTGTGTGTATATACGCGTATATACACACATATGTGTACATACACACACACACACACACACACACAAGCATGCACACACATGCCCACAAACACTCCATTTTTATTATCTATCCACTGACACTTAGGTTGACCCTACATCTTGATAGCATATGAAGAGACATTTTCTGGTAGTGCACTTATCTGTTCAACATACTGATTTCAATTTTTTTGGATAAATTGGATATGTATATATTCATCTATATCTAAAAGTAAGAGTGCTGGATTGTATGGTGGTTCTATTTATAGTTTTTTGAGGCAGCTCTATACTGTTTACTTTATAGAACATTTTTTATGGTAACAGTTTACGTTCCCACCAACAGCGTATAAGGGTTCCTTTTCTTCACGTCCTCACTAACACTTTTTATCATTTGACTTTTTGATAACAACCATCCTAGCAGCCGTGAGGTGATATCTCATTGTGGTTTTGATGAGCATTTCCCTGATGATTGGTGATGTTGAAAAGTTTTTCATATATCTGTTGGCCATTTGTATGTCTTTTTGGAAAAATATCTATTCAAGTTCTTAACCTATTTTTAAATTGAGGTTTGTTTTTTTTTTTTACTGTTGAGTTGTGATTTCCTCAAATATTTTGAATGTTAATCCCCATTGAATATGTAGTTTTCAAATATTTTTTCCATTGTGTAGGTCGTTTTTGCATTTTGTAGATTGTTTCCTTTGCTGTGAAGAAATTTTTTAGTTTGTTGCAGTTCCACTTGTTTATTTTTGTTTTGCTGCATGTGTTTTTAGAGTCATACTAATAAAATCTTTGTGAAGGACAGTATCAAGAAGAATTTTCTGCTTTGTTTCCTTCTAGGATTTTATGGATTCAATTTTTAAGTCTTTAATCCATTTTGAGTTGATTTTTGTATATGCTGTAAGGTAAGGGTACAATTTTAGTCTTTGGCATGTGGACATCAAGTTTCCCAGCCTTCTGTATTGACAGATAATCTTTTCTACATTGTGTGTTCTTGGCACCTTTTTGAAGATTACTTGATTGTATATGCATTGGTTTATTTCTGGTATCTCTATTCTGTTCAATTTGCCTATCTCAAGATTGCTCTGGCTATTCAAGATCTTTTGTTCCATGCAAGTTTTAGTGTTTTTTTTCTGTTTCTGTGAAAAATGTCATTAGAATTTTGATAGAGATTGTGTTAAATCTGTAGATTGCTTTGGATAATGTAAACATTTTAAAAGCATTCTTCCAAGCTGTGAACATGGGATTAATTTCCATTTATTTATGCCTTCAATTTTTTTCATCAATGTTTTATAATTTCCGGTGTAGATATATTTCACCTCCTTGGTTAAATTGATGCCTAAGCATTTTATTCTTTTTGATTCTATTGTAAACAGGAGTGTTCTCTTATATTTTGTATAGTTTGTTGTTACTGTACAGAAACACAACTGATTATGTAGATTTTTTGTCTTGAAAGTGCTGATTTTATTAGTTTTAACGGTGTTTTTGTGGAATCTTTAAGGTTTTCAACATACAACATCATGTCATCTGTAAACAGAGACAGTTTTATTTCTTTCCAATTCATGTGTCTTTTCTTTTTTTTTTTTTTTCTTTTTTTTTGGCTAGGAATTCCAGTACCATTTGAATAGAAGTGGTTAGAGTGGGCGTTATTTGTCCTTTTTTTTTTTTTTTTGATGTTAGAGGAAATGCCTTGAACTTCCCACAATTGAGTGTGATGTTTGCTGTAGGTTTATCATATACGGCCCTTATTATATTGAGGTATGTTCCTTCTATACCTAATTTGTTGAGAGTTACTGTAAAAGGATGTTGAAATTTGATAGATGATTTTTCCACATATTTAGATATAATCATATAATGCTTTATTTTCATTCTGTTAATGTGGTGTTTCACATTTATTGATTTGTGTATGTTGAACTATCCTTGCATGGCAGGGTTACCTCCACTTCATCATGGTGTATAATCCCTTTTATATGCTGTAGAATTCAGTTTGCTATTTTGATATTTTTTTGAAGATTTCTGCATCTATGCCCATCAGAGATTTGGGCCTACAATTTCTTTTTCTTGGACTGTCTTGGTATGGCTTGGATATCAAGATAATCCTGGTCTCATAAAATAAATTTGGAAGTGTTTCTTCCTCTTCAATTTCTGAAAGAGTTTGAAATGGATTGGTGTTAATTCTTCTTTAAATGTTTGGTAGACCCTACTCATGAAAGCATCTGGTCCTGGGCTTTTCTTTGTTGGGAGATTATTGATTACCAATTCAGTCCTCCGTGTCATGACTGATCTGCTCAGATTTTCTGTTTCTTCATCATTTAGTCATGTTGGGTTGTAGGTTTCTAGGGATTTTTCCAGTTTTTCTAGATGATCCAGTTTGTTGGTATATAATTTTTTCAGAGTAGTCTCATGATTCTTCATATTTCTGTGGTATTAATTGTAATGTCTCCTCTTTCATTTCTAATTTGATTTGAATCTTCTCTTCTTTTTTAGTCTAGGTAAAGGTTTGTTGATTTTTGGTTATTTCAGAAAAGCAACTCAGTTCTATTGATGTTTTCTATTGGTTTTCTAGTATCTATTTTATTTATTTCTATTCTAATCTTTCTTATTTCCTTTCTTCTGCTATCTCTGAGCTTAGTTCCTTCTCCTTTTTCTAATTTCTTCAGGTATAAAGTTAGAGTTCTCTCATTTTCTTAATGTAGACATTAATTGGTATAAATATCCCCTTTAGAGTTATTTTTGCTACATCTCATAAATTTTGATAGGTTGTATTTACATATTTGTTTGTCTCAAGATAGTTTTTGGTTTCCCTTTGATTTCTTCTTGACCTATTGGTTGTTCAGGAGTGTGCTACTTAATTTTCCCACATTTGTGAGTTTTTGTGCTATTACTGGTTTCTTGTTTCATATGATTGTAGTCAGAATAGATACTCCATATATTTCAATCTTCCTATTTGTTGAGACTTGTTTTGTGTCCCAAAATATGACCTCTTCTGGAGAATGCTCTGTGTACAGTTGAGAAGAATATGTATTCTGCTGTTGAATGGGATATTCTGTATATGTCTGTTAGGTTCATTTGGTTTATAGTGTTGTTCAAGTGCATTGTTTCCATATTGATTTTCTGTCTGGCTGTTCTAGTCACTGTTGAAAGTGAAGAATTAAAGTCCTCTATTGTTACTATGTTGTTGTTTATTCTTCCTTTAAGTACTGTTTATATTCATTTTACATATTCAGTTGCTCTAATGTTGGGTATATATATATTTACTTTTGTTATATCTTTTTAATATATTGACCCTTTATCATAATATAATAATTTGTTTTTTCTCTTGTTACAGTTTATTGACTTAGACCCTGTTGTGTACAAGTATAGCCACATTTGCTCTCTTTTAGTTGCCATTTGCATAGAATACCTTTTTCCATCCCTTCACTTTCAGCCTATACATGTCTTGAAAGCTAAAATGAGTCTCTTGTAGGCAGCATATAATTGGATTTGAAAAAACTTTTGTTTAGCCATTCTGTCTTTTGATGGATGAATTTAAACCATTTACAGTTAAAGTAGAGTTTTTGTAGGGAACTGAACTTAATTTATAGGTAAGGGCTTATGATTGCCATTTTGGTAATTGTTTCTGATAGTTTTATAGTTTCTTTTTTTTTTTCTTTATTTTTCTCTCTGTTGTTCTTTTCTTCCTTTGGGATTTGATTATCTGTTGTGGTATGATTTGATTCCTTTTCCTTTACCTTTCGAGTATTGGCTATTTTGCTTTGTGGTTACTGTGAGGCTTAAATTTTGTGATTATACCAGTCTATTTTAAGCTGATAACAACTTAAGTTCAGTTGCATACAAAAACTCTACACTTTTGATTACTTGCCCAACATTTTATGTTTTCAGTGTCACAATTTACATCTTTTTATATTGTGTATCCAATAAGAAGATATTATAGTTATTTTTAATACTTTGTCATTTAACCTTTATACTAGGTTAAATGCAATTTACACAGCACCATTACATTACAAAAGTAGAGTATTCTGAATTTGACTATATATTTACTTTTTAATTAGTGAATTTTCTACTTCATACATTTACATGTTTGTCATTAGTGTCCTTTCATTTCCACTTGAACTCTATTTAGCATTTCTTATAGGGCAAGCCTAGTGGTGATGAATTCCCTCTGCTTTTGTTTGTTTGGGAAAGTTTGTATTTTTCATTTGTGAAGTGCAGCATTGTCAGGTACAGCATTCTTGGTTGGCAGTTTTTTTTTCAGTACTTTGAATATGTCATCCCATTTTCTCCTGGCCTACTAAGTTTCTGATGAGAAATTCACTGATAGCCTTATGGAGGTTTCCTTTTATGTGAGGATTTTTCTTTGCTGCTTTCAAGATTCTCTCTGTCTTGGATATTTTTGAAGTTTGATTATAATGTGTCTAGGTATAGTCTTGTTTGGTTTGAACTTCATTAAAGACTTTTGAGCTTTCTGTACCTCCATATTAATATAGGTTGTGTGTTGTCTTCATCCATTTTGTGTTGTTATAATAGAATATCAGAGACTGCATAATTTATTAAAAAAAGAGGTTTATTAGCTCATGGTTCTGCAGGCAGAAAAGTTCAAAGGCATGACCCTTGCTCTGCTGAGGGTTTTAGTGCTGCATCATGACATGGCAAAGAAAGTCAAAGGGGAAGCAGACACATGCAAAGAGACAAAACCCAAGAGTATCCTGGCTTTATAACAATCCAGTCTTTCGGGAAGTAATCTACTTCCATGAGAACTAACCCAGTCTCACCAGGTGAGAATTCACTATAAAAATAATGGCAGCAAGCCAATTATGACGGATCTTTCAAGACCCAAACAACTTCCAGTAGGCCCCATCTCCCAATACCACAACAGTGGGGATCAAATTTCAGCCTGAGTTTTGGTGGTAACAAACCACATCCATACCACAGCAAGTGTCTCTTACCTGAAATGCTTGGGACGAGCAGTGTTTTGGCTTTTTGATTTTTTTCAGATTTTTGATGAGATATTCTTATCATCTGCTTATCATCTCTAATCTGGAAATCAGAAATCCAAAATGCTCCAGAGAGCATTGCCTTTGAGTATCATGTCAGTACTCAAAAAGTTGTGGATTTTGGAACATTTTTGATTCCAGATTTCTAATTAGAAATATTCAGCCTGTAACTTTCACCAGATTTGAGAAGTTTTCAGCTATTATGTCTTTAAATAAGCTTTTTGTTCTTTTCTCTTTCTCTTCTTTTTAGGACTCCCATAATGTATTTTTTTTACTTTTCACTTAAAGGTGTCCTGTAAGTCCCTTATGCTTCCTTTCCTCATTTTAATTTTTTTCCTTTTTTTTTTTCCTCTGGGTAATTTCAAAATATTTGTTTTTAAGTTTACAGATTCTTTCTTTAGCTTGATCAAGTCTACTGTTGAAGGTATTACATCTTAAAATTTCATTCATAGCATTCTTTTACTCCTGGATTTTTGTATGGTTCTTTAGGATTTATTTGGTTGCATTGAATTTCTAATTTTGTTCATGTATTGCTTTTCTGATCTTGTTGTCTATTTGTGTTCTCTTTCAGTGAGCTCTTTAAAATAATTATTATGAATTCCTTTTCAGAAATTTCAATAATATCCTTTCCTTTGGGGTCAGTTACTTGTGAATTGTTGTGTTTCTTTGGTTATGTCATTTTTTCCCCCATCATGTTTCTTGTGGCCTTGTGTTGAAGTCTGCACATTTGAAGAGCAATCACCTCTTCCAGGCTTTGTTGACTGGCTTCAGTGGGGAAAAAAATTCAGCTGTAAGTTGGTGTGAGGGTGTCAGTTGTATGGGTTGTGATGGATCTGTTATTCAGGGAGTACAGTGGTATAGCCTTTGGGCAGCTAAGGTCAGTAGGAGCAAACACTGTAAGGGCCATGGCTGTGGATATTTGTGGCAGCGGCAGCAGCAGAAGAGGAATGTTGGGGTCCTTGGTATCAAAGATTGCTGGGGTCCACCTGTTCTCCTTTTCTCTGTTGGGGGGAAGTGCTGGCTGAGGGGATCGGCCTCATCAGTGGGTCTGGTGTGGCCCCAAGTAGCCACTACAGTGTTGGATTCCAGGGTGCAGGCACTCAGGGTGGCTGCAGAACCAGAGTTTTAGGCTCAGGGGCTCATGGAACTCCTGCGGCACCTGGATCTCGGGGCATGAGTACAATCACTGAGGTGTGGGCATGTGTAGATCACTTGTGGGGATAGGGCTTGGGACTCTAGGGTATGCACCAGTGGTTTAGGCCTGGGGGTACAGGGATAGAGTGGCTTAGATTTTAGATGGTAAGGTGCAGCAGTAGCACAGCCCCAAAGATGAAGGGGCCCTGTGGTGGCTCAGGCCCTAGAAAATGGCAGGGTGCCATGGCAGCCTGAGACCTGGGGGGCAGGGCACATCAACATTAAGGCCCTGGGGTGAAGGGCACAGCATATTGGTGGCTCCAGACCTTGGATGGTGCAGCACTTTGGCTTCTCATTCCCAAGGAGTTGGACACAGCGGCAACTTAGTTCCCAAGGATGACAATGCACAGCACAGGTGTGACCCTGGCCCCTATCGTCCACTTAGTTTTTCTCTTTTCAGCCCTAATTTTAGCCTTCCAAAATTTACTTAGTTCTTTGATTTTTCCTTTTATTTTGGTATCCATTTCTCTAACTCTAAATGAAGATCCTCATATTTTAATTAATGTTATTTATCTATGGTGTTATCTATTTTTTCTTCAGGACATTTAGATTTGTTTCTACAACTGGATATTTTAGAGTATGGGTTTTGTTTTATTCTGACATGTTTCTAAATCTCTAACAGCAGTTTTCCTTGCCCCTGAAAGCTACCTATGTACTGATGAGGAACTGTCCACCCTTGAAATGGGTGTGCTGGGTTCTGATCAGTGGATCTTGGATTGTTGGTCTCACTCTCCTCCTTCCTGTCTTCATTGGCCACATCCTGGTTTAAGGTCCATTCTGCAGTGTATTTTTCTAGTATCTATAAAGGACTTTCTTAGCTAAAATTTCTTTCATTATTCAATCATTCTTTTTTATCAGCTATTAATTAAGTAGCTAATATGTGCTGGGAACAGCAGAGTAAAATAGATATGGGCCCTAGTTTGATGAAGATTACATTCTGGTGGGATACAGTTTCATAAACATATACACATGCAAGCACACACTCCTAATGCTTTGCTAATATTTCTCTTTTGTGTGGAGGCTTTCATTAGTCTTTCATTTTCTGCAGAATAGAATTTGTAAGGATGGTTGATCTTGACATTCAGAATCCTCCAGCCTCACTTTCCAGTCTTCTTTCCATTGTTCCCCAGCTTCACTTGAACACACTAGATGTCTAGCTGTTTCTGAAAATTGTATGTACTTTGCTGCCTTTCAGGTATGGGACTGATCTTTTCTTCACCTTGTAGTGATTACCCTATCTCCTCCAGTCTTACCCGAGAGCCCTTAAAGGTCCATTTTTAATGCCACGTGGACTTCGTGAAACCTTTCTAGATCCAACAACTGAAAGTGACCCTTTCTCCTCTTTGCATGTATGTCTTTGCATCTACTTAATGACAGCTGTTATAAAGAAACTCTCTTTTCCCTGACCACACTGTAAAGGCTGGCAAGGCAGAAATGCCACACTTAGAGGAGGATAATTTGATGAGGAATTATGGAAAGACGAATTACAAAGGTTTGGGAACTGGGTAAAGGAACCACAAGGGATACAGAGGAAACATGGAGCTTAAAGCGGAGCTGTCACAATCCCTGGCAGGGCAGATAGAGGGGTAGAGATTTCCAGAACCACAAAGAAGAGAGTTGTATAAGCAGGCAGCGGTGAGAGGTCAGGTGACTTGTTGAGGGGTACACCGATGTACCCTCACAGGGTGCCCTCACAGGGGATGAACTAGGCGAATGCATCATCTTTCCTCTGGTCTGCTGGGGCTCCCACTGGCCATGTTCAGTGAGAAACCAGAGGGCATTGGACTCCACTGATGCAATACAATTTGTCAGTGTTTCATGGACAGACTCTAATGGAGGGGAGAAAGTGTTTCTGGAGGAGAAAACTGAAGCATATGGAGTCCAACTACACAGTGCTTTGTTCATCTTTTCAAATTTTCTATGCCTAAATTGGCTTATTTTTAGCACTAGTAAATGAAGTACTGTATATTTACACATTTTATGCTTGTAGTTTCAGGACAGATTAAACCATTATGGAAGACTATTTTTTTTCCTTTCTCGTTTTAAAACTATTTTTGTAGAGACAGAGTCTTGCTATGTTGCCCAGGCTGGTCTCAAGGTCCTGGCCTCAAGTGATCCTCCTGCCTTGGCCTCCTACTTCCTTTCTAAATATTTATATTGACATCTTTCTCCCAAAAGTGGATGATTCAAGGACTTTAGTGATGTATCAATGACTAATCAAACTGTTTCTTTTGATTTTGGCTATATGTAATATTTATATGTCTATATAAATATGCCGATGCAGATGTGTGTAGATGTACATATGTATATGGATAGGTACATCCGTCTCTACAGCAGTAATTCACAGAGAAAGGAAGATTGGTAGTCATACATATCAAGACAAAAATTGAACATTAGATTATGATACTATATTGAATATAAAGATGCTTATAGATAGCTCATTTGAAAGATTTTTACATTTATACCAAAGATTTTATATTTATACCAAAATATATACACAATGCTTAGAATTGTAGTGGTCCTCTCCCAAGGTTGAGAAGACAAGTTAATTTGGATTAATAACTTTTAGTTTTTTTATACCAGAACTCATCAAATTCATGCTTAAATGTATGAGCAGCACCACTCATGTGGGGAGATGGGGAATAGCAGAACTATGGTTTATGAAGGAAGCCTCATGTGAGTTAACTCCAAACATATGATTCATGCAATCAATAATGCAAGGCGGTGGGGATGGCTATGAGTCTGCAGAGATGTCCAGCTTCAGTGCCTCAACCGAGTCTTCATGTTGCAATGACTATGGGAAAAGTTTGATATCCCCTTACTCACTCCTTGAACTGAGAAGTGAATCCTTCATGCCTCAAATGCAAGTAGATGAAGTGCCTCAAAAAAATTCCTAGGACTTTGATTTAAAATCCTAATCAGAAAATTAGTTTCAAGTACAGATTTGGTCACATATAATTGTAAGCTGACATTGAACTTGCTTTATTTTAGACTTTTAAAGCAGATTAAATTTATGTTAAATTAGGTCTTCTCTCCTGTTTCCATTTGAACATAAATCTTTAAGCAACATTCCATCAATACTGTCTCTGGCTTCAGGGAATGGGTCCATTGTCCCACCGCAGTATCCAACAGTTGATTTTCGTGAGCCTCCCAGTTTCCCACTGATAAAAATTTAAGTAGCTTAAATCTTTCCTACAAATTACCAGGTCATTTAAAAATAAATTGGGCTCATTTTAATCTAATTCCTAATGCATAACTGCCTGGGGAGTTATTTTCAGCTTCGTTTGTTGCAGTTTGCAATTATCATGCTCCTTTTAAAGGAAAGAAAAGTAACAGGACTATATGTGAATTACCAATGATCTTTCAGAGGAATTCATATTTAAGTTAAGTAATAGGAGGAATGGAAGAGAGAATGGGTAATGATGCAGACTTGAGAAGGTCTGGAAAAAAATGGAAATAAGTGGTGAAGGAACGTAGGGCAGGTGCTAACATTTTACCTTGCTTGGGTCATGAAGATCCCATGTCTGCAAATAATGAGACTTCAGTTAAATAATTGAAAGTGCTTGATGACTTTCTAAGTCTGTTAAGTCTTTGATTCCATGACTCTGAAGCTGCCAGCACAATTTTACTTTGACTAGTTCTGATTTCAAGAGAACAGGACTTGGGCGCTTAGTTTACAAAATGAACAGTGTAATTCAGACATTGATTAACTGAGGGAATTGCTTTGACTCACAAGCTCTAGATTACAAATTCAGAATTGATTTCTTACTCTTCCAAGGTCTGTACATTATGACAGCATGGGAATTACAGGAATCATTTCTGCAGCTCAAATGGAAATGTCCGTCTCCAGTACTCTTCACAGTGTTGTTAGGTTCGCTAGTTTAGAAGCACCAGTGAGGTGTAAATCAAAGATTGTGGGAATTCAAAGGAAGAAAAGATACTGTTTGGTTTAGAAACAAAAAGGTGGAATATGTACTTCAAGAAATCTTCATGACACAGGAGGCATTTGATAGAAAGATTGGTCACATTTAACAAGGTAGAGACATGGTGCATTGAATATTTAGATTAAATGTAGAAGCAGATAGAAGGCAAATGATAAGTTTAGAGTTTGACAAGAATTTCAGCTTTAGACATGGGGCTGGCAGGTGCTATGACTGTGCTACAGGGCCAGATGGTGAAGTGCTTGACCCAAGTGTTTGAATTTTCTCACGTGGGCAGCAAGGACTCAGTAATTAACAATTTGTAGAGTAAAATACTGAATTAGTTGAGACAAGACTGGGTATCATTTTTATTGTTTCAAATATTTCAGAATACCAGCATGTTGTTTTGCCACTTTGGCATTTTAATGGAGATGTAAAATTTTCCTCTCCCCCCAATTTAGAGTGAACAGAAGGAGCTGTACTTCTAAAATAATATTGACATATGAGTTAGCTTTGTACAAACATAAAAGAGGATAATTAGCAAACATATGTTTGATTCCAATTTAGGTTAAAAACATTCACATGTATTTAAAAGTGCACACCTTGACCTTTGGATGGCAAATAGCTGATAACAAAATCTTATTTTATGCAATGTCTTTTAAGTTTCATGTAATTATCCCTGTATACCTAAGATGATAATAACCACAACAATAAAGACAGTCAACTTTTATAATCATAATCTAAGTGCTTGACATATAGTATTTCTTTAATCCTTGCAAGTCCATGAGGCAGCTACTATTATCCTTCTTTTGCAGATGAAAAGACTGAGGCTTAGAGAGGCTGAATATTGTGCTGGGAGCCACACACCTAGTGAGTGGTAGAGCTGAGAATTGACCTAGCATTTTGACTCCAGAGTCCATGCTGCTAACTGTTTTTCCAGGCTACCTCTCCTAGTGTGGTAGGGATTATCATCCAGGCTATGGAAACATAGAAACTAAGACTACGTGAGAAGTATAATGGTTTACGTAAGGTCTCTTATAAATAATATAAGGTTCCAAATTGTACTTGAAAAACACAATGTCTGGAAATGAACAACCATTCTTATGAATTGTAGCAAATGGAAATTTTTATCTTCAGTAACCATCACTCACTTGGAAATTTGGTTAAAGCTGCATTTATTGGATCTTTGGCAAGGTTACGGCATGGTTAGAGAGTTTAATGTATGGAAATCAGTGGCACATGCTAATCTGGACAGGCGTCCTTTAACAATAACTGCAACAAGAGAAAGATTTCCTTGATCACCTCCCAGGCCTGGAGTAGGTAGTCCTCTTCAGTGCTCTTAGCATAGCCCAGACAGAGGTCTAGCATGAGTTTTTTTTTTTTTTTAAACTATCCATTTGTTTCTTCCATTGCTTTTTAACTGGGGTTCTCATCCTTAGCACTATTGAAATTTTGGGCCCAATAATTATGTACTGTGCATTGTAGGATGATTGGTAGCACCCTTGGACTCTCCTACTAGATGCTAGTAGCATCACCCCAGTTCTAAATATCAAAAATGTTTCCAGACATTGCCAAATGTCCCCTGGTTAGCAGGTCATCCTCAGATGAGATGCGCCTTTCTCTCTGAAGCTGTACTGCTCCTGTACCAGTCAGTACTCTCCAGCCAGTAGCAGGGCACTGGCTCCCAGTCTAGAGCAGGAGCTTTTAACCTGGAATCAAGGATCTCTGGATTTGCTAACCAGGATCCATAATCTCTTGGAATTATATAAAAATGTTTTGTGTATGTGGCTTTTTCTCAGAAGAAGCCCAAGCTTTCAAAACATTCTCAAAGAGGTTGGTGGCTTTCAAAATGATTAAGATCATCCCCCTTGAGGGAATGCAGTGGACCACACATCAAGAGATTTTTATCTTGATCAGAGTGTGTGTGTGTGCACTCTCTCTCGCTCGCTCGCTCTCACTTTCGCTCGCTCTCTCTCACTCACTCTCTCTCGCTTTCTCTTGCTTACTCGTTCTCTCTCAGTGAAGACTAAAGCATTCCCATTGGCTGGGATAGTAATACTATGAAGACACAGATTCCTGCAGATCAGTCTTGTCACCAAAATGGGCCAGGCCTGTTTAAATGAGGGCACGGTTGCTACAGTGTTGTATAGGGTATGTTCTGTCTGGTGGGATGGTAGAAGACAGGTGGCCTTCTGATGGTGCAGGCAGGTGAGTAGGCTGTTGCTGTGGTTCATGGGTTGGAGGCTGTGGACTTCATCCTGGATGTTCTCCTGTAAATCTTGAAGATTAGTGTAGGGAATAGCATAAGTTCCAGAGAGGAAAGAGCCTACTGAAAATGATTTATTCTTGCTTCCAATCAGTTATCTATTCTCTCTTTTGAGGGTTTGGTCTAGAAATGTGGTGGACTTTTACATAAAGGGAAGGTAGAGGAGGGTGGTACAGGTAAAGAAAAAGAAACAAAACTCTGGAAATTGAAAAATGTGAGAATCGGGGAGACCTACAGATACTCATTCACTCTCAGAAGGGTCCTTTCCCTCAGACCTTAAAAATGTGTAGGATGTCATACATCAGCTCAATTTTGCATTTTTTCTTTTTTTTTTTTGAAATGGGCTAAAGAAGGTGGACTGAGTCTTTTTTTGTTGCTTTTTGTTTTAGGTTACTAGTCCTAGTGGTGAACTTAATGTGACCTAGAGCTATGATTTTGAAGTATGGGCTGTGGCCCATTGATAATCTTTAGGGGTCTTCATGCCTCAAAACAGAATGGACACCATTTTGGAAGACATTGTGGCAATTCCTCAAAGACCTAAAGACAGAAATACCATTAGACCCAGCAATCCCATTTCTGGGTATATATCCAAAAGAATAGAAATTATTCTATTACAAAGACAAATGCATGTGTATGTTCACTGCAGCACTATTCACAATAGCAATGACATGGAATAGACCTAATGCCCATTCATGATAGACTACATAAAGAAAATGTGGTATACATATGCCATGAAATACTATGCAGCCATAAAAAGAATGAGATTATGTTCTTTGCAAGGACATAGATGGAGCTGGAGGCCATTATCCTTATCAAACTGACACAGGAACAGAAAACCAAATACCACATATTGTCAGTTATAAGTAGGAGCTAAATGATAAGAACACATGGACACATAGAGGGAAATAACACACACAGGGGTCTTATAGAGGGTGAAGGCTGGGAGGAGGGAAAGGATCAGGGAAAATAACTAGTGGTTAGTAGGCTTAATACCTGGGTAAGGAAATAATCTATTCAACCAACCCCTATGACCAAAGCTTACCTATGTACCAAATCTGCACTTGTACCTCTGAACTTAAAAAAACAGAATAATCCAAATATGTCACTCATTTCTTCAATCTCTTTAATACATGCCTTGTAATTTTGTGGCTCTCCATCTTAAAAATATCAGCTCCTTACTTGGAGTCCATTAAATGACTTACTAAAGTTTCTAACCTTTGGCATGTATCTGACTGCTATCTGAATGTTTGTCCCCACCCACCCCCCAATTCATATGTTGAAAGCCTAATACTTGGAGCTGGGGCCATTAGGAGGTAATTGGGTAGGGCATGAGGGTGGAGCCCTTGTTAATGGGATTTGTGTTGCTATACAATGACAAAGAGATACGGGACCTTCCCCCCACTCCCCTCTTTCCTGTGTGAGTATACAGCAAGAAGATCGTTATCCACAAACCAGTAAGTGGGCCCTCACCAGACACTCAATCTGTAGGCTCCTTAATCTTGGACTTCCCAGTCTCCAGAGCTATGAGAAATAAATTTCTGTTGTTTAAGCCATGCCATCTATGGTATTTCTTTTATAGCAGCCTAAACTGAGATCCAGTAAGAAGAACTTTGCTAGGACTTCAGAGCAGTAGACTTGCTCTTCCCTTTGTCTTTGAAGCTGACGAAATGTAAGGGCTGTAGCTGTGTGACCCATCTTCTTACTGTGAGAGGAAATTTTGTTTGTGAATGGAGCCAACTCAGAGGAAAATGAGGAGATACAGAGATAATTCTGGTGACATCATTTGATCCTCCATATCTTGCTATGACTGAAGCAAATATCACATTCAATTGTGGTTTAGAGAAGACAATAATTTCTTTTTTTACTCAACCAGTAGAGGTTCTGCTTTCTGTCATTTGCCACTGGAATATTTCTAGTGGATCCATCTATTGACCTGTCAGTCTGGTTGATGCCCTAATCTTCTCATTTTTTGTTTTTTGTTTTTTTAATACAGCTGATTCTTTTTCCTCTTGAGAAAATATATTCGGCCTTGGTTGAGACAGCCCTGGGTTCAAATCCTGATTTTTCTACTCATTAGTTACATTATTTAGGGTCAAGTATTTAGCCTTCAGAACCTGAGTGTCTCCTTCTGTAAAATGAGGGCAATAAACTTTACCTCATAGAGCTGCAGAGAGCATTAAAAAGAATGACGTACGGGTTATTTATTAAACTATTTGTGCCTTTCCTCACTCAGTTGACCCTGG
The DNA here is from genome assembly GCF_000001405.40 of Homo sapiens. NCBI lineage: Eukaryota > Metazoa > Chordata > Mammalia > Primates > Hominidae > Homo > Homo sapiens. The sequence goes on from NC_000003.12 coordinate 5,555,938, forward strand.
GCCTCTAATTTTTCCTTTAAAACACATTTCAATTGACTTATTTTCAACTTTGAAAATAAAATAGGTATAATTTAAAAAATGCTCATGTTTAAGTAATCACATAGAAATATTCACATAGTCTCATATGCACCTCTAGATAAATCTATGAAACTACTGTGGATATCCCAATTTTACAGATGAGGAGGTTAAGTGAGAATAAATGTCTTAAATTCACAGCAAAGAAGTGCCAGAGCTGGGGGTTCAAACCTAGGTGCTCTCAGTATTGTCTTTCTTTTTAACTGCTCCAACAGACTTTCCCAAATTAAACAGGAAGAGCAGACACAGGTGATGAAAAAGGACTAGAACAGATTTCCATTATCCAGAGAAGGCAAGCCACAAAATCCAGTTGAATGATGGAAGTGACCCTGGATGTTTGAAAAATCAAAACTATCTACTGGGGTCTCTGCTCTATTTGAAAAAGAAACAACTATTCCATATTAAAATTCCATTATAAGTGGGGGGAAAGGACAAAATAACTTCCTGTCATTTCCATCACTTTAGAAGGTTGTTTTTCATTCTGTCTGGTTGAGTGGATGGGTTAACACACCAGATGGGACTCAGGCTCCACAGCATCAAGGTCACGTCTATAGAGGTCTCTTCGAAGTTGCCAGCCCTGGCTGTTCATCTTTCTTCTCCCCTCCCTCCCACCCTGCAGATGTAATCTATTCTGTAGGATTCTAGAACATGTCTGACAGGATGGATGTAATGTTTTATATGAATTTTAAAGACCTTATCTTCTCTACAGGACTTTGCGACTATAAAATTTCTGAAGGCAGTTTTCCAGCTCTGTTTTGTTATGGACAAGGGAGTCATGCATGCAGCAGAACTGTCTGTTTTACCTGAGATAGACATATTGAGGTGGTAGGTAGGCAGTTTCCCTGGCAACATTATCCACCTGAAAGTCTAGTCCTCCACTCGTTTGAACAGTCATGCATGATGCTGTTAGGAGACCTGGAGATGCAGAGTATTGAAGTCCAGAATAAAATTGGAAGTAATATTGCCTTTGCTCCAAAATACAGGTTGAAAAATTCAAGAAAACTCACAGCATTCTACTCATTAATATTGCTAATAACTTCTCATCTATTTCGTATCCTACTTCAGAAAACCATGGTGTCACACTAGAGTGTGAGTCCACAAATAGCAAAGATTTCTATGGCAGACATCTAGTTTTGAATATTTTTAAAACTGATGGGCTTCAATCACAAACACTGAACTTTCTCAGCTTTCTTAGCAAAATCTGTGCAACTTGAGGTGGGGGGTACAGTATCCATGATTGCTACAGTAAAATATTGCCTCAATTTAATAATCAAGTCAGCCCAAATTCAGATCGATGTCTCTAGATTGGGCATACCAAGGATTTGAAAGTTTGAAACATGAGACCCTACCTCTCTTTTCTTCTTTCAGATCCGGTGACTTGGGTTGGATTTTGGGCTGCAATTTTGTTATTTCTATTTCTTATAAATCTTCGTTGGCAAGGAATGTTGGGCTTTTGCTTAATCTGACTTGAATCTATATTTGAGAAATGCCTTACAAATTTGCAAACAACTTTACTGGCCATGCAATTACTAGGTCATGGTAGTACGTTTCTCTTCACCTAACTTACCACTATCTTTGTATACAAGGGCTAATAATGGTTTCCAAGACCATATGCAGAGCAATTTCCAGATTTCCAAGGCCATATTTTAGTCAACTTTCAGAAGTTTGTCAAGTTGGAGAAAAATATTCTTTATATATGAAGTCCACCTTTTGGGGAGAAGATTGCATTCATGTATTTTCTGGAAAAGCTGTGTTTAAAGTCATTAAATGACTTTTATTTAGTGAGATGACCATAGGCCATATACCCTTGGCATCATGGATCTGTCCAAAATCCATTCTCTGTGGCTGTTGCTTCCTTAGTAATGGACAAACCCAGGGCCAGAGAGAACCAGAGTTCTCATAGATGGTATTCTTCTGTTGGCTTATGTCTCTAACAGCAAGATATGACATGGGCACTGGATTCAGGCTCTGCCTAGAGCATGTCTGTACCAAATTCCATCTGGTCAAGTGGATGAGTTAAAATACCAGGTGAGACACACTCTCAGAAGCTTCTAGGTCATGGTCTATTGAGATTACTTAGAAGTTGCAAGCTCTTGCTGTTCATGTTTCTTTCTCCCTCCCTCACACTCTACAGGTGCAAGCTACTTTTGTATTACTCTCTGTTTAGGAGAATCTAGAACGTAAATCATGTTTCATATCTAGAGGATTCAGGATCCTGATCTGTAAAGAAGGGGTTGATAAACATAAAGCAGATTCCCTTCCTTTCAAGAATGATAGAAGTTGCATTCTAGGTAGGCTCTGGCCTTTCCTTTATAATTTTACTTGGGATTTTTCATAGCTGATCATAATTTACCATTTGATAATTCACTTCTTTTTCCCAGGCTCAAGGCTGATAAGCCAGTATCCAGATAGAATAGACCCGTTTATACTTCTGTCCCCAGTTTATTTTTTAAGGTTTTTTTTCATTGCACCTGATGCCAAAACAAAACCTCAAAAGACCTTGAGTGAATTTTGAGCTCGTGTAACAACTGGGAAGTCTGGGGAACGTTTTAGCTTTCTGCTGTGGCTGGATCCAGGGACTCAAACATTGGGCTCCATCTCTCTCTATTTCTTTCCTCTCTTTCCCACTAGGTGGGCTTCTGGATAAAACATTTCCCCACCTGCCACACACAGTTCCAGATGCCCATGCCCTCAGTTTAGTGAAGTCCATAGAAAGATACTTTTTCCCAACTGCCCCCCTGCCATGTCTGTTTACTAGTTCAAGGAAGGACTCTTTTTCTTGTTGGTTCTGCCTTGTTGATAAGCCCCTGTCCTTAGTCAATCGTTTTATTCAGGGTAATGGGGTGCTGTGATTGGCCAGACCCGGGTCATGTGCCACTTCTGTGGCCAGAGGCTAAGCCTGTAAGAAGTCAAATGAGGGCTGCCAGGCAGCGTATAAAAATATCTACAGTAATCCGTCACGCCCATTCAGCTTGGTGTCTCCAAATACAGTTTAGGAATGTTTCCTTTCTACAGTTGGCTACAGAAATCACAGCAACATTGTTCCTTTTCTTTTTCCTAGTTTGGTTCCTTGTCCGTTAAAAAAAAAAAAAAGTGCAGTATCTTCTAAAATTTAATGCACCTTGAAGAGTGAAAGGAACACCAGATTGTGGTTTGAGCTGGGCCCTGGGGCTTGGATGTCTGGGAACATTTTGAGAACTGAGGTTGGCTCAAAGTGCTTGGAGGCCACTTTAACTTTCCTCTGCTTTTCCACCATATGCTGGCTGTAGATTGCTTTCACTAACACCTCCAGGCACCATGAAGATCAACAAATTAATGTTCCCAGCTTCTTTAATAGCCTTCTGTCTAAGGGATTAAATACTTCACAACAATGCTTTCCTTTGCATTTTGTCATGTATAATTCTAAAATGGAAATGTTGCTGTTTTAGTGCCAAAAAAAAATTAGAGCTATTTCCTCTACCTCTTTCTCTTTCTTTCATTTACTTCTTCTGTGAAAAACACACTATGTACTTAGGCAGTGTTAATGTTAGTAATATTGCATAGTTTTAAGCACACAGTTCAGGTCACCTGAAATTCTCCCCAGTCCCATTCTTTGTTCTGAATTTCAGATCCCCTGTGTCTGATGTATTATTCACTGCATGATTCTCACAAAACAAGATGCATTATTTACAAGGTTGTAAGATTTCTGAAATTCCACAGGCTTTCTCGTAAGTTTGTAGATAGCAGGCTGGGCCAGACTGGATTACTGAGTATGGCTTGCACCAATATCATGATTTACCAACTTCTTTATTCTCTCGACAATATTTTGTTTCCAATACTGCATATTCTGGCAAGATAAATTTTGATGCTTCTTATGTTAATATAGTCTATCAATCGTACCTCCCTGTAATTTCCAGAATTTATAGAATTAATGGTATTCAGTTAAAGGCATCCTAAACTAAACCAAGGGCTGGGTGCAGTGCCTGGAATTTGTTGAGGTGAACCCCATCTCCAGAAAAGCATGCAAGAGTTTATTTACCACTTGGGGGGCAGCAGGGTGATGCACCCAGGAGCAAGAGTTTTGGGTCAGTTTTGTTTTTATTACCTTGTTCCAAAAAATTGATTCTAGACTCTTTTTTTTTGTTTGTTTGTTTGTTTGTAGTAGAGACAGGATCTCACCGTGTTGCCCAGGCTGATCTCAAACTCCTGGGTTCAAGTAATTCTCCTGCCTCTGCCTGCCAAAGTACTGGGATTATAGGGTAAGCCACCGCATCTGGTCCAACTTTTTTTTTTTTTTTAGGTGTGCATTTGTCACTGAACTGTGATGTGACTAAGACTGAGATATTGGTGCTCACACTAGTTCCCATAATAATTTAGGTTTCTGTAGCTACTGGTGTGCTGGTACATGTTTAGCAATCAACTCTCCTTAGGAGGAAGTGGGGTTGGCAGCCATGATTTGTAGCATTTGCCAATTTCTATGGTGTAAATATTATCATTGTGGCTGATTTCAAACTATCAATTTGATGTCACTGAATACAGAGTAGGGAAGAGATGTGTAGCATTGGCTCATGAAGGCCAGCTTTACCACACCCCTGTGAGCCCATGTCCCTGTCATTCACAGTCTGTTTTGCTAGTTTGGCTTACAGATGCACATGTGTGAACTCTCCCCCAACATTCTAACAACGAGAGAATGCATGCCTGATACTTTTGTTTTGCCACACCACGTCCACCACAATGCTTTAGATAGTTTGACTTTTTAAATGACAACTTGTTATTGAAGAATAATGTATGTACAGAGAAGTGCACAAATTATCAGTGAATTAGCAATTGAATAATGAGGGGTTTTTCAGAATTACAGTGTAGCCAGACTCCAGATCAAGAAACAGACATTTACCAGCTTCCCAGAAGCTCTTTTATACCTCCTTCCTGTCACCTTCTGCTGTCTCAAGTGCTGATGCCATAGATTTGTTTAACCTGTGTTTGAAACTTTATAAATGGGCCTATATATAGTATGTACTCATTTATGTTTAGCTTCTTTTTTTCCAAAACACAAAATGGTCAATATTACTGTTTCAAACCAAAATATGTTTGATTTCTTTTGCCCTGCATCACGGTTTCATGCATCTTGTTGTAGGTAGCTGTACTTCAATGTCCCTACTGTGTTATTATGTATTCTACCATTGATGGACATTCAAATTGTTACTAGTTTGGGACTATTAGGAATAGGGATGCTATTTTCATTCTAGCATGTGTTTTTTGGTGAATAACTGTACATAATTTTGTTTGGTATATGCATAGGAGCTAAATGTGTAGGTAATAAGGCATACACACATCATAATGTTTTATATCTTAATGACATCCTGATTTTGAGGGCAAGTATGGAGAGATTAATGGGATCAAAGTCAGACACGGGGGTCAGGGACAGATTGCTTTATGTTACAATAGAAATATTTGTTCATTCACCTGTATACTTTGGAAAGAAAAAAAATCACTAGCAGGCTGAATCTGGGTGGGGATGGCAATGATTACCTAGTGGTTATTCATATCTGGAAAATCCAAAATGGTGAATAAAAGTTGGTATAGCATGACTCTGGGGAGTCTAGAAGTGTCAGCATTTGGACATTTAGGCAGATGAATTATCAGAACCAGAGAAGATATTTATTAATTCAAATAAATACTTATTGAATATCTACTACAAACCTACAACAGTAGTAGGTGCCGATGGTTCTATAATGACTGAAACATTGGTGCTTTTAGGGGTGTATAGTTGCAGAGAGACAAGGAGCCAGTCGCCGGTTACATAGGTGGTAAGTACCTTGATGAGGATATTAGAAGGTGCTGTGTGAGAACAGAGGAAATACGTGTCATAACCCATCCTAAGCTGGGGGTGGGGAGTAGGCAGGGGAAGGATTGGGAAGGAAGAGTTGTGAAGGTAGACTTCCTGGAGGGGATTGTGACTGAGCTCAGACCTAAAGAGTGAGTAGGGTGGGAGAGTGGAAGGTTTTCCAGGCTGCAGAAATAACATATGCAATGAACCAAAGGTAGGGATGGTGGAGGGGGATGAGAAATGATTTACAGTATGGTTGGAGTTGGAGCATAGTATAGACCAGGCAGGAGAGGAGGGTGGTTACAGATGAGACTAGAGTGGAAAATAGAGGCATGCAGGATCGCTTATTCCTGTTGAGATATTTATATTACATTCTAAAAACAATGGCAAACTAGTAAAATTTTTCGGCAAAATTGACTGTGCATTTTCTAGTTCCTGGTAGATGTGACAGATGGGAGCACCTGGCATAATCAAGACACGGCCTATTCCCCTCAAGGTGGACTCTTGACCTTAGAAATAAGGCTGAAGCCACTTATGAGAATTGAGATCTATGATCAGGGTATTATTGTAATTGTGTGCTGGTAAACAGGCTCTATGGGGAGAATGGTCCTCTGATTTGTAGTGTTTCCAGTTTTCCACTGTAATGTTTGCAAATTTCCATGGTGTAAATATTTCTAAGAAGCTTGAAAAATTCTTGAAAATTTGACAGTTAGCTCATATGAGCCTTCTTCCTCACCACTAGTTATGCCACTATGTTTCTGGCTGACAAAACTTTCACACATTGCATTAGAGAGCCTTAACCAGTAGATCTCAAACTTGACCATGCATCAGTGTCACTTGGAGGCTTGTTAAAGCATAGATTGCTGGGGCTCTCCTCCCAGGATTCTGATGCAGTATGTCTGGGGTGAGGCCTGAAAGTTGGTGTTTCCAACAAGTTCCCAGGTGATGAAATGCTGCTGGTTAGGGGACCATGCTTTCAGCATCGCTGTCTTTAAATTACCCCTTCATCCTTACCCCTAGATGAGATGAATCCCTGATTATTATGGAGGTGTTGGGCCTAAAGATAATTGCTCCCCTTTTGTAGACAGAGGAAAAGAAAATAAAGCAGAGATTCAGGTCGATTATGAAAGAGGAGACATTAAAGGCAGCGTCGTGATGTAAAATGAATCAGAATTTGGATTCAGAAGATGTGGGATTGAGTATTGCCTTTGCTGGATGAATTTAGAGGTGTTATTCAACCTGTGGTTTTTTCCGTTGCTGTGATTTGAATGTTTGTCTCCTTCAAAACTCAGGTTGAAGTTTAATTGCCATCGTAAGAGTATTAAGAGGTGGTGCCTTTAAGTAGTGATTAGGCCAGGAGGGCTCTGGTCTCATTGGTGGGTTTAATGCCTTTAAAAAAGGGCTTTGGAGAGTGGGTTCTCTCTCCTTGCTATTCTGCTCTTCTGCCCTGAAGGAACAGAGTTCCTCCCATCTGAAGGATGCTGTGTTTAAGGTGACGTCTTCAAAGTAAACACTGAGCTCTCATCAGACGCAAACCTGCCAGTACCTAGATCTTGAGCTTTCCACCTCCAGTACCATGAGAAATTTCTACTGTTTGTCAATTATCTCATCTGTGATATCCTATTACAGTGGCACAAAATGGACTGAGACACCCGTCTATAAAATAGTCTTTAATATCTTTGATCTCCCAGGGTTGTAATGATCATGTGAAGCAAATTGTCAACTAGTGTATATTACTGCCAACTGTCATTTATAACTTCAAATTACTATACAAACGTTATCTGTTGTTCTTAGAGATGATCAAGTGAGAAGCTGAAGCTCAGAGAGGTTAAATTATTACATTGCTAGAAGCAAGGCCTGCTGATTTTCAGCTTAGTGTCCTTTTCCTTGTATTAGTGGTTTTCAAATTTTTTTTTTTTTTAGCCAAGGGACTCTTTCTTCAAATGAAACCTTAGGAGAAAGAACAATATAGGAAATGATGAAAGAGGAGCTGCTCTTATTGAAGTGGGAGGAGGTAACTATAGCTGGAGATCTGATGCAATACCCCTGAAACTTTAAGGTGTTCAAGTCCAGTGTGAAAACCTGAACACTCACCAGCTGTTTCCTGGAAGCCCTTTCTGCGTGGGATGGCAGTGAGCAAGTTCGCTGGACAGTAACCATGATAGACTTCAGGATAAGGTCAACACCAGTGGATCTCACATTGACAGTAGTGAAAATCACCTGAGGGGCCGGGTGCGGTGGCTCGTGCTGGTAATCCCAGCATTTTGGGAGGCCAAGGTGGGTGGATCATGAGATCAGGAGTTTGAGACCAGCCTGGCCAACATGGTGAAACCCTGTCTCTACTAAAAATACTAAAATGAGCCGGGTGTGGTGGCATGTGCCTGTAATCCCACCTTCTTGGGAGCCTGAGGCAAGAGAATTGCTTGAACCCAGGAGGTGGAGGTGGCAGTGAGCTGAGATCACGCCACTGCCTTCCAGCCTGGCCAACTGAGCAAGACTTCATCTCAAAAAAAGAAAAAAAAAGAAAAAAGAAAACCACCTGGGCTAGCTTTGGAAAATTCCTATGCCCAAGCTACACCCCAAACTAACTACATCAGAATATGTGGAGTGAGAATCTGTTATTTGTATTTTTAAGTTCTCTTGGTGACTCCAAGGTGCAGCTCAGATTGTGAATCAGATATGTACCAGTGGTTCTCAATGTGTGATGTCCAGACCAGCAGCATCAGTATCACCTGGGATCCTGTTAGGAATCCATATTCTCAGGCCCACCTCAGACTCTCTGCAACAGCAACTCAGGGGTTGGAGCTCAGAAGTCTGTGTTTTAACAAGCGCTGCTGCTGATTTTGATGCATGCTAATTTGAGAATCATAGTATAAGAGCCCTGGTTGTCAGATCAGTATGTATTAGATTCACCTGGAGAGCTCGTGCAAGCTAAAGCTACCTGTGTTCAGGTCCAGAAACTATGATTGATTAGGTATGGAAAGGGGCTTGAGAATTTAATGTTTTTATGAACTCTCTTGGTAGTTTGGAGGCAGGTGATTTGTGGGCTATCCATTGAGAAGGACTGTTCTAAAGCAGTTGTTACTAAGCATAGTGTGGGGACTGGCTGTATCAGAATCACATAGGGAGAGATATTTGTTTCTTGGGTTCCACCTTTGGAGAGAGTCTAGGGTAGTAGATTCAGAGTTTGAGCCCTGGAATCTCATTAAAACGTTATCATGTGATTCTTACACATAACCAGGTATATCAACTAGCTTTTTCTGGGTAATAATCCCATGAGAGCTTAAAGCAGTGATCATTTAGTCTTACCTATCTACAGGTTGGTTGGAGCAACCCTGCTTTATGCTGTGGGTCTGGTGACTTGGGTCTCCTCAGAATGAAACATTCTGACGCCCAGGCTAAAGGAGCAGCAGCTCCTAGAGGAAGCTCTTCTTACACAGTGGTGGAAGGACAAGAGGGCACATCCAACTGCGCAAGAAGTTTTCCAGCCACTCCTTTGCAGTTATGTCTGCAAACAACCCGTTGGTTAAAGCAAGTCAGCAGGTCCAGTGCAAAGACAAAGCAAAAGGAGGATTATTCCTTCCATGGAGTGGAAATGGGGGGAAGTAAATATTCTTGAATAATAAACTAATATACCACACTAGGTTTGGGATTGATAAACTGACCTTTCATTGTTTGTTTTGAAAATCCACCCTCCCCCTGATTCCTCTTCCTCCTCCAAATATGTGCCTATATACCCTGACCACAAGAGAGAGTTGGACAGCCTCCTTATACCCCTACTTCATTAAAAAGCAAAACAATTTTCTGGCAGTATGTATCTTTCTAAGGGTGAGAGATCCCTAATTTGTTAGTTACATGCTTAGAGATGCATGCAGTCTTAAGGCCACCGGGGAGATAATTAGAAATTACCCCAGGTCACCCCCTCATTGCAGAGATGAGAGAATTGAGCCTGAGGGAGGGGAAGGGATTTATTCAGTAAAGGTATCTAACAAGTGGCAGAGTTGGGACTACAATTCAGTCTCTCAGGTCCTAATTCCTGTGTTCTTTCTTCTGCATTGCAGTTTTTTTTTTTTTTTTCTGAGCTGAGTAGAAGAATCAACATGTCTATTCTTTTATAGGTTCTGGATTTATAGTAATTTTAAATGAGCTTATTTAAATTGTAAGAAATTGTAAATGTTGGGTATCCATCAGTTGGGGGGCTGGTCTAGACTTCACCCTCCTGGGATTTCAATATATCTTCAAGAGACTTTCTCTCCCCAGTGAGAATTATTGACCCCAACAGTCACTGGACTCATTAGGCTGTGCCTTGCCTCTCAGTTCTATAGGGGAAGTAAGCACAGAAGACCATTTGTGAGCATCAAGGAGACTTGAGCTTCTGTGTTTTTCCTCCAATTTAGGGGCTTACTTCGATCTGAGACTGGGACTTTGGCAGCTACGGGCCTGCTGGAGACCCCTTCCAGGTGTCTCTGCACCTGGAGTTCAATTCTATTATCTGACTTGACTTAAGAGGCCCAAATGGCTGGTTCTTGGCATTCTCATTATTGTCTAGAATGGCACCTAGTTGTTTTTATTTTCCAAGTAGGGAGACTGAAATTATATTCTACATGCATTGATTATTTTTGTTGATTTTTTTCTCAGTTTAACTAGAATCATCATGGGGAAATTAGAAAATGAGGAGATTGTGCCCATTAACTAGAGGGAGGATATAAATAGGTCTGAACTGGGGCAAAACAAAGGAAACATGGAGGGAAAGGTAGGAAGGCAAAAGTGAGATAAAAAGATGCACTGAGAATTCTGACGATTATCCTGCTCCTTGCCATGGAAACTTTAGCTGATAGGAGATTCCATGTGGAAATGTGGTGTTTGTACGAGAATTAAACTTGTCCAGAGCCAATGGTTCTGGGTCAGGTGTCCTTGACTTGCCTTGTGACTGTTGAGTATCTCCACATTTCTACCTCCAGGTTCAATCAGATTCTTCTGCTAGATGACCATGCTGTAGCCAGTCTCCATGATGACCCCCACTGATTCTTCTCTTTTGAAAGTCACGTGCATGTTTAGTCCCCTCCTGCACTGAGTAGGGTCAGCCTGTTTGACCAATCGAATATTGGGGGAAATGGCAGACTATAACCTCTGAGGTTAAGTTATAAAAGACATTACGGCTTCCACCTTGCTCTTTTTTGGGTCACTCACTGTGGTAAGCCAGCTGCCATGTTAGGAAGGCAGTCCCATAGAGAAGTCCATGATACAAGACTTCCTGACAACATCCAGAATAAACTTGTCTGCCATGTGTGTGAGCCATCCTAGAACCAGATTTTCCAGCTCCAAGCCTTCAGTTGAACATAGCCTAGCTGATGTTTGGACTGAAACCTCATGAGAAACTGGAATTAGAACTGCCCAGCTAAACCACTCTTGAATTCTTGACTCAAAGAGTGTGTGATAACAACGAACATATTGTTGTTTTAAGCTGCTAAGTTTTAGGATTTTTTGTTATGCAGCAATGAATAACTGATACACTCTGGAAAAGTGTGTTTTGCTCCCCATTGTTTTCCAAGAACTTAGCACAATGCGTGTCTTATATTATGAGCTTAATAAATACTGTTTGAATGTATGAATGTGTTCTTCCTCTCCCAACTACATGCACAAACACATACATCCATCATTCCCATTGAAATCAGCTGGGCCCACTCTACCCTCAGTAGGCCACGTGCTTCTCCATCACTGTGTGTATCTCGAATCCCTTTCCATGCATAATGTAATCAGTAGCCATTGGACAAACCTTATAGATACAGTAATGTCTATTTTCTACCCATCCTTCAAACCCTTGCTCCAGCCCATAAGGCTTCTCCTGATCATTATGATGCACAGAGTAAGCCCTCCCTTCCCCACAGCATCAATCCAGGCTCCAACAAATGGCAAAATCAAATGGAGTAATTTGAAGATAATTAAATAGACTATTTGAAAGGTGGGACTAGGGTTAAGAAACACCAAAAGAGGATGGTGAAGCACCCTGAGACTAGCAATAACTGGGAACTATTACCATCCCTAGACCAAAAGGGAAAGTGGAGTGAGTGATGACCACAACTTTGAGAGGGAGCTGTAGAGATGGATTCCTAATGGGAGCCTTCAGTGAATAGGAAGGAAGGGAATAGGGGAAATAAATACCCTCACCTGACTCATCCCACCCTCTTGATCTCTTACTGGGCCCCCTATTGACTGAATCCAATTACAATCTAGAAAAAAGAGAGTCTGTCAGTGTATCCATATGCACTAACCTTGTAGGCACACAGCTTGGGGAGACAGGATACAGAGGGAACCTGGGGGGCACACAGAAGAAAGACATCCAGTAGCTCCCCTCCTCCATAGACTTTGCTACCTATAAACCTGATTTGGCATTTAGACATGTTTTACCCGTTGTCTTTCTTGTATTGCTACCATGCATTACTATTTAGCTCTTGTATGTTATTTAACTTTTCAGGTATTAATGACTGCTCTTTCCAGCAATATTTTCAACTTCTAGAGTGTGATGAATATGTCTTAGGTTTCTGTCTCCTTAAGTAAGCTTAGTATAATAGTTACCATAAGGTTATTGTATTAGTCTGTTCTCAAGCTGCTATAAAGAATTGGCAGAGTGCCACTGCACCTCAGCCTGGTGACAGAGTAAGATTCAGTCTCAAAAAAAAAAAAAAAAAAGAATTGACCGAGACTATGTAATTTATAAGGAAAAGAAGTTTAATTGACTCACAGTTCCACAAGATGAGGGAGATCTCAGGAAACTTACAATCAAGGTGGAAGGGAAAGCAGGCACCTTTCTCACAAGGTGGCAGCATAGAGTGAGTTTGCGAAGGAGGAACTGTCAAACACATAAAACCGTCAGATCTTGTGAGGACTCAGTAGCACGAGAACAGCCTGGGGGAAACTGCCTGCATGATTCCATCACTTCCCTTGACATGTGGGGGTTACAATTCGAGATGAGATTTGGGTGGGGACACAAAGCCAAATCATATCAGTTATCACTCCAAATTTGTTGATGGCACACAATTTTGTGAAGTACTTATTTGTTGAGAGTTTTTCCATGAGCCGTCAATGACAGAAGTGCAGGAACTGTATTTATTTAATGTTAGCCGTGGCCAGGTATACTTCTGTGCAAACCAGGCTTTATCTTACACATAGAGTCCCTCAGGGGTAGAATAAATTATTTAGAGGGTATCCGTCCAAACTGCAAAACATGAATTCCTTCTATAATATCTCTGATATATTATTATCTAGTCAGGGCTTTAGATACCCCTAATGACAGGAATCTCATTACTTCATGGAGTAGTAGAGTCCAGTCAGTAGCTTGGATGAATAGAAAGTTCTTTCTCAGCAAAATCACTCAGTAAGTTATTTACCTCTAAGCCCTGGCAGTCACTTACGTGTTTTGTCATTATACTTTTTCCCAGAATGCTGTATAAATGAAATCAAATAGAATGTAAACCTTGTGAGACTGGCTTCTTTCAGTAGTATAACGGATTTGAGATTCATTCAAGTTGTCGAATCTATTACTTGTTTGTTCTTTTTTATTGCTGCATAGTATTCTATTGTTTGGTTATACCACAATTTGTTTATCCACTCACCTGTCAAGTGACATTTGAGTTTTTTCTAATTTCTTTCTTTTTAAATTTTGTATGTTCAAGTGAGTTCTTGTTACGATATTTTTTTTTGTGTGATATATTACCAGTGGAAATTTTTTAAAGCTTTGGTTAAGAGCAAATTATCCCTAGAACGAATTTTATTTGCTTCAGACAATGAGCTCACCTGACGGCTAGCTTTTGAGCTATAAATTCTGGTCATTTAATTTTCTTGGTGACAATATTTCAGCAAGATAACCTTCCTTGAAGCCCCCTAATAGCACATTTCCCCCACATTTACCTATTTACTGAAGGTATAGTTCTTTGGGTTATGGCTTTATGGGGTGGGTCCAGCATAAAACCTTTGGTGTCCCTGAATATGGTCTTTTGAGTTCAGCAGGAACGTAAAAACCAATGGTCAATTTCCACAAATAATTGCCCTTAGGTTGAATACTGGCTTCAGTGTTCTACTTGTGTTCATTTAGGTTTTACCCTCAGTATTCCTTATTTTCTTGCTAGATTATCTTTGCATTTAAGAAGATTTTAAAGTATTTATAGGCATTTTGGTTATTTTTAGTAGGACAGACATTGAGATTATTTGTCTACCACATTCCTGGAAATAAAACATTTTCTGCACTAGATTGCAATTCAACTAGATCTAAATTAAAATAAAGTATATTGAATACATATGATGTAATAGGAGAGGTTGAGACCAAGATTGTGGCCTAGTATATTTATTGCTTTGGTAATTGAGGATGAAGAAATTATGTACTCTCTTTGGACCTGTTTCGTTATTTATGCAATAGTAGTGCCTTGGATCACTTCTGTGTCTTTAAAGTGCTTTGATGATTTCCACGTTTTGGAGGTGATTATCCAAGTTTCTTCCAAGCCAATTTCTGTTATCATGACCGCCTTTTGTACAGTCTATGTTCAAGGTATTTCAGCGTCTCAGCTACTGTAATCAGAAGGATGCTGAACAATGCCCTGTTGAATATTTTCCAGGCAGAGTTTTGATTGTAAAGAGTAAAATGATTCAGTATAACTTGATCACATTATTCAGGCAGGAGAGAGTGTAATCATCTGAAGGGCTTGTTACTAGTGTATCTAAAAGTAATAGCCCAGCACTGCAAGTATAATTCACTGCACGCAGATTCAGGAGGCCAACAGCAGTCATGGGTGTATTCACTGGCTCTGATATGTGTGTGTGTTTATGTGTTTCTTGGTATCTGTCAGTAATACAGGATGGTGGTATTTTTTTTCCAAAAGGAAATTTTTGTTTTCTACCTAAGAGAACAACCCACTTATTTAAAAAGCAGTAATTGCCCACTTGTATAGTATACAACATCCATGTTGAAATTATGTGATTCTGCATCCTGAATCAGAAGATGCTTAGAGATGATCTAGTCAAGTTGCATGTTAACTTTTATAGCTATAGATGCTTTTTTTTTCCAGAAAAAAGACTTAGAATCCCAATATATAAAACGTATTAAATTAACATTTTACATACCTTTTCTGACAATAAATGTATACTTCACAAAAATTAACATTTTAATAGGATAAACTTACAAATCCAAGTATAATAACATTTGTTTAGTATGATATTAATATGTGAGGTCATTTTGATGAAACACATTTAAAACTCAAAAATTTGAAATCAGTACTTCATTTGTTCAACAAGTATCTCCTGATTTTCTATTTGGTGTGAGACACTGCTAAGGGACTGTGTTTTCCATATGGATTCCAGGGGTTGTGAATGACAATCACAGCCTTGTATCAGTCAGAGCATCTACGAAATTAGAAATTTTTTTCTCCTCAAATACATGTTTACAATACAAATTAAAATTTTGCAGAACCCTCGAAGCATCTACAGGGGGTACTACACAGAACACAGTTAATTTAATCCCATGATTTTACAGAAGAGATGAAAAGGGGACTGAAAGAGTTAATTGTTTGCTCAGATCAGGGAGGTAAAGTAACATCTGTCGTGTGCCTACTAAGTGCTGAAGGTGAGAGGTATTCCAAAGACCCAGCCCAGTGTAGTTGTGAAATTTACCTAATCTTTGTAATACTATTGATTTGATGTCATTATCCTTCTATTATTATTGATACTATCATCCTCCTATTATAGAGGAGAAAACTGAGGTACTTTGAGGCTAAAAAGGTAGGCAGCAGACAATTAACAAACGCTTTATTATCCACAGTGATGGCTTTGGTTATCAATTTAAGTAGGATTGATTTGATTGGTGTGTGTTTTAAATGTTATGTTATATAAACTTTCTATGTATTACTTTATAACTTTCAAAAAAAAAACTGAAAGCAGTAGATAAAATTCCCTCATTACCATATTACAAATGAGCAAATGAGAAAATTGAGGCCCAGTGAAGTTTCATAACTTGGCCTAGGAAGTACATGGTGGGGAGGAAGTGGCAGAGCTGGGATTCGAACCCAGGTGGTCTATCTGAAGAAGTCTGTTCTTTTTTAGCTAAGAGTGGTCAATACTCTGCACCAAAGACCACCAGGAACATGCCTGTGGTTCAACAAGTTGGATTTAGTTGTCATTGCAAGGGAGAAACCTCAGGGAGAACCATGAGTTCTCTGTGCAAGAGGCTGTTAGAAGGACTTGTAAGATTGGGGTTTGTGCTAGGTGATTTGAGGAGGCTTCAGCGAGTGAAAGCTTTATTCTGGATTGCATCCTGTCATAGAATGGGGTAATTCTGGTTGGGTTTCCTAATTTTATCTTTATAAATAAGAGAGGAATATGGTGAGGCTTGAGTTGGAATTGGTAAAGAACGTGCAGTCATCATTCTCTGGGACACGAAGAATATGCGGCCATTTGTGTGGTTTGGACAATGCTCACATTTCATCTGTGCCAGACGTGCTAACGGAGTTGTCTTGTTTGTCTTGATTCATCATTGTCACAGAGTGGCCTTGTCTAATGCTGATGTTCTGTGAGATTGTTTATAGTCCACAGGAGAATGCTCAAGCCTGCTTGTTAGGGCCAGGCCAGCTCCTGGCAACCTGGGGCCTAGCTGATAGTGTCTGGCCGGCTCCCAGCTGTCAGGGTCTGCTTTTCTCTCTTCCACAATGTATGGCCTTTCATTCTATGTGACCTCTTTGATCTGTGTAGAGACTGAGCTGGAAGGGAGCAGTAGTGGATGGCAGGAGACTAGTTAGCAGGTCATTGCTCAAGGCCAGGAGAGAGAGCCTTATGACTTGGTGAAATGAATGGAGAAGGGCAGGTGGGCTTGAGAGCTATTTAGGAGGTAGAATTGAATGTTAGCAGGGATCACGTATTCTCTAAGAACCGAACTGTGATATACTGGGATTGAGGCACAAAACAATCAGAGAAAACACAAAATATAGTCAACAGCCTTTTGTCATGATGGGATAATAAGGAAGGAGTAGAAAATATCACCCACTATGAGCTCATCTTCATCTTCCCCAAATACACTCTCAGCCACTGAATTTCTGATTTCCAGAGAGGCTGAAATTTACAAAGACTTCTTCCCCTGACTCTCCCCAGTTATGTGAATTATCTTTCCAAACATCTGAGATCTCAAAAAATACTTTTTACCAGTTGAAAACCCATCCTGTCTCTTTTTAAAATTATTGACAAAATACTCTCAGAGGGTCAGAGGCAGTTAAATTTTTGTTTGGGAATCTACCTGACATATGATCTGACCAGGAAGAGAGAAAAACGCTTTTGATGATGAGCGTAGAAGACCGTATAAGCTATGAATTGTGTGACTTGTATGTTGTGTGGAAAGGGAAATCATCCTATACAAATGTGCCCATGTAACCAGCAAGCCTGCTTGTCTCCTTGAATGGGTCCTTTGGGATTTAAAATATCCTGCTGAATTGAAGGGGAGTTTTAATGGATTTTTTCTCAACTGCTTTCTCTACCTTGTCCTTTACTCCGAAGGCCCCATGGGGTGTGGATTCTTCAAAGGGGACAAAGTAGAGTAGTTAAGACTACACTGGGTCCTACCTCCATATTTATGAAAGCTGGACCTCCAGAGATTTGTCAAGCCTTATATTATCATGTTTTACTTTGTCCCAAATCTAGTGTGACAGACTAGATTGAATTCTAGTGTCATAACCTTGTCAGAATTCTCATTTCAGAATCTAACCAGGATTTTAATGTAATAACTGTAGGGCTTTAAGCCACCCAATTTAAGATATAAGACAAAAAAAATAAGGTAGACTGAATTCAGAATGTTGCCTTATTACTGCTAAAGTCAGGCAGTGGAGAGTATTCGCAATATCTGTATGCAAGTGGACTTTCTAATGTTCAAACCCAAATTAGGCAGCCTTACCTCCCTAGTACAGCATCATGAATTTCTTTGTCTAAGAGAGGAGTGAGTGAGAGATGGGGAAGGACTGAGAGGGTTTCAGTCAAGTAAGCTCCCTTTATCTAGAGAGAAACATTAGGTGGGAGAATTGCCCCACGAATCATTAAACTGGTCAAAATTCTGTCTTACATAATTTGTGTATTCTTACATCAGCATCTAGCTTGAAACACAATATCATAAGTCATTGTGGATTCCAGCAGGAAAACCTAGCCCAGATTCTGTAGCCATAAATGCATTCTGAAAGGAGAAAGTGTTCAGAGCTCAGAGCAGATTAAATAGTTTAAATGATGGAGACTTTTAGTCAAATAACAGTGAGAGCTCTTATTGTGTGTTGCATTTTAGGCCTATAATTTTATGGAACCAGTGGACTTTCTTTTTTGAGGAACAGAAAAAGAAATTCCTGGTCCATGTAGATACTCATCTTTTGGTAGGCAGTAAACAAACAAAAACTAGTTTCTTCAAGTCTACTTCCTTGAGTACCTTTTCTCTTTCCTTTCCGTTCCCCTCTACTTCTTGTCTCCACTGTATGCTTTTGTCACAGCCTTATTTTCCCCGTGCAACGCTTGTCACATGCCTTTATTACATAATGAACTATTTCACCCCTGTGTTCCCCACTAGACAGTTCTTTGAGGGCTGTTTCCATATTTGATATTTATCCTGTTTGATGTTTCTCACCAGTAGCATGACTTGTATGTGTCAGTCCTCAATAAAAGTGTTTGTTTGGTCTTATTTCTGGTTGTTAGAACAGCACTTAGCATAGTGTCCTAGATTGGGGTCGCTGAAGATAGACTCTGACATGGGGAGTTGCATGAAGAAAGTTTATTGAGGAGCGCTCTCCAGGGATTCCTGAGAGGATTAGACAGAAGGGTTAGCTATTCTGAAAGGCAGCTGCAACTGAGGCCCATTCACGTATCTTCAGGGAAGCCCTGGGGCTGGGATGTCCATCTGGAGTTATCACGAAGTGGGGTAAGCCAGTAGCTTTTGTGTGCTCAGGAAAGCCAGCCATCAGGAGGGGCATTAGCCTGGGTGAGGAAGTTTGCAGTGAGAGTGGCAGCAGGGAGCTGACAGCAACCAATGTCCCCAGCAGCTGGAGGATGGGGGCAAGAACCTGAGGAGGGGATGTTGGTGAGCCTCACAGTGTCCGCTACATGTAATTGTCACTTTGCAAATAAATCAGACTGCCATTCAGCTAATAACTGTCGCGTAGACAGAAGCCAAGATTTTCAGACTCTCCATTGTTCGACCGAGTGGCTCAAAGTCGTGCTTGACCCTTAAGCATCTGTAACCATGTTGGATGCCTAATGTGTCCTTAAATCATCAAGGAAATGGGTATTCGTGACACTTCTCTCTTCTTCCCTTTCAGAGGTGGCAGCTAAGGATGAATAGGTTGTAGACATGGGACTTAGATAGTAACAGATAATACACAGCATTTGCTAAGTGCTAGGCATGTATAAACTCATTTATTCCCCCAACAACCCAACGTGGTAGCTATTATCTCATTTTTACAGATAAAGAAACTGAGGTACAAGTATTTAAATAATTTTCCCAAGGTGAGAGAGCAAGTAAGTGGCAGGACAAGAATTTGGATTCAGAGAGTCTGGCTCAAGTGTTTATGCTCTCAATCTTTTTTGGGGAAAAAAAATCTCTCTTTGATTTATTATGTACTTATTTTGTGCCAGACACTGTTCTTAGATTTTTGCTGACCTTATCTTCCCTTCACTACAATGTTTTGGGGTAGTTTCAAATATTATTCCAATTTTAGAGGTGAGAAAATTGATGCCTATAAGGTTTATAACTTGCCCCAGTTCACATAGCTAGAAAGTCATAGAACTAGGATTTAAATCCAGAACTTACAGATCTTCAGTCTTTTTTTCTTTTCTTTTTCTTTTTTGCTAGTATATTCAGTGTTCTAGTTTCTATCTTATGATAAGAGGAGTAGAAAATCCTCATAGCAACACTTAGAGTTCCTGTAAGGCAAATGAAGTAGGATTTTGGTTGTTTACGTAGCAGGCTGACACCCCGAAAGGGTGCTTTTATTTTCATAGATCTCAACCCAAGTGGCTTTCTGTGAGAAGAAAAATAAAATCACAAGGAAATGGATGTTTATTAAACATTTAATATGTGCTTGATAACTTCGAGTTCATTATTTTATCTGCAGTGATGAATAACAGACATTAATTATTACCATATGAAAAGATTTATTAAACATTTCCCCCGTGGATTATTCATTGGATATCATGGACAGGGAAGGGAAGGGGGGTGTACCCCATATTCTGCACTGAGGAATGGAACTTTTTTCTGTGATTTTGCTAACAGGGCCACAGGGGGATTGAACATTGAATTCTGCACTGCAATCTTTATAACACTGGACCTGAACCAACTGAGCTATTCACTGGTTTTGAGGGAAAAAAACGTCTAAAGATCAAAACAAGTTTCTCTCAAGATGCTGGTCAGATACCCTATAAATATTTTAATTTTGTTCTGAACTTCAGAACCTCAGGTTTGAGTGTAGGATAAAGAAAATCTTGTTCTGTTGTCTTCCCTTAGGAAGTGAGAAGGAGATAGAATGTTTCTCCTGGGCTGTGAAACCAGGCAAGCACTTGTTTGATTCCTTTGCCTGGCGTTTTAGACAAGAATGAGCTGGTAGGTTATTTTACATGCGTGTGAAAAGGGAAGCTGATAAAGGTTCGTTGATTGGCCCAGGTAGAGTTCAGCTCAGGGAATGACTTTTGTGCTGACATCAAATAGCAGTGATTTCAGGTTTATGGCAGTTATCAGATATAATGATGTGGAATGAGACTGAATTGTGCTATAATGGCAATAAAAATCAATCTGGAAGGAGTGGGGCTTCCGTCTATTTTGCTGTTGCTCAGGGAGCTTGATTTTGGGCATTTGAGGCTGGTGGTCTGACTGTGAAAGATCAGATTTTGTGATTCCTCCTAAGTGAAAAATAGGGCATCCTGGATTGATGTGGTCACATGGGAACTTGGACAATGGTAGCCGTTTCCTAGCCAGGCATCAACTCTCCCTTGCACAATTCACGCTGAGGGTTGCCTTCTTGAGATGAGAGTTCAAGAGGGAGGGGAGAAAAGGCTTGAGCAGGCTGGAATGAACCTGCTGATATTAAAATAGAGTAGCTAGAGAGAAAAGAGAGAAAAAAATTTAAAAAATAGGATAGCTATTAACATTTTTTACGGCTATGACAGCTCTATGTTTTTGTCTACTCATAGCTTTACTTATTTGGATATTTTGAGAATGATCTCTTATATTTTTTTACAGCGTCTTTTTGTACAGTATTGTCCCAAGAGGTGCTTTGCTTACCCAAAACAAGCAAATAACCAAAAACAAAACTGTGGCTAAATGAGATTGAAAAATACTGTACAGGTTGAGCATCCCAAATACAAAAATCTGAAATGCTCCAAAATCTGAAATGTTTTAAGTGCCAAAATGATAAAGGATTTTGGATTTTGTATTTGGGATGCTCAAAGTATAATGTAAATATTCCAAAATATAAAAATAATTTGAATCTGAAACACTTCTGGTCCGAAGCACTTTGGATAAGGGACACTCAAGTTGTTTATGATGCTTCTGTGGTCTGAACGTTAATGCCCCTCCAAAATTCATTCGTTGAAATTCTAACCCCTAAAGTGATAAGAGTACTGGGAGGTGGAGCCTTTGGGAAGATATTAGGACATGAGGGCAGAGCTTTCATGAATGGGGTTAGTGGTTATTTTTTATTTATTTATTTATTTATTTATTTATTTGAGACGGAGTCTCGCTGTCGCCCAGGCTGGAGTGCAGTGGCGCGATCTCGGCTCACTGCAAGCTCTGCCTCCCGGGCTTCAAGCCATTCTCCTGCCTCAGCCTCCCGAGTAGCTGGGACTACAGGCGCCCGCCACCTCGCCCGGCTAATTTTTTGTATTTTTAGTAGAGACGGGGTTTCATCGTGTTAGCCAGGATGGTCTCGATCTCCTGACCTTGTGATCCACCCAAAGTGCTGGGATTACAGGCGTGAGCCACCGCGCCCGGCCGGGGTTAGTGGTCTTATAAAAGACGCCCAAGAGAGACCCCTTGCCCATTCTACCACATGAGAACACAGCAAAAAGGCACACTCTGTGAACCAGAAAGTGAGCTTCATCAGACATTTAATCTTCCAGTTCTTTAATCTTGGACTTCCCAGCCTCCAGAATTGTGAGAAATAAATTTCTGTTGTTTATAAGCCACCTAGTTTATTGTATGTTGTTATAGCAGCCCAAATGCACTAAGATCTCTTTCCTTTTTAAAGTTTGCCTTGCACATAAATTTATTAGAGGCCTCAAGAAGTCTTGCATTGTATACTATGTATAAAATAAGATGTATGTAACTATCTCTGTTTAACCAGAAAATTTAAATACTTGTTTGACCATGGAGAATGCTTCCTATTACTGTCCTGTGGAGCTAGTGTTTTAGACATACATTTTTAGATATCCATTTTTTTCTAGTTACATTTAGGAAACTGCCTCATTAGCTGACAGTGACAGAGAAGAGGTGATTTCTTGGTACATGCAGGATACGAACAGGCTTAGACATTTCCCGAGTTTTGAAATCTGACTCATTTTCAGGGTTTGGAGGATGCTACCCAACGTTCAACTATGGCCACTAGTATGGGGGAAATATTGCCTACTTTGAGATATTAGAGGCTCACTAAGCTGAGCTAGAAATAGTACTCCCAAGGCAAGGGACCTGTAGTTCTAGATCTTGATAATTTCCTTTTTTTTTTTTTCTTTTCTTTTTTTTTTAGACAGAGTCTTGCTCTGTCACCCAGGTTGGAGTGCAGTGGTGTGATCTCGGTTCACCGCAACCTCCACCTCCTGGGCTCAAGTGATTCTAGTACCTCAGTCTTCTAAGCAGCTGGATTACAGGTATGTGCCACCACACCCAGCTAATTTTTGGCATTTTCAGTAGAAACGGTTTCGCTATGTTGGTCAGGCTGGTGAACTCCTGGCCTCACGTAATCTGCCTGCCTTTGCCTCCCAGAATACTGGGATCGCAGGCATAAGCTACTGTGCCTGGTCTCCATTTTTTTTTAAAGTCTTAATCTCACATTTAGGAAAGGAGAACTGCATAGCCAAAGGAGAGTGTGGGGTGAAAATGACCAAAGGAGAGTGTGGGGTGAAAATGGGACTCAGTGTGCGGTCCATCTTTAGGTAAAGATAAGGGGAGCCAGAGGGATAAGTAAGGGACAAGGTTTAGGATAATTACTAGGACTTTGGAGTCTTTGCTATGGTTTTCCTTGGTGTGATGGTTGGTTCTGGGTTTCAACTTGACAGGATTAAAGATACTCAGAGAGCTGGGAAAGCAGTATTTATTTCCCATGTTTCAGTAGGTACTTGGCTTGTCCCTATTCTGCTGAAAGGGAAACCCAGGCAGTTTGGCATTAAACTGGAATGAATAGCCTGCTCCGGGTGTGTCTGTGAGGGTATTTCTGGAGGAGGTTGGGACTGAATGGGGGAAGATCCACCCTCAATGTGGGAGGACATGATCTAATCACCGTGAAAAAGGTGGAGGAATGGGGAATTCTTCCTCTCTCTTTCTTGGAACTGGACACCCATGTTTTCCTGCCCTTGAATGCCAGAACTCCTGATTCTCCAGCCTTTGGACTCTGGGACTCAAACTAACAGTCTCAGATAGAAAATTACACCATCAATTTCCCTGGTTCTGAGGTCTCTGGACTTGGACTGAGCCATGCTGTAGGCTTTCCTGGTTCTACATTTTGCAGACATAGCCTCTTTATGGGGAACTTCTCCACTTCCCCATAATCAGTTAAGCCAATTCCCCTAATAAATCCCTCTTCATATATCTCTCAAAATGTACTACTGGTCTCTCTCTCTGGAGAACTTGGACTAAAACAGTTGGTCAGATCTCTTTGAAGCTCTATAGCATCTTAAGAGAATGCAGAGACCTTCCAGGCTGGCTGGCACAGGACACCTTATTGTCCTCTTGTAGAACAGGAGCCTGTGGCAGCATCTGCAATATGATGTCTTAAGCTTATCTCAAAGTTTAATGCATGTTCTTTGCCAAGTCTTACATAGTTCTCAAGAGAGTCTTTATTCCATAATTTCACTGTGCAGCCTTGTCCTGCTGTGAGGCCCCTAGCTGCACGCCACCTGTATTAATTTGGAGGTTTTCATTTCAAGTAATCAAGATACGACTTAAACTGCCTTAAGTCCCAATCCCAAACAATAATTTAGTGGATTACTTACAGAAAAGTTCAGGAATGTGGTTTCAGACACAGCTGGTTTCAGGGGCTCAAGCAATTTCTTCAAGTTTTGGAGTCAGTGCGTGTCTGTGAGTTTGTCTCTCTCGCTTCCCTTCGCTGTCTCTATGATTCACCTCTGCCTTCCTCTAAGCTGACTTTTGTCACCAGCAAGCCCTCTCCAGAAGACAGAAGAATTGAAACACACTTTCCCTCTCTCAAGGTCTCTAGCAAAAATATTTGAATTCAATTTCCTTGGGCCAGTTTGAGTGTAAGCTTATTCCTGACTCTCTTGCTGTGGCCAGGGTGTTGGAACACATTGATTGGCTAGGCCAGGGCCACTTTCCCACTTCTGATTTGGGGGATGGAGCATAAGTTGGATGCAATGGGCTGAATGGGAGAGGTCTTTCCTTAAAGTGAAAAGGGAGCTACACTGGGAAGGGAAAAACAATAGATGTCCTTTCTAATAGCCTAACTGCTCTCATCAGAGGATGGGAGGTGCAGAGAGGGAAGGCAGTGCAGGGCATTTTATCAAGAGAGAAAGGATAAATCAAGGCATCTTTGTAAACGTTGCATAAAAATCGCTACAGGATAAAACCAGGGAGATGCTTGTATTTTCTTGTGTGACTCATGGTAACGTATGCTTACGGTGGCTGTACTATGTTTGTGTTCTGCTATCCTCCATCCATTCTCTGATATCTCTGTCCTGTCCAGGACTTTGGCTTCTATGGACTGTGTCACCTGGACTTCCTAGAGCTGTGACTTCCAAGAGGGTTCGGACAATGGGAGGCACCCAGAGGAGGCTGGAGGGCAGAAGAGGAGAAGTTGGAGTGTTTCTTAGCCTGATCCTTTCCTGTGCTGGGCTGCAGGTCAGCAGTGACTGCAGTTCATCAAATCGAGTCCTACCTGGGCATCCCTCTTCTTTAGTTCCAGCAACTGTATTTTGTCTCCTTGCCCCTGCAGCCTAGAGAGGTGGTTATGACATCTGGCTGCCTGCTGTTGCTGATACTGAGATTACTCATCTTTCCATTTCAATTCCCTAACCCTGCCCCAGCCCCTGTATATAGTCCCTTCCTTATGTTCTCTGTAGAATCCCGCTGATTGTGCCTTTTTCTTCTGTCTAGGTCTTGATCTTCATCCATAAACAAGGCAGAGATTTTGAGAGATCTTGAAATTTGTCTCCCTCCCTTTCAGTGTCAGTAGACATAAATATCCAAACCAGTATGTGTTTATACCTAGTAGAGGAATGGGGAGAAAAGCCTTTTGGAAGGTGTGAAGGGAACTGAGGTTATAGGATGGACCAGTTCATAAATAAGGAGATAGGAGAGAGGGCTGTAAAACAAACACACACACACAAACTCATTCACAAATGTTGGGAAATAACACAATACTTAATCCTGAAGCATCTAGGATCCCAGCTGCTGGATGGCATCCATGTCAGGAGCTGAGAATGTTTTCCCAATTCCAATGGAAATGATCCTCTTAGTGACTGGCCCGTGGTTCTCTTTTGTTACCTAGTGTTCATCAGCCCCATATGATTAGCCTTGGCAGTTTGGAGGAGGGGCTTTAAAGACCCTAACATGAGGAATGAGGAGGAAGTGACAGCTTAAGAGGGTAGAGGCAGGAAGGAAGACTCAATGCTAGGAGGCTGTGGGGAGGAAGAGAGTGCGGAGAAAGCTAGCCAAGGAGAGAACAAGTTAAGCCTAAGCCAGGAATTGGTGGGATTCCCCTGAGGGTTCCTGTAAAAATTGAAATTTGGCTTCCACAGCAGACTTCTGATCCCAGGTTTTGTAGATGGACCATCTGGGAGAGTATTTGAACTCACCTGGATCAGCTTATGCAACACACTGGGGTTCCTCTAGATTCTGCTGTTTATCCTGTGCCACATCAAGGACGCTCATCAGAGGTGAGTCAAGACTACAGCTGCAGTTGGACGTGCTTTGTTAGGTGAGGCTGTGTAGGTAATTGAAAGGACCCTGGGGCTAGGAGTTTGAAGCTGTTGCATCTGGTTTCTAACACTCAGTTTTTGACTTGAGAATAAGTTATTTAACTTGCTGAATCTCACTGCCCTTGACCATTAAATGGAGGTAATGCCATCTCTACTGTTTTCATCATAGGGTGATTGTGAGGCATACAATCAGATTTGAACATGAAGGACTTTATTTGAAAGCTTTTAAAAACGTTAACACATAACATAGTTTCTATTCTCTCACAGTCATTGTTTTGAGGGAAATAGATACCATTCTCCCTTGGTATACACAGGAATTGGTTCCAGGACCCCTGCATCTACCAGTATTCGCCCATACTCAAGACTTACAGTCGGTCCTTCAGAACCCTTGGATGTAACAATTGGCTCTCTGTATATGCAGGTTTTACACCCTGTGATTATTGATATTTTTGATCCACATTTGGTTAAAAAAAAAAATCCCCATATAAGTGGACCCGGGCAGTTCAAATCCATGTTATTCAAGGGTGAACTGTATATGTACATACCTATCACAGCAATGCGCTGAGTACACAATCAAAGCATGAACACATCACTTGTAGAACTTGAAGGAAAACCCCTTGTCCTTGCCCAGGGCAAGTAAGGAGTACTTCTTAAAGGAAAACAAGACAGATCAAGGAAGGGACAAGCATTTCAGGCAGAAGATGCAGCAAACACAGGACACAGCAAGATATCAAAAGAGCAATAGACATGTGAACATGTAGCTGGTGTGCCAGTCAGGAGTTAGACCATGTTTAATCATCATACCAAGCTAAGGAATTTGGATGGACCAGCATTTTAAAAAGTCTGTCCCTAAAAGCAGGGACCCTGGAAGTCGCCCTTTGAGAACAGAGTACTATGATCATTTGTATTTGGGAAATTACCTCCCTTTGTGAATTTCTTGAAGATTAACAATGTGCATTAGCATATTAAAGGATTTTATAAGTACTAAGGTGAAGTGAGTAGCCTGCTTAATTTTGTTTTATCCCATTTTGTCCATTCTTATTTAAACAGGTAGCCCTTTCATAAAGAAGACAAACTTTTTTTTAAACAACCCTTGGAATTAATGATCCCCAGAGCTCATTTTGGGGAGATAATGAAGAGAGATTATGACAAAGGAATCATGTGCTTATAACCGGGTTTTAGCATATTCATTCTAATGGTCACTGTGGACAGGATGGATTAGAGAGGGGGAAATGAAGGCATAGGGAGACCAAAGGACAGCTTTTGATGGTAATGCTAAGGCAATAGCAAGGGGGATGATGAAAGGGAAGCAGATATTTAAGAGAGAATTAACCATTCAGTACTTGACTGATGGATTCTGAAGAGATAGCAGGCTATGAACTGAAACATATTTTAAAAGTTATTAAGCATATTGTATAACAACAGTGCTGATAGAGTGCATATTATGTGCAAGGCAATGTTCTAAATGTTTATAATATAACCTAATAAAATATTTGCAAAAACCCTATCGGGGGTGCTATCACTTTACAGATGATAAAACAGTTACATAAAGGTATAATCTATGCCCAAGCTCACATAATTAATAAGTATGGGCATTGAAAAACTATTGTCCATGGACCCAATTTGGTCCGTCACATTGTTTCATATGCTTGAGAACTAGGAGTGGTTCTTTAACATTTTTAAATGGTTGGGGAAAAAGTATAAAGAAGGTAACATTTCACGATGGGAAAATTATATGAAATTTAAATTTCCATGGATAAGATTTTACTGGAACACAATACAATTTGTGTATATTCACTGGTTGCTTTTATGCTGCAACAGTAAAGTTCTGTAGTTGTGACAGAGACCTTACAGACTGCCAAGCTGAAAGTATTGAGTATGAGGTCGTTTAAAGAAAAAGTTTGCAGATGCCTGAATAAGTGGCACAGTCAGGATTCAAATCTGAGATTCGAAGGTCAGGTTTTGTGAAGTCAAAACCATGTAGGGCCTGGAAATGCATGCATAAGGCCTGGTGTGCCTTTGGGGAGCTCAGATTGTCAAGAGATGGGTTAACTAAGCAGTTGATCCCGTGTGGCAGTTGTCACAGTGGTGGGAAAGATGGAGCAGTATCTTAGGATCTGAGAAACACCACCTCAGTGCGGCTAGGGGGCAGGATGTGTCAAGGAAGTTTAGTCAAGTATGGAAATGCGACACAAAGGTCAGGAAAAGATAAAGTGCTGTGCCAAATAATATCGTAGCAAAAACCTTTCCCTGTGGTCTGTTCCTGCTTCCACACATTCCTTGCTCCTTGGCTAAAGAAGGAGCCCAGTGTTCAGAAGGAACACCTGGTGTGAAGAAACAGAATAGGTGGCACTTGGAGGTTTGATATCATGTTCTTGGGGAAAACAGAGGCTTCTAGTGTTAAAATGGAAATTGAAAGTGGTCTCTGGGAGCTTTACCAGCTTTGTTTAATAGGAGCAAGCTGGTGATAGAATTGACACTAAGACAATTTCTTCCATTCAGGGCTGTTGTGAGCAGCTTTACTACAGAAACCCTTTTCATCCCAATACCTTGATCAGATCCATTTTACTTCCAGCTAGGAAGAGGCTGAAGTTTAAGTGCACCTGCCCACTGTGTTCTGGGGAGAGCATATGTTGTCAATCTTCTCCACAGGCTCTTTCTGCATTGTCCTTGGCACTCCTAGAAACTGCTCCCTCTCAGTGGCAGATAACAAACATGTGAAAACCCATGCTTTCATTATATTCATTACGATGTGTCCCAGCAACCCTTAGACAGTGACCGCTCAACTGGCCTTTTATGCCAGGATAATATTTGCCCATCTAAGAAATTAGGCACAAAGTGAAAGGAGAAATGAGATGCAGCTGCCGTGCAATGCTGACTCAAGAACTCCTTGTGTCCATGACACAGGGAGATCTCATTAGTGTTGTATTCTGCGCAGCCAACTTGCTTAAAAAGAGCGTCAGAGCACTGGAAATGGCTTTTTGCTTGTTGGTTGCCATCATGAGAATCGAACCTTTTGTTCTCCAATTCATTCGGTATTTCTTGGGTGCCTGCTTCACCTGTCCAGGCAATAAGGACACCATGGTGTTCCAAACCTAGCATGGTCCCTGCCACCAGGAAGCAGTATATGGTGTCAAGGGGGCAGAGATGTCAACCACATACTCATGCAGTGAAATCTGAGCCTTCACTGTGGCTGGCTCTACATAGAAGAGGTTTGTGTGCTAAGGGGACAGGTAACAGGAGAATTTAATCTAGTCAGCAAGGGTAGAATTTGAGGAAGGGAGGAACTGTCTGAGATTTAAGTTGAGCACGTGTTACCCAGGTGGCAAGGGGGAACAACAGAGTTCCAGGCAGAAGAAACCACATGTTGGCTTTCTGGCTACTAAGCAGCTTTGCCCGGCTCAATAGCTCATATAGGGCTAATTTTTAAAAGCCAAGGTTGCTTCCCCTCTTCCACAGCTCCAACTGGACTCTGTCATGTGCTTAACATGAATTCATTTGTGTTTTATTTGACTTAATTTGGCTCAGTCAACAGCCTTTATTGACAGCTATGTGCCATATAGGAATACTGAAATGGAAACACGTCATCATGGTTAAAATCCCTAAAGCTACCATTTACTGGGCTCCTACTTGGGATCTAGGCAGACCTATGTGTGATTTCCAAATGAGGTCTTTGGCCTGGGCCAGAAACTTCCTCTCTATGAGATTTAGTTCCTAATCTGTTTAAAAATAAACAGGCTAAATATCATACTGAATGGACAAAAACTGGAAGCATTCCCTTTGAAAACTGGCACAAGACAGGGATGCCCTCTCTCACCACTCCTATTCAACATAGTGTTGGAAGTTCTGGCCAGGGCAGTCAGGCAGGAGAAAGAAATAAGGGGTATTCCATTAGGAAAAGAGGAAGTCAAATTGTCCCTGTTTGCAGATGACATGATTGTATATCTAGAAAACCCCATCGTCTCAGCCCAAAATCTCCTTAAGCTGATAAGCAACTTCAGCAAAGTCTCAGGATACAAAATCAATGTGCAAAAATCACAAGCATTCTTATACACCAATAACAGAGAGCCAAATCGTGAGTGAACTCCCATTCACAATTGCTTCAAACAGAATAAAATACCTAGGAATCCAACTTACAAGGGTTGTGAAGGACCTCTTCAAGGAGAACTACAAACCACTGCTCAATGAAATAAAAGAGGATACAAACAAATGGAAAAACATTCCATGCTCATGGATAGGAAGAATCAATATCATGAAAATGACCATACTGCCCAAGGTAATTTATAGATTCAATGCCATCCCCATCAAGCTACCAATGACTTTCTTCACAGAACTGGAAAAAACTACTTTAAAATTCATATGGAACTAAAAAGCCTACATTGCCAAGTCAATCCTAAGCCAAAAGAACAAAGCTGGAGGCATCATGCTTACTGACTTCAAACTATACTACAAGGCTACAGTAACCAAAACAACATGGTACTGGTACCGAAACAGAGATATAGACCAATGGAACAGAACAGAGCCCTCAGAAATAATACCACATGTCTACAACTATCTGATCTTTTACAAACCCAAAAAAAACAAGAAATGGGGAAAGGATTCCCTATTTAACAAATGGTGCTGGGAAAATTGGCTAGCCATATGTAGAAAGCTGAAACTGGATCCCTTCCTTATACCTTGTACAAAAATTAATTCAAGATGGATTAAAGACTTAAATTTTAGACCTATAACCATAAAAACCCTAGAAGAAAACCTAGGCAATACCATTCAGGACATAGGCATGAGCAAAGACTTCATGTCTAAAACACCAAAAGCAATGGCAACAAAAGCCAAAATTGACAAATGGGATCTAATTAAACTAAAGAGCTTCTGCACAGCAAAAGAAACTACCATCAGAGTGAACAGGGAACCTACAGAATGGGAGAAAATTTTCTCAACCTACTCATCTGACAAAGGGCTAATATCCAGAATCTACAAAGAACTCAAACAAATTTATAAGAAAAAAACACTCATCAAAAATTAGGCGAAGGATATGAACAGACACTTCTCAGAAGAAGACATTTCTGCAGCCAACAGACACATGAAAAAATGCTCATCATCACTGGCCATCAGAGAAATGCAAATCAAAACCACAATGAGATACCATCTCACACCAGTTAGAATGGCTATCATTAAAAAGTCAGGAAACAACAGGTGCTGGAGAGGATGTGGAGAACTAGGAACACTTTTACACTGTTGGTAGGACTGTAAACTAGTTCAACCATTGTGGAAGTCAGTGTGGCGATTCCTCAGGGATCTGGAACTAGAAATACCATTTGACCCAGCCATCCCATTACTGGGTATATACCCAAAGGAATATAAATCATGCTGCTATAAAGACACATGCACACGTATGTTTATTGTGGCACTACTCACAATAGCAAAGACTTGGAACCAACCCAAATGTCCAACAATGATAGACTGGATTAAGAAAATGTAGCACATATATACCATGGAATACTATGCAGCCATACAAAAGGATGAGTTCATGTCCTTTGTAGGGACATGGATGAAGCTGGAAACCATCATTCTCAGCAAACTATCACAAGGACAGAAAACCAAACACCGCATGTCCTCACTCATAGGTGGGAATTGAACAATGAGAACACTTGGACATAGGAAGGGGAACATCACACACTGGGGACTGTTATGGGGTGGGGGGAGAGGGGAGGGATAGCATTAGGAGATATACCTAATGTAAATGACGAGTTAATGGGTGCAGCACACCACCATGGCACATGTATACATATGTAACATACCTGCACGTTTTGCACATGTACTCTAGAACTTAAATTGTAATTAAAAATATATGTGTGTATCTATATATATGTGTATGTATATATATGTGTGTGTGTATATATGTGTATGTATATATATGTGTGTGTGTATATATGTGTGTGTGTATATATGTGTGTGTGTGTATATATATATATAAAGACATTTGTAGCTGATCTGAAATTCAATCTGAAAAAAAAATGAAAAAAAAACAGGCTAGTGATGTTTGTTGAATCTGATTATCATGAATATTAAGTGACATACTGTGATGTGCAGCACAGTTCCTGGAACAAAGCAGACTTCTGATGACGTCTGTTGATTGAATAATGGCGTTCGTCTTAAACCAGTACTGGGCTTGGGAGTCCAGCTTAATTTTAGTTTATGCGTAGACCATAAGGTTTTATAAAATTCTCTACCTACCAATTCTGGTCTCATTATATCCAGAGACAAATATATCACCTAATAACCTTCAGTCATTTCTTCTCTGGCCAAAGCATAAATGCATTATTAAAGAATCATTTATGTATTTCCAACAGTTGTATAATGATTGGTCCAGGTAGGTGCTAGAGGAAAAATGTGAAGTTTTTTATGCTGTTGCAATCTATGAGTTTTAAAATGGATTTATGGTTACAGAACTCATGAAAGCTGCTAATTATTTTTTTATGTAGACACTTGACAAAGGAAATGTAGATATAGCTCTGTCATTTTTCAATTTTGTATGCTATTTTGACTCAAATTCTATCCAAATAACATTATTTCTTTTCATGTCCACTGTGATATTAGTACTGCCCACAGGACACCTATAATGCTTCATTAGAAAATATGTATCAGTGATGGAACCATGTATTTTGCTTTTTGATGTCTCCCAAATCTAAAATAGGATTATCAAGGCACTAAGCTGCAGAGTGTATCACATCCCTTTATTGTGTTTCAGAGAACTGAGGGAAATGAAAGATACAAATGGGGCTAGCAATCTTGAGAGTGAAGTGAGCAGGGAAAGAGGGCACAGAGGGAAGATTTCAAGGCCCGTCTATTTGATGCCAAATTGCATAAGATGGAATCATGAGGCTGACAGAAAGTGAACCAATGAACAGAAAGTCTCCTATGAGGTCAACCCTTTCCTTTCCAGCACCACTCAGATCACCACCCACCCCCATCCCCATTTCTCATCAGAAATTGGCAGTTGATGATTAGCAACCTATTATTACTTTTTCTCAAATTTTTAGAGAATGAGGTCTACAGATATGGAAATAGTCTGATGTGATATCTTTGAACCCAAATGGGCAGGCATTTTTTTTTCTAGCGTGTACCCTACGTTTCTATTTTCTATGCCTGAAGCTCTTTGATTCTTAGGCGAATTGTATTTTTATTTCTATCCACATCAATAAACAAAAGAAAATGACCCTGTGTTTCCACCTTCTGAATTTCTGCTGAGAAGCTTATTGGGGTGGTAGGCTCATAGACTCTGCCTGGGTCCTAACATGGGATTAGGAGCTGCACAACTTTGTTACTTAATCTCTCTGTGCCCATGTTTGTTATCTTTAAAATAGGGGAAACAATAGTTCCTGCCTCATGGGATTGTTGTCAGATTTAATGTATCAACATGAGAAAAATGCTTAGAATATGCTTCATGGCATCCAAGCATCTTAGAAAAATGCTTCATGGCATATAATCAGTGCTAATTAGGTTAAACATAAAAATAAGACCACCAGCTTTCTCCTACTCAGGATAAAATGACTGCAATTGCACTTACCTTCCCTTATAAGATTTCTTGTAAAACTTTGATTCAGTAGATATGATATAGAAGAAAGGAAGTAAGTATGTCCAAACAGCACTATTTATAGACTCTTTAAATAGAAGTGTCTATTTAATTCAAACCCTCTGGAAAGGATTGGAATGATCTTTTTGCTAGCACAGACTTCATGGAGCATCACCTAGGTTTGGGGCTCAAAGGAAAGATGAGGCTTAGCCCTGCTTCCAGTCAGCATATTCTGT
Source organism: Homo sapiens (assembly GCF_000001405.40). NCBI lineage: Eukaryota > Metazoa > Chordata > Mammalia > Primates > Hominidae > Homo > Homo sapiens. The sequence continues at coordinate 5,589,770 of NC_000003.12, forward strand.
AATTACACATTTTTAATTTATCTTGGTCCAAAGTTAGCTTTCTATGGGTAATCCGTTGCTATTTCAATACTGTGTGCTTCTCTGCCTCCCTTTCACTAATTTGTGTAGGGTTTTTAAAGGCTTACTTAAGAGCATGGTGTTGTAATTCATTTCCTCCTACACTTATCTGATGACTGAACAGGTATTTAGTAAAAATGATCCCATTTTAAATGTAAAGAAACAAAATAGATGAGAAAAATATGCATAAAATGTGAATTAAAATCTGAAATCCTTATTTGCTCATGACATTTCTTTCTTAACACCAAGGAGATGCCTTTTATAATCTCCATTTTCATGAGATTTCTCTAAAATCTTAGAACACTCATTTCTCTGGGTTTCTGAGAAAATCAGTCTTTGCTCTTCTGCAGAGTATTAGTGGGCTGGATAGCACAGGAAGGCAGAGCCTGTGAAGCCAGGCTGAGGTGAGTCCAGTCACATGACTTGGAGTGGAGAAAGGGGCATCATAGGCCCATCAGGGTGGTGCATGTGGGAACGTGGGCATCAGGTGCTAGAGACCTGTGTTCCCTAATTATCCGAGACAAATTAGTTCTTGTTTTGTCAAACTAAAATTTGGCCAGTGTGAATTTGGCAGTATACCAGAGAGCAAGGATCTCTGAGGTCATGAGGGCTGTAGTGGTGCTAGTAGGGAAGGAGAGACTCTAGCTTAATTTTAATATTTTGCCATAGTTTTAATTCTTGCCATTGCTCGCTGCTCTTCAGCTGCATGGCCTATGTCTTTTCCTCTAATGCGATAATTCTCAGTCAAGGATAGTGCTCTTCCTCAGGGCCAGGGTACATTTGACAAAACCTGGAGGCATTTCGGTCGGCACAAGCAGAGGCAGTGGGATGGCACCAGCATTTAGTGTGTAGAGGCCAGAGATGCTGCTAAACATGCCGCGATGTACAGGATAATGCAGAGTAACAATGAATTATCCAGCCCCAAATCTTTTTTTTTTAAAGCTCTGAAAGAAACATTTATTGTACTATCTGTTCTTTATTTTATTTTTGTTATTATACTTTAAGTTGTAGGGTACATGTGCACAACGTGCAGGTTAGTTACATATGTATACATGTGCCATGTTGGTGTGCTGCACCCACTAACTCGTCATTTACATTAGGTATATCTCCTAATACTGTTCCTCCCCCTTCCCCCCACCCCACAACAGGCCCCAGTGTGTGATGTTCCCCTTCCTGTGTTCAAGTGTTCTCATCGTTCAATTCCCACCTATGAGTGAGAACGTGCGGTGTTTGGTTTTCTGTCCTTGCGATAGTTTGCTGAGAATGATGGTTTCCAGCTTCATCCATGTCCCTACAAAGGACATGAACTCATCCTTTTGTATGGCGGCACAGTATTCTATGGTGTATATGTGCCACATTTTCTAAACCCAGTCTATCATTGTTGGACATTTGGGTTGGTTCCAAGTCTTTGCTATTGTGAGTAGTGCCGCAATAAACATACGTGTGCATGTGTCTTTATAGCAGCATGATTTATATTCCTTTGGGTATATACCCAGTAATGGGATGGCTGGGTCATACGGTATTTCTAGTTCTAGATCCCTGAGGAATCGCCACACTGACTTCCACAATGGTTGAACTAGTTTACAGTCCCACCAACAGTGTAAAAGTGTTCCTATTTCTCCACATCCTCTCCAGCACCTGTTGTTTCCTGACATTTTAATGATCGCCATTCTAACTGGTGTGAGATGGTATCTCATTGTGGTTTTGATTTGCATTTCTCTGATGGCCAGTGATGATGAGCATTTTTTCATGTGTCTGTTGGCTGCATAAATGTCTTCTTTTGAGAAGTGTCTGTTCATATCCTTCACCCACTTTTTGATGGGGTTGTTTTTTTCTTGTAAATTTGTTGGAGTTCATTGTAGATTCTGGATATTAGCCCTTTGTCAGGTGAGTAGATTGCAAAAATTTTCTCCCGTTCTGTAGGTTGCCTGTTCACTCTGATGGTAGTTTCTTTTGCTGTGCAGAAGCTCTTTAGTTTAGTTAGATCCCATTTGTCAATTTTGGTTTTTGTTGCCATTGCTTTTGGTGTTTTAGACATGAAGTCCTTGCCCATGCCTATGTCCTGAATGGTATTGCCTAGGTTTTCTTCTAGGGTTTTTACGGTTTTAGGTCTAACATTTAAGTCTTTAATCCATCTTGAGTTAATTTTTGTATAAAGTGTAAGGAAGGGATCCAGTTTCAGCTTTCTACATATGGCTAGCCAGTTTTCCCAGCACCATTTATTGAATAGGGAATCTTTTCCCCATTTCTTGTTTTTGTCCAGTTTGTCAAAGATCAGTTAGTCGTACATGTGTGGCATTATTTCTGAGGGCTCTGTTCTGTTCCATTGGTCTGTATCTCTGTTTTAGTACCAGTACTGTGCTGTTTTGGTTACTGTAGCTTTGAAGGATAGTTTGAAGTCAGGTAGTGTGATGCCTCCAGCTTTGTTCTTTTGGCTTAGTATTGACTTGGCAATGCACGCTGTTTTTTGGTTCCATATGAACTTTAAAGTAGTTTTTTCCAGTTCTGTGAAGAAAGTCATTGGTAGCTTGATGGGGATGGCATGGAATCTATAAATTACCTTGGGCAGTATGGCCATTTTCACGATATTGATTCTTCCTTCCCATGAGCATGGAATGTTCTTCCATTTGTTTGTATCCTCTTTTATTTCGTTGAGCAGTGGCTTGTAGTTCTCCTTGAAGAGGTCCTTCACATCCCTTGTAAGTTGGATTCCTAGGTATTTTATTCTCTTTGAAGCAATTGTGAATGGGAGTTCACTCATGATTTGGCTCTCTGTCTGTTATTGGTGTATAAGAATGCTTTGATTTTTGTACGTTGATTTTGTATCCTGAGACTTTGCTGAAGTTGCTTATCAGCTTAAGGAGATTTTGGGCTGAGACAATGGGATTTTTTAAATATACTATCGTGTCATCTGCAAAGAGGCACAATTTGACTTCCTCTTTTCCTAATTGAATACCCTTTATTTCTTTCTCCTGCCTGATTGCCCTGGCCAGAACTTCCAACACTATGTTGAATAGGAGTGGTGAGAGAGGGCATTCCTGTCTTGTGCCAATTTTCAAAGGGAATGCTTCCAGTTTTTGCCCATTCAGTATGATATTGGCTGTGGTTTTGTCATACATACCTCTTACTATTTTCAGATACGTCCCATCAATACTTAATTTATTGAGAGTTTTTAGTATGAAGTGCTGTTGAATTTTGTCAAAGGCCTTTTCTTCATCTATTGAGATAATCATATGGTTTTTGTCGTTGGTTCTGTTTATATGCTGGATTACATTTATTGATTTGCGTATGTTGAACCAGCCTTGCATCCCAGGGATGAAGCCCACCTCATCATGGTGGATTAGCTTTTTGATGTGTTGCTGGATTCGGTTTGCCAGTATTTTATTGAGGATTTTTGCATCAATGTTCATCAGGGATATTGGTCTAAAATTCTCTTTTTTTGTTGTGTCTCTGCCAGGCTTTGGTATCATGATGCTGCTGGCCTCATAAAATGAGTTAGGGAGGATTCCCTCTATTTCTATTGATTGGAATAGTTTCAGAAGGGATGGTAGCAGCTCCTCTTTGTACCTCTGGTAGAATTCAGCTGTGAATCCATCTGGTCCTGGACTTTTTTTGGTTGGTAAGCTATTAATTATTGCCTCAATTTCAGCTCCTGTTATTGGTCTATTCAGAGATTGAACTTCTTCCTGGTTTAGTCTTGGGAGGGTGTATGTGTCCAGGAATTTATCCATTTCTTCTAGGTTTTCTAGTTTATTTGCATAGAGGTGTTTATAGTATTCTCTGATGTTAGTTTGTATTTCTGTGGGATAGGTGGTGATATCCCCTTTAACATTTTTTATTGCATCTATTTGATTCTTCTCTCTTTTCTTCTTTATTAGTCTTGCTAGTAGTCTATCAATTTTGTTGATCTTTTCAAAAAACCAGCTCCTGGATTCATTGATTTTTTGAAGGGTTTTTTGTGTCTCTATCTTCTTCAGTTCTGCTTTGATCTTAGTTATTTCCTGCCTTCTGCTAGCTTTTGAATGTGTTTGCTCTTGCTTCTCTAGTTCTTTTAATTGTGATGTTAGGGTGTCGATTTTAGATCTTTCCTGCTTTCTTTTGTGGGCATTTAGTGCTATAAATTTCCCTCTACACACTGCTTTAAAGGTGCCCCAGAGATTCTGGTATGTTGTGTCTTTGTTCTCATTGGTTTCAAAGAACATCTTTATTTCTGCCTTCATTTCATTATGTACCTAGTAGTCATTCAGGAGGAGGTTGTTCAGTTTCCATGTAGTTGAGTGGTTTTGAGTGAGTTTCTTAATCCTGAGTTCTAGTTTGATTGCACTGTGGTCTGAGAGAGAGTTTGTTATAATTTCTGTTCTTTTACATTTGCTGAGGAGTGCTTTACTTCCAAGTATGTGGTCAGTTTTGGAATAGGTGTGGTGTGGTTCTGAGAAGAATGTATATTCTGTTGATTTGGGGTGGAGAGTTCTGTAGATGTCTATTGGTCCAGAGCTGAGTTCAATCCCTGGATATCCTTGTTAACTTTCTGTCTCGTTGATGTGTCTAATGTAGACAGTGGGGTGTTAAAGTCTCCCATTATTATTGTGTGGGAGTCTAAGTCTCTTTGTAGGTCACTCAGGACTTGCTTTATGAATCTGGGTGCTCCCATATTGGATGCATATATATTTAGGATAGCTAGCTCTTCTTGTTGAATTGATCCCTTTACCATTATGCAATGGCCTTCTTTGTCTCTTTTGACCTTTCTTGGTTTAAAGTCCGTTTTATCAGAGACTAGGATTGCAACCCCTGCCTCTTTTTGTTTTCCATTTGCTTGGGAGATCTCCCTCCATCCCTTTATTTTGAGCCTATGTGTGTCTCTGTACGTGAGATAGGTCTCCTGAATACAGCACACTGATGGGTCTTGACTCTTTATCCAATTTGCCAGTCTGTGTCTTTTAATTGGAGCATTTAGCCCATTTATATTTAAGGTTGATATTGTTATGTGTGAATTTGATCCTGTCATTATGATGTTAGCTGGTTATTTTGCTCGTTAGTTGATGCAGTTTCTTCCTAGCCTCTATGGTCTTTACAATTTGGCATGTTTTTGCAGTGGCTGGTATCGATTGTTCATGTCCATGTTTAGTGCTTCCTTCAGGAGCTCTTTTATGGCAGGCCTGGTGGTGACAAAATCTCTCAGCATTTGCTTGTCTGTAAAAGATTTTATTTCTCCTTCACTTATGAAGCTTAGTTTGGATGGATATGAAATTCTGGGTTAAAAAATCTTTTCTTTAAGAAGGTTGAATCTTGGCCCCCCACTCTCTTCTGGCTTGTAGAGTTTCTGCTGGGAGATGAGCTGTTAGTCTGATGGGCTTTCCTTTGTGGGTAACCTGACCTTTCTCTCTGGCTGCCCTTAACTTTTTTTCCTTCATTTCAACTTTGGTGAATATGACAATTATGTGTCTTGGAGTTGCTCTTCTCGAGGAGTATCTTTGTGGCATTCTCTGTATTTCCTGAATCTGAATGTTGGCCTGCCTTGCTAGATTGGGGAAGTTCTCCTGGATGATATCCTGCAGACTGTTTTCCAACTTGGTTCTATTCTCCCCGTCACTTTCAGGTACACCAATCAGACAGAGATTTGGTCTTTTCACATAGTCCCATATTTCTTGGAGGCTTTGTTCGTTTCTTTTTATTCTTTTTTCTCTAAACTTCCCTTCTCGCTTCATTTCATTCATTTCATCTTCCAACATTGGTACGCTTTCTTCCAGTTGATCGCATCAGCTCCTGAGGCTTCTGCATTCTTCACGTAGTTCTCGAACCTTGGCTTTCAGCTCCATCACCTCCTTTAAGGACTTCTCTGCATTGGTTATTCTAGTTATACATTCATCTAATTTTTTTTCAAAGTTTTTAACTTCTTTGCCATTGGTTTGAATTTCCTCCCATGGCTCGGAGTAGTTTGATCATCTGAAGCCTTCTTCTCTCGACTTGTCAAAGTCATTCTCTGTCCAGCTTTGTTCCATTGCTGGTGAGGAACTGTGTTCCTTTGGAGGAGGAGAGGTGCTCTGCTTTTTAGAGTTTCCAGTTTTTCTGCTCTGTTTTTTCCCCATCTTTGTGGTTTTATCTACTTTTGGTCTTTGATGATGGTTATGTACAGATGGGTTTTTGGTGTGGATGTCCTTTCTGTTTGTTAGTTTTCCTTCTAACAGACAGGACCCTCAGCTGCAGGTCTGTTGGAGTTTGCTAGAGGTCCACTCCAGACCCTGTTTGCCTGGGTATCAGCAGTGGTGGCTGCAGGACAGCGGTGGCTGTAGAACAGCGGATTTTGGTGAACCACAAATGCTGCTGCCTGATCATTCCTCTGGAAGTTTTGTTTCAGAGGAGTACCCGGCCGTGTGAGGTGTCCATCTGTCCCTACTGGGGGGTGCCTCCCAGTTAGGCTGCTCGGGGGTCAGGGACCACTTGAGAAGGCAGTCTGCCCGTTCTCAGATCTCCAGCTGTTTGCTGGGAGAACCACTACTCTCTTCAAAGCTGTCAGACAGGGACATTTAAGTCTGCAGAGGTTACTGCTGTGTTTTTGTTTGTCTGTGCCCTGCCCCCAGAGGTGGAGCCTACAGAGGCAGGCAGGCCTGCTTGAGCTGTGGTGGGCTCCACCCAGTTCGAGCTTCCCGGCTGCTTTGTTTACCTAATGAAGTCTGGGCAATGGCAGGCACCCCTCCCCCAGCCTCGCTGCCACCTTACAGTTTGATCTCAGACTGCTGTGCTAGCAATCAGGGAGACTCCGTGGGTGTAGGACCCTCCGAGCCATGTGTGGAATATAATCTCCTGGTGTGCCATTTTTGAAGCCCGTTGGAAAAGCGCGGTATTAGGGTGGGAGTGAGCAGATTTTCCAGGTGCCATCTGTCACCCCTTTCTTTGACTAGGAAAGGGAACTCCCTGACTCCTTGCACTTCCTGAGAGAGGCAGTGCATCGCCCTGCTTCGGCTCGCACATGGTGCGCTGCACCCACTGTCCTGCACCCACTCTGTGGCACTCCCTAGTGAGATGAACCTGGTACCTCAGACAGAAATGCAGAAATCACCTGTCTTCTGTGTCACTCATGCTGGGAGCTGTAGACCAGAGCTGTTCCTACTTGGCCATCTTGGCTCCCTACTTTTAGTTCTTTAAGGGTCTCCACACTGTTTTTCCTTCTGGTTGTACTAGTTTACACTTCCACCAGCAGTGTAGAAATGTTCCCTGTTCACATCCATGCCAACATCTGTGAGTTTTTGATTATGGCCATTCTTGATAAGGATACCAGTCATATTGAATTAGGGCTCACCTAGATGACCTCATTTTAATTTCATTACCCCTGTAAAGACCTTATCTGCAAATAAGGCCACATTCTGGGGTATTGAGGGTTAGGACTCCAACATATCTTTTCTTGGGTAAGGGGAGGTGGGGACAATTCAGCCTATAACACCTCTGTGACTTGCAGGCATTGCTAATCCTTTATGTTAACTCTCTTCCTATCACATCTACATATGGTCTCAGAAACGTTTGCTTGCAGTTGTTATCCATGCCGTTTCTGATCAGAAGGAGGATTCCTTTCCTGGAATTACATCTACCTGAGGTTTGGCATGCTGAGGGTAAGTCATAACTTAAATTCTGTGTTATTTCCTTCCATGCTGGGGAGAAGTAATTTAGAAGACCTGGATTCAGCCCTGTTGTCTGTATGAACAAATGGCTTGACTTTGTTGGGCCTCAGATTGTGATTTTTAGAAAGTGGGTATTAAAACCTACTAAGAAAATTTTTGTGCAGATTGATGGAAATACCCCATATAAAGGTGTAGGTACTTCATAGGCAATCATGTAACACAAATCTCCCCTTTCTCCTATACTCAGTAGTTACTTTAGTTACCTTTTTTTTTTTTTTTTTGCTGTGGGGCAGGGCAGGGTGAAGTATAGAAATGAAGAGTTCCTCCTGCTACTTTACAGAAAGGGGAAATAAAAAACCAGAGATTTGTAAATGACTTTTCCAGATAAAAAGATCCAAGCTTATACACTCCCAATAGTTTTTTGGTTGATAATCTTAAGAGAAATAATCCATTTATTTTTATTTCACCAGTTAATAGAGCAAAATTCTCAGTACTGAAAATAGGATGATAATAAAAGAGATTATTTTTTAGGATTTGTTTTCAAAAGCTCAGCTGTTTGATAAGATGCTTATATGGTAGTGCCCCAGACCTGTCATTGGGTTGAATGTTGCTTCACATGATACAGGTTTTTTTTGTTAACTCTAACAGTAATTTTATTTCTAGCAGGCTCTGTCTACCTCCTTGTGCTCATTAACATGATTTACCTTTTATTATTGACAACTTAATTATTGTACATAAACTTTATGTATCTTAAAAAGTTAATCTCAGGCCGGGCAGGCCGGGCGTGGTGGCTCACGCCTGTAATCCCAGCGCTTTGGGAGGCCGAGGTGGGTGGATCACCTGAGGTCAGGAGTTCAAGATCAGCTTGGCCAACATGGTGAAACCCCATCTCTACTAAAAATACAAAAACTAGCCAGGCATTGTGGTGGGTGCCTGTAATCCCAGCTACTCAGGAGGCTGAGGCAGAAGAATAGGTTGAACCTGAGAGGTGGATGTTGCAGTGAGTCGAGATCATGCCACTGCACTCTAGCCCAGGTAACAAAGTGAGACTCTGTTTAAAAAAAAAAAAAAAAAAAAAAAACTCATCTCAAATAACAAACTTCTTATTACAACTTTAGTACTCTTATTGGTTCATCTCATATTAGATACAATCTGACTTGACATCTACTTTGGGGGACCTGCTTGGGATGTGTTGACTAACTTGCAAACACGGGAGCGTTTGCATCCTTTTCAGCTATATATTTTTTTATGACTCCATGTTTTCTTTCTGCTAAGCAGAGGGCTAAATATATTTGTACCCACAATTAGAAAATTAGGAAAGTAGTGTTCATCTTTAAGGCCAAAGCCAGTGAGAAAGCTGTGTAGTATAATCAGCAAGGATCAGATACATCCTCCCTTGTCACACTGACCTGCAGAAACCAAGTAATATGTTATTTTGCCTCTTATCATCTTCCCAGCCAAAATGAATGAGACTCTTAGCCAAATACAAATTCAACTCCTTTTGAATCTTCAGATGAATTATACCTAAAGCTGAGAAAAAAAGAATTCTACTTCAGTTCTGTTATTTATTTGAACGTCTTCAGAGTGATGCTTCTGGAAAGATCAAAGGCAATTTGGGGGAAGAATGCACAGCTGTGTGGCCAACTGTGTTGTTGATCTTAAATCTGAAGGCCCCTTTAGGTTCCATCTGGGGCTGACATTTAACTTGACCTTTTCAGGACAAGAGATTAATTTCTGAAGTGTTAGTATTATGGAGATTAATTTGTGAAGCTGATTGTAATTAAGATACTTCTGGCACTTGCATCTGGGCTGGATACAGCAGACATTAATGATGGTAATCCATTTTCTCCCAGGGATGACTGAGGTCCACAGTTTTAAGCTCAACCAATTTCTTTTTGGATTGTTTTCCTTTTTTATTTCAATCTTAGAGAAAAAAGTTGATGACCTCTATAAACATAATGTTCCCTCTCACCTGAGATGGAGATCTTACTGCAGAATGTAATGAATACAGTCCTCCCTCTTATATTTGCTATGATAATTATTACAAGAGCTTATTGTTGAGGCAGGCTCTATGCTAAGCCTGCCTATGTTTCATTTAATCTTTTCAACAACCATATAAGATAGGGGCTCTTATTACCTCAATTTTGTAAATAACTAGGGAAATTAAATAACTAGAGGAGGCCCCAGTTATAGAGATTTTCCTTTCATTGAACTGAGCTAGGACCTGGGCATCTATTTTTCTAAAGCTCTCTAGGTGATTCTAATGGGCAGCTAGGGTTGAAATTCACTGCTCTAGATAAGCAATTAGCTATAAAATAGAAATGGTCCAATACAAGTAAAAGGTAAAAATTATGTACTATGGCTAATGGTTGCTGTTCTTTTCAGTACCAGTGAGTCAGGTCACAGCCAACATTCACTACACATTCCTCCCTCAAAAATAAATTTAAAAAACAACAGAAATAAACTTCAGAGTTGGTTAGAGGGTGTTGATGTTGAATTGACTAGTTCATTTCCTAGAACCCTACTAATTTGGTCTAGTGCCTTTGACATGTAGTTACAAAGTTCCAGCATTCTCATGACTTTTGATTTATTGCTTAGCTATACCAGTACCACAGGTGGACACGAGATATCCCTACTAGTGGACTGTTATTTGGATAGGCTACAGAGCCTTTTCAGTTCTTAGAACTTGCCCAACTTTGTTATGTTCTGTAAGTTTTATGAGGGTCCAGTGGTCTCACAGGCAGCCTGGTTTTCTTCTACGTTTATTCCCGTTTCTCTTCCCCTCCCTCCTATTCTTCCTCTGCCTTCCAGATGTTTTGTCTAAGAAGTTAAGCTGAAGGGGATGGGTTTATAAAATAGAGTGAAATAAACTACAGCGCCATTGCACATCTTTGTTTTTCAGTATGCTCCAACAAAACCACGTAGTCAAAAGAATACAGATCTTTTTATTCATAATCATGTAATAGTTACAGGTTTTAGAGGTGAAATTCTTAGATTTCCTATCTTGAGAAACATTTATAATAGGTACTGCTAACGTCTCTTTATTTCTTTTGTTTGTAGGCTAGATGGTGATATTAATAGTTTTATTTGTTAAAAACATTCCTTTAATTTAAAATATTGAATTCTTATGAAAAATGACTTTGAATACTTTAACTTATATCTCTGTCAATTGAATGAATATTGGCACTTTTGGATGATCAGAAGTACTCACCACCAACTGGCTGCTGGCACCACCACCCTGCTGAAGTGCTTATGATGGCACTCCCCACCCCAGCCCCACCCAGTAGGAGTATTGTTATCAGCACACTGGAAGCAACTCAGCCCCTACAACACAGCAGGTTCTTAACTTTGAGGGACCAGAGAAAAAAACTGCAGGTGTGGGCCCAGCCACCAAGGACTAGAGCATGCAGCACGGCAGTGCTGGGCCAAGCCTTGGCCTTCTGAAATCATCCACAAATGAAGCCAACTGACTAAATCCAACTTACAACACAGTCAGAGCCTCAAGGCCCTCAGAGAACATAAAAGGAAAAAGCTCCATCCAAATGCAAGGACCTTCAAATATTAAAGGAACATCAGCCGAGACAGATGAGAAAGAACCTGGGCAAGAACTCTGGCAACAATAAAAGCCAGAATGTTTTCTTACCTCCAGATGACCACACTAGCTCCTGAACAATGGTTCTTAACCAGACTGAGATGGCTGAAATGACAGACATAGAACTCAGAATCTAAATGGAAATGAAGATTGTTGAGATTCAGGAGAAAGTTGAAACCCTATATGAGGAAAACAATAAAATTATACAAGAGTTGAAAGATAAAATAGCTATTTTAAAAAAGAACCAAACTGACCTGATGAAACTGAAAAATGCACTAAAAATGTCATAATACAATTGGAAGTATTAACAGAAGAATAGACCAAACTGGGGAAAGAAGCTCGGAGCTTGAAGACTGGTTCTGCAAGTTGACTCAGGAAAAAAAAGCAAAAGAAATAAAGATAAAGTCTCTTAAGAATTATGGGATTATGTGAAGATTCCAAATTTATGACTCATTGGCGTCCCTGAAAGAGAGGAAGAGAAAGCAAGCAATTTGGAAAACATATTTGAGGATATTGTCCATTAAAATTTCTTCAGTCTCACTAGAGAAGCCAACATTCAAACTCAGAGAATGCAGAGAACCACTGTGAGATACTATACAAGATGACCATCCCTAAGAAACATAGTCATCAGATTATCCAAGGTTGAAATGAAAGAAAAAAATGTTAAAGATAGTTAGAGAGAAGGACTAGGTCACCTACAAAGGGAACCCCATCAGGGTAATAGTGGACTTTTCTGCAGAAATCTTACAAAACAGAATAGACTGGGGACCTATTTTCAGCATTCCCAAAGAAATTCCAGGCAAGAATTTCATATGCAGCCAAACTCAGCTTCATAAGCAGAGGAGAAATAAAGTCTTTTTCAGACAAGCAAATGCCAAGGGAATTCTTTACTACCAGACTGACCTTACGAGAAGTTCTTAAGGGAGAGCTAAATATGGAAAGGAAAGACCATTACTGGCCACCACAAAAACATGGATAAGTACATGGACCATTGGCACTATAAAGCAACTATACAATCAAGTCTGCATAATAACCAACTAACAACATGATAACAGAATCTAATCTGCACATATCAATATTAGCCATGAATGTAAACAGGCTAAATGCCCCAAGGCACAGAGTGGCAAGTTGGATAAAAAAGCAAGACTCAAGTGTATGCTGTATTCAAGAGACTCATCTCACATGCACTGACACCCATAGGCTCAAATTAAAGGGAAGGAGAAAATTCTACCAAGTTAATGGAAAACATAAAATAAAAGTAGTTACTGTTCTAATTCAGAAAAAAACAGACTTTAAACCAACAGTGATCAAAAAAGACAAGGGCACTTTGTAATAGTAAAGGGTTCAATTCAGCAAGAAGACCTAACCTACCTAAATATATATTCATCCAACACAAGATCACCCAGATTCATAAAACTAGTTCTAAGAGACTTATGAAGAGACTTAGATAACAACACATTAATAGTGGGAGACTTCAACATCCCACCAATGTGTTGGGCAGATCCTTGAGACAGGAAACTAAAAAATATTTTCAGGACCTGAACTTGACACCTGACCAAATGGACGTAAGAACATCTATAGAACTTTCCACTTCAAAACGACAAAATATACATTTTTCTCATAAACACATGGCACATATGCTAAAATTGACCACAAAAATGGCAATAAAAAATTCTCAGCAAATGTTTAAAAACCTGAAATTACAGCAACCACACTTTCAGACCACAGCAAAATAAAAATAGAAATCAATACTAAGAAGATGACTCAAAACCATACAATTACATGGAAATTAAACAATCTGCTGCATGCATTTTGGGTGAAAAATGAAATTAAGGCAGAAATCAAGAAATTCTTTTAAGCTAATGAGAACAAAGATATAACATACCAGAATTTCTAGGACACAGCTAAAGCAGTATTAAGAGGTAATTTTATAGCAATAATTGCCCACATAAAAAAGTTAGAAAGATCTCAAATTAACAACCTAATGTCACATCTAGGAAAACTAGAAAAACAAGAACAAGGCAACCTCAAAGCTAGCAGAAAACAAGACATAATCCAAATCAGAGCTGAACTGAATGAAATTGAGATGTAAAAAAAACACAAAAGATCAAGGTGTTCAGGAGTTTTTTCTTTGAAAGAATAAATAAGATTGATATATAGCTAGCTAGCCTAATTTAAAAAGAGGATCAAAATAAACAATTATAAATGAAAAAGGAGATGTTACTACTGACTCCACAGAATTCGAAAAAACATCAGAGACTATATGAGCACCTATATGCACAAAAGCTAGAAAACCTATAAGGAATGGAGAAATTCCTGGTTCCATCACCACCTGCAAGACTTAACCAGGAAGAAACTGAGTCCCTGAACAGACCAACAGTGAGTTCCAAAATTGAATCAGTAATAAAATGCCTACCAATCAGAAAAAGCTCAGGGATCAGAGGGATTCACAGCCAAATTCTACCAGATATATAAAGAAGAGCTGGTACCATTCCTACTGAAACTATTCCAAAAAATTGAGGAGGAGGGACTCCTCTTTGATCCACTTTATGAGGCCAGCATTATTCTAATATCAAAACCTGGCAGAAACACAGCAGAAAAAGTAAACGTCAGGCCAGTACCCTTAATGAACATAGATGTGAAAATCTCAACAAAATACCCGTGAAATGAATCCAGCAGCACATCAAAAAGCTAATTCACCATGATCAAGTAGGCTTTATGTCTGAGATACCAGGTTTGTTCAACACATGCAAATCAACACATGCAATTCATCACATAAAAAGACTAAAAAACCACATGATCACCTCAATAGATGTAGAAAAGGCTTTTGATAAAATTTAACATCCCTTGTTGTTAAAAGCTCTCAACAATGTAGGCAATGGGGGAGCATATCTCAAAATAATAAGAGCCATCAATGAGAAACCTGAAGCCAATATCATACAGAATGGGAAAAAGCTGGGAGCATTCCCCTTGAAAATCAGAACAAGACAAGAATGCCCATTCTCACTGTTCCTTTTCAATATAGTGGTGGAAGACCTAGTCAGAACAATCAGGCAAAAGAAATAAATAAAAGGCATCCAAATAGGGAGAGAAGAAGTCAAACTATCTATGTTTGCAGACAATAGGATTCTATACCTAGAAACCTCATAGTTTTTGCCCAAGAACTCCTAGGTCTAATAAACAACTTCAGCAAAGTTTCAGAGTACAAAATCAGTATATGAAAATTGGTAGCATTCCTATACACTGACAACGTCCAAGCTGAGAACCAAATCAATACAATCTCATTCACAATAGCCCCCAAAACAATAAAATGCCTAAGAATACAGCTAACCAGGTAGGTAAAAAAATCTCTACAACGAGAATTACAAAACACTGCTGAAAGAAATCAGAGATGATGCAAACAAATGGAAAAACATTTCATGCTCATGAATAGGAAGAATAAATATTGTTAAAATGGCCATACTGCCTAAAGCAGTTTATAGATTCAGTGCTACTCTTATCAAACTACCAATGACATTCTTCACAAAATTAGAAAAAAAACTATCTTAAAAGTCATATGAAACCCCAAAAAGGCTGAATAGTCAAAGCAGTTCTAAGCAAAAAGAACAAAACTGGAGGCATCATGCTACCTGACTTCAAACTATACTACAGGGCTAACGGTAGCCAAAGCATTATGGTATTGGTACAAAAACAGACACATAGACCAATGGAACCAAATAGGGAGCCCAGAAATGAAGCCACACATTTACAGCTGTCTGATCTTTGACAAAGCTGATGAAAACAACCAATGCAGAAATGACTCCTTATTCATAGTGCTGGAATAACTGACTAGCCATATGCAGAATATTGAAACTGGACTCATTCCTGACACCATGTACAAAAAGCAACTCAATATAAATTAAGTAATTGTAAAAACTAAAACTATAAAACCCTGGAAGATAACCTAGTAAATAGCATTCTGGATGTAGGCCCTGGCAAGCATCTCATGATGAAGATACCAAAAGCACTTGCAACCAAAACAAAAATTGACAAGTGGAACCTATTTAAACTAAAGTGCCTCTGCATAGCAAAGGAAACTATCAACAGAGTAAACAGACAGCCTTTAGGATGGGAGAAGATATTTGCAAACTATGCATCTGAAAAAAGTCTAATATCTGGAATCTATAAGGAACTGAAACGAATTAACAAGCAAAAAGCAACCAACCGCATTAAAAAGTGGGCAAAGGACATGAACAGTTTTCAAAAAAAGACATACACATGGACAACAAGCATATGAATAAATGCTCAGCATCACTGATCATTAGAGAAATCAAATGCAAATCACAATGAGATACCATCTCTTACCAGTTGGGATGGCTGTTATTAAAAAAGTTAAAAAATAACAGATGCTGGTGAGGTTATAGAGAAAAGGGAACACATATACACTGCTTGTGGAAGTGTAAATTAGTTCAACCATTGTGGAAAGCATTGTGACAATTTCTCAAAAGCCTTAGAACTACCATTCAATACAGCTATGCCATTACGGGGTATATATTAATACCCAAGGATTATAAATCATTCTACCATAAAGACACATGCATGCCTAATGTTCATCGCAGCACTCATGGCAACAGCAAAAGACATGGAATCAACATAAATGCCCTTCAACAGTAGACTGTATAAAGAAAATATGGTAGATATATACCATGGAATACTACACAACCATAAAAAAGAATGAAATCGTGTCCTTTGTAACAACATGGATGGAACTGGAGGCTCTTATCCTAAGTGAACTAATGCAGGAACGGAAAACCAAATAACACACATTGTCGCTTGTAAGTGGGAGCTAAACATTGACCACACATGGCATAAAGGGAAATAGACAACAGGGGTTGAGGTGGGAGGCTGGAAGTAGGGTAAGGATTGCAGATACTATAGTCACTACTTGGCGATGAAGTCATTTGCATACTAAGCCCCAGCAATATGCAATTTACCCATGTAACAAACCTGCACATGTACCTGCTGAACCTACAATAAAAGTTGGAAGAAAAAAAATCAGAGGACTTTTAAAAACCAAAATAATAGACTCAAGTTAAAAAAAGTATTAAAGTTATACCAAACAAAGATCAGTTAGCATGTAATTTCCTTGAGTTTTTCATTTCCTGTTTTATAAGAGTTCTCTCATGGCCTCTGCATTCTGCAGTTTTTACAAAAGGCACTACCTAGCATTGTGATTCAGAAGCACCCATCAGCAATATCCTTTAGGACATGATTCTAAATGTTACAGAAAAACTGGGACAGTGGGCTATGGTTATCATTGTACTGGATAGGCATGCACATGCCAATTAATAGGTGTTCCTAGTTGATACAATTCCGTCTTAACCTACTTAAAAAGTATATCTAAAATGTCAGAAATGGAAGGAAGCTTAGAGTTATTGATGTCATTTGTCTCCAGCTGCCATTTTACAGTTGGGGAAACTGAGGCCCAGTTGGTTTTGTGACGTTGACATAATCTTTTAGATGACAGAGAGGCTTGGAAAAGCTTGAGCTGCAGGCTAGGAACAGTCATTGCATTTTACTATTTTGTGACTTATAGGCAGTGCCAGAGAGCTACCCGAGCAACCAAATTGATTTTACACCTGTGTGCACACACAAAACAGCAATTAGGAAACAGTGTGTAGCAGATTTTGACATGTATGAAATTATGGAACCAATTACTTTTTACAAGTCAACTCATGACAGTCATTTCAAACAAAGCAGACTCTGGAATCTGTTCCTTAAGGATATGGTTGACAGATTATCAGTGCATTTAAACCTCATTTCTGGAGATTATATTGGAGAGGTTGAGCTGAGGAGCAGATTGAAGATGTTAATTTAAATTAACGATTTGTTATTTTAATGGTTGCTTCTTTTTAAAAAGTGTGCAGTTAAATAGCTTTTGCTTGCCAGTGAGTTATAATGCAAGGAATGGGTATTCTAGGTGTTTAGAGATGTAAGTGCTAATCTTGTTTTTCTACTTCTTCATGTTGTTTACTACTTGTAGGGCCTTGAGAAAATTACAGAGCCCTCTGGACCTCAGTTGACCTATCTGTTAGATGGGCATATTAATGTCTGTTTCCTCAAAGCAGATAACAAGACTAAGTGATACCTTGAAAACCCACAAAAATGGGGAATGAATGAGAGAATGAATGTCAGGGGACTCATTCAAAAGTCCCTAAAAACAGGATACTCTTTGAAATGGAGGAGCAGTTGAGAGTCAGGAAAACCTAGGTTCAAATCTGTTAGTAAGTATGCTTATGACCTTTGACCCCTCTGTGTTTGGGAAGAAAAGCAGACTTAAAGAACCATTAAAACTAACTGAGTGATTGCAAGAAAATACCTGGTACCATGTCCAGCATACTTGCTAGGTCATCATTAAAATTAGTGGAGGCAGATAGCCCCATCTAAAGACTGTGTGCAGACTTCCACTTCTGTCCATAAAGGCGTCTCTGTTACAGGACTTGCCTTTCTGTCAGAAAAAAGCAGAAAACTTGATAACTTACACAGAACAGTGGTTTCTGAATATTGGATGGCAGGAAATACAGGACTGTGCTTCATGAAAGAATGCAAACAAATCAGATGAACTTTATGTTTACCTCAACTTTCTTCCTAGAGGTGCATTCTGCACTGTGGCATGGGGAAGAAGAACTGAAACAAAGCCTGATGATCTCACTGAGGCAGAAGTCAAGGTCTAGGGATGCTGAAGCAATTAGAATTTGAGGTGCAGAGCAATGGATGGAAGGTAGTTGCAGAGAGAGACAAGGAGGAAGAGAGCACACCCTAGAGTTCACAACTATTATAAGTATGATCAATAGGACTAAGTAAAATATGACATGTTGAGGCGAGAGAGAATATAAAAACCAAATGGAGCTTCAGGAATTAAAAAAAATACACTACCTGAAATAAAACTTTTGCTGGATTAGCAGTGGGTTAAACACTGCAGAAGAAAAAATGCATGAACTTGAAAACACAGGAATAGGAACTAACAAAGTGAAACACATAGAAAAGACTGAAAAAAGACCAAAGCTTCAGTGACCTGTGGGACAGTATCAAGCAGCCGAACAATCTAATGTGCAATTAAAGTCACAAAAGGGGAAAATGGAAAAAGAAATTTGAAGAAATTAGAGCAGAAAATTTTCAAATTTTTCAAGAATTTTCAAAAAATTTTTAAACTTTTCAGCAATACTGTGTTAAACACTGCAAAGCCACAAATTCAAGAAGCTCAACAAAACTTTAGCAACATTAACACACACACAAAATCCACAGAGGCTCATAGTAATAAAGCTTTTAAAAATCAATGATAAAAAGAAAACCTCAAAGCAATCAGAGAAAGATACATACAGAGGAACAAAATTAAGAATGACTATAGACTTCTCATCAGAAATTGTGTAAATTAGAAGACAAGGGAACAATATTTTTAAGACACTGAAAAGAAAACAGAAAATTCTATACCCAGAAAAAAATGTTTGAAACATGAAGACAAATGAAGAACCTGTCACATTGGATAAAAAAGCAGGATTCAACTTTATGCTGAATACATAAAACTCACTTTAATTGGACATACAGATATATAAAAATAATGGAATATGCTATACCATAGAAAAACTAATAATAACATTGTAATAGCAATATAAATATGCACATAGATTTAAAAACAAGAAATATTAATGGGTATGACATGGGCGTTTCATAATGATAAAGGATCATTTCTTCAAAAAGACCTATAATCTGGAATGCATATGCCCCTAATAACAGCTCAAGATACATGAAGTAAAACAAATAAAAGAAATAGACAAGTCCATGATTAGAGATGTAAATTTTAACCTTATTTTCTCTACAACTGATAGAACATGTAGAGGAAAAAATCTGTAAGGATATTGAAAATTTGATCAACATTATAGATCAACTCGACCAAATTGATATTTAGGGAACATCCGATCCTACAAGAGCAGAATACACATTTTTTAAAGTGCACATAGAGTAGCCACTGTATTAGTCTATCACACTGCTAATAAAGACATACCTGAGGCTGGGTAATTTATAAAGAAGAAGACGTTTAATGGACTCACAGTTCTACATGGCTGCGGAGGACTCACAATCATGGGAGGAGCAAAGGCACATCTTACATGGCAGCAGACAGGAGAGCATGTTCAGGGGAGCTGCCCTTTATAAAACCATCAGATCTTGTGAGACTTATTCACTATTATGATGAGAACCGCATGGGAAAAACTTGCCCCCATGATTCAATTACCTCCCACTGGGTCCCTCCCATGACATGTGGGGATTATGGGAGCTACAATTCAAGATGAGATTTGGGTGAGGACATGGCCAAATTATATCAGCCACCAACATAATCATACCTTTGGCCATAAGACAATACATTTAAGTAGCAAAATACTGTGGAGTATTTTCTCTTACCAAAAAAGTATTAAATTAGAAATCACTAACAGAAAAATATTTGGAATTTCCCTAAACATTTGAAAATTAAGCACTAACTTGTAAGGAATCCCTGAGTGAAAGAATCATAAAAGAAAACAAAAAGTGAACTAAATGAACATGAAAACAAAAAAATAGCAAAATTTATGGAATGGATCCAAATCAGTGCTTAGAGATTCGTTTATGGTGTTAAATTATATTAGAAAAGAAGAAAGATGTCAAATAATTTAAGTTTGCCCCTTAAGAATCTCAAGAGAAGAAGATCAAGTTAAACCCAAAGTAGAAGAAAGAAAACAGTAAAGATCATTAACATAGAAAATAGACCAATAGAGAAAATACTAATAAAATTTAAAGCTGGTTCTTGAAAAGATCAGTAAAATTGACAAATCTCTCACCAGAGTGATCAAGAAATGAGAGAAAATGCAAATTATCAGTATCAGGAATAAACATAGGAATATCATCACACATTCTATGGATAGTAAGAGGATAAATATTATGACCAACCAACTGTATATCAATAAATGTAACAGCTTAGATGAAGTGCACAAAGTCTTTGAGAGACCTGTTCATCAAAAGTGACCTCAGAATAGACTGAAATCCCTATATCAATTAAATAAATTTGATTTGTAATTAAAATAATTCCATTATTAAATGCAATGTGGTGTCCTGGATTGGATACCCAGAGAGAAAAAGGATGGTAATAAAAAACTGGTGAAGTCTGAATAGTCTGTAATTTAGTTAACAGTAATATACCCATACCCTTGTTAATTTCTGTTTTCTGTTTTTTTTTTTTTTTTTTTTTTTTTTTGAGATGGAGTCTTGCTCTGTCACCCAGGCTGGAGTGCAGTGGTGTGATCTCAGCTCACTGCAACCTCCGCCTCCCAGGTTCAAGTGATTCTCCTGCCTCAGCCTCCTGAGTAGCTAGGACTACAGGTACCCACCACCACACCCAGCTAATTTTTTGTGTTTTTAGTATAGACGGGGTTTCACCGTGTTAGCCAGGATGGTCTCGATATCCTGAACTCGTGATCCGCCTGCCTCAGCCTCCAAAAGTGCCGGGATTACAGGTGTGAGCCACCACACCTGGCCTGCCCATGTTAATTTCTTACATGGTTATGTAAGATCTTAACTTTAGGGCAGCAGTTCTCCACTATGCAATAATTTTTTTCCCTGGGGAACTTCTCCAATATCTGAAGACATCTTTGGCTGTCACCATTGAGGGAACAGTGTTACCAGTATCTAAGGTAGAAGCCTAGGATGCTAGCAAAGATCTATAGTGCACAAGACAGTCCCCCACAACAGAGAATGATCTTGCCTGAAATATTAATTGTGCCAAGGTGGAAAAAACCCACATTCAAGGGCACTGTGAGAGGTGAATCGGGATGATGGACTATGTTCGCAACTGTTCTGTAAATCTACAATTATGCTAAAATAAAAGTTTATTTAAAAATGCTTCACTTAAAGAAAACCCCAGGTTCAGCTAGCCTCACTGGTTACTTCTATCAAACATTTGAGGAGTAAATAATACCAATTCTACACACAATTTTAAAATATATGAGGAAATATTTCTACCTGTTTTATGAGGCTGCTATGTTCCTTCCTACCCTTCCTCTCCTTCCTCTTTCTCATCCATCACTTCTTTTTTTAAATCTTTTTCTAAATATATGGCCATTTTATTTCACAGCAAAGAGTATTTTAATATAATTATAGAAAAATGAGGATAATCAATGGGTGTCTTCTCAATTACATTTTTCTCATTTTATTTTTGAGTTTACCGTACCTAGTTAACTCTGCCTCAGTAATGGGATCTTGGACCTGGCATATGGGGTAGGGGTTGGAGGCTAGTGATATGGTGGCTTTACATGTGGACATCTTTGGTCATGCATGTTCAGGCAAGTTCACAGAGGCAAGCACAATCACTTCTCGGTAATTTGCTCTGAGCTAGATATCATATGCAACTAGATGACTTTTCTTAGTGTTTGGCTTCCTCAGTAACCAGATATATTGAACTTAGTAGAGAAATAGAATTACCCAATGTACATCTTTGCAAACAATATAATTATATCACTGTTAATGTCTCTGTTGCCCCTGGAAATCTTCCTGAATGTCTTTGGGAGTCATGAAGTATTGGTAGCCTGACTCATCCATCAGAATAGCTCCTAATTTAGGACAAACAATTATATGTAAATCTTTTCTCTCCCCTGTGTCAATTTACCAATCAAAAACCCAGAGCAAGGAGAAGCTTTGGCATCTTCACTAACCTGGAAACTAGCAGTTTTCTCTGGGGACTTTAAGGGAACATGGGTTAATGGGAGAATTTCATTATTGGGTGAAATCTTGGCATGCTTGGGGACCAATTAGGGAACTCTTGAAGTCATCCCTTTCACAACCTAACAATAACTTCAATTACAATAATTTAGAAAATTGCATACCCTAGATATTGGCTCCCTAACTTTTAAAGAAACATTTTGCTCTGTTTTATTAAAAGTTTACGTTTCACTGAAACATACATATTATATAATAGGAATGTGTTGTAAACACATTCACAAGGTGTGGCTCAATGCCATGGCTTAACCTGATCCCTGCAGTTTCCTGCTGTTCTCATTACACTCCATGCCAAAGTTGTTGGTTTAAGTTTCTCTTCCTTTCCTTTCTTTTCTCCTTTCCTTTCCTTCCTTTCCTTCTTTTTTTTTCCTTTCTTTATTTTTCTGAGGCAAGGTCGCACTTTGTCAGCCAGGCTAGAGTGCAGTGGTGCAATCACACTCACTGCAGCCTTGACTTCCCAAGCTCAGGTGATTCTCCCACCTCAGCCTCCCGAATAGCTGGGACTACAGGTGTGTGCCATCACACCCAGCTCATTTTTGTATTTTTTGTAGAGACCCGGTTTTGCTATATTGCCCTGGCTAGTGACAAACTTCTGGGCTCAAGAGGTTTGCCCACCTCAGCCTCCCAAAGTGTGGTTTAAGTTCCTAAAAGAAGTATTCTAGGTTCACCCTAATTCACTTCGTATTTTCTTCTTATAGAAACTTGAGAAGTTAAAGTTTTATTAATATTTTAAAGGAATAAGGGTATTTGCAAAACATCCAAAGCAGCATTCCCTGTACACAACTCTACAGAAAATATAAGCATATACTTGTGTTGAAAAATAGTTTTGGGTTTGTCAGAATATTAGAAATATTACACATGATTGATTAGAGGCAGGGAAGACACGTAAAAGTCTGCTAATGAAGATATATAAAATGAGGGATTGTAATATAGAACATTATACTTGAAGTAGGAATTCAAGAAGGTCCTAAAAATGTTGCCTGAATGAATAAGTAAATGTACTCAATTAATTTTTGTTCATACTTTTGATATTTTGGATATAATAAATCAACCTCTACTCACCAGGAATATCTGTGCTCTCTCTTTAGGGATGAGACAAAATTATGTATGGAAACAATATATGCTAGTGCTCAATTGTAAACTGCAGACAATAAACGAGATCTCTATTTCACTTGCTAGGTAAAAGCATTTTTCAGAGTATCTAGGTAAGTTGTTTTTCGAATTTAGCCAAGAACTACTAGATAAATAATAAATTGAGTCCCAACTGGTCATTAGTTGAGGTATGTTGCAGCAGGAAGAGAGGAGGCTTATAGATATTTGGGATCTGTAAAGGCTTTGGTGGAGCCCAGGGAGAGAATCTTCACAAACATATTTATGAGAGTTTTTTGAACAGTCCATTTTTCCACTTCTAAAATTCCTATTGATGAGTTATTCTCTCATGAATGAAATGACACATCTACAGGTTAAGATGTCACTGAAAGCCACTAACTCATTATCAGTAGGAAATACATTTTGTGTTGTACACTCTGGAGACTATGGAAGGGATGCCTTTGAGATGAGTTCCCATTCCCTTTGTGGTGGCATGGTTTGGATGTTTGTCCCCTCTAAAACTCAGGTTGAAATTTAATTGTCGTTGTAACAGTATTAAGAGGTGTTACCTTTAAGAGATGATCAGATCATATGGGCTCTGTCCTGTTGGTTGAGGTTAATACCTTATAAATGAGTGAGTCTGGCCCTCTCTTGCCCTTTTGTTGTCCTTTTGCCATGTGGGGAACCAGCCACTTTTACCTCTGGAGAATTCAACAGGAAAGGCCCTGTCTTGGAAGAAGAGAATGGTCTTGCCAGACACTGGAACTTCTGGTGCCCTGACCTTAAACTTGCCCGCTACCAAAACTGTAAGGAAATAAATTTCCTTTCATCATAAATTATCTTGATGTAGGAGATAAGCAGGACTTGTTTCCCAAGCACCAGAAACAACACCGTTAATCAAAAAGAGGATGGAGTAAAGAAACTGGCAGAAACCAGCACATGGCAATGACCTCTGGTTGCCCTCACTGCTCATTATTAAAGACACTCCCACAGGTGCCATGACAGTTTACAAATATAATGTCAATGTGCCATAGTAATAACCTGGAAATGACCTTATATGGTTCCAGGAACCTCCGTTCTCTTTTCTAGAAAATTCCAAATCAACCACCCCTTAATTGGATTATAATTAAGAGCGGATGTAAATACAGCTAGCCAGAAATTCCTGCTGCGGCTGCTGGGACTCCTGCTCCTGTTCTGACTGTTGTTCGGGACTGCTGCTGCTTTAGGCTGCTCTGCCTATGGAGCTGCTACTTTGCTGTACACTGCTACTCTGCGATCCTCTGCCTATGGGATAGCCCTGCTCTATCTGTGGAACAGTCATTTTGCTAGACACTATTGCTCTAATAAACTTGCTTTCTTTCACTGTTGCCTTGCTCTTGAATTCTTTCCTGTCCAAGGCCAGGAACCTATCTGAGCTATGCCCCAATTTTGACGTTTGCCTGCATCATTCCCATGTCAGGTATTCTGTTATATCAGCTCAAACAAATGAAGATGTTGCAAATGTGGAGAAACTTGAATGCACTTATAACCATGGAACAGTGTTTGATTAGTGAAAAGCAATTTAATACCTTTGCTTCATTCAACTAAGTTTATTATCACAAACTCCTGATAATAAAAGGTATTTAGTGAACATATTGAATGAGTAGGTGAACTTGGTTGTAGAACATGATAATCAATAACTTCACATAATGAAGAAAAACTTTCTCCATCATTGGGCCAACCATATTTTTCTGATCTAAACAGTTTCCCATTTCTATTTTTTATATATTTACAAATGAGATGATTGAGATACAAGTACTTTAGGGCATTTGTTCTACACTGATTTGAATAGAAACTATGTCTATTGCAGAGGACCCTGTTGGTGCTCATCTGGATCCTCTCCCACCCCTTTCCCAGCCTTTGCACATTTTTCTGCTAAAAGCAGGTTCCTGTGACCTTCAGAGGATGGCCCTTGCGTTTTGGAACCTCCTTGTCCCTTGGAGTCAGGGATGTTTTATCACTGGCTTTCCTCCTCTGCAGTCTACCTACGGCTGAATGGCTTTCTGGTATATTCACGCAAAAGCCCAGCTTTGTTGACTCCATAGAGGCAGACTTTGAGGGATTGTAATATAAAAATTACAAAGTATTACTTAAAGTAGGAATTTAAGAAGGTCCTAAAAATGTTGGCTGAATGAATAAATAAATGTACACAATCAATTTTGGCCCATACTTTTGATATTTTTGGATATAATAAAACAGCCTCCACTCACCAGTAATATCTGTGCTCTTTAGGGACATTATGTCTGAAAACAATATATGCTACTGCTCAATTGTAAAGTGCAGAGCTCCCAGCAGGATCTGAAGTCAGACCCTTCTTGGCTTCTTCTCCCTTTTCTGTTATCCTTCTGACAACACTTTCTTACTGATTTCTTCTGAGAGCATTTTCTTAAAACATCATTGCACTCAAATCACTGGCTCAGGTTCTGCTTCCCGAAGAGCTTGTTTGTAGGACACCCGTACAATTACGAAAGGAAGTGACCGTGGACTCACACAGGGATTCTTTTATAATACCAAACACTAGGGTTTATAAAGAGGTTGAAACTCTCTTCTGCTTCAGTATTCTGTAACCACATGCCCTATTTTTTTTTTTGAGACAGTTTCACTCTTGTCGCCTAGGCTGGAGTGCAATGGCGCAAGCTCAGCTCATTGAAACGGCTGCCTCCCGGGTTCAAGCGATTCTCCTGCTTCAGCCTTCTGAATAGCTGGGACTACGGGCGTGCGCCACCCTATCTAATTTTTTTGTATTTAATAGAGACGGGGTTTCACCCTGTTAGTTAGGGTGGTCTCAAACTCCTGACCTGAGGTGATCCATACACCTCGGCCTCCAAAAATGCTGGGATTACAGGCGTGTGCCACCGCACCCGGCCAACCACCTGCCCTATTTTTGGCTCATAAAACCCACAAGTGTATTTGCATGAGGGACGTTAACAGATTCCCTATCATCTAGCTTATCTGTCAGGAATATATTGTAGTATCTATCTTTAAAGGGTCTAAATGGAATTTTTTTGCCACAAAAGCACTAAATTCTAGTCAACAACGTCCATTATTAAGAATTCCATAATATATTTACACCATATTCTCATGAATTCAATGTGTCTCATTCACTTGTTGAATAAGTGGACATTTATTTAAAATATTCAATATCCACTTATTCTAGGGAATTATTAATATTCATTTTATATGGATTTTAATCATTCCTTTAATACAAGTGAAAGAAACAATAATGGTGCATATAAAATATGTACACTAAAATGATATCTGAGTTTTGTAAAAACACAAGGTTGAAAAATGGGAGGCTTGGCAGCCCATGTGACAATTCACTTGATCAAGGCTGTCTTGGAGCATGAATTTGCTTATGAGGCTTTAAAGTTATTTATCAACTTCTATGCTCAGTGGAATTAAAGAGAGTTACTGAAGCATCATAATTAGAAGACTAATAATTTGGAATAAGGTTTAAGCTTGTTTAAGCCAGTGAATATATACAGGTAAAGTTTACCTTTGCTATCATTAAGAGAGATACTAAATAATTGAGAGAGATATAATACAAGTTTTTCATCATTTGAATGTAGGAAGAGCTTCTGATTCAGCCAACAGTAATTGAGATTCACTTATTTTCCAGGACCCATGGTAGTCACTTTGTGTACATTATCTTACTTATTCTTAACTACAACCTGTGAGACAGGTATTATTTTCTCTGTGTTGCAATGAAGGAAACAGTGTTGGAGAGGGAAATTGCCTCAAATCACATAGCAGTAACTAGCAGAGATGGGATTCATGTCTGGGTCTACGAGATTCAGTTTCTCTGCTTTTCAGCGTTACTCAACTGCTTCAAAGATAAACTTGGTCTTCTACATGTCTAATTGAGAAGGACAATGTTGCTAAGCAATTGAATTGGCCACCTATACCATGATCATTTTAAGCCTGATGTATTCCTGGGCAATTCATATTGATATTTAGATTATTTTATCTTTTGATATTTTTATGCCAGGATGCTGTAAGAAAGGTTTTCCTATTTCTGAGTAATACTTGGTAGAGAAAATAAATCACAGGGTGGAAAGTATTCATGCGCAACATTCTACTACTTATTCGTGGGAGAAGTGAAAAATACTGTCAGCCACTGACAAGCATCTGATTCCTCTTTCCGTGTTTATGTTGGTTTCATATCACTCAGAGAGGAAAAGTGCTTGCCTTTTGGTTTATGTTCACTGACAATGATATGTCCATGATGATTAATTACGCTGCTCTAATATTTTGTTGTGGTACTTACCTCTGTAGCTCCAACTCTGGAGCAAATAAATGTCTTATGTCTTGCTGTAGAAAAACAGTTAAACTTGTTTTCTTTTAAGCAAGTGATACATAGCTTGTATTGGATGCAGTATTTTAAAGACTAATTTGGAAGCTAGATTTCTATTTTTGAGGGGCTAGTGGTCCCTAATTTGAAGTTGAGACTATGGAACTAACTGTTTTCATGGCCACATCTCAGATACTGCAGGTGTGAATTTAAAGGAATTTTAAGAAGTATTTGTAAGCCTTGAAAATGTTCATACCCTGTAGTTGAACTTCTGTGAGTCTATCCTAACAAATTACCAGAGATGCGAAAAATAACTGAAGTACAAACATAATCATTTAAGGATTACATTATAGGGATAAAGTGGAATATCCCAAGATCCAAGTCAAAAGGACAAATAAGTAAATCTTGAAATACCTATGACAGAATTCTGCACACCTTTTAAAGACCATGTTTACACCAGTTTTAATTTTATAAGAGTTCTTTATGATATAATGTTAAGTGTAAAAATAAGGATATGGACTTGTTAATGCAGTATCACCTGAAAAAAATACTTGTGAAAAGAAGGAAATGTGTTAATATTAAATAGCCTCTATTTTTGGATAGGGGAACTATAGATAATTTTTGTTTTCCTTTCAAAATATTCTTGGCTGGGTGCAGTGGCTCACGCCTGTAATCCCAGCACTTTGGGAGGTGGAGGTGGGCAGATCGATTGATCCCAGGAGTTAGAGACCAGCCTGAGCAACGTTGTGAAACCCTGTCTCTACAAAAATGAGCTGGGCTTGGTGACACATATCTGTAGTCCCAGCTACTCAGGAGGCTGAGGTGGGAGGATCACCTGAGTCTGGGGAAGGTCAAGGCTGCGTTGAGCTGTGATCGTGCCACTGCACTCCAGCGGGGGCGACAGAGTGAGATTGTCTCAATTTTTAAAATTCTCTGTTTTTCTGAGTTTTCAACAATATTCACATATTTTAGCAGTATACATTTGTCACAAAATGTAGGCAAAGATTAGAGTCTTTTTAGAAAATTTATAATTTAAATTTTTTTGTCTAGCAAGATATGCACAACATTTTGATTCTAGAGCAAGAGTGCACAAATTACCCCCCTTTGGTCATATCTGGCCTGCTCCCTGTCTTTGTAAATAAAGTTTTATTGTAACATATCTATTATGCCCATTCATTTACCTATGTCTATGGCTGCTTTTGCATTCCAACAGCAGAGTTGAGTAGTTATAACTGTAAAGCCTAAAATATTTACTACTGGACCTTCCAGATTTCCCATCCCTTGTTCTAGTAAGAAAACTATTTAAGTAAGTAAATATATACTTATATGATATCTAATTTTCTTTGAAAAATGGTCCAGTTTCATATATGTATTCTGGAAGAAAATGCTTTTTCTTAAAAGCAATGGGAGAGGCTAGAGATAACTCTCAATTTGTACTATGTACACACTCATATTCACAGATAGACCTTGGTACTTGGTAAGCTCATGGTTTATCTATTCCTAAAATAATCTTTCCAAGACTAAGAACTTTGGAAAAATACTAAGTGGTTGGAACTAATGACAGAATTCCCTTTTAGATATTATACAGTGAAAAAAAATGAGGGTATTCTTTAATCTCTTCTCTCCAACCTTTGACTTTTTGTTGCCTATTTTTACATTTTCTGGGTGTAGAATATTCACATTCTGTTATATAACCACAATTCACCCTGTTTCCATGTTGCTTTTGAAAAATTGTGAAGCCAACCTCACTTAAATGTAAATATATTTATTCTTGAATAACTTAAGAATTTTTCCCTTATGCTTAGGGTATAATATGTTAAACTAAGATAAAGTTGTGCTGAACATTTTGTGTCAAATTTCCACATAATGAAGTGTGAACTCTTTTGTTCTGGAGTCAGGTCTCCATCTCCCCTTTCAGGGAAATTTTCATTATTGTTTTATACTTCTTGGGTTATATTTATTGATCCTTTAGGAACATCAATAATTTGGATTCTGATAACCAGCCAGTAAGTTGCATTCTTTGTCATTCTTCCTTATCTACTTGCTTTTCTCTAACTCTTTCAATTTTATGGTCTTTCAAATCTGCATTTATTGCTGTTAAGCATTTCCTATTAATCAACATTTTACTTTTCAGTTATATATTTTCAGATTCATTTTGTTTATATAATTCATTTATTGGTCCTGGAATGATAAGACTTTTTGTCTTCGATTTGTTTCCTGAGTCTGCATTTTCTTCTTCTTTTTGTTCTGTCACATGTCTCTTTGAAGTCTTGTTTTCATTGAGTCCAAGTCCTTATTATATTGTCCTGCAGTATAAAGCACTTGGAGAAATGTTTTCTACTTTGGAATATGTTCTCCTGTAGGTTAGGTGCCATTTTATTCATTCAGGTAGATAGATGGATGCATATGTATATATCCATATGTACAAGCACAATTTTTAAAGCTTCTTTCTTTTTTTTTTGATTTTTAGAGTGCTGGCTTTCCCTATTGACCTGCTGGGTTTCTAGATCTCGCATACCTTCTCTTTTCTGTAACATGGTATTGGTGATTTGTTTGCCTCTCAGTTCTGTGGCTCCATGGCCATTGTTCTGACTACTACATTTGTTATGTTTTAACTTTTGTTCTGTTTCTGGAGAAATGGTAATGGAGGGCATGGTATGGGGGGCAAGGGTGATGCTCTCAGCTCAGTTTCCACTCTGGGTTCTGAGATTCTGTTAAATATCCTATACTGGAGGTTACTAGACTTATTAAGAAAATATGCCCCAGCGTGAAGGCATTGCTCTCAGCCTTCAGAGCATTCCTCCAATTAAGAATTGAAGCTTTTCCTTTTCTTAGGATGTATCATCCCCAGCATCCATTTCTACCTCTACTTAGCATAGGAAAATGGTAAGGTTACTGATAATAGTTTGGATGTTTGTTCCTTCCATATCTCATGATGAAATGTAATCCCCAATGTTGGAGGTGGGGCCTGGTGGGAAGTGTTTGGGTGATGGGGGTGGATCCCTCATGAATGGCTTGGTGCTGTCCTCATGATAGTGAGTTCTTGCAAGATCTCATTGTTTAAAGTGCATAACACCTCCAGCTCCCTGTTGTTCCCGCTCTCACCATGTGATGTGCCTGCTTCCCCTTTGCCTTCTGCTATGATTGTAAGCTTCCTGAGGCCTCACTAGAAGTTGAGCAAATCCCAGCATCATGCTGCCTATACAACCTGTAGAACCATGAGCCAATTAAACTATTTTCAAAATAAATTACACAGCCTCAGCTAGTTATTTATAGCAATGCAAGGATGGCCTAACACAGGTACCTACAGAGTGGTTTGCTTCTCACCTGATTTGAGAATATTAGTGAAAGTTCTAGGAATTTTTTTTTCAACTATTCTGTGTGGGATTTGAGAGGACAATAAGTACAGGCACTGGCTTTGCTTTATTTCTTAGCTCTGCTCTAGAATTTTATATTTACCTGCATGCCAACTTATTTTAACTTCATGGCATTAGATTACTCCGTTCTCCTTGGTTATTTGTTACTGGGCAACTTTTTTGTGGGGACAGTGCTATTTTTTGCTCATCTGTTTAGATTTTGGAGAAGGAAGATTCTGTTACTAGTTGTCACTCTATTGTCTTTACTCAGAAGTTCTGTAGCTCTATGCTAATTGTGTATGGAGTTTTTTTTTTTTCTCATTTAAGTCTTTACCTTAGCGTCATTTTTCAAATAGTATGTTTTTATTATTTTGTTTCTTTTTAAAAATATCCTTTATTTTTTGGAATGGCTTTAGATTTTATAGAAAAAAGTGAAGATAATATGAGAGTTCCTATGTACCCTGTACCCATTTTTATTATATAAGATCAAGGGTTCTGCCTTAGTTCATTTAGACTACTATAACAAATTATTACAGACTGTGAGGGTTATAAGCAAGAGAAATGTATTTTTCACAGTATTTGAGAGTAGAAAGTCCAAGATCATGTTTCCAGTAGATTCAGTGTCTGGTGAGGGCCTGCTTACTGGTTCACAGATGGCTTTGTTCTGTGTCCTCACAGGATGGAAGGGGCAAGGGATCTCTCTGGGGTCTCTTTTATAAGGCTGCTAATCTCATTTATGAGAGTGCTACCTTCATGACCTCATCTCCTCCCAAATACTCTACCTCCTAGTACCAATGTCTTGGGGGTTAGAAATTCAACATATGAATTTTCAGGAGCCATAAACATTCAGTCTGTTGTAGGTACATGCTAACAACATGAATTTTCACTGTTGATGTTGACTTGATGATGTGGGTGAGGTAGTGTCTGTCAGGTTTCTCCATTGGAAAATTACTCATTTTTTCCCTCTTCGTGCATTGTGCTCTTTGGAAGGAAATTACTACATGCAGCCCATAATGAGTGGGGAGTGATGTACCACTTCCTTGAGGGCAGATTATATACATAAATAATTTGGTATTCTTTTGCATGGGAGATTTTTCTTGTATCCCCAATTTATTTATTGATTCAACCAATCATTTACATCGGTAAGGACTCATGGGCTTTTTATACCTTGGGTTATCATCCAATACTACCTGAATTATTTTGTTGCTGAAATTTCTCCAGTTTTGGCCACTAGGAGCTCTTTCAGCTGGCTCATGTGTCTCTTTGACATAAGCTCATCAATGTGCTTTTGTTTTCTAGTACTTCCTTATTGTATATTTTCTGCCCCAGTAGTAGAATTCGTCATTTCTCCAAGGAGCTTTGGTTCCTTTTATCACAGAATGATATTAGAAACACAGAACTGGGCACTATATATGCTCATTGCTACTCAAGTATCAATGCTTCTGGACTTCCTTAGCTGATAGAGCAAAGAAACAAGTATGTGTATACTAACTTATGTATATACACATGTCTATAAATATTCTTATATCTTTATGTATGTTAAGCTAAATATGGGTTCATGCTAACATCTGCAACTGTAATCCATTACCATATGGATTAGTCTAGTCTTCTCTCCATGCATATCTATAATTTTTTACTCTACAGCAAGAAACCTGGCTCTCAACATTGGGGATCCAATTGCTTAATTGTTCAATTCCATTATATACTTCTAGTAACATGAGAATTTTTAACCCATACACCTATAGGAAATGCCTTTATCAGCTAGAGTACAGTGCTTCTGAATAGTTTCTTTTGCCTCTAGTTTTACAGATGCTGCTTATTGCCAGAGTGATTTAGTTATCAACATACCCCTCCACCCCCTATTTGGGGGGGTTATTTCATACATTTGTAATTAGATTAGATTCTTGTGTCACATTCTTTTTTTCATCTTGCTAGATGAAAAATATTCACTGGGAACATGTTAAAAATGGCAAGACAGATTTCATTCAAGACTATTGCAATAAAAGAGAGAGACTGAATTCAACTCTGAATAAAGCAGAGGCAACTGGGAATCTGCCAATGATCAGAGTGAGGAGGTCAATGGATAGAAAATTACTAAGAAGAACTGTATTAGAAATATCAACGAGAGAGAAATTCTTGCCAATTGGCCTAATAGAATTCTTTTCTTACTGAAGGCAAGCCAAGGGCTTAGACATTGAGGGTTTGGGATAAATAATTTAATCAAATATGAAGGGCGGGGAAATTCTTGCTAAACTGAATAAGCATGATTCTTTTCTAAAACTTGGCTAGTTAAGGATAGACATGAAAGGTCAAGGTTGAGGTCTAATCAAGAGGAAGCTTCAGAGGAGCCTGACTAAAGTTTGGTCAGGGAGGGAGACTTTGTTACCTCAATATTCTAAATGATTTTAAAAATATTTCTATACATTGAGGTTCTTTTTTTGTGGTGTAAAGTTAAATGGGTTTTGACAAATGCATACTGTCATTTATCCACAATTACAGAATCATACAGAATAGTGTCACTGACCAAAAAATTCCCCTGTGCTCACTTCTTCACCTTTTCAACTCTGTTCTCATCCGTCTACATCTCTAGCGATGACATTTTTTTTTTTTTTTTTTTTGAGATGGAGTCTTACTCTGTTGCCAGGATGGAGTGCAGTGGCATGATTTTGGCTCACTGCAATCTCCACCTCCCAGGTTCAAGTGATTCTCCTGCCTCAGCCTCCCGAGTAGCTGGAACTATAGGTGCATGCTACAACTCCCAGCTAATGTTTGTATTTTTAGTAGAGGTGGGGTTTCACCATATTGGCCAGGATTTTCTCTATCTCTTGACCTTGTGATCTGCCTGCCTTGGCCTCCCAAAGCGCTGGGATTATAGGCGTGAGCCACCACACCAGTGACTGATTTTTTAAGTGCTTCTACAGTTTGCCTCTTCCAGAATGCCATATAGTTTGAATCATACAGTATGTAGCTTTGTAAAACTGGTTCCTTTCACTTATTAATATGCATTTAAGATTTATTCAAGCCTTTTTGTTTCTTGATAGCTTTATGTTTTTGATTCTTGGATAATATTCCTTTGTGTGGGTATATCACAGTTTGTCTATGCATTCACCTATTGAGTTGCTTCCAGTTTTGGGTGGTTATGAATAAAGCTTCTAGAAACATCGATGTGTAGATGTTTATATGCCCATAAGTTTTCAGATCAGTTGGGTAAACAGCTAGAAGTGCAGTTGCTAGATCTTGTATGGCAATAGTGTGTTTAACTTTGTTAGAAACTACTAAACTGTTTTCCAAAGTGGCTGTGCCATTTGGGATCCCCCCACCTCAGCAACAAATGAGAGTTTTCTTTGCTCCACGTCCCTCACCAGTATTTGATGTTGTCAATATTCTGGATTTTAGGCATTCTAATAGATAAGTAATGGTATCTCATTGTTTTAATTTGCAGTTCTCTGATGACAAAATGATATTGAACATCTTTTCATATGCTTATTTGCCCTTTATATGTTTTTTTGTGTGTGTTTCTTCAGATCTGTTCCTCTTTTTTTAAATTATGTTTGTGTGAGTCTATTTCTGGGCCCTCGTTTATGTTCCATTGGTTTGTCTATTTTTTTACTGATAACACACCACCTTGATTACTGTAACTTCATAATAAATTTTGAATTCAGGTAGTTTGAGTTTGCCAGCTACAGTAGAATCAGTTTGTTGATATCTACAAATAGTTTTCTGTGGTTTGACTGAGGTTGTATTAAATCTCTAAATCAAGTTGCGAATAATTGACATTGAGTATTCCAGTCCAGGAATGTGGAATATCTCTCCATCTATTTTAATCTTCTTTGATTTCTTTTATTTATTTGTTATGTTTTTTATTTTCTTTTATATTTTGTTAGATTGTACCTAAGTATTTTATTTTTGATTGGTATTTTCAATGATATTATTTTATTTAAAATTATAATCGTTCACCAGCAGCATATAAAATGTTTGTATACTAACCTTGTATGTTGCAACTTTCCTATACTTGCTTATTAATTCCAGAAGTTTTTTTTTTTTTTGATTCCTTGTGATTTACTACATGGATAATAATGTCATTTGTGAAAAAAGATACTTTTATTACTTCCTTACCTAGCTATATATATTTTACTTTCTTATCTATTACATTATATAGGACTTCTAGTATATTGAATAGTAGTTGTTAGGACAAATTTGCCTTGTGTTGAGGACTAAATGTATCCCCCCCAAATTCATATGTTGAAACCTAATTCCCAATGTGATGAAATTTATAAATGGGATCTTTGGGAGGTGCCTAAGTCATAAGGGTTGACCCTCATAAATGGGATTAGTACCCTTATAAAACACCTCAGAGATCTCCCTCATCCCTTTTGCCATTTGAGGATATAGTAGGAAAACCACTGCCCATGAGCCAGGAAGCAGACTCTCACTAAACAGCAAATCTGCCAGTGCCTTGATCTTGAACTTCCCAGCCTCCAGAACTGTGAGAATTAAAGTTGTTGTTTATAAGCTACTAGTCTATGATATTTTGTTACTGAAAATGAGTACATTGTTCCTAATCTTAGAGGAAAGTATTTCGTTTCTCACCGTTAACCATAATGTTAGCTGTCAGTTTTTTCTAGATGTGTTCTTTTTTAGATTGAGAAATATATTCCTCTGCTTATAATTTTCTGAGAAGTTTTCATAATGAATTGATATTGAATTTCATGAAATTATTTTTCCATATCAATTTATATGATCATGTGACTTCCTTAGCTTGTTGATGTGGTGGGTTACACTGGTTGGTTTTTGAATGTTGCAGCATCCTTGCATGCCTCAGATAAATCCCACTTGGTCATTATCCATTGTTGGATTCCATTTCATGGTATTTTGTTGATAATTTTTGCATCTATGTTCATGAGAGATTTTTTCAATTGATTATGGAGTTTCTAAATTGAGTTAATGAATGTATGCATCACATCACAAATCATTTTTTGTGGTTGAGAGCACTAAAAATCTATTCGCAATGATTTTCAAGAAACAATACGTTGTTATTAACTATAATCACTATTTGTAGAATAGATCTTATAACTTCCGTCTAACTAAAATTTTGTATCCTTTGACCAACATTTCCCCCTCCCTTCCCTCCCCTGTAGCCCCTGGTAACTGCCATTTTCTCTGCTTTGATGAGTTCAACTTTAAAAATAGTCCACATATAAGTGAGATAATGTAGTATTTGTCTTTCTGCAACTGGCTTATTTCACTTAACATAATTCCCTATAGGTTCATTCATGTTGTAAATGACAGGATTTTCTTCTTTTTTAAGGCTCAATAGTACTTCATTGCACACGTATGCCACATTTTCTTTATCCATTCATCTATTGATGAACACTTAGGTTGATTCTGCATCTTGAGTACAATAATGCTGCAATGAATATAGAAGTGCAGATACCGTTTTGACATGCTGATTTCATTTCCTTTGGATATATAACCAATACTGGGATTGCTGGATCATAAGGTATTTCTGTGTATAATTTTTTTGTGGAATCTCCAAACTATTTTCCATGGTGGTTATACTAGTTTACATTACATTTCCACCAACAATGTGCAAGAGTTCCCTTTCCCCATATCCTCATCAACACTTGCTATTTGTCATCATCTGGATAATAGTCATTCTAATAGGTATGAAGTAATATCTCATTGTGGTTTTAATTTGCATTTCCTTGATTAGTGATGGCCATATTTTAATATACCTGCTGACCATTTTCATGTCTTCTTTTGAGAAATGTCTATTCAGGTTGTTTGCCCATTTTAAAATCAGGTTGTTTTATTGCCATTGAGTTGTTTAAATTTCTTATATACTTTAGTGATAAGCCCCTTAGCAGATGTTTGGTTTGCAAATATTTTCTCCCATTCCATAGGTTGTCTCTTCACTCTGTTGATTGTGCAGAAACACATTCTCTTCTTCACTGTGCAGAAACTTTTTATTTTGATATAATCTCATTTGTCCATTTTTGCTTTTGCAGCCTGTGGCAGGAGAGATAACTAACCTGCAGTTTTCCCTTCTTATGGGAAGGGAAAACCTATATGTTTAATATGGTTTTGGTATTACAGGAATGTTCTTCTCATAGAATGAGTCAGGTAATGTTCTCTTAAAAATTCTATTTTCTGGGTGAGATTATGAAGAATTAATACCATTACTTCCTTACATATGTGGTGGAATTCACCAATGAATTCACTAGGCCTGATGCTTTGTTTTATTATTGTCTTATTTTATTTTCATAGATGCAATCATATTCAGGTTATCTATTTCTTCTTGTATGTTTTGGTAGTTTGTATCTTTCAAGTAATTTGTTCATTTTGTCTAAGTTATTACATTTGTGGCTACTGAATTTTTTATGGTATTTTTTGATTATCATTTTAATGTCCATAAGATCAGTAGTGATAACCTCTTTCATTTTTCATATTGTTGTTTTGAATTCTCTCTCTTTTTCTTGGTTAGTTTGACTAGACGTATGTCAATTTTATTGGCCTTTTAGAAGAACAAGCTTTTGGTTTCATTGATATTTTTCTGTTTTTGGTTTTTTTTATTTCCAATCTAATTTTTATTATTTTCTTCCATTTGCTTTATATTTAAATTGCTCGACTTTTTCTAGTTTTCTATGGTAGAAGGTGAGATTGTTGATTTTTATTATTCATCATTTTCTAATATGTGTATTTAATGCTATAAATTTCTCTGTGAGCACATCTTCTGCTGTGTCCTACACATTTTAATAATATGAATTTTACTTTTATTTTTTAAATAACATTTTTAATTTTTTTGAGACTTCTTTGACCCATGCATTATTTAGAAGTGTGTTTAATCTCCAAAGAGTTGGCAATTATCCACCTCTCAGTTATTGATTTCCAGCTTAATGCCATTGTGGACTGAGAAACCCTTTGTATAATTTCTATTCCTTTCAATTTGCTTAGATATGTATTATGGTCCAGAATATGATTTTTTTTTGTAAATATTCCATGTGTACCTGAGGAGAATGTGTATTCTGCTGTTGTTGAATGTAGTATTCTACAAATGTCAGTTAGATCAGGTTGAATAATAGTGTTGTTCAGGTCATTTTTATTCTTACTGATTTTCTGTCTGCTTGATCTATCAGTTACTAAAAGTGGGGTGTTGATATCTCCAGCTATACTAGTGGATTCATCTATTTCAACTTGTTCTATCAGTTTTTATCTCACATATTTTGATATTCTGTTGTTAGGGACATACACATTAAAAATCATCATGTCTTATTAGAGAATTGAGCCCTTTATCTTTATGTAATGCCCACTTTATCTATGATAAGTCTACTTGGTTAGAGTTCTGTTATGTCTAAAATGAACTTAGTCCAAATTTCTTTTGATTAGTGCTAGCATAGTATGTTTTTATCCATGCTGGTATTTTACCTGTAGTGCATAAACTCTTAACTTATTTGTAACTTTTTCTACTGCTTATATAATATTACATATATTTTATATAGAATGTTAAGAAACTGCAGAAAAACACAAAATTATGCACAATTCATATGCATTATTTATAGCTAGACCTTGACTCTGAACTTATTCTTTCTCTTCTCTAAAAATAACAGTTTAAACACTTGTGTATTTGTAATTATAAACATTCTGTGCATATTCAATAATGTATGGTTAAGAAAGCACAACTCTGTATACTATAAATGGTGTCTTGCCCTAGTCCTTGACATGTAATTATGTATCTCAGGGAATATCCCATTTTAGTAGATATAAAGATTATTCCTTATTTTGACCAGCTGCCAATTATTCAATTTTACGGATGTAATATAATTTAGCTAGTCTACATTGATGAGCGTTTAGATTGTTTTTAGGGTTTTGCTGTTATTAAACACTGCTGTGATGAATGACTTGTACACATGACCTCATAAATATATGTTTGTGTGTGTCTATGGCACATTTCTAAACATGAAATTCCTTGATGGGTGAGTATATGTTTTCAGTTTTGATAGATGTTTCTAAATTTCTGTCCATGAAGGCTCTACCAAGTTGCATTCCCAAGAGCCACATATAAAAATATGCTTTTCTGGCCGGGGCATTGGCTCATGCCTATAATCCCAGCATTTTGGGAGGCCGAGGCAGGCAGATTGCTTGAGCTCAGGTATGCTAGACCATCCCAAGCAGCGTATTCAGACCTTGTCTCCACATACAACACAATAATTAACCGTGTGTGGTGGTGTGCACCTGTGGTCCCAGCTACTCAGGAGCCTGAGGTGGGAGTATGCTTGAACCTAGAAAGTTGAGGCTACAATGAGCCATAATCATACCACTGCACTCCAGCCTGGATGTCAGAGTGAGACCCTGTCTCAAAAAAAAAAAAAAAAAAAAGTCCTGTTCTACAGCCTTGCCATCAACTTAAGACACATTTTCTGTCTTAGCATTCCATCTAACAGGTTTGTTATCTCAGTATAGGTATATTTCTCTAAATAAAAGAAAGGTTAAGAATAATTTTATGTGTTTAACGGCTGTATTTTTCTCTAAACCAGCTGTTTATACTGTTTACCCATGTTTCAATCTGTTGTTGGTTTTACTTTGTGACTTGTATAGCAAATGAATTTGTCCTCTTTCTGTAATATGAGTTGTAAATAGTTTTTGTCATTTTTCTTTTGATCTTGTTTAGATTTGTTTATGTGCAAACATTTAAAAATTTTGCATAGTTGAAATAAAATCTTTGATCTTTCTTTGTATGCCTCTGGACTCTGTGTCATACTTAAGAAACTTTTCCATTCTGGTCTTATAAATTTCACCATAATTTCCTCTAACACATTTGTGGTTTCTTTTTTGTTTAGTTATTTTTATCTCTCAGGTTTTTCTTTGCTCTAAGGTAGAAATTCAACCTTATTTTATTTTCTAGATTGCTAGTAAGGTTTTTGAGCACTATTTTTTAATATAAATATTTTTCTTCTTGATTTGAAATGCTGCACCTACTATATATTAAATTCCTATATTTACTTGGTTCTACTTTTGGATATCCTATCTTGTTCTTTTGTTCTGTGTACATACCCCCAAATTTCATATATATATATATGAAATAATATAGTTATATCTTATGTAAATATATAAAATGATACTATATATAATATTCACACAGGCTTAATATTTGTTTAGGATGCTTTTCCCACATACGCATTTATGTTGAGATACAAACCTTGAATTCTTTCTTGGATTCCTCAGCCTTTAATTTCTTTACTCTCTGCTTTGATTGTTGTCCCATCTTGGCTGGTTTTCCCTCTGCTCTTGGACATGAATGAAACATCACAGTTTGGGGCCCAGAGCTTACTTCCTGAGTGGCCCTGAAGGGATGGATAGAGCAGCCTAGTAGCTTGAGAAAGTTAGTTCCCTGTAACCAATATAATAGGAGAGAGAGTCAGATAAACCTCCTCTCCTTGCAAACCATCCATGTGGACTTTGTGGCTTGGGGTGAAATGTAGCCAGTGGGATAAAGTGCCAGGTTGATGCCATGGGCATCAAATCTATTCCGTATTCCAAAAAAATGATAAGGCAGAAACACTTAAATTTGCTTTTTAGGTAACATTGTAACACTCCTTGTTTTATAAGCTTTATGATGATATTAGCAATATGCAATAATGTTTCAACCTGTGTATTTACAAAATAAATATTTTATGAAAAGTTTGGATAGTCATGTACATATGATTTGAGTGTCTAATTCTGAATATCTCTTGGCAGGAACAATTTGTGTATGTCTGGGTGCCACAATCACAATGCCTTAGCAAAAATATTTGCTCTTCCTTACATCCCATAATTATCATAGCTAAGACATTCTCCATCTTCTGTTCAATGGAAAGATTTGCCATAGTTGCCCCTATTTCTCATAGGTTGGGTCATGTTCATTGATCTTTTCCTGTGGGTTTGACATCAAGCTAGACGCTGAGAAAGGATGAAACATGGATTTAATAGGAAGTATAAGATACTGCTTATCTTTTTCAACAGCGTGAAGGATTGTGCTAGAGAGTTGACTGAAAAGGAAGTGATCTGAAATTTTAATATGCCTGTGGCTTTTGTCTCATGAAATCACTTGCTACAGATAGTTACTTGTGGTATTTTGGTTTATGTTGTGGTAAACAGTGATGCTAACTGAATATCGAGGAAGAAAATGCTGGATTTATCAATAAATAATTTTCTTTTATAATGAAAAATATATGCATTTTACCACTAGGGCTGATTGTATTTAGCCCATATTCTAAGGCAAGTGATTTATTTTTAAATTGTTCCTCTGTTTTCATATTTGACTCTGTGGAGTTGAACCTTTGGAGGAAAACTTATTAAAGCCATACTCAGGTGTTTGCTTTTTGAGAAAAAAACAAAGATTTCCCATGACATGCCTGAGAAAGTATGTTATAAGATGAATTATAATAGCCTTACATGTAGTTTTGTGACAGTGACAAGAAGAAAAATGAAATTTAACGTTCTGAGGCAGCTGAGAAATTATCAGATGGAGGGGCCGCTACACGCTTGTATTTGTTATTATTATTGTACATGGCTTTGCAAGAGAGCTTGAAAAGATAAGTTTTCCAGAAAAGGCTGCATTGTCCTTAGGTGTTTAGGATGATGGTTACAGTGATTGATAATTATAGGTATTGGTGGTGAGTTTCAAAGCCATTTCTGTGTTATGGTGACAACTCTCAAGTAAGGGACAATATGGATTAACCGGACATAAATTCC
Organism: Homo sapiens; assembly: GCF_000001405.40. Classification (NCBI taxonomy): domain Eukaryota; kingdom Metazoa; phylum Chordata; class Mammalia; order Primates; family Hominidae; genus Homo; species Homo sapiens. Next base: position 5,631,317 of record NC_000003.12, read on the forward strand.
TTCCCATCTCATGTTAGGTTGTGTCAGTCCCCATCATCTGGTCCTTAGAGCCACGTTCCAACACCCTCTGTAGCATTACTTCTATGTTTTGTGTCCATATTTACCATTATTGATATTTATCTACCTTACCACTTTACAATGATAGGTTGGTGGGCAGTCTCACTTGGTCACCACAAGGAATCCACTCTTATTTTCAGCCAATCACCAGTATACCTGGAATTCAGGATGTACAGTTTTCCTTACCCTTTTATAAGCTATTTTTTTAGTTGCTACCAAGCCTGTTTTCCATAGGCACCTGGAAGTCCCTCTCCTTTGATCTCTATTGCTCCTTCATTTTTACCTTGCTGTGGCCCATAGCTTCGTCATGCCCCTTTCCTTGTGTTTAAGCCTGCAAAACTCTTTTCATGGTTTTGCTCCTTGTAAATGTACAAGGGACCCAGTTTGACCCACAGGTACCCATTGGTTATATCCCTTCATAGTATAACCTTGATGTGTTATTACACCAAAAGACCTTGTCACCAACAGGGATGAGGATGCCAAGGAACAAAGCAGGTAGGATTCTTGAACCTTTATATTCTCATAATGTGTGGCTATAAATCCAGAAGGCAGGACCTGTCTTACCTGTGTGTGACCAGCGTGCAACATTTTTTATGATACATAGTGAGGCTTCTTCAATGTTCAGTTGACCTGAGCAAAATATTTACCTGTATTTTACTATTGAAGGAAGACTGGCTATGCTTATTAATTATACCAACTTGTTCCAAGTCTCTTTGAATAACATTTAGCAAGGAAGGGGTTGATAGGTGATAGTCTTTGGCTATGGAGCCAAGACAAGATCCCTAGATGATTTAGGTTCCTAATATTTTCTATTTTGGTCCTTTACTGTCTCATCAGAATCAATCAGGAAGTTTTTGGATATTAGGAAGACTGGGGAAAACATAGTATTATAATATGTTATCCCTTTCCTCAAGGCATTTAAAGCTCTTTTGGAAGACAAGAAAAAGTGACCAATGCAAGATGGTCCCATGCTGGGGAGCTAAGAAGAGAAGTTGTTAGTTTGATGTAAGGGCTATATGAAGATGCAATTAGTGGAGGGGCTTGGGGGAAAACACAGCATGGATTAAGAGCACTGGGCAAGAAAATCTCAAGATTTATCAAAAGGTGGTCTATTTTCATGTTTTTTTTTCCTAAAGCAACAATGCGATATGAAAACACAGCTGGTGAAAAGTGATGGTCCTTACTAAATACTATAAATATTTATGATTTTTGAAAGTTGTATATAAAGGACAAATGCATATAACAAAATTACAATATTTATAAATATTATAAACAATCCCATTAAGAAAAGGAATAAGTAAAGACTCTGTGAAAATGCTTGAGACAGGACTATACTATGATATTGGTAGGCTGGTTCATCCTCTTTTTGATGTTGGCTTACAAAGTGATTTCAGATGGTAACAATTCCCTAACTGGGGGAAGGGAAATTGTTTTAGAAAGTCTTACCTTTTGGGAGGGTGATCAACTTTCATATATTTTAAGGAAATAATTATTCTGGGGTTACTGGAAACACTATTATGTGATGGAATATGTTAAATTTCTATAGAGATTCTAGGCCCCAGTTCCCCCATTTGTTAAATGGAGTAGTGCCTACTTCAAAGGTTTGCTGTAAGGATCAAATATGTTACTACAGAGAGAGCTCTTAGTGCAATACCAGGTAGACAGTAAACTCCTATTTAATGTTAGGTAGCAATGCCATTAGTTTCATTCCTAGGGCCGTGTTATCTCGTCTCCTTTGAGATCTAAGGTAGGTATCCATAGATAATGGTTAAAAACATTTGAAACATAAATTGCAAAAATAGTTATCTCAAGAAGGGTTAGTGCCTTACAGGAAGATAAAGAAGGAAAGAAATGGAACAACTTAGGTCAGAAAGCATGCAGTTCAGATTGAGCAGCTACCTATAGACAGTAACAAAATGTGAGCTGGTAATCTTTTTCAGGTTATCAATTATCTAACCATCCTTATAATTTTGACATTTCAGAAAGCAGATCCACTTTTTCTTTTCAGTTTTACCAATAACTGTTTTTTAGGTAAAATAATGATAGGTAATGTTTGTTAAGCATTTACCGTGTGCGGGGCATTAAGTGGTTTATGTATACCATCTTTCCAGAGCATTTTGCATTTCTAAAAGTGCGTCCAAAGTTTCCTGAATTTTTTATTGTTTTTTTCTTTAAGCTATCTATTTCCATGAATGTTTTTCTCTTCACTTCTTGTATCATTTTTTTGGATTTCCTTGCATTGGGCTTCATCATTCTCCGGTCCCTCTCTGGTTAGCTTAATAACTAACCTCCTGAATTCTTTTTCAGGAAAATCAGGATTTCTTTTTAGTTTGGATCCATTGCTGGTGAGCTGGTGTGATTTTTGGGGGGGTGTTAAAGAGCCCTGTTTTGTCATATTACCAGGGTTGGTTTTCTGGTTCCTTCTCATTTGAGTAGTCTCTGTCAGAAGGAATGTCTAGGTCTGAAGACTGTTGTTCAGATTCCTTTGTCCCAAGGGGTGTTCACTTGATGTAGTACTCTCCCCCTTTTCCTATGGATGTGGCTTCCTGTGAGACGAACTGCAGTGATTGCTGTTTCTCCTCTGGGTCTAGCCACCCAGCGAGTCTACTCGGCTCCAGGCTGGTACTGAGGGTTGTCCACACAGAGTCCTGTGATGTGAACCATCTGTGGATCTGTCAGGCGTGGATTCCAGCGCCTGTTCTGGTGGAGTTAGCGGGGGGAGCGGGGAGTGCAGTGGACTCCATGAGGATCCTTAGCTTTGGTGGTTTAATACTCTATTTTTGTGCTGGTTGGCCTCCTGCCACGAGGTGGTCATTTCCAGAAAGCATCAGCTGTAGTAGCGTGGAGAGGGACCGGCAGTGGGCGGGGCCCTAGAACTCCCAAGGTTATATGGCCTTTGTCTTCAGGTACCAGGCTGGATAAGGAGGGACCATCAGGTGGGGGTTGGGCCAGGTGTTCTGAGCTCAGACTCTCCTTGGGCAGCTCTTGCTGTGGCTGCTGTGGGGGTTAGGGGTGAGATTCCCAGGTCACTGGAGTTGTGTACCTAGGAGGGTTATGGCTGCCTCTGTTGAGTCACACAGGTTGTCAGGGAAGTGGGGGAAAGCCAGCGGTCACAGGTCTCACCCAGCTCCCACACAAACTGAAGAGCCGATCTCACTCCCACCATGCCCTCCACCTCTGACAGGCCAGAGTCTGTTTCCAGGCAGAGGGTGAGATGGGTTTGAAAATTTGCCCGAGGCTATCCACCTCCCAGCTGTGAGAGAAAAGGGCTTTAGTTCTTCCCCCGCCTGTGAAGTCTGCACACCCGATTCACACCCTCCCCCAGTTCTGGCCAGGAGGCTTCTTGCCCCATTCAAATTGTTACAAAGTTCAGTCAGAGAATTCCTTCTTTCTGTGGAGTTTTACTCCCTGCTCCTCTGGCTATCCTCCCGATGGATCCCTGTGGTGCCAGGCAGGAATGGGCTGCTCAGGGACCCAGCAAGTTCCCAGGGCTTTTCTGCTGCTTCCTGTACCCCTGTATTTTGCTCAGCTCTCTAACTTGACTCAGCTCCAGGTAAAGTCGGAAACTTCTCCCGTAAACAGAACTTCAGCTTCTCCAGTGGGGGCGTGTGTTCAGGAGAGGAGGGTCTCCCTTTCCCACTTCCACAGTTGGGGCACTCACAGTATTTGGGGTGTCTCCTAGGTCCTGCAGGAGCAGTCCGCTTTCTTCAGAGGGTCTGTGGGTTCTTGCAGTTGATCTGGAGCTAAAATTCACAATGCAATCCTCTGCCCATATTAACATTTTAAATCTTGGGTTGTCAGCTTTGAACACTTGAGAAGGTTTAGTCTAATCACCTTTATGAACAGAAAAGAAGACTGAAGGCTAGAAAAGGGAAGTTATTTTCTTGGATACCAAAAAAGAAATATTTAAATCATGACTCTTAGTATGATTATGTCTAGTATTGAATTTATGATGATATCTCTGGGTCACAGGTTATTGCTAAGACGTGTCAGAAAGTATTTGTAGAGTATACACAGCTTATTCCACTTGCAATGAGTTTACTTATTTTTACCAGAATTTCTGGTATAAAGATAAAAAAAATCTTAAAAATGAATTAAGAAAAAATTATATGACAACATACAACTTGGGATAGAAGACTTTTGAGAAGTTATTTTTATTGAATGCTATAAATTATTTTTAAGTCATGATGCTTGATAATAAGCATGTTACATTTATAAGGAAATAGTGGCAATTTCTTGAACTTACACTGGTCGAGAAGCTACATGAAAGATTTCCTTCACATTTCTGCTTTAGCTAGAAATGCTGAGAATTAAGCTTCTTCAATGAAAGCTCATCTCATTCCTTTTCCTTAGCGTGGGAGATCTAAATATCCCATTAAAAAAAAAAGAGAGAGAGAGACAAGGGAAAGGAAATGAGAGTATAAGACTCAGAGCAATTGCAGAATAGGATATTTTAATGCCCTTTGTACCATAACTTCCAGCAATCCTATCAAGAGAGATTTCATGAGTTATAGTAGATGGAGGGAAGTGCCCTACGGACAGATGAGGTCTGCTTCAGACTCAGACGTGGATTTGCTGTGTGGCCTCAGGCAAATTATTTAGCCTCTCTAAGCCTCAGCTTCCTTAGGTATGTTTGAAATGGTACTTCTGGTGCCTTATTTTATAGGTTGGTGGTGAGGCTTCTGTCAGAGGATCCTTGTGAATATGCTATAAAATAGTAGGACATGAGAATTAGAAATTACATAGCTAGGCTATAAAACAGTGAGGCTGAATTCTACAAAAGAAGAACTCTAGAGAGAATAAAATATGCTGTGCTACCACTGATTGTCTCAAGTACCGTATGCTCAGTCACCTTCCAAATAAAACTGTGAATAAGGTAGAAAGTGGTGGGACTATTTAACTGGCACTGGGAAAGGTATTTGAGGGGAAGTTAGCTTTGAAAACTAATGGCCCTCTGTGTGTGTTTCTTTCTTTCCCTTTCTCTCTCTCTCTGTCTCTCATATATCCTTTCTTGGGTCCCGGATGAGATTTAGATGTGGTTGGTGAACTGTTGGACAGACTTGGAGGAGTCATTTTGCTTTAGGTTTTTGGTCTTGGTTGAAAGAGGGAGAGAGAGGTTTGTCGAAGTCCTGGGTTGGAGGGAGGGTTTTGGGGATAAAAAGTGTAGCATCTCATTTGTTTTGGACTTGATCCAGTAGACAGAATTTTAAGGAGAATCAAAAGGAGTGGTTTTCATGAGGGACTTTATAAGAACTGGGGGATAAATGGCTGCTTGGCTGCAGCAAAAACTCTGTCCTTGACCAAACTGTAAACAGGATCTTCTGAGCCCTCATTTTGACTAAGCCTCATTCTTGGGCCCTGTTTTTGGCCTGCCTACTCCAGTTGTTGTAAGAATCTTACTAAGTCACGTCAGTGTGAATCCCCCACCCTTGATATCTGATCAACCTGGCCTGCCTCCAACAAGAATACTGTCAGTCAGTCTAGCAAGCGTCTTTCTACCCTTTATATTTTCTCTTGGTAATATTCTATTCACCACCCCCTCATTCTGCCCCCTGACTATAAATCCCCACTAGTCCTTGTTGTATTGGGGGTTGAACTTGCCTCTATTTCTTGTTCTGCTAGTCATAACACCTATTGCAATAGGCCTGAATAATGTCTTCCTTACCATTTTATCAAGTGTTAAACAGATGACATAGCATCTTAGTCTGCTTGTGCTGCTTTAACACAATACTGTAGGTAATGTGTAAAACACAGAAATTTATTTCTCACAGTTCTAGAGGTTGGGAAGTCCAACATCAAGATGCTGGTAGTTTTGGTTTCTGGTGAGGGCCCAGTTTCTCCTCCCAAGAGGGTGCCTTACTGCTGTGTCTTCTGGAGGGGAGAAACACTGTGTCCTCACATGGTGGGAGAATTAGAAGGAGGGAGGAAAAAAACCAAATGCTGTGTGAAGCCTTCCTTATAAGGGTGTAAATCCCATTCAACAGGGAGAAGTCCTCCTGGCCTGATCATCTCTCTCTAAGCCTCCACCTCTTGATACTATCACATTGGCCATTAAGCTTCAACACATGAATTTTGTAGGGAACACATTCAAACTTGACGTGAATAAAAATAGGGAGAGGAGCCCTGAGGTGGAGAAACTCCTCTATTACTTTGAGGATTGGTGGCTTAGGGAGCCCTGGCTAGATCAAATGTTCTTGGTATGGGTGTTGTTATCCCACGGTAAGTCTTCCCAGCAGTGATAGTGATGAGATTCTTTAGAATGTCTTCCTAGGCAGAGGACGGGGCTGGATCAGGAGAGGGGAAACAGTGGTGCCTTATGGTGACAGTAGCTGAGCCTGGTCCTTGAGCACTTGTGAGATGGTCTATGAGGGCTCCAGACCCCCAGGGTGAATCCTTAGAGGTGACTGAGATCCTGTTTGTGCAGGTGAGGGTGAGAGCCAGCAAAGTATGGATTATTATCAGGAAAGTGACTCTATCTATATCTTTATCCCAGTGAAGGCTGGAGAATCCAGCCTTTCTCATGAATAAACAGCCATATTTCTGAACAGAATTAGCAGAGAGCAGGATACTTATTTGAGTCTGAAATCTCTTGATGAGCAGCACATATGTCCAATCACAAACATGGGTATTTGATTTATAATCAGCGCATCGAGGACCTAGTCCTCTAAGTTAAAACATGAGAGGATGGCACTTGAATGGAAATCTTTGCTGAGTGATTTATCAGAAGCTTACCATTTTATGAACGGCAAAAGAGAAGAACTGCCCCCTTCACAATCTATGTATAAGTCATCTGGAATTATGATGAATTAAGTATTCTTTCTCCTAGTGACAGTAATAAGTGTTATGAGCAGCCTTTAATAGTTAGACAGAAGAGATAAATATCAATTACCATTAGGGGAAGCATTTTAAAAACCAGCTTCCCAACATTTTCCCATGATGAGGTTAATTATTTATGGCAAAGGCACATTAATAATTTTACTTTATCTCTTTATCCAAGCAGTAAATGAACTGCAACACGGAGGAATTCGGACAATCGATACAATAAGAATGTATTTAAAGTACTTAAAGCTTCTGTATTCCCCCCTAAACTCACTTTGTCTCAGTCATAACAGTGCTTAAATTAATAATATCTATTTAAACATTTCACTGGTGGGGTGCCTTTATCTTTTAGCAATTTTTCTTCCTGATGGTCAGCCATGTGGAAATGGCAGCATGCATTATAAGTGCTGCAGGAGCTAAGATGCTAAATTTAGTTCAATAAATTAGGAAACAGGTATAAGTGCATTTCTAGTGATGGCTATTTAAAATTTTGTAGAAATAAAGACCAACCGAATGAGAAAAGCGAAGGCTGTTTATTCTGAGCTTGCTGTAACAAGGGAGTCAGTCACCATCATCTGCATTGGACAGAGTCTCAGAGGCAGGCAGAGAAAGGGAAAAGCTTTGCTAAAGTAGAAAAAGAGAAGGCTTCAGGCATGCCATGATTGGAGGCTGCTGGTGTCAGGGAGCAGGAGGCAGGCTAACTAGAAGCAGGGAACCCTACATGGTTGGTGAGAGATACCTATTTGGGTTTCTCTGGTTGGTCCTAAGTTGGAAGTGGGGACAAAAATTTGATCAAGTCCTGGCCATTTTGGACTGATTGTTATGAAAGTTATTGTTTATTTCCTGAATTGTCACTAGACATAGCAATCTGGCTTTCTGCAAGCCTGCTTTATACCAGGTCAGCACCCTGGGTTGTTTATTGTATATAAGGGGTTGCTTTCCTGGGCAGGTTGCTGCAAGTTCTGGATTAAAGTTCTATTTTTATGTTGCCAGGCAATTTCCATTTGCATATTAAATCTATTAATTTATTAATATACAGTAAAATTCACTCTTTTTGGTGGACAATATTTTTGAGTTTTGATAAATTCATAGAATCCTGTATTTATGGCCACAATCAAGATATGGAACAGTTTCCACCACCCACGAGAAGCTCCTGCATGCTGTTCTTTTGGGGTCAACATCTCCCCCGACTCCCAACCCCTGCCAACTACTGATCTTTTCTCCTTCCTATCATTTTGCCTTTTCTCTCAGAAAAGGTTTCGTTCCATGCACTTGCCTGCATGCCACTGTTGCTAGCTAGATTGTTAGCCCAATAGTGTGAAGTGGGGGAGTTCTGTGGTTCTGATGAAGGCTCAGTCTCAGGTGGCACCTGTTCCTGGGTCTCTGATGCTGCTTTCTCAGTGGTCCTGGTGCATCCCCAGCTGCAGATTTGCTGCTCCTGGGAGAGCAGAGGACTATTTTTCTGTGACTTATTCTCAGCTGCAGTGGGTTTCCCCAGTACCTTAAAGTCAATGACCAGAGCAGATGTTTTCATTAGTCCTAGTGGTGGGGCACAGTGTCTTGGGCACATACTAGTTTTAGGACTCTTCCTAAATGTTTTAACTTCACTTTAGAATCATAAGAAAAAACACAATAATAAAGAATGTAGAATAACGTATCCAGCCTGGATTATATTCATCTTTACACCTATGAGGTTGTAAAATATCTTTTTATATATATGTTTTGTGAAGGAAGAGGCACACAAAGGCAGAAGTGCCAAGGGTCCACAGAAGTCATGATGTGGCCCAGATGCGAGTGTGTGTTACCCACACCCCCCCCCCCCACCACTTGAAGGCTTCAGCTGCCTTGAAGTTGATGTTCTGGGCAGGGCATTGGGGCTTCTAGCCTTTCTCTTGGAGCTGTTGTTTCCTTCCTTCCAACGAGTGCTTTCTCAGGACTCTGGCCATTTTTTTTTTCTAGGAGAAAAGCCTACAAATGGGTACAAATTCCCCTTATATCTGCTACACCTAGGGGTTCCACCTTCTCTCACTAGCCCACACTCAGCCTTTAATAATTTGTTAAGGATTTTAGATAAATTCTTCCTATCTGTTTCTGGAAATGTCTGTCCCAGGTAAGCAAATGCTAGTGTTCTGCCCTTTCTCTCCTTGCAGGTACCTGTCTTTCCTTAAATTTTGGATTAATCAGTCCTCCGAATTGTTGGAGAGAGTTGTGAATTTGCCAGTGGTCCTGAGTCTGTCTTTTCTTGTGCTGGAGAGTGCAATGCTTTTTCTGTGGACTGCATCCCAAACAGAATTTGGAGTCAGTATAGATCTTTAAATCCCTGTTATCTCTGCTGACTTTTTGGGTGAGTTTCCTGCTGTGTGTGTTTTTGTTGTGATTTCTTTGTTTTGAGATTTGTTCCTTGTGATGGTTGATATTGAGTGTCAACCTGATTGGATTGAAGGATGCAAAGTATTATTCCTGGATGTGTCTGTGAGGGTGTTGCCAAAGGAGATTAACATTTCCATCAGTGGACCAGGAAAGGCAAACCCACCTTCATATAGATTGTGCCCCTCAATCTGAGTGGGCACAATCTAATCAGCTGCCAGCACAGCCAGAATAAAAGCAGGGAGAAGAACATAAAAAGACTAGACTGGCTTAGCCTTCTAGCCTAAATCTTTCTCCCATGCTGGACACTTCCTGCCTTTGAATGGTGAACTCCAAGTTCTTCAGCTTTGGCACTTGGACTGGCTTCCTTGCTCCTCAGCTTGCTGACGGCCTACTGTGGGACCTCACCTTGGGATTGTGTGAGTCAATACTGCTTAATATACACCCCTTTATATATACATCTATCCTATTAGTTCTGTCCCTCTAGAGAACCCTAACTAATACATTCCTCTTTGCATTTTCATCACTCATACCCAATGAGATTCTTCTTTTCTTAGCCTAGTAAACATAACACTCTCTCAATCCTGTTATAGTGTATGAAAGGCAGGTGATGATTACTCTGGCCTGTTGACTCAGGGAAAGAAGTGGTGAGGCTTTGAGCTACTTCTTCATGTCTACTTGAGGTTTGAGTGTGAAGATGTGTTTGGGGTAAGGGTGATGACACTGTCCACCCTTTTTTCTAGTATCGTCAGCACCATTGATCACTGTGTTCTAAGAGATTGGGGATAGAGACAACATTCTTTGGAATTTTTCATCTTGAGAGGTTTTTGTCTAGCCTCTTCATTTATGGCCATGGATGTCAGAAGCAAGAAAGGAAGAACTACAGAACTATAAAAATTTTGGCAATGTTCTCTTTAGTAACTTCATAGTATTCTGCTCTACTATTCTGTCTCTAGCACTGGATGTCTTTCCCTGACAGTCTTTACCTTTATAGTCATTTGGAGAAAGTGGAGATACCAATGACTTAAGCACTCGCCTTAATTTGGTCGCCTCATTTTCCCGTGTTTATTTGGAGGAGTGCAGGGTGGATGCTTGGGCTAAGGCTGAAAGCTTGCTAACTGGCTTTACAAGTGGCTCTGAATGAAGAGAGAAACAGGACCTCCAACTTTCAAGGCCACCGTGAAGCACTGCTCAGTAATGTCATCAGGCTCACATGAATCTATTTTCTCAAATTGTTGGGCTATAACCTCTTCCTAATAAGAAGAAATGGAACAAGGTCTTATTTTTCGATCATACTCCTTTGCAGATTCATTAGTTGCCACTCCTGTGTTAGAAGAAAAATATAACGCGTTCCTTCTTTCATTTGATTTCCTACGGGCTCTGCAAGAATTTTCAGGGTATGAAAGGTAACCCTGCTCAACACTGATGTCTTCAGCTTGTTTCTACAAAGTAGGATTAATTTATAGCTCCATCTACTCATCCATTCAATTATCCCATTTATTTTAAAATAAATATTTATAAAATGCCTTCTTTGTGTTGAGGTGATGGAAATACAGTCTTGAATAAATGCCTGTCTAAGAACCTGGCATGGAGTGGGTTCTCATAGATATTTGTTGAGAAAATGAATGAATGAAGACATGATTCCTGCTGTCGTGATACACAGTTTATTGGCAGTGGGTGTATGTGTATACACATTGAAGAATATGCTATTCCCAATGGAGGCTATGTTGGGAATACAAGGCAGGAACCTTTGGATATGACTTGGATAATTGGGAAAAGTTCTAAAATACATGGCATTTGAGTTGGATTATGAGATACCGTTTTCATGAAGAAGTGGATAGTACTGTAATGATTAGCACATGGACTTTGTAGTTCAGCGCACCTGAGTTTGAGCTCCAGTTCTCCCATGTGTGTATGCCAGTGCCTTCCAAAACCACCTGAATAACCTGTTGACCAAGCAAAGCCAAGTTTATCAAAGTTACTGCAGTAAGGAGGATAGCAGCTTAAAAGAGTCTTCATACTATCTTGAAAGAAAGAGATCATAGGAAGGTATTTGATGTATATTAGCACTGGTGCTGGGTGATTTTTAGACTGTTCTTGTAAGGTGGGGGCACTGATTAAGAAAGGGCAGAGTTTGTAACATAAAGTGAGATGAGGATTTTAAAAAAGTCCAGAAAAGCAAGTTAATAGGTTCAAAATATGTAGTATTTTATTTAATTCATTGTCTTCCAGAAGATCTTCTGAAGTAAATAATTCAATTTTTTTGGCTTGCTCTCAGAATTATTTAACACAGGATAGGAAAGTATGTTGATTTCAGTACTCCCTAGCTATGTGAATTTTGACAATTTTTCCCCCAACTTGCTTTAATTTGGAGTTTATAGAATTAATGAAGCTAATAGATAGTTGAATGAGATAAAATGTATTAGCACACAGAACTTGATGTATAGGAAGTATTCAATATAGGATTGTGGAGCTGTCACCATCAGCATCATCAGCATCATCTTCACATCTTCATCTTCCTCATGACTCTAATGATGATGATGATATCGTAATTGTTGTGGAACTGAGCCTAGGTTTGCCCACCCAGCTCAGCAAAGCCAAACACTGACACCGAGGTTTACAATGAGAGAAAGGAAGGCATTTATTGCAGGGCACCAAGCACAGAGAATGGGCAGCTCCTGTTTAAGATCTGGACTCCCCAGTGGCTTGCAAGCAAGGGTTTTTAAAGACAAGGGTACATCTAAGAAAAGCAGAAGTTACAGGCAAAATCATGAATTCATTCATGGAGGTTACAGATGGGTTTGGCCCAAAAAGGTGGGATATCTTGAAGCAGAGGCTTACAGGTCTTAGGTGAATTCAGAGATTCTTTAATTTGCAATGGGTTAATGGAGGAAGGCTTTGTCTAAAAACATGGGGTCAGCAGAAAGAGATGTCAAGGTTTGGCTTTAACCTACATTAGTTAAGATAAGGAAACCTATTAACAATCTTGGGGTGCTAAGCGAGAGTCAGGTCACAGCCATTATGTATTGGGTCAGAGTGGTCAGGTTATCAAGACTGATGGCCTGCAGTCATGACTGTCTTTCCAGGTCCCTCAGGAAGAAATTTAGAACAAAGAACAGCAGTTCGTTCAGGCTTCAGTTTCCTTTTGTCTGAGGTCTATGTGACATCAGTCAGCAGTTTCCATCTGGTCAGGGTCTCGGTTTCTAAAAAACAAATTAACTCAAGATGGATTAAAGACTTAAATGTAGAACCCAAAACTATAAAAACACTACAAGAAAATCTAGGCAATACCATTCAAGACATAGGCATGGGCAAAGATTTCATGATGAAAATGTCAAACGCAATTGCAACACAAGCCAAAATTGACAAGTGGGATCTAATTAAACTAAAGTGCTTCTGCACAGCAAAGGAAACTATCATCAGAGCAAACAGAGAACCTTCAGAATGGGAGAAAATTTTTGCAACCTATCCATCTGACAAAGGTCTAATATCCAGAGTTTACAAGGAACTTAAGCAAATTCACAAGGAAAAACCAAACAACACCAATAAAAAGTGGGCAAAGGTCATGAACAGACACTTCTCAAAATGTCTTCCTTTGAGAAGCCAACAAACGTATGAAAAAAAGCTCAACATCACTGATCATTAAATAAATGCAAATCAAAACCACAATGAGAAACCATCTCACGCAAGTCAGAATGGCGATTATTAAAAAGTCAGGAAACAACAGATGCTGGTGAGGCTGTGGAGAGATAGGAATGCTTTTATGCTGTTGATGGGAGTGTAAATTAGTTCAACCGTTGTGGAAGACAGTGTGGCAATTCCTCAAAGACCTAGAACCAGAAATACCATTTGACCCAGCAATCCCATTATTGGGTATATACCCAAAGGAATATAAGTCATTCTATTACAAAGATACATGCACATGTATGTTCATTGCAGCACCATTCGCAATGGCAAAGACATGGAATTCCCAAATGCCCATCAAAGATAGACTGGATAAAGAAAATGTGGTACATATACACCATGGAATACTAAGCAGTGTTAAAAATGAACAAGAGCATGTATTTTGCAGGGACATGGATGGAGCTGGAAGCCATTATCTTCAGCAAACTAATGTAGGAACAGAAAACCAAATACTGCATGTTCTCACTTGTAAGTAGGAACTAAACAATGAGAACAAATGGATTTAGGGAGGGGAACAACACACACTAGGGCCTGTTAGGGAGAGTGGGGGAAGGAAGAGCATCAGGAAAAATAGCTCGTGCATGCTGGGCTTAATACTAAGGTGATGGGTTGATAGGTGCAACAAACCACCATGGTACATGTTTACCTATGTAACAAACCTGCACGTCCTGCTCATATACTCCGGAACTGAAAAACAAACAAAAGGAAAAAAAGTCAAGAACATAGGTCAAGATGTTATCTTTTAGTTTCTATAGGGAACCAAACACCTTGAGCCTTTGATTTCCTTGGGTGACTTCATGTTCAGTTGGTTGTTTATTTACTTCTCTAATTGCTGCATGCAGGGCTAGCTAGATGCCTAGAATTTCCTTGGAGGGACTCAAAATTTCTCTTTATTTCCATGCTTAGAGGGAGGTGAGGATGGCAGGCCCCTAAGAGGGGCCCCTGTGCCATTTCATAATCTGGGAGATTAGAATCCTGTGTTCGCTCATCCTAGTTCTTGCAGAAATTTGTGTGATCTTGGGCAAGAGTCTTACCCTCTCTAGAACTCAGTTTCCGCTTCTGTAAAATAAAGACACTGGCTTTCCTCATTTCACAAAGAATGACTAAAATTTCCTCCAGGTCTATGAATAAATTTGGCCTGGAGCAACTTGTCCTGTAATCTTTTTGTGTCTGAGCTCACTGTGCTGGTACTAGTCTCTAGTTTCTCCTGGAATATGGAAACTTTAATTATCTTTTGTGAAGTATTTGCGTTCTTAGCTGCCTTAGGCCATTGCTGTACTGCTGGGGAATGAGAATGCTGAACTATTAAGCAGCTGCTGATGTACATTCTGCACGATTTGGCTCCCAGATCCTCCATGACCCACTGGAATGGGTTGTTTTTAAAAAGATAGACATTGTAGTGGGACTCATTCATGCACTGGTAGAAGTCATCAGAGAATAGCATCTGGCAGTATAAAAAAGGGCAAAGAGCACAAATTTGGAATGAGAAGACAGAGCATCATTCTCTTTTCTCTGCCATTTTACAAAGTTGTTTTGCCTCACTGAGTCTTGGTTTCCCCGTCTAAGAAATGGAAGTAATAACAAAGAGACTATTGTACTACTCAGATGAGACAGTGAATGCTAAGATCTACATTCGCTGATATTACTGTTGAACATTCCACAGATACTTACTGAGTACCTACTACAAGCCGGGGACTTTTCTAGGACCTGGGAGCACAACGTAAGTGAGCCAGACAAAAATTTCCACCCACTACCAGGGAACTAATACTCTGGTGTGTGTGTTATGGTTGGGTTCGGGGAGGAAGCGGTTCTGTTGTTAGAACAAAGCAAACCCCTTACTCCTGAGAGGCTTTGTTTGAAAAATTAGTTTGAAAGAAAGCAGAATGGGAGTTTGTGGCAAGCCAGGTGTCACTAACAGCTAATCAGGCAGGCCTCCACGACAGCTGTTTCGGCACTGACTGAGTGGTTGAGTTAGACATTCAAAGCTGAAAGAGCCAGTGCCAGTATACACAGGTTGCAAAGTAACAAAATCCCAACAAGAGTCTTGCTTAGGCCTTTCCTGGGCCTTGAAGCATGACAAGTTAATGAAGGAATTCTTAACAGGACCCGTTCAGGATTAAACAAGTTTTGCTGGGGGTCGGAAGAAACTCCCCAGACCTCCACAAACAAGTTTTGTTGGGAGCCTAAAGGAACTCCTTAAACCTCCATGATTTAGCAGGGGACAAGATAAGGGTAATCACCCCAGCACCTGGGCCCGTCTAGATGAAGTAAATTTACTGAGGCTCCAGAGGAAGGTCTTCAGGACTCAGATCTTAGTTATAGATAAGAAGTTAATCACATGTCTTTAGATGATATGTAGACATATAGATTGAATGTGTATAAGCTCTGGAAAACTTTGTAATTTTGAGTTGGTCTGGTGATATGTTCCCAGCCTTCTCCCTGTACGCAGTTACGGAAATCAACTCTCTTCTTTCACGGTTCATCTGTATCCCGTTATTGGGCTGTGAGAATAAGCAGCCCGACCCTCGGTTAGGTCTGGGAACAAGCTGATAATATTGAGGACCTGCTACATGCTAGGTCCTAAAAAGTGTTTTTGCATTTAATCCTTGCAAGGACCCTCTGTAGAAGGTGTTATGGTTCCCATTTCACAAGAGGAATTTGAGATGCAGAAAGTGAAGTCTGTCCTAGGGATTCAATTGCAGGTTTCTTTGATAACAAAGCTTTGGCTCTGTCAAAGACACTGATTACCATGTACTTTTAAGCCTCTAAATCTGAACCTTTGATTGTATTTTTTTTCTATTGTATGAAGCCTTTCTAAATTTCATAATAGTGAATTGCTAAAATGTTTTCAAGTCAGTTTACAATTTCTTTCCATTCTTTGCCTTATTTTACTTATAGAGGTATTGCACCTGCTTTGAAATTTCTATTGTACACGTTTGAGCTGGTTAATGAAGAATAAATAGGCACCTGATAGAATGCTCCTCCAGTTTATTATTATACTATATTTTATGTCTTGAGTGTCCCAGAAATGTTAGCTATTGCTGTTACTGTTAATAATATTATTTTTACCTTTCCTGAGTGAAGAAATTACCAGATCAGAAGTAGGAGGGACTGAAAGGAGAGAAATAGGCTTTAGGCCCTATATTTGTAAAGGATAGTTGCTACCTGTATTTAGGGATTGGGCATCGACTGCAAGAACCCTGGGGAAAAAAATTGGAACCTAAGAGTGTGGCAGGGGGCATCCTAGAAACCTCTTCAAAATGGGGGTCACGTGTCCTCAGAATGGCTCTCAGGAAGGCTCCTTGGCATTCATATTTGTGAAAAGGTTGCAGGACCACCATATAAGCGGGCAAAGATGGCTTTATTGCGGAAGCAGGAAGATTACTATTCTGTAGCTGAGAAAATCAGAGAGTAGAGGGTTTTGCTCCTGCTGCATTTGAATGGAATTGGCAGTGAGCTGGAATATAGCCTGCCTGTGGGTGGAGTTAGTGCACAGCATCAGTGGGCAGGCAAGGGAAAATAAAATATACCTACTTTGACTTTGCAGCCAGAAAGAGGGAGAATAAGCAAAACACAAAGGAAAAAAAATGGCTTCTCAGAAAACAGAACTGCTGTTAAGAGCTAGATAGCAATCTCAACAAGCAATCTGAACAAGCAAATGACAGAACACTCATGTAGATTTCATGATGGCAGACAAACTTGCATATACACACATACACACGCTCAACTGGTGCGGCTTCCAAATGAAAATGTTAATTGAAAGATGGATGGATACCACAGAGACTTAAGTCAGGTCCCTTGATGAATAAGTAAAAAAAAAAAAAAAATACAAAATATAGTGATATTACAAACGCAAGGAAATTACGGTAGAAAAGATAAGATAGTTGGAAGTCAGACCCAGGAGCTCTAATGGGTCAGTAATAGTCCCCTCAGAGGGAGAAGAAGGAAATGATAGTGGAGGCATATTAAATAAATAATATAAAAAAACTCCTTGAGATAAAGAAAGGCGTGAATCAACGATTGTGAAGTCACCTAGGTCTCTAGGCAGGATTAATAAGAGAAGATACAAACTTCATAAAATTGTTCGGCTTTGAGCGTAAAGAACAAATCTTGCAATCTTCTAGACAGAAAGAATAAGTTATTTTCAGAGGAAAAAAATTCAGACTGGCATCTGAATTCTCTGCATTGCTACAATGGACACTAGAAGAAGGGAGAGTAGCACCTGTAATTCCTGGAAAAAGGACTCCTGTATACAGTCAAAAAATCATTTCCACGTCAAGTGAAGGAAAGATATTTTGAGACAGAAAAGGATTTAGATACTATCTCATTGTAACTAATTACATTATTATATGTTAATTATATGTTAATATATTATTATATGTTCAAAAAAGAACTTTGACCAAACAGATGCATCACAGTATAGAAACCTTAAGATGGAAGAAAACAGAGGGAAAGTAGAGGTGAAAAATAAACCTTGTTTTTTTTTTTTTTTTTTTTTGTGTGTGTGTGTGTGTGTGTGTATTTAAGTGGATAATAATAAATGACTTAACAGATGTAATATAAATGCTAAATATGGAGTCTCAGAATTATCATTGCTAACCTTAGCATAGCCTGGAAGTAAAAGTATGAAACTCCACAGAATCAGGTTGGTGCAGGTTTGAGCCTAATTTAGCAGAAGAAATATTTGTGCGGAAAACAGAAACCAGTTTGACAATTCTTTTCCTAGCTTGTCTTTTAGCCAAATACTTCTCTGTATAATTTAATAGATCTTGTTCTAAAGGAGAAAGGCAAAAGTATAATTTGGTGTAGAAAAAGTTCCAAGAGAAGTTTTTAGGCAAACAGGTTATTTCCTGAGATATTAAGCATTTTGCTAAAACTGTATTTTAGTAATGATTCAAATATTGGACATAGATATGAGTTCATGAGTTTAAAACCTGTCACACAGAAATTGGAACCCTCCTACACTGCTGGTGGGAAAGTAGAATGGTACAACCATTTAAGAAAACACTCTGACAGCTCTTCGAATGATTAACATAGAGTAACCATATATACCTGCCATTCTACTCCTAAGTATGCACCCAGAAGAAATGAAAAGATATGTCCACACATAAACTCGTACGTGCATATTCGTAGAAGCATTATTCATCATAGCTGTCAAAAGTGGAAACAAGATATCCATTAACTGATAAATAGACAAATGATTTGTGGTATATATAATGGAATATTGTTTGGTGACACAAAGGAATGAAGTACTGATGCGTGCTAAAATATTAGGATAAACCCTGTAAACATGCTAAATGACAAAAGCCAGTCAAAAGGGACCACCTCTTGTATGATTCTATTTATAGTGAAATGTCCAGAATAGGTAAATCTGTAGAGACAGAAAGATTAGTGGTTGCTGGGAGTTGAGGGGAGAGGGAAAAGAAGGGGAGATACAGGCTTTCTTTCTGGAATAATGCAAATGTTCTAAAATTGATCGTGGTAACTGCATAACTCTGTGAATATGCTGAAAGGCATTGATTGTATATACTTACTTATTTGTTTATTTATTATTTTGAGGTGGAGTCTCACTCTATTGCCCAGGCTGGAGTGCAATGGTGTGATCTTGGCTCACTGCCATTTCTGCCTCCCGGGTTCAAGCGATTCTCCCGCCTCAGCCTCCCAAGTAGCCGGGATTGCAGGCACCCACCACCACGCTCAGCTGATTTTTGTATTTTTAGTAGAGGCAGGGTTTTACCATGTTGGTCAGGCTGGTCTTGAACCTGCCTCGGTCTCCCACAGTGTTGGGATTATGGGAATGGGCCACTGCGCCTGGCCTGATGGTGTATACTTCAAATAAGTAAATTGTATGGTATGTGAATTATACATCAATAAAGCTGTTTAACGCACTCTCAGACCTATCACTTGCTTCCTATAGCCTGTCTTTCCAATGCTTTGTTTTTTCTAAAAATTTATTTTATTAAAAATATGTGGTCAAAAAATGGCAGTAAAATTTCAGGTTGACAAACCTTGTGAATGGAATGGTTAGTATGTTATGTGCAATGTTTTCAGAAAGCCAGCTATCAAAATGAAAAGCAATCAAGATTGACATTGTGGTAAATCTTCAGTTAACATATGAACAGACCAAAAACACCTAAGTCATCTGTTACTGAAATTATATTAGACATTTTCATTGGAACGCTTTTGGTTACCTTGGAGGAAAATGCAATATAAAGGGATTTTTGCAGTTTACAAAGGTTTCTGTTAAGCGAAATTCCAAAGTAAAGTGTGTAGTGAGTCAGACAGTGAGCTTCACAATTCTTTTTAGAGCATAAGGGCTTTGGGCTGCCCTGTATTTAACACCCCATTGGTTTGATAGGTCTTTGAATTCATGATGATGTCTTTCTGGTCCAAGTGTTTTTTTTTTTTTTTTCCTTTCTTCTTATTTCCTTATGATCTCACTTATCTTTCTCTTTCTGCTTTATTTTTTCTCTCTATAGCATATTTAAAAATGTATTTCTAAAGAATTTATATCTGATAGCAAAATTAGCTTGTTCACTGATAAAGAAAAAATGTAGATAAACCAAAAATTTTACATTAAACGGGATGGTTTTGATAGCTGGAATTTTCGGTTACCTCACACTGCACCTGAAATCTTTTTGTGTGCTCTTTAAATCTTGTTGGAAATCTTTCCGAAAAATGTCACTTTCCTCCCTGCCCGTGAAAATAAAATATATGTTTAAATTATCAGTGATAGTTGAAAGGCTTTACAGTTCCCAGGTTTCTTATTGTCAACAAATATTTACTGGCTGCTTACGATGTAAGATTCTCATTGAATAGGGTTGTGCTGAAGATGATATAAGATATTGGGCTGAGTGTATCCTGAGTCCAGAATATCTTACTTGAAGATTCTAATAAGAGTTTATTCCGTACATGTTCTAATATTAAAATATATCCAAATGCTCTTCCTCCAGACCTGTATTTTCACATCAGAAATGATAACACTTTTCTATGTTTCTTAAAAGAGAAAGATTTAACTTGGCTCTTTGACGATTCTACAACTCCTCTTGCATATTGCTTGTTAAAGCATGGAAAGGCAGACTTTATTGAAGGCACTGTCTTGATAGGCATAGGGACCACTACAATAAGGCTTTGTAGTAAGAGAGAAACGTTGGGTTAAATTCCAAATACAACGAGGATAAATGGATTTCTATAGCCAAAGACCAAGGTGTAGGGCTCAGTGAATGGAAGATTACTAGGAGGAAATACTGGGGACAAGGAGGATTCTGGCTAAACTGACCTAACAGGATTCTTGCTGAAGACAGGCCAAGATGATCAGATATTGCCTGGGGAATGGCGGAGGGTAAGGAATATTTATAAAGAGTGGTCAGATATTGAGTCAGTCTTGCCAAACTGACTTAGCAGGATTCTTGTTAAATTGGGTCTGTAAGGAATATGCCCAAACATGGGGTCTAACCAGACTTAAAAGAGCCTGTCTGTAATTTGCTAAAGGAGAAAATCTTTGTCAGTCTCTACATGGGGTTAATGAGGTGATGGAAAGAAGAGCTACTCTCAGCAGAAGAGAAAAGACTGCAGGGAGGATTACTTTCAAAGTAGAGCTTCCCAGAGAGACATGGTTCAGTACTGGTTTGTTATCCTTACATGGAAAATCATTTCACAGGGAAGAGACGTTGGGAATCTGTATGGATTGCACAGTGGGTGTTAAGCCAATGGAAGAAAACAGGTCTCCTCTCAGAAGATTTTGCATGTAAACAGTTCATTAATTAATCAAGTTTTATTCATTTAAGTCGTCTCTCAAGAGGCCCAGAAAAAGTGTTAAGACTTGAGTTATTGCCCTCATGGAGCTTCTAGTCAAGGTGGGAAAGACTCTCAGAAAAAAGCACATTCATTATTTGTTGATATGAGCTTCAGAAGGAAAGCATAACCATATATGCATGGGGCTCTTGGTGCTCTTGATGCATTCTTTCCACTGAGCCTGAGTTCTCTTTGAAATTGGCAAAGTGAATTATGTTATCTACTACCCTACTTTAAACGCTTCAATAGTTTTTCACCAATTTAGGATAAAGAACAAGAAATCCTTCACATGTCCTTCATGGTTCTGAATGAGCTGTCCTCTGTCAGTCTCTCCAGGTAATGTTTTATATTCTCACTGAATTCTCTTTCCTTGTGAATATTTCTTGTGCTTTGTTGGGTTTCCATATAGATTTATACAAACCTGTCTCTAAGCCTGTTAGCATTGTGGCAGCTTACAGGGATGGCAAAGGGACCCTGGGGTTTAGTATGTGCTTGCATTTTGATGAAGGTGGGAACGGTCACTGGAGTTGTGCTTAATGACAGCGCTCCCTTCAGTTTATAATGCAATGGATGACACATAAACACGCCTACATGTACAGATCACGCCTCTGCTGGATCACTAGGTCAGTTGATAAAATTGAGACGGTAGGATCTGTCTGCAAGCTTATTGAGAGGTTTGATCATGTTTTCCTCCTTTATCTGCCCTTGGTGTTTCTTATCAACAGTACTCTAATTCCTGTAAATAAAGATACACAGAGATCTGTTCCAATTGTGACACTTGGGAGTCTGTGTTCCGAAGGAGGTCTTGTTGAAGAATGAAGAAGGCCTTTAGTTCTTAGCAGATGGCCCACTCTAGTGAATTTCATTGATCTTTGCTGTCTACAATGATCCCAGTGTGCTATGCAAATTACTTTGGATACATCTGCTCCATACACCTGTGTCTCAGTGGCACCGTTCTGTAGCTTTTCAAGAAACACCTTTGTCAATATGTATGGCTTTTGGTGTGAGGCTGGCCCTATTCCATCATTTGCTGTCCTTTGTTTAAACAGATAAACATTTAGTATGGACACATGCTTGCTGCCCAAGGGATGCTGTTTGTGGAGAGTGCTTGCTTCTTTGAGAAATATTTTCCAAATAAAACTATTGTATATCTGTCAGGGATAAGAGCAGGCATTTATATGGGGGCAGACAGAGCACTCAACCTGTATCTTGGCAAATCCCTGGGGTCACCAAGGGAATGGTGGTTGGTGATGATAACACTGAACCACATATTTTGAGTTAACTGGATAATTTCTTAGGGAATTGAATTCTCAGCTGTCATTACAAGACCTTCCTCTCTGTTTGCTGTTGTTGATACTCTTTATTTTGTCTTCTTCTGTGAAGTCTATAATTTCAGATAATTTTTACCCAAAGTTGTGGTCATTTTTCTTACGCACATGAGTTTTCACCCTGGAGAGAAGGAGAACAAATTCTTGGGCCAAATCCAAATGGCTTTTGTTTTCTGGGTCAATGGGCTACATAGTCATGAAACCTCAGAGCTATGTTTGCCTCACTGACTACTTTATACTGTGGAATGTTTTAGAATTTTAAAGATGATCATATCTGGGGGCATGTGGTAGACAAAAGGCTGTTTATTTTCCAGTTCATGAGTTTGCTCACCTGAGGAGTTTAATAAAGGCTTACAACACATGACATTTAGTTTTAACAATGAGGGGGCTTTATGGAAAAGAGTAAGGTTACATCATCTTGGAGCCCACCTTGGAAATCAGAATGAATTACTGCCCTAAGGGTAATATAATCTGGAAATTAAAAGAGTTGAGAAGCCACATGTTGTTTATTGCAGTCAAAGGGCATTTGGCAGTAGCCTAGATATTACTAAAGCAGGTCTCAGAAAAGCTTACGGGCATATCCTTAATCATCATGAATTATGTATTAGATGTAGGAAAACATTTACTTGGTGTCACACCCACTAAGTATTTATCACATTGTACTTTTTACTCACATGCTTGATAATGCAAGTTCTCTTAGCTTAGACTTAGAGACATAGCAAGATGCTAATATAAAATAAAAAAATAATAAACATCAACCAGGTAACTTGTGGCTGATGGTCTTCCAATCTTGGAAGATTTCTAAATATGCCTGAGGACTTGAAAAGACTTTATTTTGGCCATGGGGTATTCTATTTGTCATCTATTGAAGTTCATTTCACTTGGCTAATCTGGTTGTTCTGAATTGAGTAAGTCATCTGCAGAATACTTAGAGACTGTATCGAGGATTCGCATCTGTTCTCTATCTGGGATGTCTGGCCATCTGGTAGTGACTACTGTTTCAAGGGGTTGATAACAGGGATTGGGGCATGAACAGTTACTTTCTGCTTCTCATGTAGACATGCACTTTCTCTAATCAATGTGGATGAACATGTCTTTTACTTGTCTCAGGGACCAGTTGTTACACATAGATGCTATATCCTATTAACAACTGTTACACATAGCTGTTTGCTGAGTTTGTTTAGAGTAAGTTGCAATACAATGAGTTTCCTAATTCTAACAAATTACTTGTGAATAGTCCTATTGTCCTTCCATCAGCAAGTGATGGAGAAGAGTCTTGCACATATTAGATACGTGATACCTTTTTGTTCATTGAAAAGGTTTTTCTTTCTAATGAGGGAAGTAAGTGACTTGCAGAGAAATACTTATGTTCATGTGGCTAGCTACGTACTGAAACAAGACATCAAATACCTTCTCAGACATTTGATGGAGAGATGGAGAGGGGTTAAGATAATCATATTTTGGGGCATGTGATAGACAGAAGGCTACCATAGAGATGGAGAGGGGTTAACTAGCCGCCTATGTAAAATTGTCTTCTTCAAATCAGCTTAAACGTCTTTAAGAATATACTTTTCCTCAGATATAGTTACAACAACAATGGTACAAGATAGGACATTTGGAAATGTCAATTACTAATTAAAATTTAAATATAGACGAATAGGTATTGGATTATAGAGCACTGATGTTTTGAAAATACCAAAGGCTGTTTAATAATTGGTCCTGAGGGCTATTGTGGTTTCATTGCATTAAACCTAAAACTTTACTTTTCCATGACCTGTTAAGCATCTGCCAACGTCTTCTAGAAAAATAATTCAGCTGGCTGACAACAGTGATACTGCTGTGCAACAAAGAGATGCCAGAATTATTTCCCTTTGGAATATGTCATTTCTTAGATTCAACATAAAGTCAGATTCAATTCACTTTTATTGAGTGGTAAGCTTTTATGCAATGAATTTGAAAATTTCTGTTAGTACATTGTAGTAGATGTTTTCCTATCTTTCTAGATTTGTGCAAGGTGTTAAGTCAGAGACATAATTTAAACCCAGATCCTCTGACTCTAGGTCTGGTACTTTTCATATATTGCCACAGTAGCCTCTTACATAGCAAGCAAAGCCAGATATTCTAGACTAGGGCTATTCCTTTGCACTATTGTTGAAGATAAATCTTCACTCTTACTAAAATCTGTTCGAACCCATTTCAACCCTTGTTCATTACTCCTTTCTATCACTCCTTGAGCATTTTAATTTTCTTTTTTAAAAATAACACCCTCAAACCATATATATTAATATGTATGCAATTGAAAACATTGTAAAGCACAATCCTTCTCAGTGTAATTACCCTCTAAGACGAAGCTAGTGCTCACAGTGAACTGATGGGAAGAACTATCATAGTAGTTGAGAGCACAAGATTTGGAGTAAAAAAAATACATGGATTTGAAGTTCCTCTTTTCTCTGAGCTCAGTTTCCCCATCTGTAAAGTGGTAATCACAATAGTATCTGCCTTTGAGGGCTATGGTGAGGAGTAATTCAGATAACGCATACAATGCACAGTGCCTGGCACATAGGAAGTGGTCTCTTAAATGATTACTGATACCATCATTACCACTGTTGTTACTCTTCATGTTCTGATAATCACTCATCTTAATAATCAGTCATCTTGTCTAACCATTTTGGAAGGCTAGTATTCAAAAGCTACCTCTGTGTCTTTAGGGCCACGAGGTGCTGATCTACATCTTACACTGATGTAAGAGTGGATCTTTAAGTCCTGGAACATAAATTTCCCTTATTCTACTTTCACGTAATAGTTTTTATGAATCTTGCTCCTTATCCCCCTGGATCATAGAGTGACAACCAAATGGGCTGGAATAAACTGTTTCTTTAGGTATTAACTCTGGTGAAACAGAATGAAACTTAAAATGAGCTTCTTTATCACTATTAGCTTCAGGAAATAAGAAAACTTCTTGCAGGGCCCTATCACCAGCTACATGACACAAAGCTCACAATAAATGAAATAATCTTGCCCAGTGTCAAGCCCAGAAGTTCCTCTTGGAAGGTATCATTTAAAAATACATGGAACAAGGAAACTCTAAGGGAGCATTTTTCTTTTAATCAACAGTTGAAAGCTCTAAGACCCATTTGTTATACTGTATAACTTAATATGTTTAACTTTTCCAACAACTAAAGGCAGTAGTATTTTCACTGCTACCTAATTACATAATCAATATTTATTATGTTTCTATTATGGCTTTGTAGTATGCACCGAGAATAGTAGTGGACAAGATCCAAGTGATCCTTGCCCTCATGGAAGCTACATCTTGGGGATGGAAAATGGGGAACAAACTCCAACTGGTCGTAGCTCGTAAAATACGATAGTTCTCGTGCAAAGATTGGGGAAGGACAGAATGCTACGAAAATACTTAACAAACGCATCTACCATTTTAGGACTTGGGCTTGATGGAAGGCTTCGTGAAGAAATTTATGTTTATGACAAGACCTGAGGGATAAGTAGGAGCACACCAGGCAAAGATGAGTGGGGAATTTTATGTAGAGAAGGCAGCATGTATGTTACAGGACCAGCAAGTTCATATGCCCTCAGCACAGTAACAAACCAATTACACTGAGACAGCAGGGTTTGCAACAGAAAAAGAGTTTAATGATTGCAGGGTAGCCAAGTGAGGAAATAGGGTTAGACTCTCAAATTTATCTCCCCAAGAAGTTCTGGACTGGAGTTTTTAAAGGGGATCATGGAGGGTGAGGGGCTGAAAAATTGTAGTCGTTGAGTGGTCAGAGTAAGGGAGATGAAATGTGAGCATTTCAGCTTGTGAGCCAGCTCCTTGTGGGGTTCCTCAGACCAGCTGAGTCAGTAGTTTCACCATTATGCAGGCTCTGAAAGCGAATCTCAGAGGGAAAGCTTAACATTTCACAATGTTCAGGTTGCTATCTACAGTACAGTTAAAGGGAACTATAACGTTGTGACAGTGTCTGTATGATTCTGAGGCAATAGGCACTGCTATGAGGAAGCAGGTCCGAGAGCAGGCTTACCTCATGATGAAAGCTGAGTGTGCTGCCAGCTCAGTTTATTCTCATTTCTCCTTCTTCCTTCTTCCCTGACTTCTTCGATAAAGTTTATATGGACAGATTCATGTATAAAGGCCAAGGAGTAGGAAGCCATGGGGGAGAAAGAATTCCATTGCAGCTGGAGAATAGAGGGTGTGTGAGTGTGGGGGAAGCAGACAGCATAGTGAAAAGAGGTAAAGCTAAAGAGGCAGAAAAGGACTTGTAGTGAGGATTCCCTAAATCTCTCAGAGGCAGAATGATGAACTTGGGAAGGGGCCAACCAATGTGTGTTGGAATCTTGGCTTTGGACACAATTGATTTCTCTGACATCATATTTATTTCCTTGTAAGATGGAGAGAGTAATATTTACCCCACAGGGCTATGATGGGTATGGAGTGAAGTAAATAAAATGATATACTTAAAGGGCCAGATATCATCCTTTGACAAAGTTGGTACTCTTGAAATGCCTATATATATATATATATATATATATGCACACAATACACACCCACAGAGTTACTAGAAGGATATGAATATTTAACCTGTTATTTCTTTATAAGAAGACTGCATTTGTTGGAATGCATCCACATATGAATGTGCATTTATACATAAAGGGTCACTGGCTTAGTCTGTAGGGGAAGTTGTTAGTCTTTGATACAGAATATAGGCATTTTCTCTTTCCCTGAAGTGGGAGAACATTAAGAAATTATGTTTCTGAAGAACAGGACTGTATTGGTTTCCTACTGTTGCTGTAACAAATGATAACAGACTTCAAGGCTTAAAACATAGATTTATTGTCTTACAGTTTTAGAGGCTAGAATTTGAAATGGACATCTCTGGACTAAAGGTATCAGAAGGGCTGTGTTTCTTCTGGAGGCCCTTGAGGAAAATTCATTTCTTTGCCATTCCCAGCTTCTAGAGGCTGCTGGCATTCATTGGCTCATGGCCCCTTCCTTCATCTTCAAAGCTTGCAGCATAGCATCTTCCAGTCTCTCTCTGGACATTGGATCCACTGGATACTCTAGGATAACCTCCCCATCTCAAAATCCTCAATCAGATCTACAAGTTCCCTTTTGCCTTTAAGATAACATATTTATAGGTCCCAAAGATTAGGGCTTGAACATCTTGGGCACTATTATTTTGCGTGCCACAGGATCTTTCTTTTCCTAGAGGAACAGAGAACCAATATCCTTGTTTCTAATAATTAAGGCTCTGGTTTTAATAGGGATCAAGGTGTGCCCAGAATTGGTGGGTTCTTGGTCTCACTGACTTCAGGAATGAAGCCACAGACCCTCACGGTGAGTGTTACAGTTCTTAAAGATGGTGTGTCCGGAGTTTGTTCCTTCAGATGTTCAGATGTGTCCAGAGTTTCTTCCTTCTGATGGGTTCGTGGTCTTGCTGACTTCAGGAGTGAAGCTGCAGACCTTTGCAGTGAGTGTTACAGCTCTTAAAAGGCGGTGGGTCTGGAGTTGTTTGTTCCTTCTGGTGGGTTTGTGGTCTCACTGGTCTCAGGAGTGAAGCTGCAGACCTTTGCAGTGAGTTACTGTTCATAAAGGGGGCGCGTCCGGAGTTATTCGTTCCTCCCATCCGGAGTTGTTCATCCCTCCCTGTGGGTTCGTGGTCTCGCTGGCTTCAGGAGTGAAGCTGCAGACCTTTGTGGTGAGTGTTACAGCTCATAAAGGCAGCGTGGACCCAAAGAGTGAGAAGCAGCAAGATTTATTGCAGAGAGCTAAACAACAAATCTTCCACAGTGTGGAAGGGGACCTGAGTGGGTGCAGCTGCTGGCTCCCTGGCCTGCTTTTATTCCCTTATCTGGCCCCACCCACATGCTACTGATTGGTCCATTTTACAGAGAGCTGATTGGTCCTTTTTGATAGAGCGCTGATTGGTGCATTTTACAAACCTTTAGCTAGACACAGACCGCTGACTGGTGCATTTACAATCCTTTAGCTAGACACAAAAGTTCTCCAAGTCCCCACTGACCCAGAAGCTGGCTTCACCTCTCAAAGCCTCTTCCAGATTGGCCATCAAGAGCTATAATGAAATAGCAGGAAAAAAAATGTGGCTTTCCAATTCTTCCACCATGCTTCCCCTTCCTGCCTTCTCCAGCCACTCAGGCCTTCTTCCAGGCTTCTTTGTGACACAGGCCCAGACCCTTTGCCTAAAATGCCCTTGTCTTCACCTGAACTCCTCCTTAGCCTTCAGATCTCAGCTTAACTATCACTTCTGAAGTTCAGTTGCCTCAGTTCTTGGAGATTATGCTAGGTGCCCCATAGTGGAATAATGTTGAGACCACTACTGATATGGGAGCACATTCATTCCTTTATTCATTCATTAAACAAGTACTTATTGAGTGCTGTTACAAATTGGGGGGTTCTGGAGGCAGATGCTGAGACAGAGTTGGGATACAGTATATTTATTAGAGATCAACACTTGTGAAAGGAAGGGGAAAGAATAGGTTTGAGGAGAGGGGGTAATCAAATGCTGATACAGGCCCCAGCAAATTCCAGCCACTGCAAAGGTTGGTAGGGGGCAGTTCTGGAGCTAATGTTGCCTGTTAAAGTGATCTGTATAGGGGCCCAATTGACAGACCTTAGGGTTGGTCTGTCCTAGGATGGAGGTGACCCTGAGCAAGGCAGAACCTCGCAGCAGAGGTAGACCCTGAAGGAGCTGAGAGCTGGAGGCCTTTTGTTGACTCCCCAGAGTGGGACAGCAAACCCGGCCTTGAAGGAGATTCTGGGCAGTGCATCTCCATGTGTCTTCTACATGCACTTGCTATGTGCCAAGAACTTCTGTAACTTTTCTAGGCACCGAGGGATACATCAAGGAACAAAACAGGTACAAATGTCTGCTGTTATACATTTTACATTATAGTGTGAGAGGCAGATAATTAAGGAATAAATAAAATATTTAATATGTAGATGGTGATCAGTGCTACAGAGAATAAAGCAAGTTGGGGGTGTAGAGAGTGCTGGGGGAGGATTGTAATTTTTTAAGTGGGGTTCAGGAAGGTGACACTTGAGTAAAGACTCTAAGATGATGAGAAAGGGAACTGTCTCATCATCTGGGAGGAATCTCTGAGCAGAGGGTTCAACATTCCTGCAGTAGGAGGGGCAGGGCAGCTGGTGTGGCCGGAGCAGGGGGATTGAGGGAGAGAGTTAGAGGCCTTGAGATCTGAGGGGAAATGGGAAAGGGTAGGGCAAGATGATGTCTATGGGGTTTTGGGAGCTAGTCTGAGGATTTTGGCTTTATTTAGAATAAGAAACAAAGCTACTGGATGGTTTTGAGTGAAGAATGACATGACTGACAACTATTTTAAACAACATATCACTGGTGCTAAATATCCTGTTATTATGAAGAAATGAAAAACAATGCTGAATCATCCCTGTTGAGGCAGCCTGTAAAAGTTACCTGGAAACACCTGAGGAAACTGGGAAGGCTTCAGACTCATTTAGGGAGTTTGAGAGACCAGAGGAGGATCACAGACCTACTGAGCCATAAATGAGCAAAAGAAAGCCAAGGAGCTGACAACGTAAGTTCAAGATCAGGACTCCTAGTAAATATAAAACAGGTGAATTCTGGGTTAATTACTGCATATTTCACTTTTTATCAGGGGAAAAGAACATGCCTATGTCAGAAGCCTAGGTATTTTGGAATTTTAAAATTTTGGTGCTTTGCTTTGCTTTGCTTGATTTATTGTTGTGCAGTGTGTCTATTGATATCTACAAGTGACAATCATAAAAAATGAGTTGATAATTTACTAATGAGAAAGGACCTGTAGATCTTTCTCATCTATGACATAGTTACATTGGATGGCTACCATCTTTGAGGAACTATATTTGTGTTACTTCAATTTCTTTAGTGTGTAAATTAATATATGCTGGTATTTTTCAGTTTTGTTGATCTAACCTTCATTCAGTGGGCTCTTAAGGAAATTGCTAAGTGCTAGGCATTTGGATATATGCTGGTGACACAAAAATGCACACAGAATTGAGTGCATGCAGGCAAAGAGCTCATAGTCTAGAACTGTGGTTCTCAAGTGTGATCCTGGATCGGCTGTATCAGCATCACCTGGAACTTGTTAGAAATACAAATGTTTAGTCCCCACTCAAGACCTACTTAATTAGATATTCTGAGAGTGGGGCTAAGCTATCTGGTTTAATAAGCCCACAGTGGTGAGCCAGAAGAAAGCCCTAGGTACCAGATGAGCCCAGAGGAGGAATTCCCTAACTTGAGGCAACTCTGGACCATCGCTGCCAGGGATAAGCCCTAAAAAGAGTAGGGTGTAACTTGGTAGAAGAAGTGTAAAAGGACTCTACAGGCACAAGAGCCAGTCCAGCTGTGGAGGACAAAGACCATACTGTATGTATCCTTCTATGGCTACAGGGTTGGTACCTGTAGTGGACTATCTGGATGGAGATGATGAGGTACTGTATTAGGCCATTCTTGCATTGCTATAAAGAAATATCTAAGACTGAGTATTTTATAAGAAAAGAGGTTTAATTGGGTTATAGTTCTGCAGCCTACACAGGAAGCATGACACCAGCATCTGCTTCTGGTGAGGCCTCAGGAAGCTTACAATCATAATGGAGGCAAAGGGATAGCAGGAGTCTCACATGATAGGAGCAGGAGCAAAAGAGAGAAGGAGGAGGTGCCAAACACTTTTTAAAAAAATTATTCTTTTTTTAAGTTCCATAGTACACGCGCAGGATGTGCAGGTTTGTTACATAGGTAAAGGTGTGGCATGGTGGTTTGCTGCAATTGTCAGCCCATCACCCAGCATGCCCATTATAGTTCTCACCTAACCCATGCCCAGCATGCATTAGCTATTTTTCCTAATGCTCTCCCTCCTTCCACCCCACCCCACTGACAGGCCCCAGTGTGTGTTGATCCCCTCCTTGTGTCCATGTGATCGCATCATTCAGCTCCCATTAATAAGTGAGAACATGCAGTGTTTGGTTTTCTGTTCCTGTGTGAGTCTGCTGAGGATAACTGTGCCACACACTGTTTAACAACCAGATTTCATGTGAACTCACCTCATCACGAAGGGGATGGTGTTAAGTCATGCATGAGGGATCTGCTCCCATGATCCAGACACCTCCCACCAGGCCCCAGCTTCAGTACTGGGGATTACATTTCAACATGAAATTTGGCAAGGACACAGATCCAAACCATTTAAGGTAGGTAGATAGTATGACCTTTAAGTAGCACCTGTAAATAACTGCTGGCTTTACACCCTTAAAAAAGACTATCACTAAACTCTTGGTGATCACAACTGGAGGAAGTATATGGAGTGGAAGATGATGAGACTTAGGTGAAGAGCTCTGTCTTGAAATCTCAAACTCTGGCATCACGGTGATGGCTCATGTTAAAGTAGAGGGGCCTTTGTTTTCAGATACCTTCTGGAGGGTTCTTCCTGAGATGCAACAAGGAGATCTTGTCCTTCTGGCTTCTTGAGGTGATGCTGATGTTGTTCGACAGGGCTGATTCCTAGGGGATGGTGGTACATATCCGGGCCTCCTGTGGAAGTGCTCATGAATTAGTCATTTTTGTCACTCCAGTTCTTTCTCAGCTCCCTACCCCCAAGGCTGCTTTCTCAGCAGTACCACTTGAAGTATCTTCCTGCATTTTTGGTCTGCCATATTTTTATTACTGTAATTCTTTGTACTACTCCTTGCTGGTCCTCTGCCATTAGGTGGGTATTCTATAGCTAAATTATAGTACTTGGAGAATGAAATTTTTCCAGTATTTTGCCCCTATGGTGTGATAACTTCTCTAACTTGAAGTAAAAAATTGATTTTGAAATTTCGACATTAAGCTTCCAAATGGCCTAACTTTGCTTCCAAATGGCCTAACTTTGGAATTATAAGCTTCCAAATTATTATTTGGAATTATAAGCTTCCAAATGGCCTAACTTTGCATTTTCTGCCTGATGTTTAAGTTACTTGCTTACCAATTTTTTTTTCTAAAAGATTTTTACCTTTTTGTATATGGGCCTTTTATTGTTGCCTCAGAGAGCTTCCATTGAAAGGTATATATATATTTATTACATGTGATTTTTCAATGTGAGATTTTAAAGTGGGTTTGCTAGGCTTTTGGGCTTCAAAGGTCTAAGAGTCAGATTCTGAGATGTTTAAGTGTAATTGTTTGCTTTATTCTCTGCAGCCTCTAGCAGGTGCTTTTAATCAGTATGGCTAAATTTCATAGTTAGGTATCAAGGATTTCATTTCCAAAGCAGGAGAGAATTCTGGATCAACTCTTAGCTGCATTTCAGTGATATTGTTTTCTTCTGCTGGGTGCACCAAGTTTATGAAAGAGAGCACTGGCATATGACACCAATAGAAAAACTGTCAACAATGAGACTTTCCCATTACGTGTTTTCACTTCCCACATTGACAGTCTGATGTCATGCACTATGATTCTTTGAGTGCTGTTGACTTCAAGGTATCCATGACTTTTCTTTTCTTATAAAACTCAATCAGATTGACTTCCAGGATGGTGGTATGAGCAGCAGAGTGGACCTTCTTCCCAGTGAAACAACTATTTCACTGCTGAAAATTATTTTTTTTAAATAAAAAGTCTTCGGAGATTGTCCTAAGGATATATAGAAAATGGAGAGACATGAAAAATCTACTAAACCTTGGTAAGAATTATGAGATCATTTGAGCTATGATCTGCCTCCTCAATCCCCCTCCCCCAGCTCAGTGTGGTAGAAACCATACTCCAGGCATGTGTAACCAAGAAGATGAGTTTCTTTCTTCCACGACTCCTAGTCTAGTGCTGCTGTTTTACGACAGGAGGGCATGCCACTGACATCTCTCATCCTGTCTCCTCAGTTTTGTGCTGCAGAAGCTCCATTTTGGGCAGATGCCGTCAAGCTAGCTAGTCTCCTTACCCAAAACCAGTACTCACTCTTATGGCTGGAGTTCCACTCAGGCATGTGTTAGGCTGTTCTCACATTGCTATAGAGATACCTGAGACTGGTTAATTTATAGGAAAAGAGGTTTAATTGGCTTATGGTTCTGCAGCTGTACAGGCAGCATGACACTGACATCTGCTTCTGGGGAGGTCTGAGGGAGCTTTTACTTATGGCATAAGGTAAAGTGGGAGCTAGCACATCATGTGGTGGGAGCAGGAGCAAGAGAAGGGGGAAGTGCCCCATGCTTTGAAACAACCAGATATCATTAGAATTCACTCACTATGGTGAAGAGAGCACCAAGTCATGAGGGATCGACTGCATGACCCAAACACCTCCCACCTGGCCCTACCACCAACATTGGAGATTACATTTTAACATGGAATTTACACAGGTCACATATCCAAACTGTATCAAGGAATGACAGGCCAAGAATACTGGGCTCTGAAGCACCCACCCCATCTTTCTTATAGGGTGGGAATTTTATAACAGGAAAAGCAACCTGAGATCGGGGGCTACTCTCCTTGCTCAAAGCCCTGCTCATAGAGCAAGGATATCACCCTCTGGAAGATGCAGGCCACTGTCCCTACCCCCAGCTCCACTGTGTTAAAATAGACATTCTGCCCATGAAGATAGGCAGGCTATAAGGCTAGAGAGCTCCACAGATCTTCCTAAGTGGACTTACTTTATTTGGAATAAAGTGTAAGGAAGTCTATGCTTGAGGGTGTTGATCGTGGTGCTGACCAATTAGTGGTGGTGCCCTTAGGCTGGTAGCTCTATGACACTCATCATATCAACAAGCATAATTGTAGACCTCCTTAAAGTTTAGGAGAGAGAACCAGAAAAAAAGACAGCTAAGGAGAGCCCTTCTGAGTCTGAAGGACCCTCAAAGACTGGCAAAACTTTGTTCTGAAAATGGGTCCTCCCTTATCTGGATAAGTCTTTGCAATATCAAAAACAAAGGAATCAGATAGCAATTAGTAGAGACTAAAAGCTTGGTGGGATACCAATATGGGTAGACCAGTCCAAATTCACAGGGAGACTGTGTATGCCCAAGGCTGTACCCTCTGAGTAGTGATAGTAGAGGTTGCACACTGTGGAGGAAACAGACTTCAGGGAAATAGTCCACTAGGTCATTAAACAAATTTAAAAACTCAAGAAAATAACATGCCTTAGAAAGAGGCTGATAGTGGTGGTTCAGCATACAGAGTTGCTATATTATTTTAAAAGTCCAGTTATTTACAAAATTAAGATATACAAGGAAATGAGAAATTGTGTCACATGCACCATGGAATAAAATCAGGCAATAGAAACTTGCCTGGAAGAGAGCCTAGATTTAGCAAAGACCTCAAAACAGAGATTATAAATATGTTCAAAGAAATAAAATTTGCTTGCATATTAATGGTTATGTCTTATTAAATAGAAAATATTAAAGATATAAACATTATAAAAAACCAAATGGAAGTCATGAAATTGAAAAATACAATAACTGAAATGAAAAATTAACTAGAGGGTTCCAACAGTGAATTTGAGCTGATAGAAGAAAGAATCAGCAACTTGAGGACAGATCAATAGAGATTATGGATTATGCAATCTGGAGAACAGAGAGAAAAAAAGAATGAGGAAAAGTGAACAGAACTTCAGAGAAATGTGAGACACTGTTAAGCGCAATAAATATGCAGAATGGGAGCCCCTGAAGGAAATTACAGAGAAAAGAGCAGAAAAAAATATTTAAAGAAATAATGTCTGATAACATTCCAAATCTGATGAAAAAATATATATCTACCTACCCAAGAAGCTTAAAGAATTCTAAATAAGATAAATGCTAAGACATCAGTAACCTACATCATAGATGTTGAAAGTCAAAGTCAAAAATAAAATTTTGAAAGCAAGAAAAAAGCCTCATTATGTATTAGGTATCTTAGTCCATTTTGTGTTCTATAACAGAGTACCAAAGACTGGATAATTTATGAGGAATCCAAGTTTATTTGACTGATGATTCCAGAGGCTGGGAAGTCCAAGATCAAGGCATCACATCTTGTGAGGGCCTTCTTGCAGTGTCATAACGTGGTGGAAGGCATCACATGGCAAGAGAGTGAAAGAATGCATGAGACTGAAAAAGGGGACCAAACTCCTGTGATAACGAAACCACCCCCATGATAATCCATTAATCCATTCGTGAGAACAGAGACCTTATGATCTAATCACATCTTCAATGTCCTACCTGTTAATACCATCACAATGGCAATTAAATTTCAACATGAGTTTTGGAGGGAACCTTCAAACCATAGCATGAGGGAACTTGAATAAGATTAACAGGTAACTTCTCATAAGAAGCAATGAAGGCCAGAAGGCACTGGGATGACATAGTCGAGGTGGTTAAGGAAAACAACTGCCAACCTACAACTCTACATCCATCGAAGTTATTTTTCAAAAATGAAGGTGAAATAATGACATCCAAAATGAACAAAACCTGAATTTGTTGCTGTCAGACCCATGTGAGAAAAAACACTGAAGTAACTTCTTCAGGCTGAAAGCAGGTGACACCACATTTACATTCAAATGCACAGAAAGAAGCAAAGAGGGCTGCTAAAGGTAATGACATGGTAATTGTAAAAGATGGTATAAATGAATATTGCATTTCTTAATTTTAACCTTTCTTTTCTCAACTGATTTAAGAAGCAGTTGCATAAATAATATGTATATAATTGTATTTTTACACCTATAGTGTGTAGACATGTAATACATTTGCAAATAATAACATGGAACTTGTGAGTAGAAACTAAGCTATTTTAGAATAAGAAAATGACATCAGATAAAAACAAAAATATGCAAGAAGAAATGAAGAGAACCAGAAATGGCAAATAATAAAGTGAGTATTACAAACTGTGTAAATATGTACTTGTCCTCTTTCTCTTAGCTTCATTAAAAGACATGAAATTATACAAGGTAAAAATTACAACAGTATATAGTTGGGCTTGTAACATATGTATCTGTGATATGTATAACAATAATAGAACAAAAGAGGGAGAGGAGGAATAGAGATGTATAAGAGTTAGTTTGTATATATCACTGAAATTAAGTTAGCATGAAAGTTAAGATGCTCTTTTAAAGTCTTAGAGCAACCACTAAGAAAATAAAGAGCTTCTGCACAGCAAAGGAAACTATCAACAGAGTAAACAGACAATCTACAGAATGGGAGACAACTTTTGCAAACTATGCATCTGACAAAGGTCTAATATCCAACATCTATAAGGAACTTAAACAAATTTACAAGAAAAAACAACCCCATAAAACTGTGGGCAAAGGACATGAACAGATGCTTTTCAAAAGAAGACATGCATGTGGCCAAGAAGCATATGAAAGAAAGCTCAACATCACTGATTAGAGAAATGCAAATCAAAACCACAGTAAGATACCATGTCCCACCACTCACAATGGCTATTATCGAAAAACAGCAGATGCTGGCGAGGTTTTGGAGAAAAAGGAACGCATGTACACTGTTGGTGGGAGTGTAAATTAGGTCAATCATTGTGGAAGACAGTGTGATGATTCCTCAAAGACCTAAAGACAGAAATACCATTTGATCCAACAATCCCATTACTGAGTATATACCCAAAGGATTATAAATCACTCTGTTACAAAGACACATGCATATATTCATTGCAACACCATTTACAGTAGCAAAGACATGGAGTCAACCTAAATTCCCATCAATGATAGACTGGATAAAGAAAATGTGGTACATATACACCATGGAATAGTATGCGGCCATAAAAATAATGAGATCATGTTCTTTGCAGGGACATGCATGGAGCTGGAGGCCATCATCCTTAGCAAACTAACACAGGAACAGAAAACCAAATACTGGATGTTCTCACTTATAAGTGGGAGCTAAATGATGAGAACACATGGACACATAGAGGGGAGCAACACACACTGGAGTCTATCAGAGAGGGGAGGGTGGGAAGAGGGAGAGGATCAGGAAAAATAATGAATACTGGGCTTAATATCTGATTGATGAGATAATCTGTACAACAGACCTGCATGATACAAATCTACCTATGTAACAAACCTGCACATGTACCCATGAACTTAAAAGTTAACAGAAAATAACTAAAAAATATATGATTAAAAATCATTGAATAGAATTTGAACACTTATACACTGGTGGTAGTATTATAAAATGATACTGCCACTTTGAAAAACACTTTGGCAATTTTTCCAAGTGCTAAACATGGAGTTGCCATGTGGCCCAGTAATTTCATTCCTAGGTATTTATGCAAGATAAATAAAACATATGTTCACACAAAAACCTGTATACACGTGTTTGTAGAAGCATTATTCATAATAGCTTAAAAGTTTAAATGACTCAAATGTCTGTCAGCTGACCAATGAATAAATAAAATGTGGTATATTAATATTGTAGAATATTTTTTGACAACAAAATAAATGAAATACACGTTACAACACGGATGAACCTTGGAAATATTATGCTAAGTGAAGCCAGTCACAAAAGGACACATATTGTATGATTCCATTTACATGGAATGTCTACAATAGACAACTCTACAGAGAAAGTAAATAGATTAATGGCTTCCAGGGGCTGAGAAGATTAGGGAGTGGGGAGTGACTGTTAATGAGTATGAATGTCTTTCCGGGGTAACAAAAATGCCCTAAAATTCTATTGATGGTTTTAAACTATGTGAACCCACTAAAACCACTGGATTGTACACTTAAAAAGAGTTAACTGTATAGTATGTAAATTACATCTTAATAGAGCTGTGAAAAATCATCACAAATTGTGCTTCATACTTGTTATAAAGCAATTTGTATAAATTAGCACCATTCAGTCCCCAAACTCTGTCTCTTCCTATTTGCTGTGAAATAATGGGGCAGGTATGCAGAGTACCTCAATTTTACCATTGAGGAGACTGAAGCTTAGACAAGTCAACTGACTTGTCGAAGTTCTCACACATACTAATTAGGTAAAGAAACCTTGATGGGGAATATAGGTCTTCAGGCTCCAGACACCTTGTTTTTCCTAATCCGTCACATATTTCTCTCACAAAGGTCTGTGGAACACACTGCTACCTTTTGTTGCCTTGGCTGAAGAAAATGAGAATGAAGAAAATGAGTCTGAATAACACCACTCAGAAATGAAACTATAAACATTTTGATACAATTTTCTCTTTCCTCCATACATCTATGAATACACATTTATTTTTGACATAATTCAGATCACACCCTATATATAATGACTTAGCTTGTTTTAAAGATTTGATATTATCTTCTGAATAATTCTCCATGGCATTGGTCTTCAGAAACATAATTTAATAACTGCCTAATATTTACTCTTATATATGCATCATAATTTATTTAATGCTCTCACTGTCGGACACTTAAATGAATTCAAGTTTTCTTACTCTAAGGAAAGTGCTGTGTACATAAACCTTCATCTGAATTTGACTATTTACTTAGAAGAGACTCCTAGAATGTATGAACTTTTAAAGGGCTCTTGATGTATATAGCAAAACTGTTATCCCTAAAGGCTGCATGAATTTTTCATATCAATAAAACATTGGTAGAGAAGCTATTGGTAGTGGTGGAGAGTCAGAAAATCTGAGTTTGAAACCTGGATCTATCACCTGCTAAATGTATAGTGTATTAGAGTTCTCCAAAGGAACAGAACCAACAGGGTGTGTATATGTGTGTGTGTGCAGGTACGTGTGTATGTGCATGCATATAGATACATGCAAAGAAAGGTGGGGAGAGAGGGGATAAGGGGAGGTTGAGATTGAGGTTTTAAGGAATTGGCTTATACAATAGAACAGACAGTAGAGGCTTGGTGAGTCCAAAATTTGGTGAAGTAGGCTGGAAGGCTAGAAACCCAGGGAAGAATTGCAGGCTTCCGCCTGACAGAACTCATTCTTGTTCAGGGGTCTGTTTTTGTTCTATGCAGGCTTTCAGTTTGTTGGATGACACCCACCCACGCTATGGCAGATAATGTGCTCTACTTAAAGCTCCCTGATTTAAACGTTAATCTCATCCAAAAACCATCTTTACATGCAGAATAATGTTTGACCAAATATTTGGGCACTGTGGCCCAGCAAAGCAGATACATAAAATTAACCATTGCAATGTGTCTGTATCTCATGTATGCCCTGTAACTTGGTTTCCTCATTTGAAAATGGAGTAATGATGTATCTCCCTTAATTAATTTGGGAAAAATAAATGAGTAAAATATATGAAACACGTCTGGCACAGAGTAAACACACAATAAAGTTAGCCACTGTATTATTATATCACATCACTATCACTAACAATTATTATTTGGAAAACTTTGCTTTGTCATTTGTTAACCACTTAGAATTTCTTCTGGAAATTAACTGTTGATAGATGTCCTTTATTAATTTTTGGTTTAAGTGTTTCTATATCATTTTTCGTTGATAAAGATGAAATTTTGAAATGTTAAATATATTAAATATATATGATTTTTATCAATACTATTAATCACATATAATTTATATTGTATATTAATCTTATATAAAACTAATTAGATATGTATATTCTGGATCTTTTTGCTTGCAGGGCAGGGGCTAAGTGTTAAGCCACTTTTTGCCATATGTCATGACCTGAATGTATGTGTCACCCCAGATTCAAATGTTGGAAACTAAGACCCAATGTGATAGTGTTAAGAGGTGGGGCATTTATGAGGTGATTAAGTTTGAGGGCTTTGCTTTCATGAATAGGATCAATACCCAAATAAAAGGGCTCCAGGGAGCTAGCTAAGCCCTTTTGTCTTCCACCCTGTGAGGACACAGCAAAGAGGCTATATCCTGGAAGCAGCAAAACTTCACCAGGAACGAAATCTGCTGGTGCCTTGATCTTGAACTTCCCAGCCTCCAGAACTGTGAGAAACACATTTCTATGCCTTATAAATTATCCAGTCTCAAGTATTTTGATTTACATCAGCCAAATTCTCAACTAGTGAGTACAACCCAGGCCTTGATCTGAGACCCAGCGCTAACAAATAGGAATAAAGACAGAGTGGTTACTGTTATATGGTCTCCAACATGTCACTGACAAAGGTTGCTGGCCATCTGTGGGAAGCCATTGATCCTGATCATACTTGATTTGGTTCTAGTAGTTGGAGATTTTACAGCAATATACTGCTTATCTCCAAACTGTGAGTTGTCAAGGTTCAAGTATGTATGTCTAAGGCATTCAAACTTTAGCCAAGAGAAGGGTACGCCAGTTTGTAATCACAGCACATAATAAAGATGGTCTCCTATAATATTTACAAAATATTATGTGGGCATAGAAGATCAAACATCCTAGGATCAAAGAATCATGGTTAAGGGTTTCAAAGAGGGGGTGATGTGTGAACTGACTTACTGAAGGATGAGTGGAAGTTTACCTAATGGTCGAGGGTGAGCAGTCTAGGTAGCTGGGTTGGCCATTGCAAGAGAAAGATTGGAGCAGATTTGGGGAATCTTGGTTCTGTGTGACCTAGAACAGGGGAAAGAAGGTATGGACTCCTGTGCCAACTATTTTAAATGGCAGGAATTTCCTGGGAGTTGTGATAAGGAGGAAGCTACTGTCACTTGGTGCTCTACTGGAGAGCACGGCTGATTGAGTGGTGAAGTCTGTCATGACTGTAGGGGTGAAGAGGGTGGTACTAGTGCTAAGTTTTTGTCATTGCTTTGATTTGACAGATAAGCATAAAGCAGGTTGTAAAGGAGATTTCTTATGAAGTTTTAACATAATCTGGGAGGTGCAAAAGAGTCTGAAATATCTTTATGCAGATGAAACATAATCAGTTACCCTTTGGAAAATAACTGTGGAAGTGGTATGGAAAATCCTTAGTTTTCTCATCTTTGCACCTACTCCACCCCCGCTTCCCTCACACCCTTCACAAACATATCGCTTCTCACTTGTTAGAGAAGTAACATGTACCAAGGCAATAAGGATTAATCATGCCCTTCATAGCTCATGGTAAAATCACCTCTCTGAGCTACCACCTTGGACTCATTAGAGATCAGGCTGATATTCAGCTGCTGTGTGTTAGTTGCGCTTGCTCAGCCTCACTGGTTGTTTAAATATGAATGTACTCCACACTAGCTGGTAATTATCCAGCCTCCCAAGCAGCCTTGAGTGACTCCCGCTACCCTGGGCACCCCAAGTTTTCCCTTCTGGGCCTTTTCCAGGTCAAGCCAGTAGCAGCGTAAAGACTGGAACAGCACAAGGCCTCCAGTACGCTGCTCCTGGGGTTGTTGTTTTAAAATTTGCTTGAGGTCTGAGTCTTTTCTGATTCATTAGTACCCTGTCTATGCTGGTGGTAAATTAACTAAATATAAATTCTCTCTAAGGATAAATTCAAAGCACTGTGGTTGTTAGGCTTCAGAAAATTTGTATGATTCTTAAACAAAACTGATAGAAATTAAGCAAAACGAAACAAAACCTTTGATTTAGGGAGCTATGGGATAGAGTTTGAGATTTCACTTTTAATTCCAGCTTCTTAGAAAAATACTTGAGTATCTTTGGTCCCAAGGGGAGGATACTTTGATGGAAATGGAACACTAGAGCAATGATTCTTAGCTCTGTAACATTTATAAACATAATTTGGGGGAAGTTTGTTAAAGGTATGGATTCTGCCATAGAAATCTGTTAGTTTCAAATAGTGTCTAAGAAGGTGGTGGTGCTATTATTATTTAATAAACAGAAGCCCCAGGTGATTCTGTGGCAGGTGGTCCATGGATCACACTTTGAGATACTCTACCAGAGGGTACAAATAGTCTGCCTCAGTAGTGCTAAACAGAGGTCACAGTTGTGACCATTCCACAAATATATAAAATACAGTTGTATTCTGCTTACAGAAGAAAAATAGGATTGTGTAGGTTAGGAAGCATGACCACTGACTATACAAAGGTGATGTTCACTTCAGCAAGAATTTTTCTATTATATTTAATTTTAAAATAATATACATGATTATATATAGTCATAAGAACTCTGATTAAAAATCAAATAATATTTTGAAGCCCTAATGGATGGAACAGTTCCCTATACCAACGATCTTCCCATCCTTCCAGTTTCTAACAGACATACTGTAATTTTAATGTTGCTAAGGTTGATAATATTTACATTCTATGGTATAACCTAAATTAAATCTTCTGCAGGTCTTCTATAGACTGGTTTCAAATAAACAGCGCTTTCATTATTGTGCCTAGCAAAATATTTTTCTTGCAGAGCCAGGGAGAGTGTTATGATGATATTTTCATTTCTACAGTCCCAGACACAACCTTCATGTCACTCAATGTAGAACGTCCAGATGGGGGTTTCTTTCTCAGGAGGATCAGTTGCCCTCAAGTTGTAAATCACTGTGCAAATACCTATAAAAGGAGGTTGGCAAATTAAAACTGCATGCTACAGGGATGATCCTGAACAAGACCCACCTGTATCTTATAACCTTCACATTTTACTGTATTCAAACGGCCAAGTTCACTCTGACTTCCAAGAAATACAAAGAGTTTTTATTCTTTGCATTTATACTAGGGCTA
This sequence comes from Homo sapiens, assembly GCF_000001405.40. NCBI lineage: Eukaryota > Metazoa > Chordata > Mammalia > Primates > Hominidae > Homo > Homo sapiens. The sequence goes on from NC_000003.12 coordinate 5,673,897, forward strand.
TATTGAGAAGTTATATTAGTCTGTTCTCATGCTGCTAATGAAAACATACCCAAGACCAGGTAATTTATAAAGGAAAGATGTTTAATGGACTCACAGTTCCGTGTGACTGGGGAGGCCTCACAGTCATGGTAGAAGGCAAATGAGGAGCAAAGTCATGTCTCACATGGCAGCAGGCAAGAGAGCATGTGTGGGGGAACTCCCTTTTATAAAACCATCAGATCTCATAAGACTAATACACTAGCAGGAGAACAACATGGGAAAAACCACCCCCGTGATTCAATTACCTCCCACAGGGTCCCTCCCATGACATGTGGGGATTATGGGAGCTACAATTCAAGATGAGATTTGGGTGGGGACACAGTCAAACCATATCAGAACTTATATAGTGATGTATTGAGCCTTAAATGTATTTATATTTTTTAAACATATATAACTATATATGTATAATGTATATGTTCTATATGTGTAACTATTGTTACACATGTATAGTATGTATACATGTATGTATATGTATGTATAGTCTCCCTATATGTGTAATTGTATATAGTCTCTCTGTGTAACTATATGTATTCTTTATATAATTCTATAATGAACTTTTATATTATGCCTTAGTGGGCTGAAATTCTTTTCTTGGTGACTTCTGGTATGAAGAAGATACAATCACTTATCTAAATTTTTTTGAGACCCATTTCAAAGATTAATACATTGAGTTTCAAAAATCGGGTTGCTATGGGGGGATCTTATTGCCTTCATTTTTCCTCTTTGTTGTTCTCAACTTTGGTTGTTCTTCAAGTCCCATCCTAAATACAACCTCTTCTGGGAACTCTGCTGGATTGCTCCTCTCCCTAGTAGATGCCAGTCTTATGCCAGCCAAACATGTTCTATTGTACATTATATCAACACCTGGGGATGGCGGTAGAGTGCCCATTTTAGCATGAAGGGATCAAGGCTTAGGAAGCCTAAAAGAATTGCTCAAGTTTACACAGCCAGCGAGGGGCTAAGAATAAAACTCAGGTTTACTAAATTTCATGCATGCTGCTCCTTGCACAGTGACACTATGGCCTCCCAATCAGCTCTTCTTTGTTTTTTGTTTTCTGTGCAATTCACTTAGCATTCAACATATTCTATGTACTTTTAAATATGTGTATGTTATTTGAGACATTACTACTACATCCTTGGTGCATTAGTCCGTTCTTGCACTGCTATAAATAAATACCTGAGACTGGGTAATTTATAAAGTAAAGAGGTTTAATTGACTCATAATTGCCTGGGCTATACAGGAAGTATGGCAGCATCTGCTTCTGGGGAGGCCTCAGGGAATTTTCAATCATAGCGGAAGGTGAAGGGGGAGCCAGGCATCTTACATGGCAGGAGCAGGAGCCGAGAGAGAGAGGGTAGGTGCTATACACTTTTAAGCAACCAGATCTCATAACTCACCCACTCACTATCGTGAGAACAACACTGAGAGAATGGTGCTAAACCATTCTTGATGGATCTGCCCCCATGATGTAATCACCTCCCACTAGGCCCCACCTCCAACACTGGGGACTATGATTCGACAGGAGACTTGGGTGGGGACAGATCCAAACCATATTGCTTAGCTTCTCAGCATTTCTATCGCTATAGCATCTGGTACATAGCAGGTTGCTTAAGACATCCTGGCAGGTTCCCAGAAATCTTGGTGGTTACATAGAAGGAGGCTTCCAGTACCAATCCCTCCCTACACTTCAGACTCCTTTTTTTTTTTTTTTTTTTTTTTGAGAGAGGGTCTTGCTCTGTCACCCAGACTGGAGTGCAGTGGCACAATCTTGGCTCACTGCAGCATCGACCTCCCAGGTTCAAGTGATTCTTGTGCCTCAGCCTCTCGAGTAGCTGGGATTACAGATGCATGCCATGGCACCTGGCTAATTTTTTTTTTTTTTGAGATGGGGGTTTCATCATGTTGCCCAGGCTGGTCTTGAACTCCCAAGTTCAGGTGATTCACTGTCTAGGCCTCCCACAATGCTGGGATTGCAGGTGTGTGTCACAGTACCTGGCCCAGACTAGTTTCTTTATCAGTTTCTGAGTTCTGCACAGACATCTCTGAATTAACACATCCAAAATTAATTTAATGCTTTTCTCCTTCAATCTTCTGTCCCTCTCCAGGGCACACTTAAGCCAAGCCTTTGTTTCCTCTGCTACAACCCCACCTCCCCCCACCACACACACCTGAACAGTCATTTCCAGGTCGTTTCCACCTAATGATTCCCTGCCCTTCCCCAGCCTCTCCTCCATAGATTAGATAGAGGGATATTTTTAAAAGTGCAAATCCCATTTTGCCATTCCCCACTTTAACATCTTCCTGTGGCTCCCCATGACTCTGAGAATAATATCTACATGCTTTTCCAGTTCTACAGGGTCCCATGGGTTCCCTTTCATTGAAACCCTCTACCTTATATGCACCTCTGTCTCACCATGCTCCAAGCAACTGTTCTGCTCTGTTGCTTGAACATGTCAAACCATTTCTACTTCAAAAATCTTGTCACAAGCTATATCTTCTCAAACGTTATTTTCTTCAATTCCCCCTATGATCTACTGCTTCTCTTCCTTTGTGTCTCAGCTAACATCTTACTTCCTTAAAGAGGCCCTTCCTAACCACACTCTTGAAAATGGTCACCCCTTCTTCCAGTTTCTTTCACATCATATTGCCTTGTTTATTTATGTCCACATACTTTGTAATTTTTTTGTGCCCTCCCCTTGGGATTAGAATGTAAACTCCGTGAGGGCAGCAACCTTGTCTGGCTTGTTCAGTGCTGCTGATATAGTTTGGATGTTGCACCCTCTAAATCTCATGTTGAACTGTAATCTCCTATGTTGAAGGTGGATCCTGGTGGGAGGTGATTGGTTCATGGGGGTGGATTTCTTATGAATGGTTTAACACCAAACTTTTGGTGCTGTCCTCATCATGATAGTTTGTTCAAGATAGTTTGTTTAAAAGTATGTGGCATCTTCCCCCTCTCTCTCTTCCTCATGCCGTCACCATGTGAGATGCCTGCTCCGCCTTTACCTTCTGCCATGATTGTAAGCTCCCTGCAGCCTCCTCAGAAGCCAAACAAATGCTGGTGTCATGCTTCCTGGAAAGCCTGTAGAACCATGAGCCAATTAAACCTCTTTTCTTTATAAATTACCCAGCCTCAGGTGTTTGTTTATAGCAAGGCAAGAAAGGCCTCTTACAGCTGACCCCGCCCCCACAGGCTGCCAGTTATCATCATAGCTTTCTTGGATTGGTGGATGGGTGGAGAAAGAAAGGAGGAAAGGAGGGAGGAAATGATAAAAGAATAACTTTTGAGAGAGATCCCGGTAACCAGCTTCATGTGGGAGAAATGTTTAGATAGAGATGGAGAAAACTCCACATCTTGTTCCTACTGGAAGGGTATCATCTCTCCTAGAAGTGGCCCAAAGCATAGCACTTCAAGGCAGCTGGGTTTTCTGCAAAAAATCCTGGAATGAAATTGGCCAATTATATGGTAATATTAATTCCATGTGGAGCTGCTGCTTTCTAAGCCACTTGTGAGCTTGTTTTTCTCCCCAGGCCTCTGAGAAACATCCCTAAACACAAGCCATCTCTTACAAGATTGGATCGGCATTCATCCATGAGGTAGTTTTTTTGAAATGCCAGCAAATGCTCCACAGCCACCTCCCCAGCGCACCTCCTGACCACTGAAATTGCCAGAACTCATGAACACATTTTAGAATGCAAATGTAACCTGGGACAGGTAATGGTTACTTACCCCATTAAAAGTCCCCGCCTGTGGTGACATCGGATCACGCTGTTGTGGGAGTAAGATACAAATCATGTACCTTTTGAGTGAGGCAGGAGGACAGAGTTCCAAGGCACAATGAGGCCAGGCCAGGCTGGGGAGCGGAGAAGGCCACAGGATGGTTCTTGTCATTTGGGGAATGGCTGGTTGGGGAGCGGTGATTATTTACAAGACAGGCACTAAGGGAAATGGCATTCTGTTTCTCAGCAGAAGCACAGAGACAGGCTTGCAAGCAGGTGGTGGCTTTACAGGGTCACCATCTGGATCGTGTGTCTGCAATGACATCTGATGCTTAGCTTTCCTTAATCATATAAAAATATTAACACCAAGTGAGGCTGGAATTCGATGAACACATTGCCTGGTTCTGTTTCTTAAATTCTGTCTAAGCACACAAAGAATGCTCAGGAAAGACACTGGTACCCTGAGAATGGCCAGGAATGAGGGCTTGAACACAGAAAGACTTTAGAGTTTACACTCGTAGCTAAAGTCTCTCCTAACCATGAGTGCCTCTCTACTGCTCTCCCAGCACTGTATTTATGGACAGAAGAGCTGTGCTCTCTCCTAAGGATAATCAGGATTTAATAATATTGTTCCGCTATTTATAATTCACTTTCAACTTGATATCTCAAAACCTTTCCTCTTGTTGCTATTTTTGTCAGGAGTATAATGATCATTTTTTAAAACCCAGTGACTAACCTCCTGCCCCTTCCTGGCTTTTTCTGGCTCATTTGTAGACTGTGTTTTTTTCCCTCAGTGACTCAATTCTATCTTTTTCATTTCTCCGTTCCTCTCATTTTCTATACTTCTGAGAATTAGACATGTAAAATATTTCTGGCAGTAGAGTTGGACTTCACCTATAACAGGTCAACATGAACTGGATAGTGTTAAATTAGGGAAAATAATGAACATTAAAAAGAATGAATTGTTGCTGTCTTAATGAAATATTTGCAGCCTTGCTTGTGTCAATGTTAATTTTCACAAGGTTCTAATTATACCAGAAATTATTGTATCAGCTAATTGTATAAGTGTTTCTGCATTTTCCCATCTCTCTCTCTCTTGCTGTCAAGTTGATTTTTTGTTGTCCAACTACCAGATGTGATGCGCTAAAAAAACAAAAAAATCAATATGGTGGTTGATATTGACGGTACCTACAAAAATATTAGTGTATTTTTTCAAGTCCACGTGTGATCTGTTCTGATTTTTAAAAGGAAAAGTGACCTGCAACTTAAAAAAAATCTTTTTCCATTTAATTCTAGTTAACTTTGTCATTTGGAGGGCTTGGTTATCGGAACGAGGAAGTATGACAGCACGGCTAGGGTTTTCCTTTCCTCTGACCCTTCATCCTGCTGTGGTTCCCTGGTCTATCATGCTTACTCTGTGATACAGAAATAAAATAAACTGGGGAAGTGGCTCCATACCAAAGCAGGCACAGAGGGAGGCCCCTGACACTTCCAGGCAATTCCTCCCCCTTTTCTCCTCCTTTAGTTCCATCTCTTACAGCCGCATGCTAAAGAGGTGCAGTGTGAAGAGGTTCATAGTGGGCTACTGATATGGTTAGGCTTTAGGTACCCACTCAAATCTCATCTTGAATTGTAGTCCCCGGGTGTTTAGGGAGAGACCTGGAGGGAAGTGATTGGATTATGGGGGCAGTTTCCCCTATGCTGTCCTCGTGATGGTGAATTATCACAAGATCCAATGGTTTTATCAATGATAGTTTTTCCTGCACTGACACATGCTTTCTCTCTCTTGCCTGCCACCATGTAAGACGTGCCTGTTTCCCCTTTTGCCATGATTATAAGTTTCCTGAGGGCTCCCCAGCCATGTGGAACTGTAAGTCAATTAAACCTGTTTCCTTTATAAATTACCCAGTCTCAGGAAGTTCTTTATAGCAGTGTGAAAATGGACTAATAAAGCTATGATCACTTTATGGACATTTTATTCATGTCTGTTAGAACTGAATACTGATGTTAGAGTACATATGTAAATCATAAATGGAATTAAATGGTAGTATGTAATTGAGAGGTGGGAAGGAATAAGAAGAGCCACTTACTAGCAGTGCATTTTAAAAAGTCCTATCTATGCATGCATCACACCAGCTTAATTAGGGTGACAGCAAAGTTGAAGTTCATGTGAATATAAGTGAGGTGAAACCTTGTCCTAAGTCTGGCCTTCTTGATATGGGGGAGGAGGGAAGGTTGGAGAAATCAGAAAAAGCGTCTTTCAAATTGCACATTGCTTTATTGTTGGCATTTTCTGAATTACCTTTCTGTCATGAATGAGTTTTTTAAAATAATTTTTTTTTCTCTTGGAGAAGTGTGAATGTATTTCTTATTTTCATGGGGTCTTGCACCCGTGATAAACCTGCAAACCTGGGGAGACATACAAGGACATACGTGGATTGTAGAGTAGGGGAGAATAAGGACCTCTTTCTAATCCCATTCAGTTTTCTGTCAGTCCACAGTGTATGAGGCTGTGTGTAACCCTAATATGTAAGTGGAATTCTACATTGCACAGTCTCCATGTTGGTGTCACTTTCAAAGAAACATACTTAGCAAAAAGTAGTTAAGAATCATTTAGTCTTATTGGATATATACCCAAAGGATTATAAATCATTCTAGTGTAAAGACACATGTACACGTATGTTTATTGCAGCACTATTTACAATAGCAAAGACTTTGGAACAAACAAAATGCCCATCAATGATAGACTGGATAAAGAAAATGTGGTACATATACACCATGGGATACTATGCAGCTATAAAAAAGAATGTGATCATGTCCATTGCAGGGATATGGATGAAGCTGGAAGCCATCATTCTCAGCAAACTAACACAGGAACAGAAAACCAAACACTGCATATTCTCACTCATAGGTGGGAGTTGAACAATGAGAACTCATGGACACAGGAAGGGGCACAACACACACTGGGGCCTGTTGGGGGGTGGGGGACAAGGGGAGGGACAGCATTAGGACAAATACCTAATACATGTGGGGCTTAAAACCTAGATGATGGGTTGATAAGTGCAGCAAACCACCATGGCGCATGTATACATATGTAACAAACCTAAACGTTCTGCACATGTATTCCAGAATTTAAAGTGGAAAAAAAAAATAATCATTTAGTCTTTACTGATGTCTCTTCCAAAGCCTATGAGTAGGAAGAAAATACATCTGTATACTCATCAAAACATCTTAAAGTTCTCTCCTTATTGCAAAAGAAAAAAATAAACAGTTTGAAAACCAAGCCCTCACCACTCTTTTCTACCCCCTGTTCTTTCATCCTTTATCCATTCTTTCTCTTTTTTTTTTTCCCGAGGAAACCTTGGCACTTTCTGGTCTGATTTATATCCTCATCCTGTCTTCTCCAAGATCTCTCTCTCTTTACACCTTTCTCTGAGTCTGCGTCATGAAAACAAAAAAAAGTAAAGTGGAAAATTGAGAGTTTGTTGTAAAAATAGCAGATATCCTCCCTGTCTGGGAGGTTTGTAAATTTTGGTTCTCAACTCATTCAGAAATTCTAATATTGGATATCATAAATAATATATTTTGGTCTTGACCCAGTTTCCTGACACACAGCTCCTAAAACCCTGGGAACATCTGAACTGATAAGTGTCTCTTTGTATGCTAAGGAGATGATTGACAGCTCAGGGTCCTGAAGAGCCTCAGAATGAGGGCTGGTTGCCTGGGGAACCAACCCTGTAGTTAGAGCATTGGAACTTTCAGCCTCACCCCTTATTTTAGGGGAGGGAGACGGGTTAAAAGTTGAATTGATCACCAATGGCCACTCATTTAATCAATCATGCCTATGTAATGGAAACTTCATAAAAATCCAAAAGGACTGGGTTGACAGAGCTTCTGGGTTGTGGTACATGTGCACGGTAGAATACCAGTGTGTTAATTCATCTGCATCACTATAAAGGAATACCTAAGACTGGGTAATTTATAAAGGAAAGAGGTTTCTTGTGGTTCATAGTTCTGCAGCCTATACAGGAAGCATGGTACTGGTGTCTGTTCCTGGTGAGGCCTCAGGAAGCTTCCAATCATGGTGATAAGTGAAGAGGGAGCTGCCCTCTCACATGGCAAGAGAGGGAGCAAGAGAGAGAGGAGAGTGACAGGCTCCTTTTAAACAACTAGCCCTCATGTGAACTAACAGAGCAAGAAGTCACTTATCTCCAAGGGGATGGCACTAAGTAACTCATGAGGAATCCACCCCCGTGATCCAACACCTCCCACTGGGCCCCACCTCCAACACTGGGGATCACATTTCAACATGAGATTTGTAGGGATCAAACTTCTAAACCTTGTCACCCAGAGAGGGCACAGAAGCTCTGCACCACTCCCCACATACCTTGCCTTATGCATCTCTTCCATCTGGCTGTTCTTGAGTTATGTAGTTTTATAGCAAGTGGGTAATAGTAAGAATTGTCCTGAATTCCGTGAGCTGCTTTAGCAAATGATCAAACTCAAGGAGGTTGTGGGAACCTCCAGTTTCTAGCTGGTTGGTCAGAAGCACAGGTAACAATCTAGAACTTGTGATTGGTACCTGAAACTGGGGGCAGTCTTGTGAGACTGAGCTCTCAGCTTGTGGCATCTATGCTAACTCCTGCTACTGCCAGAACTGAGTTGAATGTAGGGCGCCCGATTGGTATCCACAGAGAATTGTTGGTATAGAACAACCCCTAGCCCTCACATCTGGTGTCGGAAGTGCAGTATTGAGGGTATATGTAATAGTAGAAAACATGTTTTTGTCCTACTGTAAACATCAATCATATTCTTACATCTGGCCCCTGACTCTTCAAACTTCTATTCCATCCTTGCCCAAGCCACTCAGCACTCAGTGTAATTTTATCATGATGAGTTAAGTTTGTCTTCTAAGCAGGGTTTTCAGATTTAGCAAGAACTAAACCAAATGAAATTAAAACAGTACAAAAAATAAAAACCAGGATGCTTTTCCCCATGCAATATTTGGCCCCATATACTAAAAATTTAGTTGTTTATCTGAAATTTAACTGTAACCAGGCATCTTGTATTTTACCTAGCAACGCTGTTTCTAAGGGAATGGTAATGTTGGAGAAACGGGGTTTTACAGGGTGGATTTAGTTAATAACTTAGAAGCTACAAATAAAGATATTTTTGAAATAGTACCTGGACCATGAGAAAACCCAAAAGCTGGATATGGTAAGAGGTTACCAGCTTGGGTTGTTGGGGTCCACTAGTAAACAAGCTTATCCTGTGATTCCTTCAGCTGCATTTCTAGTATTACGATGCATATTTTTTCCCATGGTGGAGGTGATAAAAATATTTCGGAAACCAAAAGAGGTCCCCATAAATACATGGAATAAGACAAATTAAATTTGGAACACAAAAATATATTGGAAGAGAACAAAGAAATTGCTTTCTGCTTTTTAAAAAATTGCTTTCTGCTTTTCACCTCTTTGCTATCTTTATCTCCTGCTATTTTCTCTGCTGCTTTTCCTTTCTTACTGTAACTCACCCTCTGTTACTTCAAAAATGTCTTATTGTCTTCATAGGAATGCACAAGAAAGCAACCTCAAATCTACCTAAACCATCAACATCTGCTTTTAAGTTGTAGGTTTTCCATGTGTTTCTTAATATGTCACTTTCACCTGTATTTAATGGACACGGGTACTGTTTGTCTTATATATCAGAGTTAGCAGGCTAAGGGCAAAGACCCAGTCTTTTCATAGTAACCATGGTATGAAGATGTTTAATACAGATGTTTAAGACAGTGCAGCCTTGCCTTCTACACACAGAATTATGAGTTTACTCTGTCCTAAATTGCCATGATTAGTTTGATACATGGTGAATCATAATTCTCTGAAATGGAGATGCTGGCAGGGAAAGACTTCCCCCTGCTATTTGGCCAACCTAATTTTTCTTTCCCTAATCCCCAGAATTTAGGGGGCCACTATGTAAATCCAGGAAGTAATAGGAATTCTCTAGCCTTAGCATACTTGTGCAAAGATTAATAACTGCTCCTCCTCTCTTTGGGGGAAATTATATAAATCCTCTTCTGTGATTTGAAGTAGACAACATTTTCTTGAGAAATCTGCACAAAGTGAACAGAATGGTTGTCTTTAATGTAGAGCTTTGGTAGTGAATTTTAAATGTCTTTCAGAAGAAGCCTACTGCATCTCTGAAGCACTTGCCAGATGACGAAAGATGTCTGATATGTAGTAGATTTAATCCTGTTCTGGAGTAACAAGACCATGGCTCTAAATACACTTAGAGTTCTCTCTCTCTCTCTCTTTCTAATAGAATCTGATTTTCTTGCTAAAGACATATGATACCTTTTCATTTTATTCAGCACTTCTGTGGCCCCTGAGGAGTGAGGTGGTTCTGAATGATGCTGGTGAAGAGGACACCTTGGGTTTTATTCCTTCCTGAGTCCATTTATTTCATTCAGTGGGGGAAGCCATAACCTTACCAGTGGCTCCTAAATCCATGGGGTGTTCTAGTGCAGGTCTGAAGGTGGGGTGGGAGGGCAGGTGGGGGAGGTCTCTGGATGAGGAATATGGCTTGTTTAGTCTAAAGCCACTGTGACATCACAACACAGACTCCAGCATATGTCCTCCTTACAGTAGGTCAGAGCTAGTCTAGGTGCACCAGTCACAGGACACTGAGACTCAGGGTGGCAGATGTCAAGTCCTTCATTGTTCAGTTTAAGCTCAGAGAAGTAAGTTTCCAAAGTGGGACTATACAAGAGCACATCTAGGTTTATAAAAGCTATTAATATAGATTGGACATAATATAATTTCAGAAACAACTTTATCTTCTCAGGATAATTTCTTATTTATTTTTAAGTCACTCTGTCTTTCCCCTAAGCTTTGTCTTACTTGCTTAAAGGATCACATTTGCTATCAAGAGAAATATAAAGTGATATATATATGTGTGTGTGTGTGTGTATATATATATATATATGTAATTTTTTTTTGAGACACAGTCTTACTCTGTTGTCCAAGCTGGAGTGCAGTGGGTATCTCAGCTCACTGCAGCCTCAACCTGCTGGGTGCCAGTGATCCTCTCACTTTAATCTCCTAAGTAGCTAGGACTACAGGCATGCATTATGATGCCCAGCTAATTTTTGTTTATTTTTTTGTAAAGATGGGGTCTTATTATGTTACCCACGTGGGTCTCAAACTCCTAGGCTCAGGCAATCCACCTGCCTTGGCCTCCTAAAATACTGAGATTACACGTGTGAGCCACCACTGTAGTTTTGGCGGCTTTTAGTCAAATTGTAAATTAGATGAAAGTCATCTTTACTCACCTCACCTCCATCTTTTATACAGTCTTTGTACCTTCATCTTTACCTAAGGCTTTGGTCTTATTTTAGACTGACTCCCTCCAGCTCCCAGTTAGGTCCTAAATTTTTCATGTTTTTAGCTTTCCACATACAAATGCACCTGGCTTTTGTGAGAGTTCTCTAGGACCCAGCTAGATGCCAGAACAAATGCTATGATAAACTCTTTTGTGCTAAGATGAAATTAGTGATAAGGGAATACGTGTGTCCACCATAGAAGGACATTTACATTTAACAGATATTTAAAAACACAGGCTATAAAAACTATCTTATTGAAGAGAACACTGAAACTCAGATAAGGTAAGTGACTTGCTAAGTCATATGGGTTTTATTTTTGCCCCAGGATTTGAATCTGGGTCTTCTATTATAACTCGAATGTAATTTTCACTATATCAATATTTCTCAAATTTTAATTATCTCCAATGCCCCCTTTACAAGTTTTGCTCTATATGTGCATACCTAGTAGACTCTAATCGACTTGTTCTTATAATCTCTGAAAGAATGGATTTGAAAATTACAGGTTTGAAATATACACACATACACACACACATACATATATACACACATACATTTGTATATTCTAATATACTAAATCATTTAGTCTCTAAAATGATTTTAGGTAGCCTATAGATAACAATTATATTTGGATATATTAGTATATTACTGCTCAAATTTGAAAAATGGCTATGTATAAGCTACCTAAAATCATTTTGAAGACCACCAGTGGGGTATGGCTTCATATTAGGAAATGAATAAATTCTGAATCACAGCTGTGATCTCTTTTAATGCCTTAACCTACTTCTTTGGGAATGTTAGCAATTTGGTTGGCAGCCTTGGAGGAGAGAGGTCTCCTTGCTCAAATCACTTCACAGGGGTAATAATTCACTCCTTGGACACAGCCATTCTTGGATTTTGAGTAAGATTTGAGACCAGGACAATAACCATAGATATAAGGGTCATTTATGTGTCTTTCAAAGTAATGAAGTGGTGTTGTTGTTGGAGGTAAATACCCAAGGTTTGTTGTCTCATGCCAAGGGAATCGAGGACGTGGACACACAAGAAGTGAATTTAAGAGTAGAGGTTTAATCGACAAAAGAAAGAGAAAAGAGAATGACTCTCTCTCCTGCAGAGAGAGAGGGGCACCTGAGTGGGTCTTCCAGTTCATGATGAAATGCATGGGGTTTTATAGACGAGCTTGAAGAGGTGGTATCTGATTTACATAGCGCTCAAGAGGCTGCTCCGAGAAGGTGTGACATTTGCTTAGTGCGTGAGGAAGCTGGCCATCCCACCATAATTTTTTATTATGCAGCTGGGTTCTCTACCTGGCTGGTGTCATGTTGTCTGTTCCTCACTGTACATGTGGTTGACAAAGGAAAGGGAAGATAGAGCCGCCATGTTGAACATGCCTGGCCTTCGGGTAGTCTTTTCCTATTGGCACAGCTGCCGGCATTTACCTATGAAAGCTTGCAGCTTGCTTATTTATGTCTGCAGCTCGATTTTACAGGCTTCTTTTGTTAGAAAAGAAATGATTTGGGGGGCTGCTTTTCATTAAAAGGAAAACCTTCCTAAGGACTTCCTTAACCTCATTGTCTGCCTAAATAATTTCTTTTTAACTCCTTTATCATTTAACCCTCTGGAGTGGTAACTCTGCTATTAGGGGGTTTTGGACGATGACTCTTTCTGGCTACTTTCTGCTGAAAAGGGGTGTTGTGTTGGGGACAGCCTCTAGGGCTGCTCCTTGAGGTTGATCTGAAGATCCTTGGAAGAAGAGTATGTTCATGCGTGATTCTGTCTGCAGCACCATTTGGAGTTTAGCTGCTTCTAGGTGAGAAAAGATAACTTTCACAAGAAGTTTTAGAATATAGGGTTTGAATATGAGTATTAAGATTACTACTATTAGTGGGGGTACTGTAGGCCATAACCGTGACAGTAGAGTTTGTTTGACACCTGTCGGTACGACCTTGCTTTCAACATTCTTCTCCAATTACAAATTTTTCTAAGAAACTAAAATCATTTGATTTTCCTATAACGCTAGATTCCTGGTGGTGTAGAATAATAAATAAAACATAGTGCTTTTCTTTAAGAAGGAACTGTCTACAAGCAGAGATCATTGCAAGTAGTTGGAGACAATTCCACTCTAACTGCAGGTAAATGAGACACACTTCATAATTTATTTTTCCTTTAAAGTACAGTGGCCATTCCAAGGAGAGGAAGCTGCTATCTCATAGCTGGGTGTGGAGGAATTAGGGGTGAGTTGCCAGAAGAGTTAGCATTAGAACTGGGCTTCAGGGCAAAGGATGTGAACAAGCTGGGAGGGTGGCAAAAGGATATGGGAGGACAGTGGGAGGTGTGAGATTCCCTGTGTGACTTCAGCTGTGTGACTTCTCTTGTGGTGGTGCTGTGGTGAGAAAACGCTGCTTTCAGTCCCCATAGGGCCACTCAGCCTTGGTAGAGCCTTGGTAGAGAGCTCAATATTTCCTCAGCCTTGGTAGAGAGCTCAATATTATATTGTGATTTTGGAACTCTTGAATCGATTTATTTAGTTTAACTCAGTATGTTAGAGTTAAGCCGAGTCAGGGAGTGGGAATTAGGCCTCCAGAGCTCCATGCTACCATGCCCTGGATTCTCATTTTTCCTTCTCCTGGAGGTGATGAACCTACAAAACCTGCCTGAGAACTTTGCAAGATCATTCCCAAAAGAAGAAAAGATTAGACTTTGAATCTAGAGTTTCTTTTCATTTTTTTTATTACCGTTTTGTGGACTCTCCATATTATCACCTTGTAGCCTTTTTATTTGTTTCATGTAACATATATTTAGTAGTGCCTACTATGAACTAGGCATTCTCATAAGCATTTTACCAATAAAAACCCTCATAGAAACAGAGAAGGAACTGTTAGTACTCCTGTGGCAGCTGGTATCACTGTTCTGCCCAGATCTCTTTAGCCTTTTTATGTATACCATTTCCAATGAACTTTCAGCCCCAATAACCAACACTTGCATGTCAGACATAGACCTTCCTCCAGTCTGCTGAAACCTGCTTTGTCTGTGTTTATAAAGAGTCGTTTGGGAATTTATGTCTCTGTGGTGTGGCACTGAACCAATGGCTGAGAGGCATAGGAGTATAAACACTTCCGTTCCCTTGTGCCTGATGAAGATGGCTTCGAGGTAAGACCTGCACTATCTCCAAAGCTCCCTGATGAGATCAATCCAAGGTTTTCTTCTGTGGGACTCCTCTTGAAATCATATTCCCTTCTCATCACTGCTCCACTTCTCCACTCTTCTGTTTTTTCCTGGGAACACTTTCTAACAAATCCAAGTTTTCATGTGGATCATTGTTTCAGAGTTTGCTTCTGGGGAATTTTACCTACATGGATCCCAATTTTGCGGTAAAGAAAACGAAAGCCCAGAGAAGTTAAGTAATTTGCCCAAGGCCACTCAGCTGGTACTTGACAGACTGGAGATTCTAATTCTAGCATTTTGGCTTTGTTTACCCTTGAAGATTAGGAGGAAATGATTGGAAAGCCAACTAGGGCACAGGAAAGAGCCTTCTTTAAGGTAGATGATGGGAGGAGGGGGTTTCCTAGGAGTACTGAGGCTGAGGATTAAATTGATTGGGAAGGATTCTCAAGTTGAAAGCTATCATTATAAAATGGGAGATTTTGAGAGTTGACTGGTGGTTGTTAGGAACTGGGGGGAGGGAGAGGTGGGCATTGCAGTTCAATGGGTATAAAGTTTCAGTTATGCAAGACGATTAAGTGATGGAGATCTGCTGCACAACATTGTGCCTACAGCTAACAGTGCTGTGTTGTGCACTTGAACTTTTGTTAAGAAGATAGATCTCTACGTTAAGTATTCTTCCCACAATTTAAACAAATAAAGAAAGAAAATAAGAGAGAATCATAGCATTGTGGTTAAGAGCCCAGGCTTTGGGGTGAGACAGACCTGGTATAAATTCTGTCTCAGCCACTATCTAGGTTTTGACTTTGTTCAAATCACAACCTCTCTCTGGGCTGCTGGTTTTTCTTCTGCAAACTGGGGATAACAATTTCTGCCTCACAGGGTTGTATGAAGTATTTTACATTATGCCTGGCACATAGCACTAAATACATAATAAGTATTATTAATCCCACCTCTTTGCAAAAGTTAGTGTGCTTATATTAAGGTCAGGAAGGTAGAAGTGTAAAACCTGACACAGGGTTGGGAGCAGAACAGATTCTTTGTAACGCCCAGTTAATACTCCCTAACACAATGACTATAAATGTTCCTCTACATTCATCCTAACATGCCATTTGTGAGCTAACCTTGGAATACAATTATTATGCATAGCTATGTTCTGAAATGGAAGAGGTATCTAAAGAGCCAAATAATAGACCCATAAATGAGTGCCTTACATCTGGCCAAGGATTACATAGGCCATGATGGAAGTTGAAGAAATCCTGTTTACACTAGAAAATCAAGATTCTCAAATATTCATCAAGCCACTTAATTATCCTAGTTGCCAAATTTATTGGACATGAAAGAAAAGATTCTTGGAAAACAGATGCTAAGAAGTATAATGCACATTTCCCAGACCAGTTCCTTATCTGAGGCAACCTGAAATTCGCATTTTATTCTTACTTGCCTTAATCATGCACTGAGAGAGTATGTTTCTAAAGCTCTGGGCGTGATGCTTGTAGAATGCAGTTCTATGGGTGTTAGTTTGCTTCCTTTACTCCTACTCTGTACACCTAGGACTCCTAGAGTGGGTGTGCCCTGGATGTTAGGAACCCTGGTGGTTTCAGTTGACATTTATCCTAAGGTCTGTTAGGTTGAGCCCATAAAGTCTTCAAAAGATATCTTATATTGGATCTTGTCTTAAGAGCCTGGTACAGAAATGCTTTAAAAAGGACAGAATGATAATCCTTTAGAAATGCCAAAAAAGTATTTGGAAATAAGATAGGTCATCATTATATCACCTAAAACCCCTCTAAGAAGCTAACACCATCCTACAGTAATTGGAAAGGAACCACAAGATTACTGTTTCTGTGGTGAAGTAGAATTATATCCTTTGACTCTTTCTCTCAGCCTCTTAAAACTCTAAAAAAAAAAAAACCTTATAAAAATGACACAATTAAAATGACCTCTCAGTTCCATTAATTATCATCCATGGAATGGAATTTCTACAGAACAGTAAATCAAAAGATTCTGAATACTAATTTATCTTTTGTAAATTCAGAGTTTGACTTAACAGAATTGGTAATAATTCCTTTGATTTCTTTGTGCATCAAGGTATGTAGCAAGGAAAGAAATTCAACAATGAACATCCCATATTTCATTTAAAGTAATGGGGATAATTCTGAGTTAGTCTGTTAAAGAAACAACACGCACATTGTTTTATTTGACAGGCAAAGAGCCAGCCATAGAAATTGTAACATTTTTCATGCAAATACTATTTCATTATCTGTATCTGCCCAGTCTCTTTTATCTATACGTTTCCTGGGACCTTCCAAAGAAGATAGTGTGGAACAGAATGCAAATTCAACCAAGATGAGATAGAAATTATCTGAAATAAGATGAAAATCTAACTAAGGCAATTATTAATTAAATAAGGTCTATTCCCAGGAGTCAGCAAACTACAGCTCCATAGGCCAAATCTGGCCCTTTTTATAAAGTTTTATTAAGACACAGCAACATCCATTTGCTTACATATGTCTATGGCTGCCTTCATGCTAGAATGGCAGAGTTGAATAGGTGTGACAGAGAGCATATGGCCTGTGAGCCTAAGATGTTTATGTAATCTTTCAAAGAAAACATCTCCTAGCCCCTGACCTATGCCATATGTCTTAGAGAATAGCCTTTGTTGATGGTTTCTAAAGAGTCCTTGGATGGGTTAAAATGGAAGGATGATAGATGCCAATCTCCAAGTTCATATTGGAGGTGTTGCTGCCGCTGGAAAAGGGGAAGGGAGAAAGGAGCTACTTATTCCAAGTGTTTGTACTGTTAGGAATGTTGGAAATAAATTTTCAGTGCCGCAAAAGAAATAGCCCTCAAACATGAATTTTCTCAGCAAGGCAATTTTACTTCTATAGAAGGGTGCATCTCCTGGATGGAGCAATGGTGAGAGCACACCTGAACAAGTGAGGGAAAGGGGTTCTTATCCCTGATGCAGGTAGCCCCTACTGCTGTGTCATTCCCCCATTGGCTATGGTTGGACCACACAGTCTAAGCTAATTCTGACTGGCTATTTTAAAGACAGCAAGGGTATGAGCCAGAGAGGCAGGGTGAGCAGTTTGGTGGGAATGATGGTTACAGAACAGGTGACTCAGGATGACTAAGAACAGAGTAGGTGACGAAGGGTGACTAAGGTCAGAGCAGGTGATAGAGGCTAGGAGGGGGTTGTTTACTGAAACTAGGTGCAAGGAGACATAAAGAATGAGGAAGTTAAACTTTATAATGTAGAACAAAGAACAGGGGAGCTGAACATACTGATACATTGGTTCTTTGGAGAGGATCTCAGAACTTTATACTTAACAATTTACAGGCTAAAACCTTTGGACAGGAATTTATTATTATTATCCTACAATTTCCCCCTTTTCAATTTTCATAGTAGTTTCTCTTCAAACTTTTCTAACAGGTCTTGGCTTTGTTGTTCAATTTAATCCTATAAAAGAAAAAACTGATCTGAATAAGGTGGAGGAGAGCTAAGGGAAGTTTTAGTAAGTGTTGCTTCTATAAGTCTTTATACTAGCCCACGGATGCATGGTATGACACAACACCCAACGAGAACGAGTACACCTACTAAGGCTGCAAGAGAAGAATTGAGGCTGTGATTTCTTTCCATTTACCAAACCATCCTTTCTAGCCACTCTGAGAAAGAGTTATCGACTCTAGAAGTTTAGCTAGTTTATTGGATAAAGCAGTAAGTCTTTGTAAGGCTCTTGTTATGCCCCCAGTGGGGGCAGTGTTGTTTGGGATAAAGGTACAACGCTGAGTTTTAATCATAACACCAACACCGCCTTTTGTGGCTAATATCATATCCAGGGCCATTTTGTTTCTCCAGGCCATCTGGCTGGTGAGCCCCAGTTGTTCTGTTATCCCTTTGACAGCAACCGTGGAATAATTAATAAACCACTGGTGATCATAATAGATGTAATTTATCCAATCTATGTTTTTATTGTCACCCATGAAAATGCTGACTTAAATCCTGCAGCTATTTGATCTCGGGCTTTAAATTCATCTGGTTCTCCTCATAGAACTCCAATAGTGTTTATATAAACATGGGGGTCAAAGGACCCACGTGAGGCACTTCTTTTACAATTTTTTTTTTATCATATTGACAGAATGCTAGGGTGAAAGGGATGGCCAGTTGGACTAGAGCATGAGTGCTGCTCTAATTACTTGGCAGAGTACCCAGCAGTAGTCCCCAGCAATACCACCACACATCTGCTCGGGGATGAACAAGGGCAGACTGATTGGTAAGCTCTTCAAAAGGCCTGGTTTCACTGCACCCTGTTAAGTCTCCAAGGAATGCTAACTTTTCCCCCTGCCGTGAAAGGCATGAGGTGAAGTTAACATCAGGGGCTGGAGGCCGGATAGTCTTCAGGGCTGACCCGCAGGGCTCTTGACCTCAGGGAACAGCAGTGAAAGAGTCTTGCATGACTCACCACCCCAGGCTGTGGGGTTCTGGAAGAGAGCTACCACACAGCTCGTGCCCGGTCTGTGAGAGGACCACCCAAGTGGAAAGGGAACAATTTGGGTCTCTGGCCTGCCTGTCACACAAGTGTAACAGGCGCTTTTGTTTAGCCTGCAAACAGAATGTTTAATCCATTCCAGCCAAGCATTTGCGTCCTGATACCCTGTTTCAGTTGCTATGGTTTGTTTTGAATCTTTAACCTGTACAACAATTACTTTGGTTTTATCATTGGGTATATAACGAGAGAAGGTTTGGTTACCGGAGAACTAAGGAGAGGGAGAAGTGGGTGCAGGAGGTGAGGAGGCGACGAAGTGCATTGCAAAGGATCCCATGGGGTCCTTCCCTGAGACTTCTGCTCCAATACCATAGAAACAGCTTAATGAAGGGGAAGAACTCTGGGGAGCAGCGATGGTAATCTGTACTGGATTACATTGGTTCAGCTGACAATGGGGAGGGTTAACTCTTGTAGTAAAATGAATATATGGTTTTAAGAAACTGCAAGTACTAGTTGGGGTGGTCCATCCTTGCTCTTCAGTATTTTACAGAGCATTGGACCAACTTCGGCAGAGAAGCTCTGCTCTAGGAGGACAAGATTCCCAGTTCATACTAGAATCTTCGTCAAACTCATCCCAAACTAACCTATCCCAGTTAACAGATTTCCAGTCTGAGGAGAGCTAGGAAGGATAAAGATACTTTTCTGAAGTGGAGAGTTACCTCTGGTTAGGCAAATCTCCACAGGGCATCACAAGGCAAGCATCAAAAGTAGTAGTTTGGGGTGAACTTGACCTAGTTACATTACTAATGAGAGGTCTAGCAATCGAAGGGGAAAAGAAAGAGATGCAATGTAAGAGGATCAAACCAAGCTTTAGCTTCGTTGGAGTTGGCCCAGGAATAGCTGCCCATGATTCTGGAGGGGGTCGTGTTCTTTTGACCCAGGTGTGATGAGTCCATCTTCTTTCTGCTGTTCAAACTGCAGTCTCGGTGGTTAGAAGCACTAGGAAGTGTTCTTCCCAAGCCAGTTCGAGTTTTCCTTCCCTCCAACTTTTGACGAGGATGTGGTCCTCAGGCTGATGTTGGTGTACTGGAAACTCTAGGGGTGGCGCGTGTGCTGAAAGACCTTTAGTTCTGAGGGAAGAGAAAGTGGAAGAAAGACCAAGTATATAATTTCTGAGAAACTGATCATTTTTTTTTTTAATGTGGGAATGTAATCAGTGGAATGCAAACAGGGCAACCTGTACAACACTTCATAAGGGGATAAGCCAACATCTCTCCAAGGAGCTTGTTCAGATTCTCAACAGGGCAATGGGAAGGCATCTAGTCCATGGCAACCGAGTCTCTAAGACTAATTTGGTTAGGTGGCTTTTTTTATAGTTTGGTTCATTCTTTCCACTCTTCCTGATGAAGGTAGGTGCCAGGGAATATGATATTTCCATGTTATATCCAGTACCTGGGCTAATTTCTTAATGACATGTGCAGTGAAATGAGTTGTATTATCTGAATCAATGTTTTCTATTAATCTAAACTTGGGTATAATATTTTCAAATAATGCCTTAACTACATTATTAGCAGTTGTACTTGAAAAGGAAATAGCTTCTACCCAATGAGTAAGGTGAGCTACTATTACTAATAAATACTTTAGACGACCAATTGGAGGCATGTCTGTGTAATCAATGTGGATACTTTGGAATGGCCTTAAGCCTGGACTCCTTCCCCCAAGGGGCAATCTATTTATAGTTTGTTTATTCATTTTCTTACATACTAAGCAACTGTCTGTAACTGGCCAGGGTATAAATTCCTATGCACCCATAAACTCTGAGGAATGAATCACACATGGCTTGGAGCTCCCAATGGGTCCCTTGATGCAGCTGGAACAAGATTTTTCTCATAAGGGTTTGGATAACATTTCTCTGTGGTCTGGCAATATCCATTTTCCTTGTGAATTCTCTTCAGCACCTATTTTTGTTTTTAGATCAAAGAAAGCCAAACACCATTTTATATTTGACAATACTTCCTGTATGATTTTATACCAGATAAGCTAAATTTCACCTTTATATTAGTGTGTTATTAATGTTAAACTCAATTTTAATAAAACCTTGTAGACATATTTATCCAATTTTAATGCCTGACGATAAGGTAAGATTTTTATAGACTCTTTTTAACCCTTTATAATTTTTGTTAAAGAGCAGGTTAGTGCTTTAAGAAAAACCTGTTGTGCTTTTATTTTAATGTCCAGTTGACAGAAAAACTGGATGATACCCCTTTAACTTTAGCCAATATGTTTACACACAGAATTTCCATTACAGTTAATGTTTCAAAACTTGCTTAAACCTTTAAAATAATTTTTTAACCTTTTAATGTAGGTAAAAATCCATATTCTTTTGCCTCCTTATAATCCTTTTACCAAAAGTATATTTTACTTTCCTTACACACCTTGCACATAAACTGTTTCTTCAATAGTTTTACATTCAGGAGGCCTAATTACTTTTAAATTATACATTTCTTGAACAAATTTCCTTTTATAACATTGTTGATGACTTTCACAGACAATCTTTGACATGCCTTAACCTTCTGACTTGTTGTAAACATCTCTTCCCAACAACCAGTTAATTTACTTTAGGACAAGAATTTACCATATAAGATTCCTTTTACATAAATTATCCTTTTTTAATGTCAAAGATGATAACCGTTCTTTTCCGAAGCAAACTTCCTTTATGTCTGTGGACTAGAGTGCCTAAGTCTACATGATTAGAAATTAGGATAATACACGTTACACTGTTAACTTTTAGCAAATTTTACTTTTGTTGATAACCTTTTAAGTTTGGGATTTTAATTATGTGATAGGTGTACAGCCTAAGATCTAGAGAGAAGTGCAGACAAGGTCTGGCTTATTCTAAAATTTAACTCCATGTGTCCTAGGTTTTACCTAGCTGCAAAGCAGGCCAGTTGTACAGCTAAGAAATGGTAGTCTGTCTGGCTATCTGATCTTCTAGGTTATTTCCTTGACTTTAAAAAGAAAGGCTTTTTTGGTGTCCGGGGACATGGTCAATAGCTGTTTCTTTTGGCAGCTGAAGGTTAGTTAATACTTGGGTGATTAATTCCTTATGGACCAAGTCTTGGCATTTGCTATTAATAAGACCTCGTTCAGTCCAAATTTTTCCAAATGTATGAGCCACTCCAAAGGCGTACTTAGAATCTGTATAGATGGTTCCTTCCTGGTTCTGTAAGTCCTTTAAGGCTTGGCTGAGTGCAAACAGCTCACATGTTTGAGCAGACCAATTATTAGGCAATTTTCCTAACTCTATTTCTACAAGAGTTTCTCTATCAATTACTGAATACCCATTGTATCTTTTTCCCTCTATCACCTGGGAGGAACCATCTATAAAGTGTTGTCCCGTCCTGAAGGGAGTTTCTCCTAGGTCTGGTCGGACCTTTGTATGGTAATTAATTAAAACTAAACATGTGTGCTCTCTCTTTTGATATAGATCCCCTGTTAGGAAACCTGCTGGGTTAAGTGAATTATCAGTGGTTAATGTTAAATCATCTTTTTCTAAGAGAATAGCCTCATACTTTAAGATTCTGGAGTCAGTAAGCCACCTTTCTGCTTTCTGACTTAGGATAGTTCTGACCTGGTGAGGTGTGTTCACAATGAGGTTTCCTCCAAAACTTATTTTTCTACTTTCTTCTGTTAGCAAAGCAGTTGCTGCTACAGATTGAATGCATCTGGGCCATCCGTGGGTTACTGGCTTAAGGATTTTTGATAGGAAGACTACGGGTTGTCAGTGGCCTCCATGCTTTTGGGTAAGTACTTCTAGGGCTACGCCCTTGTTTACAGTGGCAAAAAGATGGAAAGGCTGCTTAAGGAGGGTAAAGCTAGGACGGGGGCAGTTACTAATAGATGTTTTAATCTTCCCACCTATTGGATTTCTGGTAATTGCCCAATGAGGCGGTTTAGCCCGTCTTTCATGAGCTTTTTGTATAAGCGTTTTGTTTTTAAGGCATAAGAGTCTATCCATAGATGACAGTAACTGACTCATTCTAACATTTTCTAAGTTCTTGTTTAGTCTCCGGCAGAGGCAAGGATATGATGCCTTCAATCCATTCAAACTCAGTTTTCCATTTGCCTTTGTTAATTAAATGACTTGTTCAAATATTTGACTAAATAAATTTGGAGACTCCATAAACCCTTGGGATAAGACTGTCTATCAGTATTGCTATTTTTGACCAGAGTGAGGGTCTTCTCACTGAAAGGCAAATAGGTCCCGGCTGTCCTCTGCTAATGGACAAGCCCAGAAGGCATCTTTTAAATTTATTACTGTAAACCAGTGGTGACAGCTTGGGATCCTACTGATAATAGTATAAGGATTGGGAACAACAGGGTGTGTAGTTTGGATTATTTGATTAATAGCTGTAAGGTCTTGTACTGACCAGTATGACCCATCTGGCTTCTTTACAGGCAGTATTGGAGTGTTATAGGGAGACATACAGGGTTTCAGAAGCCCATCACAGAGAAGACCTTCAATTATCAATTATATGTTTTAAATTTACCCTGGCTTTTAAAGGAATAGGGTACACTGCTTTCGCTTTACTACTTCCCCAGGGGTTTTTAATTTAACATGAATCAGAGGAATCTGTAACTTTCCTTGATTCCCATCTATTGACCATACCTTGGGATAAATGTGTTCTTCGTCTGCGGTGGTGAGCAAGTTTAGGGAGGGGAGGAATTTTCCATGATTGATTTGTAGGCCTAAGCCTAATTCTAGCATTAAATCTCTTCCTAAAAGATTTTTCTCTGCTTCCAGAATTAACAGGCATCTAATATTAGCTGATTTGCTTTTATATATGACTTTTGTTCTTTTTCCCATTTGGGACATTCTCTTTTGAAGTGACCTATTTTTAATTTGAAACATTTGTTTTGTCTTCTTTCTCTCCCTTTGCTCCTCCCTCTCTCTTTGCCTCTTTTTTCTCCTCCTCTCTCTCTCTGCCTCTCTGTCTCTCTTTCTCTCTCTCTTACTGTCTCTCTCTCTCCCTGACTCCCTCTGTTCCCTCTGTCAGTCCTTTTCTCTCTAAGATTTTTTTTTTCCACCTTTGAGTCTCCTGGCTTTACTCTCTTGTACCCTTTATGTTGCCTGGAGGATGGAGGTCTAGGTTCTTTATAGGTTCTGGCCCCCTGGATACTTTGTTATACGGTTGAAAGCAGAATTTTTGCCTTCTGCTTTCATTTTTCTTTATCTTTTCTTACATATACTTTTTGGGCTTCTCTTAGAAGCTCTTCTATAGGTTTATCTTTCTAGTTCTCTATCTTTTGTAATTTCTTGTTAATGTCTGGCCAACTGTTAGTGACAAAATGAAGTCTTAACATTCCCTGCCCAAGAGGATCCTCAAGACCTAGACCAGCATATTTTCTCATTTGTTCCTTTAATTTGTCTAAAAATTCTATAGGCCCTTCATCTTCCCCTTGCTGTACGTCAAATGTTTGGGTAAGATTCTGGGTTCGGGGTACTGATTCTTTAATGCCCTTTATTATCAATTCCCTAAGGTCTTGCATATTTTCTTGGTTGGCTGCATTGTTATTGTCCCACCGGGGCTCTTGGGTGGGAAATTTTTGATCTGCTGTAGGAATATTTTGGCTGGGAGGGTATTCACATACCTGACCTCCCATTGCAGCTCTATGGATTATGCCTCTTTCTTCTCCCAAGAAGAGGGGAAAGGAAAGCTCTGACCATCCTTTTTACATTGCTCTGTCTCACATTGAAGTCCTTTTAGGAATGGGAACTCAAGCTGGTAGTAAGTGGGCCTTTGGGATGATTCCCAAGAGGCAGGGTTATAAGGAGGGGGACAACAGGGATAGGAGAATGTTCTGAAACAGCAGTTGCTTTTTCTTGTTTTTGGTTTTATCCTTCTAATATTTTAATATTAGGCCTAGGGGATTATTAGGGGGAGTATTATTGTTGCTAGCTTTATCCTTTTTATCTCTTACCTTACTTGGGGTATTTCACACCTTGATGGTTTTGGGGTGAGGCTCAATTTCCCTTACTGGAAATTTCTTGCCTTTTGGGGTGAGGCTCAATTTCTCCTACTGGAAATTTCTCCCCTTTTGGGGTGAGGCTCAATCCCCCCAGTGGAGATTCCTCACTTCTTTTTAACCTCCAGGACACCCTGAGCAAGGAGTACTTCACCACCCCTGCAACTTTTCCTGCCTTGGTATGTCCCGACCAAGGAATACTTCACTGCCTCTGCGGCTTTTCTTACCTTGGCCCTGACCACCAAGAAAATACTTTGCCGCTTTTGCGATGTTTCTTACCTGGGTCTGTGCACAGAGTTACCTGGTCGCCGTGGTATGTAAGAATCCTTTCCCCAAGCTGCCAGCCTGTTTCTTCCTGCATCGCTGAGAGTCCAGGTTTATTCATCACACCAGGTGGGTCTTGATTCCTTACCCCTGAGGCCGCCACAACAAGGCAGTGGGGCACGCCTTCTCATGGGAGAGGCAGAAGACCCTTTCCCAGAGGAGAATGGGAATCCTAGATGAACCCCCAAATTTGTTGGAAATAAATTTTCAGTGCTGCAAAAGAAATAGCACTCTAATATGAATTTTCTCAGCAAAGAAATTTTACTTCTAAAGAAGGGTGCGTCTCACAGATGGAGCAATGGCGAGAGCACACCTAAACAAGGGGGAGGGGAAGGGGTTCTTATCCCTGACACAGGTAGCCCCTACTGCTGTGTTGTTTCCCTATTGGCTAGGTTTGGACCACACAGTCTAAGCTAATTCCGATTGGCTATTTTAAAGAAAGCGGGAGTATGAGCCAGAGTGGCAGGGTGAGTAGTTTGGCAGGAAGGATGGTTACAGAGCAGGTGATTCAGGATGACTAAGAACAGAGTAGGTGACCAAGGGTGACTAAGATCAGAGCAGGTGATAGAGGCTAGGAGGGGGTTGTTCACTGAAACTGGGGGCAAGGAGACGTAAAGAACGAGGAAGTCAAACTTTAAAATGAAGAACAAAGAACAGAGGAGCTGAACATACTGATACATTGATTTCTTGGAGAGGATCTCAGAACTCATTATACTTAACAATTTACAGGCTAAAACCTTTGAAGAGGAATTTATTACGTCTTACAGGAATTTGTCACCAGTAGCCTAAATAACTGCTTTGCACCCCATTGCCATCTTATTAGTAGAGAAGCATCTTAGGGGATCCCATGGAAAATTTTGCTCAGGGTTCCTGAGGCCTCTTGTGGTGCTAAACTCTATGGGATAAATATTTAAAGAGCACATTGCAACTTTCTTCCTCATGCAGCCAGTCCAACAAGGATCTATGTGCCTGGGCTGGGCTGGGTGAGGCATTTATAGGCAGGCATATCAGATTCACACACCCTAAGGATTTCACATTTCATCTAGTCCGGTGCCTCTACACTGGCAAAGAAAACTGGTGTTCTATGAGTTAAACCAAAGTGCCCATCATTACAAGTGAACAGTGACAGTTTTAATTTATAGGGAAAAAATGGATACGTACTCTCAATGTCAAGCTCTTTCCTTTAAACTTTTCTGAATTATTTAATTCCTGCAACATTACCCTTTATTATTAATTCATCTTTATGCTCATTTATTAAACAAATGTGTTTGATAAGTCTACTATGAACATGTGCCAGGTTTTGTGTTAAGGGCCTAAAATATTACTATACAAAAACAAGACATCTTCTGCTCTCATGAGATCTCTACATCTAATGATGTAGACACTAATCAAGTTGTTACACCTGTGGAGTCAGGCTGTTCAGATCCCAGCATCTCCACTTACTAGCTGAATCACCTTCTTAAAACTGCATAATCTAGTGCCTCTGATTCCATGCATATAAAATGGTTATATATCTCATTTTGTGTTGTGAGGCTAAAATGAGATGCTAGACTCCAAGCACTTGGAATATTGTCCTCACACTGTAAATGGAAATAAATGCTAATGCTTGTCATTTTAAGCAAACATACAAATAAATATATGTTTGGGTTGGGACAATTGTTATGAAGGAAAGGAAAAGGTGTCCATGAGAAAATGAAAAGGAGAGACCTGCTTTAAGTAATTTAGCAATACTACCTTGAGAAAGGGCTGAGATTTGAAAAATGGAAAGTCTGCAAGTAGAGTTTGGAAGAACATTCTAGCCAAAGGGAATAGTGTGTGTTACAAAGTTTTGGTGCCACAAAAGAAATAGCACTCGAATATAAAATTTTCTTTTTAATTCTCAGCAAGGCAAGTGACTTCTATAGAAGGGTGTGCCCTTACAGATGGAACAATGGTGAGCACACACTTGGACAAGGGAGGGGAAGGGGTTCTTATCCCTCATACATGTGGCCCCTGTTGCTGTGTCATTGCCCTATTGGCTAGGGTTAGATGCACAGGCTCAACTAATTCCGATTGGCTAATTTAAAGAGAATGACGGGGTGAGTGCTTTGGCAGGAAAAATGGTTGGTTATGCAGGGTGGAGAATAAGTTAGGGTGGAGCAGGTAGCAGGTAATCAGAATGAGTCAGGGTGGAGCAGGTAATCAGAATGAGTCAGAGTGGAGCAGGTGATTGAAATGAGTCAGGATGGAGCAGGTAATCAAAAAAGGTTGCTTTAGGAGGAAGTTAAGTTTAAAAGTAGAAGGCAAAGAAGTGAACATACTGACATATTGATTCTTTGAAAAGAGATTTAGAACTCACATCTAACAAGCCCTCCTCTTGCATTTTCTTACAGCTCTTTCTTTCAAACATTTTTGAACATGTCTTGGCTCAGTTGTTTTGTTTGATTTTCCAAAAGAAAAAGCTTCTCCGGTTAAGGTGGAGGATAGTTAAGGGAGGTTTTAGTAAGTGCTGTTTCTATGAGCTTCTGCACCAACACCTGGATGCATGGTATGACACAGCACCCGACAAGAATAAGTACACCCATTACGGCTGCGAGGGAAGTAAGAATTGAGGCTATTATTCCTTTCTATTTACCGAACCACTTTTCTAGCCATCCCGTAAAGGGGTCACTTACCCCTGAGTTGTTGGCTAACTCATTGGACAGAGCAGTCAGACCCTGCAATGCCTTTGTTATACTTCCATCAGGGACAGTGTTGTTTGGGATGAAGGTACAACACTGAGTTTTAATCATGATGCAAACTCCTCCTCTTTCTGCTATATCATGTCTAAGACTATCCTATTTTCTCAAGCCATCTGGCTAGTAGCCCCTAATTGCTCAGCTATTCTTTTAACAGCATCTGTAGTGTAGTTAATAAATTGCTGTTGTAGTAGATGTAGTTTATCCAATCTACATTTTTATTAATTTGTCACTCATGAAAATATTGACTCAAATCCTGCAGCTATTTGATTTTGGGCTTTAAATTGATCTGGTATTACCCTTGGGACTGTAATTGTGTCTAAATAGATGTCAAATAAAACTGTGTCTAAATAGTAAAAAGACCCATAAGGGGCTTCTCCCACTTTATGATGTCTTATTTTTTCCTTCCTCTGGTTGATGAAATGCCAGCATGAAAGAGATATCCAATTGGACTAAAGCACAAGTGCCATTCCAGTTATTTGGCAGAGTGTCCAGTAAAGGTCCACCACAATACCACCACATATCCGCTCAGGGATGAACAAGGGCTGACTGATTGATAAGCTCTTGAAAATTCTTAAGCTCACTGCATCCCTTCAGGTCCCCAAGGAATGCTGTTTCCTCTCTGCCATGAGAGATAGGAAGTGAACTTAGTGTTGGGAGATGGAAGCTGGATGGCCTTCGGGGGCTGACCCACAGGGTGCTGGACTTCGGGATATAGCAGAGAGAGAGGTTGGCATGACTTGTTGCTCTAGGCTGTACAATCCTGGAAAAGAGCTACCATGCAGCCCACACCTGGTCAACTGGAGGACCAGATTAGTGGAAAGGGGACAATTTGGGCCTCAGGCCTGCCATGCACACAAGCATAACAATTGCTTTTGTTTAACGTGCAGATGGAATATTTGAGCCATTCCAACCAGGCATTTGCATCTTGGTATGCTGTCTTAATTGCCAAAGTTTGTTTTAAGTCTTTAACTTCTACAATCCTCTAGTAAAATGAACGTATGGTTTTAGGAAATTACAAAAACCAGTTGGGGCAGTCCATCCTTGCTCTTTAGTGGTCCACAGAATGTTGGTCCAATGACAGCATAAAAGCTCTACATTAGGGGGCAAGACTCCTCATTGACACTGAGGTCTTTATCGAAATCTCCCCGGATTAAATGGTCCCAATTTACTAAGGTCCAGTCTGAGGAGAGTCACAAGGGACAGAGGTACTTTTCTGAAGTAGAGAGCAGTCTTTGACTTGGCGAGTCCCCACAGGGTATAACAAGGCAAGCATTCAATGCGGTAGTTTGAGGCGAAATTGACTTGGTTGTGTTACAACTAGATGGTCAGCAATAGAGTGAGGAAAGAAGAAAGAGGAATAAAATAGATGAAAGAGAGTTAAATTTTTCTTAGCTTTAGTTTGGTAGGGTTTTCCCCTGGGACCATGGCCTATGACTCGAGAGTGGGTGGCGCTTTCTTGACTTGGGTGTGGTGAGTCCATCCCCTTTCTGCTGTATGAACAGCAGTCTCAGTGGTTAGCAGCACAAGGTAGGATCCTTCCCAGGCTGGCTTTAGTTTTCTTTCTTTCTCCCCTTTGATGAGAATGTCATCCTCAGGATGGTGCTGGTTTACTGGAAATTCTAGGGGTGGTACCTGTGCTAAAAGACTTTTAGTCTTGAGAGAAAGGAAAGTGGAAGATAAACCAAGTATAACATTTCTAAGAAATTGATCTTTTTTAAAAAAATTTGGGGACATCAGCAGTGGACTTCATAGTCCTTGGTGTGTTCTTACTGAGAAATTTCCTTTAGCACCTATTTTTATTAGTTTTTAGACCACAGAAAGCCAAACACCATTTTATATTTGACAATGCTTCCTGTATGATTTTTATACCAGTTAAGCTGAATTTCACCCTTACATTAGTGTGCTATCAATGTTAAACTCAATTTTAATAAAACCTTGTAGACATATTTATCCAATTTTAACGTCTGACCTTAAGGTAAGATTTTTATAGACTCTTTTTAACCTTTTCTAATTTTTGTTAAAGAGCAGGTTAGCACTTTAAGAAAAACCCGTTGTGCTTTTATTTTAATGTCCAGTTGACAGTAAAACTGGATGATACCCTTTTAACTTTAGCCAGTATGTTTACACACAGAATTTCCTTTACAATTAATGTTTTAAAACTTGCTTAACCCTTCCAAACAAATTTTTTTAACCTTTTATTGTAGGTAAAAATCCACATTCTTATGCCTCCTTATAATCCTTTTACCAAAAGTTTATTTTACTTTCCTTATACATCTTGCACATAAACTGTTTCTTCAATAGTTTTACACTCAGGAGGCCTAATTACTTTAAAATTATACAACATTACTTGCATAAATTCCTTTTTATAACACACATTTTTTTTTCACAACTTTCATGGACAATTCTTTCACATGCCTCAACTTTTTGACTTGTTGCTAACATCCCTTTATTTTTTTTTTTTTATTATTATTTTTAAAATTATACTTTAAGTTCCAGGGTACATGTGCACAACGTGCAGGTTTGTTACATATGTATACATGTGTCATGTTGGTGTGCTGCATCCATTAACTCGTCATTTACATTAGGTATATCTCCTAATGCTGTCCCTCCCCCATCCCCCCACCCCACAACAGGCCCGGTGTGTGATGTTCCCCATCCTGTGTCCAGGTGTTCTCATTGGTCAATTCCCACCTATGAGTGAGAACACGTGGTGTTTGGTTTTCTGTACTTGCAATAGTTTGCTCAGAATGATGGTTTCCAGCTTCATCCATGTCCCTACAAAGGACATGAACTCATCCTTTTTTATGGCTACATAGTATTCCATGGTGTATATGTGCCACATTTTCTTAATCCAGTCTATCATTGATGGACATTTAGGTTGGTTCCAAGCCTTTGCTATTGTGAATAGTGCTGCAATAAACATACGTCTGCATGTGTCTTTATAGCAGCATGATTTATAATCCTTTGGGTATATACCCAGTAATGGGATGGCTGGGTCAAATGGTATTTCTAGTTCTAGATCCCTGAGGAATCACCACACTGTCTTCCACAATGGTTGAACTAGTTTACAGTCCCACCAACAGTGTAAAAGTGTTCCTATTTCTCCACATCCTCTCCAGCACCTGTTTGTTTCCTGACTTTTTAATGATCGTCGTTCTAAGTGGTGTGAGATGATATCTCATTGTGGTTTTGCTTTGCATTTCTCTGATGGCCAGTGATGATGAGCATTTTTTCATGTGTCTGTTGGCTGCATAAATGTCTTCTTTTGAGAAGTGTCTGTTCATATCCTTCACCCACTTTTTGATGGGGTGTTTGATTTTTTTTTTGTAAATTTGTTTAAGTTCTTTGTAGATTCTGGATATTAGCCCTTTGTCAGATGGGTAGATTGTAAAAATGTTCTCCCATTCTGTAGGTTGCCTGTTCACTCTGATGGTAGTTTGTTTTGCTGTGCAGAAGCTCTTTAGTTTAATTAGATCCCATTTGTCAATTTTGGCTTTTGCTGCCATTGCTTTTGGTGTTTTAGTCATGAAGTCCTTGCCCATGCCAATGTCCTGAATGGTATTGGCTAGGTTTTCTTCTAGGGTTTTTATGGTTTTAGGTCTAATATTTAAGTCTTTAATCCATCTTGAATTAATTTTTGTGTAAGATGTAAGGAAGGGATCCAGTTTCAGCTTTTGACATATGGCTAGCCAGTTTACCCAGCACCATTTATTAAATAGGGAATCCTTTCCCCATTTCTTGTTCTTGTCAGGTTTGTCAAAGATCATATGGTTGTAGATGTGTGGTATTATTTCTGAAGGCTCTGTTCTGTTCCATTGGTCTATATCTCTGTTTTGGTACCAGTACCATGCTGTTTTGGTTACTGTAGCCTTGTAGTATAGTTTGAAGTCAGGCAGTGTGATACCTCCAGCTTTGTTCTTTTGGCTTAGGATTGTCTTGGCAATGCAGGGTCTTTTTTGGTTCCGTATGAACTTTAAAGTAGTTTTTTCCAATTCTGTGAAGAAAGTCATTGGTAGCTTGATGGGGATGGCATTGACTCTATAAATTACCTTGGGCAGTATGGCCATTTTCATGATATTGATTCTTCCTATCCATGAGTATGGAATGTTCTTCCATTTATTTGTGTCCTCTTATATCGTTGAGCAGTGGTTTGTAGTTCTCCTTGAAGAGGTCCTTCACATCCCTTGTAAGTTGGATTCCTAGGTATTTGATTCTCTTTGAAGCAATTGTGAATGGGAGTTCACTCATGATTTGGCTCTCTGTTTGTCTGTTATTGGTGTATAGGAATGCTTATGATTTTTGCGCATTGATTTTGTATCCTGAGACTTTGCTGAAGTTGCTTATCACCTTAAGGAGCTTTTGGGCTGTGATGATGGGGTTTTCTAAATATTCAATCATGTCATCTGCAAACAGGGACAATTTGACTTCCTCTTTTCCTAATTAAATAACCTTTATTTGTTTCTCCTGCCTGATTCCCCTGGCCAGAACTTCCAACACCATGTTGAATAGGAGTGGTGAGAGAGGACATCCCTGTCTTGTGCCAGTTTTCAAAGCGAATGCTTCCAGTTTTTGCCCATTCAGTATGACATTGGCTGTGGGTTTGTCATAAATAGCTCCTATGACTTTGAGATACATCCCATCAATACTTAGTTTATTGAGAGTTTTTAGCATGAAGGGCTGCTGAATTTTGTCGAAGGCCTTTTCTAACATCTCTTTCTTCAAACAACCGGTTAATTTATTTTAGGACAAGAATTTACCATATAACATTCTTTTTACATAAATTCTCCCCCAACCCCATTTTTTTTTTTCCCAAAGATGATAACCATTCTTTTCCAAAGTGAACTTCCTTCATATCTGTGGACTAGACTGCCTAAGGCCACCAGATTAGAAGTTAGGATAATACATGTTACACTGTTAACTTTTAGCAATCTTTTGTTTTGTTGAAAACCTTGTAAGTTTGGGATTTCAATGATCCTTTGCTATTAATAAGACCTTGTTTAGTCCAAATTAACTTAGAATTGGTATAGATGGTTCCTTCCTGGTTCTGTAGGTACTTTAAGGCTTGGCTGAGTGCAAACAGCTCCCACCTTTGGGCCGACCAAGAATTAGGCAATTTTCCCAACTCTGCTTTTACAAAAGTTTCCCTATTAATTACGGAATACCCATTGTGTCTTTTTCCCTCAATCGCCCAGGAAGAACCATCTATCCTCCAGTCCTGAAGGGAGTTCCTCCTAGGTCAGGTTGGACCTTTGTATGGTAATTAATTAAGATTTACATCCCCTGTTAGGAAGCCTGGTGAGTTAAGGGAATTACTAGTGGTTAATGTTAAATCATCTTTTTCTAACAGAATAGCCCCACATTTTAAGATTTTTGAGTTAGTAAGCTACCTTTTGCTTTTTTTTTTTTTTTTTTTTTTTTGACTTAGGATCGTTCTGAACTGGTAAGGTGTGCTCATAATGAGGTCTCCTCTAAAAGTTATTTTTCTACTTTCTTCTGCTAGCAAAGCAGTTGCCACTACAGATTGAATGCATTTGGGCCATCCATGGGTTACTGGGTTAAGGATTTTTGATAGGAAGGCTACGGGTTGTCAGTGGCCTTAGTGCTTTTGGGCTACACCCTTGTTTATACTGACAACAAGGTGGTATTGAAGTGTTACAGGGTCAAGGAGAAGATCTTCAGTTGTCAATTATAGGTTTTAAGTTTACCCTGGCTTTTAAAGGAATAGGGTACAGTGTTTTCTCTTTACTATTATATCTCTCTTTTTCTCTTTCTCTCTTGACTTTCTGTCTCTGTCTCTTTGACTCCCTCTTCATCTCTCTGTCTCTTCCTCTCTCTCTCTGCTTCTCCTTGTCTCTCTCTCTCTCTTTGACTCCCTCTTTGTCTCTTCCTCTCTTTGCTTCTGTTTCTCTCTCTGCCTCTCTCTCTTTCCCCTCTCCTTGTCTTCCCTCCCCCCCCTTCTTCTCTGCTGTTCTTTCCCTGTCTCTGCCAGCTGTTAATGCTGCTGTTCTCCCCTCTCCTTCCCCTTCCCCTTGAGGGACTGGTGGGATTGGAGCTACTCTTTCTTCCCTTAAAGGAAAGGAAAGGGGAGTTCTGAATATTTTTCTTACTACCGGAGGTTAGTGTGAGGTTCAACCCCCATTCATGGGGATTTCTCACCTCCTTCTGAGGTTCAACCCTCCCTCCTGGGGATTTCTCACCTCTTTGTGAGGTTCAACCCCCCTGTCGTGGGGATTTCTCACCTCTTTCTGTGGTTCAACCCCCCACCATGGGGATTTCTCACCTCTTTTTAACCTCCAAGACATCCCAACTAAGGAATAGTTCACCACCCCCCCATGGCTTTCTTTCCCTAGTCCCAACTAAAGAATGCTTTACCACCCCTGCAATTTGTCTTTCCTTGGTATGTCCTAACCAAGGAATGCTTTACTGCCCCATGGCTTTTTCCTTAGTCCTGACCACCAAGGAAGTACTTTACTGGCTCCTGTGGCTTCTCCTTCCTTGGTCTGGGCACAGAGTTGTCACCGCAGTATGTGAGGATCCTTTAAGCTAGGCTGCTGGCCATTTTTATTTTATTTTATTTATTTATTTATTTTTGCATTGCTGAGAGCTTGGGTTATTCCTTGCACTGGGTGGGTCTTGATTTCTCACCCCTGAGGCCGCTGCAAGGGGGTGGGGTGCACCTCCTCACAAGAGAGAACAAGAAAAGAGATCGCCCCCAGAGGGGAATGTAATCGTGGGAGAGCCCCCAAATTGTTATCAATAAAGCTTTGGTGCTGCAAAAGAAATAACACTCAAATACAAAATTTTCTTTGTAATTCTCAGCAAGGGAAGTTACTTCTATAGAAGGGTGTGCCCTTACAGATGGAGCAATGGTGAGCACAGACTTGGACAAGGGAGGGGAATGGGTTCTTATCCCTGATGCACGTGGGCCGGTGCTGCTGTGTCGTTCCCCTATTGGCTAGGTTAGACTGTACCAGGCTAAACTAATTCTGATTGGCTAATTTAAAGAAAGTGATGGGATGAGTGTCTTGGTGGGAAAAATGGTTATGCAGGGTGAAGAATAAGTTAGGGTGGAGCAGGTAGCAGGTATTCGGAATGAGTCAGGATGGAGCAGATAATCAAAAAAGGTTGCTTTAGGAGGAAGTTCAGTTTAAAAGTAGAAGGCAAAGAATTGAACATACTGACATATTGATTCTTTGAAAAGAAATTTAGAACTCATATCTAACATGTTTACAGTGGCCCCAAGGTAGAAAGTGAGCATGAAGAGTTCCAGGGTCTGAAAGAAAACTACCATGGTTGTAACTTAGTCAAGCCTTCCTATAATTTCCATTTGGGAATATAATTTCTACTGTAATCTAAACATATTGATGAGATAATATACAGAGAAGCCATAAAATAGTGGTGAGGCATACAATAAGCATGCAATAAATATCAGCCATCATTGTTGATGTTGTCATTGTTACAGAAGGATTCTAATTCCTCCTCTTTTGCCTTTGGTGTTAAACATCTGGTTTACCTGTGATTTAAATGGTTATGTTTTCAAAATAATTTGCACTGACTATTTATAGGCGTGATTTTTCAACTTCTTAGAGTCACAAAGAAATTGTTCTAATGAGAATTTGTCTGATGAAAGTTGTTACACTTCTCCTTGGAAGAATTCACATTTATCGAACACACAGGAGTTTGAATTTCATTTTAGGCCTTTCATTGCCCCCTAGTTTGATAGTTCTGATTAATTATTTAACATTTCTTGAAGACCAGAATCATACCCCGTACTTATTTGCAACTTTTGCCTGCCTAATTTAGAAGATGCTTTATTTTCATTGATGGTGGTCTTCTTGCCTTCTTTTTTAAATCATATTTTATTAGTGCTAATATCCATACTTGTATTAGTCCATTTTCATACTACTGTAACTGTTCCACTCTTGTCTTTTGCATACTTGCAGGCCCAACACCATGTGGAAGCCACCAAAGCTTGGGACTTGCACCCTTTGAAGCAACCGCCCAAGCTGTACCTTGACCCCTTAGCCATGGCTGAAGCCAGAGTGGCTGGGACACAGGGCACCAAATCCTGAGGCTGCACAGAGCAGTGGGGGCCCTGGGCCCTGCCCATGAAGCCGTTTTCCCCTCTTAGGCCTCTGGGCTTGTGATGGGAGGGGCTGTCAGGAAGATGTTTGACATGCCCTGGAGACATTTTCCCCCATTGTCTCCACTATTAACATTTGACTTCTCCTTACTTATGCAAATTTCTGCAGCAGGCTTGAATTCCTCCCCAGAAAATGGTTTTTTCTTTTCTACCACATGGTGAGGCTACAAATTTTCCAAATCTTTATGCTCTGCCTCCCTTTTAAACACAAGTTCCAATTTCAAACCATGGCTTTGTGAATGCATAAAGCTGAATGCTTTCAGAATAATCCAGGTCACTCCTTGAATGCTTTGTGGCTTAGGAATTTTTTCTATCAGATACCCTGAATCATCTCTCTCAAGTTCAAAGTTCCACAGATCTCTGGGGCAGGGAAAAAATGTCTACAGTCTCTTTGCTAAAGCAAAGCAAGAGTCAATTTTACTCCAGTTCCCAACAAGTTCCTCATTTCCATCTGAGACCACCTCAGCCTGGACTTCATTGTCGATATCACTATCAGCATTTTGGTCAAAGCCATTCAACAGGTCTCCAGGAAGTTCCAAACTTTCCCATATCTCTGTCTTTTGTCTTCTTCTCAGCCCTCCAAACTGTTCCAGCCTCTGCCTGTGTTGATGAAAAGAGTCAAACTCTGTAAAGTATTTTAAGAGATTTATTCTGAGCCAAATATGAGTGACCATGGCTCGTGACACAGCCCCCAGGAGGTCCGGAGAACATGTGCTCAAGGTGCTCAGGGTACAGCTTGATTTTACATATTTTAGGAAGGCATGAGACATCAATCAAATACATTTACGAAATACATGGTGTGGTTCAGAAAGGTGGGACAACTCAAAGCATGGGCTTCCAGGCTATATGTAAATTTAAAGATTTTCTGGTTGACAATTGGTTGAGTGTATCTGAAGACCTGGGATCAATAGAAATGAAGTGTTCAGGTTAAGATAAAAGATTGTGCAGACCAAGTTTTATTGTGCAGAAGAAGCTCTCAGATAGCAGACTTCAGAGAGAACACGTTGTAAAATATTTCTTATCTGCCTTAAAAGGGTGCCTGGCTCTTAGCTGATTATCTGTTGGATCTGGAAAGGAAGGAAAGAAAAAAAAAAGGGAAAGGGGATTCGCTATAGAATGTGGATTTTTCCCGTAAGAGACTTCACAGGGCAATTTCAGGGTATAGCAAGGAAATACATTTTGGGGTAAAACATTTTGATTTTCTTCCTTGTTATGCCAGAGTCAGATGGGAAAGTTAGTCACAATATACAGGGTTAAATGAAACCCATCTGATGAGAATTTATGATTTGTAGGGTATGAGTCCCCAGACTCCTTAGATAGGAATTTAGGCCAGATAAGAAAAATCAGAGTTTAGTCCTCACCTGTTATCCAATTCCTGAGTCACTTCCACATTTTCAGGTTATCTTTAAAACAGTACCCCACTCTACCAGTACCAATTTCCTGTATTAGTCTGCTTTCACACTCCTCTAAAGAATATCTGAGACTGCATAATTTATAAAGAAAGGAGGTTTAGTTGAGTCACAGTTTCACATGGCTGGAGAGCCCTCAGGAAACTTATAATCATGGCAGAAGTTGAAGGGGAAGCACTTTCTTTATAAGGTGGCAGGAGGGGGAGAGCAGGGGAAACTGCCATTTATAAAACCATCAGATCTCATAAGAATTCACTCACTATCATGAGAACAGCATGGGGTAAACAGCCCCCATGATCCAGTCACCTTCCACCAGGGCCCTCCCTTGACAAGTGGAGATTACATTTGAGATGAGATTTGGGTGGGGACACAGAGCCAAACCATATCAGTACTTTTTCTTTTTTAATATCTGTGATAATTTGTTGCATCTTACAATAAGTACTAAGCCACAGTCTAATTGCCAGCTTTGTTTTCTTTCTCAGTGCTATACAAGGTAATGAATGGTACCTCTTACTGTCAGTGGTGTCTTGGATTTGGCAGAACATGATGCATACCTCTGTAATAGCCTAGCAGGTCCCCAGATGCCCAAATATCAGGTCTCATGCAATGCTTTTATTTCTTCAAAACTTCGTGTCCTGAAAGTATGAAACATAAAACTTCCTCCCAATTTAATAACAATTAATTTTCCTCTGGAGAGAGATTCCTGGCAGGGCCACCTCACTGATTGTCAGTTTATGTACTGCAAGAAGGTGCTTGGTCAAAGGAGGTGATGTAACCCTGCCAGTGCTTCCTCCACTTGGCTGGCTGTGGAGAAAGGCCATAGGAAGGAATGCCTTTTGGTAATTCATCTGCTCAGACTGGGTGAGGTTTGAATTTGTCCACCCAGAGCAGCTACCTTTTTATAATTCACACAGGCATAGTTGTGCAAGCTGCAGGCCTGACTCCCCATATCATAGTTTTAACTTAATCTCTTTCTTTTTCCATCCAGTCATCTCTCTGTCTTCATTGTTTCTTACCTTCCAAGGAGCCTAAATTTAAAGGAAGCTTAATTTAGTTTTCCTATCTACGTGCAGATAAATTCTATCTCTAGAGGATGTTAATTATTTTTTTGACCTTTCAGCATCCATTTCTTCCTCTTTTCGTAACTGTTCTCTGATTTCTCTATGGACAGTCACTGCCTCCCGCATGCTCAGCCCAAGAATTCTGAAACGGTTTTGGGCAGGGGTAGGAACATGTATGACATAGAACTAAGTCAGAGCATTGTGCCTCTCCGACCATAGAGGAACCTGGTCTGATCAGAGTTAAGAAGATAGAGTGGACCCTCTTCCTAGGAATCCTGGCCAACAGACTCTCATGGTTTGCTGTACTTTGAATAAAGAGGAGATAAGGTCTGGAGCTGCTGTTGTGGCCTTGAGCCACAGTGGTGGAACTTCTTTGAGGATGAAGCCAACAACCTGGAAGGCTGAACTGAAAGGATGAGAGAAACTGAATCAAGATTACATTATTTAGGGTTTGAGAACAGCTGTATCTGAAACCAACAATATTCCTGACATTATTATTATGTTAACAGATAAATACCCATTTTTACTTCAGCATGTGTGGGTAGACTACTTTTAATTTGCAGTTGAAGAGTCTGATACCCCCTCTCCCGTAATACCTACTGGTCTAAAACTATATCCAATTCTCTTATAGCTGTACGTGGGATGGGCTTGGTTTGTTCTGTCTTTATCTTTGTTGGCCTCTCTATGTGTCTCTCTTTTCCTGTTTCTGTCTCTATGTCTCTTGTTCCATTGTTTTTCTCTCTCTTTCTCTCTTCCTTTAGAAAGCTTTTAATAAGCTGTTGCTGAGACTTTTCATTACGATTATTTAGAAAGAAAATTATCTATTAGCCTAAAAGATAAAGCTTTTGGTGCTGAGTTGAGAGACTTTATTGTTATATCTGTTCTATTTTTTTCTGATCACCCTGGTTCCTGTGTTTATAGGTAGAAGACTTCTGGGTCTGAGGAGGAAATGTTTTTGTTAGCTAGCTTTGTAAAATATGAATGAGCTCTGAATGCATTAGAAGGGTTAGTAATCAGTTGCTGTTTCTGAATGAATGTTCTTAGAACTTGGGAATTACGAAATCTTCAGCAATCAGTCAGGTATTGTTAATAGACAGTTCTTAAGAAAAAAACATATTGATTTAAGTCTAGTTGCAGTAACTGGTTTCTCTAGGATGAGTAAGGTGATAGCATGTGACGCCAAGAGAGTAAAGGTTTTTATCTTTTTCGTTACCATCCAAGTGCTAAGTTAATAGAAGGTACTCAATAAATACTGGCTGAGTTCATGAATGAATGAATTAATGAAGATTCATTATTTTGGTTAATTGAGAATACTTGGTACTTGAGTTACTGTATATCATGTTCATGATCAATTTTGAGGAGATAAAATATATACAGTCCTAGTTATTTTGTGATTTAAATGTAGACATTTCTTGCCTGAAAAAGCAATTTCATAATAACATTTACTAGACAGATGTTGCTGATTCCTCTATTTTTCCCCAGGCCTTATCATTCCAGAATTATCTGTTGTTTATACTTCAAGTTTGGCAGCTCCCTATGGTGAGGTAGCTTCTCATTATTACAGAACCCCCCTTGTGATGCAAATTTCTGGCTTGAAGAATCAGATAGCTTACTTCACTATATGGTTTGGATGCTTGTCCCCTCCAAATCTCATGTTGAAATGTAATCCCCAGTATTGGAGGTGGGGCCTGGTGGGAGATGTTTTCATGATGGGGGTGGATTTCTCATGAGTGGCTTGGTGCCATCCTTATGGTAATGAGTGAGTTCTCACTCTATGAGTTCACATGAGATCTGGTTGTTTTAAAAGCCTGGAAATTCCTCCTCTCTCTCTTGCTCCCTTTCTTGCCATGTGAGATGCCTGCTCCCCCTTTGCCTTCTGCCATGATTGGAAGTTTCCTGAGGCCCTCACCAGGAGCGAACACTGGAGCCATGATTTCTGTACAGCCTACAGTTCTGTGAGCCAAGTAAACCAATTTTCTTTAAGAATTACATAGCCTCAGGTATTCCTTTTAGTAATGCAAATGTACTAACATGGAAAATTGGTACAAGGAGTCGGGCATTGCAATGAAGATACCTGATTATGTGGAGATGTCTTTGGAACTGTGTAATGGGCAGAGGTTGGAAGAGTTTAGAGGGCTCAGAAAAAGGAAGTTGAGAGAAAGTTTGGAACTTTTTAGAGACTTTTTAAATGGTTAT
Source organism: Homo sapiens (assembly GCF_000001405.40). Taxonomy (NCBI): domain Eukaryota; kingdom Metazoa; phylum Chordata; class Mammalia; order Primates; family Hominidae; genus Homo; species Homo sapiens. Next base: position 5,714,564 of record NC_000003.12, read on the forward strand.
GACCAAAATACTGTTAGAAATATGGACAGTGAAGGCCAGGTTGAGGAGGTCTCAGATGGAATGAGAAATTTACTGGGAATTAGAGCAAAGGTAACCCTTGCTATGCCACAGCAAAGAATTTGGCTGTATTGTGCCCATGTCCTAGGGCTTTGTGAAAGTGATGATTTAGGGTATCTGATAGAAGAAATTTCTCAGTAGCAAAGCATTCAAGATGTTGCCTGGCTGCTTCTAATAGCCTGTGATCAGATACAGGGAACAAACACATGACTTAAAGTTGGAATATATAGTTTAAAGGGAAGCAAAATATTAAAGTTTGGGGAATTTACAGCCTGGCCTTGTATTAAGAGAAGGAAACAGCATTTTCAGGAGAGAAATTCAAGAGGACTGTGGAGCAACCACTTGCTAGAGAGATTAGCATGACTCAGGAGGAAATAAGAGTTTAAAAGGCCTCAAAGGCATTCCAAAAGTCTTCAGGATAGTCCCTCCCATCCCAGGCCCAGAGGCTTCAGAAGAAAGAATGGTTTCAGGGGCCAGGCCTGGGACCCCACTGTCTAGCACAGCCTCAGAACACTACTCCCAACATACATGCTGCTCCAGCTCTAGTTGAAGTTCAAAGAGCCCCAAGTACAGCTTGGAGTGTAAGCCATAAGACTTGGTGGCTTCTATATGGTGTTAACTCTGCCGGTGTGCAGAAGCAAGAGTGAAGAAGGCTTAGCAGCTTCCACCTAGATTTCAGAAGATGTATTGGAAACCCTGGGTGCCTAGGCAGAGCATGCTGCAGGGGCAGAGCCCTCAGAGAGACTCTATTAAGGCATTGCCAAGGGGAAATGTGAGGTTGTAATACCCCCACAGTGTCCCACCAGGGAGGACATGCTTAGTCTAGCTGTGGGAAGGAGGATTCTGCCCTCTAAACCTGAGAATGGTAGAGCCACAAGCAGCTTGCACCCTGTGCCTGGGAAAGCCACAGGCACTTAACTTCAGCCCATGAGAGCAGCCACAGGGGCCATACCCTGCAAAGCCATAGGGGCAGACGTGCCCAAAACCTTGGGAGTTCACCCTTTGCACCAGTGAGCCATGGATGCAGGAGATAAAGTCAAGGATTGTTTTGGAGCTTTCAGGTTTAATGTCTGTCATGCTGGGTTTCTGAATTATGTGGGGCCTACTGCCCCCTTCTTTTGGATGATTTGTCCCTTTTGGAATGGGAAAGCTTACCCAATGCCTATACTCCCATTGTATCTTGGAAGCAAATGACTTGGTTTTGATTTTACAGGCTCATAGGTGAAAGGAAGATGAGTCTCAGATGAGACTTTGGACTTTGGACATAGGACTTTTGGTTTGATGCTGGAACCAGTTAAGACTTTGGGGAACTATTAAGAGGGGATGATTATATTTTCGATGTGATAAGACATGAGATTTGGGAGGCCAGGACAGAATTATATAGTTTGGAAATTTATCCCCTCAAAACCTCATGTTAAAATGTAGTCCCCAGTGTTGGAGTTGGAACCTGGTGAGGGGTGTTTGGATCATGGAGGTGGATCCTTCATTAATTACTTGGCCCATCCTCATGGTAATGAGTGACTTCTTATGAGATCTTGTTTAAAAGAGCCTAGAACGTCCTTCCCTCTCTCATCCATTTTTCACCATGTGACATTCCTGCTCCCCCTTTGTCTTTCACCATGATTGCAAGCTTCCCAAGGCCCTCACCAGGAGCAGATGGTATTGTCATGCTGCCTGTATAGCCTGCAGAACTATGAGCTGAAATAAACCCCTTTTCTGTATAAATTAAATTACCCAGCTTCAGGTATTCTTTATAGCAATGCACGTGGACTAGCATACCCACGATTCTGGACTTCTGTATATCTGAGTGTGCTTCAGACCAATTTTTTTTTTCTTCAACTCTTAAGTTCTGGGATACATGTGCAGGATGTGCAGCTTTGTTACATAGGTAAACACGTGCCATAGTGGTTTGCTGCACAGATCATCCCATCCATAGGTCTTAAGTCCAGCATCCATTAGCTATTCCTTCTGATACTCTCCCTTCTCCTACCCCACTGACAGGCCCCGGTGTGTGTTGTTCCTCCCCATATGTTCATGTGTTCTCATCATTCAGCTCCCACTTATAACTGAGAACATGCAGTGTTTGGTTTTCTGTTCCTATGTTAGTTTGCTGAGACTATTGGCTTCCAATTCCATCCATGTCCCTGCAAAGGACATGATCTCGTTCCTTTTTATGGCTGCATAGTTTTTCATGGTATGTATGTACCGCATTTTCTTTATCCAGTCTATCATTGATGGGTATTTAGGTTGATTCCATCAAATCAATTCATTTGGATAATTAAAAGAGTAACTTGTAGACAGAGATAGAACATTCTCTCTATTGTTCGATAATGCATCCCTAGATTCCTGGTGTGATTCATTAGATCTACCCCCTTTAAACAATGACCTTATTACCGCCATGCTACTTTCAATCTCAGATCCTAACATTCTTCCTTTTCCAGAACATCTGGCCAGGAGCATCTCTTCAAAGCCATGATAAGCTACTATGTCCCCATTTGAATGCTAAAATCACTTAATTTTTTTGGATAAATTCACATAGAATCTCAAAAGTTTTATTTTAGGCAATGACATTTCTTACAGATGATTTTTCCCATATTTCCATCTGTATTGAGGGGAGTCCATGTTTAGCTCATAATTTGCTCACACAGTCAGTGCTACTTAGGACTAAATGTATGACAAATATTTGTATAGTTTTCTTTTGCTGAAAGCTATTCTTTACAAAGAAGGTGCAGGTAGCACTTCTACAGAGTGCATTTTACATCTGCTTGAATGACATATTGTATAAAGTCTTCAGAGGGAGTCTTCGCACTGCAGATAAACAATAAAACAGAGTTATTCCCCACAAGGGATTTGAAGTCATAGCCCATTACATTTATTGACAAAGAACAAATTATTCTCTTCATTATAGTTAATACAGGGAGCCAAGTGATTCAGACTCCTAATTCATATACTTTATCCCCTTTCCTCTCCAAAATTACTTACTAGAAATAAAAGTTTAATGACTATATGTTGGGTGATTACATAATTTTTCACTCTACTGAATTCCTGCTTTTTCATTTAAGGATGATTTTGTAATAACTAGGGAGCTTGCTTACTTACATTCTCAGGCAGTATTTGATATCGCTTGGAGTGGCTTAGACCTTAAATGTTTAATATCGTTTACATTGCGTTGCGTTGGTAATTGAATCAGCACCACACTCCAGTCACTCAATCTTTTTACTTTTTGAAACCACACTTTTCCCTGGACAATTGAAAAGCTACATTTAATGAAGTTAAGGGCTCACACTTGTAAGTGTCAATTTTTGTTGCATCATTTAAATTATCCGTGGCAATCCATTTACTGAACACTCTTCCTAACTCTTTCCTTGGGTGTCTACACAGGCAAAGGGAGGAGGGAGGTAAGTAGAATTGCCTTAATAATGTAAGCCAAAACAAATAACAAAATTGTGTGATGACAGTAAGTAGTGTTATACCCAATTGATGAATGTATCTTTTGATGGAGTCTCTGGTCTGTAGTATATTTTTCTCCGAAATGCAGCCCAAGGTTGTAACAGAGTCAGGGTGCTCATAGATTTCAGATTGACATCTTTTATTCCTCCCTAACTTGACAAAACATTACAGATGTTGTGATTGATTTTCACTGGATTCACAAAACTTCAAGGTAGCATCCAACTGGGGAAAGAGAGGCCTCAGCTGAAAGTCGGGCACTTGATTCTCATTGGCTACTACTTGGCAAGCCATTTAACCCTTTCTATTAGTTTAAGATCTGTTATGATTATTTTATTGTTAGGTAGATAACGTGAACAAGTCACTTCCAGTGAGCAGAAGGAAGGGAAACTCGCATCTATAGGCTGACTGTGTGGTGATATAAAAATGAGACAAAATTTAGCATAAGACAGGCACCTATACACTCAAATCTATCTTGTTGTGCGACCATGGATTAATCAACCTCCTTGGGCCTTTGTTTTCTTATCTATAAATGGAAATACTGATGCCTTATTTACTTTAAAATTGTATCCATTTTTATACATATGTGCAGAAATCCGAATATACTTATTAAACATATTAATCCTGTCTCAGTACCTGCAACATAGGAAATATTTAAATGCAAATTGTGTTGCCTTTCCTTTCCCACTTTCTTGTAATCATCCTAGGCGCAGGTAAGTATGTAAGAAGCATTTGCATGGTTCATGGCAAAACAAGTATTACCGTAACTTTTATAAAATTTCCTCTAATGGGGAAGCCTTAGTGAAAACCATATACTGCCTGTAAGTGCATAGCATGGCAGAGGTAAGACAAAGTAGTGAAGGATGCTGGAAAGAAGTGGGGATGAGTCCTAGAGAACTTGAAGGTCAAGTCTAGGCACCGAGGCTTTGGACAACAGAAAATAGGAACTGCCGCAGAAGCCTGGATGGGGAATTGAAATAGGCAACATTTAGACCATGCTGAAAGCCTAAAAGCCAGTGAGAAAGGGTCTATGAAAGTGAATGCTAATGGAACATTACATGGTTTATGGGTTGGGCAGTGTGGCTCATGCCTGTAATTCTAGCAGTTTGGGAAGCCAAGGCAGGTGGATCACCTGAGGTCAGGAGTTTGAGACCAGCTGGGCCAACATGGTGAAACCCCATCTCTAATAAAAATACAAAAATTAGCCAGGTGTGGTGGCACACACCTGTAGCTGCAGCTACTCGGGAGGCTGGGTCAGAAGAATAGCCTGAACCAGGGAGGTGGAGATTGTAGTGAGCTGAGATTGTGCCACTGCACTCCAGCCTCCATGACAGAGCAAGACTCTGTCTCAAAAAAAAAACCCCAAAACATTATGTGGTTTATGGCAACAGCAATAAACTGGTGATATGAGGAAAAAATCATTAGGAATTGACAACAAATTGGGAAACATGGGCACATAGAAGATGACTGTAGTTTTCTGTGTGAAAAATTGGGAATATGTCATTGTCATTAAGAAAGACAGAAACAGTAGAGAAAAAAGTTTTTGGTAAAGATGAAACATGTACAGAATTCAGAATTGATTTTAATGGTTCCAAAATCAGATTGGATTCCAACACTTAAAGAAATAGTTTTTTCCAACCAGTGGTAATTTATACTACAATTAGAATTTCACATGCATGTTAGAGAGAGGTTCTGAACCAACCCAAATGCCCATCAAAGATAGACTGGATAAAGAAAATGTGGCACATATACACCATGGAATACTATGCAGCCATAAAAAAGGATGAGTTCATGTCCTTTGCAGGGACATGGATGAAGCTGAAAACCATCATTCTCAGCAAACTAACACAGGAACAGAAAACCAAACACCTCATGCTCTTACTCATAAGTGGGAGTTGAACAATGAGAACACATGGACATAGGGAGGGGAACATCACACACCAGGGCCTGTTGGGAGATGGGGGGCTAGTGGAGGGATAGCATTAGAAGAAATACCTAATGTAGATGATGAGTTGATGGGTGCAGCAAACCACCATGGCATGTGTATACCTATGTAACAAACTTGCATGTTCTGTACATGTACCCCAGAACTTAAAGTATAATAAAAAATAGAGAGGTTCTGAAAAATATTTGATTTTTTGAAATAAAAATTCAGTGCATTAGAAAAGCAGGATCTTTAGAAGAATTCCTGCTGTGAATCATAAAAGAAAAAAATCTTTTCCTGATTTAGTGTATGCTTATTACCTCCAACTTCCCTCATTCATAACTTGGCAGTTTTACTTTGTTAGGTTAAGATAACAGCAGCATTAGCAGCAACAAATATCAACCTTTACATCTGCTTTTGCCTGCCGGGTCCTTACCCCAGTCGATGCAACAAATATTGAGTAATGGGTTGAGTGTCCTTTTCAAAAAGATAACCTAGTGATCTCTGGAAGATCTAGCAACCCATGTTTATAATTTTTAAGACTAACTGTCAAAGCTCAGGACATTCTGAATCTATTGATTTGTTGGAAAGTATTGGGCCTCCCTTTGTCTGCAGAAGAGATGGGAGGAACCATGAAAGTCTGGTCCATTAATCAGCTAGTTCATGCTATGCAGGAAATGCATAGGGTGCACAGAGATTGATAGGCCTTTGTGAAAACCTGATTAATGCATTTGTTCCCACCAAGTGGCTTCTAATCTCTTTTATGGGTGAAGAAATTTTTATGTCTTGCTGGCACCTTATAAAATGTACTAATACTTCCCCATTTCCTGACTTCTGAGTGATTCCATTTTACCTCTGCAAGCACAGCCCACATTCCATGACCAGAGATTGAATCGCAGATTTTCTGCTACTTGGGAGCTGTACCTAGGGAATAGCAGAAGCGGGTAATTGCCTTACTCTGCTGGGAGACTGATTAGCGTCAGGGAGGCAACGATTTTCTTCTCTTGGGGACTGGGAGCGGGTACGAGCAGAGTACCAAAAAGGTTATTTTTATTAAGACCTGAAGATTGTGTTCAAACAGCCTATAATTTCTTTATAATTACATAGTGGGAACTGTCCCACTCCCTTTCCTTATTCTCTTAATGTCCAGTTTAAAGCCCTGCCACCCATTCACTGTAAATCTAGAAATACTGGACTTGAGGAGGTAGGTAGGAGGCATTTTATTAGACTTGTTCTGTTTTAAAATGGAGTTTGTGTCTTATGGTCTTAGACTCTTTCCTAGATACTTTAAATTTTTCTAAAACAAATTCTAATTATTTCAAGTTTAAAAAGAACCCACAATGATTTCAACACTACAAAAATGCATAGACAGAATGAAAAAAATCAATCCCCCAAATCATCCAAAAACTTCAGGAAAAAATATGAAACAAAGATACAAACTCCATTGTTTGGTCAGATCTGGAAAGAGCTCCAAAATATTGATAAGACTTTCAAGAACAACTGCATTCCTGCAGAGACCATCTGGAAAGAACTAGAGAAAAGCAGAAGAGAAAGAGCTCCGTTTTGACAGAGCTCAGAAACTATCAAAAGATATATTTCTTGATGGTGAAAGGCAAAAACTAATACTCATTTTTTCAATACTCACTGTGGAAATAGATGAACTAGGTGACAGCAGAACTATCTGGATCCAGGATGGTTCAGGAAACAATGAGAGTGGGTCTCCATGAAGAATCATACGAAACATCTATATTTCTGGATTTTTTAAAGTTTTTTTTTTTTTTTGTAACAACTGAACACAATTAAAATGGGCTTTTTGATAGAAAAAAATATTTGCTAAAAGTGTCCACAGGAAAAATATGTAATAAGGGCAGAGTGATTTCCATATAAAAAGTAGTAAAAAATGTGATGGAAATGTTCACAAAAAAGCAGCAGGATAGTTTCACAGAGTAGTGCTACCAAACTATTAAAGAATAGAAAAATTGGCCAGGCGCAGTGGCTCATGCCTGTAATCCCAGCACTTTGGGAGGCTGAGGTGGGTGGATCACTTGAGGCCAGGAGTTAGAGATCAGCCTGGGCAACATGGCAAAACCCAATCTCTACTAAAAATACAAAAATTAGCCAGCGTGGTGGCATGTGCCTGTAAGCCCAGCTACTCAGGAGGCTGAGGGAGGAGAATGACTTGAACTGGGGAGGCGGAGGTTGCATTGAGCCAAGATCATGTCACTGCACTTCAGTGACAGAGCAAGACTGTCTCAAAAAAAAAAAAAAAAAAAAGAAAGAAAAATTACAATGCTGTTGAATATGGTTCAGAACACAAGGAAAAGATTAACAGAAAATTTTACTTGTTTTAAAAGACAGAATACAAAACTATTCCTGAAATCTGACATAGATTGTTGAAGAGAGAGAAAAATGATACCATAGCTCACCAAATGCAATAATACCTCCTTGTAAATAATCAATATTTATAAATAGTCACTATTAAAAGATTTCCTAATATTAACCACATTGGTCATGACCTAAAGAGAAAAATCATTACTTTCTTCATGCATGCTGAAAAGGCATTTGATAAAATCCAACTTTCATTCAGAATAAATACAATCAATAAACATATATGAATTCTTCTTTAAGTTGATAAAACATTATAAACCAGCATGGTCCCTACTGGAGAAACACTGAAAGGTTTCCCACATGAAGTCAGGAACAGGCAGCATTAGGTACCATCACTGCAGTGCTGTACTTCATGTTGCATTAGAAGTGCTAGCTAATGTAATCCGGTCAAGAACAAGGTTAGAGATATAAAAAATGTGTTAGGAGCATATAAAATATCTTTATTTTCAGATGAAATAATTGTATCCCTGGAAAATACAAGAGAGTCAACTCTAAGAATAATTCAACAAGTTGTTGGGATTAAAAAGTGTATATATAAATCAATAATTGTCATATATTCACACAAGCCAGTTAGAAAATATATTGCAAAGAAGACTCTCCTTAATTGCAACACAGAAGATAAAATACAAAGGAATTAACAAGAAATACACAAGATCTTTTCGAAGAAAGCATGAACAAATTGAATACATACTATACCCTTGAGTAGAAAGAATGTGGTAATGATCTCAAACTTCTCTCAGTGACTACTAAATTAGGCATGATTTCAGTTAAAATACCAATAGGTGAGTTTCTCTCTTTCTGAATTGGACAAGGTATTGTAAAGTTTATATTACAAAATAAAAAGTGTTATTATACATCAGAGTGTACAACAAAGTTTCGTTAAGAGTGTGATACTGGCACATGAGCTGACATATCAATGGACTAGAGTTTAAAGTCGAAGAACAGAAGCATTTAAACACAAAATTAGTGTTTGAGAAAAGTGGCTTTTCAAACCACGGGGGGAAGCCTGACTATTTATTTATTTAGAGATGGAGTTTTACTCTTCTTGCCCAGGCTGGAGTGCAATGGCATGATCTTGGCTCACCGCAACCTCTGCCTCCCGGGTTCAAGCGATTCTCCTGCCTCAGCCTCCCTAGTAGCTGGGATTACAGGCACGTGCCACCACGTCTGGCTAATTTTGTATTTTTAGTAGAGACGAGGTTTCACCATGTTGGTCAGGCTGATCTTGAACTCCTGACCTCAGGTGATCTGCCCGCCTGGGCCTCCCAAAGTGCTGGGATTACAGGCATAAGCCACCATACACGGCCCAGTCTGACCATTTAATAAGTGATCTTAGGACAACTGAGTTGACATCTAGAAAAAAAATAAATGTGGGTCCATACTTCATACACTATGAAAAATTCCAATGGATAAAAGTTTTAAGTGGTAAAACGAATGAAAATGGAAACTGTCAAATTTCTATAAAAAACGTGGGAGAATGTGTTTAAACCTCAGGATGAGGATGGCCTTCCTAATGTGAACTCAAAATTCAGAAGTCATAAAAAAGCGACAAAATAAGTGAAATGAAAAATAAAGAGATAAAAATAAACTTCTGTTTGCCCCACTATTCCCAGAAGAAAATAAGCAAAATAATGAAAAACATATTTAGAATATTTTCAACACATATCATAGACACAGAGCCAATGTTACCAATATATAAAGAGGGCTTAGAAATTAATAATGGAAAGAGTTACATATCAATTTTTTTAAATGGCCAAAATGTATAAATATACAAATGACAGAAAAGGAAATAAAAATTGCTCTTAAACCTTTGAAAAGATGTTAAACCTCGCTTGCAATAAGAACAGTGTGAATAAAACCATGCTGAGATCTAATTCTTCACCTATCATATTGACGAAATCCAAAAGGTACATATATTTTGTTGTGAGTTACTGAGAAAGAAGCACTCACTTGTACAACCCTGTGAAGGGCTTGTAGTATATGTCAAAATTTGAAATGTGTATGTGTACCCTTTGACCCAGCAAGTCTACCTCTAAAAATTTATCCTATGATTACACTCGAATACACATGATATGGCCTATGTAAAATAATTGCATCATTGTAATAGTAAAGGATTAGGTTTAGCCTGGATATCTATCACAGGGCATTGACTAAATGAATTATGGTATATTTCTACCATAAAAGAATATCCAATTGTTAAAAAGCAAAAATCCACACACCCACACACACATAGAAGCAAGCTCAGTATACGTTGATGTGAAAAGATATTAAAATTTATTTAAGTGGAAAAAAAAGCAACGTGCAGGACAGCAGGTATAGTTGCTACTATTTGTGTAAAAATGGAAAGAATGCATATTTGTGCTGGTCAGTTTATGAATAAAAATCTCTGGAATGACAAGACATAAACAACAGTGATTACCTGGATTGAGAGGGAGATTCTTCATTGCATACCTTTTGTACACTTTGATGTTTAAGCCTTGTTGAATGGATGGCCTCTTTAAAAAAAAAATCAAAGGGGAGAAACCTATACACATAGAAAAAGAAAAGGCATAAAAAATACTGCAGAGAAATGAAAAGGAAATTAAGTCACTTTAAACTTAGTAACTCTCTCAAAAAGAAGTTTTATATGATACAAAGTGCAGTAATGTGCATATGATACAGAAAAAAACCAATAAATTAAACTCATAACAAATAAAGATGGTATGAGCCCTTTGCAGAAGGGGTATATGATCAGGAGGATTACTGCCTGGACAAATACTTAGGGAGCAACTGCTGCATGGTTTAAGAATTAATGGTGCCAAAGCTAATATATTGGTCAGTGATTCTCATATGCAGTGGACCAGTTTTTATATCAAGGAGTAGTTTTGGTGACTGCTTGGAAAGAAGCATCAGCCCGTACACAAATGGGCGCCAAGCAGTAGATGTAAAGGTAAGTTGGAGATCCCAGAGCTTAGGGGTGTGCTTGCTAATGGTGATGATGCTTGCCAAAAGCCTCAGTCTACAGGTTACTCACAGCTGAGAATTAGGATGCGATTAAAAGGAAAAATACAGGAAGGCAATTAGAAACAAAATAGTTATTTGATTTTGGTGAACAGTAAAAATTTTAGCTACCAGTGTTTTTAATGACCACTTGCTTTGTAATTGACCAAGTCTAGTCACGTGCATTAAACTGTATGCCATGAAAGAGACAATAAAGTAAAAGCTTTGGAGAGAAAACAGTCTACTTTTTGTTCTGCTATTTGAGAAGAAAGCATAATTTATATAGTCACAGTCTCTTTTTATTAATAGGAGTAACAATAGTTACTATCTAGTCTGTGTTTATTATATTTCCAAGTATTGTGCTACACACACAGTTTCTTATGTAGTCTTCCCAACTGCTTAATGACATAAGTATATTATTATCTGAAAGCCTGAAGAACTACCAAAGGTTTAAAAAGGTACATGTTAGCCTTTAAGTTCATTCTCTCTGAATCCAGCTAACTGTGCTAAGATCTACAATTCAATATTTGTGAGTTTCCATCTTTCATTTCTTTTAAATGTTACTAAATATATTGAATGACTCCATGTGGCATCTTATCTTTAACTTTGGACAGAGGGTTCTGGTAGGATGTGCTGGTATGCAAACCGGGGTTCAGTTGAAAAACAGGCACCCACTTCTTATCTTGCTATAGATAAGAAGAAAAAAAGATGAGGGATACAGGGCTATAACACAGGGATCTAGACGTTAGGACCAAAACATCTGGCAAGATTTAGCTAAAAGAATCATGGCAACTTACCAGACCTATGGGTGAATCAGAAGTTCAGCAAAAAAAAAAAAAAAAAAAAAAAAAAAAAAAAAAAAAAAATTCAAAGGGGAAAATCTTATACACTATATCTTATTCATGAATGTTCAAAGCCATTTGAAGTTAAAAACTTCTTAAATCTGCCCAAGCTCAGAAGGAAGTGAATCCCAGTGCTGAAAATAGAAACAGAACTTATTAATGGAAGCTAAATAATTGCAAATATGAGATCAAAATATCACATAGATCATTAAGTGAGTCAATGGGTCTGTTTAAACTTTTATGGGATTCTCACTTCCAGTAAGCTGCCTAAATACGGAGAAAAGGTGGAATATTGAATAGCTTTTTCTCTACCATAGCAAGAAAATACTCTGGTTATACCAGGTGCGTGTGAGTTAGTGAAACCCATTTTATTATTCCAGATGTATTTACTGATACCTACTAAGTGCCAGACATTGTGCTAGATGAGCAGTGCAAAAAGCACAGTCTCTGATTACAGGGAGTTTCTCATCTTGTGAGAAGAAGAAATATTAAAATAAGTATACATAAAAAGAGGAAATTACAACTATGATCACAGCTGTGAAGGAGCAGTGGTTGGTACCATATGAGCCTGTCATAGAGGGAGTTGACCTCATCAGGGAAAGCTGGTCTCGGAAATGGTGAATTAAACTGACTTCTGAAGCAAGAGTGGGAGTTAATTGGCAAAGAATCATGGATTAGAGCCTTCCAGGCAGAGGAAACAGCGTGTGTTAGGTTGAACCATACGTAATTGCTACTTTTAAAGGTCAAAAATCATTGAGCGTCAACTGTTTCACACAGTTCAACTTATTTACGGGTCTGTTATACACATAGCAAGGTCCAAAGCACTATGGCTAATGATAAGGTGTTTTATATGCTTCCTGCACTCATGCTTCTCACAGTTCAGATGGGAGGGCCATGAAAGGATAAACAAAAAGAAAAAATGACAATAGAATAAGAGAGATTATAAGGGCGTGAAGGATTCTTCAGAGAGGAGGAGTTCTAGAGAAACCAAGTCCTCCTATTTCAGAGATGTTCCATGCAGATGGGATTATTGATACCTAAAGCTGCTGATGGCTTTCCATCAGGGAGGTCGGGCAGATGCTTGAGCTGAGTCTGTAATATCCAGTTTTTATCCCTCCGTTCTTCCCTGTTAAAGGAAGCCACAGTGCTGAAATAAACGTTAAAAACTTGCCTCTTTGGCTCTGTGCATAGAGTGTCTCATTAACGGTGAGATCAGTGGTGACCACCAAATGACTTTGCAGCACAAGGGTTTGAATTTATCGGGACCGATTTTTTGGGAAATAGTCTCAGATATTTATGTGGAATCAGAGACAAAGGGAACTCCAGTAATCAGCTGACACAGGAAGAGAAATTTTCTCTTCCTCACAAACAAGGAAATAAAGTCAAAGTGTAACCACCCAGTGGGTTCACCTTACCTGTTGCCCAGACAGAACTGATTTATCAAGACAGGGGAAGTGCAATGGAGAAAGAATAATTTAAGCAGAGAGCAGAGCTGGCTGTGTGGGAGACTGGAGTTTTATTACTACTCAAATCAGTCTCCCCGAGCATTTGGAGATGAGAGTTTTTAAAGATAATTTGGCGGGTAGGGGCTTGGGAAGTGGGGAGTGCTGATTAGTCAGGTTGGAGATGGAATCATAGGGGTTGAAGTGAGGTTGTTTTGCTGTCTTCTGTTCCTGGATGGGATGGCAGAACTGGTTGCGCCATTTCTGGGTGGGGCCAGCTGATCCATCCAGTGCAGGGTCTGGAAAATATCTTAAGCCCTGATCTTAGGTTTTACGGTAGTGATGTTATCCCCAGAAGCAATCTGGGGAGGTTCAGACTCTTGGAGCCTGAGGCTGCATACCCCTCAACTGTAATTTCTAATCTTGTAGCTGATTTGTTAGTCCTGCAAAGGCAGACTGGTCCCCATGCAAGAAGGGGGTCTGTTCGGGAAAGGGCTGTTATCAAATTTGTTTCAGAGTCAAAACATGAACTGAATTCCTTCCCAAAGTTAGTTCGGCCTATGCCCAGGAATGGACAAGGACGGCTTAAAGGTTAGAAGCAAGATGGAGTCGGTTAGGTCTGATTTTTTTCTCTGTCATGATTTCCTCAGTTATAATTTCGCAAAGGCAGTTTCAGAAGGGAGTCACATGTGTGCTAGCAGCAGATGTATATGGCACTGCTTTCTCTCCGAGGTGCGAGATTTACACTGTGATTGTCCTCTTGTGCTATTAACTATATTTTAGAAAATATTACTTGAGCTTTTGGTGAGGAGGAGGTGGTAGATGTACACTTTGGTCTGCTGGAAGAAAGAAGAATGGTCTTTTGGTTTAATAGCATATAAAGAAATGAGTTAAAATACTTAAAGATCTCAAAAAATTATCCCATACATCCATACATCTCTTCTCAACACCATCCCTTTTGAAATAAAATTCCTTCTATATTCTTCACTTTAGTTTTTGGGAAGGGGTAGATAATTGAGGGATGTGGTGTGTCATTCAAAATGTTGAAACCTTTTATTTTCTGAAGAGTTTCTTTCAAATGTAAGGAGTTTGAGAGTAATCTCTTACATTTACTTTGTCCTTCACACTTTGATAAAGCTTGTTCGCTGCCATTATCACTCTCCACAGCTCCACAGACACCCTGGAGGATTGGCTGTGCCTATTCTCTTTCCACCTCCATCGTTGCTACCCGCACCTCGATTTGGCAGTGAACTGAAACTTAGGCTGATTGTCTAATTTCCCCTGAAGTCCCCTAGTAAGCCATTTCATTATCTCCCCCGCCTTTGTAATGGGGGGGGGGGGGCAGCTACCTGTTTAAATTCAATTTTCATTTTCTAAGAAACATATTACAAAGAGCCAGCCTAAGTGAAAATTCAGACACATCAGAAGGATATGATCAGAAGAAAGAAGCCAGACTTGTCTTCTTTCTTCTTTTTCAATAAATGTAGTTGATTTAGATGACAATGATGGTTGTCATTCTCATCACAGAAGTAAGAGTGGCTAAGACTTGGCACTTCATGAGTGATTACTATGTGCTTGGCACTCGTAAGTGCTTTGCATGGATTATTGTCTTTAAATTTTATCAACAAATCTATGATCTAGGTACTTTAAATTATCCTTAGTTTACAAAGAAAGAGTCAGAAGTGCATAGAGGTGAGTAACTTACTCAAGGGACAGATGTTGTAAGAGGTGAGGTTGGAATAGCTTTGTTCAACCCCAGAGCCTACATTTTTTTTTTTTTTAAGACAGGTTCTCACTATGTTACCTGTGCTGGTCCTGAACTGTGCTCAAGTGATCTTCCCACCTCAGCCTTCTGAGTAGTTGGGGTTACAGGCACATGCCACTGTACTTGGCCAGAACGTGTATCTGTAACCACTCAGTATTATCCAGTATGGTCTTTAGAACAGAGGCACTAGAATCAATTAGGGAGCTTGTTAAATATACAGATCACTGAGCTCTACTAGTGGCATACAAAATTAGTTTTGAAGGTGAGGTTTGGGGACTTGCATTTTAACCACCTTCACCGTTCATGGAGAACAGCAGAAGCAGCATAGTGCTGAAGTGATTATTCAACCCACAGAAGTCCATCAGTGAGATTACAGCTACACGGCAGATGGAACCTAAAAATGATGACTCCACTCTGGACGATATGCGTGCGAAGTGGTATAGTCCAGTCCATCCTTAGAGGAGTAGGGGGCAATTGCTACAGACTATGACAAAACACAAAACTCAATGGGAGGGAGATTACTGCTGCTTAGGACACACTCCCTACTTTTTCTCTCTTCATCAACTGATTCTCTCATGACTCGGGCTGCTTCAGGTTAACTGAGAAACAGGACAGTAGCAAGCCTTCAGGAGCATGCGCCCTCCACTGGCTTGGATGCCTATCACAACGTCCTCTCCATCTGCCAGTGAATGCACCACACTGGGATGTGTTAAGATGAGCAGCCCTACTGGAAGCAGCTGCTAATGCTGTAAAGGTTGAGAGAAGTGATTCTCAAGGTGTTTACGACTTTTTCTTTTATACAGAAAATATATATTGCAGTGGTTCTTAAACTGGTGCATGCATCAGAATCACGTGGAGGATCCTCGGCCTCAGACCCAGAGTTTGTGAATCAGTAGAAACAAGCCCTTGGCTTGGGGCTTGTTAATATAAGTAGGCTGGGCCCTTGGCCTAGAGTTTCTGATTCAGTAGGTTTGGGAGTGAGGATGAGTCTGTGCATAGTGCAGCTGATGCTACTGGTCTGGGTACCAGACTTCAGGATCACTGGTCTATAGTTTAAGGGATAGGATGATTTTAGGGGCAGTTTTCCAATGCAGACTATAATCCTGTGATTAAGAATATAAAAGTAGACCATCCATCTATCTTTCCTCTTAAACATCAGAGAATAGGGATAGAAATATAGTCATATTACCCAGTTTGGAGATTAAAGTCTATCTTGAGAAATGGTATGGTTTGATAGTTGAGTGATGGGCCTTGGGAGTCAGAACTGGTTTCAAATGTGGTCTTTTGGTGAGTTAGCTAACATCTTTGAGCTTCTTTGAGTTTCTTTGATTTTCTACATCTATAAACCAAGAACAACAAAAATGCCTCCCTCTTAGGGTTTGTGTGGGAGATCTTTGGTTTGTCTCCAGTAGCATTTTCTTCCCTTGGCCATTTTGCAATGCCTTTTGTCCTTTGCTTTCCGGTGGGGTTCACCCCAGAAGGAATCCCAGCAGGAGCTCAAAGTGTGAAAGGAGAATGAAATAAGGAGTTAGGTGTTTCCTGCTCATCCTCTGTGGGGTCACTACAGTTGGCTGTGTCCCTCTCAGAAAGCCTACTGCTGGTTAGTGCTGTCTTACAGCCAGACCTCCTGTCTCTGTCTTCTTGAAATTCTACTCAGCCCTTGGTGCCTTCTGCTTAGGGATAGTGATGGTTGTCTGTGGTTAATTTACTGAAACACACTATTCCTTGTTCATTCCCTTTAACCTCGCTGCCACTTTTGTAAATAGTGCTTTGTGAAGGCCCATTTGACAGTACCCTCAATTGATGCTGGGGCCCTCACGGCTAAAACTGTGGTGAGAATACATGGAGAGAATGCAGATAATGTACTTGGCTCAGTGCTGTCATCTAGTGGGTGTACCCAGTCATGTTCATCATTATTACTGCTTTGTAATATTTGGTCTAAATTGTCCTTATTGGTTATTTGTGCCTGTGGCACCTACTGACACATGAACAGCTCATTCATCCATTTTGGTTTCTTTAGACACCACTTAAATCATGTGGACTATCTTGCTAATTTTCCTCAAACCTTGGCTAAAGTCATGTTTTCATTTTTTGGCATCTGTATTATTTAAGCCTTCAGATTTTTTTTGTTTCTTATAGGTTAACATTAACTAGTATGTGACTCCTATTTCTAACTTTGTTAATAAAATATATTGTTGGACACCATCTCCTCTTACAGAAGTACCATTATGGAAGATACCAAGTGCATGGCAAAATGGGGAAGAAGGAGCCTGAGTCTCTGGTGTCACCAAGGAGCTATTTTACCAGTTCTGAATGCACTGCTTCTTGATTCCTTTTTCTGTGAGAAAAATAAGCTGCAAATGGATAAGCCACAGTCATTAGGCTTTTTGTTGCATCCAGGCAAATGGAATCCTCACTGATACTCTCGTTCGGAGATTGAACTAGGTCTAGTCAGGGTCATCAAGAAACATTCAACAGAGTCATAAAAGTATTGCTTTGAGAAATGAATGCAACTTTAAAAAATGTGATTGGTTTCTATATTTAATCTGTAGCTCATGTCAAATGATTTCCTAAAAAAGGACTGTCCCTATCTTGGTCATTGCTGTATTCCAGATGTCTAGTACAATGCTTGACACAGAGTTAATACTCAGCAAATAAATACTTACTAAATATGTACAGTGTTTGTTTAGTAAAGGTTGTGACTGGTTAAATTTCTGGGCAATGACATGAGGATAAAATCACAGGGCTTATTCCCTTATTTATTGTCAGTATCTATAATCTGCCTGGGAGGAAAGATAACAGGCGGAAACTCTGGCATCTTTGTATTTATAAGACCTAGGACAATGTCCAGAGAGTGGTAGACCCTCAAAAAGTGTCAAGTAAGCAAATCAAGAAATGAAAGTGAATAGAAAAATGTTTTCTGTCTATTTACTTAGAAACCCCACAACTTTAAAGATATGTTGTATTTTCTCTTTACTTAAATTGCTTCTTTATTGCTTTTCCACATTTTTTTAAATTTAGAAAAATTATAATGTAGAAAGACCCGGAAGGGAAGATAAAATTTTCTGTAATCCTGCCATCATCTAGGCTTAAAAAAATTTCTGGATGCCTTTGATGAATTTTTTTCCCCATCAGCAATACCTTTCTTTTGGAAGCTTATTCTACTGAATTTTTTTTGCAACTTAGCTTGGTAATTGTGACTGACTTTCCAAATCTCTGTTAAACCAGGATAATGAGCGATACTTAAAGTTCTCATTTTTGCTTCAATTTACAAACCTTTAGAGCATTCAGTTCCTTTCACTGCATTCTTGATACTGTAATTTGCAACAACAGGCCCTTGTTCTCAAAGTAGTTTATTTAAAGATGCCTCATTTGCTGTTCCTCTGGGTATGTTATTATTGTACAGTACTTCTGAGTGTTATTATCCTTGTCTTCTTTTGACATACATGCGCAATAGCTGATATTTTTAGTGTGCTATTAATATTATTAAATCGTATTATGTATTTTATTTGGTTGATGTGTTATTACACAGTTACCTCTCAGATTTATATATTTAATCTCAAAAATTAACTAGCATTCGTATTTTTTAAAGTGCTAGCAAAATGCCAAAGAAGTAATTAAAAATATAAGTAAACCCAAGCCAAAGGATTTTGAAGGACTTTATGACCTAATACTGGTTTGGGAAAGGGGAGAGGGCTGGGAAGGAAGTTGTTCTAGGAGATTTATTCTACGACTGTATAGGCACACAGCTAATTTACCTTTAGAACTCTTCTGTGTCTTCCTTTAGTGGTAAATGGTTACTGATAAATGAGAAAGAACTGCCACTTATAATTTTAATATATAAATCCCATTTTATTCTAGCTTTCTCTCTTCCCTTTCTTTCATCCTGAACAACTGTGCAAATCTATGGGACGTTTTATGTTTTGTTTCTGAAGTTCATTCATTCATTCAGTCAGTCAGTCAATCAACACGTATTTATTAGGTGCCTGCTGTTCTGGGAACAAAACGGTGAGTGAGGCACAGAGGTTGCCATGGTGGGCAAAACCTGAGAGTCTTAGTTCTTCCGGGACTTGCAATCTAGTGGAGGGAGACGGGCGATTATCAACTAATCACAGTCAGGAGTCTATCATTATACAGCGGTATTAGTGCAATGAAGAAAAGGATCACAGTTTAATGAGAAAGTAAAGGACCCTGGGACTGACTAGGGTCTTGGGCTCAAGGTCAGAGAGGATTCCCTGAGGAGGTAAAGTTTCAGCTGAGAGCATAGGATAAGTAGCAGGTCAAAGTTAAAAGGCTATAGAGAGGTGGTGGGGCATGAGGAAGTGTTCCAGATAGAGGGGGCCCGATTTAAGCTTAGTGACTGGAGAGGATATGGAATGATTGAGGCATTGGAAGAAAGACAGGTGGCTGTAATTCAGAAAGCCAGAGATAGAGTGAAGCTAGACATGGCTAGACAGGGAACTGGGCCCAAAATTATGCAAAGCCTTGAAGGTCATGTCAAGAATTTGGTCTATACCCTAAAAGCAATGGGAGGAAGCTGTGAGGAACTTCATTCCATTCTTTGGCTCTTAATCCTTTCTCCTTTGCATTATTGTCTTTTGTATACATGGTTTGTGGCTCTAATTAGGATATTATGATGACTAGTTTTATTTGTCAGCTTGGCTAAGATATAGTGCCCAGATATTTGACCAAACATTATTCTGAATGTTTCTATGAGGCTGTTTTTAGATGAGACTAACATTTAAATTGATGGAGTAAAGCAGATTGCCTTCTGTAATGTGGGTGGGCCTCATCTAATCAGTTGAAGGCCTGAATAGAACAGAAGACTGAAATTCCCTAAGTAGGATGGAATGTTGCAGCAGATGATACTCAGACTTGAGCTGCAACGTTGGCTTTTCTCAGCTCTCCAGCCTGCTAGCCGTTCCTGCAGACTGAAACGTGCAAGGCTGCATGATCACGTGAGCCAGGTTCTTAAAACAAATCTGTCTGTTTATCTACACAACCTGTTGGTTCTGTTTCTATGGAGAACCCTAAGATAGATATCATTATCTCCTTGAACACAGAGAATATGTTTCACTCATCTTTGCATGTTCCTAGTACCTAGTACTCTGCAAACAGTGACTGCTCAGAAAACTGGCATTTCATGAGACTGTCACATCCCAAAGGATGCTATTTGTACTATGCTTAAAATATAACTTATCAATGCTAAAAAGCTGTTTTCAAAAAATGTGTAAAAATCCCCAGACCTATATAAGTTAAACTGTCTTATTGTATGCATTCTCAGGATACTTAATATACTGATATCTGGTGTGACAAAGATATCATCAAATATTCATAAGCCTTCTTTTAGTTCAGCCTCTTGTGGAACTTGTGTTTTCAGAACTTGCCTTGGGTAGTAGTAGAGAGAACATTCACTGAATCAGAGGGTAAATAATTACCCTTTATCTGGACTGGAATTATATATTTCTGTGTCTGGTTAATACACTGGGGGAAGAAAATGTTTTGTTTTATTTTGTTTTGGATTACTGAAGTTAGGCCAGATAACAAATCCTTTGACTAAAACTTTAGTGAGACAGTCTTTGTTTAAGAGTTTCACCCTACCTAGTATTATATGACATATTCAGGAGATCTAATAACTGAGTGAGAAGTTGCCAAAATGTTTATAGTTAATAGAGGAGAGAGGAAGACAATATCAGCATTACCTAGAACAGAGCCACTCAAAATGTGGTTGATGAGCTTGTATTGGTCTATAAACTGTGTCATGCTAATCTGCACAAAAGTGGATAGGAAGCATGGAGAAACATTTATAACCATTGAACAGAGTAATTTATGTCTGTTGATACAATTTAAAAAATTGGACACGTATTTATGTGCCTTCTTAAATATAATTTTTCTAGTAGTTAATCTTAATTGAGTTTCACAAAATTATTGATCTGTGATGAATTGAAGATTAAAATAATAAAGAAACAAATAACTGGTTAATCACCATAGACTAAGAAGCACTGGCCTAGTCTCACTGAGAAAAGTTTCCTGGGGAAGGGAAACTGCTCAGGGATAAGCCTAGGAGCAATGAATGACATTTTTGAGGAGGGACCACTATGAACAAAGGCCCAGAGACTGCACTGAACGGGTTTGTAGAGGACAATATGAGGTCAGCCTGGGTGGGTGGGCAAGGCAGGGGAAGGAGGGCCCAGGAATCCATTTGCACAACTTTCACGGAGACCGACCCCGTCCCTGTGTTTTTGTCAGACAGCATGGTGCTATAGACAAGCAACATTAGGAGGCTTGGCTAAACTCTGCTACCCTTTGGGAGGTCATTCCAGTTGTGTTCCCATTTCTGTATGAGTTTTACTCGTTCATTTCTAAACAGGAGTGTTAATCTGAAGGTTGATTATTCCTCCAGTGGTTATGAGAGTGTGGTTACTTGGCAGAGACAACTCGAATTAAAGTGTTTACAGTAAACCAAGGCCAATTCAATGTTACTAGTTATCACTTGTTTACAAGATAATACTTCCGTTGCCCTGCCTCTGTACCCCTCCCCTCCAATCATGGGTGAATTTAAGAATATTATTTGATTCGATTCCATCTAGGAAATAGAAGACACTTGTCAAGTTCCTACGCCTGCCGGGTGTGTATTTTTTGCAGAACGTCCCTCATGTTGGGTTATTAAAATGATGGTTTTCCTGGCAAATACATTGCTTAGTTCCCCAGGAGATTTTAGTGGTGATGTTATATGCTCAAAAACAAAAATTCCATCCCGATGAAGAGGATATTTATAAAATTAATATTTTAGAAACTTGGAAAAAGCAACTGGGAGACCAAGTGGGACTAATATATTCATGCAAATGGCAGGTATATATTTTTTAACCTGATACTGTTTTTCTTTAAGTTATTGAAGTGACCATATTCCTAAGCTGAATGGAATTCCTTTTCTGTTTCCTGGTGAATTGTGAATACATAAGGTTTTAGACAAATATGAATCAGGGGGATTAGTTTGCAAAGTACAGATGATGGTGAAAATTGAGGGCTTATTTTAATTGGTTTCTTTTGATTTTGCTTTTGTTGATATCTTAAACAATTTTTCTTTTCTCTTCTTTCCTTTATGATGTGATGTCCTAGTTAGTATTTTTATTTCTTTAATTATTTCATTCAATATTATACCTATAACAAAGTATTGTTCTACTAGAAAGCTATTGAACTGTTGGCTATTCCAGCATAGGCCTGGTCAGTGACCTGGACTGTGAAGATACAAGAATAATTATCATTTCTGGCTGCTCAAGGGAGTGGCCTGGGGAATGGATGCATGGATAGATGAATGGATTCGTTCATTCATTAAAGCAAGCAAGCAAAAATCTGTGTTACATCACAGATTGCTGTTCCCTGCTGCCCCCATGGCTTGCTGAGTTTCTAATTCAGCCAGGCTGGGGTTGGGGCCGGAGATTTTGCATTTCTGACGATGTCCCAGGCGGTGATAATTCTGGCCCTGGGACTGTACTAGAGAACCATGGTCTTAAAGGATTTGAACAGACTGAGTATGACTTTATTACCCAGCACTTAACTAGAAGGTGCCCTCCAAAGCTTGAGAGAAAGACTTTGGAATAAGGGGTGGTATTCAGACAGACAGATCAAGGATCAAAGAGAGACAGAGCAAATGGAGAAGGATGCAGGAGAAAGAATGAGTAGAACTGGAGGCAAGAAAGGGACATGGCATCTTAGCAGGAAGCAAAGATTTTCAGAGCAGAAGAGCAGAGGCATAGAGCGAACGTCCCCCCAGATCACAGGTTTATGTTTCATACTTAGACTTCAAGATGTGTTCCTTCAGAGATGACACCAGTCAGCTATGCTTTGGCTTAAAACTCTTTGTTCTCTGTTTATACAATCAGTATTCCTTCAACACGTGATGCCCTGTACACACAGTGTGCTCAAAATGAGAGCTTTAACATGTCAAAATTATTATTTTCTCATCTCTCTGTATTATGTATTTTTACTCTGGAACAGACACTTTTAAGTGCTGGACATGTTGGAATTGAAAAAAAAAAAAAAAAATCAAGGCCGGGTCTGGTGGCTCATGCCTGTAATCCCAACACTTTGGGTGGCTGAGGTAGGTAGATTACCTGAGGTCAAAAGTTTAAGACCAGCCTGACCAACATGGTGAAACCCCGCCTGTACTAATAATAGAAAAATTAACCGGACGTGTGTTGGCACATACTTGTAATCCCGGCTACTCAGGAGGCTGAGGCAGGAGCATTGCTTGAACCCAGGAGGCAGATGTTGCAGTAAGCTGAGATTGCACCATTGCACTCCAGCCTGGGCAACAAGAGTGAAACTCCATCTCAAAAAAAAAAAAAAAAGAAGAAAAAGCACTTAACTTAGTGAAGGGATCAACAAGCCTTTTCTGCAAAGGACCACATAGTAAATATGTTAGACTTCTGGGCCAAGAGGAAAATGAATTATGTACGTACATAGATAACACTTAAAATGTTACCATTCTTAGCTTGCAGGCTGTACAAAAGCAGGCATTGGGCCACCACAGGCTGATGTTTATCAATCCCTGCTCTAGTGAGAAACACCAACATTAATTAACACACATATAGATATATGACTGTTCATTTTGTTAAGTGCAATAAATAATTCTTTTTTTTTTTTTTTGAGATGGAGTCTTGTTCTGTGGCCAGGCTGGAGTGCAGTGGTGCGATCTTGGCTCACTGCAACCTCTGTCTCCTGGGTTCAGGTGATTCTCCTGCCTCAGCCTCCTGAGTAGCTGGGACTACAGGTACGCACCACCATGCCCAGCTAATTTTTGTATTTTTAATAGAGATAGGGTTTCACCATGTTGGCCAGGATGGTCTCAATCTTCTGATCTCATGATCCACCTGCCTTGGCTTCCCAAAGTGCTGAGATTATAGGTGTGAGCCACTGCGCCCGGCCAATTTTTTTTTTTTTTTGAGATAGAGTCTCACTCTGTCACCCAGGCTGGAGTGCAGTGGCATGATCTTGGCTCTGCAACCTCCACCTCCAGGTTTCAAGCGATTCTCCTGCCTCAGCCTCCTGAGTAGCTGGGATTACATACACGCCACCACGCCCAGCTAATTTTTGTATTTTTGGTAGAGACAGGGGTTCCACCATGTTGGCCAGGCTAGTCTCGAACTCCTGACCTCAGGTGATCTGCCCGCCTCAGCCTCCCAAAGTGCTGGCGTAAGCCACCGAGCCCGGCCATAAATAAATTTTTTTAAATTGGAAATTGGTTCTGTGAGAGAGGGCAAGAGGGGCTGTTATCTAGTTTAGCATATGAGGTCACAGTTGCTTTGAGAAAGGGTCATTTGCATTGAGTCTTCAAGAGAGTTTTGGAGTCAAGGAGTTGAATACTGAGGGGTGGAAGGAGCAGAGTACGTGAAAGAGAAGAACCAAGAGGTGAGGATGGTAAAACTAAAGGGAAGCCATGAGGATGACCAAGGTGGGCTTGGAGAGGAGGCAGAGCCTCTAGTTCATGTTAAAGCACTTTCCATCTTTTCAGAGAAGAGATGTTGCCACCATTGAGAACCTGAGGGGGCAGCACAGGTTGTAAAGTGGGAAGGCTCACTAAAGAGATAACTCATGATTTTTTAGTAAAGGGATAAGGGGAAAATATATTGAGTTAATAACCTGATGGCCTGGTTAACTTCCTGACAGAAGGAAAAATCTCTGTTCTACTAGACTTTGTGTGGTCCACAGGGTGAAAGGGGTAGAATGCAGTGAGGTAAAAGCTACATTTATTTCATGCTTGTTTAAAGCCAGGCACTATGCCTTAAATGTTTAATATCTAAATAATATACTAATATTATTCCTTCAGAGAGGAAGAAATTGAGGCATAGAAAAATTTAGTGAATTTCCCGCCTGAGATTATACCATAGTTTGTAGTAGAGATGGGGTTTATACCTGTCCATTCTGATTCCAGAACTCATGCTATCTTTACAAATATCTTTCTATTTTTTTGTGGGGGGTGGGGGTTGGGGAAAGGAAAAAAAAAAAAACAAGAAACAAGGGGAATGAAAAGATAGGGGAAAATGTGATTTGGTTCTTGCCAAAATCAACAAAAACCTTTTCGCTTTTTGGAAGGAAGACAAAATCCAAGATGCAAGTATCTAACAGATATGTTTTCCCCTCCCCTCCCCTTCCCTCCCCTCCCCTCCCCTCTCCTCTCTCCCTTCCCTTCCCCTCCCCTCCCCTCTCTCCTTTCCCTCCTCCTCCCCTCCCCTCTCTCCCTTCCCTTCCCCTCCCCTTCCCTGTCTCCCTTCCCCTCCCCTCCCCTGTCTCCCTTCCCCTCCCCTCCCCTCTCTCCCTTCCCCTCCTTTCCCCTCTTCCTTGTTCCTATGAGTCTCTGAATCCTTTTCTGTACACAGATGAAGGCTAGCCCACAAGCCGATAAGTGTTCATTGCTCCTGCATAAATAAAATATACGAACATTGTCCTGAAGAAGGAAAAGCTTGCACAGTTCTTGGTTAATAGAGTCCATAGACTCTGAGTAGGACCCAGGCCTGTTGGTGACTTTCCACATTTGTACAAGCTTTTCCCTCTTTCCCTTCCCCTCAGTTTCCTGGCAAACTTCTTCTTTAGACCACCTAGGGTTGGCAAACTTTTTGAGTAATGTGCCAGAAAGGAAACATTTTCATCTTCGTGGGACAGTCTCTGTTGCAACTACTCACCTCTACTGTTGTAATGCAAAAGCAGCCATAGACAGTACATAAACAAATGAATGTGCTGTGTTCCAATAAAACTTTATTTAACAAGAATAAGCAGCAGGTCAGATGGGACTATGGGCTATAGTTTGCTGACATTTCTTCTAGACCAAACATAAATGTTACATCTTAAATCTATGTTGGTAGCATTTATTTGTCGTTCCTCCATGTTTTTTTTTTTTGGCTCAAATCTCTGTAATATATTATCTTTGAAAATCTTTTTGCAAAGGTGTCTTTTCACTCTGTTGTGATCTTTTCTGAGGCAAATACTAACTTTTATTTACCTGTTGTTTACTATGGGACTTGGCAAGTATCTCATTAAAATGTGTTGGTGTTTTGAGTGAGACAGTGTAAAGCTGTACTTTCCAAAAATAGCCAGATCAATATTTCCAATCTACAAGCACTTCTGGAACCCTGATGCTCCCCAGTGAGAGACAGTCTCTTCCGTGTCTCTTCGAACCCAGGTTGGACTTAGTGACTGCTTCAATGAATACAATGTGATAGAAGTCATGCTGCATGATATTGGAGACTAGGTCATATAACTTCCATTTGATGCTCTCTTTCTTTCTCTCTCTTTTAGGACTCACATCCTTGGATCCCAGACTCTTTGATGACAGGAAGGCCAAACTATCTCAAATGTAAAATATGAAGTAGTTTACTAATTTTCTTCAGTTTCTCTTAGCATAGAGGACTGGGGAGTTAAGAAGGGTTCTTAGAAAGCTTCTGTTGAAACTGCCTTTCCTATCTAAGTTTATCTTTTATTCCCATGAGATGAAAGTGAAGAGTAGGGATGTATGTGTGAGAGAAAGAGCAATAAAGAAAGCAGTGTACCACACAAACACACACACACACACACACACACACACACACACACTTATATGTAACTAAGAAGCTTACATGTGAGTTGTCCATTAGGGTTTTCATGAAGAACTTACAGTGAGCCTACACGGAGTTGTCCATACACAGAAGAACTGAGACCCCCCAGCCCCTGTCACTAGTGACAGCTCTCATTAACCTCCTGACATGCAGGCAAATGAGCATTCAGGGCTCCAGGGAGCGACATCCAGCCAGCGGCTTGTTTTCATAAATAAAGTTTTATTGGCACATATTATGTTCATTCATTTACATATGATCAATGGCTTCTACTACCCTGCAATAGCAGAAATGGGTAGTCATGGCAGAGACTATGCCCTGCAAAGCCAAGAATACTTACTCTCTGGCTCTTTACAGAAAAATGTCTTGCCTCCTGTCTCTCAGCCTTCACGTCTTCCATTAAGGTGTGGTAATCTGGAGCAGAGACAACCATGCCTGCTGTGTCTTGAGTTCCTGATTTGCAGAAATCATGAACATAATAAGTAGTTACCCTATAACATGACATTTGACAATAGTTTGTTATGCAATCAGAGTACCTGGAACACAGTTGAATACAGAGCTTGGGAAAACTCAAACTTATGTTTGTTAAAATACCAGAAGATCTAAACCTCCTTTCTTCTTTACCTGTTCCTCCATCCCCCAACACACACCCCTATTCAGACTTTTTGTAGTCTTCAAATTCCAGCTAAGACTAAGGAACATGACTACCTATCTCCACTTTATTGTTTGCAGTATTAAGTTACATTTTCCTTCTAGAGGGAAAATATTAGTTATAAGTGTCCTGATTAACCTTAAGAAATAAGAATATTTTGTCTATATAGGAGAACTATAGTTTCAACTATTGTTTCCAGATCTCTCAAACCATGAAGTCTCATTAAAAATGAAAAAAAAGATAGTCTTTTTTTTTTTTTCTTAATCACTGCGAGGATCTCAAATGGATAAGCAACAACCTCCAATCTCACAGCACTGGTAATTGTGGCTCAGAGTTCATGCAGATGGAGACATCAGTAAAATACCCGGAATCAGGTTCTGTATTTTCTCCGTTTGCCGTTCATCAAAATGAAACGTTTTCATGAAGAGGATTAAAGGCCACAAATAAAATATATTGTAATGCTCCCTTTGAAATATTTAAGGCATTTATTAAAAAAAGGGCAGTTTAAGATGAAAGGTCAGTCAGTGATAATCAATTTCTTTAACATTGATATGATTCTTATTAAACATTTATCATTTGGGTGTCACTTCAGAGGGCTCTGGAAATCATTTTTCATTGTCTACATATCATTTTGCAGTTGTCAACTGCCCAGCAGCAACAAACATTACACCTCAATTCTTCTTCACAGTATAGTATTTATGGACTTATTTTTCTGAACTTCTGGGTTCTGAGAAATTACATAGTGGATAGGCATTTATAGCATGCAATTGTTCACACAGTTTTCTGTAAGTTGGAGAGGGAGTTTTTCTTTGATTACACTTTTAACAAAATATGGAGAAGTTGGATGCAGTTTTCTTATTTTCTTCAGTTTCTCTCAGCATAGAGGACTGGGGAGTTAAGAAGTGTTCTTAGGTAGCTTCTGTTGAACCTGCCTTTCCTATCTAAGTTTATCTTTTATTCCCATGAGATGAAAGTGAAGAGTAGGGATGTGTGTGAGAGAGAAAGAGAAATTAAGAAAGCAACATACAACACACACATACATTTATATGTAACTAAGAAGCTTACATGTGAGTTGTCCATTAGGGTTTTCATGAAGACCTTGCAGTGCCAATATTCTCCTGCTTCTTTCTTTACCCCGATGTTGGGTTATTGATTTGACTTTTAGGGTAATATCAATTAACTCCTGGGGGCAAGGTAGCATTGTGGAGAAGAGCAAGAGCTTTGGTTTCATGTATCACAAACTTTGAATCTTAGCTCTGCTATTTTTTAGCTCCTACCTTTTGGTGAGTTACTTAAATTTTCTAAACCACAGTTTTTATAAACCCTCAATTTCTGTTAAATGGAGATAGTAATGCTTACCTCATAGGGTGGTCATTGTGTGGATTAGATGAGATACAATTATTTTGCATGATGCCTGTGCTTGGCATATAGCAAGCCATGATAAATATTAATAGTTCACATAGTTCTTATTACTACATTTGCTGTCTCTACCAAGGGCTTAGCTATATGGGTAGAAAGTGTTTACTGTTTCAAAGAAACCACTGGAGATGTTCACGTATGGGAGAACTGTTCAAAAATGTTTCTCCTATTTTGTGTTACATTGTCTACATTTTGACACCATTTTAGTGTCAATTCCTTAAAACACACTTTCTGGGATAAACATTAATCAAAGTATGAATGTTACCTGGGAAATGTCACATGTTAAAATTCAGATCCATGGATTTGAAGATCAGATTCACTAACTGTTGTATGGGGCACATCAAATTATCAGAATTGTGTGACCCTGAATGGGATGAATTTTTCCAGGGCAGGAGATGGAGAGAGGAGTACAAAGCAGAAAGGACAAGCCTGGATATTGTGGCACCTGTGTACCTGTATGATAGAGTATTGAAAACTTGGAGGAAAGAGATACCAAGAAAATTTCAACAGTTTACAAATGTCTTGTGAAGCAGGGTGTCGTCAAAAATAGTGTTTCACCTAGCTCCTGTTTAACACGTTTGTGTACCCCTTTCCTAGATGATTTTGGTTCTAACAACCAACCCTCATGGCCTATTCTTGGAGAACTTCCATCAGGGTACTTGAGCCAACTTGTACTCACAAATGCCCAAGAAGTGCCTGGATGACTGTGATGGTTAATTTTCTGTGTGCCGAAGGCAAAGGGAATACAGATTTTGTAGTGGAAGAAAGTAAGTATAAATACCAGCTACAACCATGTGACCAGTTAAGAAATGACTGTAATTATCATCAGTATTTCCTCCTTATTTTGTCATTAATGTTGGTGTATATATATATGATATACATGTGTGTATCTATGCATATATGAGAAAACTTTTCTTACCCCTCTATTCTCCTCTTATATAACATAAGCTGTATTGTATTTATATCATAATATTTAGGTATTATTAATTTTACATCATAATATTAAAGTTTGGGGATATAAAGAGAAGAGTAATCATCTTAATGACTTTGGAGAAGAGTTCAATGTATTTTCAGTTGTACACAGGATAGTTGTATCACGGTAGGCATAATTGGCATAATTAGGATCTTGTTATTGTCTTTATTTGGAGATTATGTATGGTTTAGGGATATGCCTATAGGTGCCAAGTTGAGAAGGGGTGGGCTTGAGATGGTTAAGTTTATGTGTCAACCTGATTAGGCCACAGTGTTCTCAGATATTTGGCTAAACATTATTCTGGGAGTGTCTGTGAGGCTGTTTCTGGATGAGATTAATATTTGAATTGGTGGACGGAGTAAAGCAGATTGCCCTGCCTAGGATGGGTGGACGTCATCCTATCCTTTGAGGCTTCAATAGAGCAAGAAGGCTGGGCAAGGGAGAATTCTCTCTCTCTAATTCAGATAGGATACTTGGTTTTTCCTGTTTCAACTTGGACTCATACTGAAACTTCACCGTTGGCTCTACTGGGTCTCCAGCTCACTGACTGCAGATTTTGGGACTTTTTGATCTTTATAACCACATGAGCCAATTCCTTATAATAAATATTATTTCTGTATATAATATATAATATGATAATTTAATCTATTACCTATCTTCATATCTGTATTTGTCTATCAATCTATCTATCTATCTATCTATCTATCTATCTATCTATCTATCTATTCTGTTTCTCTGGAGAACCCAGACTAATACAATGATCCTTAGCCAAAGACTCACACTTGCTGCCTACTTGGGACAGCTCTGAGCCATAGCTTATATTCCAGAGTTTCCCTGTGAAATCAGGCGAAACATAGCCTCTGAACAATTTTGCATGAGATCTCATTTTTGCTTAACTTTTTCCTCTTCCCTGGGTGAAAAGGAAAAAGTCTGTCTCTCCTGGGAGAGCCCTTCCTCAATAAATCACTTGTACACAAATCCTTGTCTCAGGGTCTGCTTCTGAGGAAACTGACCAGAGGCAGGATGAAAGTAAATACAGTTTTCTGTTACTTAAACAGAGCTGGCAAAATATATTTAGAGAGAGAGAGAGAAAATAGACCAGTTGTTTTGGTGGAGACTTTGAAGGACTAACTCATCATTAAAGGAGATCTTGAAAAAAACAGTGGTTCACCTGTCCTACATAACAAATTTATGGGTGCTTGCACGATAGAACATATAGCAAGGGATAAGGAGGACAGAAGAGATGAGACCAAGAAACACGGATGGTCAAACAAAATTTCCCATGGAATTTTATCCTATATTCCCCCTAGCAGGTATGTCTTTCATTCCATTCTAAGTTATTTGCTGCAATGTCAACCACTTCTTCTTTAGCTTGATGCTGTGAACCTTTGTCTGCTACACACATAGCCCCGTGCTGGGAGAATTGGGGGAAGTAAAACTGGGAGGTAGAGTCTAATTGTAAAGAGTCCTGGAGCAAAAATGCTGCATTTAAGAAATCTGTAAACTGGAATAATTCATTAGAATCAGGAATTTGCAGCCAGTGATGATTATGAGAAATATATGTACCATCTCCCAAATTTCCAAAGCATTTTAGGGAGTAGATGGATGTCCCATTATTTAATAGATAGATAGAACCCTGAGCGATTTTATTTCAATTGGGAAGGACTGAGTGAACCCAGCTGACATCTGGCTCTGCTTGCTTCTCTATTACATTGAATGGTCTATAGTTAGCTTTGCAGGAAGCAAATATTTCTAGTTCTTTAACTCCAAAGTGTTTCTTTCCATTTATGTTTTTCATTGGCATAACCTGAGAAAAAGGGCTAAAAACAGGGCAGAACAGAAAATTCATTTATTGACAGCCTATGGGGGGCAGAAGAGGAGGGTGCCTGAAAATATCTCCTTTCACATGCAGGAGAAAAAAAGAATGGATTTAATTACCATGATTAGAACCAATTAAGTACCTAATTCTGCTCCTGAGAGCTAAAGGCCATTTGAGGGATTGCTAACTTGAAACACTTATAAACCAGGGTAGAAAGGATAACCTCCCCTAGACAATGAATATCCACCATTTTGGAAAAGATACTGAGAGAGAGGTGTCGGAGTCTATCGGAAAGAATGTCCCCAGGGTCCATGAATACTCCTAAAATTGGGAACACTGTTCATTTTCTCATTCCAGAATCTTCATTTGACCATTGGACAGTTTCTCTTCTCCAACCTACCTTATATGGTTTTTATGAGAATTAAATTAAAGAATGAGTGGGTAGATGAACCCTACATTATAGTTGCCCAAAGTGGGGGTCAGAGGACAGTTTCCAATGGTATTGCTGATCCTTACTAGTCCAAAAGCTTGGCTATAGACCTTTCTTTAGCTCTATTTTTTTTCCCTCCCCAAATTCTGTTCTTGTCTGTGTCATAAATTAGCTTACTCTCCTTCTGAAGGAATATCTATATCTGTGTTCATAGTAATATATTTTAATTGTTGCATAGTCTACAAATTTCTTAAAAAACAGACCACAGAAATCTAAGCATAGATTAATAATTACTAAGTGCACATGACTGAAATTTATTGAAGACTAACATCTTTGGGTTATGTGAGAAACGTTTGATACACTGTGAACACCTCTTATCAGAGAACATGTAGCTCATATATTATCCCCATCTGTACGCCAGTAAAGAACACGGCTAACTAATCATGGCATTCTTTCTCACTGTGTCTAAATGTAGACACAGAATCCTCAACGCTGGACATCACAAGAAAATGATCAGAGTTGGTGTGTGAGCAGAGCCTGTTTGCAATTTCTCCTCTAAAATCTGTCAACTCTTATTTTTCCTTCTTTTAATTATTTTTTCTAGCCACTAGACAACCAGGTATGTCAACTCTTTTTTTCTTTCTTTCAACTTTGAAGTTCTGGGGTATGTGTACAGGATGTACAGGTTTGTTTCCTAGGTAAATGTGTGTGTTGGTGGTTTGCTGCACTAATCAACCCAACGAGTATGTTTTTGAGTTCTTGCTCACATGACAGCTAGCTAAGAGTATTTCACAGCAAGGTGAAGACAGGCAATGAGATAACTGTTGCCTTGAGATGGGGTGAAAAGTTGTGAATTATTGTATAATGAGACGATGCTCAAAGGGCAAATGGGATTGTAAAGGGAAAAGAGGAAGTTCAGGAAAACAACCTTCCATTACTTCTTTCTTTAGAGCTGCACTGTCCAATATGGTAGCACCAGGCATAGGTGGCTACTGAGAATTTGAAATGTAGATAGCCTCAGTTGAGAAGTGCTATAGGTGTCACATATAACACTGGATTTTGAAGACAGAAAAAATAAGGTAAAGTGGTTTATTAGTATTTTTTGTATTAATTACATATTGAAATCACGAGTTTGGTTATATTGGGATAAGTAAAATATAGTATTAAGCTTAATTTCACCCGTTTCTCTTTGCTTTTAAAAAATGTGACTACTAGAAAATTAAAATTACACATGTCTTTCCTTGTGTTTTCATTGGATAGCTCTGATCTAGGGCATGGGTTTTTGCTTCGGTTCCAATACCTGTAAAAGTATCCATGTATAGAGTTTTAGAAGACTGGGAAATCTCTGAAATTATATGCCCCATGTTATATGCATCTACATATGTGAATTTTTCTGAAAGAGTATCAGTAACTTTTGATCAGAATTTGTGATACAGAACAAGGGTAGTCACCATTGGTCTAGAGTCTTTCATAGAAGGGTATGAGACCTTAAAGTGGAATTTTAGAAGGTAAAATGCAAGACCTTTCCTCACTTCTGAAATCCTCGGAGAAGAAATCTAGGATTCATTATCACAGGGTTGAAACTATATCTAGGTAAAGGCAGTGGTTGGGTACCTTATTCACCATCTTATTCCCAGCATCTGACATGCAGTGTTGGCATCCTCCAAAAATTTTGTCATTTAATGTCTTTGAGATCATCACCTATGAAAATTTATAGGTCATTATTTTCTGCATAGATACTAAACATATTTTTGGAGAAAAAATGACAACTTGGAACTCATTTGGAAAATGTATTTGCATAGGTGGATTCTCTCAAATCTAAGGATTTGAAACAATGATATGAAAGCAAGTAGTTTAATTGCAAGGCAACCCAGGAAGCACCCGTAGGGAAGTGGAGAAGTAAGGCAAGGACAAAAGGAAAGCAAGTTCAAGGTAGATTAATGAGCAGGTTATTGCTGTTGGTTCTTTGGGAGACTACATAGATCATGTCTCAGAGTTGTCCCATGTGAAGGGCGAGGAAGCCATCAACTCTTATGTGTCATGGGTTGGAGGCCATTTCTGGGTCAGAAATTTCCCAGATCTTCTATCTTCCTGGGGTGAGGGCTGAGGGGTCCCTTCTACCAGCCAAGGAAAGCACTCAAGCTTGAGATGTGGCCACATGCAATCAGAGGCAGTCCATAGGTTTGGAGAGGGTGAGTGTTAAGGGAGTGTAGGCAGGATACCAACAACTTAAGCTAAGTGTCGCATGGAGTGCTGTGGCTAGAAGTCACTCTTTAGTTTTGTAGCAGTAAACAGGACAGATGTGTTTATTATAAGATAATGGTCCCAATCCAGTAGACGCAGAAAACTGTGCATATAAGAATTTAATGAAGATGGCAGTCTGCTTTCTGTGGATAAAAGAAAATTCTAAATTTATACCACAGGCTTGTTTGCATATAGACCCATCCCAACTAACATTGTTTTTCAAGTATTGTAATATGAATGTGTACTCGTAAGAAAATGGATCTTTGAGTGTTGTTGAAAAACCATTTGAAAAGCTGTAATTATTGTGAAACAATTTGGCAAGGGTAAGGTTTGTTGGTAGAGATGAAAAGCAGTTTTGAGGCCAAGAGTTTGCTATTTTCCCACAAACAAGCTTAATGGAAAACACAATTATTTCCTCTTCTTGGCCAACTTAAAATGTGTAAATGTTCTCTACAAGCAGTAAGTGCAAATTTTGTCCCATTAATATAGATGAAGGCGGTCTGTTTCTAGTATTGACAACACCAAACTTTTAAAGTATTTTAAGAAGAACTATAATGCATATCAAACTGGAGGGGAAAAAAAGTCATCCGATAGATCAATAGATTACAATGTTTATTCTTTCAATTCTATTCTCCATTAGAAATGCTCAAGTATTAGGATAAAAATGGTATATAAGTAAAACAGTTTTCACTTTGTCTATGAGAAATTTGAAGGGAAGTGTGTATCAACTTTTTTTTTTTACCTTAGAGAAATATATAGCTGTCCTTTATAAAGTTTATTTTATTCATTTTCAGGAACACTCTGGCCCTCATCTCCTAAAGGCAAAAACATGATATAGATGAGCTTGAGCTCTGCTATAAACAGGGCTATTCAAACTTTTGAATTGGCTGACCTCCAGCACTGCATTTGTGGGAGGCAATGGGGCAGGACAATAGAAAGAAAATAACCAATAGCATTTTATTCTATTTCTAATTTATTTTCCCATTAACAAATTATAAAACATAATTACTCAAGTAGTATAACCTATTCATTCAAATTAGAATGTCTGGAAATGTTCTGTTTCCCTTTTTTTAAGTGAGGTTTTACTGGAGAACAGCTAGAAATATCTACATAGTGTTTTTGAAACTATGTAAACTATTATAACGAGGTTGCCCTCCCTATACAAATTCAAAATCTATAGCCTTTTCTGCAGGGTTTACAGGCTAGTTCCTACCTGTCTCTAGCTTCACCACATGACTGCCTTGTCTTTCTGACTGTACTTCAGCTGCCTGGACCTTCCCTTCTTCTCTATCACCCCAAACACTTTCTCTCCTCAAGGTCTGGGTGTGCTGTGCCCTCTGATTGGAATGCCCTCTCCTGTTACCTCCCGCACATCCTTGCTACTTATCTTCCTATTTATCTGCCCTTCCCAGCTGACCCCTGTCATCTGCTGGAGCACCCTTCACTTTTTACTCATTGTGCTTAAATACCATTGTGGTTTTTATAGTTATTCAAGGGCTAATTTATTTATTGTTTGGCTTTTTCACCTCAACCATGACTGTTCAAAATTCATCCTATGATACAACAGTCAACATATAGCAGGTATTTAATATGTTTTTGGTGAATAAATGAGTAAGTGTATGACTCGAGATGCTGATCCATTTGCCTTCTTGGTGGTTTCTATGTCATTATGACTTTTCTTTTGACTTAAACATGGTATCTCCCCTGTAAGGTTAAGGGTTGAGCAATTATACCAAATCATAAAGTGCTGGATTTGTTCATTAGGGAAAGTCCCGTAGGGTTTTCCTTGAGATCTATCTTTGCTGTTTACATCAGCGTCTGAATTCCTCATTTTGTAATTGTTCAAATATCTTGTTTCACTTTGTCTCCATGTGGGCACTGCTGTACCATGCTTATCTGGCACAAAATGTTCATCACACACTATTTGTTGAATAAATGAATGAATGAAGAGAATGCAATCAGAAATGTTCCTTTCCAAATGTATATATCATTGATGGACTGGGCTATCTTCTGGGAAATTTGCAAGTTTTAGATTGGATCAAATAATGGATCACTCATTTACTTTGATGTCTTCTGAGACAAAGAGTTCATGAAGGGAGTTTGCTTCATGGGCTTATGCTTCAGGGGCCTGAGATGTCCAACCTGACTGACATCAGTGCTTTAGAGATGCAAGTGCAACCAGGATGCCTAGTAGGACAATCGGCTGGGGGAAATCACTAGGGCAGAGTGAGGATGAGCTGCCATTGACTTTAATGAAAGAGACAATCTCTATGGGAAATTCAGGTCAGATGGAAATGACCCACACTGAGCCTGTGTAGATTTCTATCATGACAACCTTCTGTTATATACCATCTCTTCCCTTTTTAATGTGAGAGCCATGGTTAATTGTTGTCTTTCCACTTCTTGGCTCTTTACCTTGTCTGCTATAGGACACTGAGAGTAATTACTTGAAAGAATTCCTTTAGTGCAATCCAGAATCCTCAGGCATCTGAGAAACTTTTCTTAAAAATTTTAACTCAGCAAAAAGTTAGAAGTTTTTTTTTTTTTCCTGACAAAGCATTTTTTAGATCACCCTAAAATATTTGGATAATGCAGGCAGTGGCACTTCACTTCTGCTAGGAATAGGATCTGCTCCATAGCAATGTCTATATATCCATTCATTAATTAATGTATCATATGTGTGTCCAGACTGTATTGATAAGGATATGTTTTAGATAAAATAATGGCTATAGAGACAACACTGAATCATGTTTTTGGTTTTCTGCTCTGATACCCTCCTTTCTTGTGGCAAGGTCTGTTTATCCTTCAATTCCATCTTACAGCTTTGTTTGCTGCCACCTCCTTAGTGCAAGCCACCATCATCCCTCATCAAGACTACTCTAACAGCCATCTGATTACTCTCATCCATCTGTGCCTCTCTCTAAGCTGCTGTTCTCGGCAACTAGATCCGGAGGGACACTTTCAAATCTCAAATTCTCTCATGTCATTTTCTTTGTTTAAAACATTTCCAAGGCTTTCCATTTTTCTTAGAATACATTTAACGGACCAGTCTCTCCAGCCACATGGTTCACTGGGCATCTTGTTGCCCTCCATGTTTACCCATACAAACTGTCTTTCTACCACAGATGCTTTGTAAATGCTGTTCCTTCTGCCTAGAATGCCCTTTCCTCCCTCCCTCCCATCTTCACCTAGTTTACTCCTATTCACCCTTCAGATTGTAACTTAGCCATCAGTTGCCTGTTTAGTACCCTGGTTAATTTTATGCGTCAACTTGACGGGCCTTGGGGTGCCCCGGCATTTGGTCAAACATTATTTTGGGTGTGTCTGTGAGGGTGTTTCCGGATGAGATTAACATTTGAATCAATAAACTGAGTAAAGCAGATCTGGCATTCCCTAATATGGGTGGGTCTAATCCAGTCAACTGAAGATGTGAATAGAACACGACAAGTGAGAAGGAACTCCTCCTGTTTGAGCTGGGACGTTTGGTTTCATCTGGTCTTAGGACTTTGACTAAAACACTGGCTTTTCTTGGGTCTTGAGCCTGCCAGCTTTCAGACGGGAACTTATATCATTGGCTCTCCTTGTTCTCAGACTTTGGGACTCAGACGGGCGCTACTACGTATTGACTCTCCTGGATCTCCAGCTTGAGGACGGCAGAACTGAGAACTTCTCAGCCTCCTTAGTTGGATGAACCAATTGCTTATAATAGATCTCTGGAGAACCCTCACTAATACAACCCACCTTCTCACATACACACACTTTTATCCACTCTTCTAGAGAAGTACTTTGTAGGACATACATATTTGACCTTTTACATCTATTTGTGTGATTATTTAATGAAGTCTCTCTCTCCATTACAGTGACTGTCCCAAATGGGCAGAGACAGGGACTTTTCTGAGATTTTACTAGAGTGTAGCACATAGCACTGTACCAGGCACATATTTGATGATGAGACAATGACATTACCTCCCACAGGTAAGACCTAGGCCATTGTGGGATATAGAATACACCTTTTCCTAAAGGACTTTTCATGGGATCTTAGTTCAACTGCACCAAGTTAACTTCCTTTTTGTCTTGTCTGATTGAATTTCCCAAATCAAGCTACTTAGATTCTGCCATGTTTGTG
The DNA here is from genome assembly GCF_000001405.40 of Homo sapiens. Classification (NCBI taxonomy): domain Eukaryota; kingdom Metazoa; phylum Chordata; class Mammalia; order Primates; family Hominidae; genus Homo; species Homo sapiens. Next base: position 5,752,659 of record NC_000003.12, read on the forward strand.
ACCTGGTTTCCATTTATAATATTTCTTTGCTGTTCCAGGGTCTCTGCCTTGATAGTCTGCAGTGCATCCCATGAACTCAGTATGGAGAAGTTGCCTTGTCCCCATCAATCCAATGGAGTCCATTCATGTCTCCAAACCTTGGCTTAATGATTGTATCCCTGCTGTCTGTTATAGGAACATTTTTCCCTGACCACCCTATCTGTCACCTCTTGTTAGACCTCCCTTTCACTAACCACAGCCTGAACTCTTACCTGCTGCCATACTCTCAGAAAATCATACCAAGCCTATTAGCTCAATTTCCTCTAGCTTCCATTACCAAAACCAGGGTTTTCAAATACATGGTCTCTTCTGGGAAATAAATCCCTTTGCCAACCTGGAAATGCCCAAGATGCCCTAGTTTCAAAATACAAACTCGAAATGTTTCAAAATATGCTTCAAATTGTTTTTCTTTTTTTTTTTTTTTTGAGACGGAGTCTCACTCTGTCACCAGGCTGGAGTACAGTAGTGTGATCTCGGCTCACTGCAATCTCTGCCTCCCAGGTTCAAGTGATTCTCCTGCCTCAACCTCCCAAGTAGCTGGAATTACAGGCACGTACCACCACACCCAGCTAATTTTTAAAAATATTTTTAGTACAGAAGGGGTTTCACCATGTTGGCCAGGATGGTCTTGATCTCCTGACCTTGTGATCTGCCTGCCTCAGCCTCCCAAAGTGCTGGGATTACAGGCGCCCAGACTCAAGTTCTTCTATCACATTTTAACAGTTTCTCTGCAGGTCAACCTGACATTCATTTGGACTCATCCAAAAAGAACAGCATGTTCCCTTTGATGTCTGCATTTTCCAGAATAAATGACTTTCTCTCCCTTAATTTCTACTTTTAGAATCTTAATGAGCATTGAGTTTTGGAGACAGTGACCTTGTTTTCAAGTGTAGGAATTAATTACTTTAAAAATGTCACTGTTTAAAGGAATATCAGCACCCTGTTCTCACTCATGAATTATCACCACATAAAATCTCACAAAGATTATATGAATCTCTTCCAACAAAATGGTTTGCCTTTTTATGTGCAGAGGATGGTCCTGGGACAATTGCAACAAAATCATTTGGGTGGGGAGAGGTGATTATTACAAATACATAATCCAGGTCCCCACTGCAGACCAACAAACCGGAATCTATAGGATCCTTAGAGCTGCTGCTGCTGCTTTATTTTTTTGAGGCAGTTTTACTCTGTCACCCAGGCTGGAGTGCAGTGGCTCAATCTTGGTTCACTGCAACCTCTGCCTCCTAGGCTCAAATGATTCTCCTGCCTCACCCTCTCGAGTAGCTGGGATTACAGGTGTACGCTACCATGCCCGCCTAATTTTTGTATTTTTAGCAGAGACAGGTTTTCACCATATTTGCCAGGCTGGTCTCGAACTCCTGACCTCAAGTGATCCACCGGCCTTGGCTTCCCAAACTGCTGGGATTACAAGTGTGAGCCACCATGCCCAGTGGAGTTTGCATTTTAAACAAGGTAGTCCAATTAGTCTTAGATACATTAAAGCTGAAAAAAAAAAAAACCACAACATTTTTCCTTGAGTACTGTCAGAAAAAAAAAAAAAAAAAAAAGCTGGCACCCTGTCATATATCTGTTTGTTTATGTACTATCCTGATATAGTAAGTGTGTTATAAATGATACCTCAAAAACGGAAATTTTAAAAGGGTAGAGAAAGGATATATATAAACAGAGTTATATTTGCTTGCCATATTACACAGGGGGTCATTCTGCATACCCCACAGGCTGTAAGCACTCTACTTTGAAAACTAATGTTTTATAGGATGCAGATTATTACGTTTACCTCTAAGATAGACGTGTTCTATTCTAGCAGAGAATAAATACTAGCTGAGATGGGTTACAGGATAAATCTTGTTGAAGGTGATAAGGGGAGATCTAGGTGCGAGGAACTTGAAGGAAGGATTCTGGGTGTGCAAGAGACAGTTTGAGGGCATTGAGACCCAACTTAGTGTGTGGGGGGAGTCAGAGGTGGCACAGGGAAGCAATTCTGAGAGGTGCATTGTTTCTGAAGGACAGGGGAGGGCCACCAGACTGCTTCTTGCAGAACTGAGAATTGTATGCTGTCTCATGTATATTCTCTCTCTTTCCTGTTCCCTGTATTGTGCTGCTCAAAGTGTCAGTGGTCAGAGGCCCAGGGCCAAACCACAAACTGTTGTCCCAGTGGCCCATGTCAAGATAAGTGTAGAAATCGAGAGCGTTTAGGCATTTTTAGAGCAATTTGCCCTTGCTGTGACATCTAGTAATTAGTATTTTTGTGTGTTGGCAGAAGTATTGGTCTGCTATAAATTGGACATTTAAAAATTTGTGAAATAAGCCAGACACAGAAAAATATTGCAGGATCTCATTTAGTGGAATGTAAAAAATAAATAAAAAAAAAAAAGTCAAACCACACATAGAGAATAAAACAATAGTTACCAGAATGTGGGGGAGGGGAAGAAACAGAAAGATGTAAGTCAAAGAATACAAAGTAGCAGATGTATAGGATGAAGAAGTAGAAAGAGCTAATGTAAAACATGAGGACTATAGTCGATAATGGTGTATTGTAGTCACGATTTCTGCTAAATGAGAAGATTAAAGGGGCTATTGCCCCGGGGTAAAAATGGGTATCTGTATGAAATAATGGATATGTTAATTTGTTCCACTATAATCATTTTACTACATATATAACATCATGTTGTATACTTTAAACATACACAATAAAATTTATTTAAAAAACATAGACTGTTTTTCTATAAAATTGTGAACTGGTCTTTAACTCTAGATAGTTTTTGAAGCACTGTTCCATATGATGCGTAGGCTGAATTCTCCCACCTTTGCTTCAGTCCTAGGGCCCAGGAGCTGCAATGGGCCATTCTCATCTGAAGGAATTGCCTCAGCTTGTTAGAGGACTGGCATGAAAGGAACAATCGTGATAGTGGGCATAACACATAAACCCTCTGGGACTCCCTTTGGTCATCCACAAATGGCAGTAAAGAGATGAGCGCCTCCTTGTTCTCACTCACAGGTGGGAATTGAACAATGAGAACACTTGGACACAGGGTAGGGAACATCACACACTGGAGCCTGTGGCAGGGCGGTGGGGTGGTCTGAGGGAGGGATAGCTTTAGGAGAAATACCTAATGGAAATGACGAGCTGATGGGTGCAGCAAACCAACATGGCACATGTATACCTATGCAACAAACCTGCATGTTGTGTACATGTACCCTAGAACTTAAAGTATTATAATAAAAAAAAAGAAATGAGCGCCTCCTTTACTGGATACAGCTGCTACTTTCTTAGGAAAGTTAGGCTTACAACTAAGGAGGCAGATATCCCAACTGTTAGCATCCAGGAGATGTTTAAAGAGCTTAATAGTCACATTTTTGTTGCACCACAGCCTGAGCTTCTAGAAGCTTCTTTTCCTGAATTTCTCCCTAATTACAACCTGCTTACCTGGCTACAGGGCAGAGAAGGCCAGGATGATAAAGCTATTGGGGTTGCTAAATTTAGAATCTAAGAGCATTGTGTCAGATCTCAGCTTGGTGACCTCCTAGCTAGTGACACAACTTCTCTGAACCTCAGCTTTTTAATTTTACAATGGGCATAGTGATTTCTATCTAAAACGTTTTAGTGGGGGAATAAATGTGTTTATTTTTATAAAGCACTTAGCTCTGTGAAAATCTGTAGAACATTTAAAGTGCATTGTACTGTCATTATCATGCTTTTTATTTATTCAGTAAATAGTTGAGCAAGTACAATCTGCTGGGAATTGTACTCATTCCTGAGGGAGCCATAATGAGAAATCAAGCATCATACTGTACCTAAGAAATTTATGATCTAGGTGACCTCAATACAACTCATTTCCAACACCTTCACGTTCCTAACGAGACTGTAAATCCTGTGTGGTCAGGAAACACATCTGATTCATCTCTGAATCTGCAGTGGGTAGCCTAGTGTGGGCCTGTGGAAAGTACTCAAGAAATTCACGTGGAACAGAATGCCATCATCTTCCAAGTCTTGGTTTGACTTGATACAAGGGTTTAAAAACAAGTGTTTATTTAGGAAATGATCCCAAGTAACAGCCATCGGGGTGTGGAGGAGTGTGAGAGAACAGGGAAAGGAGCCATTTAGGGATGTTTTATCTATAGCACACTAGAACCTAATCCTGTTGGGGACATCTTGGGAGATACAGCAGTGAGAGAGAACTGGAATATTTATCCATCAACTACCATTGGTTGAGAGCTTCTTGGGGAGGAACATTAATCTAGCATTTTTGCCCTGCCTTTATGGCTGCAGGAAAGTCTCTGGCACCAAATCACAGAGGCTGGCAGTTGAAAGTCAGCCTGCTTGCATGGCAATGGTAGGCACCATGAGGATATGGGTGGGACACACATCTTCACTCCATTTCTCAGCTCAAGTCTACCACCCGGGCCGGTTTTCCCAGATTCCCAGAAATCTGTCTTGCTCAGTGTTGTCCCCCTCCTCCACACTGGGAATATCCATAACACACTCATGCCTATACTTGTCTTCTCCCAGCACTCCAGCTTATACTGATTCTTTCTTCTTCTCAGTTCCTTGTTCATTTATTTATTAATATTTTTAAATAGCTCTCCCTTTGGCACAGACCCGCACAAAGTTATTTCAATGCTGTATGTGGGTGTCTCACCTTCCCACATCCGTGTGAACTCCTGAGGACAGATACCATGAGTTATTCATTTTCTGTTCTTGCCACATTGCCCACAACCAGAAAGTCTGCAAGAAATTAAACTTAGGGCTGAATTTAACTTTGCGATGAAAGACTGGTGATCTGTGCTTCTCAGCTTCTGCTTTTTCAGCCACATTTTCTGCTCTGACTTGACTAAGCTGACAATTTGCAATTTTATTGATTCTAAAGTATTTTGATGAGAATCATGACTGCCACAGCCACAGCGGGTAGCTGTCATTTATTCAGCACATATGTGCTTCGCATTGTGCACTTAATATATTCTCTCATGTGATCCTCATAACAAAGCTAGTGTCATCATTTTACCGATGGGAAAACCGAATCTAAATAATCAAATGACTTACCTAAGATCATATAATTAGCAGAAGGGCAATAATTTAAACTCAGGACTAACCTAGAATTCTAGACTTTTAACTATTGTACTATATGTCTCCCAAATATAAGAAACAGTAAGAAATACTGAAAATAACCAATTCATTATTTCATTCCCCTATCAGTTCAACTGTCCAACTAAGAAGTATCCAAATTCAGTGAGTTTATATTGTCTTTAGACTTTGTTAGTCAAGACAAATGAGACTTATTATTGGAGATGAAGTGCAGAAACATTCTCAGGGACCCCCTCAGCGTCTAAGTTACCATTATCCACAAGGCAGGTGGGTTCGATTGCCTGCCGGGTGACAGTCCAATGACCACAACCAAGGAAGATTTAACAAGGGGACTTTATTACTTGCAACAAGCGAGGACACCAGGAATAGTTCCCAAAGTGGTGCCTCCCTGAGCAAAGGTGAAAACAGGGCTTTCATTGGGCTAGTTAGTTAGCTGAGTTAAGTTAGTTAGTACGTAAAGGTGGAGAAGGCAGTGCAGACGCAGTTGCTGATCATGCTTCTAGACAGGGCGCATGTATGGACAATGGAGAATAAGCTCCTCCTCTGGTGGGGTTTTTAGTATGGAAATGAGGGGAGTTTGCCAAACCTCATCTCCAGCTGAAGTATCTGAGGATCCAACCCGTTTTTTTTGTTTTGCTGGAGGTGGGCTTCTTCCCGGAACTTTTCTGAAACAAGAACTCAAGGTGTATCAGTTACAGGTGGGTACTTTCACCTGTAACTTTTCCCAGTTACAGTGTGTGCTGGGAAACCCAAGGACCCTGGCTTACATTGCCTTTCTCTTTTCTTTGTTTTCTGGCCCTGCAACTCCAAAGACAAGCCCATCTAGTTTGAGGACTAGAAAACATTGCCTCCGATATCACATATCTTCCGAAATCGTTTGTTTATGTCTAGGTTTTGGATTTCATAAACACAGAAACATGTATTGTTACAACATGAAGAAAATATTTCCTTATCCATGTGGGAGTATTTTCTCCTTGTCCCTGAAGCTCAGTCTGAATGGCTCAGGCCCGCTTTAGGTTTCAGCTCTTTCTTCTCCCTTCCATATCCTCCATTACCTAGAGAATCATCATTTATCGTGGGAGGTGCAAAGTCTTGCTCTGAGTCATCATATGTGTTCCCAAAACCATTGTCTCCGCTGGGACATTTTATTTTCCCTGCAGGATCTAAACTCTCGAAAGGCAAAGCCAGGAAGAGCTGTTTTGTTTCTCTGCTCGTCCTCCACATCCTTGAAGCCGGGATTGGTGAAGCTAGACTTATCTGGCTCAATAAGGAAATGGCTCTTGGATACAAGATAATATGAGATTAAAAAAAAAAAAACTGCACCAACTAATATTTTAGAAAAGAATGGCTCATGTTTGTATTTACGTGTTTGTGAACATGTGTGTTCATGATAACAGATTAGCTTATTGGTCCTTCTTACACAAGGCAGGGAATAAAAGGCAAAAGTAATTCAAGTCATACATTGTTTAATTTCAGTTTTGTGTAGCTTGTTGAATTGTTGCAAAGCCAGCTGCTTTATCTCATAGGCCTTATTTTTGTACTATAATACCAGCATTCAAATGCTCTGACCCCGAATGTTTGCTCAGTATGGAATGTGGAGTTAAATCTTGTCTGAAATTTCATTAGAAGACAGTCTAATTAGCCTGAATCAGAAGCCACCTTCCAAATAGCGTATTCAAAAACGTTAGTGAGTTATCTAGAATTTTCTAAAAGGAAAACATGATTTATTGACTTCAGAGCATTTTTCTTGGTGCAATAGAGAATTACAGCAGCCTTGTTTGAATAGCTATTATTAAGATTGCTTTGCTGTTTTGGAGACAGATCCCTATTTACTAGATTTTTGAATGGGAAAAAAAAATCCTGCTTTGGTAAGCCCTTAAGTGTAAAGGATCACAGAGTGATAAATGCCAAGGTGATTTTTTAAAAAATGTAATATGTGGTTCGTTGAACTTTCCTAGCTGTCAGTATGTGAAGAAATCCCAGTGTCAGATATTAAGCGAGCATTTTCTGTATATAAGTCACACATTTCAAATGGGTATTTTTCAGCCCATTAATCTGTAACAGTGTGTTGGAAAATTTGAAAATGACCAACTACTGGTTTAGTTTGCACCTCACTAAATTGTCCGCAAGGATTAACTAGAAAAACCTGCCCATCAGAAACCCCCCGCCCCCGCCCACTCTCCCTGCCCACAATCACACAAGCACACACACTCCCCTTCCAGGATTGCCTCAGCACAGGCCCCAGGTAAGCATTTCCACTGAAATGATAGCCAGTCCTGGCTTCAGATCATCCATTACAGGCTATCACCTGTGAATCTTCACACTGGGAAGGTTTTCCTACCCAGTTTTAATGGCTGTTTTCAGAACTATTGACATTTACCAAGTCAAGGGCAATCTGTCTTTTAAAGAAGTGCCAAAATAGCCTTGCACTTGGGTCCCAAACGTGCTGGGAAGGTGGATTAACGTTATAGGAGGAGAGGAGGCACAGAAAGTAGAGGTGGAGAAACATAGAGCTTAGCTGGGATTCTGTGTCAAAGATGGTATTCTATGAGTGGGAAATCTTGAGGTGAATGCTGCCAAGTCCTTACCTTCCAGTAGAGAAATGGGCTTAACTTGGGCACTTAAAGTGTATTTGGGGACTTTTTCTTCTGGATAGCTATATATTCTCTGAAATTAAAGGAAAATAAGGATGGAAATGACTTTCTTTGGTGTTTATTGTTGCTGTATCTCTGTGGTATGGCCAATATTTTGTCTTTTTGAAAAAAAATTTCTTTCATTTTTTTCCCACAAATATTTATGAAGTACCTATTACTGTAATCAGACATTGTGCCAAACTTTGGAGATAAAGTAGTAAGCACAGTAGTCTCTTCTCTTATGGAACAAGATATTCTAGAAACAATTTTTTTTTTTTTTTTTTGAGTTGGCGTCTTGCTCTGTCGCCCAGGCTGGAGTGCAGTGGCACGATCTCAGCTCACTGCAACCTCTGGCCTCCTGGGTTCAAGCGATTCTCCTGCCTCGGCCTCCCAAGTAGCTGGGATTACAGGTATGCACCACCACACTCAGCTGATTTCTGTATTTTTAGTAGAGACAGGGTTTCACTATATTGGCGAGGCTGGTCTTGAACCCCTGACCTCAGTGATCAGCCCACCTTAGCTTCCTAAAGTGCTGGGATTACAGACATGAGCCACCATAGCCAGCCTCTAGGACCAAATATTTTATCAGTGGAAACATCTATTGAGGAAAGTGCATCTGGGTAAGAAACAGAAAGCAAAATTTCACCAGTGTCTATGATGGGCCAGGTACTGCTCAAGTCACTGTGCTTACATCGTGTTACTAAATTCTCAAAAAAATGCAGAGACACAGGAATCATTCTTCCTATTTTACAGACAGGTAACCAGATGGAAGGACAACTACAAAAACGACCAATATTTACTGAGCCCTTATCATATGCCTACCACTGTGCTGCAAACTTACATGACTTAGCTTATCCAACCCTCTTTACAGTCTTGAAAGCTAATGTTATGGTCCCCATTTTAATGGGGATGAAACTTGGACAGTCACAATGCTATTAGATTGAGAAGCTGGGTTTTAAAATCACGAATGCAGAGATTTTTCTGTCTGCGAGTGACTAACTCTGGACAGAGGCTTATCAATAGGAAATAGCCAGACTGTCATAGTACTTGCTGGTGATCCTGGGTCAATGAGTGATTTCTTTGCCTTGCATCTTCCTGCAGGCAGATCCCTGTCTTATTAAGAAACTGAATTAACAGTCAAAAATTCTAGAAGTGTAGCATGGGTAAAGCATACTTGATAGAGTTAAGCAGTTATACAGTATAGATGAGCATGCAAACACACACACACGCACCCTTGTGTAGATGTAAATGTGGAGCCAGGGTACTGGACATGGTGGTGACACTGCAGAGTACATGGTGAGTGTGAAATTAGATTATCAAAAGGAATTAATCTGAAGAATGTCAGAGCTGGAAGGAGATTACATTAGAGAGATTCTAGTCCACCCTCTTTGTTTTACATATGGGACAATTCCTTAAGAGATGAGTTACTAAGGGAAAGTGTTTTCTTGAACAGCCCATCTTTGAATATTGCTCCCAATGGTGAAGAGGCAATTCAGACAAAATTCCTTTGACTTATACCTTCATCTTCTGTTCCATTGTTGTGTGTGTGGCCTGAGGACGTCACTCAAATTCTCAGTGTGCAATGAGAAGGGAAGCAGTTATGAGGTGACTCAAAGCTGTGCTTTTAATTGTCTCAATGACCCAAGCAAGGGGAAATTATCCTTCAGGACTAAAATATTGCTTTGATCAAGCCACTCACAGTTCCCAAACTTTACAGCTCATTGGAGTCACCTGGAGATCTTTTCAAAAACTGCTACTTGACTCCCACCCCAAGGCACTCTGATTTGATTGGAATAGAGTGTGGCAAGGCATCGGGAGTCTTAAAATCTCCCGATTCTAATATGAAGCAGAGTGTGGAAACCACTGTCCTACCTGCTTAAACACTTCCAGTGGCTACATATTGCCATCCAATATCTAATAGTATAACCTAATGTTAATTGAATGCCCACCAGGGTGTCAGACAGTGCTTCATTTTTTTTTTTTCATTTAATGGCCACATGCATTTTGTGCTGGCAGCTACTTTTATGACATCTGCTTAGCAGATGAGAAAACTGAAGATCAGAGGACTCATACAACTTGTCCAGGGCTACACAATTAATGAGCGGCAGCAGTGGGATGGCAGTACTATAAGTTTCTCGGTCATGTTGCTTTAGTACAATGACATAAAGACTGATTTCCAAGCCTCTTCAGAGTCCATCTCCAACATACCTTCCTCACCTTATCTCTCAAAGCATACATGTACACAGTCTTCCTGATACAACTTGTGAGATTAACTGATCTCTATGTGCATATGGACTTATTCTTACTCAGCTATATTTTGGTAGCCCAAGAGTATCTGGAATTGCATTGACTTTGGCAAGAGTATTTTCTAGTGTAGGAAGAGGAGTTTGGGATGTGGCAGTTACTATGAGTTGTCATTCCTGTGACTACTGATTCCCATCCTCCTTTCTATTAGAACCTTCGTTTTATCTACCTTCCTTCCACTGGACAGGTGCTTAAGGGAATTTGACCTCTGCCATAGCTTCCAGGGTGAATCAGGCCAGTAACTGTTTAAGTATGGGAAGATACTCAGATTCTAGGTAATGAGACATGAGGGGAAAAGAGCTGAGTGGGTTTCTTTCACTCTTAAAAAAAGAATGTGTTATATTGTATGTATGGCAAATTGCTTAAAAAATACATCACTATAACAAAAGTTGTGTGTTTGTGTAAGGTAGCTTTATACCTGATGTACCTCCAAAGCAAATCCACATTATAGAGTAGCATATGTAATCACTTCAAATATGGTTACTGAAGTTTATATAAGAAGGTTTCCAAGTAAGTAGAAAAGAGGTTGGAAATAACTGTTCATTGGGGATAGACACAATAAGTTGACTAGAGAGTTATGTCTCTTCCAAAGTAAAGTAACTAGCTAGCCCAGATGTCTAATAACCTTGTAATGGCACTCAAGGTCTAGATCTCTGTTAGTTCTGTTTTCGATCCTCAGCATCACAGTAAGCCCTGTTGTATGATTTAACTATATGGTTGACTGGTCATGCCTTCAAACTACTGGTGCAGCCACCACCTTGGAGAGAAATTTTCGCATAAGGTCCTTGTTGGAATGGCTGAGCGTATGTACCTAAAAGATTTTATAACTGTTTTTGTACCTGACTGGTAGTATTTCTGAATTGTGTCAGTCCTGAGGTTAACTGATTTTGTGATTTCTTGCTATTTGAGATAGCTTTCTCCATGTTTTAAGCCAATTTTGGCTGGGTTTATTTGCAACCCAAAGAATTCTGACATACGGTTCTTATGAACAGGGTCAGATACTTAATTTGTGGGGTTCACTATAGAATGGAACATGGGGCTTTTAATTAAAAAATTATTAAGAATTTCAAGACAGTGGCAACAGTCTATTAAACTAAATGAGGGATTCTTCAAAGCGCAGGAGTATGTGCGAATGTCTAGATTGCATGCCCAAAAAGTTGGCACTGCCTGTCAGGAGCCTGGGTGAAATGTTTCCCAGCAGACCCAGGAGGAAAATCTTAAGATTGGTGGGAATCCTCTTTCCTTGGGAATTAGGGCTTGTGATTACCTCTTGCTCTGAGGAGATTTTTGAACTAGGCTTACTAGGAAAAACTGAACCAAATGAGCAGGCACTGCAACAGCTAGTCTCAATTTAAAAAAATATTGTGACCTTTAAAAAATCAGAATCAACTATTTTCTCAGGTTAATTAGGTAAAAAAAGAAAAAAACATATGATATCTTCGAACCTTAAAATCTGTTGTTCTCAGCTTCATGGTTAAAACACATTACATTCGGTCTCATGGAATCGTGAACAACTTATATGTATTTGCCTTATAAAGAAAGGACCAACCATTCTCCTATTAATAAGGTGTGAAAGGTGGGGAGCTAAAAGATTAGCTTTGTAAGTGTCATTTGGGGTGACCAGCTACAGATAGAGATGATCAGATGCTAATTTTTGCAGTAAACTTTTGGTGCTTAGACTGTCAGCTAGAGCATCTTCTCCAAGAATGATGAAACAGAAAAATTAATCACGTAGGAAAACCCAAAGAAGGCAAATGAAGCGATGCAAAGTGAACTCCACTCCAGGCTTTAATGTTTGTTGGCTTTAAGCAAAGATGTCCAAAGTTATGGGCTGGCCCTTGAGTCAGCTTTTTGACTTAAGGATCATGATCTTTGGGGTCTAAGGCAGTTTGTTAACTGATTTTTGAATAATTCCAGTGTGGCATTTTCCCCAGGAAAGAAGGCAAAAGTGACTATTTCTAAATCCATAGAGACTGCAGTGACTCTTTGGTAGGTCAGGCAACCAAGAACTGTCTGTCTTGATGATAGTGGCAGTTAAGATTCTTATAATTTAGGAGGGTCTGTCAACATCCCAACCCTGCCTTGATGATATTTCCTTTGGTATCAGTTGATTGAAAGAAAAAGAAAACCCAGAATGACAAAAGGATAGTGCAAATTCCACATATAAATTATTCACATACATTAAAAACAAGGTGCATACCAGTGTAAAATGTGGTTTCGTTAGATCTACAGAAAGTTTGTGATGTCTATATGGCTTTAGGTAATAAAGGCAAAGCCCTTCAGGTTGATGGAGGAAAATTTGTTCTTTATTGGAGAAGATGTGAGGTGGAAGAGTTCACCTGTGGATTCAGTGTAAAGACGGCAACAGATATCAAAGGAGAGGAAGCAGAGTTTGCTTCTAGCCAATACTTCCAACATAAAGAAGGCTTCTTTGCTCAAATTTGGAAAATATACACATTGAATAAATAACATAGGCCAGCTACTTATAGAGCCAATTCATTATTCCCAAATGCACATTAAGCTTTCCTGCCTCCCAGCTTACTTTTCTCATATTAGTCTCCCTCCTAGAATTTCCTGCACATCCATTTCTAGCCAGCCCTACTTTAACCATTATGAAAATGGAGGTCATGTGCCATCCTCCCTGAGAAACTTTCTCTGAACTAGCATTTATTTTGAATAGGCTCTGCATTTGCTTGTTTCAATGTAATTGTTTCCTACATGTTCCTGTGTTCCATTTTGAAGGTGCATATCTTGTGGTACTAAATATCTTTTTAAATAAAAGGACTCTGTCATATGCTTTGATGTATGACCATGAACTCCTGGATGGATGCTTGGCTATGGTAAGTACTTCACAACAATTCATTTTTTTTTTATGCTTAGACATTCTTCTTTGGCTATTAATTTCAAATTATAAAACTTAGACCATATGAGTACATGTGTCTTTTTGGTAGAATGATTTATATTCCTTTGGGTATGTAGCCAGCAATGGGTTGCTGGGTTAAATGGTAGTTCCATTTTAAGTTCTTTGAGAAATCTCCAAATCGCTTTCCACAGTGGCTGACTTAATTCACATTCCCACCAACCTAACAGTGTATAAGCATTCCCTTTTCTCCGCAGCCTTACCAACAACTGTTGCTGTTTTTACTTTTCAGTAATAGCTATTCGTTCATTGTGTGGTGGATAGCAAAGACACGGAATCGACCTAGGTGTCCATCAGTGGTGGGTTAGATAAAGATGAGAAAAAGAAAAGGTGGCACATAATTATATATACACTGTAGAATATTACAGAGCCACAACAAAGAATGAAATTATGTCCTTTGCAGCAACATGGATGAAGCTGGAGGCCATAATCCTAAGCAGACTAATGCAGAAACAGAAAGCCAGACGTCACAGGTTCTCCCTTATAAGTGGGAACTAAACATTGAGTATATATGGATATAAACATGAGAATAATAGTAATTGGGGATTATTGGGGGGAGCATGGGTTGAAAAATGGGAACACATGGACACAGAGAGGGGAACGACACACACCAGGGCGTGTTGGGGGTTGGGGGGTGAGGGGAGGGAACTTAGAGGATGGGTCAATAAGTGCAGCAAACCACCATGGCACATGTACATCTATGTAACAAACCTGCAGGTTCTGCACATGTATCCCATTTTTTTAGAAGAAATAAAAAAAAAACAATGAAAAAAGTTTAGTTAGACATATAAGCAGCTCAATGGAGAAATAGAGAGGTAATTAAAGGGCATGTTAAACATTGTTTGATTTTAAACATTGGGAAATAAGAAGACATATTTCTAGTCAAAAATTGTCACCATGCCATACGTTGTATGGCTAAATCTGCAGTGCTTGAACCGGTGCTTGACAGGTACTCATTACATATTTGTTGAATATGTAAATAGTGAAGAAATTAAAGAGTGAAAATGATAGGACCTGTAGGTAAAATCATTAAAGGGATCACATCAGAATATCTTTTCAAAGTCTTCGAGATCATTTCCCTGATCAATGTGATTTCATACCTCCAAACAAAGCATCATGATTACGTGACATGATTTGTAGAGTGTTCAGAAACTACTGTGTTCTAAAATATCTCCTCCTGTTTGTCAGAGTGTCTGAGATTTCACAGTTGAAAAGGAGCACTCCTTTGCATTTTTTGTTAGTTGAAATTTTCCTATTAGTAAATCTTTATCAGCTCACACCTTAGTGGGGCCATTTTGGGCAACTGAGTGGTTTGGTGTTAGATAAGTGTCACTGAATGGGAGTAGCAAAGGTTCAAACTTGAGCATGGGAGATGTCACAGAGCTGCTTCTGGCCAACTCTGGCAAGGGCACTCAATAGTCAGTCCTGGGAGCCTAGCAGCTTGGCTGTGGGTGTGTTTGAAAGAGATCTCAGGTCGAGATTAATTCTTGGCAGCTGGTGAATCTATCAGCTGTATCTCTATTAGACTTTAACAGGAATAATTGAATTTTTCTTAAGCTAATGTTTGCTGTTTGTTGTTGAAGATTTCTGTAAATAAGAGATACTGTTCTCCCTGATCATTTATCTTCAGAGTGGAATCACTTTTAGTTGAGATTAGGTTTTAAGGCAAAAATTTATTTGATTTACCTTTTGAAGCTTTTTAGCAGGCACTTTGTTATAAAATATAAGCAATGTGTAGCTCAAGATAGCTGTCTTTTTCTTAAGTATTGGGATGAGTCATATTTTCTTTATCTGATTGCCAGCAGATGGAGTTGGCTTATACTTGAGGGCCATAGTTTTTTCTGGAAAACATGTCTCTTTAAATGCTGAGGTCATACTCCTACACTACACTCAGTGTAACAAGAAGCTCATATAATAGGAGTTACTTAGGGCCTGGGAGTCACTCATGAGCACCAGATTCAGGTTCCCTGAAGGCGTGTGCCCATTGAGTGGCACGGTGGTATCCCAAGATCACAACTATAGAAATTGTTCTCTTTCTCTCTCTGCCCCTGGGCCTGTGTCCTCAAAGCCAGCAATGGCGGGTCAAGCTCCTCCAAGTGTCCAATCTCTCCAGCCTCTTTTTGGTCCTTTTTCTGTCAGTGCTTTTTTTATTTTTTCTAGCTGGCCCTTCTCACTCTGAAAGGGCCATGTGACTACATTGGGCTCCCTGGAATAATTCAGGATAACATTCCTAATTTCAGACCTGTAACTTTGATTCCATCTCCAAAGTCCCTCTTGCCATATAATGCAACTATATTCTTAGGTTCCAGGGATAGATAAGGATGCAGGGATCTTGAAGAGGTGGGATGAGATTTAGTCTGTCTACCACGGATCACCTGACAACGGTTGGTCTTTTTCTTTTCTCTAAAATCCAGAGAAGCTTCATTCTATTAACCATTCCAAGGAATGATTTTTATAAATAGTTACTTTCAGTAGATGAGGAACAGAAGAGGCAGAAGTTGGAACTGGCTGTATGTCCCTTGTTGACCACACTTTTTCAGATAATAGATGAATTCAACATTTAACTGGTAGGTAGGCAGCCATGATATGGTTTCCTGGGAAGCATTGTTACTGCTGGTTAGCTGGAGGATAAGAGTAAAAGTGGAGGTGAGCCCAAATGAGGAAATGCTGTTTTGATTTTGGGGTTTTTTTTAATGTAAAAAAGTATTACGAATTACAAACTACACAAAGAGTCAAATCCCTATTTTGAGCTTGGAGAATTAAACATCAAACACAAATGCAGTCCATCATCCTGCCAGAGCCACGAACTTCCCCAAATAGCTCTTTAAGATGTCACAGCTCCTTTGGTGGGCTGCAGTTTTGACATTTCTAAGCTTGAAATTTGCCTTTCGTGTATTATACAGTGTCTCATCAAGGGACCAACAAAACCCTGTTCCAATAAAGCCGATATATTAGCACCATCAAAAGTACATTCCCTTGATTCTTCAGTCACTTCATATAAGTAATTAACTCCACTTTTCTAGACGGCAGGCTAGTTTTCAAAGCCAGAGATGCGCATGGTTGGTTTCAGATCCAGTTCCTTGCAAACAGAGCAGAGCAGATGGAAATGAGATGCAGAGATAGTGTAGTTGAGAGAGGCAGATAATTCAATCCAAGTGACATTTGGATGCTAGGGATTTGAGATGGTTCAATTATTTTTCAGTTTCTCAACCAGACTTGTCTATGCACAGGAAGCTGGGCTTTAAAATATGACACCTGCTTCAGAGTTCTGTGCTCTTGAATAGGAGGAAGTGTTTCCAGTTAATATGATATTCTAGGAAGAGATGGTGATGGCACAGACTACCCCCACCAAACCCCCCCACCTTTATTTTGAATCTCAGGAAATACAGATTTTCAAAGTAAAAGTGAAACTTCTAAGAGGTATGTTAGATCATGTCACTCCTCTGCCCCAAACCCTTCAATTGTCTGCCGTTTGTCTCAATGTAAAGACCTTGAATCTTACTTTGACCTCCACTGCCTTTAGTCAGTGTTACTTGATGTGTTGTCAGTGCCAGTCCACAAACTCTTACTGGTACCCTTCAGGATAAAGGGCCTGTCCCAGAATCCAAGTCAACAATATCAGTAAGCACCATTTAAGTCAGCTGACATTTTTTTTTTTTCTGTAGAAACATGTTCTCCATGAGGAGGGATACACTGAATGTATATATGTATAAACACATATATGCATATGTGTGTATGAGTATATGTGTGTGAGTACATATAAGCATTTGTGTGTATTTTTAATTTGCCTACCTTTTTTTTTTTTAGTCCTTGATTTAAAAGTTATCTCAAAAGTCACCTTTTCAGTGAGACTTCTCTGGTTACCTAACTAAATTTTTACCACCTTCAGCTGATATAACATTTGCTATTCCACTTTCTTACTTTCTTTTTTTCCCCTCTTTTGTACTAATCTTTAATTAATTTGCTATATATTTTACATATATATTATTTTTTGATCATTGTTGTTTATTGTTTGTCTTTCCTTGTGGAGGTAAGCTCCAAGAAGGCAGAGATAATAGTCTGTTTTGTTTAATTCCTTTTTCACAGCTTCTAGAAAAATTAAGTGGCCCATTGTAAAGAGTCAATAATTATTTTTTGACTACAATATTATACGAATAATTGAAGGACTAAGTAGCTTAGTGAATAAATGGATAAATAAGTGAACAGATAAATGAATGAATAAATACACACATACACACACACACACACACCCATAAAACGGGAAAAGTTCTCTTGTCCCCCTTGCAAAGCGTGTGACAAGGGTGTGGCTGGCTTCTTCGCTTCTTTGGTGCCCTGCTGCTCTAACCCCTAGTGGGAGCCTGCAGATGAGCAGGTCGTGGGGAGCATTCTGTGGCTCTGAACCCATGGCAGCCTCTAGGGTTGAGTGTTTACAGCTCCCGAAGCCCCAGTGGGCATGTATGACAGTATGCTCTTTCAACTTTCCTGTCTGCAGGTGGCTTGTGTTAATCAGCTCAGTTAGACCCACTGCTTTATCTCAAGGACAGAGGGCTTTCTGTATCCCAGGTTCTTGCCCTAGTGTACTGGAAAAATTGGACCACACGTGGGCTTGGAGAATGAGTGCAAGGTTTTATTGAGTGGTGGAAATAGCTCTCAACAGATGGATGGGAGCCAGAAGGGGGATGGAGTGGGAAGGTGGTCCTCTCCTGGAGTCTGTTCTTCTGACTGCCCCTGGCTGAATTCCACGCTGTCCATCGTTCTGCCGTTGATGACCTGCTGGCGTCTGTCGTGTGTTCTTCTGCCGGTGTGTTCCTCTCGACATCCAGCCACTTGTGTCTGTATCTGCTAGGGTCTCGGAGTTTTTTTAGGCACAGGATGGGGGATGCAGCGGGCCAGAGTGGTCTTGAAAGATGAAACATTTGGGCAGGAAAACTGGAGTGCCTGTCCTCACTTAGGTCTTTGGGCATAGGCCCGAGGGTGGAGCCCTCACCAGGGACTCCGCTTTCTCTACCCAGCACTTCCCTGCCCTCCTCTGGTATCACCCATATATGTATATATATGTACATGTAGATAAATAAACGAATGGATGGATGGATGAATATATGATGTTATATTTGTTTGTCTATTTATACGAACCTGAAGGCGAGTAACTAATTTCTGGTTTAAATGGATTGACTTTCTTCACTAGTACTATAGTAACAATGTCTTTTCTTTTAATTAATGACTATGTGTGTGGATTGGTTGTCTCCTGTTCTGCTGCAGGGCACATTTCACTTGCTTATAAAAGAATATCCTATGATCTTATGATGACTTTCAAGAATATGGCTTTAGATACTGGTTGCTACCCAATAAGATTGAATAAGCATGAGTGAGCAAAATCAAAAGCAATTGAAACTTCATGCTTTAGGAAGCAAAGGATCATGGTGACTAACATTTTTTTTCAGTTTCTTAACAGGACACAAATAATCAGGTTGTACATATATTGCAAGAATTTATGAGATATATTTAGATACATCAAACATTTAAAATTCTGTTATACATTTTAATGTCTATGAGAATAAAACTATAGGTTATACCAGGAAGAGTAAAAAGCTTTAAAATATAAATTAGAGTAATAGGTAATCGATAGAACATATGCTATGTGGACAAGGCAAAAAAAATGCAGTAGCCCTAAACTTTTGGAAATGTTGATTTCATTATTGGCAGTTTTAACAGCCAGTCACTGACAAGAGATTGTAATTGTCATGTGTTTCCAGACCATCTCTCCTTGTTGTAGCTCATTCTTGGTTGTCGCATTTTTCTTAGTTCATTGCTCACTTGCCTTTCATATTGTTAACAACCTGCTCAAATAGGTAGGGACAATGTTAGAAAAAGCAATATGTTTTGTGCTGTTTTTGTAGTCTTCAGTAATGATCTAATTTAATAATAACACTCTATGCCATTGGTAGTATTATTTACACTTTACAGACAGAGAAAATAAGGCTTAGAGAAAGGTTGAGAAGATGAGTGACAGAAACAACTTAAATCTCTCTGACCCTGATATACCTTTTCTTTATCCTGCATTACTGATTTTCCTCCTGGAACTCACATTAGAAAATAGTAAAATAGCAGTTATGTAGGATGAATAAATCTAGAAATCAGATGTACGATATGAGGACCATAGTTAATAATATTGTATTGTATACTAGAAGTTGCTTGAGAATGTAGATTTTCAGTACTCTTCCCACAAAAAATAGGTTCTATGTGAGATTATAGATATGTTAAATTGATTATCTGTAGCAAATATTTCACTATGCATATGTCTATGAAAACATCATATTGTACACCTTAAATTTTTACCATTAAAAAGTATGATGTTTAGGGTTTCACAACAGGCTAGTTGATTCAGAATTCTGGAGTAAGGTCTGAACATGGTATTTTATGTTATTTATTTTTTTTCTAACATTTTTTCTTGGAAATTTTAAACCCACAGTAAATTTGAAAGAATAATACAATGAACACCCATTCCTTCATCTAAAGCTATCAAGTAATAATATTTGGCCTCATTTACTTAATCTTCACTCCTTTCTCCCTTCCCTGGCACCCTCTCTCTACACACACACACACACACACACACACACACACACACACACACACACACACACACGTTTGGCCCTCTATCTGCAGGTTCCTCATTTGAGGATTCAACCAAACTTGGCTCAAAAATATTTGAAAAAAATAACAATAAAGCAACAACTAATAAAAATTTAAAACACAGTATAACAGTTATTTACATAGCATTTATATTGTTTTAGGTACTATAATAATCTAGGAATAATTTAAAGTATATGGGAGGAAGTGCGTAGGTTATATGAAAATGCTACGCCATTTTACATAAGGAACTTGAGCATCAGAGAAATTTGGCATTTGCAGGAATCCTGGAATCAATCCTGCTTGTCAAGGGGATGTCAAGGGATGATTGTACTCATACACAAATATCTATTTAACTCTTTTATTTCTATTTGGTTTGTTTAGAAGTAAGTGGTAGACATCATGATACTTTACTCTTAAATCTTCAGCATGCATTTATATAGAAGAAAGATATCCTGTTCCACAACCATGATATTATTTTGATACCCAAGATACCTAAGAATGATAAAATGCTTATTTTACATATGGCATACTGTCCATTTTCAAATTTCCAAAATGTACTTTATTTTATTACTTATTTGTTTTGTAAATTCAGGATCCAATCAGGGATCACACCTTGAATTTGGTTTTCATTGAATAGTTTTCTGACCCCAGTCTAGAACATTTCACTCACTATTTTATTTTTAAATATTTCTATGACTTAGATATTTTTTAAAAATCCAAGTTTTGTAGTAAAATATTCCAACCTCTGGAATGTTTTCCTAATTTTTAGATTCAGAAAAAATACTTTTGGCAAGAATTGAATTTGGCGATGTTATAAACTTTCTACTGCTTCAAATCAGGTGTTGTACAATACTGGTTTATTCCATCACCTGGTTCAGGTGGTGCCTGACAAATCTCTCCATTGTAAAGGCACCTTTTCTCTTTGAAATTTATAATCAATGGGGTATCGATTTGATTTTCTATTTTGTTTCTCTATCTTCTTGAGATTGAAACTTGGCTCACTTTTTTGGGGTGAAGGGGGCATTCTTCCATTTTAATACACACATTTAAAATTGCAAACTTACTTATATGCTCCTGAATTTTTATGTCATGTTTTATCATCCTTCCATTAAAAACATTTTCCAATTTCTGTATTTCACCCCGGGATTATTCATAAGTGTACTGCTTAATTGCCAAGCAGTTGGAGATTTTCTAGTTATATCTATGTTACTGATCCCTAGCTTATTTTCACCAGGGTTGGAGAAAATACTCTTGACAAATTTCAGTTCTTTGATGTTTTTGAGGCTTGCCCATGATGAACATATGATCAATTTTGCTACATATTTTATGTTCACTTTTTATGTCACTTTGGCTAATTTTATGATCATGTTTTTCAAATCTTCTGTATTATTGTCTTTTTTTGGCTAATTCTACTGACCATTGAAAGAAGTATGTTAGTTTCCTACTACTGTAGCTTTGTGCCAAGTTTTGAAATTAGGAAGTATGAGTACTCCAACTGTGTTCTTTATTTTCAAGATTGTTTGGCTATTTGGGTTTCCTTTTGATTTCATGAGTTTTAGGATGGAATTTTTCTATTTCTGCAAAAAGCATCATTGGGATTTTGTTAGGTTTTTGCACTGAATCTCTAGATTTCTTTGGGCAATATTGACATTTAAACAATATTAAGTCTTCCAATCCATGACCATGGGATGTCTTTTTACTTATTTATGTTTTAAAACATTACTTTCAGGAATGTTTTGTAGTTTCTATTTTTTGATTTTTTTCATGATTCAGTCTTGATAGGTTATATTTCTAGAAATTTGTCCATTTCATCTAGGTTATACAATTTGTTGGCATATAGTTCTTCATAGTAATCTTTTAGAATCCTTTATATTAATGTAAAATCAGTAGTTACCTTCTCTCTTTCATGTCTGATTTTAGTTATTTGCCTCTTCTGTTTTTTCTTCTTAGTCAATCTAGCTACAGGTTTGTCCATTTTTTTTTTTGTCAATCTTTTTAAAGAACCAACTTTCAGATCTGTTGATTTTCTCTGTGACAGAGCAGGAGCATCGCCATATGGACAAGCACTGCCATTTTAAGTTCCCCTTGATTAAAAACCACCTAAATCCAGCCCCTAAAACATCAGCCTAATGGCTA
The DNA here is from genome assembly GCF_000001405.40 of Homo sapiens. Lineage (NCBI taxonomy): Eukaryota > Metazoa > Chordata > Mammalia > Primates > Hominidae > Homo > Homo sapiens. Next base: position 5,774,425 of record NC_000003.12, read on the forward strand.
ATTTCAGCATGACCATAAACCACAAATAACACCTCTGTCCAGAAACATTCTAACTCTGAGATAAGCCCCTCTCCAAGCAGAGACATGACAGCCCCGAGATAACCACCCCTCCAACCGGGGACTTGCCAGCCCCAAGATAATTTCCCCTCCGACCAAAGATATTCCAACCCTGCAATAAATTTCTCCTCCACACACAAACGTTCTGAACCTGTGATAAGTTCTCCCGCCATGAACCCTTAAACACTCTTAGTCTGTAAGAGAGAATGCTCCTGACCAAAATCGGCCAGAAGCTCCTCTCAGGTTTATTCTCCAAAAGAAACCTGTCTTTGACTGTTGAGCTGCTTTTTGAGTTTCTTTCCTCTTTCTTGAACTCTTACACTCTATTGTTTCTCTATTCTCTGTTTCATGTATCTCTATTATTTTCTTTCTTCTAGTAGCTTTGTGTTTTGTTCTCTTTTTCTTATTGTTCTAGTTCTTTAAGATGTTATGTTAGGTCGTTGATTTGAGACCTTTCTTCTTTTTTTAATTTTTATTATTTATTTAGTTTTTATTATACTTTAAGGTCTAGGGTACATGTGCACAACATGCAGGTTTGTTACATGGGTGTGCATGTGCCATGTTGGTTTGCTGCACCCATCAACTCATCATTTACGTTAGGCATTTCTCCTAATGGTATCCTTCCTCCATCCTCCCACCCCCCGACAGGCCCTGGTGTGTGATGTTCCCCACCCTGTGTCCACGTGTTCTCATTGTTCATTTCCCACCTGTGAGCAAAAACATGGGGTGTTTGGTTTTCTGTCCTTGTGATAGTTTGCTGAGAGTGATGGTTTCCAGCTTCATCCATGTCCCTGCAAAGGACATGAACTCATCCTTTTTTATGGCTGTATAGTATTCCATGGTGTGTATGTGCCACATTTTCTTAATCCAGTCTATCATTGATGGACATTTGGGTTGGTTCCAAGTCTTTGCTATTGTGAATAGTGCTGCAATAAACATATGTGTGCATGTGTCTTTATAGAAGCATGGTTTATAATCCTTTGGGTGTATACCCAGTAATGGGATCGCTGGGTCATATGGTATTTCTAGTTCTAGATCCTTAAGGAATCACTACACTGTCTTCCACAATGGTTAAACTAATTTACACTCCAACCAACAGTGTAAAAGTGTTCCTATTTCTCCACATACTCTCCAGCATCTGTTGTTACCTGACTTGTTAATGATCACCATTCTACCTGGTGTGAGATGGTATCTCATTGTGGTTTTGATTTGCATTTCTCTGATGACCAGTGATGATGAGCATTTTTTCATGTGTCTGTTGGCCACATAAATGTCTTCTTTTGAGAAGTATCTGTTCATATCCTTTGCCCGCTTTTTGATGGGGTTGTTTGTTTTTATCTTGTAAATTTGTTTAAGTTCTTTGTATATTCTGGATATTAGCCCTTTGTCAGATGGGTAGATTGCAAAAATTTTCTCCCATTGTATAGGTTGCCTGTTCACTCTGATGATAGTTTCTTTTGCCGTGCAGAATTAGATCCCATTTGTATATTTTGGCTTTTGTTGCCATTGCTTTTGGTGTTTTAGTCATGAAGTCTTTGCCCATGTCTATGTCCTGAGTGGTATTGCCTAGGTTTTCTTCTAGGGTTTTTATGGTTTTAGGTCATACGTTTAAGTCTTTAATCCATCTTGATTTAATTTTTATATAAGGTGTAATGAAGGGATCCAGTTTCACCTCTCTACATATGGCTAGCCAGTTTTCCCAGCACCATTTATTAAATAGGGAATCCTTTCCCCATTTCTTGTTTTTGTCAGGTTTGTCAAAGATCAGATGGTTGTAGATGTATGGTGTTAGATTTCTGAGGCTTCTTTTCTGTTCCATTGGTCTATATATCTGTTTTGACACCAGCACCATGCTGTTTTGGTTACTGTAGCCTTGTAGTATAGTTTGAAGTCAGGTAGCGTGATGCCTCCAGCTTTGTTCTTTTTGCTTAGGATTGTCTTGGCTATTTGGGCTGTTTTTTGGTTCCATATGAACTTTAAAGTAGTTTTTTCCAATTCTGTGAAAAGACCTTTCTTCTTTTTTAAGAAGTGTCTAGAGGTATAAATTTCCATCTTTGCACTGCCTTTAATGAATCCTTTCTATTTTAGTGTGTTGTGTTTTCATTTTCCTTTCTCTGTTATTTGATCTTTGACCCACTGGTTGTCTAAGAATGTGTTGTTTAATTTCTACATATTTGTGAACTTTCCACTTTTACTTCTGCTATTAATTTTTAGTTTCATTCTATTGTGATGGGAAAAAATACTTTGTATAACTGTAATCTTTTAAAATGTATTAAGAGTTTTTTGTGGCCTACTATATGGTCTGTTCTGGAGAATGTTCCATGTGCACTTGAGAAAAATGTGTATTCTCCTGTTCTTGGGTTGAGTGTTCTGTATGTGTCTGTTAGGTCCAATTGGTCTATATTGTTGTTCAAAGTCTTATTTTCTCATTAATATTCTCTCTGGCTGTTTTGTCTTTTATTGAACATTATTTGAAAACTTCAACATCATTTATTTTGTTCCCAATTTTGGATTATTAATGACATGCATTTTAATAATAATATGTATTTTAAACCCTACAAGACATTGCTATTATTGTTTTATACAATTTTCCTTCAGATTTACCCACATATTTTACTTTTTTCTGCTCTTTAATACTTCCTGGAACTATGCCTTAGTTTATTTGGGGTCATTTGTATTCTGCTTGAGGAACTAATTTTAGTATTACTTGTAATTCCTTGCTTTTATTGTTTAAATTTTTTTTCATTTTTTGTAGTATACTTTTGTCAGGTATAGAATTCTAGACTTGAATTTGCTATGCATTAGCACTTTAAACATGTCATGCATTATCTCATTGATTCTACTGTCCTTTAGAGAAGTCAACTTCTGGATATATGCTTCATCTTTTGAAGGTGGTATGTCCTTTTTATCCCTCTGGTTGTTTTTAAGATTTTCTCTTTTTTTTAAGATTTTCAACAGTTTTACTATGATATATATAGCTTTGTTTTTCTTTGTATTTAACTTGCTTGAATTTTCTGAAGTTTTTTTTGATCTCTGGATTTTTATTTTTATAGGGTTTGGAATATTATCAGCCATTATATTTTCAAATATTGCTTCTCTTCCATTCTCTCTCTCCTTTCCACTTAAGCATGTTATTTTCTCTCTGTCCCTCATGTCTCTTATGATCTTTATTTTTATTTTTGAGTACAAACTAACTAACATAGTCATCATTTTACCTAGCTACTTTTTTGTGTGGGTAGTGAGAATGTTTGAGGCCAACTCTCTTAGCAAATTTCAAGTATACAAGACATTGTTGTTAACTATAGTCACCATGCTTTACATTAGGACTGCAGAACTAACTCCTCTTATAACTGAAAGTCTGTGCTCTTTGACCAACATCTTCTGTTTTCTGCTACTCTCAGTTTCCCAGCCTCTGATAATTACCATTCTATTCACTGCTGCTGAGTTCAATTTTTATTTTTAGATTTTACATATAACTAAGATCATGCAGTAGTCTTTCTGTGTCTAGCTGATTCCTCTTAGTATACATCCTACAGATTTATCCATCTTGTTGGAAATGCCAGCGTCTTATTCCTTTACTGCTGAATATTACACATATATATTAAGGCATACAACATTTTCTTTATTCAATCATCCATGGACACTAATGTTTTCATATCATGGCTACTGTGAATAACACTGCAGTGAACATGACAGTGAATGTTTTCCACATACTGATTTCATTTCCTTTTGATGTACACTTAGAAGATGGATTGCTGAAACCTATTTTTAAGTTCTATTTTTAAGTTTTTGAGGGACCTCGATATTGTTTTTCATAGTGGCTATACCAATTTATATTCTCACCAGTTGTGTACAGGATTCGTTTTTCTTCATATCAGAATTCTTTCTGTAAACATAGAGTATTATTTAATTTTTTAAAATATTTTGTTTCTCTTTGCTTCTATTTGCATATTTCTTATTGACTCTCTTTTGGTTCACAGATCCTATCCTCTTTAATGTCTAATATTCTGCTAGATCTTTCTATTGAATTCTTAATTTTAGATACACTTTCCAATTCTAAAATTTCAATTTAATTTTTTATTCTGATCCTCTAGTTAAATTGTTCATTATTTTATCTAACATTGTATAATTTTATTTTTAATATAGTTATTTAAAGTTTTTATTACTTCTAATATCTGAATCATCTGTTGATCTGTTTCTATTGTATTTCTATTTTATTCTATTATTCTATTCAATTCCATTCTGTCCTGTTCTCTTCCACTCTATTCTCTCTTGATTTTCCATTGAATGGTATTGTTTCTTGACATGCTTAATAATTTTTAATAGATACTTCCAATTCTATAGAAAACAATTTTAGGGGCTCCAGGTGAAAATTTTTTGGGGAAAGAATTTATCTTACCTGTACTAGTCAGATAGAATAATAGGTGATCATTTTAATTCTACAGGAACTGAGTTGAATGGAGACTTGATGGAAGTTTTGTGAACTTTTGGGAGGTGATAAGTCTGCCTGTTTAAAATGACAATGTACAAATATTTTCTCTTCCTCCCCAACACCCTACCTTTTCACCCAGAGGGGGTTTATCCATGGGTGATTTCTGCATGAATCCATTATAAAATGGATTACAAAACAATGCTTTTCTTTCCTTGTCATTTCTTCATTATTTATGAGCTGGCATTATTCTGTAATGAGTAGTTTTGTTATTGTTTAGGGATTTTTTTTTTAGCATCAATTCGTTTTTGAATTGGCTAGCATGAGCTCCTTCAAGCTGGCTTATGTGTCCTCCTGACGTATTCCTATGTCTTAATGTTTCTGGTAAGACAAAATTTCTTATGTTTCTCCTTCTCTAGCCCGGGAATCAGTTCCTTCAAGGATTTCTGATTCCTTCAAGTGGAGAAAGATATTTTAAAATGAAGATATGGATTCTAAGTGCTATTTCTACTGGCAGATAGATTGCTTCTAGGTTCCTTGTTTGAGAAGGACTAGAAAATGTGTATGTGTCCATTCATGTATACCCATATACATATATTGATATTTATTTATTTATCTGTTAACCTACCTATCTATGTTTATTAAAAGCTATGAGCTAATACCAAGATTTAAAAATTCAATCCAGTACCACAGGATACAATTACATATTCATTTGCTCAAGCCTAGAAGGCACCAAAAGTAGTTTCAGGATTGCTGAAAACCATTATGAGAAGAGATTCTTTTAACTAGAGTTTAATATTTGTTTGCAGTTCTTTCTCTGAGGTAAAATTTACATACAGTGAAATTCACAAATCTCTAGTATCCAGTTCAATGCATTCTGACAAGAATATGAGGATTTTTAAGTTCCTTAGTTGGCATTAATGTGTAATTTGAGGTGACTAGCCATACACTACTCAGTGGTACCTCCTTAAATTATAAATTGAAATCAACATGGTAAGAGATCTTGCAGCAGTGCTTTAAAGGGGACAGATTTCTACTGTTTTCAGTTTCTAGTATTCCATCTAAAGTTGCTGATGACGCAAGTTTAAACCATTGACTTAGCAGCAGTAACCCCTAAGCATGTTTTTTCCCATTAATAGCTATTTTTTCCTCTTTGAAGAGGTATTGCAGAAGCTTTTCTATTTCTTAAAATTGAATTTACCATTTACAGAATGACTTCTTTGACACTTATGGCCTGATAATTTTAGAGTGCTATCAGAGAAGAGAACTCAAGGGGTGAGAAGCTGAAATGCCCACTCTAGTGTTTTTACACTATTATCTGCAGCGTTTGAGCAACTATTCCTCTCTCCGTATTCCTTTTGAAGACTTCGAGACTTCTGACACTACTGCTCCCAAGTTACTCACAAAGTTATTTCAGCTCCCAAAGCTTGAGTTTTTTCTTCTGTTTCCTTGAGGATATATTAAAAAAACTACTTTGAAGGAATTCTAACCAAGCTGAGAATTCTTCTACATTAACAATGCCAGCAGACACTTGTGCTCTATATTTTGTGCGTTGATATCTCTTACTGTGAGAATCGGTTGTGATGTGATGATACAGAGGGTTATCTAAGAGACTTTCTCCTTGTGCAGAAACTTTTATGGTAGAAAAGTATCTTAAGTTGCTTGGTTAAAGGGACAGAGTTTCTGCTGTAGGGTCAACTCTGAAACATGCCCTTGAATTTGCTCTTTATCAGGATGATAAAGGGCTTATGGTGATGATTGAACAGGGGCTCTATGAATTCTAATTTTTGTGTTCCTTAGCCACAATTAATTGCAATATTTGTAAAGTTTTTAATTTTTTTGTATGGTGAGTTTTATTCTCTGAATAAAAAATAGGATCACATTTTTGCAATGCTTTTAATGATAAATTATACATTTTCCCCAAACATATGAAAGTTTGGATGAACATTACTTGTATTGTTGCTTGTTTTCTTTCTAAAATAAACTTTAGTATTTAGAACAGTTTTAGATTTACAGAAATAGTGTGAAGGTAGTGTAGAGAGTTCCCATGAACCCCACGCCCAGTTTCCCCATTCTTGACTCCTTATATTTGAATGGTATGTTTATATAATGAATAAACCAATTTTGATATATTATTATGAACTAAAGTCCTTATTTTAGGCAGTGTTTTATTGGAAAATGGTATTAGAAATTAATAATAGATATACATTTATGTACACATACACACAGAGAAAGGGATTTATTACAAGGGATTGGGTCATACAATTATGAAGGCTGAGAAGTCCTATAATCTGCTGTCTGTAAGCAGATATCTGGAAAACTTGTGATGTGGTTCCAAGGCCTGATTGCTGGAGGGGCGGTGATATAGTTTCTGGTCCCAGTCTGAAGGCCCAAGGACCAGAAGTGCCAAAGAAAAGAGAAAATCAATGTCCTAGTTCAAGTAGCCAGGTAGAGGGAAGACAAATTCAACCTTCCTTAATCTTTTTGTTCTATTCAAGAACTCAACAGATTGGGTGATGCCCACCCACATGGTGGAGAGCCATCTGCTTTCCTTGGTCCACCAATTCAAATGCTAACCTGTTATGGAAATATCCTCAGAGACATCCCTAGAAATAATGTCTACTAAGATATCTGGGCATCCTGTGGCCCAGTCAAGTTGGTACATAAAATTAATCATAACAAACTGGTTGGTGGTCTTCAAAAATATTAAGGTCACAAAAGACAAAGACAAATTGGGGAATTATTCCAGATCAAAACAGACAAAAAGACTTGACACTGAGATATAACATGTGATCCTTGGTGGGTTTTGAATCATAATTTTCTTGTTGCTATAAAGAAAATTATTGGAAACTTTGTGACATATAAATAAAATCTGTAAATAATTTTATATTAATACCAATTTCCTGATTTTTTATCCATTAATTATGGTGATATAAGAAAATTTCTCTGTTCATAGGAAGAACACATGCATTTAGCAGTAATGTGGAATCATGTTTGTAACTTCCACTCAAGTGGTTTAGAAAATAACTATACATATTTATGTACAGAGAAAATTATATGCAATTGTGGAAAGTTTTAACAATTGAGTAATCTGGTTGAAAGGTATATGAGAGTTCTTTGAACTATTTTGCTACTTTTATGTCAGTATGAAATTATTTTCAAATGAAAGTCTACAAAATGAAAATTGCAATTATGATAAGTTCTTTTTTTTTTTTTTTTTTTTTTTTTTTGAGATGGAGTCTTACTCTGTCACCCAGGCTGGGGTGCAGTGTCGCAATCTCATCTCACTTCAAGCTCTGCCTCCCAGGTTCATGCCATTCTCCTGCCTCAGCCTCCCGAGTAGCTGGGACTATAGGCGCCTGCCACCACGCCTGGCTAATTTTTTGTATTTTTAGTAGAGATGGGATTTCACCGTGTTAGCCAGGATGGTCTCGATCTCCTGACCTTGTGATCTGCCTGCCTCGGCCTCCCAAAGTGCTGGGATTACAGGCTTGAGCCACTGCGCCCAGCTGCAATTATGATAAGTTCTAAGAATAATATAAAGATTATGCTTTGATAGAAAAATAGAAAGATTCGGTGAAAGAAGGGAGGAAAGAATGTTTTATTTAGTCTCTCCGTCAACAAATAATTATTGAACTCATCACATTCCAGCGACTGGCTCTAGGCGATGGGAGTACAATAGGGAGTACAATAGCAAAACTCTGCCCATCTTCATCACTAGAAGAAGCAAGCCATAGGCACATTAAAAAAAAACCCCACAAAATAATTGCTAAGATAATTTCAAGAAGAACTGTTAGTAGATTATTTTGTTAATTCAGGCTAGAGATGATTTTCAACTGGACCACAGTATTGGTGGTAGATTTAGAAGAAATGAATAGATTCCAGACAGACATTTAGCAAGTAAAAGAAAGGAGTGGCAGACAAATTTTAGAATGATGTAGGAGGATGGCATCAATAATTATTTTTAGAATTCTGGATTTTCAGCTTTCAATATCTGTCAAATAGTCCACCATTAAAATGTACACAACAGTATAACATCTAAGTTGAACTTTTTTGGGTCTGTTCCCTGTTTCAAGCAATTTTCAAGTAACTTAGATTAGCATCTCTTAAGCACTCTGTTGGATCAGTTTCTATTCCATTGAACAAGTCTACAATGATCTCCTCCTGTTCATTAATTCAATTGCAGCTTCTCCTTTTACTTAATTTCTTTGAGTAACCAATCTACTCAACTTTACAATCTCACATCATTCCCTGCCTCCTACTTTTTCTCTCCCATCTACTTACTCTAATCTGTTTGACTTCCTTGATCATTTCTCCAGTTGGGTTCTCTTTCATACCATTTTTATCCTCTCTTCTCTATCATCAAATGTTTCTCTTGTCTTTGAACACCTACTCCAGAAACTCTGCGTTAACTCTCTAACCCCTGCAACTGATCTGTGTTGTGGTAGGATGGTAGAAATTTCAAGAGTTTCCATATTAAGATGGCAAATTGAATATGTGTATCTAATTTCATTCTCTCCAAAAAACATACTAGGAACTACTATACAGCTATTTTTTGTTTGTTTGTTTTTGAGATGGAGTCTCGCTCTGTCGCCCAGGCTGGAGTGCAGTGGCGAGATCTTGGCTCACTGCGAGCTCCGCCTCCCGGGTTCACACCATTCTCCTGCTTCAGCCTCCCGAGTAGCTGGGACTACAGGCGCCCACCACCACGCCTGGCTAATTTTTTGTATTTTTAGTATAGACGGGGTTTCACTGTGTTAGCCAGGATGGTCTCGATCTCCTGACCTCGTGATCTGCCCACCTTGGCCTCCCAAAGTGCTGGGATTACAGGTGTGAGCCACCATGCCCCCGGTGCAGATATTTTTAAGAGGCATAAATTCATAGTATTTGAAATCTGAAAAGCAGATAGGCTGAAAGAGGTAATTGACTAAATTAACCTGAGAAAGCAAGATTCTAAAAGCAGAGAAGCACTGAGAACTCTAATATGCATGAAAAAATTCATACTTAGTGAAAATTGAGTATCACTGTATTTGGAATTTAGGGAAGGAGACACAGAAAGGTGATAGAAGAGAGATACACCCTCATCTACCAAATAGGAAGTCAAAAGGCCATGCCTAAAATAAATTCATTTAAAGTCAGCAATTTACATAGAAGTTTAAGATCTGTAAATTTCAGAGGAACTAATTAAGAATATTTGAAGTTATTGCATCTGGTGACGAGTTGGGGGTTAATAGGGAAATGTTAGACAACTTTGCTACTTCTTACATGTCTGTTAATACTGTTTGACTTTTAAAACTGTGTATATATATTACTTTGAAAAAATAAAGAAGTTTAAACATTTCCAATAAAGGACGGGTGCGGTGGATCATGCCTGTAATCCCAGCACTTTGGGAGGCCGAGGCAGGCAGATCACGAGGTCAGGAGATCGAGACCATCCTGGCTAACAAGGTGAAACCCCGTCTCTACTAAAAATACAAAAATTAGCCAGGCATGGTGGCAGGCGCCTGTAGTTCCAGCTACTCGGGAGCTGAGGCAGGAGAATGGCATGAACCCGGGAGTCGGAGCTTGCAGTGAGCTGAGATTGCGCCACTGCAGGGCCACTGCACTCCAGCCTGGGCAACGGAGCAAGACTTCGTCTCAAAAAAAAAAAAAAATGTCCAATAAGTTTTACTGATTTTAGTCTTTTACATATGAAAAGAATTATTGGAAGTAGAAGGCATCTAGGAGAATAACAGGGGCAACATCTGTCCTTTGATAGATGAGAAACCTACGACATGATATAGCTGTGTGTAGCAGTGGAGTTCTCCAAACACAGTCACTGTCAAGACTGTGGTTCTTTGCATGTCTAAATTAGTTTCTGCTCCAAATGAAGTCTCAACCATCCTTGTAAAAATGTAAGAATGTGGTCATGGCAATTCAACATGAATGCAATGCTGACTTCTTGGCATTGTGTCAAAAATGGTAAATTAAACATATTAAAAACAAGGCAGGCAGTGTTGTCTCAGTGATTAGCCATGGTAACTGTTAGGAATTAGACTGAAATCTGGATGCAGGAGAGGAAAAGTGTTTATGTATTTCAATGAGAGGGAAAGTGGAACACACTGTGTATAGGCTGAATTGAAAGAATACTAATGGGAGTGACAGTAATGAGATTATATGTATTATAAGCACTGACAATTATACTCTCATTACTAAAATACACAAAGGGAATGAACACAATTATGTAGCAGATACCATGGGACAATGAACTTATTATACCCATTTGCAGTGTAGTCTATAAAAGTTTGCTGCTATAGTTTATGCTTTATGGGAGCAAAATCAAGTGTTTCCCCTCTTATACCTTTATAAGGTGGGCTCCTTATATGACACTCCATTGCCACTGGTTCCATTACAAAAGGGTTATGGCCAAAGCACACTTTATCTATGAGGACCAGCACTTCGTCTAACGTGATGTGTTTCTCCAGCATTGCAGAATCTAGCAGTGCCGATTAATTCCAGGATGCCGGATCAGCATTGGATGACCTTCCAGAGATAATGCCCAAATATGTTGGAGATGGGGGGAAGGGCAGTGCATACCAGACTGTGCTAATTTATTTTCATTGAAATGATTTACTGCAATACATTGGTTCACAATAATAAACAAAAGTAGAAAAGTTGTTACGAAGCACTTACTATATGATAGTTATTATGTAAGCACTTTATGTATAGTATTTATAATTGATACATTTAGAACTAGAAAATAGATTATTCATTTGGAACTGTGACCATCAGGAAAATATTTCTGTTCACTTCATGCAAGATATGGCTTAATATATATGAAAATGGGATCTAATTAAAGAGCTTCTGCACAGCAAAAGAAACTGTCGTTAGAGCGAACAGGCAACCTACAGAATTGGAGAAAATTTTTGCAATCTATCCATCTGACAAAGGGCTAATATCCAGAATCTACAAAGAATGCAAACAAATTTACAAGAAAAAAACAACCCCATCAAAAAATGGGTGAAGGATATGAACAGACACTTCTCAAAAGAAGACATTAACGCAGCCAACAAACATATGAAAAAATGCTCATCATCACTGGTCATTAGAGAAATGCAAATCAAAACCACAATGAGATACTATCTCATGCCAGTTAGAATGGTGATCATTAAAAATTCAGGAAACAACAGACGCTGGAGAGGATGTGGAGAAATAGAAATGCTTTTACATTGTTGGCGCAAGTATGAATTAGTTCAAACATTGTGGAAGACAGTGTGGCCATTCCTCAAGGATCTAGAACCAGAAATACCATTTGACCCAGCAATCCCATTACTGGATATATAGCCAAAGGATTATAAATCATTCCACTATAAAGAAACATGCACACATATGTTTTCTTCCTATAAACTGGAGTAGGTATGATTTTGGGGAGCAGCAGTAATTTGGGATCATAGAGAAGGTGAAAAATCAAGTCATTTTGGGTCAGAAGTGATATGCGTCCTGGTTACTGCGTTTGTCCCTCTAAAGCAGCTATCTCTGCCTTGATTTAGGCCCCTGTGAATGGGATCACCCAGGCTTTCTTGCCATCTGGTTTCCGATGGGAAGCACTGGCAGAAGATTGGAAGGCAGGAGGAGAGAGAGGTTGGGATATGCTGCTTTAATAGACATTATAAGACCTTCCAGGTCTATAGTTTCCCTGAGGAGACAGTCTCCATGGTTGCGTCCCTCACTGGATTTTAGTAACATTATTTCCTCCCCTTGTTAAGGTCACCCAGTGACTTCCCAGTCTCAGCCCTGGGAGCTCTTCTAGTTTTTGTGTAGCTCATTATCTTTCGTTTTTTTTCCTTTAGCCGTGGCCATAATTCTCTGTTGTCTTTTCCTTAAAATCTTTCATTTGAGCCATCTGTATTGCATGTTTTTCCTTATGGGACTCTGATTTATGCAACATATATGATTTAAAGTAAAGAGCATGGTTTTCTTGTCTGTCTCAGTCTTGGCTTGTATGATGGTGTCTAGAGTGGCACACCCAAATTGTGAACCATAGCAAACCTCAGAATGGCTTTCTGGGATAACCACTTAAAAAGAAGATCTCTTGGGGTGTATAAATTCTGGTATGTCTGTTACGGTTTTTATTTATTTTTTAAAATTTATTGTAACTCTTCACATTTAGTAAAAAACTTAAAGAATACCTTGTGTAATATTTGATTTAGAAAATGGTTTTCTGTATCTGGACACAAAATGTGTCCCCCATAAGTTCATGTGTTGGAAACTTAATCCCTCTGCCTGCATGAATGGATTGATGTTGCTATCACTGGAGTGGGTTTGTTACTGAAGTAGTGGCTTTGTTATAAGAGCAAGTGCTCTCTTGCTCTCTGGCTCTTGCCCCCTGGCCATGTGATGATTTCTTCTATGTTATGACACAGCAAGAAGGCCCTCACAAGATGCTGGTGAAACACTGTTGGACCTTCCAGCCTCCAGAACAGTAAACTAAATAAACTTCTTTACTTTATACATTATTAAGTCTGTGTTATTCTGTCATAGCAACAGAAAACAGACTAAGACAAATGGCATGGCACATTTTGTAATGGAAACCATATTAGACAAAGAATAGAGGCCCGAATTTCATTTCTTGCTGTCTGATGTTAGGCTAGCCCCATGAGCTCTCTGGTCCCCTTTGCTTCCTTTTTTAAATCTGTGAAAGGAGACACTGGGTTGTTTTCCTAGTCCTATGTTTTTGTGATGTTGCACTTTTGTCTCTAGTGTAAGAATGTTTATATTCACATGTTTGGGTGTTGTTTGTCTTTGCTTTATATTTACAGGCTGTTTTTTTAGGTCTAGGTAGCAAGTCTCTCATGCAGGAATAAAAAGAGAAGCTGACCAGCCTAGCAGAGCATCATATACTATGAATCCTCTGAAGGTTGTGACAGGAACTCATAGCATATATGGACATTCCCTTATTTTGCAGGCCTTTGGGGAAGTATTTAAATCACATAGCATTCAGTGCCTCTGGTAGCTGCAGATGGGATACCAAAACAAGTTCCACTGGAAGCACGTGGCTCATTTTCAACCGTGTTCAGCATTGAAGACAATCTGTTCCTCTTCTCTGCCTGCTCAGTTCCCCCTCCAGGCTCCAGGCTCCAGGCTCCCCTCCCTCCCTCTGCAGTTATTTCCCAGGCACGACTAGAGGGAGCTCCAGACTAAATTGCTTTGTACTCTTGCATCTATGTATGTGTCAGATGAGATCAGATTCAAACCAGTTTCCATTCTCTACAGTGCTGATTCAAATCAAATCAAAATATCTGTTCCTTGGGAAATGATTGGAAGTACACTTACATGACTGTGTCCCCTAATGGTCCTGTCATCCAGTCCCGAGGGCAAGGATACAAGGGGAGTTGATGAATCAGAATTACTTTCCCGATGAATCTTTTCCTGTGCCTCTGCTTCCAGGTTGGTCTACGAGACATCTCAAAATCAAGAAGGGGAACATGGGTCTTACCTGGAATTCTGACTTTCTCCAGTCTTTGTCTTTCAAACTGTATAAAACTGTAGGAATTCCTCATGTTCTCTGTCATTTTGCTACCTAGTAAAGGAAAATTGTCTTTGAGGAATTTCTACTCAAAACCATGAAACTATAGATTTTTGTTTGTCAGTGCTGGACACTTTAACGTCCTCTTTATCTATCTTTGTGCTTTATTTTGCTACAATCTCCTTAAGCAATAATATTTTTTCTTTTTAGAAAATTGAAGTAATTGAGCTATGTTGGGTTCTTCTGAAATCCACAGGGTGTCTCTCTTTCTCTGGAAGAAAAAAAAACAAAAAAAAAAAAAGAGAAGGTTTACCTAAACCTTGTTCTCTTTCCTTTATTCTATTTTCACACAAATAGCGTATTTATTTATTTATTCATTTTTTTTTACACACACCTTTTTAGATACTAAGAAAACTTTGGTACGAAATCTCTTCTTACAATAGTCAGTCGAGACAAAACGTTAGTTTGTTTTCCCCTGATCTTTTGAGATCATTTTCCAGGGAATGCACAGGAATAAATGCACAGGAATAAATGCACAGGAATAAATGCACAGGAATAAATGCACAGGAATAAATGCACAGGAATAAATGCACAGGAATAAATGCACAGGAATAAATGCACAGGAATAAATGCACAGGAATAAATGCACAGGAATAAATGTTGGCTTTGTTTGAGGACCTTTGTTCCTTCTCTCATACAGGGATGATGTCTCTTCCATGAATGAGGGGAAAGGTGTTTTTTAGCATTTTCTCTTGTCTCTACCACAAACCAGCTTGTTCTTTTTTTTTTTTTTAATTAATTTATTTATTTTTGAGACGGAGTCTCACTCTGTCGCCCAGGCTGGAGTGCAGTGGCGCGATCTCGGCTCACCGCCAGCTCCGCCTCCCGGGTTCACGCCATTCTCCTGCCTCAGCCTCCTGAGTAGCTGGGACTACACAAACCAGCTTGTTCTTAAAGAAAACAGAAGATGAAAGGGAAACAAGGCCAAGTAACATCTCTGCAGAGTTCCTCTGCTGTCTCATTCGCTGGGCAGGCTCATTCCTGATAGGTTCGCATGCTCACTAGTGTCCCATCCCATCACCTGGAGAAAATTTAAAAAATAAAAGAGAAAATGAAAGGATCATTCTTTTTGGTCATGGCCACTGGGATGACAAGTGAAATGCACAGAAACTATGTGTCCCTGCTGAGCAGGACAGTGAAATGTCTTGGAACAGAGATGGTTGGCAGGGGTCTGCCCAGGTGACAGCACTAGACAAGAGGACCAGGATACATATTACTTGACTGTTCATATAAATGTAATATAATCATATGAAGTGGGGATTTAGGAGAAAATAAAATACTTTCCTTGCACCTAATGCTAAGGATGATGTTTGCTATCAATAGGTGCATCAAGACTGGACAGCAGGAATCATGCTGGACAGTAACCCTGCACCTGGTTTCTACCCTCAGAAATTTTCTATCCTTTCTGGAGTGAGTTAAGAAAAGAGTTACTTTGCTGGTTCTCATTTGGACAGCTGTTTGTTTGTCTGCCCAGTATCCAATCTCCTTTTTAATGTTAAGGGGGAAACACTTTACGTTTTGAGAGGACTGTCAGTCAGGGTGCCCTCCCTCTCCTGGACAAGGAGTAAACATGCAAACCAAGCTCTGTTCGGAGTTTGATCCCTGAAGAGTAACTCAAAGAAAGAAGATAATTGATCTTGATTCTTCCTACTGGCTGACTGCGAAGGGAGTGTCCAGTGTACCTGATTTTCCTGAACTGCCTTGCGTCAGAGCCTTTCCAAAGCTTGGTTCTGACATTCTGTTGGACTCTACGACCTACTAAAAATCCTTTCAATAACTTAAATGGCCCCAAGTTAATTTTTGTGGCTTACTTTCCCTTTCCCCCAAGGATTAACTGCTCTATTCATCTTTTTAAACATTTCTTTAGCCCACCTTACATATTGCTTTCTAAACAATCCTACTCCATTGCTGAGACATCCTTGTTAAAAATCGTCAATGCTTTCAGTTCCGCACTGGTCTGTGTCTGAATTCTTCAGCTGGACTTCTTATACTTTTCAAAAGCTATCTCTACTTTCCTTCAAATTAGAAAGGAGGAGTCAAATGATATAGGCAGTCATTAGAATGGGAACTGGAGAAATAACATTGGGGAACTGGCAATGGGTGTCTCAGTGTTTTTCCTCTAAAAATGTGGATGCAAAAGTAAATAAGATGTAAGACCCTTTCTCTTACGTTCTATGCTTCAAATCTTGTCCCATCTTGATTTTTCCTATTGACATGCAATGGGAATATAGCAACTTGGGGCAGAGAGGAACATATATATCTGGCTGCCAGTCTTTGGGCCTCTGCACAGCAAAAATTTTAGTCTATGAAAATCTGAGTGTCAAATCAGTGTCTGTGCAGGGAAAGCACAACCATTGCCCGTAAGTACTAGTCATTCTACCATTTGACAATCTTTGGATATGTTCGAGCTTGCTGTCCCAACACTACATTCATCATCTCTCAGTGATTTTGCTCAGATGTTCCTAACTTCAAGTTTTATGCCTTTCTGTGCTTTCTTCATCCACATATTGTATGCTCTCCCTCTCCATTGGTTTGAGACCTGTTCTGGGAGTTAGTTGGTCCAATGGAAGAGGCCAGGAGAGATCTATTGCTTGCTTGGATGAAAAGGTGGTTTAAGTGTTTGTGACTTTCGTTGTTGAACTAGAAACACCATTCTTCAAGGGAAAGTAAGTGATCATGTTTCAGTGTCTAACTTTGGCATCTTTTTCTAATGGCTCAATGTCAAGTTCATGCTAAAGTCTTTGCTTTCTGGGTTTTATTTTATTAAATCTTACCACATTTTTTTTTTCTTTGTGGTCCATTAAACTATCATTCCTGGACCTGGGAAATCATTTAAAATTATCTGTGCAGTAAGAGAGTAAAAATGCATCAGTTGGATTTGAGCTATTTTCATGAGAAATCTGTCAGTCACAGTGATGGACAGGAAGTATATTTCTTCCAAATAAATTTCTCCCTCACTTTCACCTTGTGCTTTTCATTTGTTTCAGCCTTCTGATGGCTGGCAGGAACTTCAGTTTTTATATAGGAATGGCTCTGTGTTGGGTGCAAAAATTCCTCTTTCTCATTCTCTTTTCCATGTAAAAACATTGAAATTTATTATTTTTCTGTTGTCAAATTGCATGATCTATTAACTGAAAATATGAGTACTGATTTTTCTTCCCTGAGGTGCTTGTGGATAAAGTGTAGTTTACACTTGAGGTTATGTTAACAGAGCTTGCTGCCAACTGACCTCTCCATTCAATGCAAAGTTAGGCATGCAATGAGGAAAGATTTACTCATCCTTTCCAGTAGGTCATTTGGGTTGAGTCATCCATTCATTATTTTTCATTCTTTAAACAAATATCTACTGAGTGTCTACCATATGTCAGACACTGCAGTAGGCATTGGGTATATGACTGGTGAACATAATAAGGATCAGTTTCTACCTTCTTTGAACTCGATGGGAGAATATTAAATAATCACATATTAGTTATTTATTGGTATATAAAAATTATGCCCAAACTTACCAGCTTAAAACAACGAACATCTATTATCATTCAGTTTCTGAGGGTCACGAAACTGGGCATAGCTTAGCTGAGTGGTTTTGATTCAGAGATTATTTTGAGAATGTAATCAAGCTGTAGGCCAGGGCTGCAGTTTCTGAAAACTTGACTAGGATTAGATTATGCACTTCCAAGCTCACGCATGTGGTGGCTGGCAGGAAGCTTAAGTCCCTCACCATGTGTGTCTCTCCATGGTTGCTCACGATATACCTTCCCTCAGAGAAAGTGATGAGAGACAGAGGTCAAGAATAAACTGGCAGACTTTTAAAACCGAATCTCAGAAGGGACATATCAAATTTCTACCATGTTCTATCACACAAATCAATCCTGGAACAAAGTAGGAAGGGAGTACATAAGGGGGCCACTCCAAGGAGGCAAGGATCATTGGGCACCATCTTGAAAGCCTGCTACTAAAAACCATATAAATAAAAATCTAAAATACAGTATATTAAGTGCTAAAAAGGACATTGTTTTTTTAAAAAAGAAATTGAGAGTAGAATAAGAGGATTTGAATTGTCAGTTGGATTAGGAACTCTTCCCTAAAAAAAAAAAAAAAAAAAAAGTGAGGATTGAGCTGAAATTTGAAGGGTGAATAAATAGGTGTTAACTAGGAGAAGATAACACAGAAGAATGATGCAGGCAGAGGACATAGCATGTACAAGGGCCCTGCGAAGAGAAGAAACATAATGCTTCTAAGGGACTGAGAGAAAGCCAGAGTAGAAAGAATGGAGAGTAGAAGGAGGCACAGCACTCAGTGAGGGCCACACTGTGCAAAACACTTAGGCCATGCTGCCATTGTGGTCTTCATTCTAATTACTTCAATGGAAAGAGCTTAATCAGACCAGTCACTTAGACTTGTTTTTTTTTTTTTTTGGCATTTTATTTTTAAAAATTGTAGTACAATGTATGTAACATAAAAGTTACCATTTTATGTACACTATTTCTAGAAATTTTTTTATCATCCCAAACAAAAAATTTCTACCCATAAAGTGGTAAATCCCTATCCCCTACTCTTCCCAGACCCTGGTAAACTCTAATCTATTTTCTGTCTCTCTGAATTTGCTTATGTCAGATATATTTCATAAAATTGGACACATATATTTGTGCTTTTGTGTCTAGCTTATTTCACTTAGCACAGTGTTTTCAAGGTTTATCCATATTGTAGCATATGTCAGAATTTTATTTCTTTTTATGACAGAAGAGTAAAATTTAATTGTACATATATAATATATTTTGCATATTAATTCATCCATTGATAGATACTTGAGTTCTTTCCACCTCCTGAGTATTGCTAATAAAGCTACAAAGAATATTGGTATGTAAGTATCTATTTGAGTTTCTGCTTTCAATTCTTTTTGGTACAAACCTAAGCATGGAATTACTGGGTTATTTGGCAATTCTATGTTGACATTTGGTGTTATAAATTTATTTTTTATTTTAAATTATTTTGGATACATAATAGTTGTATATATTTATGGGGCACATGTTATATTTTGATAGAAATATACAGTGTGTAATGATCAAATCAGCTCTGTATTGAGCCTTTTTTTTTTTTTTTTTTTTTTTTTTTGAGATGGAGTCTTGCTCTGTCACCCAGGCTGGAGTGCAGTGTCACGATCTTGGCTAACTGCAACCTCCACCTCCCGGGTTCAAGCGATTCCCCTGCCTCAGCCTCCTGAATAGCTGGGATTACCGGTGCGTGCCACCACGCCCAGCTAATTTTTGTATTTTTTTTTAGTAGAGACAGGGTTTCACCATGTTGATAAGGCTGGTCTCAAACTCCTGACCTCGTGATCCGCCTGCCTTGGCCTCCCAAAGTGCTGGGATTACAAGCGTGAGCCACCACACCCAGCCATGTTGAGCTTTTCGAGGAATCATCAGGTTCCACAGTGGCAAGACTGGTTACCTTTTGAAAAACTCACCCTGGCTGCAGGGTGGGGACCTGATCAAAGCAGTTTTAACTGGGGGTGTCAGTAGATTCATAGGTAGGGTCAGATGGCTGTGGTGAGGCGGAATTGATCTTTTTGAATTGCAATACATATCATAAAGCCTTAAATGTACATGACCAAGGAGGCATGTATCATGGTCAAAGTATCATTGAAGATGGAATCTACAGATAGATAGTCATTTGAGGCTTGGCTGAGATACTCACTAACTGTGTAATACTCTGGCAGCCTAAGTTGCTGTTCTGGACCTTGGCCTTCTTGCAAGAAAGCATAATGGCTCATATTAGTTATCCTTTGTCAGGAGGAGCCTGTGATTGGATAGGTGAATGGCTTGGGAGAAATCAAACCCTATTGCCAAAAGAACATAAGGATTCTGCAGAGTACTAAGCAATTAAATTCAAAGGTTTTATGTGAACATGGGAAGCTGATAAGTTTTGTTTTGTGACTGTGTATCAAAGTGATGGAAATATTTGAATTTAAAGGAAAGTTCAGGAATACATCTTTTGGGGAAAAACACACCTGTACTTTTACCTTGCCCGCTCTGCGATCATTCTTTTTGTTTGTCTAATATGACACATAGTTGTCATTTTATAAAATCTTTCTTTAAAGGGCGAGATAATTGTCTTACATTTCTTGCCCAGTGTCTCATGCATAGAAGACATTTGTTAAATGCTCTATTTGTTAAATATCTGAGTGAATGTGACAGTGGAGAGAAAGGGCAACAGTCCTACAGCTGATTGGGAAGTTTCAGCCTTTCTTTGTAAATTTGGTGTAGGAATGAAGGTGATGTTACAATAAGAATTTTAGGCTGGGTGTGGTGGTGGCTCATGCCTGTAATCCCAGCACTTTGGGAGGCCAAAGCAGGAGGATTGCTTGAGGCCAGGAGTTTGAGACCAGCCTGGCCAACATGGTGAAACCCCATCTCTACTAAAATTACAAAAATTAGCCAGGTGTGGTGGCGCATACCTGTAATCCCAGCTATGCCAGGAGGCTAAGGCACACTAATTGCTTGAACCTGGGAGGTGGAGGTTGCAATGAGCCAAGATCATGCCACTGCACTCCAGCCTGGGCCACAGAGTGAGACTCTGTCAAAAAAAAAAAAAAAAGAATTTTGAATCTTTGGAGAATATTGGGTAGAAATAGAAAAGGACCTGTGGGAAACAATGGGTCTTCTGTGTTCTCTCCTATTCAGAAGATGTCAATAATTATGTGTTCTCATTTAGCCATCATGTAATTTTCTTACCTTAAAGAAGTTTTATTTTTACTTAACAAAGTTGAGATCATAGACCATCTTATACTTCACTGTTTCCCCGTTGGATAAACATGGAAATGAACAGCATTTTATGAAATGATTGATGTTCTTTTGCTACCAGAGTGTTGCACTTGTTCAGAATTATGAATATATTCATGCTTGGGTCCGCTATAAACAGGAGTATAAAATTTTAAACTTTTTACTCTGAATTTGGTCACTGAGCCAACAACGGAGATACCAAAATTATAGTCTTGCTTTTTCCTCCTGTTTTCCAATTGGTCCCTGGGCCTTGGGTTGTGGGAGAAAGTAGCAGATATTGAAGAAACACTACCAGGTAGAACTGGAGCCCCATTTATGTCTCAGACAGAGAGGATTAGCTTCAGGAGTTCTCACCTTTCTCAGGCCTCGATACCTTTGTTACAAGGATTTTGGATGATGTGGTACAATTTTATAGTTTTAAACCCTGCACCACCCTACTTATATTCCCTCTTATTAGCTTTTGTTAAGCCAAAAAAAAAAAAAAGGAAATAATTTCTACTTGAGAGAAGAGATCGTAGTTGTGAAGTGAAGCCACTTTATCAGAAGGCTTGGGCATTATGTAGGGATCTTGTTGGCCTAGATGCTGATGTAGACCCTCACTGAGTCTCATTGTCATCATGTTTTGCAAGGCTGTCTGGCCTTGCTTAGGCTGTACTTCTGCGGTTACATGCTTAGATCTCCTAAAAATTCAAAGCTCTCAGCAGGTTTGTGAGCACTTTTTCAGAGTTGATAAAAAATGTAATAAAGTTTCGTTAAAATGTGTAATATATACGTATATAGAAAATTCATGTAGTAACTAGATACATATATTTGCAGTGATGGTATTTATTACTTAATGCTTATATGCTTTGTTTAGGAATTACTAAAAACCTCTGTCATTTTTATAATTAAAATGTCATGTTACATTTGCATATTATATATGCATGTGGCTGCATTTTCTGGAACAAAACTTGGCATATATAATTAGACTGGTAAAAAGATATTAGTAGATATGAGTTCCATAGGAGCAAATATGTGAAGTCCCTATTCTGAAAAACTAGGACTTTTGAGCCCTGCCAATTATGTATGTGAAAGTTTTGTTAGTCTCAGTTTAAATTTTAGGGATAAACGCTGATTTCCTTCCTTCCTTCATTCCTTCATTCCTTCCTTCCTTCCTATCTACCTACCTACCTACCTACCTACCTTCCTTTCTTTCTCTTTCTTTCCTTTCTTTCTTTCTTTCTTTTCCCAGTGGTTACATTGCAGGTTCAGAAAAACACCGTCACATATTCTGTCTATTGGTAGGAATTAAAACCCTTCAAGGTCACAAGTGGGTCTTTGAAGCCTAGAGGTCCCCCAGGGGCTTTGTGAATCAAGTTGCTCACAAGCAGCTTTTCCATTTTCTACTTGTTCTACATGTGAAGGTATCAGTGACATGGTCAGGGGACTAACTAGCTTTAAGCAGGAGTCATTTATGAAGGCAAAACACTGGAGGGCAAATTCCCTCTCACACTCTGCAGCACTGGAGAATGAGAGCCACTCGGAGTCACAAGGAATAAAGTTTTGTGACTGAACAACCAAGCTCTCTGTCAAGAACAACAAAAAGTAAAGCACCAAAGCTATTGCTGAAGGCGTCAGCAAGCTTCCACTGAATTGAGTGCAAAGTAGAAAATACTCAGAGGTCTGACAATTTAAAGTGCAGTATGAAACAAGTTCAGGACTCATGGTTTATATGAGCAAAGATTGCTTTTCCCTCCAGGCTAATGACTCTCAGAAGTCCTGATTAAAATTTTATTTCAGTTTGTCTCATTTTATAAGTAGGATGTTTGTGGCATTAATGTGATTTCTGTTCCATTTCACCCATCAGTTTGAGTTTACAATATTAGAAATCTACCTAGATGAAGAAAGTCTTTTATATATTTAATCAAATCACCTGAGTAGATTACTGATGGTATAAGCAAGTTGGTTTTTAACATATCCGAATATATTTTAATGTGAACATAAAACCATTGAGGGTTTTTAAAATACTTTTGTACTTTTAACAGAAACTAGGATGTTTTTGCTGAAAATTAAAAACTATTTTTTAAGAAAATTTTGATTGGGCATATAGAAATCAGCCAACAAATTATTGAGAGCACACATCCTTTAAGAAGTAGGAAAATGTTTCATGTATGCATAAATATTTAATTTGAAATACTAGTTTCCTTTTCTTTTCTTACTGTTACCACATTTATGACTACAGGTAAGCTTGGTGCTTCATCAGGTTTCACTTCCACTCAGTTGGGTGTGTACATTTGTGAATGTGTGAGTTGGGGTGGGACAGACAGGTTTTGAAGACCTTCATAGTTTGAGGACTAGGAAGAAAGAGAGACATCCTGGGAGGGTGGGAAGAGCCTGTATTTTGCAGTGGTGGTTCTAGTTATTTATTGCTTTGTAACAAATTATGTCAAAACTTAGTGGCTTAATACAAACAACAGTCAATTAGCTTGCCAATAAATCTGCAATTTGGATGGGCCTCACAGCGAGTGACTTGTCTCTGCTCAGATTGGATGACTTAAATTGCTAGAGGCATTTCTCTCCATGTAGTTTCAGGCCTTCTCTCTATTTCTCCATCTTGTCCCTCTCCAAGGTGGCTTTGAGGTAGTTGGATGCGGTGGTTCACATCTCCAAGGATAAATATTCTGGAGACCCAGGTGGAAGTGGCAAGGCCTTTTATAATCTAGTCTTGGAAGTCACTCAGCATCTCTTCCACCGTATCCAACAGGTACATCAGGCTGGCTTTGACTTGTGTGGAGGGGGATCATAGAAGAGTGTGAGTATCAGAGGTGCAGATGATTGGGGGACCACCTTGAAAGTTAACATAGGGGTTAAAACAAGACCTCTGGAGCTGGACTACCTGGGTTCAAAGCTGGGTCCGGCCTTTTAGGCCATGTCACCTTAGACTAATTTTCTCTCTTTGAAGCTTGGTTTCCTTGTCAACAAAATGGGGGATAGTAGTCATATCTATCTCATAGATTGTTATGAAGATTAAATGAGATAGAAGATAGTGTTTGGCCTGTAAAGTGCTCAGTAAAAGTTAATTCTCATTATTGTCATTGCTATAATGTCACCAATATGGTAATTTACATGAAAATGCAAATTTTGGGGGACTGAAGTTTTTTTGGGGGGGTGTATGTCACAGAAGATCACACATTTCCATTTCTGCCCTCTTATACTTACCTCACAGGTGAATATTAAAAGAGATGTTTCTACTTTAAGGTAAATTAGGGTGAGGTCATCCACTCTACACAGGTGTCAGACTCACTCTCCTGATCCTATGACTGAACAGGAAAGATTATTTCATGTGAATGTAAAATTTATACCTATGTACTTTGCCTAAACTGTCCAGAATAAATGCGAATATATATTTCTGCTCTTTTTAGAGACCAATACTGTGTTTTGGGCATTGCATGTATAGAAACTACTATGTAGAACAGGGCAAACAATTACATATCATGTACATGTTGAGCATGGGCAATGTCACTTCATAGCAAGAGAGAGCTCAGTGTAGTCTATACTCTTATCAATGCGTATCATACATACTTGATGTTGAGAATAATCAGATCCTAAGCATATTCAGTTAACCAGAACTGAGCAATGCTCCAACTACAAACAAGGGTTCCTTGATTGTACCCAGCTCTGAAAACCCAGCAACTAAACCAAAATGACTGTTAATAGAAATTTTTCAGTGGCGTACATCAATTTACAATGAGTGACTCACCTATGGCCAGTGACGTAATGTAAACACTCTCACTGCAATATTACCTCCAAGCAGGGAAGAATGTGCCAAAGGCAGAGAAAATATGAATACAATGATGTCAACACAAAAGTACATGTCTTTTTGTAAAACTAACTTTTCTTATGGATGACTTTCACTTAGAACATTGCTGGTTCCAGGGCAGTTCTGAAAATGAGGATTTAAGAAATCCTACTCTCGACAGCAAATAACCCATGGAGCAATATTTTTCATTCTCTCACTCTCTCTATTTTTATTTTGAACCTCTTAAATGCCCAACTTTCAAAGCATTTCCAGATTTCACATTTATCCAAACACATGTGATAAAATTGAAATGAATAGAGGCCCTGAAATATTGTTTTACACAACAGTTCATCATAATATTTACATTTGATGTTACCAAAATACTTCCTTTCCTTTACAGAAACTATAAACCTGGTTTGGCATTAATACTCATTATCTCTACTTAAATACACCTTTTTTTTTTTTTTTCCTATAGCTGAGGTACAGAAGCCCTATCCAAGTTGTTAATGAAGTACCTGAGTCCCAGAGGCACCCTGAGCTATAATAGTCTTTGAAATAAGAAGCTTATGAATAATTCAATGCTGTGGCTCCTCTAGTGGTGGGATTATTTCCTTTAGCACTACAAAATAAAAAATTTAGTGTGTTTTATCTTAGAGGTAGGCAGACTAATGAACTGGAACCAAATTTGGGCCACTGAATTAGCTCTAATGCTTTTTACCAGATCTAATGGAGGGAAATGAAGAGTCATGCATCTTATTTTTGATAAATCCCACAAATAAATTTGGTTGGAATATACAACAATATTGCTTCTATAGTATTGTTCTAAAATTAGGAAGTATTCAATCTGATGTTTGTCATCAAAGATTAAATCTTTCCTGTTACCGAAACTAAATGATTGGTAGATCACTCATCTCTAAAGGAGCCCGAATAATTGCTTTTATTTAAATAGTAAGAAATTATGGCCTTTGTCATGCATGATGATAAAATTTCCAAAGCCCATAATTCCTGCTTGGAGTAATCCTCTTATTGCATTTTATTTGAACTGGTCTCAGGGTTATGTTAGCTGATTACCACACGAGTAAATACATACTTCCCTTGCGTAGCAAACATCAGAGCCCTTTCTAAAAGCATAGGTTGGGCGGGGCGCAGTGGCTCACACCTGTAATCCCAGCACTTTGGGAGGCCGAGGTGGGCAGATCACGAAGTCAGGAGATCGAGACCATCCTGGCTAACACGGTGAAACCCCGTCTCTACTA
Organism: Homo sapiens; assembly: GCF_000001405.40. Classification (NCBI taxonomy): domain Eukaryota; kingdom Metazoa; phylum Chordata; class Mammalia; order Primates; family Hominidae; genus Homo; species Homo sapiens. The sequence goes on from NC_000003.12 coordinate 5,800,289, forward strand.
AAAATACCAAAAATTAGCCAGGCGCGGTGGCGGGCGCCTGTAGTCCCAGCTACTCGGGAAGCTGAGGCAGGAGAATGGCGTGAACCCGAGAGGTGGAGCTTGCAGTGAGCCCAGATCGGGTCACTGCACTCCAGCCTGGGTGACAGAGCGAGACTCCGTCTCAAAAAAAAAAAAAAAAAAAACAACAAAAAACAAAAAACATAGGTTGGGAGGAGATTCCCATTTGGTAGAGTGAGACTTGCTCTAGGACAGATTCTCTTTAACTTGCCAGAAACAGAAGTGTGTGTTTTTTTAAAAAAATTTTATTTGTTTTGAGCTTCATGGTTTCACTTGTGATCACAAGGCCCTTGAGACACATTAAAGCAGCGCTTTAAAACAGGATGAGTATGGTTCTCATTTTTGGACCTGGGATCTGAGATCAGGTTATTATTATTTATTTTTTCATGATACTTATAAGTATATTATTATTATTTATTACTTATTTTTTGCATGATTCTTATAAGTATTATATAATGTCAATGTACTAAGTCTGTGACACCAAAGAGATTTCATTTCCCTTGTATGCAAAAATAATGACAGTGCCAGTCTCCACTCATCTGATTCACAGAGTACCAAAAGTATTCTGAAACCCTGGTTTTACCTTATTTTCACCTTCTTCAGAAGGGCCTGGGAGTGTTGATGGAAAGATGGAACTGCTTAGGTATGAGGAGCTCTGTCTGTTAAGATTGCTTTCTGCACCACCTGAGGAACCGTGGCTTAAAATGGTACAGGTTCATTTTCCTTCTTTCTTTTTTCCTTCCTTTGTCCTTCCTCTTTTTCTCCCTCCCTCCCTTCCTTCTTTTTTACTGACTTTTACACAATTTGATGATTTGATTTTTCTAGTGTCAGCGAATTCTGGGAAAAAAAAAAAATAATAATGACCAGTCTGAAGGTAGGTATTTGCTGGCATTGGTTCTAGTCTTTAACGATGCTGAGGACAGCATCTCTGGAGTTTCCTTGTCGTTTTCCTTATCTTTACCAACCATGGTTGCAGAGGCCATGTGATAGGAATTTCACATTAGTTTGAATGCAGAAGCATATATGAGAATCCAATGGTCTTCTACAAAGCCAGATATTACAAAGATTAGCAAAAATATAAAACAATGCCATTCTTCTCATTATTAATATTATTTGCTTTGGAAAAATTATTTTAACACAAATGTTATTTATGTCAATATTTAGTGATTTTGTTGTCTTTATACAAATTAAAAATCTTTTTAAAATCTTCATGTTTAACTTCTGAATTAGTAAATATTTATTTATTTTTTTATTATACTTTAAGTTCTAGGGTACATGTGCACAATGTGCAGGTTGGTACATATCTGTACATGTGCCATGTTGGTGTGCTGCACCCATTAACTCATTTACATTAGGTGTATCTCCTAATGCTTTCCCTACCCCTCCCCCTACCCCACAACAGGCCCTGGTGTGTGATGTTCCCCTTCCTGTGTCCATGTGTTCTCATTGTTCAGTTCCCATCTATGAGTGAGAACATGTGGTGTTTGGTTTTTTATCCTTGCGATAGTTTGCTGAGAATGATGGTTTCCAGCTTCATCCATGTCCCTACAAAGGACATGAACTCATCATTTTTTATGGCTGCATAGTGTTCCATGGTATATATGTGCCACATTTTCTTAATCCAATCTATCATTGATGGACATTTGGGTTGGTTCCAAGTCTTTGCTATTGTGAGTAGTGCCGCAATAAACATACGTGTGCATGTGTCTTTATAGCAGCATGATTTATAATCCTTTGGGTATATACCCAGTAATGGGATGGCTGGGGCAAATGGTATTTCTAGTTCTAGATCCTTGAGGAATCACCACACTGTCTTCCACAATGGTTGAACTAGTTTACAGTCCCACCAACAGTGTAAAAGTGTTCCTATTTCTCCACATTCTCTCCAGCAGCTGTTGTTTCCTGACTTTTTAATGATCACCATTCTAAGTCGTGTGAGATGGTATCTCATTGTGGTTTTGATTTGCATTTCTCTGATGGCCAGTGATGATGAGCATTTTTTCATGTGTCTTTTGGCTGCATAAATGTCTTCTTTTGAGAGTGTCTGTACATATCATTTGCCTACTTTTTGATGGGGTTGTTTGTTTTTTTTCTTGTAAATTTGTTTGAGTTCATTGTAGATTCTGGATATTAGCCCTTTGTCAGATGAGTAGATTGCAAACATTTTCTCCCATTCTGTAGGTTGCCTGTTCACTCTGATGGTAGTTTCTTTTGCCATGCAGAAGTCTTTAGTTTAATTAGATCCCATTTGTCAATTTTGGCTTTTGTTGCCATTGCTTTTGGTGTTTTAGACATGAAGTCCTTGCCCATGCCTATGTCCTGAATGGTATTGCCTAGGTTTTCTTCTAGGGTTTTTATGGTTTTAGGTCTAATGTTTAAGTCTTTAATCCATCTTGAATTAATTTTTGTATAAGGTGTAAGGAAGGGATCCAGTTTCAGCTTTCTACCTATGGCTAGCCAGTTTTCCCAGCACCATTTAAATAGGGAATCCTTTCCCCATTTCTTGTTTTTGTCAGGTTTGTCAAAGATCATATGGTTGTAGATGTGTGGTATTATTTCTGAGGTCTCTGTTCTGTTCCATTGGTCTATCTCTCTGTTTTGGTACGAGTACCATGCTGTTTTGGTTACTGTAGCCTTGTAGTATAGTTTGAAGTCAGGTAGCGTGATGCCTCCAGCTTTGTTCTTTTGGCTTAGGATTGACTTGGCAATGCGGGCTCTTTTTTGGTTCCATGTGAACTTTAAAGTACTTTTTTCCAATTCTGTGAAGAAAGTCATTGGTAGCTTGATGGGGATGGCATTGAACCTGTAAATGACCTTGGGCAGTATAGCCATTTTCACCATATGGATTCTTCCTATCCATGAGCGTGGAATGTTCTTCCATTTGTTTATGTCTTCTTTTATTTCATTGAGCAGTGGTTTGTAGTTCTCCTTGAAGAGATCCTTCACATCCCTTGTAAGCCGGATTCCTAGGTATTTTATTCTCTTTGAAGCAATTGTGAATGGGAGTTCACTCATGATTTGGCTCTCTGTTTGTCTGTTACTGGTGTATAAGAATGCTTGTGATTTTTGCACATTGATTTTGTATCCTGAGACTTTGCTGAAGTTGCTTATCAGCTTAAGGAGATTTTGGGCTGAGACGATGGGGTTTTCTAGATATACAATCATGTCTTCTGCAAACAGGAACAATTTGACTTCCTCTTTTCCTAATTGAATACCCTTTATTTCTTTCTCCTGCCTCATCAACATACGCACATCAATAAACGTAATCCAACATATAAACAGAACCAAAGACAAAAACCACATGATTATCTCAATAGATGCAGGAAAGGCTTCTGACAAAATTCAACAGCCCTTCATGCTAAAAACTCTCAATAAATTAGATATTGATGGGACGTATCTCAAAATAATAAGAGCTATGTATGACAAACCCACAGACAATATCATACTGAATGGGCAAAAACTGGAAGAATTCCCTTTGAAAACTGGCACAAGACAGGGATACCCTCTCTCACCACTCCTATTCAACATAGTGTTGGAAGTTCTGGCCAGGGCAATCAGGCAGGAGAAAGAAATAAAGGGTATTCAATTATGAAATAGTAAATATTTAATCCACATGAGCAAAAGTCCTGTAGGGGAGCTCTCAATAATAATAATTTAAAGAATTCTGAGACCAAGATGTTTAAGAAATGATGCTTTATAAAATGAGGCTATCAATTGTTAGTGTACATATGCCTTTGCATTTGTTTTTCTCAGTTTATCATTTGCCTGTTATTTATTGTGTTTTTATTATCGTAGTTTTATTATTTTTCTGGAGTCTATTCTCTGGATTTACTCCTTGTGTATCTCCTCCTACTATTCTTGTGTTTATAGTGTTTTGATTAAACATTACCTCATGTTCATATTTTTATGTTTTAGTTTTTATGTAATGTAAAATATAAATGTAACTCCCCCTCATAATAAAGCCAGCAGTCTCAATGTCATATTTTGAAGAAGTCTTCCTTTCCTGTACTTATCATTTGACAAAATCTATTTGTACATTTGGCATGTTAAGAAACTTCCCATTTGTCCCACTAGTCTGTAGATATTGCTTTGCTAGTATCTACAGATTATGGTCTGTAGGCTATTCGTATTACCATGCCTTTATAACATGACTTTGACACTTGATATTAAAGTGCCCCTTGTAATTTTCCTTTCCTACAATGGTACTGATTATTTTTATGCACTTATTTTCCCAGATAAAATTTAGAGTAACCCTCTTAAGTTACAAAAATACACAGTGGTATGTTTATGGGAATTGTATTGATATGGGAAATACATACCTTTGGGGGTTATTGACTTCTTTATACTTCTGAGTCTTCAAGTATTCCTGTCCAATATTTTGTCATTTTTCATGTATTCAATAAAGGTTTATGTATTCTTTCTTGTAGGTCTTGAACTTTTTTGTTAGATTTACTTTTATGATAGTATGGTGTTCTTTCTAATTTTCTAAGAATATTTGGTTACTTAAAATTCTTTTTTATTGTAATGCCATTAGCTTTGTTAAAAGTTTCATCCTCAGTTTAGGAAGATGTTGGTTACTCCTTCCTGTAAGCTCCCAATTCCTCTGTCCATACTTAACATGTGTTAATCATATATTATTATTGTTATTCATCTTTTATACACTTCTATTGTGTTACAAAATCTGAGAGTGACTCAAATTCTATTTCTCCAACACAGATTTCAGAAAATATTTCCAAAATGAACCACTTTGCTGTGTGTCGCAAGTTATTGCTACTTCTGAAACCCCCTTTTTCTTTCCTTGTAATTTTACATTGGCAATTACATTTCAACATGAGTTTTGACTGGGACAAACCACACCATCTAAACTGCAGCATTCTGTTTTAGGTATATTGCCTTCTTGGAGACAGACTATTCGACTTCCGTAATTAAAAAGAAGTCCAACTCTTAGGCCTGTTCATTATAGAAAAATTGATTCATAATTATAAGTGAAATTTATATTTCATTAAACATTTTTTCAACGAATTGACTAGTGTCCTAATGGTCTTGTTTATTTAAACAATTAAATTAACATTTAATGAGCAAGAAAACTTGTAGTCAATTAAAGACCAAAGTAATATACATACTGCATTTTCCAGCAATTAATTGATAACTTGCTTACCACGGGCTAACAATTAACCAGGGAAACATTCCTAGGAAGTAGAAAACATTAATGCAAATGAGTTTCGGATTTATTCTTTTCAAATCAGTTTACCATGTTATCTAATCTGGCATAAACAGAAAACCCCCAAGAAGGATTAACATTCAAAAAACATCTCTAAAGCCTGCTGGTGTTGGGAACCCTAATTGTTTTGGCAACATAAATTGTTAAAGCAAGGAATTTCTAAAGGCAGTTGACAGCCATCACAAGTATCTGAATTGAAAAAAAAGAAGAATAAATGAGTTTTCTATATGTTGCCCTATATGCTGTAGACTAGCAGCTCACAGTATGTTCTTGGCCTGTGGGGCTATTACTGTGATCATGCTCACCTATAGCCATGGCTGGCAGCATACGTGGTTATACGTATCATAGCTAAATGATACCTCCACCACCAAGAAAGCATATTGCAAGTGACTGTGAGAGACATTATAAACCTTGACTTTTCACTACTTTATATTTAGAAAGTCATTCATTTTTTTTTTTTACCCTGATCCTTTAACACTTATTAACTCAAAACTGAATGTGACCCAAAGTGGGTCACTATGCTGTGTCATTACATCATGATTGAGAATTGCTGGAGTAGAGCCTATTTTTGTAATTCCTGTGAATGAGACTCATGATTCTCTTCAGGTAAACCACTGAAGATTCATTCACCTCTCCAGGTGTTCAATGAGTTAGTGTTATATTTGACAATGGGGAAAAATTACAGCTATCATGTGAGTAAAATAACTAGATTAGGGTTTCTCAACCACAGCACTATTGATATTTTTGCAGGTTAGTTCTTTCTTGCGTGGGGCTCCCTTGTGCATTCTAAGATGTTTAGCTGCTTCCTTGGTTTCTGTCCACTAGGTGCCAGTAGTAGCCCCCACAGTATGACAATTAAAAATGTCTCCAGACATTGCCAAGTGTCTGCTGGGGGACAAAATCAACACCAGTTGAGAACCACTGCTTTACTTCACCAAGTAAGTTTGTACTGCTTATGTTCACCTTGGGAGGCTGTGTAGGCAAAGACCCAGGAACTGGTTATCCTGTTAGTAATACCTCATGCACTTAGATAATTAATTCTGACTCTACTCAAGTTATTCCAGAGAATGATAAACTCTTCACATGGTTTGAAAACCAAAGGGAATATGCAGTGATAAAATCACCTACAAGAGATGTGTTTTCTTGCCTTTCCAGGGATAGCCAAATGAGATGAAGAAGTTCATAGTTTGTTAAAAATATTTGGTTCATTTTTAGAGGGAACTTTAATGTGTTTTTCTGAATGATGTGGCATTAATCACCAGAAAAAAAATGTTCTTACCTAAAGGAGACATCCCTATTCTGCACTTTTGAGACACAACCATCTCGTGTTCTGCAGGAAAACGAGTCTTGTGTTGACTCATAGTTCATCTGTTTGTGATATCGTCTTCATCTGGGCAGACTGTAGAGAGAAATTACATGAGGTCTATTAAGGCTCGAACGTTACCCATCTATCCCAGTAGAACAGTCACCAAAAAAGATAATTTTTCTCAATATCACCATTACCTTCAGTCTGTATGAAATTATTTCCTTTGTCTACAGAAAACCAATGGATCATTTTAACTATTTATTCTGCTCAAGTTGTCAAACTAAAGCAGAGTGGAAATGCCAATAATTTATAGCCAGGCCTTAACACACTTCTAGCGTATCATAGATGGAAACCTAAACACACAGTAGACAGGTTTCATCAATAAAAGAAAAATAGCTGGCCATGATAAGGCAGACCAAAATCTATGTGGACAAGTCTTCACCAAAAGGGAATTCACATTTAAGTTTTCATCAAATATATTTTTCCCATCACCTTTCATGCTGTTAACACTTGGTGATAGTGATCGGTTATTTCTGTACCCTGAAGAGTCTGGCGTTGGCCTGGCACTGACAAAGTGCAAGCAGCAAAAGGATCTTGAATAAATAGATCAATTAGCAGTTCTGTTATTATCAGAAAAGATTGTAGCATTATAATTACAGCAGCAATGTGACTTCTATGCAATGAAACAAGTAACACTCAGTGCATTTGTCATTTTTTGGTCTAAAATATCAGCAAATAAACTGATATTTATCAAAACAAGCCTCTTCTTTATAGAATTTCTTAAGGTAGAAACATATTCCTAAGAAGAAACCTGAGTGAGACTGGAACCAGGAATGGTTTCATGATGCAATGTTTTTTAAAAAAGATTTTTTAAAATAAAATTAGCTTTATATTTTAAAACATCTCTCTAATAAACAATTTACGTGTAACAAACATACAACACTTGGAAAAGACAGAAATAGGTATTATTAAGAAATCTGGCTGGGCGCAGTGGCTCATGCCTGTAATCCCAGAACTTTGGCAGGCCGAGGCGGGCAGATCCCGAGGTCAGGGGTTTGAGACCAGCCCGGCCAACATGGTGAAACCTCATCTCTACTAAAGATACAAAATATTAGCCCGGCATGGTGGCAGGTGTCTGTAATCCCAGCTACTTGGGAGGCTGAGGCAGGAGAATCGCTTGAATCTGGGAGGCGGAGGTTGCAATGGGCCGAGATTGCACCATTGCACTCTACACTGGGTGACAGAGTAAGACTCCATCTCAAAAAAAAAATAAAAATCCAACTCATAATTTTTATAATTCCATTTCTCAGGAATAATACAGTTAATATATTGACCAATTTATATACAAATTATCACAATTACTTCATATAATCTGAGATAAATATATCTGCTTCTTTAAGTTGACAATATATTATGAACATTTTGAGTTTCATTATAGATTTAGACACATTGCTTTCGAGGGTTATGCAAGATTTCACTGTAATGAGTGTACCAAGATTGATATAATTATATGTTTATTACTGGCTATTTAGGATAAGTTAGTATTGCTCAGTTTAAAAAACATATTAGAATTACTATTCCGCACATTTTTGTGCCTTGAACTTGGAATTGAACTTGGAATTGAGGCTACGTCTGTTTTTAAGCATCTTGTTAAATCTCACCAACTGTTATAGCTTGAATTGTGTTCCCCTAAAAGTTATATGTTTTAATCTGAACTTTCAGCACTTCAGAATATGATGTTATTTAGAAACAGGGTCGTTGCAGATGCAATAAGTTAAGATGAGGTAACACTGGAATAGGTGGGCCCCTAAGTCAATATGACTGGTGTCCCTATCCAAAGGGGGAAATTGGGTACAGACCAACAGAGGGAAGGTAACATGGAGAGACACAGGGAGAAGATGGACATCTACAATCCAAAGAGAGAGGCTGAGAAAGATCCTTCTCCCACAGCTCTGAGAAGGTTTGAGCTAACGCTGCCAACACCTTGGTTTCAGAGTAGTATCCTTGAGAACTGTGAGGCAATACATTTCTGTTGGTTAAGCCACTGAGTTCGTGGTACTTTGTTACTGCAGTCCTAGCAAATCGATACAATGAGCCAACACTGCAGAAAAGTTATCCCCGCTCAGAGTGCCCTCTCCCTAGCCAGTCCCAGCATACCTCTACTGATGCCTAAAACAGTTTTGCCAAGACTTTTTAATCTTTTGCTATCTTTTTTCTCCAGGTCAGTGTGTATCTCTATTTCCCTTCTTCCAGTCTGTAGTCCTTGTAGAGGGCGTTGTCTTATCATATCATTCCTATAGTCTTGAAATAATTAAAAAATCATAATACTAGCAACAACAGGTAATATTGAATGCTTTCTATGTTCAGGCTTTATACTAAACTAAGCTCTTCATGTTAATTATCTCCTTTATTGCCATGTTAATGGACTCATAGAAATGAAGCATAATCTCCATGCGTTTTTGTCGTTTGTTTTGCTTTGTTGTATAGGTGGTGTCCTGTGTGTTTTTCACATCCATTATATGTTGACAGCTTTGCTACTCTGGCATAAACCTTTAAAAATGATTGCTCCCTGGTGCGGGGTTATAACTAACGAAGCTCTAACTACAGTGGTTCTCAGAAAAACAGATTAGAATTTGCATTAGGGTGGCATTTATTCCGGGAGTGGGAATTTTCACTGAATTGAATTCCAATTCAGTTGGAATGTCACTGGAATCTTCATAGTATTTCAGTTCACCGAGTAACCCCCCACCTCACCCTGAGGAGGGAGGAGCACAGCAGCCAAAAAAGACCCTTCTGATGGTCAGGAGGCCAAGTAGGAGACAAACGTTACTAAGTGATTGTGAGCATCCAGGACGATGGTGCTGAAAGCTGAAGGAGGAGTGGAACACAGCCTCTGGGGCTGAGGAGAAGAAACCATCTGAAGCCAGAGTAGTAAGGAGAGGGGTACAGGGAGGCGACTGGGAAGCAATCAGTGAGGGTTGGATTGGGGCAGGCCGGGAACAATCTGAGGGGCAAGACTGACAGAGCAGGGTTTGGGAACAGGGGGAGAGGAGAATTTGTAGCAAGACGAGATGGGCTCATGTCAAGGAACAGAAAGAGAAGTTAATGAAAGGAGAATGGGCTGACAGCTGCTCTGGATTTTTGTCATTTAGGATGCAGCTGCTGGCTAATGTAGGGCTGTTTGGGTGAAGACAGCTGTCAAAGCCTGATGTTAGCAAACCTCCCGCGTAAGCACTATGCAAACACTGCTGCAAGGGTGGAGTTTAATGGGAGAAAAAAGTTTGTTTTTTTTTTTCTCATTAGAACAGATTTCTTACTATCAGTAAAGAAACGTGTATTTTGCTCTGAACTCTTTAAGGGATCACCTAGGAAATATGTGGTTTCAGATTTAGAGGGTGTGAAAACTGGTAGGAGCCTAAAGACCCTTGGTTTTAAATAGCCTGAAGCTCTGAAGGGTTGGGAGCATTCATTTATTGATTTATGCCAATGCCTTCTCCAAGTGTCTAGCCTCAATTCAGTGAATGTTCTTTCAGCCTGAAAGAGTTAATGCTGCTTCCTGGGTGCACTTTGGCTTTTTCCTCCTAGGGGAGCTACTAATGTATTTTTTTTCCAAAGGTGTGACATGAGGGCTTGATGTCTTCATAGAGAGACCCTGCCTGTCTACTGCAAAGACCTAATCTCCTGTATGGGTAATAAAATGCTTGTTTATGCATGAAGCTAAATATCAAATTTGGCTAAAATGCAGATGATGGTGACAGCCATAATCCTATATGTGTTTCTTTTGGGAGTTCCTTAATTGTATTCACAACTGTCTAGCTGGAGAAGATTATGTGCTCGGATTCATCTAGTTTGAAGTTCATTCATCTCATATTCGGGTAGCTGTCTTTACCTTGGCCCTGCCATTATTCACTAATCACTCCTTCTCCAATCATAGCAATCAAAGACCAAACATTTGCCAAATTATCTATTATATATTTATTTTGCATCCCTTTGCTTCATCCAGCCAGCAAGAATTTTCTGCTAACCCAGGTGTCTAGAGAAAATGATTTTGTGAAGAATTGTTTCTGGCTGATTATTTATTCATTCTATCTTTTAATAAAAATGTACTCGGTGCTTTTCTTGTGTGCCATGTGCCACGCTAGGTGCTGGGAATATGGTGGTGAACAAAAACAAACACTCTGTGCCATCCTGGGCACTGCAGTCTAGTGATAACAGCTGCAAACTCAAGGGTCCCCCAGGATTCCTGTCAGCTTTAACCACTGCATCATCACTCCAGAGTAGAACTTCCAAAGTCATTCAAGCCTTATAAACAGGTCTTCTGGGAAACACTGCAGTCGCTAACAGCAGTGGTAGCACTGGGGCTGGGTTTTCCCAGTCAGTGGTTTGTATTCCCAGTGTGACCCCCTGGCCTTTGCATGTAATCGAGTCTATCCCATTGCACATCCTCCGATCCTGCTTCCTGAGAACTGGTCCACAGCAACTGAATCCTTTTCAAATCAGAAAGAGAATGTGTTCACAAAGGCTTATTTCTCCCAAGAGAATGTACAGGATCAAGGCTGCAGTTTATAAATTCCGCTTTGGTTTAGCACTCAATAATGCCAGCGTCTCCACAGGAAAGCTTTTGTGGTCTTAGTACACAGAAAGCATGACATTTCACTATAACATTCTGTAATCTTAGATGAATTTTCCAGGTGGCTTTGCTCATTTAATTATTGAGTTTTATAACAGTAGTTCTGGCCCTTATCCAAGGATTGATGGAATCCAAGTCATTCTCCTTCCCATCAGCCCCACTTGGTACTAGATCCCTGGATCAAATCCAGAGGAAGAGCATTGTCCCCTCCCTTATCTCTCCCTTCCTTTCAGACTTACACAGGGTCTTCTGTGTGTAGGGCAGTAGGGACATAAAGATAAGCGGCAGATATATATGCAGTTCTGCCTCATTTAGTGGAAGGACCCACAAGAAGGCACCATTTTAGTATAACGTAAAAACTCTAGAAATTGCAGATAATGACAGAGCTAAAAGTTTGGACTAGGGCTTCAAGCTGAAATGAGCTTGGGTGATGGGAGAGAAGTTGGTATGGGTACATGTCTGTACATGTTATTTGATAATGAAAACAGTTTTTAATACTTACTGTAATTATAAGGCCAGATTCCGAAACAGTAAGAACAAGTAGGTATAGTAAAGTGATAGAGGGCCCATCAAGGTTCGGTGTGCTGTGGAACACGGAGGAGGGGGTGATCCATTCCCCTCCAGAGACTTCTTGGAGAGGTGATACTTGACCTGAGTCTTATGGAATCAGGCAGTAGATAGAAAAGTAATTCCTGGCTAAGGGTGCAACATGAATATAGTCCAATGGAAAAGCATTTGGGTATGAGCCAGCACAGTTTCAAGTTGTCGTTTGATGTGACTAGTGGATATTGGTGTGAAGGACAAGTTTTGGGAGAGATGAAGGAAGCAGGACTCAGATCATGAAGAACTTTGTATGTAAGGTGCACAAAAGATCCAAATGTCAAGCGTTTTCAAACAAATCAGAAGCCCTACTTAGCATCAAGCTTTACTATTAATTTAAAGAATGCAATTAATCATTAGGCTAATGCAAGAAAGGGAGCAGTCCAAGGACACAAGCATAGCTCCCCAGTCCCTTCTTGCTGAGTCAGGCAGGATGCACTCTGGCCCAGGTCAACAAATGTGATTTTTAAGTAATGTATGCAGTTACTTTATTTGTTTATTTGTTTATTTATTGTTTGAGACGGAGTCTCGCTTTGTCACCCAGGCTGGAGTGCAGTGGCGCAATCTCGGCTCACTGCAAGCTCCGCCTCCTGGGTTCACACCATTCTCCTGCCTCAGCCTCCCGGGTAGCTGGGACAACAGGTGCCCACCACCACACCCAGCTAATTTTTTGTATTTTTAGTAGAGACAGGGTTTCACTGTGTTACCTAGGATGGTCTTGATCTCCTGACCTCGTGATCTGCCCGCCTCGGCCTCCCAAAGTGCTGGGATTACAGGCATGAGCCACCGTGCCCGGCCGCAGTTACATTATTTATGCAAAACAAAGCAGTTTTGGCCATACATCATCTCAATTTTACACTTACATAGTCAGATAGCTTACATGATGTTTTCCAGGGAGCTGTGTTCCGTAAATCTATAGTGTTCTATGTTTGTTTACCATAAGCAATCCTAGAAAGACTAGGTACGTCTCACTAAAAGCATTCCATTAATAAGGCTTCTGCTAGCAAACATCAATTTTATGTTTGCCAAGTCTATTATTATGCTATTAGTATGGTTACAAGAAGATTTGGCCTTTTTGCTTTATTTCCTTCCTGGGTAATTTCCTGTCCACCTTCCCCACACAGGAATGAGTGAGAATGGGTTGTAGGCTTCCTAGTCACCATTTCCTTCTTAGTATGCATTTCGACTATTATAAAAACCAGTGTGGCATTCGAAATACAGTCCACACAATCTGAATCACCTGGGATTCTGAGTGAAATGCGTACACCTGTATCTTGCCCAAGACCTACTGAATTAGTTCTCTCAAGTGGGGCCCTGGGAATTTGCATTTTAAAGAAGCTCACAAGATAATTATTATGCAAGCTAATGTTTGAGGCTTTATTAGTAAATGATGGTGGAATTTGAAGTGAGTTCCAATGTTTAAACTAGGGGTAATTCTGAGATCTTCAGTAGCTTAAACTGTATGAAACAAAGCTAGCACTGAAAACTTAGTAATCAATTTGGGAGATAAGGAATAAAACGTCCAGGGCATGATGGCTAAGATTATTGGAGTGAAAAAGATACATTATTTTTCATTCTAGTCAGAGCTCTGAGAATGTCAGGATTTTAACTTTCCTGGGTAAATGCGTCACCCATTCATACTAACATTCTGTGGTTATTCTACATGACTAATTGAAATGTGCTCTATCTTTTATGACAATAAAACAATTGAAATGTGCTTGATATATGGTGTTAAACTAAAATTCAAATATTTTTGAGTGGATACTTCCAGATTGCTCTTGTTTGATTATTTCTAGCTATATTCAGAGATAAACTTATTTTTCTTAGATAACAGATTATAGAAGTATTGCTTAGGAGAAGGGCTTTAGGCCCCAATCTTTAGTTCATCATTTGTTTGAGTGAAGTAGCACTGGAAGAAATTAACACTACAGTGGTGATGACAATACATCATTATCTATAGTGTATTCTATTCAGGCAAATTATTGGACTGTATAGCTGGTCAGCCAAAAGCCATAGATCAAATTCCAGAGATACCACATTCTTGTTGTATGACACTAGGCAATTTATTTAACCTTTCTGAGCATCAGTTTTCACCTATGTAATTGAGATTAATAAGAAAATCCACCTTTAAGTGTTGAGAAATTTAAATGAGAACATTCATGTAAGCAGAGAAAACAAAGTATTGAGATTATAGTGTTTAACAAATGGTAGCTATTGTTATTAGGGTCATTATATACATACATGCAGGACAGGCAGTTTTAATATGCCCAATAACTTTTTCTCTTCTGTAGTAAACAATATGCTTCATTTTCTCTTCTGTAGTAAACAACATGCTTCATTTTCTTAATCCACTATTCCTTCCTCTCTTCCATGTATTTTCTGGTAGTGCTGCCAATCAAATTACCTCTTTTTTCTCTGGCTGAGAAGTAGGTACTTGACCCACATTCATCCACTCAGAATGTCCCTACGAGGAACTGAATCTTAAGAACAGAAAATGGCTAGAAAAGAAGCATTTTAAGAAAACCCTTGAAGAACTTGTCCATAATTCCTCCTACTCAGTTTCTTGATAATGACTGTATTCCTACCCTTCCTTAGATTCAATGAGATACCCAATTTTTTTAGTACATTCATTTACATTTTCAAGAGCATTGGTTTCTGATGCTTATAATCAAAGGATCCTCAATGATGTATTAATGTTGAGGTTTTGACATATATCAAGGGACTATTTCACCTCTGTATAGTTTGTATAAATTTTAGATTTTCATACATGTGGGGTTTTTCTACTCTTATTTAATGTTATTATGTACCTTTATCCTAATAATATTAAAAATATTTTGCTAGCATCATTTTTAATGGCTACATGCTATTCCACCACAGAATTTTCCTGCAGTTTGCTTAATGATTTTCCTATGTTGGACATTTCAGGTATTACTACTCTCTGCTGTTACAAATAAAGTTCAGGAACATTGGTGACTAATTTTAGTGTTGCATCAACCTAACTGACTGTAAGTCTTCTGTCTTAAACACAGACCAAATCAGGCCAGGGTGAGTAAAGTTGGAGATCCCTTAAGCACATGCTACAGAGTCCCATGTGCCCGGAACATCAAAGACTCTCTCATTGTCTCCTACAGCTTGCCCCAGTAAGCAACCAACTACACGTCCCATTTCTTTAGGGTGTGATAACATCAAGAATATAAACAGGTACTTTAAAATGGTTTTATTATGTACAAAGATTGAAATATTTAATAGACCAGTGTTGAATGTTGAGAAGTCATGATACTACAGGAAATAATAGCTAATTTTGAATTTTTTCAATACCGAGCCCAAGTGGTTCTCTTTAACTGTGCCAATTCTGCCCATATCTCTAAAGTGGAGTCTGTACTCTGGACTTCACCTGCAGAACTGCAGAAGCTGAGAGAGTGAGTCTCATGGAGAGGTTGCCCTAGAATATATTTCAAGCAGCATCGATCCCACACAAAAGTAATCTCTTAATCATCTTACATAGAGCTCTGATCATGTATTCTTTATGCTTCAGATTGTGCTATTTTTATGGTTTGGACTCCTCAGGACTTTCTGAAATCTGAACATATATAAAGAGAATCATCTTTCTTTATATATGTAGACATTCAAGATTCTATGGTGGTTTTCTATGAATATGAAATCACAGATATCTGTTAGAGTGTGTGTAGTGCAATATTTTTGGAAAAGACATAGTCTAAGATTTTACGCTCATTGAGAGAAAGTGATTTGATTTTTCTATTGTTTGAGGTTTGTTAAAAAGTTCTAGAAATGTTAATAATACATTTTATTAACCCGATGAAAGCAACCTCTTGAAACATAATTCTGGTGATCAGTATATTTACTGGGTATCATAAATTCATTTTAGTATTAACCCAAATTCAAATTAACTTAATTATCTTTCATTTGAAAAAACAATAACACTTTTATGTCCTGGGATAGTATAGTGAGATCAAGTGAATTCAATTTGATTTGGTGATTAGATTTCCCAAGGCCAGGTCTATTTTTCTTGGCATGTATTGCCCCCTTGTCTCCTCCTTTTGAAAGCTTGATATTTTATTCTAGAAACCTAAACATATTTTCTTGTTGTAACCAACATCAATGCAATAACAATGACCCGATTTGTCAGTTTGTTCTTTTCAAAGAAAAGAACTATTAATCACTGATAGAGAGTGTTAAACCCCTGATACATTAGATAAGCTACGCCCAAGTGTTGTTTTCACAATATCTGTTATACTCCTGAAAATTACTGTGGAACCTAAAGAACTTTAGTTCATGTGAATCATGCCTATTGATATTTACCAAATTAAAAATTAAATTTGACAAGAAATATATTTTTTGTAATTCTTATAAACCTATTACATGCTAACATTAATAACAGTTATATTAGAAATAAAACTTCAATATTCTAAAGCAAAAATTAGAAGAGTGGCATTGTTTCATATTTTTTTTTTGATTTCTTTAATGGCTGGCTTAATAGAAGCCAGCTAGATTCACATCTGCTTCTGCATTACATTTATTTCAATATGTTATTTTGGCTGATGTATAGGAATAAAACCTGGCCTCACATGCGTAAGTAGCTGAACAAGGGAGATGAGTATTTTAATATCCTGTGCATAGATAATTGTGGATGATCTTCTTTGATACTATAACAAAACTTGACAAGTGGTACTTTCTTAAATGTTAGTTGCAATGTGGAATCTGAAATATTATCAATGAACTTTTTGAGCTCTGGTTTATTAATCTTTTATCTTCCTCATATTTTAAGTGGTCCTTTTACCCATAAACAGTTTACAGCATCATGCATTGATATTTTGAAGGATATTGGTTCACTCTGTTATGCACATTGTCAAGACTATTGTAATAGGAAGGCAAGACAGAGCTCAACTCTGAATACAGCAAGACAGTTGGGGATTTACAGCCAACAGGCAGAGTCTGTGCATGGAAAATTACTAAGAGGAGACATCAAGAATAGGGAGAGTCTTGCTAAACCAACTTAACAGGATTCTTACTGAAAGCAGGTCAAAGACTTAAACATCAGTGGGGTGATTCTCATTAAACTGACTTAGCAGGATTTTTGCAAAAACTGGGCTGTGCAGGCCTGGCAAGAATGGGAGCCAAGGCTGAGGATTAATTGAGAAGAGGGCTCAGAGGGTCCTGACTAAAGTTTGGTCAAGAAGATCATCTGTGTTAACATCTTTCAAATGTTGACATATTTCATTATACAATTTCAGAAATCCACAGTTGTTAACACCACAACTAAATTCATCAGAAAAGTCTTTAAGTTTCGGGAAGCTGTCATGCTGATAGTGGCAGAGATTTCCAATGTTCTAATTTTGACTTTAAGGCTCAATTTTATAACTGGTGCCAAACACTGTTCACCTTTTCCTTGAAGTGACAGGCTCACTTTATTTATTTATTTATCTTTAGAAAATATCTGTCAAATGCACAATGCTGAATAATCGTACTCTGTCTATTGTTCTTTTGAGTAAAATTGATGTTCCACATGAAAGGCAGCCATTTCAGCCAGGTAGAAGAGCTTTCTCTCAAGATAACCATCACATTTCATTATGCAGAAGTATATGAAAGGATATTACTTCCAGGTATGTGACTTAAATGTTAAACAGGTGTACTCAAGGGTTAAGATTTAACAACTTTTACTGCTTTGTCAAGGACAATCTTAGGCAAAACTGGCACTGAAAAAAAATTGCAAGTGCATTTTGGTGCAGAATACAATGAATAGTAGTATGGTTTAGTTTCAGTGTTTTGATTTGTGCTAACGCAACAGTAGTCTTACCCACCATAGCTTTTGCACCAATTAATAAAAATGTCAACCAGCGAAAAAGGCTTCGACCGTCTGAATATTTTTAGGAAAGTAGTTTTGACCTCATGGACCCCATGAAAGGGTTCTGGGAACTCCCAGGGTATGCAAACCAAACTTTGAAAACTACTTAGATCGTCAACATTTGGAAAATGATTTCTGCTGTACCATTTTATGCTAACCTTCAATTTTGCTAATTTCCCAGGGGCCTGTGGGGGTTCTGGTAACCCATTAGCATTCTTTTGAATGTGTATGTGTGTGTGTGTGTGTGTGTGTGTGTGTGTGTGTGTAGAAAGAGAAAATAGAAAGTGCAAGAAAGAGTGGGAGTGAGAGTGAGAGAAAATGGGAAAGAGAGACAGACAGAGATAGGGAAAGACAAGCAGAGATAGAGATGCATGAAAGGCTGCTGTAAAGGAAAAGTGACCAATGAAGATGTACTTCTTTTACTTTCAGACTCATTCAGGCATATTGTTTGCTTTAGCTTAGCTCCTGACAAATACAGAGCCTGAGACAAATGTTTGCATACAGGTAATTTGTTTGGGAATATAATCCTTTAGAAAGCAGGGAAGGCCAATAAGATTCCATTTTGATTTTTTGAGATGGCTCCTTAGACCTCCTTTCTGAGAGACTGGTGCTCAATCTTGCCAGAGTCTTCAGAAAATCCTTACAGTCATCTGCCCAGGAGAAGAAAGGGAAGCATTTATTTGTTGATTCCAATACTCCATTGGTTAAGGGTGGCTCCACAGGCATCAATCACTATGTTTCCATGTCACTTGTGTTTTCAGCCTGGGGAGTTAAGAGTGGTTCTACCTGAGCCCCATGTTATAGCACTAATGAAATCCAAAGGCAGGAAATGAAGGGTATAAGGGGCAGGCTAGAAGCCTTGCAAAGGCCAGAGGAAGACATGAAGGTGAGCGTTTGTAAGAAGTATTCACCATGCTGCTTTTGCCTACTTCCATGACCATGAGCCTGAAGCCTTCATTAAGACCTCCTAATGAATTCACCATCACCTTGCTCAGTCTTGGCCCATATTTTTGGAAGTACAGTGCTAAGGTGGAATCTCTGAAGTAATATATGTGAAACTACCTGTCAAAGAGTAGGCACTTAATTGATATATGTCATGTGCGAAGCTGTCCATGTCCTGCATAGACATCTCTGAGCAGACAGACCAAGCTGCTCTGATATAACTATTATAAGCTAGAAGGAAAGTTCATATTCGGTTGGCTTTATGAAAACAAACAAATAAATAAGAGAACAACTCTACCAAAACAATCAGAAAAGTATTCCTAGTTAGTATCTGTATGGATTCACAATGCCATATTTTGTAAATGAACATACAAATATGAGTTAACAGCTACTGGGAGGGTGAGGCAGGAGAATCTCTTGAACCTGGGAGGCGGAGGTTGCAGTGAGTGGAGATCGTGCTACTGTATTCTAGCCTGGGTGAGACTCCGTCTCAGAAAAAAAAAAAAAAAAGAAATAGGAGTTAATACTTACGGTACTTTGAGCTTGGTCATCCTCTCTTGAAAAGAGGGACTCTGGGCACTGCTGAGTTGTTTCCAATTTATACTCAATGGTACTATTTGGCTTTAATGAACCAATCTCCGAGTTTAACAAGCTTAAAAATGACCGTGTTCTCAGAAACAGTTGTCCTAGCTTAGGAATTTATTCCAAGAAATTATTCAGAGATAAGTTCTAAATTGATGTATAAGAAAGAATTATTTTAATGTAACTCATAATCATAATTTGAAAACAACCTAAGTGTCTCCCAAATAGAAGTTTTAGGTAATTTATGGTAAATGGTAGCATGAGATGTTTTGTAGACATTAAAATACTGTTTTAAAAATGGGAAAATCCTCCTAAGTGGCCTGATATGAACACAGGTTATGAAAGTGCATATTCAAGATAACAATTGTGCTGAAAAAATATGTACATGGAAACTAGAAAAAAATGCACAAATTTTAACACTGCTTACCTCAAAGTTGATTTGTGTTTTACATTATGCTTGTCAATATTTCCCCCATTTTTTATTTTGAATATGTGATACATTAATATCAGAGAAAAAGGAACTATTAAGAAAATACTGGGGGGAATGCTAAAAAGAGCATGGCAAACAGCTAACTGGCCACTGTGATTGAGAGATCAAAAGCAATTCAACAGATATTAAATATTTAACATGCTAGCCTACTTTCTTTTGCCTTCATTCTGTCACCCATGTCAGGTTTAGACTTTGTTAGGATCCTTTTCTTCTACCAGAATGCATTGTAGTAGAGCTGATCAAAACACCCATACTCTGACTTTCTTGGAAGTCTGCCGGTGGCCGACTATACCACCATTTCTGTACTTTCAGGCTCCAATAACAGCAACTTCTGCCCGTGTAACAGGAAACTCTAGACTTTCTGGCAAGGCTTTTCTTGCCATTTGATGTTGCTGCAACATCCCAAGATTCTGGCTGGACCCAAGATGTATCACATAAGGCAGGAACAAAGCCAGCAGGGGCAGTAATCAATGCTGAACAAGTTTGGTCTAATATTTCTTCTGTAGTCACACTCTGCCCTATGAAGAGCTGTTCTGTCATCATCCCTCATAACAGCTAGAAAGATACCTGGCTCAATCCATTACTGGAAAGAGTGCTGTATTTCTTATATAATCTAAAAATCCAGAGGATAGTTTAAATATTTCTTTACTGCTCAAATGTGCCCTCTGTCTGTGTCCATCCTGTCTCTCTCGAAACTCCCACGTGTCCTTCTTTTCTGGATCCCTTCCCTCCATTTTTTAATTACCCCTTCTCCTGTGAGGTCTGGCTTCTTAATTCTGCTGCCATCTCTTGTAGGTGTTTAGAAAACTTCAAACTTGCAGTTGCCCCATAAAATCAATTTGATATGAAATTACAACATTCTTCACAGTGGACCTATAGGACAAATCTCTTTTTTTTTTTTTTGCTAAAATTGATCAATTCTTCTAGAATATTTCTCTGGATTATAGGGAGGAAAAATTAGTACAATAATGGATAGTTCTTACAGAGAGTCAGAACAGCATTCCACTTAAAACAAGACATTGACTTCTTCAGTCCCTCACCTCTTGATCAAACTATGATTAATGTTGCTTTAAGGAGCATAAGCAGAATTTCTTATTAATTTTCAAGTATGGTTAGTTCTCCACAAATGTTAAAGGTTGCTTTTTTAAAAGCAACCTTTATAAGAAAATGAGAGACTGAATAATTTAAAAAATATACAGACATTTTTGTGTAAGTTGAAGAATCAAATTTGGAAACGATCTAAAATTGAAATTTCATAGGCCGGGCGCGGTGGCTCACGCCTGTAATCCCAGCACTTTGGGAGGCCGAGGCGGGCGGATCATGAGGTCAGGAGATCGAGACCATCCTGGCTAACACGGTGAAACCCCGTCTCTACTAAAAATACAAAAAATTAGCCTGGCGTGGTGGAGGGCGCCTGCAGTCCCAGCTACTCAGGAGGCGGAGGCAGGAGAATGGCGTGAACCCGGGAGGCGGAGCTTGCAGTGAGCCGAGATCGCGCCCCTGCACTCCAGCCTGGGCGACAGAGCGAGACTCCGTCTCAAAAAAAAAAAAAAAAAAAAAAAAAAAAAAAGAAGTTTCATATAAATGTATATTACATTCATCAAACAATAAAGTTACAACATAACTAAAGAGAAAGCAATATCACCTGGAATTAGCAATAATGGTGACTGTGTTATGAATTTCTACCTATGATCTCTGTCATGCTAAAAACTTAAAAACCTTTGAGGATTTTTCTCCTCCAAATATTTAGGATGTTTGTATAACAAGTGTCAAGAGGAGTCTCCTCTTATTGGAGGATATAAGCCAGAGACTTTTGCTTTTTCCAATTACCTGTTAATTGTAATATATTGAATGCACCTGGATAGAGGCAACGTGCAGAAGAGCATCAACAACATCAAACTAAAGAAGGCTGAAGTGAAAAGTCATGGGGATTCTTTGGAATGTTAATGCATAATTATGAGACAGTTTGGTTGAGAACTGACATTTGCGCATAAAGCATATATGTCACCCTCAGAGTGTTCAGTAGCATTTGTCTGTACACCTTTTAGGACTTGAACTATACTCTACTTTATAGTATCACCGTTAGTTTACTTTATCACATTCGCAAGATGCTAAACGTTTTAAGCACATAATTGTGACTGAGCACCCTCAGGTTTGGACCTCTTGCTACCCTGGGTGTTAGTGTAGCAATGTAAATGCAGTCACTATCACAGCCAAGTCTATATTAGTCCATGTGGCACTTTTGTGTGAGTTATAAAAGTCAGGTGCTGCCTCCAGGTAGATGCATCCCTTTGCTAGGGTGTGCACATTGGTGATCCAACTGTAGTCTGGATTTCAGCCCCCATCTATTCCGCAAATTGGGTGACCATATGCAGGGAGCAGCCTACACAGCCATGCAGATGTCCCTGATCATTTCTCACTAATTTGTAAAGTAAACATGACTTCAAGGAGCCAGACCCAGGAGAATTATCCCTCAGGTGTTGAGCTAGCTTTAATCTGTGGTACCTGGTACACATTTTTAAGCTCTTTAAATCCAACTGGAAATGGAGAGATATGGTTAAGGCAACTGGAAAGTCTAAAGAATGCCACGTAGGATCTACTCTTCAAATCACATTACAAATATGCTCCACAGAGTCTTGTTGCATAATTTTATAGCTACTCTTTATTCTTCCGAAGCACCAAAGTTGTTGTAGAAAGTAAATACATTAATTGGACCCTTTCTAGTCCTAAAAAGTTCAAGGACAGTCTGGGGCCTTCCATAGACATCAACTGCTTTTAGAGAAACCCTTCCTTAACTCTTCATTTATATACCTAGCTGCAATGCATTACTGATTCGAGACATACCAGGTAAGGTGCTATTATATAGAGAGCATAAACAGGTGTAATAACCAACATGCCAATATGCTATAATGGGGAGAAGCCTTTTTTATTATGAAGATAAAGACAGTAATTATAAGAAATGTGTGCCTTATAAGCTTCAGTAAAGTGACCTTCCTCAGATTCAGCACCAAAACAAAGAATATCACTTTTCCTCTGTATGAACTTTGTCCTAAGCTCTGTCAACAGTTGAGCCAGAGCTTTGTTGATTGCTCAGCTGTCCAGAAACCTACCAAAAAGCCTGTTGATAAAGCAAAGCTGAGTTTATTAGATTTACTGCAGTAGGGCAGAACACCACCTTGACAGAATCTTAGAAGTGCTTTAGACAACTGAGGTCAGAGAAGATCAGTTTCAAGGTTTTGAGGTCTAGAATCAAGAGGTTCAAGCTAGATCTTTCAAGAAAGAGCAATGATTGAGAATGGGTAAAATTTGTATTAGAATAATAATTTGGAGTTGCTGAACACTTTAAGGTGAGGCTCTTAAATGAGTCTTGATAAGTAAATTCTTGTCTGATAATGAATAGTTTGCCCAGATAATGAAACTGTTTTTCTGAGAGAAGAGCTATCTAATGTCCATATGAGCCCACCATTTGCTAAGATAAATTGAATTGCAATCATTTTCTGAAGTTTCTTACTTGTTTAAAATCTTATCTTCCTGAATGATAATTTCCTGGAGATAATTTAGTCATATTAACAAAGGCAGTCTCAGGTCTCTGTCTTCTGTTCCCATTTGTTAACCTATACTATGGGCTCTTGACCCCAGAAGTCACCTCACAACCCTCACCCAGCAGATCTATCTCGTGTACTATGGGATTCCATTATATCTTACAGGTTCCCCCATTTCTGTCCTTATCATACTATATTCTAATTGCCTCTCTTTCTAGGTAAACTATGAGCAACTTAAGGGCAACAATTTTCTTTTTTTTTTCTTTCAGTACCTCTAAAATATCCTGAGACATTCTAGATCTTAAAAAAAATATAACTTTGGAATGAATGATTAACTTACGCTATTTCCTCAAGGTCAACATTAGCTATTTGGTATTGGTCTATCAAAGGATAGTTGAAGGCAGTTGTTTCAGATTTGGACCTCACCTCTGTCATTTATGTCTCTGATGCTCAATTTCTCTATTTGTAAAATGAGAATGCATATAATGGTTAACACCACTCTTGAGTACACAAATCTCCAATTTATTGCTGTGTTTATAATATGTCAAGAAATGTGCTAAGCGTTTACATAGATGATCTACTTTATTCCTCACAATAATCCTGGGAGGCACTATGATACAAGTTTTATATGATGAATAAACTGAGGCTCAGAGAAATTAAATAATTTTCCCAAATTCACATAATCAGAAACTGTAAGACCAGAATCTTCTGATGAGAAAAGCCAGATTTCAACCACTTCATTAGATTTCCAACCACCTCGTGGGTATTTTAACATGATTTTATGAATTTGGAAGTAAGAAGCTTGAATTTATCTAAATAAGAATCTTTACTATATCATGTTCAGCACGAGACTTATGGTCTGTCTTACTGCATACCTCACACGATGGGGTAAACAGAATCTTAAGAGTCAGTCTTCCATGATGGAAACGTTGTACTTACAAAGAGGTGTTAATGTTGAGTTGAATCCAGCCATCTTGAAATTTCTACCTAGAGTGATATGTTTTACCTTTTGTATATAAACAGAATAAATTAAATCATTCTTTTTTGCATATCCACACATTACAATTAAAAACACGTCTCATGCTTTCATAATCTTCCTTCTGTACCACCCTAACCAAACTATCTCCTCTCAGATTTAAGCATTCCCACCCTACTCAGGTGTTCTCCATATACCATCATTGGGTTTGAGCACCTGTCTGTCAACCTGGGGACATTAATCTGGGCATGTTATAGATTAACAAAAATATTTTCTATTATGCTCCAAACTGGACATAATACCACAGGTGGTATTATGTTTGACCAGTATAAGACAGGGATAATAAGAGTATCCAGCATATTATGGTTTCTGTTGCCCTTCAGGGGTAGTTATACATCCTGTCTTATTTTGGCAAATAGTTATGCCACAGAGGGTTGATTTCCGTGTTCCTAAGGTCTTAATTATGGAAGATAGTTTTTCTTTTTGGGGCTGCTATCTTCTTACTCTTCTCTCACTCTCTTTGGTCAACGCCTGCTCTCTAGATTAAATGCAAAACCAATTCCCACTCAGAGGGAGGCAGAATTTATGAACGGAGGTTTTTGTAGTGAGACTACATAAAATTTAATCTTTGGTTTGCTACTTACTATCTCTATGAGCTTGAAAAGTTCTTTGACCTCCCTGAGCTTCAGCTATGTCATCTCCAAAGTGGGAATTCTAATCCCTTCCCTTTTGGTGGTGGTATACATGTTAAATTACAAAAGGTAGGTAAAATGCTCATCTCAGATCTCAGTCCCTGACAAATAGTAAAAGGTAACAAAAAAGATAACTGTTGTTTTTAAATCAAAATAATTGAAAATTTTAACAGTGATCTTCCAGTAGCTGGGTTATATCTAAATATGTAATCAAATAGTTTATAAAGGAATTACCACGGTCTCAGGGCCTTCATCAACTCTTTGTAGCCACTGATTTTTGCAGTGACAAAAATAAACACATTTCTTCAATTCTCAAGGCTTTGATAAAAAGATAAAAAACAAGGTTCCTGCTATGTCTGTGTATTTGTACTCATGTTTATATATAACTTCACAATTGAGTTTTAAAATTTTTCCAGCTCTTATTTGCTAATGACCCTGCACAGTGATCACATAATAAGTTATTGAGAATGTACTGGTAATAGGCCTTATTGCCATTTTCTAAATTCAGGTTACTGTAATCTGTCTCCTAGGCTACAATAATACTTTTTTAATCTATGTAAATTTCTTTGAGACTCAGTAGTCCCAGTTTTTTTTTTTTTTTTTGAGACAGGGTCTTGCTCTGTCGTCCAGGCTGGAGTGCAATGGTGTGATCTCAGCTCAATGCAACTTCCACCTCCTGAGTTCAAGTGATCCTCCACCTCAGCTTCCTGAGTGTCTGGGATTACAGGTGCATGCCACCATGCCCGGCTAATTTTTGTATTTTTGGTATAGACAGGGTTTCACCTTGTTGGCCAGGCTGGTCTTGAACTCCTGGGCTCAAGTGACCCACCTGCCTCAGTTTCCCAAAGTACTGGGATTACAGGTGTGAACCACTGGGCCCAGCCAGTAGCCCCAGTTTGAAATGAAAACGATAATACCTATCTTACCTGGATGCTTATGAGGATTAATTCAAATTTTTGTATATGACATAGTAGATATGTGGCTAATAAGTTTTCTAAAACTTAATTCTTTACCCCTACTTGTTAGGGGGAGCTTGATAATATGATGCTCCTGCTACCTATTATAATAAGCACAAATATATAAGCATAACCTGATAAATATATGTCCCACAGGTGATCCCTACCTTTTCAAATTTAACATGTACACACCTCATTATTTAGCTTTCAGAAGTCTCTTTTTTGTTGTTGCAACTATGAGTGTGAGGGCAGAAAGACAATCTTGTTTCCACACTTAGTATCATATGTTAAATATTTCCATTATTTAAGCTGCATTTTGGAACAGTTGCCTGAGGTTAATAGCAGGAGATTATTGCAATTTATGTTCTGAATATACATCTCAGTTCCTATGGGGGAGGAAGGTTGGGAGAGAACTTCTTGATTGCAGTTAAAAATTCTGATTTCCCTCCCTCTGCACGACAATTACAACTGCTATCAGTGTGTCAAACATGTGGGATATGCCTCCCAAGAGAGCAGACCCCACAGTTCCTTCAAACATCAAATGCAGTGACATGACAGATCAAAAACAATCAGTTGCTTTCTGTTTTTTAAAATATATATGACAGTCACATTCATACCAAATGATTTCAACAAGATTAATGTTATTCAAGTCAGTACCTAGAAATTAATCATTTCACCACTATTTTAGTGTTAACGAGACACTTTAGTGGAATCATTTGACAAAGACTATTCACATTAAATTGAGAGGAGAGGCACAGATGTCAAAAGCTAATTAGTACCGGAAAAATTCTATAGAGCATTCTGAGTTGAGTTTTAGAAATAGGATCTATGCCTTTGGAAGTTTCTCTTTTGCTTACTTTACTCTTGGGTCCTGGCCTCTGTCCTCTTAGGTAACATCCAAAACCCGGCTAGGATGTGTCATCTCCCTAGATACTCCTGTTTTAAAAAGAAGCACTTTCAGAACACAATTAAAAACAATCATCATTATCATTACAGATAATACAATAAGTGTTACCATGTTATAGAAACTATGCTTGGAATATTAGGAATACCATTATTATCCCCCTTCTTCAGCTAAGAAAAATAAGATAAATAGACTTGTTTAAGGTCAATTTGCTTAGGCAACAACTCGTTGCTTTTTTTTACTATTCTAAATCTTTAGTTCAATTGCTGTTTCAGGACTGTTTCTTTCTACTATGACATGTTCCTTTAGAGAAACCCAAACTCAAGTTTCTCAAATGAAATCAACAGTGACCTGGTAGGTAGTGAAGTTTAATTTTTAGGAGAGAGCCACATATTCCTTTGAAATAGTGTATTAATCAGTCCTAGAAGTTACATTGGGTTTTATCATTTGCCCTTATCTGCTGAGAATTATCAACTTTTTGCATATTATGAGCATATTTTCCTTTGCCTCACTGAGCATAGTTATAATAGCTGCTTCATTGTAATTGTCTGCTCATTCCAAAATTTAGATAATTTGGATGATTTTCTTGTTTTAAATGTTAGTCTTACAGTCCTGTCTCTTTGCATGTTGAGTAATTTCTAATTTTATCCTGAACGTTGTGGAAGTCATATATTGTAGTTTCTGTATTCTGTTATATTCCTCAGAAGAGCATTAAATTTTGCTTTGGCAGACAGTTAACTTGGTTGGGCTCAAAGTGAATACTCTGCCTCTTGGTTAAAAGCTGAAAACTCAATTATTTTATCTGAAAGTTGGTTGCTTTGTGTTTGCCCCACACGTGTGTGGTTTGGGGCTGAGCCAGAGATTGGGCAGAGAATTTTGGTGTTTCTTTTCTAGCTCTCTTCTTTCTGTGATCCCTCTCACTTCACTTTCCAGATATTGTAGATATCCCAAAATAATTTGTCCTCCTGTCTTCTTTCCACGATCTCTTTCACCTCACTTTCCAGATACTGTAGATGTCCCAAAATAATTTGTCCTCTTGTTCTTCAGGGTTTTCAATCATGGGTTTTTCAATCAGAGTTTTAGACTCCTTTCTTGGCTCTTACTGTGGATAGTTTAAAAGCTAGAGAGAGAAAGAGAGAACGTTGAGTGCTGTTCCTTTCTTCCAGGTTTTGATTTCTTCTCATCCTTCCCAGAATCTGCCTGCTCTTGTTCACTTTTAGGGCCTTCAGGGAGTTCATTTTTGTTTTATATCCAGAATTCATACTTTTTGTCTATGGGAGGCTTGATTTGATAGTTGCTGACCTGTCCTATTCTCTTTTGAGATTAAGAGCAAGCTAGAAATCTTTCCCAATAAACATAAATGTGCATGTGCAAATGAATATGCACAATAACACATACGCAATTTATGAGGCAATTCTGTGGGGTAAATGCATCCATGTACATGTGGTGGATCTCTGTTCAAGAGTCCTCGGTTCCTGTGCATAGTGCTGAGATTACAAAGTTTACCAAGATGTAGTTTTCACCCTCATAGATTCCTTGTTTAGAGCAGGGGTCAGCAAGCTTTTCTTCAAGAGCAAGAGAGTAAGAATTTTAGGTTTATGGGCTGGCTTTATGACCTCCATCACAACTTCTTCAATTTTGCTGTTATAGCACAAAAGCAGACATAGGCAATACATAAATTATAGGCATAGTTATATTCAAATAAAACTTTATTTTAAAAAATAGGCTACAAGCCTATGGACTGTATATACTGTCCCCTATTCTAGAAGCAAGACTGCAAATAAAAATAAAAATAGTTTAATAAGAGCATCAGTGTTAAAGAGAAATCCAAAATAATAAAACGAGAGACTGTGATTACTAAGGGAAGATACTGGCATTGAGACTCTGTTTAAAAAGCAAAATAAAATAGCATAAACATCACAAAATTGGTTTCGTCTTCTTATAGCCAAGATCCAAACATCAAACAACAGCAAATAAACCTACCCCTGGCTTATGCATAGTAACTACCTCTTCATCAATTCTGCAGACTGAAACTCTAAATCCTGTTTTGAATTAGCTGTGGCATACAGTTTCACACTGTTTTGTGACTATGTACCATCTTTATTCCACACTGGAATATGAGTTAATAGTACAAGTGATGGTGGGGATATATTCAGTTATTAACTTGTTTATGTGTCCTTATTCTTATTGTGGCAATTATTACTTAGTACTTGGACAAACTCATCTGAACAGATGATGGGGAAAAATTCATCTTCATCAATATCCATAACCTAGAGTAGAATAGGAATAATCTCTTAAGAGATGTATACGCTGTACATTAACATTTTATAGGAATGAAAAATCATAAGAACATATCTAAGTGAAAGAACTAGTATGAATTCCATGGGGAAAAATATTTAAGCTGCGTTTTAACAGTTGGATAGATTTAAAAAAACAAAAACACGATAAAAACATTATTCTTCTAGTCTTTTTCTAGAAATTGAAATAATACAGACTTACATGGGGAAGGTGATCCCTTACCCCCTTTTCCTGATCCCCAAATTCTTCTGCCCCTTTTTTGACCTCTGTTCTGTTCCTCCCTCATTTCTCTTTAGGAGGAGAGAATACTGATGTCATCTATTCACACATATTAGTGGACAGGGTCATTGTGGAAGACAGAACAAGTGCTCATGTTTTCCCATCTATGTGGTAGAATGGCAATCTAATTATCAAACCTACATGCCTACTGGACATTGCTTTTGATTTCTGTACTTGTGTCCATTCAGAAAGTGGTAATGTTTCCAAACGCTGTAGTAATATTCCCAGTTCTTGGAGATATTGATGATTTGCTTCCAGACCACTGCAATAAAGCAAATATTGCAATAGTAAGTTGCACACATTTTTTGCTTTGCCAGTGCATATAAAATGTTTACAAGGTAGTCTATTGTAATAGCATTGTGTGCAATAGCATTATGTCTAAAAAATACACATACTTGAATTTAAAAATGCCTTATTGCCAAAAGTACCAACAATCATCTGAGCCTTTAGTGAGTCCTAATCTTTTGGCAGGTGTTGCCTCAGTATTGATGGCTGCCAACTGATTACAGTGATAGTTGCTGAAGTTTGGAGTGACTGAGGCAATTTCTTAAAGTAAGACAACAATGAAGCTTGCTGCATGAACTTACTCTTTCATTCACAAAAGATTGCTCTGCAACATGTGATGCTGTTTGATAGCATTTTACCCACAGTACGATATCTTTCAAAAGTGGAGTCAATCCTCTTAAACCATATCATTCTACCATAAAAACACATGCACACGAATATTCATTGCAGCACTGTTCACCATAGCAAAGACATGGAATCAACCTAAATGCCCATCAATGACAGACTGGATAAAGATAATGTGGTACATATACGCCATGGAATGCTATGCAGCCATAAAAAAGGAGATCATGCCTTTTGCGAAAACATGGATAGAGCTGGAGGCCCTTATCTTCAGCAAACTAACACAGGAACAGAAAACCAAGTACTGCACGTTCTCACTTGTAAGTGGAAGCTAAATGATGAAAACTCATGAACACAAAGGAGGGAACAACAGACACTGGGATCTACTTTGGGGCCAGGGTTGGAGAAGGAAGAGGAGCAGAAAAGATAACTATTGGGTACTGGGCTTAATACCCGGGTGATGAAATAATGTGTACAACAAACTCTCATGACACATGTTTACCTATGTAACAAAACTTCACATGTACCCCCTAACCTAAAATAAAAGCAAAAAAAAAAAATCCCCTTAAACCCTGTTATACTTTATGAAGAACTACAATTATGTAATATTCTAAATACTTTGTTTTCATTTCAACAATATTTGTAGCATCTTCACCTGGAGTAGATCCACCTCAAGGAATTCCTTTCATTGCTCATTCATAAGAAGCAACTCTTCATCTATTCAAGTTTTATCATGAGATTGCAGCAATCCAATTACATTTTCAGATTTCACTTCAAATTCTAGTTCCCTTGCTGTTTCTACGAGATATGCCATTACTTCCTCCACTGAAGCCTTGGGCACCTCAAAGTCATCCATGAGGGTTGCAATTAACTTCTTCCAAACTTCTATTGATGTTAATATTTTGACCTCCTCCCATGAATTATGGATTTTTTTAGATTTATTCTTAATTTTATGGGTACATAGTAGGTGTTTATATATATAGGATATATGAGATGTTTTGATACAGTCATACAATGTGTAATAAACATATCAGGGGAAATGGGGTATCCATCACCTCAAGCATTTGTTATTTCTCTGTGTTGCAAACTTTCTAATTATACTCGTTTCATTATTTTAAAATGTTCAATAAATTATTTTTGACTCTAGTCACCCCGTTGTGCTATCAAATACTAGATATTATTCATTATAACTATATTTTTGTACTCATTAGCCATCCTCACTTCCTCCACCCCTACCTGCATAATATCCTTCCCAGCCTCTGGAAACCATCATTCTATTCTCTGTCTCCATTAGTTGTATTGTTTTAATTTTTAGCTCACACAAATGAGTGAGAACATGTGAAATGTGTCTTTCTGTGCCTGGCTTAATTCACCTAACATAATGTCCTCCAGTTCCATCCATATTGTTGCAAATGGTGGTATCTCATCCCTCTTTATAGTTAAATAGTACTCCATTGTGTACAAGTACCACATTTTTACTTTTCCGTTTGTTGGATGACAGACACTTAGGTTGATTCCAAATCTTAACTATTGTGAACAGTGCTACAATAAACATGGGAGTGCAGATATTTTGTCGATATACTGATTTCCTTCCTTTTGGGTATACACCTAGCAGTGGGATTGCTAGATTGTATGGTAGCTGTAATTTTAGTTTTTGAGAAATTTCCATACTATTCTCCATAGTAGCTGTACTAATTTACATTCCGACTGATAGTGTACGAGGGTTTCCCTTTCTCTATGTTCTCTCCAGCATTTATTTATTGCCTGTCTTTTGGATAAAAGCTATTTTAACTGAGGTGAGATGATATCTCATTGTAGTTTTGATTTGCATTTCTCTGATGATCAATGATGTTGGGCACCTTTTCACATATCTATTTGTTATTTGTATGTCTTCTTTTGAGAAATTTCTATTCAGATCTTTTGCCCATTTTTAATCAGACTATTAGATTTTTTTTTTCTGTTGAGTTGTTTGAGCTCACATATTCTGGTCATTAATCACTTGTCAGATGGATAGTTTGCAAATATTTTCTCCCATTCCGTGGGTTGTCTCTTCACTTCATTGATTGTTCCCTTTGCTCTGCAGGTTTTTAACTTGATGTGAACTCATTTGTCCATTTTTGCTTTGGTTGGCTGTACTCATGTGGTATTTCTCAACAAATCTTTGCCCAGACAAATATCCCAGAGAGTTTCCCCAGTGTTTTCTTTGAGTAGTTTCATAGTTTGAGGTCTTACATTTACATATTTAATCCATTTTTATTTTATTTTGTATATGGTGATAGATGGCATCTAGTTTCATTCCTCTGCCTATGGATATTCCAGTGTCATTTATTGAAGAGACTATTCTTTCTTCAGTGTATGTTCTTGACATCTTTGTTGAAAATGAGTTTACTGTAGATGTAAGGATTTAGTTCTGGTTTCTCTATTCTGTTCCATTGGTCTGTGTGTCTGTTTTTATGCCAATACCCTGTTGTTTTGGTTACCATATCTCTGTTGCATAGTTTGAAGTCAGGTAATGTGATTCCTCTAGTTTTGTTTCTTTTGCTTAATATGACTTTGAATATTCTGGGTCTTTGTTGGTTCCATATAAATTTTGGATTGTTATTTCTGTTTCTGTGAAGAATATCATTAGTATTTTTATGAAGATTATATTGAATCTGTAGGCTGATTTGGATAGTATAGACATTTTAACAATGTTGATTCTTCCAATTCATGAATGTGGAATATCTTTCCATTTTTCTGTGTCCTCTTCAACTTCTTGTATCAATGTTTTTCAGTTTTCATTGTAGAGATCTTTCACTTCTTTTGTTAAGTTCATTCCTAGGTATTTTACTTTATTTGTAGCTCTTATAAATGGGATTGCTTTCTTGATTTCTTTTTCAGATTGTTCCCTGTTGGCAAATAGAATGCTACTGATTTTTGGATGTTGATTTTGTATCCTGCAACTTTACGGGATTTATTTATCAGTTCTAATAGTTTTTTGTTTTGTTTTTTTGTTGTTAGAGTCTTCAGGTTTTTCCAAATATAAGATCATATTGGCTGTAGACAAGGATAATTTGACTTATTCTCTTCTCATTTGCATGCCTTTATTTCTTTCACTTGTCTAATTGCTCTAGATAAGAATTCCAGGACTACATTGAATAACAGTGGTGAAAATTTGCATCCTTGTTTTGTTCCAGATCTTAGAGGAAAGGCTCTCAATTTTACCCCATTCAGTATGATACTAGCTGTGGGTCTGCCATATGTGACTTTTATTGCGTTGAGATATGTACCTTCTATGAACAGTTTTTTGAGGGCTTTTATCATGAAGGAATGTTTAATTTTATGAAATGCTTTCTCAGCATCAATTGAAATGATCATGTGTTTTTGTCCTTCATTTTGTTGATATCATGTATCAACAAAACATCGATTGATTTTCATAGGTTTAACCATTCTTGCATCTCTGGAATGAATTCCACTTGGTCATAATGAATAACCTTTTTAATGTGTTGTTGTATTTGGTTTGCTAGTATTTTGTTGAGGGTTTTCACATCAATGTTCATCAGGGATATTGGCCTGTGCTTTTGTTTTTTTGATGCATCTTTGTCTGGTTTTAGTATCAGGATAATACTGGCCTCATATAAACAGATTGGAAGTATTTTCTCTTCCTCTATTTTTAGGAACAGTTTGAGTAGGATCGATATTAGTTCTTTTTTAAATGTTTGATAAAATTCAGCATTGAAGCCATCAGGTCCTGGATTTTCTTTGCTGGGAGACGTTTTATTTTGGCTTCAATCACGTTTCCTGTTACTGGCCTATTCAATAACAGGCTTTGGGATTTCTTCATGGTTCGATCTTGGTAGGTTACATGTGTCTAGAAATTTATTCATTTCTTCCACAGTTTCCAATTTATTGGCATATGGTTGCTCCTGGTAGACTCTAATGATCCTTTGAATTTCTGTGATCTCAGTTGTAATCTCTCTCTTTTCATTTCTGATTTTATTTACTTGTGTCTTTTTTCTTCTTAGGCTGGCTAAAGATTTGTCAATTTTGTTTATCTTTTCAAAAAACCAACTTTTTGTTTTACTGATCTTTTATATTGGTTTCTTAATTTCAAATTCATTTATTTCTGCTCTGATCGTTATTATTTCTTTTCTTATACTAATTTTGGGTTTGGTTTTCTCTTGCTCTTTTAGTTCTTTAAGATGCATTGTTATTTGATGTTTTTCTGCTTTTTTGATGTAGGCAGTTATTGCTACTAACTTACCTCTTAGTAGTGTTTTTGCTATATTCCATAGGTTTTGGTATGTGCTGTTTCCATTTTCATTTGGTTCAAGAAAGCTTTTAATTTCCTTCTTAATTTTGTCATTGACCCACTAGTCATTCAGGAGCATATTGTTTAATTCCATGCGTTTGTATAATTTCCAAAGCTCCTCTCGTTATTAATTTCTAGTTTTATTCAATTGTAGTCAGAGAAGGTACTTGATATAATTTCCATTAAAAAAAATTTAAGACTTGATTTGTGGCCTAACATATGATCCATCCTTGACAATGATCCATGTGCTGAGGAGAAGAGTATGTATTCTGCAGCCATTGGATGAAATGTTCGGTAGTTATCTATTAGATCCATTTGGTCCATAGTACAAATTAAGTATGACATTTCTTTGTTGATCTTCTGTTGGCATGATCTGTCCAAGTGGGATGTTGAAGTCTCCAGCTATTATGGTATTTGGGTCTGTCTCTCTCTTTGGCTTGAATACTTGCTTTACATATCTAAGTGTTTCAGTGTTGGGTTATACATGGATTTATAATTGTTAAATCCTCTTGCTGAATTGACTGTTTTATCATTATATAATTTCGTTATCTCTTTTTATAGTTTTTGTCTTGAAATTAATTTCATCTGATATAAGTATAGCTACTCCTTCCCTTTTTTTTGGTTTCCATTAGCATGGAATATCTTTTTCCATACCTTTATTTTCAGTCTATGTGTGTCTTTTTAGGTAAAGTGTGTTTCTCGTAGCCATCAGATTGTTGGATTTTTAAAAACCCATTTAGCCTTTTGTCATTTGATTAGAGAGTTACTCTATTTACATTCAATGTTATTATTGATAAGTAAGGACTTACTCTTGCCTCCTTGTTATTTGGTTTCTGGTTGTTTTTTGGTATTCTCTTCCTTCCTTCCTTCCTTCCTTCCTTCCTTCCTTCCTTCTTTCCTGCCTACCTGCCTTCCTGCCTTACGTTTTTCTTCCTTCCTATCTTTTTTAGTGTGAAGTGATTTTTTTCTGGTGGTATGACTTAATTTCTTGCTTTTCATTTTTTTGTGGTCTGCTGAAAGTTTTCTGATTTTAGGTTACCGTGAGGTTTGCAAATAACATCTTTCTACCCATTATTTTAAACTGATGAAAACTTAACTCTAATTAGAAAACCAACCAAACAAACAAACAAAGAAACAAGCAAAGCCAAAGCTAATAAACGCTCTACACTTTAACTTCATCTCCCCTACTTTTTAACTTTTTGCTATTTCTATTTCTATCTTATTACACTGTTACGTCTTAAGAAGCTGTTATAATTATCATTTTTGATAGGTTTGTCTTTTTGTCTTCCTACTCATGATATGGGTAGTTTATATACCACAATTATAGTGTTATAACATTCTGTATTTGTCTGTATACTTAGTATTATTAGTTAGTTTTGTACCTTCAGTTGATTTTTTTATTACTCATTAATGTTCTTTTCTTTCAGATTGAAAAACTCGCTTTAGCCTTTCTTGTAGAACAGGCCTGGTGTTGACAAAATCCCTCAGCTTTTGTTTATCTGGGAAAGTCTTTATTTCTCCTTTATCTTTGAAGGATATTTTTGCCAGGTATGATATTCTAGGATAATTTTTTTTTTCCTCCAGCACTTTAAAATACATAATGACCCTCTTTCTTTGCCTGAAAGATTTTCACTGAGAAGTCAGCTGCCACATGTATTGAAGCTCCTTTATATGTTATTTATTTCTTTTTTCTTGCTGTTTTTAGGATGCTTTCTTTATCCTTGACCTTTGGGAGTTTGATTATTAAGTGTCTTATTTGGGCTTAATCTGTTTGGTGTTCTATAACCTTCTTGTATTTGAATATTGATATATTTCTCTAGGTTTGGAAAGTTCTCTATGATTATCTCTGAATAATCATTCTACTTTAATCTCTCCCTCTACCTCCTCTTTAAGGCCAATTACTCTTAGATTTGCTCTTTTGAGGCTGTTTTCTAAATCTTTTAGGCACACTTTATTCTTTTTAATTCTTTTTTCTTTTGTCTCCTCTGACTGTGTATTTTCAAATAGTCTCTCTTCAAACTCAGTAATTCTTTCTTTTGCTTGATCAGCTCTAATGAGACTCTGATGCATTCTTCAATTGGCCAAGTGAATTTTTCAGCTCCAGAATTTCTGCTTGATTTTTAAAAATTATTTCAATCTCTTCTTAAAATTTATTTTATAGAGTTCTGCATTTCTTTTCTGTGTTATCTTGAATTTTCTTGGAGCTTCCTTGAAACCACTACTTTGAATCCTCTGTCTGAAAGTTCACATGTCTCTGTCACTCAAGGATTGGTCACTAGTTCCTTATTTGGTGCATTTGGTGAAGTCATGTTTTCCTAGCTGATCTTGATTCTTATGGATGTTCATTAATGTTAGGGCTTGAGGAGTTAGGTATTTATTTTCATCTTCACAGTTTGGGCTTGTTTATACCCATCCTTCTTGAGAAGGCTTTCCAAGTATTCAAAGGGAAGTGAGTGTTGTGATCTAAGTCTTAAGACTTTGGTCACTGCAGCCATATTTGCATTAGGGGGCCCTCAAGCCTAGTGACACTGTGACTCTTGCAGACTCATAGGTGTAATGCATTGTTGGTCCCACTAAGATCCAGGAGAATTCCTTGGATTACCAGGCAGAGTCTCTTCTCCTCTTTCCTTACTTTCCACCAAACAAATAAAGTCTCTCTGTGTGTGTGTGTGTGTGTGTGTGTGTGTGTGTGTGTTGAGCTGCCTAGAATTGGGGGAAGGGTGACACAAGCACTCATGTGACCACCACCACTGGGAATGTGCTGGGTCACACTTGAAGCCAGCATGGTACTGGGTCTTGCTTAAGGCCTGTGGTGACTATTGCCTGGCTACTGCTGTTGTTTATTCAAGGCCCAAGGACTCCTTGGTCAGCAGGTAGTGAATCTTGTCAGGCCTGGATCTTTCCTTTCTGGGAAATGGGTTCTCTTCTGGCCCAGAGTGGGTCTAGAACTGCCATCTGAAAGCTTAGGCCTGGAATCATGGATTTTATGAGTCTGCTTGGTGCTTTATTTTACTGTGGCTGAGCTGGTACCCAAGTTGCAAGACAAAATCCTTTTTACTTTTCCATTTCCTTTTCCCAAGCAGAAGGAGTCTCTCCACAAGTTACAAGCTGCCCTCTCTGCAGTTGGAGAAAGGGTGATACAAGCACTTCTTGGTGACCCCAGCTGGTGTCTCACTGGGTTGTGTGCACCGCAAGTCCATTGGCCCTAGCACAGCCTTCCACAGCACCAGGCCTTATTTACCCAGGAATTGCAGTCCTTGTGGTCTAGACTGCCTTTCAAATTTATTTAGGACTCCAGAGCCCTTT
The DNA here is from genome assembly GCF_000001405.40 of Homo sapiens. Lineage (NCBI taxonomy): Eukaryota > Metazoa > Chordata > Mammalia > Primates > Hominidae > Homo > Homo sapiens. Next base: position 5,837,851 of record NC_000003.12, read on the forward strand.
AGCCCACAGTGATGGGGCTAGCCAGAATTCAAGTTCTGAACTTGGGGATGGATGATTCCCTTCTGGCTAGGGCTGGTCTAAATACTCCCTTCACACGTGCTGGCTGAATTCTGCCCTGTGTTGCTTTCCAGTATGACAGAGCAGCACTGACTTCCAATGTAGAGTACCACAATCATTTTGCTATCCTTCCCCAAGCACACAGATTCTCTCTCCATGCTGCACGATGCTGCAGGGGGTGAGGATGGGGTGGGGAGGGGCAGTGTAGATAATTCAGGACTGTCTTTTGTACCCTCTATGTGCCTCTTTGCTTGCTATGATATCAAAGCCAGGTACTGTGATTGCTCACCTGATGTGTGGTTCTTATGAATGTAATTTCTTGTGTGGATAATTGTTCATTTTGGTGTTCCTGCAAGGAGGATGATCATTGGAGGGTTCTCTTCATCCATCTTGTTTCACCACCTCATCGATGTTCTTAATGGTATCTAGAATGGTGAATTCTTTTCAGAAGGTTTTCAGTTTACTTTGCCAAGATCCGTCAGATGAATCACTATCTATGGTACTTATAGCTTTACAAGTTGTATTTCTTAAATAAGACTTGAAAGTCAAAATTATTCCTTAATCCATGGGCTACAGAACGGTTGTTGTGTTAGTAGACATGAAAAGAACATTAATCTTGTACATTTCCATCAAGGATCTTGGGTGACTAGGTGCATTGTCACTGTGCATTAGTATTTTGAACGGAATCTCTTTTTTTTGAGCAGTAGGTCTCGACGGTGGGCTTAATGTGTTCGGTAAACCACATTGTAAACAGCTGTGCTGCCATTCAAGTTTTGTTTCATTTATAGAGCACAGGTAGAGTAGGTTTAGCATATTTGTTAAGGGCCTTTGGATTTTCAGAATGGTCAGTGAGCAATGGGCTCAACTTGAAGTCACCAGCGGCATTACCCCCTATCAAAAGAGTCAGTCTGCCCTTCTGAGCTTTGAAGCCAGGCGTTGACTTCTATGAGCTATGAAAGTCCTATATGGCATCTTCTTTGAATATAAGGCTGTTTTTATGGACACTGAAAACCTGTTGTTTTGTGTAGCCATGTTCATCGATAATATTAACTAGATCTTCTTGATAACTTGCTACAGCTTCTACATCAGCAATTCCTGCTTCACCTTCCATTTTTACATTATGGAGACAACTGCTTTTTTAAACCTCCTGAACCAACCTCTGCTAGCTTCAAACTTTTCTTCTGTAGCTTTCTCACCTCTACCAGCCTTCATAGAATTGAAGAGAGTTAGGGCCTTCCTCTGGATTGGGTTTTGGCTTAAGAGAATGTTGTAGCTCTATCCAGACCACTCAAACCTTCTTTATATCAGCAATAAGGCTGTTTTGTTTTCTTATCATTCATGTGTTCACTGCAGTGGTACTTTTAATTTCCTTCAAGAACTTTTTCTTTGCACTGGTATCTTGGCTAACTGGTGAAAGAGGCCTATCTTGGCTCTCAACATGCCTTTTTCACTAAGCTTAATCATTTCTAGCTCTTGATTTAAAGTGAGAGATGTGTGACTCTTCCTTTCACTTGAATAGTTAGAGGCCATTGTAGGGTCATTAACTGGCCTCCTTTCAATATTGTTGTCTCAGGAAATAGGGAAGCCTGAAGAGAGGGAGAGAGATGGGGCAATGGCCAGTTGCTGGAGCAGTCAGAACACACACAACATTTATCAATTAAGTTTGCCATCTTATGTTGGGCAGTTTGTGGTGCCTAAAACAATTACAATAATAACGTCAAATATCACTGATCACAAATCATTATATCAGATATGGTAATAATAGAAAAGTTTGAAATATTGAGAGAGTTACCAAAATGTGACACAGAGATCTGAAGTGAGCACATGCTGTTAGAAAAATGTCACTGATAGATTTGCTCGACTCAGGGTGTCCACAAACCTTCAATTTGTAAAAAATGCAGTATCTGTGAAATGTAATAAAATGAGGTCTCCTATATCATGATAGGCATATAAGAAAGCAACAGGGCCTACTTATCACTTGTACCAAATTGGGTAATCCCAATTCAGCTTTATCTGATGCCTGCATGTAGTATGTTGAGCATTAGTATAAGTAAAAATAAAATAGTAGGTTGCTTCTTACTTAGTTTCTATTCTTCAGGTAAAAATCTTCCTTGGAGAATCCGGCCCCACAGTCTGTCATAATAAAATCCTACATGGAAGCCAATATCAATTAATTGAAATTAGCATGGAGGCACAATCTATTTTCCACACTTGCTCTGCAGCCATTCTGCCTGGAAGCATATGTGCTCATTACCGTTATGTTGAACATATTAGCCATGTATTTATCTCATGCATCTGTGGGCTTTCTACTGGCGCTGCTTTGAAGCTGTGGGAGGTCACCACAGAACATCATTAAACCACTGGGGAGGAAAGACTCAGTAGGAAAATTCAAATAGCAAGAAAAAGGTCATGAATCACAAAAAATTCAAAGGGAAACATGCTTTGAATTCACTAGAAGTTTCTTGAAACATTCTTAGTTGTATGTAGGGGAATATCTTTGGAATGAATCAGTCATCGTTTCTTCCTCAGTACCATAGAAAGTTGTATAAAACAGAGAGTCTTCTTAGAAACCAGTCAAAGAAGCTTGGCTTAATTTTCTTGATCTGGAAATGCAAGCACATCAGCAAGGATGTAAAAAAGTACTGAGAAACGAATCACTTGCTTTTGGATGAGGCAGCTATGATTTTCATTGAATCTGGGAGAAAACACTAGCTTTTTATTACCTTAAATACAAATATTCTTGAACTTCAGCAGTCTTAGTATTCAGCTACCAGGTGTTTTGTGCTATTACGTCAGAGTTACTGAAGAGAGATGTGCCTTCTCTTCTGACACTGGTTTATAAATGGCTGATACACACTTTAATCAGTTGCTCAAACTGTGGTTCGTCAATTACCGGTAGCAGGATCATCACCTGGAGTACTCGTTAAGAATGCAGATACCTGCTTGTCGCCCCAGACTTCCTGAATAAAAATATCAATGTGGGATGCAATGCATGAAAATCTGAAATTTGTAACAAGCATAATTGATAGTAATATTGAGAACAAGTGTTTAGACCTGTGCCTAAACTTCACCCAGTTTAGTTACACCAGATATGCTTGTCAAATCATTGGAATACAGGTTAATGTATTAGGCTTGAACTAAGAGACGTGGTGTCATAGCTCATTGGAATCTAAAGAAAATTAGTCTGAGTTTTTTCTTTCTCCTAATGTATCCCCTTTAATTCTAGTTTCTCTAGGTTCAAAAGAAAGAGGAGTGAAGAGGAGTAAAACACACATCTATTAAAAAGCAAGAAGATTAAATAAATTGAAGCTTTTTATTTCTCTTTCTCTGCCTAAGGTAAGTCCAACAGTGTTTAAAAACCTAAGTTTGTGTTTTGTTGCAATGTAAAATAGGTCTCTTGTATAGCCTGCTTGTTTTAATATCAAAAAATAGCCGTGTGAAGCCCCAAGCAAGCAGGGAGGGAGGGTGCAGCACAATCTGCAAAAAGATGACTATTTTACAAATTTAAGCATCTCACATACAGGCATCCATCAATAAGACTGTAGTGATATCACTGCTCGCTGCAATGTTGTTATAAATATGTTGCAGTGAGCATTGCTGCAGGTCTTAAGGCTCTGTATGACTCTGTTTGGGGAGAATAAAATAGGATTTTACAACATCTGATCTCAATGCATTTTGATTCTAGTGACGCATTTGTGAGCATGACTGTCAAAGAAGCAAATAAGCATGTAGAAGGTGACTTTATGGCGGCATCCATAAAGAAAATTGAAGTGGGGGAAGTGGCAACGTTTTGGGTAATTCAGGAAAGTGAGGGAAATATATAGTTTGGATTCTGAATTATTTATTCAGGCTTTCTATGTTAATCCAATCCATCTTAGTTGTTACTCAATTTTACATTTCCTGTGTAGCTGTAGGCTGTAATATGTTCCTTTTAGTGTGATCCTAGTAGATTCACAGTCAGTGGGCTGAATGGGCTTTCCTTGTCTTCTCATTTGTATGCAATGATAATTATGGTTGTAGTAAACATTTATTGAACATTTATGTGCCAATCACAGCTCTAATTACTCTACTGCTCATTCATCCTTTATAATGGCTCTATGAGGTAGATATTAACATTTCCATTTTATAGATGAAGAAAACAAGACTCAGACGACTCAAAAAATTTGCACAACTGCAAGTAGCACATCTAGAGTTCAAAATTGCTTGACTAATTTTAAGGCTCTGCTTTTTATCTGCTACACTATGCTGAGAGCTGTGAAAATGAGGTTTGATTCAAAGGCAACCTTAGTGTTGTTTTCGGTCCTCATTCTATAGCTTAATTCATAGCAAGTAGCATATAAGAAAAAACTGTGAGGATGAAACACAACGGCACCGAGTGTGGGATCTAGTTTTCTGAAAAGCCTCAGAGGAGTCAGGTATTGCAACTTGCAAAGATGTGAGGGATGAGGATTGCTCAATGGAATATGAAAGGTGGAAGAGACCTGGGCAGATTAATTTCTCCACCTTCCTCTCTCTAACAGACTGCCCCAAGATGTGATTCTTCTTTGCAGTCTTTCTGGAGAAGTTGTATGTGACAAGCAAACATATCTCCTGAGTGTCCTGTTGGTCTCGTGGCAGCTTGTTGTAAAGTGGAGAAACATCATTTCACATCACTTTTTCTTTGCCTCACTTCTCTCTCTCTTTTTTTTTTTTTTTTTTTTTTTTTTTTTATCTCACCCTCACTCTTTTGGGCTTACACCTTCCAAATAAAAGGTATGCTACCATAATGGGGTGCTCGATGGGGTGCCTCATGTAATACTTCTTAAAGTTCTGAGGCTGAAACAGTAATCAATATATGCATAGGCCTTGTGTGCCAGACCCATTGTGTCAGACACATTAACTCACTTACTCCTGGCAAAAAACTTAATGAAATACTATCATTATTATCATTCCCATTTTACAGATAAGGAAATTAAAGTACAGAGATGTTAAGTCCTTCTGTGGAATCCAGCATAAAAAGAGGATTTTGTACATGGTGACTGCACATGGACACGTGAATGAATGAATGAATGAATGCAAGCTTGCTCAATGGAATAAAATGGTCGGGAAAATTTCAACTTCTAACATTCACTGGACGCTATCACTTACATTTTTCCATTTTCTGAAGAAAAATCAATCCAGCATCTAGCAAAATACATTGCACAGATTAGATAATCAACATTTACTTGTTAAAATAATGCATACAATATTTTCTAAGCTCCATTTTTGGGGGTGAGACAACAGATACAAAATATTTTTCTAAATATTAATGGTTGCACAGACATACAAGGGATTGAATAACATGGCTCAAGGAGCTCAGACTATGAGGGAAGATACTAACTTGAAAGATACTTTGCTACACCTTTGCTTTGTTTACCTGAAATAGAGCTTAGCTGCTGAAATTCAAAGTTCCTTAGGATTATAACACCAACAACGAATAAAACAAATAAAAGATACTGCTATGAAAATCAATGTGGTATCCAGAAAAATAAATAGCCAAGAAATGAAGCATTTTTTTGTGCTCTATAAATTTTTCTTAGCATCATTTGTAGTTGGTCCTTTGCTAATGGTCTTTGTTTCCTGTTTGATGTGACTGCTAGTGGTATACTGGCCCATGTTCAAGTATTGATGAGAGCTTTGAGGGACTTGAGAAGGCTTAAAGATTCAGCAAGGATTGGAAACAAATGACTGGAGAGTAAAAATGATACAAGGGTGCCAAAGCTTAACCTAAAGCTTCAGTTTTCTGATATGGTTGATGATTCCTATTTCCTTAGATATTTCTGCATTTTTTCCTTTTTTTCCCAAATTCTTCCATCTGGTTTTTAAATGAGTTGATTTTGTGTAAAAAATGGAATATCAGAACTTGGAATAAAATTTCAGTTAAGCCCAGTTTATTTTTACCATATTATAGATGATTTCCTGAAAAGTCTTTACAGCCTTAGAGCCAAGTTTTTAAAGCCTGTCATTTTCCATTGCACTGTAATCAGGCATCTACCTGACAAACTATTTCTATACCTCTGTGTAAGGAAAGTTGTGGATGTGGTCATTTCACCTTTGGGGAACTCTTGTAGACTTTGTCAGATGCTAGTTGAATCTTACCATCAGTAAAGCTAGAATATCCATGTTGATTTTTAAGATCCAGTCAAATCCTAAGCTCCAAAGTGGTCTCCTTTGACTCCATGTCTCACATCCAGGTCATGCTGATGCAAGAAGCGGGCTCCCATGGTCTTTGGCAGCTCCACCCCTATGGCTTTGCAGAGTACAGCCCCTCTCCTGGCTGTTTTCATGGGCTGGTGTTGAGTGTCTGCAGCTTTTCCAGGTGCACAGTGAAAGCTATCAGTAGATCTACAATTCTGGGGTCTGGAGGACAGTGGTCTTCTCATAGCTCCACTAGGCAATGCCTCAGTGGGGACTCTGTGTGGGGGCTTGTACCCACATTTCCTGCCCACACTGCCCTAGCTGAGGTTGTCCATGAGGGCTCCACCCCTGTAGCACACCTCTGTCTAGACATCAGGCATTTCCATACCTCTTCTGAAATCTAGGCAGAGGTTCCCGAAGCTCAATTCTTGACTTTATGCACCTGCAGGCCCAACACCACATGTAAGCCACCAAGGCTTGGAGTTCGCATCCTCTGAAGCAACAGCCTGAGCTCCACATTGTCCACTTTTAACCCATGGCTGGGTTGTAGGGCACCAAGTCCTAAGACTGCACAAAGCAGCAAGGCCCTGGGCCCAGCCCACGCAACCATTTTTCCCTCCTAGGCCTCCTCACTTGTGATGGGAGGGACTGCTGTGAAGACCTCTGACGTGCCCTGGAGACATTTTCCCCATTGTCTTGGTGATTAACATTTGGTTTCTCATTATTTATACGAATTTCTGCAGCAGGGAATTTCTCCTCAGGAAATGAGTTTTTCTTTTCTATCACATCATCAGGCTGCAAATTTTCTGAACTTTTATGCTCTGCTTCCCTTTTAAACATAAGTTCCAGTTCCAAACCATATCTTTGTGAATACATAAAGCTGAATGCTTTTAATGGCACCCAAGTCAACTCTTGGACACTTTGCTGCTTAGAAATTTCTTCCCCCAGATACCCTAAATCATCTCTCTCAAGTTCAAAGTTCCACTGATCTCTAGGGCAGGGGAAAAATGCCACCAGTCTCTTTGCTAAAACATAGAAAGAGTCACCTTTATTTTAGTTCCCAACAAGTTCCTCATCTCCGTCTGGGACTACCTCAACCTGGACTTCATTTTCCATATCACTATCAGCATTCTGGTCAAAGCCATTCCACAAGTCTGTAGGAAGTTCCAAACTTTCCCACATCTCCCTGTCTTCTTCTGAGCCCTCCAAACAGCTCCAACTTTGCCTGTTACCCAGTTCCAAAGTTGCTTCCACATTTTCGAGTATCTTTATAGCAGGAGCCCACTCTTGGTACTAGTAAGCTGGTACATTCTCATGCTTCCAATAAAGACATACCCAAGACTGGGTAATTTATAAAGGAAGTAGGTTTAATGGACTCATAGTACCATATGGCTGGGGAGGCCTCACAATAATGGTGGAAGATGAAGGAAGAACAAAGGGACTTCTTACATGGTGGTGGGCCGGAGGGATTTTGCAGGGGAACACTCATTTATAAAGCTATCAGATCTCGTGAGACTTATTCACTATCGCAAGAACAGCATGAGAAAGACCCACCCAAGAACTCCCACTGGGTCCTTCCCAAGACACGTGGGAATTATGGCAGCTGCAATTCAAAATGAGATTTGGGTCTGGACATAGCCATACATTGTCACCCACTATGATGGTGGATTTATCTAATTTATTTTTAACTTCTTATTTTAAAATAATAGAGTGACAGGAGTTGCAAAAACAGTACAGAGATTCTGCCTATGCTTCGCCCAGTTTTCCCCTATGGTTATATTTTTATATAACTATAGTATATAATCTCTACAAGGAAATTGACATTGGTACAACGTGTGTGCCTAGACCTGTGTCATTTAATTGCATGTGTAGATTCCTCAACACTGCTTCCACTGCAATTAAGACACAGATCTATTTAGGGGGATAGAAGATTAAGGTCTTCTATTCTCTTTTATAATCATATTCAAATCCTGCCTACTGCCATCCCCTAACCCCTGGCTACCACCAGGCTCTTTTCCATCACTATAATTTTGTCATTTTGAGAATGTTATATAACCTGAACCTCAAAGTATGCAGCCTTTTGAGATTGGCTTTTTAATTCCAGCATAATACTTTTGGGACACATCCAAATTTGTTGTATTAATAGTTTACTGTTTTTTGTTGCTGATGGTGGTGCATGGTATGGATGTACCACATTTTGTTTAACCATTTAGCTATTGAGCAACATGCTGTCAGTTTTTGGCTATTGAAAATGAAGCTGTCACTAATATTTGTTACAGGTTTTTATATGGGCATACGGTTTATTTTTTCTGGATACATGTCCAGAAGTACAATTACTGGGTCCTCTAGTAAGTGTATGCTTAGTTTTTTAAGAAACTGTCAAACTATTTTCCAGAGCAGCTGTACCATTTGGCATTCTGCCAGCAATGTATAACAGATCCACTTTCTCTGCATCCTTGCCAGCATTTTCTATTGTAAATATTTTTTATTTTACCTGTTGTAATAGAAATTTTTAACAGAATAGATCATCATTTCTTATTATGGTCTTTATGTACATTTCCCTAATGAATAGTGAAGTTGAACATCTTTTTATGTGCTTATTTGCCATCTGTATATCCTCTTTGCTAAAATGTCTCTTCATGTCCTTTGCCCATGTTCTAACGGATTTCTTCATTTTTACTGTTGAGTTTTGGGACTGTTTCAACTTCCCTAATCTGCACCCGGAGTCACCCCAAAGGGGCAGCAGAAGAGTTTCCACAAAGGAGTGCCCGAGCCTTCCAGAGATGAAGCTGGTTGAGATTCCAAAAAAGGAAGCACTGAATGCTGGGGTGATAAGTCCAAAGCATTTATTAAGGGAACTTACAGCATGCTGCAGAAGTCCTCACTACTGACAGCAAGAGAAAAAGGGTGTTCTATCTGAGATGTCCACAGTGAGGAGTTCAGGGTATGGACTTTATATGAGGGTTTAAAGAATTTGGCTTGGGACCACATTAATTTCTTTCAGTGATTTGAGCAACAACCTAGATACCTTTATTAGTACCTGAAAATGTTCAAGGCTCCAGTTTGCATTCAAGCCAGCTAGGAAAAACCTGCAGCTCTCTGGGTCACAGAGCTGTCAATGCACTCTGTGATCTTTGGTCAGGACATGGAAAGAAATTCGGGGGACTACAATTTACACCCCTGACTGGCTCTTATTATTTCACACACCCATCTCTTCTGAGATGTTCCCTGAGCTGGCAGGAAAGGGTGGAATTGCTTGTCAGGTCCTTTTCCCTAACTTTATGACACATTGCCAACAAAACAGCAACAGTAAATACAGGTGCATGTGACGAGACCTAAAATCACAGTTCCCAAAAGGCTTACTAGCAGTGCTTTTCACTGAGGCTCCAATTCTGAAAACTATGATTTTATTGTAGACCACCAAGAGTCAAACCCCTGTGGTCAATTAGCTGTAATTGCTTTTAAAAATGAAGAGGGATTGATTAATATCAGTTTCTTTGTCTGGCATATATACACAATGCTCAGTTTTTAAAAGGGCACAGATTCCTCCCTGCTCAGCTGTCAGCATTTCTAGAGCTATTCAGTTCTGTAGGACACTTTCCTCATTGTGGCTGTTTCAATGTTGAAGGACTCCAAACCATGCTCAGTGTCATTCAGAGCTCTGGAGACACATCTCTGAAGGGCTTCCACCTTCTGCACAATATCAACAGAGCTTTCCAGGGGTACAAATACAGTCAATCAGTCATCCCACCAAAAACAAACAAACAAACAAACAAAAACAGACCCACTTCACCAACCCCTACAGATGGGCTCAGTGAGGGGGACAGGGATAGGGTCAGAGATCCTGCAGGGTACCTACATGAAGCCAAGGGCATATCATCCAAGCCATCTTAGGAGAACCTAGGGTCAGAGGTGAGTACTACTGAGCTACTGGTCACCAATCAAGGCAGTCCAATATGTTGCTGCCCTACAAAACCAGTCTGTGGCAAACCAGTCTGTGTCCCTAAGTATAACAATGTGTTTTCATCCAGCAGTTGGGAGGAGCCCTAGTATCTGGTATTGTTTACCTGAGTGTCCTTGGAGTGATTACTTTGTTCCTGACAGATCTCTGTAACCCCAGAGAGCATCCCTGCTGTAGGGGTGAGCCACACAAAGCCATCCCCCATTTGCCAGTACGATCCCTATTGCAGGGATGTGGTGCTCTTCAGGGAAGTCCTGGCTTTGGTTGTTGCCTCCCTGTGGGACATGTTCAGGGAAGAAGTTACATTGTGTTCAGGGTTGCTGGATGTCGCATCCCTATCGCATTTGCATGCATGTCAGAGGTATCTAGAGTACCCATTTCCATGTGTTGTTCAGTTACATGGGTTTGTACATAGTGGCTCAGTCTACCAGAGCATTCCTCCTTAGCTACTCAGGGGCATAAGGCCGTGTATCTGCCAATTAGATCAGCCTTGGCTATGGGCTGTGTGATGGGTCCAGGCCAGGAAAACATTTTCAGAGGATATCCGAGCTCTGGAGGGGATGATATAACCGCAAAGAAGAAGGCAGCTCAAGCAAACAGCAAAAAGACAAAAAAAAAAAAAAAAAAAAAGATTAGGAATACAGGCTAGGACCTCCTGCCCTAACTGTGTAATAAAACTTGTACTAGAATCCCCCTCTGCAATAATCTCAGAAGCCTTGGGAACATTTCCAGGAGGGATATACAGACCTTCTGTCCCAGTGCGAGAGGTGTTGTAGACTCCACAGTGATAGTCTGGGTGAAATCTACTGTACTAGTGCCACTTTGGTGCCCAGCGGTATGGGGGCACTGCCTGCCCACTGTCAGTGTGTCTCCCCAGGCCCTTCATGGAAAAGGAAAGTGGGGGTCAAGTCCAGGGCAGTGGCGGCCTCCCACCTCATGGGAAGAAGGATTACTAGTCCAGTGCAGTGGTACTTTCTACCCCAGATCTCACTTCAGGATTCCCTGCCCAGGGGTTATGGGACAAGGAGAGCACAAAATCAGTCCAGTCCATGTGGGACTGAATTCCAGGCTTAGTTTTTTTCCATACCCCTGTGGCTTGCACCTGGCTTTATATATCCATTACATGTTCATAAGCCAACTTTCCTCCCATAATGGGAGCTTCATTCAAGGCACATATGACTTCCATTTAAACCACAGTCCAATTTCTCAATGAGGGGAGTCCTGTCAAGAGCTTAATTTGTTCTTTGAAGAGGTCATTTTTTCCTCTGTAACAGTCCTGCTTCCTGTGGGCTGTAGGGCAGATGAAATCGTCATGTCATGCCCTCCTTCTCTGCCCAATCTTGGATGAGGGAGCCTGGGAAATGGTTCCCTTGGTCACTGATGATTGTTTTTAGGGTACTAGACATTAGTTGCAAGCATTGCAGACTCTATATAGTCAAGGTCTGATTTGCTTTTCAGTGGAGGAAAGCTTGCAAAGGGCCACTCAGTGTTTATGCATGTCAATGTATATTGGTATCCCTTACCATTTAGGGAATGGGCCAATAGAATCTAGTTGCCATGTGTCAATGGCTCTCTCCCTTCTTTTTACATTTCCAGTGGTGGCCTCTGGTGCTTGCTGAGGAGGGGTCTGGCAACAGTTGGGCCAATTTTGTATTGTCTTTTCTCTGTCTTGTTTGGACACTAGTAAGCCAGAGTGCTTGGCCAATTTCCAAATAGTATGCAGAACCCCTGTGAGCTCCCTTCTGATGTATTCAATATGCTATACCTGCTTCTTCAGGTGACCACTGACCAGGTTTGGGACAGAGTTTCTGCTTTCATATTTCTACAGGGGGTGACTGTTGGTGAGCTACTATGTAGAACACTGCGACTTTAGCCTTGGTTGTTGTAATCGGTCCTAAATGTCTGTTCATAGTTCTGCCCCCAAAGTGGCCTTCCATTTATGGACCATTGATCCTTTTCCTATAGAGTTATCCACAGTGTCAACCCTTTCACAGATGCTCAGGAATCAGTACACAGAGCTACTGGGTGTGGCTCTTTCATAATCACTATCCAGACAGCTCAGGGCTCTGCCCACTGGCTGCTATACCCTGTTCCAGACTGCACCCATATGGTGTGGATAGTTGGTTGCGTAGCCACGGAAGTCCATCTGTGTCGCTGACCCACATTGGAGTCATCTGTGTACCAAGCACCCTTGGGTGGGTTTTTTTCTCCTTCCTTTATTTGATAAGATTTCTCTGGGGGTGGTGTTGGGACTGATTTTAAATCTATAGTTTATTGTCTAGGTCCCATCAGGGCCTATAGTTTTATAGACAGAGGGCTGGATGTAAGATGCCTGCTCTGCTGGAGATCTGTATGACCCCTAACCAGAGTACCATTTTGTGCTACAGCTGATGTGGACATGGCAAATAGGCCAGCCACTCAACGCTTAATAGGGTAAGCTGTTTTTAATTCCACCGATGTATCTCCAGTTAGTGACACTGTTTGCAAGATGGCCTGGTTAACTGCAAGGAACTATTTTTCCAACAGGAGATAGCATTGTTCAGGCCCGCTGAACAATCGCGAGCAGAAGCTAAAGGGCATTTGCTGGTTGCTCTCCCTCTGCCAGAGGGCCCAACCTATTCCTTCCTCAGTCACAGAAATATCTAATTCAAATGTTTTTGCAGGGGTGAACATTTGTAGGGCTTGTGGTTACATCACTAAGGCCTTTGCCTGAGTAAACACTTCTTCTTTTTTAATGCTCCAGTCCCAATGTACCCCCATCTTTATCAGGCAGTATAAAGGCCTGAGACATTCGGCCAAGGGGAAATGAAGGTCCTTCAATATCCTAGCAGACAAAGGGTTGTAGTTCTTTAACTGTTTGGGGCCATGGGTATACCTGAATCTACTCAATCGCAGCTGTTAGCAAACCTAAGTCTTACTCAACAAACCATGCGCAGGAATTTTATGATGCCCCTGGCCTCTGGACTTTCTGTGGGTTGATGGCCCATCCTCTGGACCACAGGTGCTCTAGAAGCTTTTGGGTAGCCTGTGCAAAATATTTAAATCTGTATAAATTAGCAAAATCTTTATGTAATGTTCCTGGTGAATGCTGAGCATATCACCTATTATGATTTGGATATGGTTTGTTTGGCCCTGCAAAGTCCGTGTTGAAATTGTATCCCTCATTTTGGAGTGGAGCCTGGTGGGAGGTGTTTGGATCGTGGCGGGGGATACTTTGTGAATGACTTGGTACCATTCTTGGGGGGGTGCATAACTTCTTGTAGTTCACATGAGAACTGGTAATTGAGAAGAGCATGGCACTTTCCCTCTCCTCTCTCTTCCTTCCTCTCTTGCCATGTGATGTCTGCCCCCCTTCACCTTCTGTCATGAGTGGAAGCAGCCTGAAGCCCTTACCAGAAGCAGATGATGGCGCCATAATTCTTGTACAACCTGCAGAACCATGAGCCAAATAAACCTCTTTTCTTTATAAATTACCCACCCTCAGATATTCCCTTTATGGCAACACAAATGGACTAAGATATCACCCAAAACCTCCAGGTCACCAGCCATCAAACCAGGCACAGTAAGGCAATAAAAGCACCCCAGGAGAGCACTTTAAAAATTCATTGTTGGCCCTCCTAGATGAAGGCAGGCATGTCCTGGGACTTTGGATCTAAAGGTGTGCTAAAGAAAGTGTTTGCTAAATCCAGGACAGTACACATATACCTAAACAAGGAGTCAGCCTGTCCACTATATGAGCCACATTTGATACAGCAGCATGTAGAGATGGAGTCCCCTTATGCATTCCCAGTAATCAGCTGTCATCCTCCAGGTGCCATCAGGATTTCACACCAGCCATATAGGGCTGTTTGGGCTCTGTGCTGGATGCACAATCTCCACCCTCTCCAGTTTCTGAATAGTCACTATTATCTCTCTGTGCCTTCCTGGGAGATGACAGTGTTTGATACATACCACCTGTCTTGGGCAGAATAATACCACCAGCTCCCATCTAGCCTCCTTTTGGAGCATGACTCTTAGTATCCTTACCTAGAGATGGAATTAACCTTTAGTTGTTTCAAGGGCGGGTCCTAGGAGAGTATCTATCCTCACAATGTTCTCAGGGGTTGGGGAGATACAGAACCACCATGGGGTTGGTGTAAGATGCCTAATTTGTAACAGTAGATGTGCTCATCTCACAGAGATGCATGTATCTCTGTATCCATCTCTATACATTAGGAGCAGTGCATTCAGCTCCTGTATCTGCCAGAACTGAAATTCTTTGTTTTAAGGGGACCAGTGAATCACTATTTCTATGTGGGGCCTTTGGTCCCCCTAAACGGCTCTATGTTGAGAAGAACTTTGGCCGTCCTGTCACGGTAGGGGCTGTGGTGCTCACTACCCTTTTACCTTGGATTCTTCTTCCAGAGGTAGTGCTGAGGGTTTAGGATTAATCTTAGGCACACTGCTGCTTGGGCTTTAGGACTTGTCAAAGTCTAAGGAAAACTGCATTGAGTTGTTTGTCTATTTTCTCTCTCTCCATACCTGTCTTCAGAAGGTCTTGCCATATTTTACTCCTTGACATCCATTTTGCTGTATCTCTATCTTTTCCCTTTCCTTGTCTCCTTAAGTTCCCCCCATCATTACAGCACTCCTCACTTAAGCTGCACTGCCGTAGTTTCGAATTCCCTTATTTCAACCAGAGCTCCTGCTAAGGGACTTAAGATGGGAAGAAGTGTTTGCTACCACCCAGGCAGAGCGGCCTTTAGGAACATATTGCACATACTGGCCATGAATGTGGCATTATTATGCCCCTGGAAAGCAGGGGCATAGATGGCTACCTGCATTGCCAACTCGTGAAACAAAGCCTGTGTCTCCTCAGTTGTCTTCCAAGGTGCTGGATCCCCAGGTGTATACCCCTTGGATGGCCAGGCTTCCCTACAGGTTAGGGTGTGTCCGTCTATCCCAGGAATAGCAGAGGAGCCATGTAGGCATTGCCCAATAGAAGGATGAGCTGTAACACTGATAATCTTGATGGCATCATTTCCAGACAGAACCACCCCATCGGTGCCACTATCCCATAATCTTCCCATCCAAGTGGCTAAGAACTCCTTCGGGTTCTGCCAAAAGTGGCTAGCCAGATCCATTAACTCTATAGGAGTATATTCGCTCAGGGGGTATGTTTGATTGGCAAGTAGTGGAGGGCCTCAGGCTCCTGCCTGGTGGGCTTACTTTAATTTACTTTGTGTGATGGAGTGAGTCCTCAGACATTCCCCTCCATTATCTGGATCTGTCAGACACTTTCACTGTCTAAGGGTTACCATTTTTTGGCATCCCAACTGGGGGACTGGATAATGGCAGGGCTTTAGGTATTTTCTCACCACATCACTTGGCATAGCAGCATGCCATTGTGTTCATCCTCCCCTTCTTCCACTTTATCCAGCCTGTTGGGAACTGACAGAGTGGAGCGTACATCCCTTTCCAGTTGTAATTTCTCCTCTAACTTGCCCACCTTCCTTTCTGCTGCCAGTGAAGCCTCTGTTGCTAGGTGGATGGCCACAACAGAAGTCAGACTTTCCCAGTTGCTAGGAACCTGGCCTCCTTGCTGGCCATTTGCAATTTTAAACCCTCCATAAGGCTAATCAAGCAAGCTGGAATTTTTGGAGCACCTTGGTATTCCTAGGGAGGCCTGCAAGTATGGAGCAAGCTGGCCACAGAAGCCTCACATAGAACCTTGCACCATTACAGGACGTCCCCGGTCAGTTCCTCTTTGCCCCAGCCCATTTCTTTGGGGTCCTGTTGACCAAATGTCAATTGTTTCATCCTGCCTAACTGCTTTTGGGACTCTCCCCAAAAGCAGAAGCAGGGGAATTTCCACAAGAGAGTGCCCCAAACTGTGCTGAGATCGGGCTAGTTGGGATTCCAACAAAGAAACACTAAATGCCAAAGTGATCAGTCCAAAACATTCACTAGGGGAACTTAGAGTGCTGCAGTGGTCCTCATGATGAACAGCAAGAGAAAAGGGGTGTTCTACCTAGGATGTTTGCAGCCAGGGCTTGGGGTATGTACTTTATGTGAAAGTTTAAGGAATTTGGCCCAGGGCTGAGACCACTTTCTTTCAGTGCTTTGAGCAACAACATAGATATCTTTATCAGTGCCTGGGAATGTTCAAGGCCCTGGTTTTCCCCCTGGGAAAAAATCTGAAGCTGGCTGGTCACAGAGCAGTAAAGGCACTTCATGATTTTTGACCAGGACACAGAATAAAGGTGGGAGGAACTGGAGACTCTGCAGACTTCTTTATGTATTCCAGATAATAAGAGTGCTTTACCAGATACATGGATTGCGAATATTTTCTCCCAGTCTATAGCTTGTCTTTTCATCCCCTTAATAGGGTCTTTGGCAGAGCAAACATTTTAAATTTTGATTAAATTCAATTTATTGATTTTTTTTTCTTTTATGAAATGGGCTTTTGTTGTGGAGCCTAAGAATGCTTCACAGAAATGTAGGTCCTAAAGATTTTCCCTTATGTTTTCCTTTAAATGTGGAAAAGCGTTACAGTTTTAAGCTTTACATTTAGGTCACCTGTCCATTTTGAAATAACTTTTCTGTAAGGTGTGAGTTTTAGTTTGAATTCATTTTTTTATCTGTAAATAAGTACTTGCTCCAGTAACAATTGTTGAAAAGATGATTTTTTCCTCCACAGAACAGATTTTGGACCTTTGTGAAAAATCAATTGGCTATACTTTCGTGGGTCTATTTCTGGGTTTTATTTTTATAATTCCGTTAATTTCTGTACCTACATTTACAGGTACACACACATTTGGAATTATGTCTTCATTTGTGTTAAGCTTTTTATTCATAGTGTGGTTACCCTCTTAGTTTCTGGTAGTTTATTTTGACCTAATGTCCATTATGTTTTATATTAATATAGACATTATAGATGTTTCAGCTTTTTAAAATTAATATTTGCTCAATAAATCTTTTCAATTCTCCTTCTTTTGACCCTCCTGTGTCTTAATGTTTTGATTTGCCTCTTATAAACAGCATGTGGCTAGAATTTTATTAATTTACTTTGACAATTTATTTTATTTTATGAGACAGGGTCTCAC
Source organism: Homo sapiens (assembly GCF_000001405.40). NCBI lineage: Eukaryota > Metazoa > Chordata > Mammalia > Primates > Hominidae > Homo > Homo sapiens. Next base: position 5,855,110 of record NC_000003.12, read on the forward strand.
TCTGTTGCCCAGGCTGGGGTGCAGTGACACAATCTCCACTCCCTGCAACCTCTGCCTCCCAGGCTCAGGTGATCCTACCACTTCGGCCTTCCCAGTAGCTGGGACTACAGATGTACACCACCAGGCCTGGCTAAATTTTGCATTTTTTGTAGCGACAGGGTTTTGCCATGTTGCTCAGGCTGGTCTCAAACTCCAGACATCAACTGATCCTCTCGCTTCAGCCTCCCAAAGTTCTGGGATTACAGGTGCCAGCCACCCTGCCCAGCCAATTTATGTTTTTTATCTAAAGCATTTAATCCATTAAAAAAAAACTACTTGTATTTTGGGATGTGCTTCCATCATCTTATTTTGTGTTTTTTTATTTGTCTTACCTTTTCTGTTGCTCATTCTTTTCTTGCCTTCTTTTATATTTTCTTTTCTCATTCAATTTTTCCCTATACTGTTTTAGAAGTTAATTTTATTTTTATTCTGTTATTGTCACTCTAGTATCTTAACATGCACACTTAATTATTAAACATAAAACTAATCAACACCTTTACCCTTCTTTGCAACAGAAAGACGTTGGAACACTGCAAGTACAATTTATACAATATTATTTTCTATTTGTGATTTCTTAATCTTATAGGATATTGTTATATATGATCAATGTTTATACTTCCCATCATATTTTCAACATTTATTGCTCATTATTTTTCCTTATATTTTTCACCTTTCATCTGGAATCATTTTCCTCCTGTCTACAGTACACTTTTCCAAAGTCCCTTGAATACAAATCTGTTGGTGGCAAACTCTTGGTTTTTATTCATTTCAATAGGTCTTGATTTTACCTACGTTTCAAAAAGATATTTTTTGATTAGTATACAATTCTAAGTGGAGTTAATTACTCTAAGCACATTGAAGACATTATTACAGTCCTAATGGCTTCTACTGTTTCTTTTGAGATGCCAGCTGCCGGTTCAGTTTCATTCATTTGAAAATAGTACACCTTTCCTGTCTAACTGATTTTAGGATCTTCTCTTTGTCTTTGTGTTCTGCCTAGTCAGTATCATGTATACAGGTGTGTATTATTTTGTTTCTTTCCTTTTTATTGGCATTGTGAAATGAATAAATTGCCTTTCCTCGATTCCAAAAAGTTTTTTCTGTAATCTCTTCGAATATTATCTTTTTATTCTTTCTTTCCTCCTTTTGGAATTCTGATTAAATGTAATTTGTATATTTCAATTCCATTTTGTCCTATTTTTGTCACATTTTCTATTGCTATGAGCTTGTCCTGGTTCTTCTTTGCAAAAAATGCTTAATCCTTTTGTCATTGTTTGTTCTGACTCATATTTTCAATTTCTTATTTCATTCATCATAGTCATCATTTTATAATCTGTATTTTATAATTCTAATACACAATATCTTTATCAATCTATTTCTGCTTGTTCTTCCTCTGGTGATTTATTTCCTGTGTGTTTCATGATTTATATTATTTTAGTTAACTTTGTGGAAATTTTTGAGGCCTCAGTTGAAAATGAATTCTCCCGGAAAGAATTCGCATTTGTTTTATCCAGGAACCTGGGTGGTACTATGAAAACTAATCAAAATTTTAGACTTGAGGTTTTTAGGATCAACTAGGGGGTATAAATTGGGCTTCAAACCCATAGGGTCTGATTTGAGGACATAGACTTTCAGAATGGATTTCTTATACTTCTGTACTTCGTACTACATTTTAAGATGGGTTGGTTTTCTGCAACCTCCTGCAGAGCTAGGCTTATTTATCATTACCCTAAAACTCATTTTAGCTTAATGCGGGGAGTTCCTAGAAAAATCCTTTTCCTCTGGCTAAATGGATGAGAATTGTTCTATCCTATGCAGCCTGAGAGGTAGTGACAATTAAAGTTGAAGTTCACCAGGATCAGCAAATACTCCAAAGTTAAAAGCCAGCTTTAGTCTTTTTTAATTTACTTTTTGGTCTTTTGAGTATTCCTTACTTTGTTTCAACTTATTTGTACCTTTAAAAAGTTTTATTTAAAGCCAGATGTGGTGGCACATGCCTGCAGTCCCAGCTGAAGCTGAGGCAGGAGGATCACTTGAGCCCAGGAGGTAGATGCTACAGTGAGCTATGTTTATGCCACTGCACTCTAGCCTGGGCCACAGAGTGTGAAAAAAAAATAATAATAATAACAAAAAAACCCCAAAACAACCAAACAAACAACACACATTTTTTTAAGATTTTTTTTCTCTTTTTTTAGTGACAACTTTTTGATTTTATTTTATTTTTTAAGTTCAGGGGTACATGTGCAGGTTTGTTACATAGGTAGACTTGTAACATGAGGGTCTGTTGTACAGATTATCTCATCACTCAGGTATTAAGCCTAGTACCCATTAGTTATTTTTCCTGATCCTCTCCCTCCTCCCAACCTCCACCTTCTGATAGGCCCCAGTGTGTGTTGTCCTCCTCTTTGTGTCCATGTGTTCCCATGATTTAGCTCCCACTTACAAGTGAGAACATGCAGAGTTTGGCTTTCTGATCCTGTGTTAGTCTGCTAAGGATAATAGCTTCCAGCTCCATCCATGTCCCTGCAAAAATCTCGTTCTTTTTTATGGTTGTGGTGTTCCATGGTGTATATGTACCACATTTTCTTTATCCAGTAAGACTTTTTTTTTTCACGTAATACACAAAAACTGGAAACAACTCAAATATCAATCAGCAGAAGAATGAATAAATTATCATATTGTATCCATACTATATAATACGATATAGCAATAATTTAAAAAGAACTAACTACACACAACAGCCAATTACACACAACAAGATAGATGAATCTCTCATTTTGTTGAGTGAAAAAAAACCTAGAAGCTAAAAAGAGCATATTGCATAATTCCACTCAGATGATGTCTAAGAGTAGACAAAAACAATCATTGTTAATAGCAGCCATATTACTGGTTATCCTGAGTTGGGGGAATGTTGGTTATTGACTGAGGGGGACATGGAGGAAATGTATGGGGCTCTAGAAATAGTCTAGGTCTTGATCTGGGTGGTGGTTATATAGGTATACAAGCTTACCTAGCTGTACACTCAGGATTAGTGCACTTTACACACTTTAATGTGTGTATCTTGTACCTCAATAAGATAAAAAATATGTAATGCTCCAGTTTTCATTGGTTTGGCCAAAGTACCTCATCTGCCTTACTACTGCATATAGAAATCCAAGTGCTCTACAAATATAAAGCATTTATATTCGTTACCTATATTGCCAGTGTGAAGTAAAAGATTGGACAGTTATTTAAAGAAGGCAATGAGAATATAAAACTACCACCTCTCCTTTTTTAGCAATAGGGTTTTTAAAATCATAACTTAAACTCCACACTTCATTTTGCTTTTATAGTCAGTATCTGAATGAGCAGAAACATTTCCTAGAGAAAATGTGTTAAAACAAAGTATTAAGTAATATAATTGCAGATATAATTTCTAAAGGTATAGTAAAGCTATGATTTTTGTAACAAAAGTCTTGAAAATAAATATACTTTTAACTCTTTAATAAATGTTGCTAGGAAGACCACAGGCAGTTAGACTTGAAGGAATGTGATTAATTTTTCTAGTGTCTCCTATTTCTAGAAACCTATATAATTTCTACTGCTGCACACTCAGGGCATTTTTTCATGTCTAAATGCAATTTATCTATAAACTATTTTTGTGTATAGCCATTTATTAATAGAGAAGAGAAGATTTATTTTATTGGCAAAAGGAAATATGTAGCTAAATGGGTATATTTATGTATTTAATAGCCATTGTTTACACATTTGCTAACAGGATCATTAATTGCTTTTGCAAATGAGACTCATGAAGTGGGTAACAAATTGTAGATGAGACAAGATGCTTATCCTCAGCATACTGAAGCTTGAAACCAACATTTATTAGCAGGATTATCCACATGTCCTTATACATCTTTGTCTTCCTCAGCATGTTCAGCAAAGTGCCTAGCACATAACAGGCTCTCACAATGTTTGTCAAATAAATAAACAATAATGATAACATGCCCCTCCTTTTAAATCATCTTATTAAAAAAATCATGTTCCTGTTATTTAATAGCTCTCAAATAAGTTTTACAGTAATGGAATGGGAAAAGAAGAATATGATAACCAATATTTTCATGGATCAAAAATAACCATGTACTGCTACCATTTTTTCTAAAGCGAAAAACGCCTCGGGGGTATGAAAGAATACTTTTGTCAATGGAAACTAATTGTTAACTACTTGACATCTGAGCATCAAAAATTGCAAGCAACAAATGTTTACTAAGTACAGTATTTGTGAGACATTCTGCTAGGTGCTGGGATCCTAAAACACATGGATCATTACCTCAGTTTACCTGGAAGCTGGGGCCCTTGAAACGAAGTCGTCTCAACCAACTTTTGGTGTGAATCTCTAAGGGCAACATCAGACAAAATAGATCTAGCTCTTTGACTTAATTAAATGACAATGACATTCCCCAAAGAGTTCTATAATAGTGTTAGTAGAAGAAGTTATGATTTTTGTATTTAGTTTGCTTGTATTTGGTTATTTCCCAAATTACTGCAAGCAAACAGGGCTATTCATTGTGTTTTGCTATATAATTTCTTCCTATTCCTTTGATTCATCAGAAGCCAGACTAGTGCAGTACCTGCTGGATGACATTTAGAAGTACTGGTTTTGCCACAGCAGAGAGACCCACCTTGTTCATTGAGACTGCACTGAATGATCTTTCATAAAGCATAATTTCCAAACACCTTAATTTTAATCATCTAATAATCAAGGGTGGCAGCATGGTTAACCTTGCATGATGATTGTTCTAATGGAACAAGATTATAATCTATGTCAAGTGCCTTGCACTTTACCGGAAACATAAAAAGTTGCTCAATAAATATTAACTGTCATTATTATCTTCTTCGTTGTCATTTATATTATTAAGTAGCAGCTAAGAGTCTAGAGTTTGGAGTTAGACCTGAGATCTTGTCCTGGATCTCTCCCTCAAGAGGCATACAACCTTGAAAGATTCTTCATATCTCTTACCTTCAGTTTTGCCACTTTAAAATTGGGAATAAAAATAGCCCTAATATATTCAATTGTTGTGATAATCAATTGAGATGATGGATACCAACCAAGCCTTTAGTGTGGAGCCTGATACACTGTACGTGCCCAATCTATGAAAGTAATAATGACAATGAGAGCAGATTATTCATCTCTATTATATGGTTCATCTCTGAATTCACAGGGCAAGGCCTGGAGTAGATTCCACCACCCGAATACAATGATGGTTGAATTAAACTAAATTGAGGAACAGACATGGAGGAGAGGTACAATGTGAGATACCCTTATGTGGCATGGGAGCAGACCCATTTAGATCAAGGAACAAGAGAAAAGGAGAGTGATAATCTGACTTGATTAAAATAACTTGTACAGGACTATTTACTACTCCAAGAAAGCCTTGGAAAGTCCTTTACTGAGAACTTCAGCAAATCACATAGGCTTGCAAAACATTAGTGGTAGAATAATTTATTTCCAGTAACTCATTGGAAAAACACACCTAAGAATCAAGACATCTATAAAGCTATTTCAGATTCAAGATTAACTTGGCTTGAGTTACCTGGATATTTGACCCAGTATCTCATTTAAAATCCATGTATTCTTAATGACAACCCGGTGAACTGTCTGAGCATAAACGTACTTAGCTGCGAAAATGAAGACACTGAGAACTCTGTCAAAAGATAGCAGAAAAAAAAAAAATAGCAAAGAACAATGACCTAAATTTGTGCCCTGGTTGTTTTCCTTCCAGTCCTGAGATTTTCATGATCCTAGCAAAAGGCTGTTTACATAACTTCATAGTTGTCTTTTCACTTACATTCTTAGCTTGGAAGTATTTTCCAACAAGAAATGCATCTGGGTCTTTGGCTTGATGGCCATTGTCACATCCTGCCCCTTATTCCTTCAAATCTTTTTTCTACGGTCCACTTACATTTTTGATAGCAAACAGCCTTGTGGACAACTTCAAGTGGTGATGCATATCATATATACCCTGCCTTCTACTTAAACATGCATTAATAAACTATATGATACTGAGAAATGCGGGGAGAGCTTTGCTGTCAGAGGGCTGAATTCTTACCCTTGTCAATATCTTACCCTGAATTAGAGGTTTTTTTCCCCTTACTGCTGTCACTTATAGTTTCTCACATCACAAAGGCAAACCTGGGAAAACACACACACACGAAGATTTCTCACGATCCTGTGGTGGCTGATCTTATTGAGCAAATGAAATCACTTGGAAAATGAGTGGAGAGGGGCACCAGTCAGAATGCAACTCCTGAGTTCATTGTTCATCCTAGGAATTTTGTTGTTGGAGAAAAATAAGTTACTCAAATAAGTAAAACCATTTTTTTCTTTTTATTACTTGACTGCTGAATGTTTTACAGCTTTGTAATTTGGAGAGTGGTTCAACTCCTTTTGTGCCTTACTTTGTCATGCTATATAATTACATCTGCTAAAGCCCAGCATTAAATTCTGCTTTTTGTGCATGCATACTGTTCATCATCATAAATGACATTTCTTTTGGATGATGCCGGTTGCTTAGCACTTTTGTTTTGTATTTTTTTCCATCAGTACCAATCCCAGCAATCAGTTTTACAAGGCATCTTTTTATTGAAATTTGCCTTACTTCCATAAAGAAAAGTTCATTGCAAATGGTACATTATAAAGTCTGTACATGGGGGTTTCAAAGCAACTGTTCATTTCTTTTTCTTTCTTTTCCTTCCTCCTTTCTTACCTCCTTTCTTCCCTCCTTTCCCTCCTTTCTTGTCTGATAAGTATTGATATGTTTCATATACATTGAATTTGAATGAGTGGCCCACATTTTGAAACTGGGACAACTCAGCTGAAGCTGAGTAGAGGCAGCTCTTTAGAGGGGCAGATGGAGCACACATCCTCATTTTTCCATAGTTTTCGTCTTTTCCTCCAGGCTCCCTAACACCTTGCTTGATTAATTCACACTCCCTGCCAGAACCAAGAGGACATTTAGGTTTGTGATCCCCACTCTATGATGAAGTGAGAGTGGCCATTCCTTTATTTTTTTTTTTTCAAGTTAAGAAACCTTCATACATGTATGTTGGATATCCTCAAGAGGTTAAACCCATGCCAGGGTCCATTACTTCCTTAACACCCTGTAGTGTCAACCTTGTGTTGAAACCATTGTACTCCTACACTGTGTCTGAGAGAGTGAATTACCCAGCACTTTTGGAAGACAATATATTGTTTCAGAGACACAATTCTATGGTGTTTTGGTCTGTGTGGCACAGATATGCAACTCCTAGGGACTTAAAGCATCATTTCAAAACTAAAAATAGATAAGCAGAAAAACATTCATTGAAATATTATCTATAACAGCTAAGATTTGAAACAACCCGGAAGGTTCTTAAATGTTAATTAGAAAGACTGTGTTGAAACTTGTAAAGCATGTTAAGTGAAAAGAACAAATGCAAAAATAGCACCCACATTATTACAACTAAGCCTCTAGAGATGTATCAAAATATAGAGTAGCCATGTTAAACATCAGACAAACATCAATTTGTCTTTTTAAAACAAATTGCCCTTAATTTTATTGATTAGTTTACCTAGTAACACATCCTGGGTGAATGCATTTCATCAAGCACGAAACATACCTCCTAGAGGAATTTCCATCCTAGAAAGTTTGGCCTAAGTACCATTTAGGATTTTGCTGAGAAATTCAGACCTCAGGCACTTTAATTCACTCGGAACTAGAGACCTCTTTTCTAGTGCCTATTCTCTATTCTCTCCGCAGACATATAAAGTCCTGTGTGCAAATGAAATCTTGCAATGATTACCAATTTCACAGATTCTTCTCCCTGAACTTGTTTTATCTTGTCACCCTCTTGAACGGGGAGATGCCATTGCCTTTCATCAAGAAAACATGTCAGGACATCTAAATGTAACAAATACTCCCCCAAAGAATTGGAACTTCAGCAATGGGAAGAAGCAGAAGCTCTGTGAAACTTACTCAGCAGATCCCAACAGGCAGATTGCTGAGTGTGAGCTCTCTCATCCAGTAGGCCTTGGTGCCCCTGAGGATATTGTGTGGATTGGCATTTTTGAATTATGAATGATAAAATCTTTGTTTCCTTAAGGTTGCAACATAAGAAAAGGAAGAAACTTAAGGAAAGTCAGATCTCAGATGGAAGAGGGTGGAATCTTTGTTTATAAATAAAAACAGCAAGCGTCTATTTTTTTTTTTTTTTTTGGTAGAGCTATGTTATTTGATAAATCAGGGATTGAAATTATTATCAGAAGGGGGGTGTTTGGCCTACACAGAGAAGAACTTGGAGTTGAAATCATGCTAATGAAGCAATACAATGTAATCAGTGAGTAGGTATTTTGTCTTAGATATCTAAGAAAACTTGTCCACAAAAAACATATAAACAAAAGAGTTGTTTTTCTTGGTTCCCTAGTAGAAACCTAAATCTATATTTTAAATCTACCCAAAATCCACTCCCCGTGATTCTCTTGATGATGTTCTCATTTTCTTTTGGGAAACTGTCTGTCAACCATGATCTATTTTGGTATTTCGGATGCTTGCTGTGTGGTAGAAGCTTGGCTCATCAGAAAGTTCCAGCGTCCAACCACAGTTGAAATGGCCCACATCCATTGGAACAAAGAAAATGTCAAGAATTTGTTAGAATTTTGAGAAAAGAGAGGGTTTCTTTCCACTGGGATTGTGGAATTTAGTAGGAATACCATGGTTTGGGAGAAAGGTACTTGAGATAGAAAAACTCCATAGAAGAAAGAGAAGCCCAGAGATGGGAAAAGAGCCCCAAGTCCCAGCCAGGCCTAAAACCAACCAACTGTGCACATTTGTTTCATTTTAGCTTAATTCAGTTGGAGTTTTTATTAAAAAAAAAACCTGATTAATATGGGATTTTATACACTGTCAAACTGAAAGGAAGCTCAGAAGCTGACTTTGTGCATCCATTTTTCTGCTCTGAAATTTTTAATTATACTCAACCAAGAGGGAAATACTATTTTCAAAGTAGAAATCTTAACAGATAATACACATTTTTTTTCTGGTATAGTTTTACTTATCAAGTATGGAGTTACTTGAAGACCGTTTGTGAGTAATTTTCAAGACCCTTTAGATGTATCTCAAAGTTCCTTAATATAGTCTCAAAAAGATGTCATATAAGACTTTCTTTTAAAACAGTCTGTGTGTCTATTTTACATCTACTTATTACTGAGGATGGTTTTAATTTTCTGAAACTAAATTACACCGATGGGGTAAAAATGATTATTCATATAAATATTAGGAAGCAAGTGGGAAGCAGCCTACCTTTTAAAACTCAAATCTGCACATATAATCCTTATTTTGATAGTGAAAATGGCATTAGTCAGTGTGAAAAGGATAAGGACAATAAAAAATAAAGGCCTGCAAATTGTATTTGCCAGTCTATAAATTTAGTACGTTTCTGGGGGGAAGAAAGGGAAAAGTTTTATGACTTATTCTTCTCTAGGTATCTAGAAGTCATAAGAGATGGGCTAAGTCTACTGAGATAAAACAAAATGGAGGCCTGAGAGAGTTATTTAATTAGTCCAAAAGAAAGTTATTATAGAGAAAGGACATTCATTTTTAGAGGGAATTATACTAGCCGTGCAAGTTGATTAAATTATTTGGATAATATAGTTAAGCTTGCCAGAAAAGCTCATGATTCATAAATTTTCCAACACAGAACCTGATGTAGTATAGGCTTAAAAATTCGTGACTATAGTCATTGTCATTGTTGTATTGCTGACATATCGATCGGGTGAGAAAAAAAGCTAAGAGCTATATCTCTTTAGGTAACTCTCCCCATGTCTATATCTATATCTAATCGATATTAAAATAAATATACAGCAATAATATATATATATATTTATTTAGCTTTCCAGGTAAATGTTATGTGGTCACAATTCACAGGTTAGTGCAGATGGCAGTGAGAACTGGGGCACTGGGCAATTGGTAGTAGAGGGTACAGAGTTTAAGTAGAGATGAAAAGTTTGGACCAACAACCATGAAATGCTTTCTTCTTGGGAATATATGTGTCAGCTCTATCTCTTTGTGATGTACACAAACTCTCTGCCCAGAGATCTTTTTCCTGCATGCAGGGTCCGTTACTCAGGGCTGACTAGTCTCTAAGGAAAATGATCATTTATCATTCTTGGATTTTTTTTTTAATCCTTCAAACTCCAGGAAATCAATGGCATATTCCTTCATCCCCTTTAAAGGCCCATTGGTGTGCTCTCTCCCTGAGGCTTATATGTTGGATCCATCTCATCTGCAAAACAGCCCAGCCTCCGTTTAAGGGGTTAGCAGTAAGAACTACAAGTGTTTCCCATTCTTGAGGATATTATCATTCGGCTTTAAGGATACCATATTTTCTGCTGTTCTTTTTTCCCCATACCTCACTGATTGTTTTCTCTTTGTCTCATTTTCTGTGTCTGTGCTCAACTTTTAACACTGGAGTGCTCTGGGGTTCAATCTTTTAACTTACTGTTCTTTTTCAAAGTGAGCTGATTTTGTCCCATGGCTATAAAGTCATCTATGGGTAGACTCACAAACTATATCTCTGGTCTTGACTGTTCTCCAACTCAGGATTCAACCACCCACATGACATTACCACTTGCCTGTGTAACATGTATCTGAACAAATACAGTATAGAACTATTGATTCCCCTGCCCCAGCTCCTGAATCTATGTCCTCCCTGGACTTCCCCATTTTGGAAAATGGCACCAACAGTACTCGGGCCAAACAACCAAGGATTTTTCAGTACTTTAGTGCACCTTTTTGCACCTTTGTCATCCACCATGAAGTTCAGTTGATTAAATTTCCAAAATATATTACCAATTCCCGAGCTTCCTTTCATGTATACTGCTGTCACCCTAACTGAAGTCATTATTTCTTGACTTGGCTGATGAATTTACCACCTAGTTGGTTTTTCTTTTCTGCTTCTTGCCCTTGCTGCAATGCTCTCAGCAGCCAACAGCTTCTTAAAATGTGCATAAAATTTATGAACATACTACTTAAAACCCTCCACTGACTTTCTATCACTACCAACTCCTTTACACTTCCAACGAATCACATGTAATCTGGCTCAGCCTTCCCTCCAAACTCCCATATTTGCTTCTCCATCTCTATTAGCCTCATCTTTTTTTCTCTGACTCAGTCATAATACCTTTACTCCTACGTGAGCCTTTGAACCTTTATTTTTCACTCCTGGAACAATTACACAATTCTTCCCATTGCTGAATTCTCACAGTTCGGGTTCCAAACAGCTGGGGAGCTTTCTCTGTGCCTCCATCTAAAATAGGGATATTTAGTAATGCCCAATCACATTACCCTATTTTACTTTATTCATTTTATTTAACATCAGTTGAACCACAAAAAATTACTTTTTTAAGAAATAATTGGGCCGGGTGCGGTGGCTCATGCCTGGAATCCCAGAACTTTCGGAGGCTGAGGCAGGCAGATTACTTGGTCGGGAGATCGAGACCATCCTGGCTAACACGGTGAAACCCCGTCTCTACTAAAAATACAAAAAATTAGCCGGGCATGGTGGCACGCACCTGCAATCCCAGCCACTCAGGAGGCTGAGGCAGGAGAATCATTTGAACCTGGGAGGTGGAGGTTGCAGTGACCGGTTTGCACCACTGCACTCCAGCCTGGGAGACAGAGGAAAACTCCATCTAAAAAAATAAAAATTATTGATTTCTCATGATTCAGCCTAGTACATCTAAAATGTTTTTATTTGTTAAGAGCAGAGACCTGGTTTGTCATATATTATATGTTCCCCAATGCCAAGAACAATGCCAACAGAAGAAGCTTAAAAAGCATATTCCCCAAGTTGAATGAATGAATGAATGGAGACTATGAGCTAATTGTAGGGGGATTTGGGCATAGTTAGAGAAGTTAGGAGAGCTTCCCTGTGAAAGGGAAAATTGAATAATGGCTTGACTTTGTAGGCATAATGTGGTTTTCTTTCTAAGAGTAAGTGGTGGGGAGCAGAAAGTTGAGGATGGAGTTAGTATTTCTGGAAAGAGCAATGGTCTATGCAAAGACCCAGAAGCAGAAGGAAACTTGTTGCACTGAAGGAACAAACAGAATGCTCACAATGCAGGAGCTAACAGAGTAAGAGGACTGGTAGTATAGGAGGTGATCTGTTTCGAAATTATTTCTCAGGGAAATACTTTTCCTTAAACAAAACTTTTTTTTTTTTCTCTCTGTCACGCAGGCTGGAGTGCAGTGGCACGACCATGGCTCACTCTAGCCTCCCTCCCAGCTCAGCCTCCCGAATAGCTGAGAACGCAGGCATGTGGTACCAAACCCAGCGAATCTCTTTATTTTTTTGGAGAGATGGGGTTCTCACTATACTGCCTACACTGGTCTCAACCTCCTGGATTCAAGCAATCTGCCTGCCTTAGCCTCCCAGAGTGCTGGGATTATAGGTGTGAGCTACCGTGGGGAGTCTTAAACAAAACTATGTGGAATTCTAATGCGTTTTCAAGACCCACCCATGCCCCCTGGACATTTGGTTCCTTCAGGGTCCTAAGAAATAAGTATAGTTGACCAATTAAAAACGTCCAGTTTGAGAAAGCATAATTTCCTACTAGGGTAGACCAACTTTCTGGGATTTGTTTATTGGGCCGTACTCCTTTGGAAGGGAGGAGCCCACCTCATGTACAGTGCCAACCCCAGCCCTGGTGCACCCGGAATTTGTTTTACAGTGTTCTCACAGTGTGCTGGGATGGCAGCTGTCACCTGGGTATTGAACACATGGGCTTTTATGCCAGGGTTTTTATGTAAGACCGGGACTCACCTGCCATAATATTAAAACAGATTGAAACCCGTTGGTCTGGTCTATCCCTGCGGCTCACGCGTATCTTATCTCTTAGAATTCCAGCTTTCTAAAAAAGAAAAAAAAAAAGAGTCCCAGAGGATGATGAACTTGAAATTGAATCCTCACTCTGTGATTACCACTGTGACCATGAATAAATAATCTCATTTCTCTGAGTTGTGGGAATTAAATGGAATTATATACACACAATCTTGGTGCATTGCTTAGTACATAGTGATGTGATAATTAAAGTTATTGCTGTTGTTGTTATTAATATTAACTCTTCACAATAATGTCTCCTAAACTGGTCAAGCCTTAATTCTGTGGTCACTCTACAACAGTGGTTCTCAAGCAGGGGTAATCTTGCTCCCCCGAGAGACATTTGGCAAGGCCTGGAGAGATTTTTGTTGAGACTTTGATTGGGGGGGTGTGCTACTGGCATTTAGCGGATAGAGATCAGAAATGCTGCTAGCATATACAGTGCACAGGACACCTCCAAACCCCAACACGGAAGTATCTTGCCCCAAATGTCAATAGTGCTGAAGTTGAGAAACATTACCCTACAAAATCAGTCTCTGTAACTTTCCCATGGGAGCATACGGCTTGAATATTTGTGTTTCTTTCCTACTTTTGCTTACCTCTCTTGGCTCCCACTAACTCCAGCAGTTGCACTTTGCCTGGAACACAGTAGGCAGTCAATAATATTCTGATTAATTGAATGCAGCAACAGAAATGATTTGTCTCCTCCCGCCCCACCCCAGTTAACCTTTGCAAGGAATATTTGGTAAATAGGAAATGCATCTGTAATTAGAACTCAGAATTCAGTGTCTCAAATTTGAATTAAATTAGCCTCCCAGGTGCTTTCTCTTAATTTACTATTTAGAAGCAGTAGTAAATTCTAATAACTGCAAATCTCTTAGACAAAAAAATTTCACTTCTAGTGTATGTCATCAATTTAGCTACATGGTTAAATTGGTTTACTTTATTTGCTCTGCTCAGATCCCTGCAAAAAGACATATTTGGAAGATAATTTCTTCTTGAGAGACTGTTACAAAAGTGGCCTGTCATATTGTTGAAGGGGAGGATGTTGAGTTAAGGGAAATGAGAAGTTCATATACTGTTCCTGAGGTTTAAGAAACTCACCTGAAGTCAACCAAGAAGCCTATTTCCAGGAGCCAGAGAGAAGCACTTATGTTCTAATGAGGCTATAACAAGCTGAGGTCTGTGCTTCTCACCCCTGATTGCACATAAGAATCACCTAAGGAGATTTGAAACATACAGATGCCTGGGCTGCCTGCCCACACAATTTAAACAGAATCTCTAAGCCAAGCCTGGATAGCAGAGCAATACAAAGTTCCCATGTCATTTGTACATCCTGCCAGGGTTGAGAACTGCCAGCTTAGGTGAAGAATTCGATGAGCAGTCATAACAGTCGAGCTGTTCTGACAGAGGTAAATCAGGCAACATCGCTAGGTTTCTATTTTGCAATGTTAGTAGGTACCTTGGTCACTGCTATGCTGAAAACCAACAAATCTTACACAGCATTGTTAATAATAGTACCTTGCATTTGTATTTTTATTGTCAATTTTCAGAGGCACATTTTCATTATATTTAATTCTCAAATCCACCCTCAAGAGTAATCAGAAAATATATTCTGGCTTTGTTTTGTTTTTAGGTGAGCAAATGGGTTCAGAAAGCTCACTTGACCTACCCAGGTTCAACTTGGTGTGTCTATTCCTTCTTTCTTCTGATCATTTATTTAATAACATATATTGAGTGTCTGCCGTGTTACAGAGACTTAACTGGTTTGGAAATAGCAGTGGCAGAATGTAGAATTCCAGGTAGCAGAAGTGGTGGTAGTGACAGGAATGTGGTATCATCAAGCAACTGAAAGAGTAGGCTTCCTATTAAAAGTTTTCTGTTGTAGGGTGATGTGGCAAGGATGAGCTTACAGTTTTGAATTCACTGGAACTGGGGTTGCCTGCTCTATTATTCCCGGTTCCCTGTCTTCAGCATTTCTACTGTTCTCTCCATTCTTAGAGGTCATTCTCTATTTTCAAAGCATGGTCCTCTTTGTTAGATTTTTTTCTTTCCTGACTGTGGAATTGGCTACCACTATACAGTTGCCCCTGCCACACACCTCAAAGTGTTGAGTGTTTCTCCAGCCATCATATGGGTCATGTAACGAAGTGCTAGCCAATCATGGTACTTGTTTCCTCTGTTTTTAGTGATTGGTCTAAAATGTGGGTATGTGTTTCCATTAGGGCCAATCATAGATCTATGAGATATCACTTGAGGATACCAGGAGACATTGTAGCTCTCTTCCTTATAAATTGTGCGCTGTGAGATGCCTTCTATCTTTCCTGTTGAAGAGAGCGCTGTCAGTGGCAACAGGTGCTAAGGTCAGCTCACAAAGAGAAGGGCTGAGAAGCAGAAGAAGAGAGATGGAGAGAGTGGGAGCTCGGGTCATATTGTATTGTCCTCTGGATACAGCAGTGCCTCAAACTTCCCAATTACACAAGCCAATAAATTCCTCTTACTGCATCAAGGAGTATAGATTGTATGCGGTTTTTTTTTTTTTTAACAGAAAATGATCTGATTATAATACCACACATTCTAAAGCTTGGGACATTTGAAAATGCTTTTGACTAACCAGTTTCAACTCAGGAGAGGGTTATTACAAGTCCCTGAACATTTTACAGACAATACTCCTCCAAATATAGTAGTCGGGCTTGGCCACACAGTATACCCCTCTGGGCATCACGGAGTGTGAGGCTTGCTCTAGTGTAGTGATTCTCAGCATGGAGTCCCCCGCCTGGCAGCGTCAGTGTTACTGGGGAACTTATCAGAAATGCACATTCTTGGGCCCTTCCCCAGACCTATTGAATCAGAGACTCTGGGGCCGGACTCAGCAATCTGTTTTTTTCTTTTCTTTTGTTTTTTTTTAGTTTGGATTTCATTTATTTTCACTTTTTCTGGTCTTGGCGCTCATCTAGGATATCACATTTAGTCCTCATGTCTCCTAGGCAGGCTGTGACAGCTTCTCTGGCTTTCCTTGATTTTTATGACCTTGAGAGTTTTGGAGATTGTTTTTATTTTTAACAGAGGTATAATTTACATATAATGAAATGCAAAGACCTCAACTTATGGTTGTAAGAGTTTCAACCACAATCTATGTTTTAACTAGACCTCCAACATATCCTGATACACACTAAATTTAGAGAACCACTATTTTAGGGTTCTCAGGATTTTCTCTATTTTATTTTTGAAGAGAGCTAATCAAGGAATATCTTAAATGCTGATTATGGAACACTAACACATAAAAATTTTTCATGTGATAATTTTCATTATCATATGAAAAGTTGTGTAAACAACTTTCCAGACCTAGACAACCTGGGAGTGTCTCAACCTATTTCTGTTAATAATATGACAATAAACAATATTGCTAATGATAGCTAACCTTCATTGTGCACTTATATGTCAGGAACCTTACCACTTTCTTTACATGTACAGGTATACCTCATTTAATTGTGCTTCACAGATGCGTGTTTTACAAAACCACATGTTGAGCAAATCTATCAGTGCCATTTTTCCAACAGCGTGAGTTCACTTCTTATCTCTGTCACATTTTTGTAATACTCTCAGTATGTCAAACTTTTTTATTATTAGTGTATCTGTTATGGTGTTCTGTGAGATCTCTGATCTTTGATGTTACTATTGTAATTGTTTTGGGGTACCACAAACCGTGCCCATGTAAGATGGTGAACCTGCTTCATAAATGTTCTATGTGTTCTGACTGCTCCACTAATAGGTAGATCCCTGTCTCTTTCCCTTTTCTCAGGCTTCCCTATTCCTTGAGGCACAACAATATTGAAATAAGGCCAATTGTTAACCCTACAAAGGCCTCTTAGTGTTCAAGTGAAAGGAAGAGTTGTGCATCTCACTTTAAATCATAAACTACCAATGATTAAGTTTAGTAAGGAAGGCATAAGCAGAGATAGGCTGAAAGCTAGGTTTCTTGTGCCGGTTCGCCAAGTTGTAAATGCAAAAGAAAAGTGCTTGAAGGAAATGAGCAGTGCTACTCCAGTGAACACACAAATGATAAGAAAGCAAAATAGCCTTTATTGCTGGTATGGAGAAAATTGTAATGGTCTGGATACATCAAACCAGCCACAATATTCCCTTAAGCTGAAGCGTAATCCAGAACAACACCCTAACTCTCTTCAATTCTATGAAGGCTGAGAGAGGTGAGGAAGCTGCAGAATAAAAGTAGAAAGTTTGTAGAAGTTGGTTCATGAGGTTTAAGGAAAGAAGCCACCTCTATAACATAAAAGTGCAAGGTGAAGCAGCAATTGCTGATGCAGAAGCTGCAGCAAGTTATCCAGAAGATTTAAGTAATATTATCGATGAGGGTGGCTACACTAAACAACACATTTTCAATGTAGACAAAGTTGCTCTATATTGAAAGATGCCTAGGAGAAATCTCTAAGACTTTCATAGCTAGAGAGGAGAAGTCAATAACTGGCTTCAAGGCTTCAAAGCTTCAAAGGACAGTCAGACTCTCTTGTTAGTGAGTCTGGTGACTTTAAATTGAAGCCAGTGCCCATTGACCATTTCAAAAACCCCAGGGCCCTTAAGAAATACACTAAATTCACCCTGCCTATGCTCTATAAATGGAACAACAAATCCTGGATGACAGTACATCCAGCTTGGTTTACTGAATGTTTAAGCCTTCTGTTGAGAACCACTCTTCAGAAAATATTTATTTCAAAATATTACTGGTTATTGACAATGCACCTAGTCACCCAAGATCTCTGTTAGAGATGTACAAGGAAATGAATGTTGCTTTTGTTTGCTAACACAACTTCCATTCTATAGCCCATAAATTAAGGAGTAATTTTGACTTTCAAGTCTTATTTAAGAAAACATTTCTGTAAGGCTGCCACACATAGTGATTCCTATGATGGATCTGAGCAAAGTAAATCAAAAAGCTTCTGGAAAGGATTCACCATTCTAGATGTCATTAAAAACATCCATGATTCACAGGAAGAGGTCAAAATGTCTATATCAACAGGAGTTTGAAAGAAGTTAATTGAAAGTTCATGGATGACCTTGAGGAGTTGAAGACTTCAGTGGAGAAAGCAACTGAAGATATGGTAGAAATAGCAATAGAACTAGAATTAGAATAGGGTCTGAAGATGTGACTGAATTGCTGCAACCTCATGATAAAACTTGAGCAGATGAGGAGCTACTTCTTATGGACAAGCAAAGAAAACGGTTTCTTGAGATGGAATCTACTTCTGGTGAAGATGGTGTGAATATTGTTGAAAAGACAACAAATTATTTAGGATATTACATAAACTTAGTTGATAAAGTAGTGGCAGATTTTGTGAGGATTGATTCTAACTCTGAAGGAAGTTGTGCTGTTGGTAAGATGCTATCAAACAGCACTGCATGCTACAGAGAAATCTCTTGTGAAAGAAAAAGTCAGAGATGCAGCAAACTTCATTGTTGTCTTATTTTAAGAAATTGCCACAGCCACTCCAATCTTCAGCAGCCACCACCTTGATGAGTCAGCAGTCATCGACATCGAGGCAAAGCCTTTCACCAACAAAAGGATTATGACTTGATGAAGTCTCAGATGATCATGAACATTTTTTAGTAACTAAGTATTTTTAAATTAAGGATATATATATATACATGGAGGATATATATAATATATTTTATATATATATTATAAAAATTATGTATATCCTCTCTATATAATACAAATTATATATAATATATATATATCTCCTTATGTATATAATATATCCTCCATATATATATGTCTGTGTGTGTATATATATATATATATATATATATATATATATATATATATATGAAGGATGTATTATGTACGTATTAGAGATAAGGCTACTGTATGCTGTAGAGTAAATGCACCTGAGAGCAGTATAACCTTAGAAAGATCCTGTATGATAGACACACCTGAGTGTGTGCTCTGAGCAAGGGAATCCAGGAGTGGCCAACCCAGAGATTCGTTCCTCATTGACTATGAGGAACATCTGAGCCTCTGGCCTTTCCTGTGGAATACAGACTGTACAGGGAATCATGGCCCTGAGTTTGGGGATAAATGAAGTTTGCTGGGTGAAGGTCATTAAGGAAAGAGTGTTAAGTAAAAATGGTATGTAAACTGCATGCTGTTAATAAGGGGTTGCAGTTTTCCTTCCCAGCCCACTGCCACTGGGACATGCAGATATGTTGTCTAGCCTACGGCCACTGGACTATAGGTAAGGCAGGTGTCTTGTCCAGCCCACAGCCACTGAAATGTTTCTGTATATAAGATTGTTTTCCTTTCTAGACTGCCACTACTATGCTCTCTCCCTTGTTTGTAGGCTCCTAATAAAAAATCTCACGACTTGTTTGCTGGCTCTGGGTCTCTTCTTCAGTCCCTTAAACCTGTTGTCTTCCCTATTGAGGTTAATAGGGGTTCGGCACAACACACTCTTCATAGACTACAGTATAGTGTAAACATAACTTTTATATGCACTGGGAAACAAACCAAAGAAACTTGTGTGACTTGCTTTATTGCAATATTCACTTGATTGCAGTGGTCTGGAACCAAATTTGCAGTATCTCAGAGGTATACCTGTATTACCTCCGTGTTGAAAGTTGGCAGTGTAAAATTTGTTTTGATTAGAATGTCTCTGTGGAATGAGTTTTCAATACCTTGGTAACCAGTCCTGGAAATAGTGTCTCAATGTCCTCATCTGAGAGTCTAGACCCCCTGCAGTGCATCTCATGTATTTGTGGGATGCATTTTCAAGGGGTATTTGTGGCCCCTTTTATTCTCTCAGAAAAGATAGCATCCTTTGAAAGAACCAGTGGAAAAGGAGAAACTTTTGAGAAGAGGATAGGAATGGAAAATCCTTGCAAGTAATTCCATGATTTGCCTCTTATTGCTTAAGCACATCTAACCCAGGTGGAATGATGGTGCAATTTGCAAGCCATCTGTTTTTAATATGGTAACTTGAAGCTAATAAAAATAATATGATACTGTGAAGAAGGAATCATATGTTATTTATTTGGTAGTGGTTGTCTTTTTGAACACTTGAAAAAAATATTAGAGCGGTTCTACTGTAGTAATTCCAAACACCGGTTCATAGCAGACAGCTGAGCACCTTAAGAATTCCCAGGGAGCTTGCTGAAAGTGGAATTTTCTGTGTTCAGCCCTTTGAGACTCTAAGTCAGTAGACCTGGAGTGGAGCCCAGGAATTCATATTATATAAAAAGGCTTTTCAGTTAGGTTGGAATACTCTCTAAATGAAGCTCATTGGTTTGCATACTGTGTACTAATTGCTTAAGGGAAGCACATTAAGGGCTACCAGCAATCCATCAAGTGCCTGGCACTTTCATCCCTTTATATTCTAAATTTTGGTGTAAGGCTTCATTTTTAAAAAAAGGAATGTGCTACAATTTTTTTAAGGTATTATTTTTATTTATCCCTTTGTGTTCATTTATAGGGGAATTGGGACTGAAGTCCGGGCCTTGTGACTTCCATGATAGTGTTTCTTCTGCCTGCACCACAGAGCCAAGGAGACCCCAGGACCCTGGAGGTCTGAGAGCTTTCTCAGAACTGTCTAACTTTTCAGCCATAACACAGGTTTATGGAGATATGATAATGTGGGCAGCTCCTTGGTGGCTTCTAACCTGTGATATTCATCACTTAAAGCCTGACCCTTTCTGAAGCTGGCTCATTCATTCACAGAAATCTGTTGAAGGGCAGCTTTCCTGTGTTCACAGCTTTGGGTGACAGCTAGAGGGAGAATTGGTAAGGCTGTGATAGGCTTAGGGCTTAGAGGAGAGAAACATTAACTGTCCTGTCTTCCTCTTTTGGGGCATCCACTTGGATCTAATTTTGTTTCTTTATGAGGAGCTGTACTAGGATACAGGTTTTAAGATTCCTGTTCTGAAAATAAAAATCCTATTTTATAAATCTCCAGGAGAGTCAGTTTATAGTTAAGAAATTTCAATGTTAATTCTGGAGAACTGAAAAGTATAAATTGACAAATACAGGTATAAAAATATAGAAGGCAGAGGTTCATTAACTGGGATTCAGGGGGAATCAAGAAAGAGATTGTGCCAATATGTGCATGGAACCCCTGTGACACTACCCATCCTCCACATTGCCACACATTTTCTGCTCCAAGTTTTTATGTAAATGTGAAGCAGACAAAATAAAAATAATTGTTATGTCTCCTCTTAACTGGAATACCTTTTGCTGGTATCGACCTATATCCCAGTAATTTGTAAAGAACTCATTTTGTGCCCAACAGACGAACACAGAGCAATGTTATCCTCCTTGTAGAGCACTGTTTTTTTTTTAAGTGAGAAAATACTTTGACTTAATAAATCATTAAAATGGTTTTTTATTGAGGAAATGTTCAAAAACTTGCCCCAAGCAGTACCAAGTCAGGATGTTAAGAACTGTGCTTCTTACTCAGATAACATGTTCCATTATTATTTTAAGGGAAGGGTATTAATTGGGATTCTTCTGAGAAACAAGAAAAACCGATAAGGTGTATGTGTGTGTGTGTGTGTGTGTGTGTGTGTGTGTAATAAGTATGTATATTTATAAAGAAATGTATTCTAAGAAATTGGCTCACATAAGTAAGAAGGCAAGTAAGTCCAAATCAGCAGAATGATTCAACAAGCAGGAGACGCAGGAGAGCTGACAGTGTTAAGTTCCAGTGCTAAGACTGGCAGTATCAAGACCTAGGAAGCATTGCTATTTCAGTGTAAACTCAAAGGTAGGAAAAGACCAATGTCCTGCCTCAAGACAGTCAGGCAGGAGGAGTTCCTGTTGCTTCTAGGCCCCACATTAGAGCGCACAATGTGCTTTACTCAGTCTATCAATTTAAATGTCAAACTCACTCCAAAACATCCTCATGGAAATGCTCAGAATAATGTGTGGCCAAATATTTGGGCACTCCATGACCCAGTCAAGTTGACACATGAAATTAGCCATCACACGAGGGCAAGACCATAAAGAAGGATGCCTTCAGAGGAAATTCCAAGAGGCCTCTGTTCAATTTTCTAAGTCCTCTTTCTCACCTGTTTCCATTCCAGCCTCTAGTTAAGTTCAGTGTCTTTGGAACCTTTCTTAGGACCCATCTCCCTTCCCACAGAATTAGAAGATGCCAGGTACTTCTTGTGTTTTGCAGAGTTTCTTTAGGCTTCCCCTGGCAGAGGGATAGAGCAGGTAATTCGAATTTGATTTCTCTGTATCCTGAAGCTATAGTTTCCTTCTGAAATAATTTGAATGAAAACATAGCCTAATACCATAAAGATTAATTTTCTCTTAAATATATCTGCTATATTCTATGAGTGGGATGATTACCCCATTCAGTCTGGGAAGAGTGCATATCTCTTCTCTGGAGACTACTTTGACACTACCTGAGATTGCCTTTGCAAAAATTTATAACTGAGGAAATTATGACAATGAAAGAGATCAGACCTAACCAACTCCATCTTGCTTCTAACCTTTAAGCTGTGCTTATTCATTCCTGAGCATAGGCCTAACTAACCTTGGGAAGGAATTTAGCTTATAGTTTAACTATGAAACAAAATTGATAATAGCCCTTTCCCCAAAAAATCCCCTTCTTGCCTGGGGACCAGTCTGCCTTTGTAGGACTAACAAATTAGCTACAAGATTAGAAATTATGGTTTAGGGGCCATGCAGCCTATGGCTGTAAGAATCGGAACATCCCCACATTGTTCCTGGGAATAATATCACTATTGTAAAACCTAAAATCAGTGCTTGAGATACTTTGCAGACCCTGCACTTGATGCACCAGCTGACACCACCCAGACTGGTAATCTGGCTCAACCAGTTCTGTGATCCCACCCAGGAACAGAAGACAGCAAGAAAAACTCATCTTGACCAGCTACGATAGTATCTCCAACCTGATCAATCAGCGCTCGCCACTTCCTTAGCCTCTAAACCACCAATTTATCCTTAAAAACTCCAATCCCTGAATGCTGGCGGAGACTGATTTGAGTAATAATAAAACTCCAGTCCCCTGCACAGTCAGCTCCGTGTGAATTACTCTTTCTCCCTTGCAATTCCCCTGTCTTGATAAATCAGCTCTGTCTAGGCAGTGGGCAAGGTGAACCCATTGGGTGGTGACATTCTTATACGAAATTATCTCTGGTTTTATTACTTGTACATATTTCCCATCTGCTAGAGCCGCTCTGGAGGAATGGAACCAGCCTTAAACACTTTTTTTTTTCAAATCCCTGGAGGGGTATGGAAATACTTTAAAGATCATTCTCCTAAAAACATGATTTTTTTTGAGTGGGGGGTACATATTAGGTATTTGAACATCAAAGGGGTCTATGACCCCAAGATGTTTTTAAACAATGTTGATGGGTTTCAAAAGTGAAACTTCACAATTCCCTAAATAAAAGACTATACAGAAAAATGTTCTGCTTTTGCCTTTATTGATATACGTGTTCTACCCAGAATATGGTGTTTGATTAAACAGGGCAATAAAAATAATTCTGCAGTGGAATTCTACTGTAGAACCAAGTCCTCTTCTTTCTGCCCATCATCTCTCTTTGCTATGGGACAATTGACGGACAATTGTGATTACTTTTGATTCCATAAAGTTATTTGGAAAGCTGTGTTAAACTATATAAGTCCTAATGTGTACATGCCAAAGGTTAAAAGTCACACAAAAAATAATGTAAATACTACTGTGATTTTAATTTCCTAACTCTGGGGATTGAAAGACTCAGTGTAACTTAGAATGCTTTCTACAATTTCACTTAACCTTTGAGTCTACATGTTAAGACCTGATTGTTTCCTATGTAGATGGAGGCCCATAAAAGCTCTGCATCCCTCTCTTGGTAAGGATGCCATAAAGATTTAGATTTGAGCCTATAGTCAACTGGCGTAAACCCGAAAAAAAGGCCCATATGGTACACCCTTTTGTGTGACTTTATGGAATCAAAAGTAATCACATTTGTCTGTCAATTGTCCCATAGCAAAGAGAGATGACGGGCAGGAGGAAGAGGACTTGGTTGTATAGTAAAACTGTAATTCAGTTTTACATAGACCTGTAATATATTGTTCCTTCTACTACCTCCCATTTCGAACTTCTAGTATGGACCCTGGAATGTAGTGCCTGAACCTGACCCTAGAGATTATCTTTAAACAATTTTTTTGAACTTCCTCCATAAATTATTCCTTCTAGACTTTGAATGGGGTGTAGGTGTCAACCCCTAAGTAAGAAAGCAGGTTCTGATACAGGTATATAATCAAAAGTAATTTTCCTTTTGCAACATTCCACAAAGAAAAATAGAACATTTGAAGTTGTTGAGATACTTTCATTGTCTTACATTGGTATTTTTTCTGTGTGTGTTTGAGTTGTCATATAAAGCTAGAACAGAGCTACAATAATATCCTGTATCATTTCGTTTTTCATTTTTGTGTTTTTCCCCCTGCCTGTCTCTTTTCAATATTCCCACCATCCTTTCATATTGCCTGCTGGGCCAATCTTTTCTGAAATCAAACAGCAGAATTTTCTTATTATGTTTCAAGTATTTTAAAGATGCTGCTGAATTTCCAGAGCCCCTTGCAACTAGGCAACAGTCCCCTGAGTTCCAGCCCACATGGAGAGAAAAAGAGTGTATAGCTCTGGGTCTTTGGAAATGATTCAAAGGCTGGAGCCCTAGGATCTCCCCTTTGCGGACTTTGGCTTTAGGGATGAGTGAGCCCAAGGTGAGGTAAAGAAATGTCACAGCAGAAGAGTCTGGAGTTTGTTTTCAGAGAATGTGGTGCAAATATGTCTTCCAATGAAAACGAAGGGAAAATAGAAATATCGGCTTAAAAAATAAGCATTTGGGAAGGCAAATTTCTTACTCCCAGTTTCTGATTTGGGAATCAGAGCACAGCACGTTTTAAATTCAGAGCAGAGGGGCAAATGTTATGCTTTCGAAAGTCGGCAGAGAGATGTAATGAGTCAGGGCAGCAGTGAGAGTTGTGGGTTCGTTTGGCTGAGAATGTGGGTGCCTGTGCTACTGGGAAGTTGAGGAAGAAGGCCTAGAACGTATTTTATGGATGGGGAGTTCAGAAAGCCTGCAGACACATTTTCCATAGAGCAAGAGCGATTGGCCTTGTGGCCTGGATCATATTTTCCATATACTGCTGTCATTATTCCTTGAGCTGGGATGATACAGCTATAAGAATAGATGCAATGTGCCTGCCTGACCCTCCAGGTAGTTGGTGGCATTCTCCTGTGCCTCACTATCCAATATAACCTGTAATAATGAAGACAAAGGCCAACCTTTATTATGGACTTAATATTCGTCAGGCACATCGGTAAGCACTTTGCATGCATTATCTCACTGAATCTTCCCAGGAGTCTGATGAGCTAGATACTACCACTATCACCACTTCACACATGAGGAGATTAGGTTGAAAAATATTAAGTAACTTGTCCATTCAGGTGCAGAATATAGAAAATAGATATGATTTCAGCAGGACCAGCTACATTTGCAAGGCCCCTTGTTAGAAAATTATTTCAAGATGGTAGTAGAAACATTATGGCAAGCATGAGGACCATCTTAAGTGCAGGCCCTGTGCAGTTGTGCAGGTTGTACACCTATGAAGCTGGCCCTGGTTCCCAATCATGGCTATTAACCATATTTCTGTTCATTTTTCTCCTTACCATAATTAATTCTCTTCATTATGCATCCTCTGTTCTTTTTTTTTTTTTTTTCCTTTTTTGTACCTTTTGATTTTTGTTTTCCTCATTTCTAGCATATTCATTTGATATGGTTTGGCTGTGTCCCCATTCAAATCTCAACTTGAATTATATCTCCCAGAACTCCCACATGTTGTGGGAGGGACCCAGGGGGAAGCAATTGAATCATGGGAGCTGATCTTTCCCATGCTATTCTCATGATCGTGAATAGGCCTCTTGCCACCACCATGTAAGAAGTGCCTTTCACCTCTCGCTATGATTCTGTGGCCTCCCCAGCCATGTGGAAATGTAAGTCCAATTAAACCTCTTTTTCTCCACAGTCTCAGTTATGTTTTTATCAGCAGTGTGAAAACAGACTAATACATCATTCGTCATTTATCTACTTTTTTGTTAATGTTTCTGTGGCCCAGTATCTGTGACTCTTAAATGTTCGGTTATAACATAGAAGAGACAGAAAGCTTTGAAGTAAAATAACTCAGTTTTTAGTTTATCAGTCACAAGGCATGCATTAAACCTTGGGAGTGAGCGATGTCCTGCTCAAAACCTAAGTCAGAGGTGGACACTTGTGAAACTTCCAGTTTTATTCTAATCTTCCTTCCCTCATGAAAGGAACCCACCTGAGAAGGGTTTAGAAGAAGAGCTTTCTGATGCCTACTTCTCAAGGGAAACTTTGTCCTCCAATTTGCCATGAATTTAAGTCCTTTAAAACAGACTATGCCAGACCCTGAAGCACCTTGGACCATGAAACCAAAACTCAAAGTTACTAATCCTTTGCATACTTGGGAGAAGAAATATATATCTCTGTCCTTTTCTAACTATACTATGGTAAGTAACAGTTGCAGTGGTCTGCAACCAGCCTCAAACACAGAAACCCTCAGAAGTTAGCAGTTCTAAAGCAGCTACCAGAACCCAGTAGAAAATCAACTATGAAACTACCTGGTCATTGTCATTTATGACTGTTCCTGATTGAGGAGCTAAAGCAGCTACCAGAACCCATTAGAAAATTATCTATGAAACTACCTGGTCATTATCATTTATGACTGTTCCTCATTAAGAAGGGAATGTCAGAGCAATTAGAAAACAGAGTCTTGGTGGATGCCAAAGCTAGCTAGTCTTCTAAATTTGCTCCAATTTAACTGACTAATTCTCCACAATATATTCTTCTCTCTCTTTCTTATCCTCTATCTTATTCTTCTCTTCTATTCATGCCTAATCCAACCCTTGGCTCTCTCTTGCCCATCTACTCTGTATATCTATATGGCAACTTCATTTCTGAAAAAAGCCATCTTCCTCCTTCTCTTTCCTCTGAGTTATTGCTTCCTTCACTACCAGTTTGTCATTTTTAGGGAAACTGTTAGTTCCTAAGAGAAGACATTTGCCTCCAAATCGAGTTTTACACTTGAAGCAATTTTGTTCTGATAGTCTTGGAATTTTCCAGTATAAAAATGGTGGGGTGAAATGAGATATATCAATGTGTACATGCCCTTTGAGCTTTCAGGAAGAGAGGCCCTGAATAAATCAAATCGGGTATTTCCATCCTCACAACTTTAATAGCAGTAACCAGCAACAGTCTGTCCTTGAAGTGTTTATTCTCATCTAGACCTGACCATGCATTTATGAGTTCATACTTAAATGTTACAAGGCTTGTATTTTACTTTATTTGAAAATAGCAAAGTCATTTTTGTCTTTTTCTTTCCATTACAGGGGTACCTTAGGTGGTACCTTCTGTGGCCCAGACATGCATATTACTGGAAGATGTCTGCTATTTTTATAACTTGTGGCTTGGAGTGCTCAGACACTGCTAATGGGATGAAGTGATATACTTTCCTATAGTTTCTGATGTATAGTGGTTTTCACATCAGTTTCAGGATCTATAAGAACTTGCAGAAAGACATCACTGAACAGTTATTCCAGGCAGCTTGGCATGTTTTTTTTTTTTTTCATTTTAATGTATTTATTTTGAGCCTCTGTGGGTTATAAATTTCTCAGTGGAGTTAGGTTTGCTCCAAGGAAGGTCAAAATGATTACCCTCAAATTTTAGAGGTGGAGGGCAGACAGAGAGAGACACTAGGAAGAAAAGGAGTGTGATGATTGCATAAATGAATTAGCAGGAGATAAGGAAGATTTCAGAAGAGACATGAGATCAGTCAATCAATATTCTCCCCCTTTGAAAAGCATATAAATGTGATTTAATGTCTTTAAAACTGGTTCTAAACAGTTTTCTTCTAAATTAAAAACTTGAAAAAATAAAGAAAAAAGAAACAAACTAGCTTTTGCATTAAACACACCTTAGTAATGAGATGACCCTGGGTGGGAGGAAGAAAGAGGAGGAGCAGGTTTTAAAAAGTAATATTTTTAGTTTTGTTTTATAATTGAGCCACAAGTTAACATTTTTGAATCAGTTACTAGTTTCTTAAGCTTTTGAAAGTGAAAGGGATCTATTTAACTGGCTTTATGATCATGATCAAATATTCTAGGCATCCTTATGCTTGAGACTTCAGCTTTACACGAGGCACTTTCAATTGCAATTGCTGGAAGAGATTGGTTTATGAGATGTGAGCAAACTCATTTTGAAAAAAAAGAAATCTTTGAGCTCTTATTCTGTGCATAGCACTGGGTGTAGTGGAGCCTACAAAAAAAAAGGAGACATCATGATGGGGCACACAATCGGTATATGCAGAACATTTCAGAGCAGGACAGAGAGGGACACAAATGTGGCACCACTGTAAGGCACTTAGGGTGATTGGAGGGAAGAGGGATTAGGTCAGGTGGGGTGGAGCTTGAACAAATGTTATAAAATAGAATATTTCTAATAAGTACCAAGAGAAAAAAAGAATTATAGGTGCAGAAGGCCCCTAGGATCGATGGGTAAACCCTACCTGTAAGCTACAGTGGAGATTTCTGCTGGATGACTTAGATAGTGTGAGCTACAGAGTAGGCAACAATAAGATTGTAGTATATTGAACATTTATTAAACGCCAACTGTATGCTGGATACCACTTTAAGAATTATGGTTATAAAAATAAATAGAATTTGGTACTCAGTAATCTCACTGCCTGCTGAAAGAATCCAACAAGTAACTTAGTCATTAAATAAGTAACTCACACAATAACAGAGATGTTCAGATCTCTTAGTGGGAATAAGAAAGGATAAAGGATATCATCTAGGTCGGGGTTCCTGGACATACATATAATCTCTTCCCCATTATAGTGCTCAGATCAGAAAACTGGCTTCAGGCAAATGTGTGTAAATGTTATGGGAAAAATTCTAAATGGCCAAACTGTCAATTGTCTTTCCTGCAAATCAAGTTCTACCGTGCTCTGATTCAAAAGTCGTGCTTCTTTTATGTGCACTATTTAGCCTTGCCATTGTAGCTGACGATTTGGAGGTTTGAGAAACTTAGGAGAAAAAAAAAAAGAAAGATCCAGAATCAAAGAGTTTTTAAACTCTTTGGGAAACATTCATCATAGTACACACCTCCGTTTTGAGCAATGTAAGCACTGCAGACTCCAGCTTCTGTAGTTTGAAAGCCAAATGGATTGAGGGAATCTGGTTTCTGCTGATAATTGGAAGAAGGATAAGAAGGTTATAAGCAAACAATGGGCTGAAAAGTAAACAACATTTCAAGAACAATTCTATTTGGTATTCCTAGTTCTTATAATTAAGTCTCAGCTCAGTAATTTGTTTGGAACTTAATTTTCAATAATTATTTGCAAGTCATAAAATGCTGGGCCTATGGATACACTAACAACTGTGTTAAACTGACCTATTTGAAGGTAAAGCTGTAGAAATTCAGACAGGTGAAATTTTGACTATCATGTGCTATTTACGTTGGAAAATTGTTGTCATATGGAGATGAGGGGAGATAGGTTGCCTTATTTGCAGCCATTAAAGAAAAAAACAACATTCAATCTTTCACTTCATTCATTGATTCGCTAAATATTTGAGTGTCTTCCATCAGCTAGACATTAAGTTTTTTGTCAAGATTTTAGGATCAAGCAAGTTTTGTCTTTGAAACCCAGCTAAGCAGTTTGCATTACTTTATTGTAGTGATAACAATGCTGGCTAACATTTCTTGTATACTTACTATGTTCTAATGGGTATATAAGTATTAACTCATTTAATAATCTTACATATTTTATGAGGTACTGTTATTAATTTTTCTTTTACAGTTGACCCAACTGAACCTCAGAGGTAGTAAAAAACTCACCAAGGCAATACAGTCAGATAGTATCCAATTCAAGTAGCCTGATTCCAGGCTGTAGACTCTGAAATACTTTAACAAATATAGTGTGTATCTTGTCCATCAATCAACAAGAATGTATTGAGTATATCCACCTATCTGTGAATCTTTCAAGAGCAGAGATCTTTTCTTCCTTCTCTTCTTATGCCCAGAACTTAACATGGAAACCTATAATAGATATTTATTAAATGATGTTGAATAAATACTGCAAGAAATATTCAAAATATAGAAGATGAAATCCCTACTTCAAGCTGTTCATAACCTAATTACCACTATAAATTTATTTGTTAAAAAATTTTGAAACTTAAAGCAAAAGTGTGTATGGTATGTTCATTCAATGTCACACTGGTGCATTGTTTAACAGGCCCACCCAAGAATGATTTATTACTTTAGGAAAATTTACTGATTGACTAGACCTGGACACTATGAAATTACATGTTTACTTATAGATTTGTGTATAGTAGAAAAGATGACTTCAAGAGCTATGGTTTTATTGTCCTGTAGAGCATTAACTAATTTTTTTTTTTGGCAATCTGATTATAACATTGATTATTAAAGTGCTTATTTATTTTTAATATTTTTCTTTGTCGTAAATTATCTTTTCACGATCTTGGGACCAGTTTACCACTTTATTGATTTCTTCATTAATGAGTTAATAAATCTCTGTCGTGTATTTATTCTATGTTTGTATAAGAGTCATGGTGCAAGTTTTAAACTTATACTTGGACACCTTCCTCATCAGAATTTGATATAAAATATAATATATATTAACTAGACATTTGTTAACATAATGATAATCTTAGCTAACAATTATGAAGACATTCTGAATGCATTCTATGAATTATCTAATTAAATTTCTACAACCACCTATGAAGACAGTCTCACTGCTTAAAAGTTGAGGAAACTGAGGAAGAGAGAGGTTATGTGAGCTGCTTAAGGTCATTCACCTGATATTGGTGAAGACTGGAGTGATCTGATGTCAAACAGCCTGATTCCAGAGACTACTTTATTAAGCACTACACAAACCCCTTCAAATACCTGATGCTTACCATCCCAATACATTAGCTACATTAACATGAATTAATATATTAACATTCAGGCAACAGGCTAAATAATGGTAACAAACAGACAAGGGGCTAAATAATGATAACTATAATACCACTCCTTGAATGTTTGCTGTGTGTCAGACACTGTGACAGGTGCTTTACATATAAGATCTCATTTAATCCTCATATAACATTACAGTGTAGTTATTCTCATCTTAATTTGATAGATAAGGAAACTAGGGCTTAGAGAAATTAAGAGTCTTATCTAAGGTCACATAGTGAGGACTCAAAGTTGGAATCCCATCTGCATGACACCAAGACCGTCTTCTTGAACACTTTATCGTGACTTTTATTCTCAGAAGACTATCCACTGGTAGAATATCTTTTTAAATACTTCATATTATTAGAGCTGGTTACAGCAAGAGGAGACATTTACCTAAACATCTTCACTGTAGCAGAACATGGTTAATGTCAAGTTAGTGGTTCACATTCTTACGTAAGCTTAGCACAAAATCTGGATAAATTAAAACATGGGTGGAGATGATTAAACTAGAATTTTAGTCATTCTCTATATATGAGAAACTAAAAGCAAACATTTGAAGATTGTTAGCAAGCAATGACAAAGACACTGAAAACAGGAATAATTTTCTGAGTTGTGGTAGGGGAGTTGAAGATAAACATTCAGAGTCTGAAAGACATTGGACACTTAGGAAGCCATAAAGATTTCTTTCAGTTATGGAGAACTCATCTCTCTCTCTCCCCACCGCCCCCCCATACACACACGCTCTCTCACTCCTCATGTAATTTATATAAATTATAACTATCACATTCCTCTCTGTTTCATGTATTTCCCTGGAACGGTAGTCCCCAACCTTTTTGGCACCAGGGACTGGTTTTGTGGAAGACAATTTTTTCCACGGCTGTGGGGCTGGAGGGGATGGTTTCCAGATGAAACTATTCCACCTCAGATCATCGGGCTTTAGTTTCTCATAAGGAGTACACAACCTAGATCCCTCACATGCACAGTTCACAATAGGGTTTCAGCTCCTATGAGAATCTAATGCTCAGGCCGTAATGCTGGCTCGCCTGCCACTCACCTCCTGCTATACAGCCTGGTTCCTAACAGGCCACAGACCCTGATAAAGGTCCATGGCCCAGGGGTCCTGCCCTGGATTACCTTTGTACTTCCTTTATATCTTCCACTTATCTAAATCCTACTCACTCTTCCAGACTTGACCGAAAAGCATTGTCTTCCACGCAGACTTCCTTGGAAACTGCAGCTCTCAATCATCTCCTTACCCCTTCCTGTTTACATAGCAGAGATTCTCAGATGGTTTAAATACCCTTCTGGGTGCTTACTAAAATGCAGATGGTTGAGCTCCTTACCCAGAGATTTTTGAATCAATAGGGCTGAGGTGGGATTTTGAACCAAAAGACTTGGGTAATATTCACTTTTAGCTATCCCTCCAAATAATTCTGATTTAGGGAGTCTAAAGATCAGATTTTGAGAAGTACTGCCCTGAGCTTTTAGAATTCAGAGAGGAGATCAAAGTGTAAACATCCCCAGGCCATTTCTCCTTACTCTTATCTGTATTTCCATGCCCGATTCCCAGAAATTTTATGAAACAGAATCGGGAGACTAGGTGGATAGAGAAAGAAAAGACAAAAAAGGTAAGAGAGAAAGGAAGGGTTCCTTGCTTGAATCCCGAAGAAAGCCAGAGAAAGAAAAGAAATAGAAAACTAAGTCAATGTATATAAGGAAAAAATGAGGAAGAGATGAGAGAGAGAGAAAGGTGGGACAGAGAGAGTAGAGGGAAGGAAATGAACTGGACTGGAGGAATATTTTTGGCAACAGGACAGTGGTGAAATGTGAGACCATTGGGGAGGTAAGAGAAATTTGGAGATGTATTGCTGTGAGTTGTGGCTGGGCCCTTTTTCGTGATCTTAGAAAGACTCAAATAAAGAATGGAATTTGCTCTGTAGACTGAATGTGTTTGTTCTCCCCAAGTTCATATGTGTGACCTAATCCTTAATGTGATGGTATTTGGAGGTGGAGGCTTTGGGAGGTGATTAGGTCATGAAGGTGGAGATTTTATAAAAGCCCTTGGCATGGTGGCTCACGCCTATAATCTCAGCACTTTGGGAAGCTGAGGTGGGCAGATCACGAGGTCAGGATATTGAAACCAGCCTGGCCAACATGGTGAAACCCCGTCTCTACTAAAAATAAAAAATTAGCCGGGCGTGGTGGTGGGCACCTGTAGTCTCAGCTACTCGGGAGGCTGGGGCAGGAGAATGGCATGAACCCGGGGGGCGGAGCTTGCAGTGAGTGGAGATGACGCCACCGCACTCCAGCCTGGGCGACAGAGCGAGACTCCGTCTCAAAAAAAAAAAAAAAAAAAAAATAGCCCTCGTAAAAAGAGACCCCAGAGAACAATTTAGCTTCTTTTTGCCATGTGAGACACAGCAAGATGCCGTGTTCACTAGACACCAAATCTGCCAGCACCTTGACACTGGACTCCCCAGCTTCCAGAGCTGTTAAAAATACATGGTTTCTGTTGATAAGTCACCCAGTCTGTGAGTTTTTTTTAATAGCAGCCTGAACGAACTAAGACATTTCATTTAAGTTACTTTTGCTCTTCTACTATTTAATACTAAGAGTTTCTCAAATGTAATCTATACAGTGAGCCACGTGAGAGCTCCTAAATGTATTACAGTTACACAAGAAACTAAACTGTTCTCAAGATGTTCATATCTGGTTACAGGAATGGAACGAGTACAACTGTACCCAAAGGTGCAGAAACTGGCCTCAAATTCCACCCTTGGTGCTAACTAGCAGCAAAACGGAGAGAGAAGCGCTCTCCAACCACTAGTCAGTCTTGCTATTCTTTGACCTTGTCAGGGTGATATTGTCAGATTTATCAAGTGAGGCTATAATTGCTCTTGAGTATAGGGACTATGTCTTATTCATCTTTTCATCCCTTGGGCCCAAGAGGGTGCCTTGATGTCTAGGCTTTCAGGAAATGACTGCTGAATCAATGTTTCAATTAATGTCAAGTTGAGCTTCCTGTGAATCCTGTAACCCTAGTTTTACTCATCTCACAAAAAAGGAGATATGGAACTGGTTTTGCATACTGATGAAAGCTTTTTAATGTCATAAAGAATGAAACAGAGACTCGCTTAAGGTATCTGTTAAAATACCATGGATTCCATGAGAAGGCAGGGGAGAGATTCTAATGGTAGGTGTAAGAAAGACCCCCATAATAAATAGATTCTTTTTGAAAGTGTGGTAATACTCTCCCTTGTAAGAAGAGTGCTTTTTAGATAAAGAAAAGGAACATCACAGCAACAGAAAAGATACATTGAATGACACATCATTGCAATTAAGAAAGCCGATTTCTAAAGAAACATGAGAGAGGGAGAGACAGAGAAATGAAAAGATGAAAACATTCCCCAGGATTAATTCTTACCCAAGGCACATAATATACGCAGCCTCTGAATCGCCTTAATTCATCTCTGTCTGTTGTCCTGATTCAGAAGATAGAGTGGCTCAGTTAAATTGAAATTGAGTTAACCTGACAACCAAAGAGTGGCATTGTTACTGGCTGAAAATCATTAATTTTGATGTGATAAATTCCTTTCTAATGGGGGCATTTTTATTATCTTTGGTGTTTTTGTTTTGGTGGCTTTTTCCAATAATGTCAATATTTCAAGTAAGCCAGAGGAGAAACAAAACAGCCTTGCACTCCTTTTCTCATTATGATTAGATTTTAAAAACTCCTTGCTGTCCTGGTCTGCTTAAGGTAAAATGAAAAATTAATAGGATCAAGAATACATCAAAATTGTGATTGTAATGCAGTGATTAATTCTGCGGTTTTATCAGCATAT
Organism: Homo sapiens; assembly: GCF_000001405.40. Classification (NCBI taxonomy): domain Eukaryota; kingdom Metazoa; phylum Chordata; class Mammalia; order Primates; family Hominidae; genus Homo; species Homo sapiens. The sequence goes on from NC_000003.12 coordinate 5,889,945, forward strand.
AACTATGGATGCAATTGTGAAGCATACTACACTTGGAGATTAGTTGGACATTTAAACCTATTGGATATAAAACCCAGTCATCTGACAAAACCTTAATCAGCAGATGTTCCCCTTTGGTAGCCTGCTATAAAAATCAGTGTCTTTTCTTCCCGGAAATTCAAATATGCATTTCTTGTTTAGGCACAATCGTTCCCAACCTTGACTTAATATTGTCATCTCTTAGGGAGCTTTTAAAAAAAATACTGTTGCTCTCTAGTGATTTGTACTTAATTGGTCTGTGGTGCAGCTGGGCGATGGGATTTTTTTTTAAGAGCCCCGGGTAGGTGATTTTACTACTTACCCTAACTTCACAGGGACTTCTTTAGATGTGTACGGTTGTCAGATCAGAAGATTAAAATCAAAAGCGTTAACTGAGAAATCCCTCACAACAACATGATGGCAAGTTGATTTCCTCTTGTATGGCAACTTCATAGACTGGGAGTGGCTTCTTGGAGCACAATATTGAAAAAGATATTAAAGCCATATGTGGTCTCGGTGGCATATGGTGCTGTGATCTACTAAGGATGGGGAAGAATGCATGGTGCTCTAAATGCTATGTGTTGCTCCACTCAGAATTAGCAAATATGTAAGTATTTAAATTTTGTTTAATTCAGGCAAAATTTATATTTAATAAATAATCCCAATTCACCAAGGAATCAGCAAACTTGTTTTCTAATCCAGGTGTTTTGAAGCGAAAATTCTCTTTGTCTTGATTTTTTTTTTTTTTGCTTTCTCTTTTCTTTAACTTACACAATTTCAACCTTGATCAGGTGTCGGTAGAGAATATGAATATTGATTAAAAGGTCTTAAAACACTCCCTTTGGACTTCGAACTTCTAGAAGTCAGGAATTGTGTTTTAAAATCTTTGTATCCCTAGCATGTAAAACTGGGTCTGGCATGTGAGTGCCAATATAAATAGTCATTGCATTCAAATGGCTCAAGTCCACTTTCTGAAGTAGTTGTCTTCTTACTTTTTTAAAAAAGTCACTTCGGCTTTGTAAATTTCCTTTTTTTATTGCTTTACCTTTGTGTTTGCTTATTTGGACATTGTCTTGGCACTGCTGATTACTGGCCCAACTAAAGAGCTGTGCCTCATGCACTGCTCCATCTTCATCCTAATTCCTCTGTGAGATTCATATTCTTAGAATTTGGAAATACCTTGTTCTCTTTGTAATTTCAGCCCACGATGGTTCCTTAGTGACAACTCAGCATGGCTCCCTGGTCCCATCATGTTGGGTAAGAAGAAAAAGTTTCCAAGGGAATTGTCTTTGGTTAAGTCTTCCCTAAGCAAACAGCAGATTCTCTCCTCCACGTATTTTTTTTTTCTTCTTTATCATTTCATAGAATGTCCTCTTCTCTTACAGCTGTGGGACTAGGGAGTAAATGGTGGCATTTAATATGCAAAAGTTATGAGTGGTATTTAAGTTTATAATTACTGTTGTATATGGAAACTGTAGGAAAAAATCAAGTGTGGCCAAGTGTTTATAGTCAGGGAAACTTTTGCTTTCAGTCTGATAACCTTCCTGTACTGTCCTGGTTTCCTTTTGGTCCTGCTGCACTGACTCCTGGGCTGTCAGTCTGTGGGGTAGGTTGTCTTTTCCAAGGTGGGCCTCACGGTCACCCACTTTTCATTCTCTTCTGCAGTGTGACCTGACCACTCCCTTAACAAGACGCCAGGTCTATTTCTCCACTTTCTTGAATCCAGGCAGCTTCTGTACTGCTTTGACTAACAGATCTGGTGGAAGTAATGCTGTGTCTGTTTTGAGCATAGCCTTAGCTGTCTTGGCAGCTTCATGTTTCTCCCCCTTGGAAGCCAGCAATCTGATATGAATCATGTCTATCTTGAGGCTCCCATGCTGTGAAAGGCCTGAGCTAGTGTGGAGATGCAATGTAGTGAGAAAGAGAGAGACAGAAGTCCAGGTGCACCAATGTGTCAGAGTGTGAGTAAAGAGTCCTTGACAGTGAATTCTTCAGCCCCAGCCACCCCAGCTGATGCCACGTGATTCAAATTCAAACAGCTTAGCTGAGACCTTGTTGAATTCCTGGCGCAAAGATTCTGAGCAAGATAAACGTGAACAAATTAAATCACAACGTTTAGAATAGTTGTGCAGGAATAGCTAACAGGAATGGGCTCTGGGCAATTCTTTTGAGCTTGTGTATTCTGTCTGCAATGCTGTGCTCACTGCCTAATGACCTTTATAAAAATACAAGTTTCGAATCTCCAATGATTGACCATATGGCCACAGTATTTCTGGAGTCACAGAGATTGCCTTGACTCTCTGCTTCACCTTGTACTAGGTGTGTGAACTTGGACATATCATTTCCCTTTTCTGAAACTCAATTTTCTTGTTTTGTAAAATAGAGTAATTAATACATAGTAACAGTGTTGGGGTTAAACATAAAATATTGCATATAAAGCACTGAGCACAATGCTTAGCTCATCTTGAGTGCTCAGTAAGTGGGAGTTGTTTAAAAAAAAAAAAAAAAAACCCTGCAAAATCATGGCAGTTTTCTCCTTTTTGTTCTGCTGATTATTGGCCCAAATAACAGCTGTGTCTCACGCACTGCTCCATATTAATCCTAGTTCCTCTGTGAGACTCATATTCTTAGATTTTGGAAATACCTTGTTCTCTTTGGAATTTCAGCCCGTGATGGTTCCTTAGTGACAACTCAGCATGGCTCCCTGGTCCCATCAAGTTGGGTAAGAGGAAAAAGTTTCCAAGGCAATTGTCTTTGGATAAGTCTTCCCTAAGCAAACAGCAGATTCTCTCCTTCACGCTTTTTTTTTCTTTATCATTTCATGGAATGTCCTCTTCTATTACAAATGTGGGACTAGGGAGTAAATGGTGGCATTTAATATGCAAAAGTTGTGGGTGGTATTTAAGTTTATAATTACTGTTGTATATGGAAACTGTAGGAAAAAATCAAGTGTGGCATTTGAAGGCAACAGTTGGCTGAATTCCATACGATATCATTGGCTTTTATTTTAAGCATCTTATTTCCTCAATTATCTGTGAGCGCCTTAAGTTCAGAGACAATGTTATCTACTGTGTGTGTTTGCAGCCTTTTCATAATTCTGAATACATGAAACATTTATTTGAATAAAATATACACTCAAATAAATAGAGGCTGGGTGCGGTGGCTCACGCCTGTAATCCCAGCACCTTGGGAGGCCGAGGCGGGCAGTTCACGAGGTCGGGAGATTGAGACCATCCTGACCAACATGGTGAAACCCCGTCTCTACTAAAAGTACAAAAAAATTAGCTGGGCACGGTGGCACGCACCTGTAGTCCCAGCTACTCGGGAGGCTGAGGCAGGAGAATCGCTTGAACCTGGGAGGTGGAGGTTGCAGTGAGCCGAGATCGCACCACGGCGCTCCAGCCTGGTGACAGAGCAAGACACTGTCTCTATAAATAAATAAATAAATAGAGAAAAAAATGTCTAATGAGAACCAATATTGTGTTAGACCTTCAGGTGGTGTATTAATGTACCAACTTTATTATTTTTTATTTTATTATAAATTGACAATTTGTAATTGTATATATTTATGGGGTACAGGGGGTTATCAAGGTTTATGAAAATAATGAGTAATTAAATCAGGTTAATTAACATATCCACCACCTCAAATACTTACCTTTTTTGTGGTGAGCACATTTGAAATGTACTCTCTTAGCAATTTTGAAAGGTACAGCACATTATCATTAACTATGTTCACTATTCTGTACCAAAGATCACCAAAAATAAAAACTAAAACATATTCCTCCTAAGATTTTATACTCTTTGACTATTATCTCCCCATTTCCCTCACCTCCCAGCCTCTGTAACTATCATTTTAGTCTCTGTCTCTTTGAGTTATATTGTTTGAGATTCTACGTGTAAATGAGAACATGTGGTACAGGTTGAACATCCCTAATCCAAAAATCCAAAATCTGGATACCACAAGTGGAAAATTCCACACTTGACCTCATGTTAGATTGCAATCAAAACACAGTTTACTCTGTGTCTCCAACGGAAAAAAAATAAAAGACTTCATTTGGCTGTCTGGGAGGCACTCCCTCTAGGATGTTCCTCCTTGTCTGTTTCTCCCTTGGCCACTTCTAAAGTGCTTATAGGTGCTCATTCTGCACTTTTCCAGCCTGCTTGCTGCTAGTGCAGGTTTTGAGCCCTTGGGATATTTTATAACTTGAGCTGTTAAAGACATCTTAAGGCCAGGCCAATAGTTTCATTGACAATACAATTCTCTGAAAAACTTAGTGGGCTTTGGATCTATCTGCTTCTAGGAAGCTCTGGGTGGCAGCAACTATGCCCTAAGTTTTTGCCTAGATATGTCTCCCATGTTTCTTTTCTTCCTTGTCCTCATGTTTCTTTCTGTCAGATTAATGGCATTTATCATGAGGCTATCTGAAACAAAAGAGTTGGGTAAAAATATAACAACCTTAATCTATATTTCTCACAAGGCTTAGTTCCTATGTTTCTTTTAACTGAGAAGTCTTAATGGGCCTTCTTTAAATTGTCTCCTATTCTTTGTAGTCCAGAAGAATGAAAACTGTTTCTTCAACCCTATAAATTTCTTTAATTTCTGCCTGCAAATGGTTGCTTGTGATTTCTTGCTGTAAGCGGCAAGAAACAATCAACAAGCACTAATATTCTAGCTCATTCAATCTGCTGCTTCCAGAACAGTATGTTCAGTATGTACTCAATCTTCCTTTGAAGTGATTTTAGGTGATGGTTTTACCACACATTTCTCCATCTTTCTAAACTGTGAAATCTATTCCTATTCTACCTGTTGCAAATCCAAAGAGTTCTACATTGCTATGCATTTTATCAGTTTGTTAAAGCAGTACTTCACTGGAAAGTGCTAATTCCCATATTAGACAGGATAGATGGGACGACTTTAACATACAGATCTAAAAATATAAAATGGTTCAAACACACACACAGTTTATTTCTTGATTATATATCTATCCCAGACAGGCATAATTTGAGTGGCTTTGCTCGTTAGAGTGATTATAAGATATTGGCTCTCCTTCCACCCTAAGGTTACACCACCTCTGAGGCCTCAAGAAGAAAAACGAAACTGGAGAAGTCATAAGATTTTCACTCACATATTATTGGCTAGAGCTTAGTTACATGATTATTATTTAGCTGCAAGGCTGGCCGGGACACGTGGTCCAGCCATGTGGGCAGGCACAGAGGGATGAGAATTGGAGCAGTGGTAGCTTCTCCTCCATGCCATCTTTACCCAGGTGAGCCCCAGTTTCACCCTGAGTTTCTCACTTGTCCACTTGGTTGTTTCATACTCCTCAGAACAAAATCTTCTATCTCAGCAAATGGCATAATTATCCACTGAATTGCTCCAGCCGGAAACTTGAGAGTCCCTTCCCTAACTCTCCCGTCCAGTTCATTACATCTCCTGTCTTTTGTTCATTTATTTCAAACACAGGTAAGCAGAATTTAATGAATTATAATGCTTGGTTTATGACACCCTCTGTGGCCTTCCCGATACCATCCTCCTACTTCCCCATCTGAAGATAACTAGCTTTAATCTTTTCTTTGCTTTTTCTTATTACATTTTATCACATATATATGTATTCCCAAAAGCATGTTATTTAATTTTTTGAATATTTGTAAAAAGAGAGACTACTTGTAATCTTCTGGGGCTTTTTTTTTTTTTTTTTTTCCTGAGACAGGGTCTTTCTGTATCAGCCAGGCTTTGGAGTGCAGTGGTATGATCATGGCTCATTGCAGCCTCATACTCCTGGACTCAAGTGATCCTCACACCGCAGTCTCCCAAGTGTAGGCACATGCCACCCCACCACGACCAGATCATTTAATTTAATTGTTTGTTTGTTCGTTTGTTTGTATTTTGGTAGAGGCATGGTCTCACTATGTTGCTCAAGCTGTCCTTGAACTCCTGACTCAAGTGATCTTCCTGCCTTGGCTTCCCAAAGTGCTGGGATTACAGGCATGAGCCAGCACACCCAACCAGGACTTTGAACTTCATATTGCAATGTTAATATCTCTCCATGATAATGAATGTCCCTATGGTTTTTAAAAAATATCGACAGTCACACAATATTTCAAATACATCACATTTTATTCATTCTTTCATCAGGCATTTAGGTTGCTGTTACAAACATTACAATTTTTTTACATTCGTGTGTTTATTTACCACGTGCATTTACAAATCTCTCTTGTGTATGTACCTAGAGGAAATTTCCTTGCTTTTAGGATATGTAAATGTTTCAGTTTACAAAATTCTTCTAAATTGTTTTCCAAAGTGAAGGTCTCAGTTTATGCTTTTGTCAGCAAGGTTTAAAAAATATTGATGCTTTATGTTTCTTCCAACATTTGGTATTGTTATATTTCCTAATTATCGTCAATAGATTTTTAAAAAAATAATGCTCCCTTACCATAGTTTCAGTTTGTATTCACCTGATAGTATTTATATGAACACCTACTCATATGTTTACTAGCATATATGTTTGTTTGAAGAATGCCTCTTCACGATTTATCTGGAGTTTCATTTGAATTTTCCATGAAGATTATTATGTTATCTGCAAATAGTGAACATTTTATTTCTTCTTTTTCAATTGTTATGCCTTAAATGTCTTTTTCTATCTTATTTTGCCAGCTAGAACATCCAGTGCAATGTTGAGTTGAATGGTACAAAATCTTATTCTAATTCTGATTTTAAAGAAAGTGCTTTAAACACTTCTCCATTTAGGTTGTTATTTGTTATTGCTGTTGTTTGATAGAAACCCTTTATCAGGTTGAAGACTTTTTTTTATTTCAAATTTACTAGGAATTTTTGAATTGTGAAATTATTTTCAATTTTATTAAGTGATTCTTCTGCATATTTTGAAATTACATTACGGATGCAAAAATAAGTAATATATTTTTCAGGTCCTCAGAGAGATTGGAATTAACAGTAGGGGGAAAGTACACAAATGCACATGCAGTTGCATATACCCAGTAAACCTGTAAAACAAATGAACAGGGTTGTTAATTTTTCCAAAAATTTCCTTTGAAAAATTATCTTGTAGAAGGTGGCGCTTAATATGGGCCTTGAAGGATGAATACATTTTAACGGAAAGTTAAGACATGGGATGAAGGGAAAGAAGGAAAGGTCTTTGTTGAAAGGTCTGTTCTAGGTAAAGATATACAGTTACGAAAATGAATGATGAATGCTAACTGATCATTTGGCTGAATCAAAGAATGCAAAGAAAAATATCAGCTACATCTGTTGATACCATATTTTAGAAAACAACACATTTAAGAATAATAATTCTAAAAAGAAATGTCACTGAAACTGTATTTTAAAAGTTAGATATTTTAGGTAGATAAATCTAGCATCATACTGTGTGTTCCAGAAAACACATGCTGCTCTTAAAAAGGGGTTTCATTGTCAAGAAATTTGGTAAATACTGCATATTGTACTCTATAATCTATATTATGATATTAAAAGCTCTAAGATTTCCTGCAATTTAATATACTTTTTAGTCTACATTTTTCAAACACATTTGATACCGAAAATCTGAATACACCTTGGGTAATGTATCGAAGGATTTTCTTTTGAAAGTCAGTAGTACTGGGTAGCAAATTGGTTTATTAGGGAAGGAAGAAAAGTAGAAAAGGAGGGAAGAAAGATGCAAAGATTATACTAGGTTTTGTAAAGTGGTAAATGGAAAAATGAAGACATTAAGCAAAAATAGAGAAAATAGAGTGGGAGGTTTAATTCAGTTTGAGCTAGTACACTTTGGCATTACTTCTGAGAATTTCAAGTGATTTTCAGCAAGCAGCTGAACATATATGTCTCTGAGGGACAGAATAGAGATTTGGAGTCACACATATGAAGCTAATGATGAGAGGGAATATGAATCCGCAATGAGAAAATGATACGAAATCAAACATCCACTTCAGAAAAAAGTTATTAGGGAACAGTTACAATTACAGGAACAAGAAGAAGAAAATAAGCGAGTAAAGTGGATGAATAAAAACAAAAATAAGCCAAAACAAAAAATCCAAACAGCCCAGGAGAAAAATCTATAGGTCAGTGTCCTGGAACACATAGGAATGTTGAGGAATAGTTGTGGATGAAGAATAGTCTTTATCATTTTCTTAGAATTCATTTTCATTTTCTTTTGAATAACTGCAGATTTCAGAATATTCTATTTTTATTAAGCTTGGGTTTTGAAGTCTGGCTTTATCTAAAGACGTCTGTTCATTGTGGGTTATGAACTAAGTCACGGTGCCAATAGCTTTTCCAGTTCTGTGACCCAACTGTGAAAAATATGGAGGGGGAAGGAAGTGTTCAGTTACAGATGGATGCTTTCCAACTCATTGTCACAGGGGTGTTCTGCACCATCTTGATACACAAGCAGCTAAGCCCCAGTATCTAATTTGAATTGGTGAGTTGAACAGTAATGATCTCTTCTAGCTCAGAGAGCATAAAAAGCATCAGTTTATCACTATCCATAGCATTTCTCAGAGCTTTCCAAATGAGAGGAGGAATCATGGATGCTTCCCAAGTGCAAGGAATATGTTTTATGGATAACTGTTGGTCGGGGAAGCCTGATAAACAGTTGAATAATTGAAACTGAACTTATCACTGCTCAATAAACTCTCCATTCTCATTAGCGATACGTCTCATGAATTTCTTGCTGTCATTTACTTTGAAGCTCATGTCTTCACTGCAACTTACTTGGATCATGGAACTGCCGTGGTGAGCATCAACAAAGCCAGCCAGCGAGAGGTTTTCTGAGATATTGTCAGCATCATAAACTGTGTCAAATGATCCATTGAGATCAATTGCATGAGAATAGCCCCCAAATTCAACCATTATTGGCAGAACAAGTAATGCATTGTCAAAATCTTCCAGCTCACCCAGATCTAGGTGATTTATCTCCCAAGAAACTTTTATAAATGGACCATAATTTCCCTACACAATGAAAAAAAAATAAAAGCCACCCTCTACTCTCTACTATGTCTTCAGGGAAACAGAAATGATGGACAGGGATTACTTATGAGGAAAGATTAAAAGAGCTTAGGGACAAATACAGGGGAAAATAATGATAGCCTGTGAATATTTGAAAGAAATAAAAACAGATGAGAGTGAAATTACAGTATTCAGAACGGCCCAGTAGGGGATAACTAGGAGTAATGGGATGAAAATAATGAAAACATTTAGGCTTATTCTCAGCAACATCTTGCTGGCAGTGCTAGATGACAGACTCATCTCCTGAGGCAAGTGACGGAATTGCTATCACCTTGGGAATTTGAAACTGGAATGGAAAAATTAGGTTTGGTGGCAGACAGCAATGGAGGCAGACTCATTTGTTCTCATTTTTTTTTTCCTGTCTTAAGATATTGTGATTCTCAGAGACAAAGAATGCTCAATGACTATCTTTGATCACCTTAGTATGTTTCTGTGCATCATTTATAAAGCTTCACATGTGTCTTCGGAGAATCATTTGGCTGATTTATGCTCTAGTGTAGGACAATTTTTTTTTCTTATCAGTAATACATCTTCTTTTCAGTTATTGGTCCTAATGTGTCATTCTTGACATGTGGATTGCATGCCTCTGATTATATTATGTGTCCTCAGAGGCACTGAAATATACATGAGGATAAAAACCTCAGAAACAACAGGTAGGGGGTGCAAAGACTACTCTGGGAACCAAAATGTCACTACTTGCAGAGAAATCCAGCACACACAGGAATTTGTTATCTGGTGCCAGTGGGCTACCTTTACAGAGCTCATGGACCCTCTTAAGTAGTATGAAATACACTGTGTGAGTATAGGTTCTTTTTTCTTTGTAGATGATCCATAGTGTTCTTTAGCTTCTCAAGAGGACACTTAACTCTCTGCTCCTGATTTAAACAAATAAAAAAAGCTAAGCGGGTTGGGCGCGGTGGCTCACGCCTGTAATCCCAGCACTTTGGGAGGCCGAGGCGGGCAGATCACAAGGTCAGGAGATCGAGACCATCCTGGCTAACACGGTAAAACCCCATCTCTACTAAAAATAGAAAAAATTAGCTGGGCGTGGTGGCGGGTGCCTGTAGTCCCAGCTACTCGGGAGGCTGAGGCAGGAGAATGGTGTGAACCTGGGAGGCCGAGCTTGCAGTGAGCCGAGATCACGTCACCGCTCCAGCCTGGGTGACAGAGCGAGACTCTGTCTCAAAAAAAAAAAAAAGCTAAGTGAACATGTGAACAGATACTCATTGGAATTCCATTTCTAAATGTTTTATGATGGTGTGAGATAATATAAAGTGTCTTGACATTTATTTTTTGGGAAGCACTAAAGACTTTTTGCGTTATTTGTCTAATGCTCCTTGAAATTGTCTCTGATTACAACTGTAGACAGAAAAGATATTTGTATGTCTCATCTCAGGATTTGAGACACACTCTGCCTGTTTATGTATTTTTTTATTCTTTCAAAACTGATACATTCTCTATTTAAATAATTAAAGAATGTATAAAAGCATATAAAAGAATAGTAAAAACTCACTTAAAACAAATTTCACTCTACAGAAATAGCTTTTATAACCATTAGGTGAATGCCATTCCAAATCTCTCTGTATACATGTGAAGACAGACATATTATTACAAGACCAGAAAAACTCTGTAAAAATTCATCATTATATAAATGTTAATTAAAATAATTGTTAATTTGGTTTTATATAAATTTAATAGAAATCAAAGAAACTCAAAGGAATAGAAAGAATTGAATATCAAGACGTTTTTACCATATATGTATTAATTTTCTCAATAATCCCTCTAAATTTAAAAAGTAGTATTATAAAAAAACATGAAGAACTTGGTGTCATTATTGTCTTAAATGACACTGTAATTTTGTCTTTTAGCTTCCTTCTAAAAACCATTAGGAAACTAGCAATTTTCTACATCTTCCAATCACCTCTCCCCCAATTTTCTGATATAGTTTTATTATTAAACTTGCTATTTCAGCTCTGTAATTTCTTCTTTTAGTTTTTAAAAATCATCTTATCTCAGAGGTCGCATTTTATTTAATTTAGGTAGTTAAAAATCTCTAACATAAAATATTTTGGGGGGAATTTCTTCTGATCCTTGAGTTATTTTTAATTTCTGATTGGGCTTATCAATTATCTCAATTTCTCTTTATTGGAGAAAGTTCTCAGTCTACTTGCTGTGCTGTTTATTGTCACCTTGCTTATGCATCGTGTGGGCAGCTCTCTCCAAAAATTGCATTTGCTCTGTTATAGTGTGGGGTGACTTCTCCTTGACTTGCTTCCCACTCTACCTGAAGTTGTTTCCTACCATGAGCCATAATCTTAGAGGTGTATATTCCTGTTTTAGGTACTTTTCTTTAGATCAAAGGTATGGAATAGAATGGGAAGAGAACACACCCGAGACTTAGTATTAGGATATGAGGCCTTTTCTTTTCTCTTTTCCATTATGCACATGGTTAAACCTGCAGTACCGTGGTTTACTCAACTCAGTTCAAGAATATGCAGCTGAGATCCCAGCATTTGCAGTGCCAGCAACTAAGATTTAGAAACAGAATTCACTCTGCCCTTCCGTCTACCTCATTTTTTGTTGTTGTTGTTGTTGCTGTTGTTGTTTTTGACACAGAGTCTTGCTCTGTCACTCAGGCTGGAGTGCAGTGGTGCGATCTTGGCCCACTGGCTCACTGCAACCTCTGCCTCCTGAGTTCAAGCAATTCTTCTGCCTTAGCCTACCTGAGTAGCTGAGATTACAGGTGCCTGCCACCATGCCTGGCTAATTTTTGTATTTTTAGTAGAGATGGGGTTTCACCATGTTGGCCAGGCTGGTCTTGAACTCCTGACCTCAAGTGATCCACCAGCCTCGAACTTCCAAACTGCTGGGATTACAGGTGTGAGCCACTGCGCCCAGCCTACCTCATTGCTTTTCCGTGAGCAAGAGTCCCTGGATCCTCCCACAAGAGAGCAACTCAGTTTATCGTTGTTTCTGTTCCACAAATCTTTACCTTTCATTTTGAAATTCTCTTTTCTAATTTATGATGTCAGCTTACCTGTTGTTTTAATTTCTTCTCAGATTCGATACCTTGCTATTTACATACTTTCTTGTCTCTGCATTTCTTTCTGCTCCCACTACAAATAGGTTTTCTCTATCTCTAAACCAAACAACCATGAATTGGATTGACCATTAGCACTCCTGATAGAGAAGATTCTCTCCATCCAGACTTTCTTGTTTGTAACTCCCCTGTGTATGAGTTGACTCCTTTTAGGTCTCATGGTCCAATCAGCTGTGTTCAGAATTTGGGGTTTATAGAATCAAAATTATGATCACTTTTGCTGAATAAATTCCCTTGGGATACTTCTGAATGTACCATAAAAGAGTACTCTTAGTAATAGAATAGGGGTATTGATACGGCCTGCAAACCATCTAAGACCATTAGCCCTATCAGATGCAGATAAAGAATTAGCTTTTGGTTATTAGCATAAGTTTTTGTTTTGGAGAAAAAGTCATGTTTTGCAAGTGACATAAGAAAGCTGTATTTGCACCCTTCACAAGCTGATTTACAAAAAAGAAAAAAATAAATGATTAATTAAATTCAACTTTTAAGACATTTACATATAGAGAAATATACATACATTTACATATAGAGAAATAGCCTATATTATGATATAAGAAATAACATTTTGAATAATAAAAGGTGGTATTTATTGATAAAGGCTAAGGTGAGAGTTGTGGCAAAATCTTGCTATTTCAGATAAGCCACCATAAAATGGGTTTTTGTTTTTCATCATTAGACCGTCTGACTGAATTACACAGGAAACTGCTGTAACTCTCAATTCTGTCTATACAGAGAGCCAGAGGAACACTAAATATTTGAATGAACAGATCGTTGAAGGAAATCTGCATTAAACTATGATCTTCACCCTGATGAAATGCTAAGAAACTATCTTACATAAATCCTTCCTGATGAGGAAACTGAGGCTCACAGTAGAGAAAAACTTGTCTACAGCAAATGAGGGCTGAACCTGGCTCTTTTCATTTCCTATCCCGGCTCATTTCATTTCTGATCTAGAATCTTTTTCACTCTGCCACATAGCTTCCAGCTCAGATCAATGTTTTCTCAAATACAGGACACCCGAGAGGCTCTTAGGCCCTTTCAGGGGAAACGAGTCCCTGAATGGGTGATTTATAGATGCAATAACGCTTAGCCTTGAAATGCCCGAGGAAAGAAAACAGACTCTGATAGGTAGCGCCTGACTAAAACCCAAAACCTATTTATACCTAGACATTGTGGCTCCTTCATCAGAAAGGAGAGGATGGGGTGGAGAATAATTTAGGAAACATGCAAGAGATTACTGAGGGCATATTGAAATATTGGTGTTGCATATTTTTATTCCGTCTGGTAGAAGTAGAAAGGAAAAGAAAATCTTACACAGGCTGGAAAAGCATTGATGTTAGGCGCAACTGGGGGCAATAATGTGGAGCATCTTTTCTAGCAGGTTGAAAGTCCCTAAGTCAACTCAAATATTCTATGTCAACAGAGTGGTTAAAAAAAGTAGAGTATCCATACTAAGGAATAATACATAGCTAACAAGAATAGTGAAGATTTGTAAAACCTACTATTAAATGAAAGAAATCAAGATTCAAAATATGTATAGTATGATAACATATTTAAAAATATATACACAAATCCCTATATATTTTAGTATGTGTATAAAGTGTTATAGATAAATGTATGGTAAAACATCTCAAATGATACACTGTGGATAGCAGTTTCCAACCAGGACTGATTTTGCCCCCACGGGGACATTTGGAAATGCTTAGAGATATTTTTGATTGTCGCAGATGGGGCCAAGGGAAATGCTACCGACACCTAGGCGATACAATGCCCTAAACAAGGATGAGACTAAACAGCGTTCAGGACAACCCTGCAACAAAAAAATCATTTCCCTCACTATGTCAATAGTGCTGAGATTGAGAAACCCTGCTTTAAATTGATAACAATGATTTTCTCTGGAGGGGCAAATGGAACCTAGGCGTTAAGAGTTTTGGGCTTCAAGCAGAACTTCTACTTTATTTTTACTGTTTGTGCTTCCATTAATGAGATTATGCTGATATATTACTGGTAAATTTTTTAAAATGAAGCTTAAATTACAATAGATGCCTACATGTGTTGCCAAATTTAGATTTCCCCATTAGCGCATAGATGTGAGAATGCAATGATTTTTTAAACAAGTTGGTGGTAAGTGGCATTGAATGGTAGGTGCATTGTAGTGTGCTGAGAGAGAGGTGAGGAAAATCCTGCCTCTAAAGGATGAGCGGCAGCTGATGGAAGATAAATGAGAAAGACTGCTGATTTCATTCATTATGCTACCAATCTGCTAGCAATGGAAAGTTGAAGAAAATACTGTTGTAAACATCTATGTAGAGACTAGCTAGGATGAACAGCTGTTAATAATTTGCTGTAATGACTTCAAATTTCATTCTCTTTCTCAATTTCTTTTTCCCCCTTTGGAAAAAACATCATTATTTTGATATATATCAATCAACAAGTGGATAAAGAAACTGTGGTGTATGTATATGATGGAATACTGATCAGCCATAAAAAGGAATGAATTAATGGCATTTGCAGTTACCTGGATGAGATTGGAGACTATTATTCTAAGTGAAATAACTCAGGAATGGAAAACCAAATGTTGTATGTTCTCACTCATAAGTGGGAGCTAACCTATGAGGATGCAAAGGCATAAAAATGACACAGTGGACTTCGGGGACTCGGGGAAATGTTGGGAAGGGTGTGAAGGATAAAAGACTGCAAATCTGGTGCAGTGTATACTGCTCGGGTGGGGGTGCACCAGAATCTCACAAATCACCACTAAAGAACTCAACCATGTAACCAAACACTGCCTGTTCCCCAATGACCTGTGGAAACTAAAAAAAAAAATTTTTAATACATAAAAACTTAATATTTTTAATAGTATCATTCTTCTGCAGGACTTTGTCTTTCATTAAATGGTTATCTATATTAATCCATATGGACAAAGATATTTCTAATTTATTTGAAATGCTACACGTATCATCATGGGAATAGTTCATGGTTTATTTATCCATCTTTCATTAGTTTGTTTCCTTTTTAAAAATTATTATAAAACATAATCACAAAGAACATCACTGTTCATATTTCCATGGTTGGAGGTTCCTCTAGGCAAATATCTCCAGAAATAAAATTTCTAAACCAAAAGATATGCATAAACTTAATGTTACCAGATAACAGATGCACCCTCCATCTCCGTGGAGTTTCAAACTGTGTTATTGTACCATCAGAAGGATACCCAAGAGTTCTTTTTTCTTTATAGCCTTGCAAACACTTGCCTCTTTAAGATTTTTGGCAAAAATTACTCTGATGGGTATAAAATAGTATGCCATTTTTAAATTTTGAATTTTCCTGATTACTGATGATTGAACAATTCTAAATTTTTTATCCATGTGTGATGGTTCATATTGAGTGTCAACTTGATGGGGTTGAAGTGTCAACCTGATTGAATTGAATGCATTGTTCCTAGGTGTGTCTGTGAGGGTGTTGCCAAAGGAGATTAACATTTGAGTCAGTGGACTGGGAGAGGCAGACCCATCCTCAGTCTGCACCATCTAATCAGCTGCCAGCATGGCTAGAATAAAAGCATGCAGAAGAAAGTGGAAGGGCTTGACATGCTGAGTCTTCTGGCCTTCATCTTTCTCCTGTACTGGATGCTTCCTGCCCTTGAACGTCGAACTCCAAGTTCTTCAGCTTTTGGACACTTGGACTCACACCAGTGGTTTGCCAGGGGCTCTGAGGTCTTCAGCCACAGACTGAAGGCTGCACTGTCGGCTTCCATACTTTTGAGGTTTTGGAACTCGGACTGGCTTCCTTGCTTCTCAGCTTGCAGATGGCCTATTGTGGGACTTCACCTTGTGATCGTGTGAGTCAGTACTCCTTAATAAACTCCCCTTCATATATACGTCTATCCTATTAGTTCTGTCCCTCTAGAGAACCCTGACTAATACACCATGCTTTATATTCTGGATATTAATTTTTGTCTATGATGTGTCTTGTAAATTTATCAATGTTTTCTCTTATGGATCATGCTTTTGGTGTTGTGTCCACAAACTCTTTGCTCAGCCTTAGATACCAAATATTTTCTCATTTTTTCCCCTAATTCTTAGAGTTTTATGTTCTACCCTCATGATTCATGAGCTCATGATTCATTCTGGGTTGTTTGTATAACATGTGAATATAAGGTCAAGGTTCATTTTTTAAAAAAACCTATAGCTGTCTAAATTTTCCACATCAGTTTTTGAAAGGGCTCGGTTGAATTGCTTTTGAACCTTTGTCACAAATCAGTTTGGCATATTATACGAGTCTATTTCTAATTTATTTGAATTTTTGTTCCTTTTCTGTTCCACGGATATATGTATTTATTTCACGGCCTTGATTGTTTTAGCTAGACAGTATGTCTTAAAATTAGGTAGACAGGTTTCTCTGACATTACTCTCCTTTTTCAAAAGTATTTTATCTGCTTTAATTCTTTTGTCTTTCCTTATAAACTGTAGAATAATATTGTCTATAGCTACAAGAAAATTTCTTGGGATTTTGACAAGAATTGTGTCAAACCTGTATGACAATCTGGGGGACCTGACATCTTTACTATATGAATCTTACAATCCATAAACTTAGTGTCTTCCATTTATTTAGCTCTTCGATTTCTTTCAGTAGCATTTTGGAATTTTCAGCATATAGATTCTGTATGTGATTTATTCAATACACAACTAAGAATTTCATTTTCCTTGGAGCAGTTAAAATGGTATTGTGCTCTATTTACTTTCTGCATGTGTATTGTTAGTATATAGAAATGTGACATAGTATTGCCTGTTGATCTTGTATCCCATGACCTTGCTTGACTCATTCAATATTTTAGGAGATTCTGTAGATTCCTTGGGATTTTCTACATTGTCAGTTAGTTCATCTGCAAGTAGGAAGAATTTAATCCCTCTTTTTTTTTTTTTTAACCTCCATAGGGCTTTTTGTTTTCTTTTCCTGACTTGTTGCACTGGGTAGAACTTTCACAATGACATTAGGAACATAATTTTAGTGGTAGGTGTAGTCTTTATTAATTGGGGGCATTCCTCTCTATTCCTGTTTTTTTTTTTTGAAAGCCTAAATCAAGAAGGGATGCCAAATTTTCTCATTTGTTTTCTTCATTGATTGATATGCTCATGATCTTTCTTCTTCAGCTAGTTAATGCAGTGAATTATATTCATTTTTGAATATTAAACCAGCCTTGCATCAGTGCACTAAACCCCACTTAACCAGTTTGATTCTTTTTATATATTGCTAAATTCTATTTGCTTTTGTTTTGTTGAATTTTATGTTGATATTTATGACATATTAGTGTAGAGGTTTTTTTTACTGTCTAATTTTGGTATCAGGGTAACACTAGCTTCATAAAATTAATTGAAAAGTATTTCCTCCTTTTTATTTTCTGCAAGAGGTTGTGTAGAAGTTCATAATTAATTTTTTAAACATTTGGAAGAATTCTCCCTTGAAACAATTGAACTTGCCCATTTTCTTTTTTGGGAGTTTTTAATTATAAATGCAATTTTCTTAATAGTTATGGGACTACTCAAATGATCTATTTTATACTGAATTGTACTGGTTTGTGTTTTTCTAGATACTTGTTTCATTGCACCTAAGTGGTCCAATTTTTATATGTAGAGTTGTTTGGGGTATTTATTTATTATCCTTTTGATATTTGCAATGTCTGTGGTAATATCCCCTGTGTTAGTCCTGATACTGGTAATTTGTGTCTTCTCTCTATCTCTTCTTTTGTTAGCCCTGCTAGAGGCTGATCAGTTTTATTGACGTCTTTGAAGAATTAGCTGTTTATTTCATTGATTTTTTATTGTTTTCTTGTTTTCAGTGTCATAGATTTTGCTCTGGTCTTTATCATTGCCTTCTCTCTGCTTGCTTTGTGTTTATTTTGTTCTTCTTTATCTGGGTTCTTTTTTCTTTCAACGTTTACATTAGATTCAGGGGATACATGTGCAGGTTTGTTATCTGGGTATATTGTATAATCCTGAGGTTTGGGTTATGAGTGATCTCATCACCCAGGTATTAAGCATAGTACCCAAGAGTTAGGTCTTCAGCCCTTTTCCTCCCTTCCCCCTGTAGTAGTCCCCAGTTTCCATTGTTGCCATCTTTATGTCCATGAGTACTCAATGTTTAGCTACCACTTATAAGTGAGAATACGCAGTATTTGGTTTTCTTTTCCTATGTTAATTCGCTTAGGATAATGGCCTCCAGCTGCATCTATGTTACTGCAAAGGACAAAATTTTGTTTGTGTTTATGGCTGCATAGTACGCCATGGTGTATAGGTGTATATTTACATTTTCTTTATCCAATGCACCATTGATGGGCACCTGGGTTGATTCCATGTCTTGGCTATTGTGAATAGTGCTGCATTGAAAATGAGAGTGCATGTGTCTTCTTGGTAGAATGATTTGTTTCCGTTTGGATTTATATCCAGTAATTGAACTGACAGGTTAAATAGTAGTAGTGTTTTAAGATTTTTAAGAAATCTCCAAATTGTTTCCCACAGTGGCTGAATTAATTTACATATGATTTACAAATCATATTTATTGATTTGTGTGTGTAGAACCAACACTGTATAAGCATTCCCTTTCTCCACAGTCTTGCCAGCAACTGTTGTTTTTTGACTTTTTAATAACAGCCTTACTGTTATGAGATGATAGCTCATTGTGGTTTTGACTTGCATTTCTCTGATGGTTAGAGATGTTGAGCATTTTTTCATGTTTGTTGGTCACTAGTATTTCTTTTGAGAAGTGTCCATTCATGTCTTTCTCCAACTTTTTAATGGAGTTATTTGGGTTTTGTTGCTAGTTTAATTGTTTCAGTTCCTTAAAGATCCCCAATATTAGATCTTTTTTGGATGCGTTGTTTGCAAATACATTCTTCCATTTGGTAGGTTGTCTGTTTACTCTTTTGACAGTTTCTTTTGCTGTGCAAATGCTCTTTAGTTTAATTAGGTCTCACCTGCCAATTTTCATTTTTGTTGCAATTACTTTTGAGTACTTTGTCATAAATTCTTTCTCAAAGCTACTGTCCAGAATGGTGCTTCCTAGGTTTTCTTCTAGGATTCTTAGTTTGAGATCTTACATTTAAAATTTTAATTTACATTGAGTTAATTTTTGTAAATGGTGAAAAGTAGGGGACAGTTTCATTCTTCTGCATATGCCTAGCCAGCTATCTCAGCACCATGTGTTGAACAGGGAGTCCTTTCTGCATTGCCTATTTTTGTCAACTTTGTTGAAGATCAGATGGCTGTGTGTGGTTTTATTTCTTCATTCTCTTTTCTGTTCCATTGGTCTATGTGTCTGTTTCTGTACCAGTACTATGCTGTTTGGGTTACTGTTGCCTTGTAGTATAGTTTGAAGTAGGGGAATGTTCTAGCTTTGTTGTTTTTTTGTTGTTGTTGTTGTTTAGTTTTTTTTTTGTTTGTTTGTTTTTTTGCTGAGGATTGCTTTAGCTATTTGGGCTCTTTTTTGGTTCCATATAACTTTCAGAATAGTTTTTTCTAGTTCTGTGAGAAATGATGTTGGTAGTTTGACAGGAATAGCATTGAATTTATACATTGCTTTGGGTAGTATGGCCATTTTAATGCTATTTATTCTTCTAATTCATGAGCATGAGATATTTTTCCATTTGTTTGTGTCATCTCTGATTTTTTTTTAGCAGTGTTTTGTAGTTCTACTTGTAGAGATTTTTTCATCTCCTTGGTTAGATGTATTCCTAGGTATTTTTTTTTTTTATTTTTGGTGGCTATTGAAAATGAGACTGCATTCTTGATTTGGCTGTCAGCTTGAACATTATGGGTATATAGAAATGCTGCTGATTTTTGAGTTGACTTTGTATGCTGAAACTTTACTGAAATTGATTTTCATGTCCAGGAGACTTTTGGTGAAATCTTGAGGATTTTCTAAGTATAGGGTCATATTGCCTGTGAAGAGAGATAATTTGACTTCTTTTTCTTTTTGGATGTCTCTTATTTCTTTCTCTTGCCTGATTGCTCTGGCTAGCACTTCCATTACTATATTGATAGGAGGGGTGACAGTGGACATCATTATCTTGTTCCATTTCTCAAGGGGAATCCTTTTTTTCCTGCCCATTCAGTATGATGTAGACTGTGGGTGTGTTTGTCAAACATGGCTGTTATTATTATATTGCTTTCATGCCTAGTTTCTTGAGAGTTTTTATCGTAAAGGGATGTTGGATTTTATTGAAAGCTTTATCCGTGTTTCTTGATGATTGTATGGTTTTTGCTTTTAATTTTGTTTATGTAGTCAATCATAATTACTGATTTGTGTATGTAGAACTAACCTTGCATCCCAGGAATCAAGCCTACTTGATCATGATTAATTAACTTTTTGATACTCTGTTGAATTCAGTTTCCTAGTATTTTGTTGAGGATTTTTGTGTATGTGTTCATCAGGGATATTGGCTTCTAGTTTTCTTTTTCTGTTGTGTCTTTGCCAGGTTTTGGTACCGTGGTGATGCCAGTTTGTAGACTGAGTTAGAAAGGCGTCCTTCTTCCTCAATTTTTTTGAAATAGTTTCAGTAGATTTGATACCAGCTCTTCTTTCTGCATCTGGTAGAATTTGACTGTGAATTCCTCTGGTCTGAGACTTTTTTTGGTTGGTAGATTATTTATTACTGATTCAATTTTATAACTCAATATTGACCTGCTCAGGATTTTAATTTCTTCCTTATTCATTTTTGGCAGATTGTATGTTTCCAGGAATTTATCAATTTTCTCTAGATTTTCTAGTTTTGTGTGCATAAAGGATCTTTTGTACTTCTGTGGGATTGGTTGTAATGCTACCTTTCTCATTTCTGATTGTGCTTATTTGGTCTATCTCTTTTTTTTTCTTTGTTCATCTAGCTAGTAGTCTATTGATCTTGTTTATCCTTTCAAAAAACCAACTTTTGGTTTTGTTGGTTTTTTGGTATAAATTTTTGGGCCTCAATTTTGTTCAGTTTCATTCGATTTTAGTTATTTCTTTTTTTCTACTAGCTTTGGAGTCAGTTTGTTCTTGTTTTTCTAGTTTCTCTGGGTGTGATATTAGACTGTTAATTTGATATTTATCTTTTGAGGTGGGTGTTTAGCACTACAAAGTTTCCTCTTAACATGGCTTTTGCTGCATTCCAGAGATGCTGGTATACTGTATGTCTATTTTCATTTGTTTCAAGGAATTTTTTGCTTTCTTTTTAATTTTGTTGTTTACCCAAAAGTCATTCAGGAGAAACTTGTTTAGTTTCCATGTAATTGTGTGGTTTTTGAGAGATATTCTTGGTATTGATTTCTATTTTTATTACACTGTAGTTGAAGAGAATGGCTGATATGATTTCAATTGTTTTGAAATTATTGAGACTTGCTTCATGTCAGAGCATGTGGTCCATCTTAGAGTATGTCCTATGTGCAAATGAGAAGAATGTATGTTCTGTGGTTGATGGATGGAGTATTCTATAGATATCTGTTAGGTCCAATTGGTGAAGTTTGGAGTGTAAGTCTAGAATTTCTTTGTGAGTTTTCTCCCTTGATGATCTATCTAATGCTGTCAGAAGGGTGTTGAAGTCCTCCACTATTATTGTGTGGCTGTCTGTGTCTTTTTTAGGTCTGGAAGTACTTGTTTTATAAATCTGTCCCACTCCATTCTGCTATTGAGCCTATCCATTAGAGTTTTTAAAATTTTGGTTACATACTTTTACTTCTAAAATTTTCATTTTATTATTTAAATATTTTTATTTCTTTACTAGGATTTTATTTCTGAGACTTAAATGTATGTTTTCATTTGTTTCAAGTGTGTTTGTCATTTTTGTTAAAGCATTTTTATGATGGCTTGTCAGATACTTCTTGCATCTCCAATATCTCAGTATTATTATCAGTTTGTTTATTTTTCATTATTTTTGGGATCTTCCTGGTTCTTTTTTTTTTTATTATTATTATACTTTAAGTTTTAGGGTACATGTGCACAATGTGCAGGTTAGTTACATCTGTATACGTGTGCCATGCTGGTGTGCTGCACCCATTAACTTGTCATTTAGCATTAGGTATATCTCCTAATGCTATCCCTCCCCCCTCCCCCCACCCCACAACAGTCCCCAGAGTGTGATGCTCCCCTTCCTGTGTCCGCGTGTTCTCATTGTTCAATTCCCACCTATGAGTGAGAATATGCGGTGTTTGCTTTTTTGTCCTTGCGATAGTTTACTGAGAATGATGATTTCCAATTTCATCCATGTCCCTACAAAGGACATGAACTCATCATTTTTATGGCTGCATAGTATTCCATGGTGTATATGTGCCACATTTTCTTAATCCAGTCTATCATTGTTGGACATTTGGGTTGGTTCCAAGTCTTTGCTATTGTGAATAGTGCTGCAATAAACATATGTGTGCATGTGTCTTTATAGCAGCATGATTTATAATCCTTTGGGTATATACCCAGTAATAGGATGGCTGGGTCAAGTGGTATTTCTAGTTCTAGATCCCTGAGGAATCGCCACACTGACTTCCACAATGGTTGAACTAGTTTGCAGTCCCACCAACAGTGTAAAAGTGTTCCTATTTCTCCACATCCTCTTCAGCACCTGTTGTTTCCTGACTTTTTAATGATTGCCATTCTAACTGGTGTGAGATGGTATCTCATTGTGATTTTGATTTGCATTTCTCTGATGGCCAGTGATGGTGAGCATTTTTTCATGTGTTTTTTGGCTGCGTAAATGTCTTCTTTTGAGAAGTGTCTGTTCATGTCCTTTGCCCACTTTTTGATGGGGTTGTTTGTTTTTTTCTTGTAAATTTGTTTGAGTTCATTGTAGATTCTGGATATTAGCCCTTTGTCAGATAAGTAGGTTGCAAAAATGTTATCCCATTCTGTAGGTTGCCTGTTCACTCTGATGGTAGTTTCTTTTGCTGTGCAGAAGCTCTTTAGTTTAATTAGATCCCATTCGTCAATTTTGGCTTTTGTTGCCATTGCTTTTGGTGTTTTAGACATGAAGTCCTTGCCCACGCCTATGTCCTGAATGGTAATGCCAAGTTTTCTTCTAGGATTTTTATGGTTTTAGGTCTAATGTTTAAGTCTTTAATCCATCTTGAATTAATTTTTGTATAAGGTGTAAGGAAGGGATCCAGTTTCAGCTTTCTACATATGTCTAGCCAGTTTTCCCAGCACCATTTATTAAATAGGGAATCCTTTCCCCATTGCTTGTTTTTGTCAGGTTTGTCAAAGATCAGATAGTTGTAGATATGCGGCATTATTTCTGAGGGCTCTGTTCTGTTCCATTGATCTATATCTCTGTTTTGGTACCAGTACCATGCTGTTTTGGTACCAGTACCATGCTGTTTTGGTTACTGTAGCCTTGTAGTGTAGTTTGAAGTCAGGTAGCGTGATGCCTCCAGCTTTGCTCTTTTGGCTTAGGATTGACTTGGCGATGCGGGCTCTTTTTTGGTTCCATATGAACTTTAAAGTAGTTGTTTCCAATTCTGTGAGGAAAGCCATTGGTAGCTTGATGGGGATGGCACTGAATCTATAAATTGCCTTGGGCAGTATGGCCATTTTCACAATATTGATTCTTCCTACCCATGAGCATGGAATGTTCTTCCATTTCTTTGTATCCTCTTTTATTTCATTGAGCAGTGGTTTGTAGTTCTCCTTGAAGAGGTGCTTCATGTCTCTTGTAAGTTGGATTCCTAGGTATTTTATTCTCTTTGAAGCAATTGTGAATGGGAGTTCACTCATGATTTGGCTCTCTGTTTGTCTGTTGTTGGTGTATAAGAATGCTTGTGATTTTTGTACATTGATTTTGTATCCTGAGACTTTGCTGAAGTTGCTTATCAGCTTAAGGAGATTTGTTGATGAGAGGATCATTTTGGAATGAACCCAAACACATTGGATATTGTGTTATGAGACTATGGATCATATTTAACCATTCTATTTTTGCTATCTTTTTCTCACATCAATTCATCAGGTAAATGAGGGAACACCACCTTATATCTGTGGGTAGGGGTGGAATCCAAGATTCCCCTCTCTGTATTAATTGAAACCCAAAGGGTACAGTTTCCTTATTACTGCCTGGTGTTGGTGGGAATCCTGAATCTCCATACCTTTCTGGCTAGCAGAAACAGGAACGTCTTATTACTTCTTCCTTCATGAGTTTTGCTGACACCACAGTCAGGGTAGTTTCATTACAAATAGGCAGTTGTGAAATTCCCGACTCTCCGCTTCCTCTCCTCTTACATTTTGTCAATGGTAACGGCCCCTTCATAACTTTTGTATGAGAGTGGAAATCCAAGTTTCCCATGTAGTCTTTACTGACAGCATGAGGGCGTCTGAGTTACTGTTCGGTAGAAGTAAATTTGCCTATTCCTGACTTATTATTGCTCTCTGCTACCACCCTGGTGGATAGGTTGTGTTATCTTGTTACTACTTGGAAAGAGTTGAGGTCTAGGATATCCCTTGGCCTTTGATAGGATGGGTGGAGATGAAAGTCAAATGTTTTGTGTGATCTTTGCCTAGAATAGAGTAGCCATTGTTTAAAAGTTTTCTGTCTTCCTAAGTTGCCCCTTTCCTCTTTCTATGGCTTGAGAAAACAGAATTTTGATGTGGCTTTTTTGACTGTGATTATTGGTCTTATTAGGTTGCTGGCTTCTTCAGCAGCAATCCAAGACATACGAAACAAAAAGGTAATCTAGAGAAATCAGTACCACACCATTCCATAGGGCTTGAGTTCCCAGGATTTGAGAGATTTTTTTTTTTGTTAATGTTTGTTTTATATATAATATCCAAGCTTTTTTGTTGTACTTTCTAGGAGGAATAGGAGAAATTATGTCTGTTTCATCTTTGCAGAAAGCTTGTTTGACTTTTTAATGTTATATCAACATGGAAATTATGGAACAAATCTTACTTGGTCATGATGCATTGTTAACTCTGTATGCTCTTGGATTTGATTTGATAATATTTTATATAGAGAATTGACTTGCAACTTTTTTTCTGTGACAGCTTTGTCAGTTTGTGGGATCAAGTTTATGCTAGTTTCATAAAACAAGTTGAATTCTTCTCACTTTACTTCTCTGGAAAAGTTTGTGTCAGAATGGTATTTTTCTTTATTTACTTTTGATAAAAGTTATTGGTGAAGCTCTCTGAATTGGGAATTTTCTTAGGATTCAATTTTTAAAATAGATACAGAACAGTTTCCCTTTTCTATTTATTCCTTACTAGTTTTGTAGGTTGTATTTTTTCTATACTTCTTCAATTTCTTCTGTATCTTTGAATTTATTTGCATAAACTTCTTCATAATTTCCCCTTATTTCCCTTATAATACCTGTATGATCTCAGTTTTTTTATTCTTTTATTGGTGATTTATGTTTTAACTCTTTCTGTTTTTTGATTAGTCTATTTTTTATATTGTTTCCTCAAGGAACCAACTTTTGGCTGTTTAGATTTTCTATATTTAAAATTTATGTTCAATTTTATTATTTTTTCTTTTGTCTTTATTATTTCTGTTATTTTATTTTATTAGAGTTTAGTTAATTTTATTTTCTTGAGGTGTGTATTCTGTAAATGATTTTAGCCTATTATTTTAATGTTTGTATTGAAAGTTACAAATATCATTGTAAGCACAGCTTTAAAAGTATCCCACAATTCTTAACATGCTTTATTTTTATTATTACTCAATAATTACTATTAAATTATTTTGAAATTATTATTTAAACTTAATACTTTTCACCTTGTAATTTACAACAGGGTATCTTCTTTGAGTAGGGGTTATTTTGAAATTCAAAATTTATTTTCCGAGCAGCTGGGATTTCTACATGTCTTTTGGATTTCTGGCTTAATTCCATTGTGGTCAGAAAGTATGTCTTAAATGGTTCTATTTTTTCCCTCATATGTGTTGACCCTAGTTTTCTAGTTTAGCACAATGTAAATTTTTATAATTTTTTAGGTGCATGAAAAAATATATGCTCTTTCATCGTTGAGTACAGTTGCCTATATATGCCAATTGGCTGATATTTATTCACATGTATAATATCTTTACTTTTTAACTCTGTTCTAACAATTATTTGAAAATATGTGTAAAAGTTTCCTACTCTGATTGTGGATCAGTCTATTTCTCTTTCATTTTTGTTATTTTTTCCTATATATTTTAAGCTATAATTTTTGGTGCATACAAATAACATTTTAATTTTCATTTTGTTGGCTCTATCAACAATATGAAATGCTCTTTCTTATCTCAAGTAATACTTTTTGCTTTATAGTCTAATTCATTTAATTTTACTATATCTACTCCACAAATACTTAGATGAGTATTTGTATGACAAATATTTTCCCATTGTTTTACTTTTTGCCTTTTGTATCTTTTTATTTAAGATATGTCTCCTCTAAGTTACATAGTATTTTAACTTTTTGTGTATACTGACTAACTTTGTCTTTTTTGCCTCCTGTAGAATATTTCCTCTGTTTACATTTGATGTAATATAATTAAGTGGGTTTAAGTCTATCATTTTACTACTTTTGTATATTTTTTGGTTTTATGTTCTCCTTTTCTTCTATTTTGCCTTTTATCTAATCAAACTTAAAAAAAGTTCTTCTCTCTCTGTTTGTTAGTTAAAAATTATTTTCATTTTAGTTGTTATCCCAGAGATCACAACATACATTTTTAACTTAATAGAGTACAAAATATGGTAGTAGCTTTGCCACTTCCCAGAAAATTCTAACTTTTGTACTCTTTAATTCTTTTTAATTTTTCTGATCTCTTTCATTTATTGTGTTGTATTTTAATTCTATATACACTTTAGTCACCATAACCCTTATTATTATTTAGTATAATAGGGAGTTATTTAAATTTATGCCCATATTTATTCATTTAGTAATTTTTATTTCTTTATTTTTGTGCTTCTCTTTGGCATCATTTTACTTCTGCCTGAAGTAGTCTCTTCAGTATTTATTTTAGTGAAGTTCTTCTGTTGACAAATAGTTTTTGCTTGGCAGGAAACATCTTTATTTTGCTTTCATTTTTAAGAGAGATTTTATAATCCATCAAATTGAATTTGAAATGTGGTAGTTATTTTTCTTCAGCAAATTAAAAATGCATTTTCATTGTTTTCTAGCTTTTATCACTTCTGTTGAGAAGTCAACTATCAGTCTTATTGTTGCTTCATTGAAAGTGATGTTTTCTTTTCTTTGGCTGCTTTTAAAATTTTCTCTTTGTCTGTGGCAAATTATGGCCCATGGATTAAATCTGGCCCAATGTGTCTATTTGTAAGGTTTTATTGGAATACAGCCATGGCCATTTGATTACATGTAATCCATGGCTGCTTACAGCAGAATAGTTGTGACAAAGATAGTATGACCCTCACAATGTAAACTATTAGGTTGGTGCAAAAGTAATTGCAGTTTTTGTCATCACGTTTAATGGCGAAAACCACAATTAAAAAGAATGTTTTCTATCTGGCTCTTTACGGAAACAGTTAGTTCATTCCAATCTATAGTTTTCAGCAATTTGAGTTATAATATGCCTAGCTTTGCTTATTTATTTTTTCATTTAAAAAATCCTGTGTGAGGTTTATAAAGCTTCCTGAACTTTTAACTTGGTATGTTTCATAAGTTTGGGGAAAGTTTCAAAGAGTGGTCCTTACCATTCTTCCTCTTGACTCCTTTTTAGATGTCGATTGTCAAATTTTCAGCATCTCACGTGCCATTTATACTCATTTCTCTATTTTCAATTCTTCTATTCATTCAGAGTAAATATTTTCTTATTATCTTATTATTTTATTTTGCTGTGCTGAAAGTTTTTTTTTTTTTTTTTTTTTTTTTTTTTTTTTGAGACGGAGTTTCGCTCTTGTTGCCCAGGCTGGAATGCAATGGCATGATCTCGGCTCACTGCAACCTCCACCTCCCGGGTTCAAGTCATTCTCCTGCCTCACCTCCGAAATAGCTGGGATTTACAGGCGCCTGCCACCACGCCCAGCTAATTTTTGATTTTTAGTAGAGACAGGGTCTTGCCATGTTGGCCAGGCTGGCCTTGAACTCCTGATCTCAGCTGATCCACCTGCCTCAACCTCCCAAAGTACTGGGGATTACAGGCGTGAGCCACCGCGCCCGGCCACTGAAAAATTTTTGTATCTTCCTATTTTATTCTTACTATCAATTATGTTTTTCTGTTCTAAAATTTCCATTTAATTCTTTATAAATTCTATTTTTCAAGTGAAGTTCTCCATTTTGTCTCATATTTTATTAAGCCTATTAATTGAAGTTATTTTAAAGTGAATGTCTTGATCCTCTAAGGATTTGTTTCTATTGTCTACTTTTTTCTCATTTTTCCTTATATGGCCCTGCTCGTGGGAAGCCTGACGACTATTGGTAGATGTCAGATTTTGCACGTGAAAAGTTGAGATTATCTAAAGCGCTGTTTGGTATTATTTTCTTCCAGAAAGGATTTATTCTGCTTCTGGTAGGCAGTTAAAGTGGGGATAGAGTGCCTAATCTAGTTTGGGATTGAATTTGTTTGAAATGGAATTTCAGTCTTTGTTATAACTTATCTTAGTCTTGTTCACTTTCACTCCTAGGGTATATCCCTTTTGGGGTACTAATTTGAAGTCTAGATCTTCGTCAGACTCCTCTCTCCTTGGTTGCTCCTGAACTCTAATTTTTGTTTCTCCAGCTCTGTGAAACTGTAGAAAATCTGCTCAGCTTTCCAGCTCATTAGCCACTGTTTTCTGCTTTGCTTCCTAGGGTCTCAGCCCCGTGCGCTTATTATTGGAAAATGCCTTGAGGGCAAATGACACAGATCGTGTATCTCTTTGCTTTCCTTCTCTCTGTGATGCTGAGTCCTCATGTCGAATTGCCTTGCCAGGTCTATAATACCTTGAACACATCTAAAAATATGTATATTTGTGCAAAATTTCTAGTTCTTAACCGGAGAGTTGATCCGCAATAAGCTACCCCATGTGCAATAGAAGTAGCAATCCTTTAACCTACATAAAACTTTTCTTTAGCATTTATGCCGAGAGACTGTGGTGATTCTTACTCTGAATAAATTTTCAAATTTTTATTTCCAGAATCCAGGGCATGTGTTCGTATCTGATCAGAATACCTTCAAAATTATCAATGGCCCGGCTGGGCACGGTGGCTCACGTCTGTAATCCCAGCACTTTGGGAGGCCGAGGCGGGCGGATCACGAGGTCAGGAGATCGAGACCATCCTGGCTAGCAGGGTGAAACACCGTCTCTACAAAAAAATTAGCCGGGCGCGGTGGCGGGCGCCTGTAGTCCCAGCTACTCGGGAGGCTGAGGCAGGAGAATGGCGGGAACCCGGGAGGCGGAGCTTGCAGTGAGCCGAGATGGCGCCACCGCACTCCAGCCTGGGCGACAGGGCGAGACTCCGTCTCAAGAAAAAAAAAAAAAGATTTTCCTAGGATCTCTTTGTCCAGGAAGGATCTGTTTAGTCAGTTGAGGGGACTTAGTTTGTTTGTTTATTTGATTTTGAGACAGAGTCGAGCACAGTTGCCCAGGCTGGAGTGCAATGGCAGATCATAGCTCATTGCAGCCCTGAATTCTTGGGCTGAAGTGATCCTCCTGCTTCAGTCTCTCAAAGTATTGGGATTACAGGCGTGAGCCACCATGCCCACACCCAGCCCAGGAATTTTTTTTTTTTTTTTTTTGAGACAAGTCTCGCTCTGTTGCCAGGCTGGAGTGCAGTGGCGCAATCTCGGCTCACTGCAACCTCTGCCTCCCGGGTTCAAGCAACTCTCCTCCCTCAGCCTCCCGAGTAGTTGGGACTACAGGCGAGCCACCAAGCCCAGCTAATTTTTGTATTTTTAGTAGAGATGGGGTTTCACCATGTTGGCCAGGATGGTCTCGATCTCTTGACCTCATTATCCACCCACCTTAGCCTCCCAAAGTACTGGGATTACAGGCGTGACCCACCGGGTCCAGCCCAGGATTTTATTTTTAGTTTACAATGGGAAGCAATTAGTGTCTATCAATAGGGAACTGATTAACCAGGATGTGTCCCCAAAAAGGAATACTATGCAGCTGTAAAAAAAAAAATACAAGAAGAAGAAAGTTATCTGTCAACTGATAAGGAATGATGATCAGGAAATATTTTCAAGAAACAAAAAAAAATCAAGGTTCATGGCTGTGTACGGTGGCTCATACCTGTAGTCCCAGGACTTTGGGGGCGGGGGGGCAGATCACTTGAGGCCGGGAGTTCGAGACCAGCCTAACCAACATGGCAAAACCCCGTCTCTACTAAAATTACAAAAATTAGCCAAGCGTGATGGTGCATGCCTGTAATCCCAGCTACTCATGAGGCTGAGGCAGGAGAATCCCTTGAACCCAAGAAGCAGAAGTTGCAATGAGCTGAGATTGCACCACTGCATTCCAGCCTGGGTGACAGATTAAGACTGTCTCAAGGCTGGGCGAGGTGGCTCATGCCTGTAATCCCAGCACTTTGGGAGGCTGAGGCGGGTGGATCACGAGGACAGGAGATCGAGACCATCCTGGCTAACATGGTGAAAACCCATCTCTACTAAAAATACAAAAAATTAGCCGGGCGCGGTGGCGGGCGCCTGTAGTCCCAGCTACTCCGGAGGCTGAGGCAGGAGAATGGCGTGAACCCGGGAGGCGGAGCTTGCAGTGAGCCGAGATGGAGCCACTGCCCTCCAGCCTGGGCAACAGAGCAAGACTCAGTCTCAAAAAAAAAAAAAAATTATCAATGGCCCTTTTCTGTCTCCTATGATACTTCCAGGTATTTCTTCCACTTCTTCCACGGATTTCATATATGGCTCTTCATGTTAAGTTGTGAAGGAGCTCTTTATATGGCAGCCCAGATTATTAGAAAATAACATTTGATAAATAACCAGAATGTATTGGATGAGCAAATGATATGTATTCTAGAATTTGCTTAAATAGAAGTGTATCCCCTTTCGAATAACAGCTCGTAGGGCTAAATTCTTACTCCAGCACTAATGGCCAAAGCTTGAAACAGTTTGGAGTATCTGGAGTCACCCTTAGAATGCATCCTTCCAAATGTGCTTAGTGGTGCAGATCTTTTTCCTTGGAGGTTGGAATTAACTTGTAGAAATAGCCTATAGCCATTCAAGCCATAGTCTAGCTAATAATATGGTGACCAAATTTTGTAAAGCTTGGAAGTACAGTCTGCTAAGAGAGATGTAAAATTTGTTTCTGTATTTTAGGGTCTAATTCATCAACTTATTTTTAAACAAAATTTTACTTAGTGCCTACTGTGTGCCAAACACCCTGTTAGGTGCCAGGGAGAACAGTGAACAATACAAGTAATTAAATAATTGATTATTAATTCAAACAGTGAATATTCAACATGTAAAGTGGTTACACATGCATAATATAGACATACACACATATTGCACATTTGTGCAGTCCTATATATACATGTATACATACATACATACATTCCATATATGTCGTACGTTCTTATGTATTTTTCATATTGATTTGTCATATACACCCCACTCATTAGACTATCAAAATTCCAAGATATTTTTATATCTCTTAACAATGTCTAGTCTGTTATTTTGCATATATTGAGAACTTGGTTAGTATTGACTGACTGATTAGTATTGATTCATTATCCATGTCTATATTTTTAAATAACAAACTCAAAATTACCCTAAGCTCAGAAGTTGTTTGATTATAATATTTCTTACTGACAGTTGGTTTCTTTTCATAATCTATGAGCAAAATACTTACTTTAAATTGTAACACCTTTAGAGAAATTTTCATAAAACTCGATAGATGCAGGCCAGGCATCATCAGGGAAAAGAGGCTGCTTATGATTCATAAGAAACTGCATGATTCAAAATACATGGGAATATTTAATACAACAAGTGCTGATCGGCTCTGACCCTATAGAGTTCAGTTGCATTATAGCTGCTTGTCTTAAGGAAAGGATGGATTAAACGCCCACACACTTGGCACGTGAGCCCTCATATACATTTGTATTTTAACATCCTTGTGTTTCTTTTTGGCAATTAAATATGTTTTAAAGAGCACATTTTGCTTTTCCTAGCACTTTACTCTTAAATTAGAAACAAAAATAATAGAAATCTAAAATGACACTCCAGAAACAGTGAATGCTTAGAGTTAGATTGTAGTGAAGTATGTGCATCAGTTGGAAGCAATATTAAAAATACTGCAGTTTGCTTTCTTATTCAGTTCTATGTTTACTGTTCGAATGTAACAACTTAGTTGACATTTAATATTGAGATATGAAGATGTGTTTCAGAAACAGTTTCTGTGACTATATACTAGCCTGCTTCATGTGCCACTACATTTATGGAATGAGCCTAACCCCGTAATAATTCCTTTAAATACATAAACCATTTCTATTGTATATCTTCTAAACAATGAAGAATAGGAGAAAAACGTTCAAATGCTGATATAACTTCCCAAAACAAAGTATTTGCTTCAATTTTAGCAAGTCTCACTATGGTCCGAATACAATTGGGATAAGGTTGTTTTCTATGAAAACGTAATAAGGCAGACAAAACCTTTTCATAAAAGCCATTTGACACTTGATTTTTCAGGATGAATATTTGAAGCAGAATGAAATGTCATGTCAAGAGTATATTATTAGAAAAATAGCAGATGGGTTGCAAATGAAGAGAAAACCTCCAAGGAACATAGAAAATTAAAGATGATTTGGGAATAACAGAAAAAGATGTTTCAGATATTTTGGTGGGAAAGAGATGAATCAGTCAGTCTATAAGGTTCTATCTTGCTCAAATAGACTGTGATGTATCTGTCAGGATAGGCTCAGTTTGCTGCAGTAAAAAATGACCCCCCCATCTCAGTGGATTATGACTATAAATCTTTATTTCTGATTTGTACTTTATGTACATTGTGGTTCAGATGTGACTGCTTGTTTCACCCTGGGTTCCAAAATAATGGAAATTCTTCACGCTTTACTAGTCTTCATGGAAGAAGGAAAAGAAATCACAGGGAAGCAGGTGCTGGCTGTTAAAGCCACTACCTGGAAGTAATACCTATAATTTCTATCACATTTTATTATCCATCGCACATAAGATAGTCTTGCCATAGTTGAATGGGTGGTGAATTATAATCCTCCTTTATGGAGAGGTAGTAAATATTCGTAAACAATGATACTGTACCATGATGCCAGATGATGACAGAAAAAAGCATTGTTGTATTTAGAAATGCTGTAAGCATAAATACCTAGGGGAAGCCAAGGAAACTGAGAATAAGAGAAGTTGGCTGGATCCTAGGATGGGAGACAAATAGAAAAAAGGAATACTACTAGTAGCTTAAGGGCAGATTGTGGCAGGCTCTGAATATGTGCCCAAGAGGTTTAGACAGTAATGACATTCTGTAGAAACAAGTTCATTTTAGGTTAGGTTTCTGTAAAAGAAGAGCCCAGGGGGCTGCAAGTAATTTATTTGAGAGGTGATCCGAGGAAACAGGGTTGAGGGAAAGGGCAACTGAAACAAAAAAAGAGTAGCTATTGACAGGTGAATTATTGAGCTGGTTACTACTGTGGGCAACCCTAGCTTAACCCATTGGGAATGAAGTGAAGAGCTATGTTATTCTAGGTCCTCCAAGAAGGAGACATCAAGATTATGTTAAACATGAAATAATTTTATTAGAGGAAATGTCTTTGGGATAAAATGAAGAGAGTGCAGCATCCCAGGCTGTCCCACAGTCTAAGGAAATCCCCACAAGGCATTTGGGAAATCCTAGACTTAATTTATCAAAGGAATCCCATGACTTCCAGGAATAGCCATGCACTACTCAGTAATTAAACAGGAGCAGCCTGTGGAAGAAAGGACTTCATCGTGAACATAGAGATGGATTTTAGAGCACAGCAGCTGGGGCCCTCAGTCCATGACGCACCCTGTAATTGAAGGGCTGCATGGTACATTCCCATGGCTACTGCAGGAACCAGTAAAATTCACCTCAGAATTGTCCCTTCCAAGGAAGAGAGGCTGAAGCATTTATCCACTAATTTACTTTCTGTGTTGTTTAAGGATTGTTCCTAGGGGTGTAATCCCCATTTTTCCATGTGCATGGGATGAACCAATTCCTTCATCTTAAAAGAGAGCCCTGAGACTGGAAAGTGGAGACATGTGACAGGTGTCTATGGTGTAGTATTATCAGCATTTACAGGCTCCAACTATGACATCCATGCCTGGAATCCAGAGTGAGCAGACAGTTGTGATACAGGGCCTGCGAAAACAGCTGCTATATGGCTTATGGCAGGTTTTTTAGTAAAGAAACAATAGAATGTATACTTTAAAATGATTTGCCGGCTGGATGTGGTGGCTCGTGCCTGTAATCCCAACACTTTGGGAGGCTGAGGCAGGTGGATCAGCTGAGGTCAGGAGTTCCAGACCAGCCTGGCCAATATGATGAAACCCCATCTCTACTAAAAATACAAAAAATGAGCTGGGTGTGGTGGTGGGCGCCTGTAATCCCAGCTACTCAGGAGGCTGAGGCAGGAGAAATGCTTGAACCTGGAAAGGCAGAGGTTGCAGTGAGCTGAGATTGTGCCACTGCACTCCATCCTGGGCAACAAGAGTGAAACTCTGTCTCAAAAAAAACAAAAACAAAAACAAAAACAGAATGATTTGTCTAGCTGCAGGATATAGAAAAACAGACAGAGTGGGGTCAGGAAGATCATAGTCATTGTCCAGGTGATACGTCTAGTATTATTGTATGACTATGCAGTTGGATAGAAAAGGCTTGAATTCTGATTTTGGAACAAGTTACTTACATTTTTTAAGACTTAATTTCCTTGTCTGTAAAATGGGGATAAAATAATGCCTACCTGATACATTTATATTCTATGGCAAGTTGTATAATTTTCTAGATTTTCTTTTGCATCTCTGTAAATGGGGATATGAATGCCCACCTAATAGCATTGCTGTCAGAATTAAATGAGTTAATAGCATGTGAGACACAATTTGTTGTCTAACAAATCTCAATTATCCAGTTTTGCCTTTTTAACAGAACCTTATTTGGGAGTGTGGGAAAGGCAGCAATTTTTTTCAGTTAGAATACCTCATATTTATGCTTCTTTGCATGTAGGAGTAGCCATTTAAAGATGTTACAGACAGAGAATTGTAAGTGAATGACTAATGGATGGAACTTCTGGGAAAGCTATTGGTTTGCTGATATATGACAGAGATTCAGGAACAGAATCATTTGGAACATGCGTTTTTCTTTTCCCTTTCATTTTTCCCTTTGCTTCAAAGGCCAGTGTGATGTCTGGATCTTAAACAGAATTCCCTTCTGGCTGAGTAGAAAAGTTAAAGATGGTGGTAAAGGAAGAACCTGGATCTTTGATGACCTAATTGACTACCTATATTGATTTGATTTGTACTTCCAAATGTTTTGACATGTAATTGAAGATTAAAGTCATATTTGGTTCGAGCTACTGTAGTTGGCTTTGTTACATGTAGCTGAACATGATCCTGACTAAAAACAAAATAGGACAAGTTCTTAACAAAGTGTCTGGTATATTATATATATCAATAACTACTATTATTAGAGTTATGATTGTTTTCAGTAGTAAAAGATAATGATGGTTCTAATTCAGAGGTCCAGAAAGATTGGAGAGTAAGAGATGCTTATAAATGATATGTATAGGTAGGATCCAAAACACTTGTCAACTAACTGATGGTCATAGGCAAGAGGCAGGAGCCAAATGACTTGAAGCCTCCAAAATTGGAAGTCCGAAGACTCAGTAATGACATAAGTAATAGTTAACATTTTAAAAATGTGCTCACTGTGTACCAGCCAAGTTCTAAGCATTTGACCAGTGTTCATTATTGGACAGTAGTGCTACTAACAGCCCAGGAAAGGTGTAGCAGTACAGTGATGAGAAAATGATCAATTCACTCTAGGATGTGGAGACTCTAACAGGACAGCCACATTTCCAGAGCAGAAGGAAATGTATGCTTGCTCCTTGGAAGATGAATTGGGATGTTGGATATTTGGGTTTGGCATGACCTACTTATGGTGAGAATTAAAGGAGTAGGATGGGTGAGTGCTCCAGTGAAAAGGCTGGAGAGACAGAAAAAAAATATGAGTGCAGAAGAG
This sequence comes from Homo sapiens, assembly GCF_000001405.40. Classification (NCBI taxonomy): domain Eukaryota; kingdom Metazoa; phylum Chordata; class Mammalia; order Primates; family Hominidae; genus Homo; species Homo sapiens. The sequence continues at coordinate 5,926,174 of NC_000003.12, forward strand.
AATTTGTATAGCTGAAGTGTACCAAAGTCTTGGCCTTCCGGCAAAGAAGATGCTCCAGGTTGTCTTGTTGCCCTATATATTGGCCCTTGAGGCCAGCATCCATGTTATCCTTCATGTAACACCAACTATCACAAATAGCCAGGAGATCAGGTATTCTACTGAAAATCAAAATGTTAGAAATCTTCTCTCCTGTCAACTCTTATTAACAAATATTATATATAGTTAGACTAACTTCATCCTTATTTGAATATAATTATTCTCAAAGTATGTCTGGGTAGTCCTTCTGGGCCTCTGTAATACAGTCCAAGTGTCCATATGCCAAACTTGGAAAGATTGTGGAGATCACTTATCTATTTATCATCTATCTATCTATCTATCTATCTATCTATCTATCTCTCTCTCTCTCTCTCTCTCTCTCTCTACAAGTTGACCTGAGTGAGACAGTAAGACAAAACCCTCCTCTTCCTCCTCCTCCACAGCCTACTCTACATGAAGATGATGAGGTTGAAGACCTTTATGCTGACCCACTTCCACTTAATGAATAGTAAATATATTTTCTCTTCCTTACGATTTTCTTAATACCATTTTCTTTTCTCTAGCTTATTTTATTATAAAAATACAGCATATAATGCATATAATATACAAAATATGTCTTAATCTAGGTTTCTGGTCAATGGTAGGCTATTAGTAGCTAAATTTGGGGGGAGTTATACTTGGATATTCAACTGTGTGGGAGATTGGTGCCCCAACCCCTGAATTGTTCGAGTCAATTTGTGTTTGTGTTTCTGTGTGTGTGTGTGTGTGTGTGTAAAATCCATTTTTGAATTGATTTACTTCTTAGTACAACATGGTGATTTGAGAAGAGATTTCAGTTAATGGGGAATATACTGGTTAATTGAACTTTTGTTAATTTAAGATTGTTTTTTCTTTACTGTGTTCCTACAAATTTGAGTGTAGTGTAATACGCCACAGAGAAGACTGTGCTGTGTTTGCTACATAAATACCTGCGTCTGTTAAATTTTATAAAAAATAAGTAAAAACCATTTCATTATTTCTCATTCTATATAATTCTTTAATGTAAATAGAAATAGACTGGTGTTTGTGATGGGATGTTTAAGCCCATTAAAGAAAAACATTTTCAAATAGTAGAATGACCCAAAATCCTGATGGAGACAAGAACTGTATGTCAGTGTTGTAAAGTAATTTTTTCTGGCATCTGCAGTTGGCAATGGGCTAGCTGCTAACTGCAGGTGGAGATCCCTCATCAGCAAGTGTTAATATTGAGTTGGAAGTGCAAGGGGAGGAAAGAATTCATTTTCACTTTTTCTGTCTCTGTGAATAAAATGATTCACAACCCATACAGCTCCTGTGAGTTTCACTAGAAGCACTTCTGAAAAATAAAATTGCTAAATCTTAGCAATGCGAACCATTTAAGGGTCGGAGCCAAAACCAAAATACCTTGTGGGGAATCTCTTTTATATCTCATTATGCCTACATGGCTTAGAAACTTCTGAAGGGAGTTAACTTAGAATCTCCATAGGTAGCCCATTCCATTTTATTATTTGGAATTTCTTATTTAGGGCTAAAATCTGCCTCTGTAAATTAATAGTAGTAATAATAAGAGCGATAACTACTGAAGCCTGATTTTGCTGAGTGCAATATTTAGCTGAAGATAACAGGATGGACTGTAGCTACTTTTAGCAAAAAGATATTTTGAAACAGAGAATTGTATACTGACAAAATTCGAAAAGCTAGTGGAACAGGCTATAGATAAGGCTTTGAGAAATGTCTTCTCAAACATTACCAAACAACTGGCAGTAACAGGGGAGTAAGAGGAAACTATAGTCATTCCAGGACCCCACTGTTTCCCACTTGCCCAATACCAAAACAAACAAAGAAAAACAACACAAAACAAAGCAACACCTGAACCCGCTCTCTCTCTAAATCTATTTAGCTCTAGTGTCTTCTACTATTCTACATATGTCATCGTCTCCAAGTTTTCTTTCTTGTTGCTGCTTTTGTTGTATTATTTTTAACTCCCTTGTGGTCAGGTGAGTAATGTTGTTTTACCTTTGTGATGGGCAGAACCAAATACAGTCATGTGATGCGTAAAGATATTTTGGTCAACAATGAATGTACCATATCTATGATGGTGATCTCATAGGATTATGATGGAACTGAAAAAATTCCTATTGCCTAGTGATGGCATAGCCATTTTAAAGTTGTAGCACAATGTATCACCTTTTCTATGTTTAAATATGTTTAGATACACGAATACTCACCATTGTGTTACAATTGCCTGCAATATACAGTACAGAAACATGCTGTGCAAGTTTATAGTCTAGAAGCAATAGACTATATTATATAGCATAGTTGTGGAGTAGTGATACAATGATAGAGGCAGGAAGCAGAGAAATTCTAGGCAGAAAAACGTGGGTCCCTGGCGAGGGCCCCGCCCTCAAGCCAAAAAGCCAGAGACCACAGCCCAAAGTGAGAAAGTATATTTCTGTTTTCCCGCTCGAATGTTGCCTTTTTCAAAACAACCCATGGCCTGCCCCACTCCCCATCTTGTGCCTATAAAAACCCCATACTTGGCAGTCAGAAGAAGCAGCTGGACATCAAAGACTATGGCTGAGCATCGGAGAGAAGCAGCTTGACTTCAGAGGGACAACTGGATGGTGTAACTTTGGAGAAAAATCTGCCAGAGACAGCCAGACTCCAGGGGAAGACGACCTTTCCAACCCATTCCCTTTTCAGCTCCCCTTCCCACTAACAGCCACTTTCATTGGCGGTAAAATCCTCCACATTTACCATCCTTCAATTCGTTCATGCAAGCTCTTTTCTCGTGGATCCCGGACAAGAGCTTAGATGCCATGAGTGCACATACAAAAGGCTGTCACACTTGCCCTTTGCCCTCACTGGCAGAAGTCAGTTGCCTCACGCAAATAGGCAGAGGGCTCACTGAGCTGTTAACACTTAAGCCGTCTGCAGATGGCAGAGCTAAAAAGTCACTGTAATACTCCCTCTGGGGCTTCAGCGGTCATGGGTATCCCCCATAGATGTTGCCACAGGGCCTGCCCAGAGTTTGCTCCTGCCGGTGGCCAAATGCGCTCACCCTGGCTCCTGCACCTGCACACCTGCATGCTGCCCCTGCAAGGGGTTGAAAAGATGCAGGCTGGGTAAGTAAGGCACACCTGTCATGAGTTCCACGAAGGGGTCAGGGAAATATCTTGCTTCAGCAGGCAACTCTAAGTTTGTGTAAGTGCTCTCTATGATGTTCTCACAATGAAGGAATCACTTGAAGTCACATTTCTCAGAAGGCGTTCTTATTATGAAGTGATATATGACTGTAGAGGAACATCTCATGCAGCACGTTGGGGAACTAATGGTTTTTGTGTGCCATACACGGATTCTTCAATTTCCTGCCAAATTTTGACTCTCAAAAAATGCATCAGAGTAAGCTTTGCAGAAAGATATAGGAGGCTAGGATAGATGAAAATAAAGGTAATCCTTGTTCTTTTTGCAATTCCTGTAAGGATTTCATCCTACTCTGATAGCACTAATTAGTTATGTTTTATAACATTATGTTTAGTAAGTGGTGTTATATCAGTTTTAATTATGAAAGAAAGGATCAGCAAGATTAACTGGATTCTCAGAGATTACATACTCACTGGAAAAAGTGGGAATTAAAACTGAGAGCCTTTCTCTCACAACCATTCTACTTCTGTTAAGGAAAGAAGAAAATTACCAGTTTTTTTCACATTAGAGAAAATGAAGATCAGGACAACTTCGTATGCATTAGTAGTATACTTAATATATTTGACAACCAGAACAGGTCATTTTTAACATTTCCTCTCCTTTCTATGAGAAAGTTATTGTGAGTAGTAAACTTAAGTAAAACAATTAATGATAATGACAAAAAGGAAATGCAGACAGTGAAATATTTGTGTAATTGAAGTTGTACAATAATGCTGATAAAAATATATTAAATGAACAAAAAATAAAATAAAAAAGGTAAAGGATTAATACATTTTAGTTATATTAGCATATGTTTTTCAAAAGGAGGAAAACTTATACCTCATATTAAGATCTCATACTTGAGAATAATAACACAATTTCAGCTTTTAAAGTTTCTGCAAATTTGTCAATGACCTTATCAAAATTGATCTGTGTGTATTCATGTTCAACAGACAGTATAGCCAGATATGTCAATCTATCTTCACTTAGGATTGATCAAAGCACATTTTAAAATTCTAAATGATTTTTACACATAAAATACAGGCACATCAATGGAAAAAATCTTCAACATAAGGATATATTTGTTAGAGATTCATAAAAAGTCTACAATAAATTTCAGATTAAGAAATTAAAACTTCAAGTGGTCACATAGACTAAGAGAACAAAAGCAATTCAAGAACACTGTGCTTTCAATGTCTATTTAAAAGCATACTGTTTAAAAGCAAAAAGTGTAGAGTTTCACAGGGATTATTGACAAAAACTGTGCCCAAAGCAGCTCAGGCCATTCCAAAGCATTATGAATGTTTTTGTAAAACAAATGCATGCACCTGAGTCCATGTACATCAGGGACTAACATAACTGGAAGTTCTCCAGCTCTTTCAATGTTGATTCTTCCCTTATTTCTTAATGAAAATTTATCTACCTGAAACACTGGATTTGCTAGTTCCTCTTCTTGCTGATGTTGCTGATCATGCAGCTAAGTTTTTTGTTTTTGTTTTTTTTTTTAAGATGGAAGCAAAGGTGTATGCACTATGGTGCTTGTGGGAAGGTTCTTTCCCAAGGCTAGCAGATCACGAGGTCAGGAGTTCGAGACCAGCCTGACCAATATTGTGAAACCCCGTCTCTACTAAAAATACAAAAAATTAGCCGGGAGTGGCAGCGCACACCTGTAATCCCAGCTACTTGGGAGGTTGAGACAGGAGAATGGCTTGAACTCGGGAGGTGGAAGTTGCAGTGAGCAGAGATCACACCACTGCACTTCAGCCTGGGTGACAGAGGGAGACTCTGACTCAAAAAATAAATAAAATGGAAACAGAGTGTACTTCTCTTTTCTCTTCTTTCATCCTGCTGTCTTCAGTGCAGAACTGACAGCTGGAGACTGAGGCGCCATCTTGGATCATGAAGCGATATCTTGATGCTGGATGCCAAGAACCGAGAATGCCAGTATAGTAGAGCAAAAGAATAGAAGGCACTTCGTTCATTGATAAATGCGTGGAACTGCCATATTATTCTTTGACTACTTCCACCAAAAGGGAATACATACTTTTGTATTTAAGTCACTATTTTTCAGATCTCTTGCTCAGAATCCAATAATATGAACAAGCTAATATTACCTCAAGAATACAAACCTCTTACAACGTAAATTCTGCAAAATTATATTGTAATTATTAAGCACGCTTAGATTCTCAGTTTAGAACTTGGCCCTGCCACTAATAGCCTTATGATTCTAGACATTCCTAGTGAGGGGAAATTAATAGTAATAGGGTTTTTGCATGCATTAAATGATACAATGCTGAATATGACGTATGGTAAGTGCTTAGTAAATATATTCTTTTATTCTTTAAAGAAATCTATATACTTGAGATGGAAATCACTGCTTTCATTAAGTCTCCCATGGACAATCAGATAAAATCTGATGTTTTGAGATTTAAAATAACTTTCAACAAATCAAACCCAAATCATGAGTCTGCATGTAGAAATGAGCCTCCAATATGAATTCTATGTAAACATTATTAAAATTGATGTTGTAAGTTCTTGCCTAGAACTAACATAAGTCCCAAGGATTTTTATAAAGCTATTCTGTAAAACTGTCTGCATTGGCCATGTAAGGAACTAAGATGAGCCAGGTGAGGCACTTAGGGAGCGACATTTAAAGATGCACTCACATGCAGGTTCTGCACTTGCAGGAAACTGACATTAAGTGCTGCCCTAAATGTTGTGTTCTGGGAGTCTCACTTGCCTGACCCTATTCCTGGTCCTGGTCTAGGGACACAGATTGGTCTAATCACAGGCAGTAAAATGCCACCACCTGCTACAATAAGCCATTGATTCTCTTTCTCTCACTTGATTTTCATATGTAGGAAAAATGGAAATACAAACATTTGTAGGATTAATGAACAAATGAGCAACTGAGTGACAACTGAACCATAAATTTCTTGGTTCTGCTTATATATTGTCAGAAGGGTAAGAAACACCAGAAAATATTTAATTTCTTTCACACAACCCTTTTTTCTTAAACTGAAGCATAATTGACATACAGTAAAATGTATAACACTTGAGCACATGACTTGAGGAGTTTTTGCCTATATTTGTCACTAAAAATTGGAGGTAATGTAATTTCTTTCTGAGGTAATGTAATTTTTTTTTTCCTTGATCTGATTGGTAATTTCCTCATGCCACTTTCAAATTAGTAATCCCCCCAGTCACTCCAGAGGTCACCACGATTCTATTTAACTCCATAGCCTAGTTTTACCTATTCTTGAACATCATATAAATGGAATCAGACTGTATGTTAAATTTATTCCTGAGAATTTGATCATGTTTAGTGCTATTGTAAATGGTATTGTTATTTATTGTTATTTTAAATACCTTTTTCTAAATGTTCTAATTTATAGAAAGACTGAGTATTGCATTGTGACTTTTTATCCAGTGACTTTGCTATATTCATTTATTAATCCTAGTAATTTGTATTTCAGTCTTTCTATGTACAGAATCCCATCCTCTACAAATAAAGAGGGTTTTAATTCTTCCTTTCTATCTTTATAGTTTTTCTTTTCCTTATCTTATTGCACTAGCTAAGGGCTTCAGTCTAGTATTGATAGAAGTTGTTTGAATAAATATATTAGTCTTATTACTGACACTTGGGGCAAACCATCAGTATATACTATTAAATTGGAAATTAGCTGTAGGTTTTCATAGATATCTATTTTCAGATTTAAAAAGTTTCCTTCTATACCTCATTTGCTGATTTTATTTTTTTAAGGAAAGTGTGTGGAATTATTCATTTATTTTAAAAATACACCATTGGAAAAACATGACGTAACATTAACTGCAGGTATTTAGAACGTACCATTTGATTAATTGTGACAAATATATACATTCATGAAATCATAATCACAAGCGAACAGACATTTATATCACTCTCAAAAGTTTTCTTTTTCTCCTTTGTAATCCATCCTTCCCTCCACCCATCCCTAGAAACACTGATATGCTTTCTGTGACTATAGGTTAGTTTAGATTTCTAGAATTTTGTATAACTGGAGTCATAGAGTATGTAATTGCCTTTTTATTTGTTTTCAGTCAGGCTTCTCTCATTCTGCATAATATTGAAATTCATCCAAATTGTTTTCATTGTTGTTGTTTTGAGACGGACTTTGGCTCTGTCGCCCAGGCTGGAGTGCAGAGGCATGATCTCTGCTCATTGCAACCTCCACCTCCTGGGTTCAAGTGATTCCCACCCCTCAGCCTCCAAAGTAGCTGTGATTACAGTTGCACACCACCACACTGGGCTAACGTTTTGGTATTTTTTAGCAGAGATGGAGTTTCACCATATTGTTCAGGCTGGTCTCGAACTCCTGGGTCAAGAGATATGCCCACCTTGGCCTCCTAAAGTGCTGGGATGACAAGCATAAGCCACTGCGCCGGGCCCCACATTGTTAACTGCATAATCATGGATTATTATTGCTACATGTCTTTCATATGCGTTTATCACAATTTGATTATATATTCATCTGTTGATGGGAATTTGTATTATTTTCCAATTTTTAGTTATGAATAAAGCAGTATGAATATTTGTTTAGAAGGATTTGTTTGGGTAATAAATGTTATTACTCTTGAGTAAGTACTTAGTGGTAGAATGGCTGCTCTCTATAATAAATGTATGTATATATTTTTTCTAAGACAAGAAAATGCTAATCTCTTTTCCAAAGTGGTTAGGCCATTTCATATTCCCACCAGAAATGCATGAGAGTTCCAATTGTGCCATAACCTCACCAACACTTTGTATGATTAACCGTTTTCATTTTAGATTGCCTAATGGATGTGTATTAGTATCTCATCTTAGGTTTAATTAATGATTTCCTGATGACTGACAATGTTGAATCTTTTCAAGTACTTATTGACTATTAATATCTCTTCCTTTCTCTTCCTATCTCTCTGTGTTTGTGTCTCAGTCTCATTTTGGTAAAGTGCATTTTCTTTTTTTATTATAATTATACTTTAACTTTTAGGGTACATGTGCACAACGTGCAGGTTTGTTAAATAGGTATACATGTGCCATGTTGGTTTGCTGCACCCATCAACTTCTCATTTACATTAGGTTTTTCTCCTAATGCCATCCCTCCCCCAGTCTCCCACCCCCCGACAGGCCACGGTGTGTGATGTTACCCACCCTGTGTCCAAGGATTCTCACTGTTCAATTCCCACCTATGAGTGAGAACATGCAGTGTTTGGTTTTCTGTCCTTGTGATAGTTTGCTGAGAATGATGGTTTCCAGCTTCATCCACGTCCCTGCAAAAGACATAAACTCATCCTTCTTTAAGGCTGCATGGTATTTCATGGTGTATTTGTGCCGTATTTTCTTAATGCAGTCTATCATTGATGGACAGTTGAGTTGGTTCCAAGTCTTTGCTATTGTGAATAGTGCCATAATAAACATATGTGTGCATGTGTCTTTATAGTAGCATGATTTATAACCCTTTGGTACATACCCAGTAGTGATATCGCTGGGTCAGATGGTATTTCTAGTTCTAGATCTTGAGGAATTGCCACACAGTCTTCCACAATGGTTGAACTAATTTACACTCCCACCAACAGTGTAAAAGCATTTCTATTTCTCCACATCACCTCCAGCATCTGTTGTTTCCTGACTTTTTAATGATCACCATTCTAACTGGCGTGAGATGGTTTCTCATTGTGGTTTGATTTGCATTTCTCTGATGACCAGAGATGATGAGCATGTTTTCATGTGTCTGTTGGCTTCATAATTGTCTTCTTGTGAGAAGTGTCTGTTCATATTCTTTGCCTGGTTTTTGATGGGTTTGTTAGTTTTTTTCTTGTAAATTTGTTTAAGTTCTTTGTAGATTCCGGATATTAGCCCTTTGTCAGATGGGCAGATTGCAAAAATTTTCTCCCATTCTGTAGGTTGCCTGTTCACTCTGATGGTAGTTTCTTTTGCTGTGCAGAAGCTCTTTAGTTTAATTAGATCCCATTTGTCTATTTTGGCTGTTGTTGCCATTGCTTTTGGTGTTTTAGTCATGAAGTCGTTGCACATGCCTATGTCCTGAATGGTGTTGCCTAGGTTTTCTTCTAGGGTTTTTATGGTTTTAGGTCTAACATTAAGTCTTTAATCCATCTGGAGTCAATTTTTGTATAAGGTGTAAGGAAGGGATCCAGTTTCAGCTTTCTACATGTGTCTAGCCAGTTTTCCCAGCACCATTTATTAAATAGGGAATCCTTTCCCCGTTTCTTGTTTCTGTCATCAGGTTTGTCAAAGATCAGATGGTTGTATGGTACCAGCCACTGCAAAAACATGCCAAATGGTAAAGACCATCAAGGCTAGGAAGAAACTGCATCAACTAATGAGCAAAATAACCAGCTAACATCATAATGACAGGATCAAATTCACACATAACAATATCAACCTTAAATGCAAATGGGCTAAATGCTCCAATTAAAAGGCACAGACTGGCAAATTGGATAAAGAGTCAAGACCCATCAGTGTGCTGTATTCAGGAAACGCATCTCACGTGCAGAGACACACATAGGCTCAAAATAAAGAGATGGAGGAAGATCTACCAAGCAAATAGAAAACAAAAAAAGGCAGGGGTTGCAATCCTAGTCTCAGATAAAACGGAGTTTAAACCAACAAAGATCAAAAGAGATGAAGAAGGTCATTACATAATGGTAAAGGGATCAATTCAACAAGAAGAACTAACTATCCTAAATATATAGGCACCCAATACAGGAGCACCCAGATTCATAAAGCAAGTCCTTAGTGACCTACAAAGAGACTTAAACTCCCACACAATAATAATGGGAGACTTTAACACCCCACTGTCAACATTAGACAGATCAGCGAGACAGAAAGTTAGCAAGGATATCCAGGAATTGAACTCAGCTCTGCACCAAGTGGACCTAATAGATATCTACAGAACTCTCCACCCCAAATAAACAGAATATACGTTCTTTACAGCACCACACCACACCTATTCCATAATTGACCACATAGTTGGAATAAAGCACTTCTCAGCAAATGTAAAAGAACAGAAATTATAACAAACTGTCTCTCAGACCACAGTGCAATCAAACTAGAACTCAGGATTAAGAAACTCACTCAAAATTCCACAACTACATGGCAACTGAACAACCTGCTCCTGAATGACTACTGGGTAAATAATGAAATGAAGGCAGAAATAAAGATGTTCTTTGAAACCAACGAGAACAAAGACACAACATACCAGAATCTCTGGAACACATTCAAAGCAGTGTGTAGAGGGAAATTTATAGCACTAAATGCCCACAAGAGAAAGCAGGAAAGATCTAAAATTGACACCCTAACATCACAATTAAAAGAACTAGAGAAGCAAGAGCAAACACATTCAAAAGCTAGCAGAAAGCAAGAAATAACTAAGATCAGAGCAGTACTGAAGGAAATAGAGACACAAAAAACCCTTCAAAAAATCAATGAATCCAGGAACTGGTTTTTTGAAAAGATCAACAAAATTGATCGACCACTAACAAGATTAATAAAGAAGAAAAGAGATAAGAATCAAATAGATGCAATAAAAAATGAGAAAAGGGATATCACCACCAATCCCACAGAAATACAAACTACCATCAGAGAATACTATGAACACCTCTACATGAATAAACTAGAAAATCTAGAATAACTGGATAAATTCCTGGACACATACACCCTCCCAAGACTAAACCAGGAAGAAGTTGAATCTCTGAATAGACCAATAACAGGCTCTGAAATTGAGGCAATAATTAATACCTTACCAACCAAAAAACTCCAGGACCAGATGGATTCACAGCTGAATTCTACCAGAGGTACAAGGAGGAGCAGGTACCATTCCTTCTGAAACTATTCCAATCAATAGAAAAAGAGGGAATCCTCCCTAACTCACTTTATGAGGCCAGAATCATCCTGATACCAAAGCCTGGCAGAGACACAACAAAATAAGAGAATTTTAGACCAATATCCTTGATGAACATTGATGCAAAAATCCTCAATAAAATACTGGCAAACTGAATCCAGCAACACATCAAAAACCTTATCCACCATGATCAAGTGGGCTTCATTCCTGGGATGCAAGGCTGGTTCAACATATGAAAATCAATAAACATAATCCAGCATATAAACAGAACCAAAGACAAAAACCACATGATTATCTCAATAGATGCAGAAAAGGCCTTTGAGAAAATTCAACAGCCCTTCATGCTGAAAATTCTCAATAAATTAGGTACTGATGGGACGTACCTCGAAATAATAAGAGCTATTTATGACAAACCCACAGCCAATATCGTACTGAATGGACAAAAACTGGAAGCATTCCCTTTGAAAACTGGCACAAGACAGGGATGCCCTCTCTCACCACTCCTATTCAACATTAGTGTTGGAAGTTCTGGCCAGGGCAATCAGGCAGGAGAAGGAAATAAAGGGTATCCAATTAGGAAAAGAGGAAGTCAAATTATCCCTGTTTGCAGATGACATGATTTTATATCTAGAAAACTCCACATCTCAGCCCCAAATCTCCTTAAGCTGATAAGCAACTTCAGCAAAGTCTCAGGATACAAAATCAATGTACAAAAATCACAAGCATTCTTATACACCAATAACAGACAAACAGAGAGTCAAATCATGAGTGAACTCCCATTCACAATTGCTTCAAAGAGAATAAAATACCTAGGAATCCAACTTACAAGGGTTGTGAAGGACCTCTTCAAGGAGAACTACAAACCACTGCTCAATGAAATAAAAGAGGACACAAACAAATGGAAGAACATTCTATGCTCATGAGTAGGAAGAATCAATATGGTGAAAATGGCCATACTGCCCAAGGTAATTTATAGATTCAATGCCATCCCCATCAAGCTACCAATGGCTTTCCTCACAGAATTGGAAACAACTACTTTAAAGTTCATATGGAATCAAAAAAGAGCCCGCATCGCCAAGTCAATCCTAAGCCAAAAGAACAAAGCTGGAGGCATCATGCTACCTGACTTCAAACTATACTACAAGGCTACAGTAACCAAAACAGCATGGTACTGGTACCAAAACAGAGATATAGACCAATGGAACAGAACAGAGCCCTCAGAAATGATGCCACGTATCTACAACCATCTGATCTTTGACAAAACTGACAAAAACAAGCAATGGGGAAAGGATTCCCTATTTAATAAATGGTGCTGGGAAAACTGGCTAGACATATGTAGAAAGCTGAAACTGGATCCCTTCCTTACACCTTATACAAAAATTAATTCAAGATGGATTAAAGACTTAAATGTTAGACCTAAAACCATGAAAACCCTGGAAGAAAACCTAGGCAATACCATTCAGGACATAGGCATGGGCAAGGACTTCATGTCTAAAACACCAAAAGCAATGGCAACAAAAGCCAAAATTGACAAATGGAATCTAATTAAACTAAAGTGCTTCTGCACAGCAAAAGAAAGTACCATCAGAGTGAACAGGCAACCTACAGAATGGGAGAAAATTTTCTCAACGTACTCATCTGAGAAAGGGCTAATATCCAGAATCTACAATGAACTCAAACAAATTTACAAGAAAAAAACAACCCCATCAAAAAGTGGGCAAAGGACATGAACAGACACTTCTCAAAAGAAGACATTTGTGCAGCCAGAAAACACATGAAAAAATGCTCATCATCACTTGCCATCAGAGGAATGCAAATCAAAACCACAATGAGATACCATCTCACACCAGTTAGAATGGTGATCATTAAAAAGTCGGGAAACAACAGGTGCTGGAGAGGATGTGGAGAAATAGGAACACTTTTACACTGTTGGTGGGACTGTAAACTAGTTCAACCATTGTGGAAGTCAGTGTGGCAATTCCTCAGGGATCTAGAACTAGAAATACCATTTGACCCAGCCATCCCATTACTGGGTATATACCCAAAGGATTATAAATCATGCTGCTATAAAGACACATGCACACATATGTTTAATGCAGCACTATTCACAATAGCGAAGGCTTGGAACCAACCCAAATGTCCAACAATGCTAGACTGGATTAAGAAAATGTGACACATATACACCATGGAATACTATGCAGCCATAAAAAAGGATGAGTTCATGTCCTTTGTAGGGACATGGATGAAGCTGGAAACCATCATTCTCAGCAAACTATCGCAAGGACAAAAACCCAAACACCACATGTTCTCACTCATAGGTGAGAATTGAACAATGAGAACACATGGACACAGGATGGGGAACATCACACACCGGGGCCCATTGTGGGGTGGGGGGAGGGGGGAGGTATAGCATTAGGAGATATACCTAATGCTGAATGACGAGTTAATGGGTGCAGCACACCAACATGGCACATGTGTACATATGTAACAAACCTGCACGTTGTGCACATGTACCCTAAAACTTAAAGTATAATGATAATAAAAAAAAAAAGAAAATAGATCAGATGGCTGTAGATGTGTGGTGTTATTTCTGAGGCCTCTGTTCTGTTCCACTGGTCTATATATCTGTTTTGGTACCAGTACCATGCTGTTTTGATTACTGTAGCCTTGTAGTATAGTTTGAAGTCAGGTAACATGATGCCTCAAGCTTTGTTCTTTTTTGCTTAGGACCGTCTTGGCAATGTGGGCTCTTTTTTGGTTCCATATGAACTTTAAAGTAGCTTTTTCCAGTTCTGTGAAGAAAGTCCTTGGCAGCTTGATGGGGATGGCATTGAATCTACAAATTACTTTGGGCAGTATGGCCATTTTTATGATAGTGATTCTTCGTATCCATGAGCGTGGAATGTTCTTCCATTTGTTTGTGTCCTCTTTTATTTCATTGAGCAGTAATTTGTCGTTCTTCTTGAAGAGGTCCTTCGCATCCCTTGTAAGTTGGATTCCTAGGTATTTTATTCTCTTTGTAGCAATTGTGAATGGGAGTTTACTCATGATTTGGTTCTTTGTTTGTCTGTTATTGGTGTATAGGAATGCTTGTGATTTTTGCACACTGATTTTGTATCCTGAGACTTTGCTAAAGTTGCTTATCAGCTTAAGGAGGTTTTGGGCTGAGACGGTGGGATTTTCTAAATATACAGTTATGTCATCTGCAAAGAGGGACAATTTGACTTCCCCTTTTCCTAATTGAATACCCTTTATTTCTTTCTCCTGCCTGATTGCCCTGGCCAGAACTTCCAACACTATGTTGAATAGGAGTGGTGAGAGAGGGCATCCCTGTCTTGTGCCAGTTTTCAAAGGGAATGCTTCCAGTTTTTGTCCATTCAGCATGATATTGGCTGTGGGTTTGTCATAAATAGCTGTTATTATTTTGAGATATATTCAATCAATACCTAGTTTGTTGAGAGTTTTTAGCATGAAGGGCTGTTGAATTTTGTCAAAGGCCTTTTCTGCATCAAGTGAGATAATCATGTGTTTTTTGTCATTGGATCTGTTTATGTGATGGGTTACGTTCATTGATTTGCATATGTTGAACCAGCCTTGCATCCCAGGGATGAAGCCATCTTGATTGTGGTGGATAAGCTTTTTGATGTGCTGCTGGATTCAGTTTGCCGTATTTTATTGAGGATTTTCGCATCAATGTTCGTTAGGGATATTGGTCTATAATTCTCTTTTTTTGTTGTGTCTCTGCCAGGCTTTGGTATCAGGATGATGCTGGCCTCATAAAATGAGTTAGGGAGGATTCCCTCATTTTCTATTGATTGGAATAGTTTCAGAAGGAATGGTGCCATTTCCTCTTTGTATCTCTGGTAGAATTCAGCTGTGAATCCATCTGGTCCTGGAGTTTTTTTGGTTGGTAAGGTATTAATTATTGCCTCAATTTCAGAGCCTGTTATTGGTCTATTCAGAGATTCAACTTCTTCCTGGTTTAGTCTTGGGAGGGTGTATGTGTCCAGGAATGTATCCATTTCTTCTAGATTTTCTAGTTTATTTGCATAGAGCTTTTTATAGTATTCTCTGATGGTAGTTGTTTTTCTGTGGGATCAGTGGTGATATCCCCTTTATCATTTTTTATTGTGTCTGTTTGATTCTTCTCTCTTTTCTTCTTTATTAGTCTTGCTAGCAGTCTATCAATTTTGTTGATCTTTTCAAAAAAACGGCTCCTGAATTTATTAATTTTTGAAGGGTTTTTTGTGTCTCTATTTCCTTCAGTTCTGCTCTGATCTTAGTTATTTCTTGCCTTCTGCTATCTTTTAAATGTGTTTGCTCTTGCTTCTCTAGTTCTTTTAATTGTGATGTTAGGGTGTCAATTTTAGATCTTTCCTCCTTTCTGTTGTGGGCATTTAGTGCTGTAAATTCCCTTTTACACAGTGCTTTAAATATATCCCAGAGATTCTGGTATGTTGTGTCTTTGCTCTCGTTGGTTTCAAAGAACATCTTTATTTCTGTCTACATTTCGTTATTTACCCAGTAGTCATTCAGGAGCAGATTGTTCAGTTTCTATGTAGTTGTGGAATTTTGAGTGAGTTTCTTAATCCTGAGTGGTAATTTGATTGCACTGTGGTCTGAGAGACAGTTTGTTGTGATTTCTGTTCATTTACATTTGCTGAGGAATGCTTCACTTCCAAGTGTGTGGTCAATTTTAGAATAAATTTTATGTGGTGCTGTAAAGAATGTATATTCTGTTGATTTGGGGTGGAAAGTTCTGTAGATGTCTATTAGGTCCACTTGGTGCAGAGCTGAGTTCAAGTCCTGGATATCCTTGTTAAACTTCTGTGTCATTGATCTGTCTAATATTGAAAGTGTGGTGTTAAAGTCTCCCATTATTATTCTGTAGGAGTCAAAGTCTGTAGGTCTCTAAGGACTTGCTTTATGAATCTGGGTGCTCCTGTATTGGGTGCATATATATTTAGGATAGTTATCTCTTCTTACTGTATTGATCCCTTTACCATTATGTGATGGCCTTCTTCATCTCTTTTGATCTTTGTTGGTTTAAACTCTGTTTTATCAGAGACTAGGATTGCAACCCCTGCTTGTTTTTGCTTTCCGTTTTCTTGGTAGATCTTCCTCCATCCCTTTATTTTGAGCCTATATGTGTCTCTGCCTGTGAGATGGGTCTCCTGAATACAGCACCCTGATGGGTCTTGACTCTTTATCCACTTTGCCAGTCTGTGTCTTTTAATTGGGGGATTCAGCCCATTTACATTTAAGGTTAGTATTGTTATGTGTGAATTTGATCCTGTCATTATGATGTTAGCTGGATATTTTGCTTGTTAGTTGATGCAGTTTCTTCCTAGCCTTGAAAGTCTTTACCATTTGGCATGTTTTTGCAGTGGCTGGTACCAGCTGTTTCTTTCCATGTTTAGGGCTTCCTTCAGGAGCTCTTTTAGGGCAGGCCTGGTGGTGGCAAAATCTCTCAGCATTTGCTTGTCTGTAAAGGATTTTGTTTCTGCTTCACTTGTGAAGCTTAGTTTGGTGGATATGAAATTCTGGGTTGAAAATTCTTTCCTTTAAGAATGTTGAATCTTGGCCCCCACTCTCTTCTGGCTTGTAGGGTTTCTGCTGAATGATCTGCTGTTAGTCTGATGGGCTTCCATTTGAGGGTAACCCGCCCTTCCTCTCTGGCTGCCTTTAACACTTTTTCCTTCATTTCAACCTTGGTGAATCTGACAATTATGTGTCTTGGGGTTGCTCTTCTCGAGGAGTACCTTTGTTGCATTCTCTGAATTTCCTGAATTTGAATGTTGGCCTGCCTTGCTAGGTTGGGGTTGTTCTCCTGGATAATATCCTGAAGAGTGTTTTCCAACTTGGTTCCATTCTCCCCATCACTTTCAGGTACACCAGTCAAATGTAGAATTGGTCTTTTCACATAGTCCAATATTTCTTGGAGGCTTTGTTTGTTTCTTTTTACTCTTTTTTGTCTAAACTTGTCTTCTAGCTTTATTTCATTAATTTGATTTTCAATCACTGATATCCTTTGTTCAACTTTATCAAATTGGCTACTGAAGCTTGTGCATGTGTCACGAAGTTCTTGTGCCATGGTTTTCAGCTCCATCAGGTCATTTAAGGTCTTCTCTACGCTGTTTATTCTAGTTAGCCATTCATCTCACCTTCTTTCAAGGTTTTTACCCTCCCTGCAATGGGTTAGAACATGCTCCTTTAGTTCGGAGATGTTTGTTATTACCAACCTTCTGAAGCCTACTTCTGTCAGCTTGTCAAAGTCATTCTCCATCCAGCTTTGTTCTGTTGCTGGCGAGGAGCTGCAATCTTTTGGAGGAGAAGAGGTGCTCTGGTTTTTGGAATTGCCAGGTTTTCTGCTCTGGTTTCTCCCCATCTTTGTGGTTTTATCTACCTTTGGTCTTTGATGATGGTGACCTACAGATGTGGGTTTGGCATGGATGTCCTTTTTGTTGATGTTGATGCTATTCTTTTCTGTTTGTTAGTTTTCCTTCTGACAGTCAGGTCCCGCAGCTGCAGGTCTGTTGGAGTTTGCTGGAGGTCCCCTCCAGACCCTGTTTGCCTGGGTATCACCAGCAGAGACTGCAGAACAGCAAATATTGCAGAACAGCAAATATTGCTGCCTGATCCTTCCTCTGTAAGCTTTGTCCCAGAGGGGCACCCAACTGTATGAGGTATCTGGCAGGCCCTACTAGGAACTGTCTCCCAGTTAGGCTACACAGGTTCAGGGACCCACTTGAGGAGGCAGTCTGTCTGTTCTCAGAGGTCAAACCCTGTGCTTGGAGAACCACTGCTCTCTTCAGAGCTGTCAGACAGGGATGTTTTAGTCTGCAGAAGTTTCTGCTGCCTTTTGTTTAGCTATGCCCTGCCCACAGAAGTGGAGTCTGTACAGGCAGTAGGCGTTGCTGAGCTGTGGTGGGCTCCACCCGCTTCGAGCTTCTTGGCTGCTTTGTTTACCTACTCAAGCCTCAACAATGACATATGCCCCTCCCCCACCTGGCTGCAGCCTCCCTGGTCAATCTCAGACTGCTGCACTAGCAGTGAGCAAGGCTCTGTGGGTGTGGGACCCACTGAGCCAGGCATAGGAGAGGATCTCCTGGTCTGCCAGTTGCTAAGACTGTGGGAAAAGCACGGTATTTGGGCAGGAGTGCCCTGTTTTTCCAGGTACAATCTGTCATGGCTTCCCTTGGCTAGGAAAGGGAAATCCCGCCACCCCTTGGGCTTCCCTGGTGAGGTGACACCCCACCCTGCTTCTGCTCACCCTCCGTGGGCTGTACCCACACTGTCCAACCAGTCTCAATGAGATGAACCAGATACCTCAGTTGGAAATGCAGAAATCACCCATCTTCTGTGTCAAACACACTGGGAGCTGCAGACCAGAGCTCTTCCTATTTGGCCATCGTGGATGAAGATCTCTGGTAAAGTGCATTTTCACAGGTTTTGCCCGCCCCCCACTTTTTTTGGTTATTTGTCTTACTTTTTAGTTGTAAGAGTGTTTTATATATTCTAGATTTAATTATTTATCTGAGAGATGTATTGCAAATATTTTGTCTCAATTTGTGGCTAGTCATTTTGTTTCCTAAGTGCTGTCTTTAGAAGGAAAAAATTTAAAATTTTGATGGAATTCAGTTTCTCAATTTTTTTTCTTTTAGGTTTTATTCAAAAACTTTGCAAACTTTAAGGTTAAAAGACTTTCTTCTGTGTTTTAGTACAGAGGTTTTATAGTTTTAGATTTTACATTTAGGTAGGTCTCATCCGTTTTGAGTTAACTCTTACATGGTGAGAGATGAAGATCTATTTTCATTATTTTCTATATTTATATTCACATAATCCAGCACAGTTTGTCAGAAAATTTTTCTTTCTCTGTTGAGTTGCTTTGGCACTTTTGCCAAAAATCAATCAATACGTAAACATAGGTCCGTTTCTGGCCTCTCTATTATTTTCCATTAATCTGTATTGTCACTATAACTAAATTGTGTTGATTACTATAGCTTTAGAATAAATCTGAAGTCATATAAAATTCTCTATTTTGTTCCTCTCTATATTTTTTAAATAACATTGCTTATATTGGGTCCTGTAAGTATTTTAATATCATCTTATCAATTTCTTTAAAAATAAAGCCTGCTACAATTTTGATTAGGATTGCATTGAATCCATGGAATAACTATAGGAGAATGTCTATCTTAGAAATACTGTCTTCTTGTCCATTAACCTGGTGTAGATATTTTAAAATTTCTCTCAGCGATGTTTTGTGGTTTTCAGTAAAGCATTTTTAGATGTCTTTTGTTAGGTTTATTCCTAAGTAATTTGTGGTAATTACATCATCTAGAAATAGGGAATATCTTCTGCTGTTGTTAAAACTTTCTCTGTTTTCTTGCTACCTACTTTCACGGGGACTGCCTCCTTCTCCTGTGTTCTGCCACAATTTGTCTGTCCTGTTTCTTCAGACAGACTTGTTACTATTCGGAATTTGATTCACCTGTTTGACTTGTGACCTTCGTTTTTTTTTTTTTTTTTTTGTGTGTGTGTGTGTGTGTGTGTGTGTGTGTGTGTGTTTGAAATGGAATCTCGCTCTTGTCACCCTGGCTAGAGTGCAATGGCACAATCTCGGCTCACTGTGTCCTCTTCCTTCTGGGTTCAAGCAATTCTCCTGCCTGAGCCTCCCAAGTAGCTGGGATTACAGGTGCCCACCACTATACCTGGCTAATTTTTTGTATTTTTAGTGGATATGGCATTTCACCATGTTGACCAGGCTGGTCCTGAACTCCTGACCTCAGGTGATCCATCTGCTTTGGCCTCCCAAAGTGCTGGGATTACAGGCATGAGCCACCATGCCTGGCAGACCTTAGTTTTTTGATGGATTATTAAAAGGTTATGATTTTTTTAAAATTATTTAACTTTTTCTAATTGTTAGACTGGAACAGCTTTCTCTGTTGTTTCTGCATCCAAACAGAACTGTTTGTAAGTTTTGATATGCTATATTTTCATTATTTTCAGATCAAAAGACATTATTTTTATTATGATTTTTGTTGATTTAATGAGATTTTTGAAAGTCTGTCACTCAATTTATCATCTGATAATTTCATATTATTTTGTCATTGATTTTAGTTGAATTCTGTTGTGTTGGAGATCATGCTCTGTATGTTTATTGAGGTGTCATTCAATAAGTGGAGCATCACCTGTCTATATTGGTGAAAATTTCATTTGCACATGATTAAAATTTGTATTCTGAAGTAGTTGGCCATAGTGTCCTAAAATATCAACTAAAGTAATTTGGGTAGTAGGTTTGTACACATCTTCTATGTGTTTATTAATATTTAAATGCTGTGGGCCAGGCAAGGTGACCCACGCCTGTAATCCCAGCACTTTGGGAGGCCGAGGTGGGTGGATTGCTTGAGGTCAGGAGTTCAAGACCAGCCTGACCAACATGGTAAAACCTCTGTCTCTACTAAAAATACAAAAATTAGCCAGGCATGGTGGTGCATGCCTGTAATCCCAGCTACTCAGGAGGCTGAGGCAAGAGAATCTCTTGAAACAAGGAGCCAGAGGTTGCAGTGAGCCGAAATCATGCCACTGCAGCCACTGCATTGCAGTCTGTGTAACAGAGCAAGACTCTGTCAAAAAAAGAAAAAAAATGCCGTGTTATGTCTTTTTCTTCTGTCGCTTCTATCAATTTTTGTTCTTTATATTTGAATATATGCTTTTAAAAGCATACATGTTTAGAATTGTTGTATCTTCCTGATGAATTTATCCTTTTATCATTAAAAAACTTACTCTTTATTTCTGATGATACTTCTTGTCTCAACGTTTACTTTGTCTCAAATTGACATAGCTCTATGCTGGATTGCTTATTAGTGTTTGCTTGGTGTGTCTTTCCCATCTGCTCACTTTTCAACGGTGTGTGTACATTATTGTTCCACCAGAGAAACAGAACCAGTAGGCTAGATGGCTAGAAAAAGAGGAATCATTGAAAATATCCAAATTTTGTCTGTTGAGTACCAAGTTTCTGATATTTTGTTGGCTTGAGGTCCTTTCCATGCCTTTATCCATCTATGTAAATATTTATTAAGGGCCTATAATATAGCAGGTGCTCAGCTGTAATTTTGAAACATATCAATACTAATGGAAACTCCCTGTCAGTAGAGTGTTTCCCAGCATTTGACATCACACAAAAATCCGCTGACACATAACATAGACTCCAACATCCTAGGCTTTATCCAATCTCAGCCACTTGGGCGAGCTTAGTGTGCCACCTGCTTCCCACCTTTTCTGTGAATTCTTTCCTTTCTGGATTGGGTGCCTCATGCTGGTTGCTGTGAGCAGAAAGACAAGTAAGCCCAAGTATCCAGGTGTTATTACTCTTTCATTTTATTTCTTACAGGTTATGCCAATCAACTGAGCAGAAAATAAAAGACCTCTAATGTTAATGTAGTACTTGTATACATATATGCATAGAACAGCCGTAGTTAAATTTGTCAGGATATAATTTAGCCACGGGCACTTTTTCTGCTCTGAAATTGAAGACAGATTCATAAGCTCAAAATAAAAGGGAAAAATAGTAGTCCTTTGAAAAATAAGTGTAATGTTACTTCAACTTCATAATTTAGGAGTAAGGTATGTAGACATTAATTTGAACCCTAATAAGTGTATTTAATAAGCATGTTATAAGATTACATAATTATTATGTAGCCTAAGAATATTTAATAACCACATTATACATTGCTATTATGCTTTACAGTATGGAATAGAGTTCCATTTTCACTTTCAGAATTAGCATTCCTCCCATGCTGATAAATCAAGTAATTAGTTCTTTACTGATTGAACCATTTTTTTCTCCTCTTTTAGTATTTGGAACTGGAACAACTTACTTTTGATGATTCTTACTTACTGGTCCAGTCTCAGCCCACCTGCACACTATAATATCTCTGCATTTGTAAGACTGTAAAAAGCCTCAGGCTAATTTTTCTTGAATAATTCATTATCTGTATTTTCAGTGACACATATATCCTGGGAATGCTGATCATATGCATTGCTCGCTTTGATCTTGAGAGAGCTTAGGAGATTTTGAACTGCATTTTCATCACACATTAAATTTGTTGGCTGCAATATGAAATCTGTTGTCACTAACACTTAATTTAAGGCAAGCCACTGAGAATCCTTCAATGCTTAGCAGTAGCAAGTACTTTGCACAGTCTTTGTCTTTGTGTCTAGGCCTTAGGTGGTGGGCATAGGGACATTACATTCAAACTAAAGCAAACTTATTTTAACTAATTTTTAAAATTCCATTTGACAAATACTTTTCTCATTTCTGCTCTTATGGAGTATACATTTTAGTGGAATGGGACAAAAAATAAATGAACAATAACACTTTTATAATTGTAAATGATCTAAAGACAAAAAGATGATGACATAGATTGGGTAAGACTAGCAGTTACCAAGTTTGGTGAGCCCAGGGAAAAATGAAACTGTGGGGCTCTTCTATAAAAAAATAAGAATCTTGGCATGGCAACAGCAGAAATGAAACCAGCCCTGTTAGCATGATGGGAAAGAGTGGGCAGGGACCTTATTAAGGGTGTTCTAAATCTTTAGGTAAACTTTAGAAGTTAAAATGTTAGAGAAGAGTCATTCCCATGGCCCTAACCGGCTTGAGGAACAGAAAGTCCTGGGGAGCTGATGCACCTAGGCCAGGCTCTATAAGATGAAGCCCTGGAGAGAAGGTGGGGCTCTGTAAGGCCTGCTAAGTCATGTCAGAGTGTTAGAATATTGGTAGTTATAAATATCAGCATTATTCTCTCTGTTTTTGAGTGTTCCTACCAGAACTTCTTTGTTCAGTGGGGACTAGGAGGGAGGAGACAGCAGCTTTTCACTCAGTCTGGTGTTGACTGATGAAGTAACATGTTTGCAGATTTTGAAGATCTACACTGAATGATGGCGTTGGAAAGCTGAATACTTTTGTGATGTTATCTGGCCCATATATGATGTTATCTACTCCATATATGACCAGTGATTTTGTTTATGTAACAGTGATCCCTTTTTCTACTTATGTGATTGGCAAATTCTGGAACAAGCTGCCAGTCTTGTTCTGTTAAACACAGCCCTACAAATGAAACCCAAATTTATGTATCGACTCAAATGTGGCCTATGCTACTGTTATATTAAAGACTCCAAGGAAATTATAAGGCCAGAGCCCATTTCTTATTTGTATCCAAAAATATCAGAAATGTTGATGTAAGAAGAAAAAAAATTACTAATAAAAGATTCATCGTACTACTATATTCTGACATCGTAGGTATTCAGAGAGTTAGAATAAATGGCCACTTAGTATGAGTAACTCAGCATGAAGAAAAGTTTATTAGCTCCTCCGTTAACAGTCAATCAACTTTGGTAATAACTGCCTCCCCTTATTAGCACATGTAATAGTCCCTAAGCAAAATTAATAGTTTAGATAAAACACACAACCTATGGAGATTTAGAGATGAATACTTATTTTCCTGCTAATGTATCATTAATATAAATATTGCTTTTTATTTATGTAAACTTTAATTGGGGCATGGAGTAAAGGAGCATATGATTGCTGCACTTGCTATAAGGCTCATGGCAGGTGCCACATCCTTTATGTGAGTCTCCGTGGAGGTACCACCCACACAACATCTGCAGAAATGACCTAGCTTATAGTTTAGGCTTCTTAACTGTGTGATCTTAATAAATCACCCAACTTCTCTGAGGTTTAGCTTCCTTGCCTATAAAATAAAGAAAAATTACCTGTAAAAAAATATTTGCTATGATGCAATGAATCATCCAAATGACAGGCCCAGCCCTGTGGTTTCTCCCCTTGTGGATACATCTTATGGATCAAGAGGCAATGAGTGCACATATTTTTTGTGATAGACAGTTATATTTGGAGGAGCCCTACCACTGTTTTTCAAGTGCTTTCCTCTTTGTTCAATTAATTTCCAACTCAAATCTTTGATATAAATTCTTAACTTGAAAAATGCAAATGATCTAATTATATCTTTACACACAAATCCAAATATCTTTAAACATACATAGATCACACATTAATGCTGAAAGGTGAGTCAGGTGTGTGTGTGTGTGTGCGTGTGTGTGTGTGTGTGCATATTTAATGGACATTTGCTAGAGCTAGTTTAAGGGTTAGATTATAAACTACCTAATGGTAGCAGGTATGTCTTATTTATCTCTCAATACTGAGCACCAAGCACAGGGGTGATCGCATGCAAGGTGGTTAGGATGTTTGACGTAAAGTAGGAACCGTGAGCAACTCCAAAGACAGAAAACAGCCCTGAGGAGTTTGTATAAAATCAATACTAACTGTAGGTGTCTTTGAGGACAAAAATTATGCTTCTCACTCTCCATATTACTTTTTTTTTTTCTTTTTGAGATGGAGTCTCGCTCTGTTGCACAGGCTGGAGTGTAGTGGTGTTCTCTCTGCTTATTGAAACCTCTGCCTCCAGGGTTCAAGCGATTCTCCTGCCTCAGCCTCCCAAGTAGCTGGGACTACAGGCACCTGCTACCACAACCACCTATTTTTTTTTTTTTTTGTATTTTTAATATAGATGGGGTTTCCCCATGTTGACCAGGCTGATCTCGATCTCTTGGCCTCAGGTGATCTGCCCGCCTTGGTCTCCCAAAGTGCTGGGATTACAGGGGTGAGCCACCACGCCTGGCCTCCATATTGCTTTCTGCAAGGCATTCCGACAGGGTTGAGGGATCAGGAAAGGGGAGAGAGTTTATATCATAGTAAATGTTATCGCTTCACTAAATAAGAGATTTGGAAACTGTTTTACACTTTCACTAACTTATTAAAACATCTTTTATTGGAATTGACTTTTCCCTTTTCTATTTTAATACGTAATTTTCACATAAGAAAGTCTGTTTTAAAATCATTTCCAAATTTCCTAAGACAATCTGGAAGCTATTTTGGAGATGTGGCATTCCCAGAAGAATAAAGTAGATTGAGTAAATGCTAAATGAGTGTATTAAAAAATAGGCTGCCTTAAAGGCTCTTAGGCATCACTACTATTTTGAAATAATCATCACTTAGAATTATAACTCACTTGTTTTGCAAGCCGGGTTAATAAATGCACAAAATTTGAACCACTAATGAGACTTTTCTTCATTTAAAGTGTGGGGAGGACATGTGGAAATGCAGTGTCTGCTAACTAGTTTCTATTTTCATAAGGATTTTAAAATGACAAATATAGTGACAGAAACTAGGTAACATTTACCAAGTTCATTGAAATGGTTGGTTATTTTTCAGTGGTCTCCTAGGAGTTTAAAATAATATGGGAAGCTTCCTGGAAACACCTTATAAAAGACCTAAATTGTTCCCAGAAGACTGGAGATTTTCTGAACTCTGTATGATCTTTAACAGTGGTTCATCATTCTTATTGTATATTAGAGTTATACTGGGGGGCTTTACAAAAATATTGATACTTGGGTGTATCTGGAACAATCAAATCATAGTCTTTGGTGAGTGGAGAGTTTGTAGGGACTGAGCATCAGTGTGGTAGAAGCTTCCCAGGTTAATGTGTAGCCATTGTTGAAAATCACTGACATAGCTAGAACAAGAACAGCAAGTTCATGACAATGAAACTACAATTTCCACTGTCCCTGCACAAAAGATACTGTTGATATCTAAATGTGTTTTCCTACTGGAACCATGCCCAGTCTCAGAAAATTCTCTGAGGAATTTGTGGTAATTTTCGGAGTTCACAGATGTTCAATAAGTATTTATGGATTGATCAGACTGTCCCCAATAACCCACCAGCAGATTACTAGATACTTGATTTGTTCTATACTTAGCTTGGCCCAGTGTTTGTGAGCAGAAGAAGAATAAGGCATTTCTTTCTTGCTTCAAATATTCATGGAGCAATTCGTGACTGTGAAGTTTATTTTAAAATAATCTCTGACCCAAACTGAAATCCTGTTCTATGATTTTATTTGATATCATTAAAAATCTGTAACATAACTGAAATCTGCATTTTAATCAAATAGGCAACCATTATAATATTTAATGTTAATGTGTTACAAGGTGTAGTTCACAGAAACAAAGAGACTTTGAGTTAAACAGAGGCATCTCTACCACCTAATTCACCCTTAAGGACTATGAAATTCACCAAAAGCACATGCCAGTGAACATCCAGGGCCCTGTATCTTCTGCCAGTGAATGAATATAGGACTTCAAAAGCACAAAAAGTAAAGAAGCAGTGCCTTCCAGCCTTCATCCTCTGAAGAGCAGTCTATATACACTTGCTCCTTCTTTTGTTTAAAAATCTTTATCCTTGACATTTAGAAAGTTATACTTTCTCATTTGCAAAATAACACATATAATTCCTAATTACCTCTCCTATGCTATCACACTCCATGCTTTTTAAATACTTTCTATCTCAGTTATTCTGTGAGTTTCCTTAATTGTCTACAAGTACAGAGGAAGTTTGAAAACATTCTCGTTAATGCTTGGAAGAAAGAGTCCACCATTGTCCCCTTGACTGGCAGCCTTTATCAGACGATGTCGTCCAGACTCTCCTACTTTTCCTTTTCTGTGCAGCAAGGCTTTGGGGAGGCCCACGGGACTTTGGCACAGAAGAGGAATTTAGCCGTAACAAGGTGTTTAATCTGCTTTATATGCCCAGTGACATTCTTGAGATACTCTTCATCAGAAATCCAAACTCTGGAGCCACCTGCTTCTTTGAGACGCACAAATCTATTAAACTTAGCATAATTCATTTCAAAATGACAAATATAAAGGAAGCAAATGTATCACATACTTAAATGGTCTATTAAGTTAGTAGATGTTGAAGCAAACTTCGAATTTATTGTGTCACTCCTATTTTGGAATTATAAGAAGCTGTAATTAAGGGATTTTTCAAATGGTTATTTATTTAACCTTTCTAGCTTTGTTAAGGTATAATTGATAAACATAAATTGTCTATATATAAGGCATACAATGTAGTGATTTGATATATTTATACATGGTGTAATGATTACCACAATGAAAATAATTAACATCTCTGTCACCTCACATAGTTGTCATTTGTGTGCCTGTGTGTGGTGAAAACACTTAAGATTTACTATCATCAAATTTCAAGTACACAATCGGTATTTTTAACTGTAGTCACCATTAGATTAGGTATACTTAGATTCCCATAAGTTATTCATCTTTTAACTGAAACTCTGTACCCTGTGACCAACATCTCCCACTTCCCCTAACCCCCAGTCCCTGGCAACTTCCATTTTATTTTTTGCTTTTATGAGTTTGACTTTTTAAAATTTCAAAATATCATCTCATCATAAATGAGATGACACAGTATTTGTTCTTCTGTAATTGGCTTTTTTCACTGAGTATAATGTCCTCCAGCTTCATTCCTGTTGTCACAAATGGCAGGATTTCCTTCTTTTTTAATTCTTCATTTTCTTTGTTTATTAACTTGTCAATAGAAACTTAAGTTGTTTCCATATCTTGGCTATGGTGAATGCTGTTGCAATAAACATGGGACTGCAGCTATCTCTTCAAAATACTGACTTCGTTTCCTTTGGATATATAACCAGTAGCAGGATTGCTGGATTATATGGTAGTTTTAGTCCTAGTTTTTAGGACCCTCCATACTGTTTTCCATAATTGATATGCCAAATTACATTCCCACTAACAGTGTCAGAGTGCCCTTTTCTCCACACTCATGACAACTCTTGCTATCTCTTCTCTATTTTATAGTAACTGTCCTAACAGGTGTGAGATGATATGTCATGTGGTTTTGATTTGCTAATAATTTCTTTAAAGATTAGTGATGTTGAACCCCTTTCTGTTTATTATAATTTTTATTTTAGGTTCAGGGGTACATGTGCAGGTTTGTTATATAGGTAAAACACTTTGTCACAGGATTTTGGTGTACAGATTATTTTGTCATCCAACAGGAATTTTGTCTGATCCTCTTCCTCCTCCCATCCTCCACCCTCAAATAGGCTCCAGTGTCTGTTGTTTCTCTCTGTGTCCGTGTGTTCTCATTTAGCTCCAATTAAAAGTGAGATAGGAGGAATCAATATAATTGAAATAGTCATAGTTCCCAAAGCAATTTACAGATTCAATGCTATTCCTACCAAACTACCAATGATATTATTCACAGAATTAGAAAAAAAGCTATCTTAAGTGTTTGGCTTTTGGTTTTTGCTTTTCTGTTCCACTGTCAGTTTAGGATAATGACCTCCAGCTTCATCCATGTTACTGTAAAGAACATGATCTTGTTCTTTTTTACAGCTGCGTAGTATTCCATGGTTCATATGTGCCACTTTTTCTTTATCTAGCCTACCACTGATGGGCATTTAGGTTGATTCCATGTCTTTGCTGTTGTAAATAGTGGTGCAATGAACATACGCATGCATGTGTCTTTATCCTAGAAGCATTTACATTCCTTTGGGTATATACCCAATAATGAGATTGCTGGGTTGAATGGTAATTCTGTTTCAGGTTCTTTGAGGAATTGCCACACTGCTTTCCACACTGGCTGAACTAATTTACAGTCCCACCAGCCGTGTATAAGCATTCCTTTCTCCACAACCTCACCAGCATGTTATTTTTTGACTTTTTCATAATAGCCATTCTGATTGATGTGAAATGGTATTCCATTGTCATTTTGATTTGCATTTCTCTAATGATTAATGATGTTGAACATTTTTTCATATGCTTCTTGGCCACATGTATGTCTTCTTTTGAGA
Source organism: Homo sapiens (assembly GCF_000001405.40). Taxonomy (NCBI): domain Eukaryota; kingdom Metazoa; phylum Chordata; class Mammalia; order Primates; family Hominidae; genus Homo; species Homo sapiens. Next base: position 5,955,033 of record NC_000003.12, read on the forward strand.
AATATCTGTTCATGACACTTGCCTACTTTTTAATGGGGTTGGTTTTCTCCTTGTAAATTTGTTTAACTTCTTTATAGATTCTGGATATTAGACTTTTGTCAGATGCATAGTATGCAAATATTTTCTCCTGTTTTGTAGGATGTGTGTTTACTCTGTTGATTTGTGGTGTGTGTGTTTGTGTGTGTGTGTGTGTGAAGAAACTCTTTAGTTTAAGTAGGTCCAATTTGTCAATGTTTTGTTGTTGTTGCAATTACTTTTGGCATCTGCATCTTGAAATTTTACCAGATCCTATGTCCAGAATGGTATTTCCTAGGTTATCTTCCATTATTTTTATAGTTTTAGGTTTTACGTTTAAGTCTTTAATTCATTTTGAGTTGATTTTTATATACAGTGTAAGGAAGGGGTTAAGTTTCAATCTTATGCATATGGCTAGCCAGTTATCCCAGCATCATTTATTGAAAAGGGAGTCCTTTCTCCGTTGCTTGTTTTTGTAGGTTTTGTGAAACATCAGATGATTGTAGGTGTGTGGCATTACTTCTGGGCTTCCTATTCTGTTCGATGGGTCTATGCGTCTGTTTTTGTATCAGTACCATGCTGTTTTGATGACTATAGCCTTTAATATAGTTTGAAGTCTTTGTATCAGTACCATGATGTTTTGATTACTGTAGCCTTTGATATAGTTTGAAGTCAAGTAATGTGATGCCTCCGGCTCTGTTCTTTTTGATTAGAATTGCCTTGGCTATTCAGGCTATTTTTCAGTTCCACATGAATTTTAAGATAGATTTTTTTTCTAATTCTGTGAATAATATCATTGGTGGTAGAAATAGCATTGAATCTGTAAATTGCTTTGGGAAGTATGACTATTTTAATGATATTGACTCTTCCTATAAATGAGCATGGAATGTTTTTCCGTGTTTTTGTATCATGTCTGATTTCTTTGAGCAGTGTTTTGTAATTATCATTGTAGAGATCTTTTACCTATCTGGTTAGCTGTATTCATAGGTATGCTGTTGTTAAGAGGGAAGTTTATGGCACTAAACACTCACATCAAAAAGTTAGAAAGATCTCAAATTAACAATTTTAATATTACAACTAGAGGAATTAGAGAAGCAAGAATAAACCAACCGCAGAGCTAGCAGAGGATAAGAAATAACAAAAATCAGAGCTGAATGGAAGGAAATTGAGACACAAAAACATACAAAAGATCGATGAAGCCAGGAGTTTTTCTTTGTGAAAAAAATTAATAAGATTGAGGGTCGAGTGGCTAGACTAACAAAGACAAAAAGAGAGAACATCTGGATAAACACAATTAGAAATGACAAAAAGGACATTACCACTGACCCACAGAAATAGAAAACATCCTCAGAAACTACCATGAACACCTCTATGCCCACAAACTAGAAAATCCAGAATAAATGGATAAATTTCTGGAAATATACAACCTCCCAAGACTGAATCAGAATAGAATCCCTGAATAGACCAACAATGAGTTCCAAAATGGAATCAGTAATAAAAAGTCTACAAACCAAAAAAGAGCCCTGGACCAGGCGAATTCACAGTTGAATTCTACCAGATGTATAAAGAAGAGCTGATACCATTCCTACTGAAACTATTACAAAAAATTGAGGAGGAGGTACTCCTCCCCAATGCATTCTATGAGGCCAGCACCATTTTGATACCAAAATCTAGCAGAGACACGACCGAAAAAGAGAACTTCAGGCCATCCTTGATGAATATTGATACAAAAAAATTCTTAACAAAATATTAGCAAAAAAATTCCAGTGGCACATCAAGAAGCTAATCCACCACAATCAAGTAGGCTATATCCCTTGGCTGCAAGGTTGGTTCAACATATGCAAATCAATAAATGTGATTCATGACATAAACAGAATTAAAAACAAAAACCACATGATTATCTCTATAGATACAGAAAAAGCTTTTTATAAAATTCAACATGTCTTTATGACAATAAACTAGGCATCAAAGGAACACACTTCAAAATATTAAGGGCCATCTATGACAAGACCACAGCCAGCATCACAGTGAACTGGCAAAAGCTAGAAGCATTTCCCTTGAAAACCAGCACAAAACAAGGATGCCCCCTATGACCACTCCTATTCAACATAGTACTGCAAGTCCCAGCCAGAGCAATCAGGCAAGAGAAATAAACAAAAGGCATCTGTGATGGTTAATATTGAGTGTCATCTTGATTGGGTGGAAGGATGTAAAGTATTGTTCCTGGGTGTGTCTTTGAGGGTGTTGCCAAAGGAGATTAACATTTGAGTCAGTGGACTGGGAAAGGCAGACCCACCCTCAATCTGAGTGGGCACTATCTAATCAGCTGCCAGCACTGCCAGAATAAAAGCAGGCAGAAGAAGGTAAAAAGACTAGATTGGCTTAGTCTTCTGGCCTACATCTTTCTGCCATGCTGAATACTTCCTGCCTTGAAACATCGAGCTCCAAGTTCTTCAGCTTTTGGACTCGTGGACCTTCAACCACTGACTGAAGGCTGCACTGTAGGCTTCCCTACTTTTGAGGTTTTGGGACTCGCACTGGCTTCCTTGCTCCTCAGCTAGCAGAGGGCCTATTGTGAGGCCTCACCCTGTGATCGTGTGAGTCAATGCTCCTTAATAAACTCCCCTTTATATAAGCATCTATTAGTTCTGTCCCTGTAGAGAACCCTGACTAATACAACATCCAAATAGAAAAAGAGGAAGTCAAACTATCCCAGTGTACAGATAATTCTATATCTGGAAAAGCCCACAGTCTCTGCCCAAAAGCTCTTTGATCTGATAAACAACTTCAGCAATGTTTCAAGATACAAAATCAATGTACAAAAATAAGTAGCATTCCTATACACCAACAACATCGAAGCTGACAGCCAAATCAGGAACAAAATATCATTCACAATTGAACACTTCTCTACATATCAATTCTTATGTCTTCTTTGGAAAAATATTTATTCAGCTTATTTGCCTATTTTTAGTTAAGTTATTTGGTTTTTTTACTATTGAGTTATATGAATTTTAAAAAATATATTTTGAGTATTAATCCTTTATTGAATATATGGTTTGCAAATATTTTCTTCCATTCTATGGGTTATCTTTTTTATTTTCTTGGTTTTTTCCTCTGTTGTGCAGAAGCTTTTTCATTTCTTGTAGTCTTACTTGTTTGATTTTGCTTTTGTTTCCTGTGTTTTTGGTGCCATACGCAAAAAATTATCGCCAAGACCAATGTCAGGGAGTTTTTCCCCTTTGTTGTCTTCTAGGAGGTTTACAGTTTTAGGTCTTCCCTGTAAGACTTTAATCCATTTGGAGTTAAGTTTTGTACATGGTGTGAGATAAGGGTTCAATTCGATCTTTTGCATGCAGATAGCTATCCAGTTTTCCCAACATCTTTTATTGAAGACACTTTGTTTTTTGCCATTGTGTGTTCTTAGTGCCCTTGTCAATAATTTGTTGACCATATATGTGTAGGTTTACTTCTGGGCTCTCTAATCTGTTCCATTGGTCTATGTGTCTGTGTTTATGATAACACCATGCTGTTTTGATTGCTATATCTCTGTAATACAGTTTCAATTCAGGTAGGTGATGCATCCAGCTTTACTTTTCTTTCTCAAGACTACTTTGGCTATTCAGGATCTTTTGAGATTTCTTGTCAATTTTAGGATTATTTATAATATTTCTGTAAAAATGCCATTGGGATTTTGATAGGAATTGTATTAAATTTCTAGATTGCTTTGTGTACTATGGACATTTTAACATTATTAACTCTATTAAACAGTATTAATTCCAATTCTTTTTTTTTTTTTTATGAGACAGAGTTTTGCTATTGTTGCCCAGGCTGGAGTGCAGTGGCACCATGTTGGCTCACTGAAACCTCTGCCTCCCTAGTTCAAGCGATTCTCCTGCCTCAGCCTCCCAAGTACCTGGGATTACAGGCATGTGCAACCACACCTGGCTAATAATTCCAATTCATAAACAAGGGCTATCTTTCCATGTATTTGTGTCATCTGTAATTTTTTAAATCAATGTTTTATAGTTTTCAGTGTACAGGAATTTTACCTGCTTGGATAATTTATTACAAAGTGCCATTTGTGTGTGTGTGTGTGTGTGTAGCTATTAGAAGTGGAATTGTTTTCTTGATTTTATTTTTGGAGTAGTTTGTTGTTAGTGTGTAGAAATACAATTGGTCTTTATAAGATGATTTTGTAACCTGCAACTTTATTGAATTTGTTGATTAATTCTAATAGCTTTTTACTGGAGCCTTTAGGGTTTTCTTCATGTAAGATCATGTCACCAGCAGAGACATTAACATCTTCTTTTCTGATTTAAATGCTTTTTACATCATTGTTTTGCCTAATTGTGGTGGTGAGCGCTTCTAGTAACATGTTCCTGATATAGGGAAAAAGTGTTCAGCTTTTCACTGTTAGCAATAGCATGTCATATATAGCTTTTATTATGCTAAGGTAATTTCCTTGTATTCCTAGTTTACTGGGTGTTTTTATCATGAAAGAATGTTGATTTTTTTCAAATGCTTTTTCTGTCCCTATTGAGATAATCATGATTTTATTCTTCATTCTATTAATGTAGTGTATTATGTTTATTAATTTGCATACATTAAACCATCCTTGCATCTCAGGGATAAATATCGCTTGATCGTGTTGTAGCATTCTTTTAATTTGCTCTTGGATTGGATTTGTTAGTATTTTGTTGAAGATCTTTGCATCGATATTCATCTGTGATGTAAACCCGAAATTTTATTTTATTGTAGTGTGCTTATGGCTGTGTGAGAGTAATGCTAGCCTATAGTTTGAAATCGTTGCCTCCGTCTCATTTTTTTTGACAATTTTGAGGCTTACCATTAATTCTGTAAATGTTTGATAGAATTTACCCATGAAACCATCTGGTCCTGGAATCTTCTTTGTTGGGAGTGTTTTGATTACTGATTCAGACTTCTTTATTTCTTATTGGTCTGCTCAAATTTTCTCTTTCTTCATGACTCAGTCTTTGTAGGTTGTATGTATCAAGGACTTCATCCATTTCTTCTAGGTTATCCAGTTGGCTGTTGTATAATTTTTCATAATAATCTCTTATAAGCCAGTACATTTCTTTAGTACCAGGTATAATTTCTCCTCTCTCATGTATAACTTTATTTGCATTCTTTCTCTTGAGGCCAGGAGTTTGAGACCAGCCTGGGCAACATAGCAAGACCCTGTGTCTCAAAAAAAAAAAAAAAAAACTACCCAGGCATAATGGTGCTTGCCTGTAGCCTGAGGCACGTGGAAGGGTGAGGTCACTGCTTGAACCAGGAGGTTTAGTTTACAGTGAGCCATGATCACGCCCCTATCCTTCAGCCTGGGTGACAGAGTGAGACTCTGTCAAAAAAAAAAAAAAAAAAAAGAGGAAGAAGGAAGAAGAAAGAAAGAGTGGGGGTGATTTGACATAGAAAAAAAGTACTTGACATTATTATTATTATTATTATTATTTTTTTTTTTTTTTTTTTTTTGAGACAGGGTCTCAATCTGTCGCCCAGGCTGGGGTGCAGCGGCTTGATCTCGGCTCACTGCAAGCTCCGCCTCCCGGGATCACGCCATTCTCCTCCCTCAGCCTCCCGAGTAGCTGGGACTACAGGCGCCTGCCACCACTCCCAGCTAATTTTTTGTATTTTTAGTAGAGACGGGGTTTCACCATGTTAGCCAGGATGGTCTGGATCTCCTGACCTAGTGATCCGCCTGCCTCGGCCTCCCAAAGTGCTGGGATTATAGGTATGAGCCACCACGCCCAGCCTTGCCATTATTTTTTGTGCGCGTGATGAAAATGTCATGGTGAAATCATCCTCATGGAAAGAAATTCTCTGCAGGTTGCTAGGCAAGATTTCATTCAAAGATTTCAGCAGTTTATTAAGTTTCTACCCAAACTTGCTTCTACTTGTCACAAGCTGGAACTTTTTGGCTGAATGCCATCTAAAACTGTGGTTATTGTCTAGGTCCTGATCTTTCCTTACTTGCTTCCACTAAACCATTGTTTCCAACTTCAGTCATTTACATACCACCACCACAGTTATTACTGGTTCTGCATACTATCTCTACTAAAGGTAATATTATTCTTTAAACTGACTCATTTTGGGGGTTTATCTGGATTTATTTTAAAATTAAGCTGCAGTAATATGTATAGATTGCTGTTATATATTTTTCTAATCTATTATTAAAATTAAAAATCCCAATATTCTACATAAAAACAGTGTGTATCACTGGGGATATAAATAGCACCCTCTGAGAATTAATGAAATGAAGCAAAGCACTCATTTTATTCCTCTTTCACTTTGTTAAGTCATTTGATATTAAAAACAATTACATGGAGCCGGTCATTCTTTGTGTATACGGGTAAAATGGAGCAGGATATAGCACATGCTGTGGAAATATGATCAAGCAAATAAGAAAAAAATATTAAATACCTGGTGTGTTCTAGGCACTACTGATCCTTCATTTAATAGAATTATTTATCTAGTGAATTCCTAAAGGTTATTTACATATTTGGGCGGCAAACCTAAGTGGCATTTTCACCAGTGCTGTTATGCTATTTAATTTTTCTGTTCTTTCTAAACTCAGTGTGCCCAGGTAGAAGAAAGCCTGAACTTAACTTTGTAAGAACAAGCTAGTATCTTCACTCCCTAAGTCATCGCTTGTTCCCTTATTATTTGCTTCCTAGAGCTGAATCTAGGGTATGCCTAGATAAGACTGAAAAAGGAGTGTGGCATTTGATGCACTGACATCTTCCACACAGTCAACATTTCAGTATGGATAAACCTTTGTGAATCAGGGCAGTATCTCACCCTGGATATCAGATGGCAGGTTCTAATAGTCTTCACTAAATAATTATGTTCGGTGATGAGCTCATTTTAAATGAAGAAAATGTGTCACATGGTCACTTTTTTCTTGAAGAGTAACACCCTATAATAAAATAGAAGTCCCAGTATTTCAAAGCCTTTAGAAAATCTCTTTTACTCACTCCCCTCATTTGAATACTTGCCTAAGAAACAAAAATGGAATTTTCTTAGTGGTATTGTGTTCCTTTAAAGAAAATCTCATATATAGAAGTTAGAATTTCATAAATATAAATGATTGCATTGCCAAGAAACTTCAAGATCCATTCTGAAAATCTGCTTATAGCAAGTACCCTCCCCATTTGTTCATATAATTCTCTTCAGGAAGGGACAAATTGCATAATATATTGTAGTTGGAGTTTATTACTCTTTAAGTTTTGGCAAATGTATTAAGCAAATGTTCACTAATACCTTTTAACCAATACTGGATGGCTTATCATTGTTTGGATTGGAATTGAACTTAGATTTTTCTTTTGTTTTTTTTTCTAGATACATATATTGGAAATTTGTAGTCAATTTTTTTTACTGTTTTTACATTTTGCATGTAAATATCCCAAACATCCAGGAAACAGTATTTTTCTTCATGAAATAAGTATCTGGACTCTGAATTTCATTTTAGCTTATTGTCTATTTCCAATCAATACATTCTAGAGAGTCTATTCACAGGAAAACCTGATATATATATCGCATTTCCTGACTTCACTATGCACAGACCATATTTCTTCTTGACATGTTACTATTTGTTAATTACTTACTATTATTCTTACACATCACTCTTTCGTAATTTCTAATCTTTCTCTCTTATAGGACCCAGTGGCTGTCTTGATGTCTCACAGCAGGAAGAGACTCTCTCAAATAGGTGTACACATGGGGAGAGAGAGAGCAAGGAGACTGAGATACAATCAGCCACCAGCAAGTTGTCTTGATTTTCTGAATGGAGCGTGGTAGCATGTTATAGAGTCCAAGGAATTTGCCAAATCCGTGTGAGAAGATTTGCCTCTCACATGTGAGAGAATTTTTTGAGAAAAAAAAGATCCTGACCCCGTCCCTCTGCCACCACCCGAGTGAGGAAGACTGACAGAGCACATTGGCTTGCTGTGGAGACAAGATCAGGGAAAGCGCCCCTGAAAAGAAAGCATTTTGGAAGTCCTGAAGGTGGAGAAGGTAATCAGTCATGTGAAGAGACAAGAGGAAGGGTATAAGCTAGTTAGAAATTAAGGATAGGATGAGGAAAGAAGGGAAGCAAGATCCAGACCACATAAGCGCCTTAGAGGTCATAGAAAGGAGTTCAGATTTTAAACAAAATGTGTAAAAATGAAATTTGGCAAGAGTGGAGTCACCGAGAAAGGACAGAGCCAGGCACTCGTGAATTAATATTGAAGTTCAGGGTAATAGAAGGGTGTGAGATGTTTTTTTGGAGGATTTGTTGGATAAATTAGATATGTGGAGTTACAGAAAGGGATGAGAAAAGACTCACTTTTTGATTATCGTTCCTAATCTCTATCCCTCCCTACAGGAGATTTAGAGGAAGAGTGATAAATCAGAAGTCTTCGTCCAAGAATTAGCTTTGCACCATCTACAGACCTAAGCAGCTGCAGGTATGATTTGTTGATAGAGTTGACACTATCAGATGAATACAGACCCATGACCTTTAAATACAATTTCATCATTTATTTAAAAACTACTTTCTTGAATGATTGAACTTACTTATAGTAAAAAAGTAAAAAGAAAACTATCATCAAAAGGATATTGGTCACTGGGTTGGCTTCTCATTGGTAAGTGTGAGGTTTTGAGAGTGTTATTTGGTGACAACATCAGCACAGGCAGTTGTGTCTCAGATCTGGAGAGTAAAGTAACTCATGTTGCTTATGATTTACACCACGTCCACAGTGCACCAGCAGAGGTTACCATGCACACTCCCAAAGTCACTGAGGGGACTAATACAAATACTTATTCCTTCTCCTTCAGATCCTGGCTGCCTACAGTTATTTTTTCCTTGCTTCAATCATATACAGTGCACCCACTCAGAGCAATTAATTATCTTTGGCTCTTTTAAAATTACTCTCCAATCAAGTAAATATAAAAAGACAGAGTGTTACAAAAAATAAATCCTATCTGGTCCTCTCATTAGCTAGCAATTGCATAAACAGAATATGATTTGCTCTTTGGACATGAATTTAGCAGATATGGAGTCATGCTGTCTCTAAGCTATTCTGATAAAAGTCTTGTTCTTTTTCTGGATTTTATGATGTCATATAATAATCTTTTAATTTATTGTTTCCTCAGCAAATGGTACCACAGCCATTGTGCAGCCCAGATGCATGATTCTACTTAAATTTTTTAAAAGTGTCCGCCTCCAAGGTTATGTGACCTTGTAGATACATTTGATTCTCAGGAACATTGCAAAATTCCATAAAAATAATTTAATTAAGGTTTAAAGTATTACAGTATTCTGAAGATAGTGATAGGTAATAGAGAGAGGAATAAAACTTTACTTATACTAGAACAAATAGCTAGAAATATAGGTGTTTTTCGTCATGAATTTAGTGTTGGCTTTCACTCTACTGACAACATTTTCCTCCCAAGACTGATAAAAATATAAAGCATTCTCTACACCTGAGAAATGACGACAAAAAGGGAGACGGTCAGAATGAACTGGATATTACTAGTATTAGTAGTAATACTACCATTAATGTTTAGCAATTAATAATTTATAATACTGTTTTTACCCTTATATTAATGAAACTTATGTTAAGTAACTTGACCTAGCTCACATAGCTTGGGAATCTGCAATCAGGATTAGAACAGAATTTTAAACTCTATACTTTTCTCAATATGGCATCTGATTTCCAAAGTTAGCTACGATAGTCAATAAACAATTAGAAAAGTTGTCTCCATCATCTTTTGGCATCAGTTTTTTTTTGTTTTTCCTGTGGTCACTGTTACCCCCACTATTGCCTAAGATTGAAAAGCAGTTAGGAATAAAGCTTGTTCCCAACTTTGAATTGTCCAGTTGACAAAGCTGAGACCTGAGTTGAGTGTAGAAAAGAACTAACCCTGTTGCTGCTATCATCATACTTTCAACTGTAGAATTGGGATCAGATCCGATGTACTTATAGTAGGATCATGAACAGCATGTTAGAGCTGGAGTTGTGCACAGAAGCCAACAAATCTGATCCCATCAAAGTAGGCATGGCTGTAATTTGCTTTGCAAATAACAAATAATAGGATAAAACAATTCATCAGTAAAAGGGGAATCGATGAGAATGCATAATTAAGGAGCAGATTTCAATCTAGTTGGATTCAAAGGCTCAAATGGTGTCATCAGAATTCGGCCTCTTTCTCTCTCTCTCATCTGTTTTTGTTAGTTCTCTGGCAGCTCCAGGTTTACATCTTCACAGCATCAAATTAAACATTTACTCTAGAAAGTAAAATTACTAGCTTTGATTTGAAGTACTTGGGTTAAATACTGAACCTACAACTAATTACTGATTTACACATCCATCGGCGATCTTGCCCCCACCCAAACCACGTGGGAAGAGAGTGGAATGAGAAGTGGGTTCCTAATGAGCACAGAGGACTCATTTCTTTCAAGAAGGACAGCCGGATGTATTCAGAAGAAGCCCTGGAGTCTACATATGGCCAAGGAGAAGTTGAGAGGGAGCAGGAACCAGTATCCAAATTAGAACTGTAATATTCCCACTAGTTTTCTCTCCTCGACACCTCACAGCTTCTATGGAGAATATTACAAGGTTGGAGGTCCCCACATCGTCACCTAGATGGCCTTTTCCAATTTTCCTTGGGATACAGAAAATGAAGGAAATTGATGTTCTGCAGGACAGGCTATGTGGTAAAGCAGGGGTATCTAAACTTTCGGCTTCCCTGGGCCACATTGGAAGAAGAAGAATTGTCTTGGGCCACACATAAAATACACTAACACTAACGATAGCTGATGAGCTAAAAAAATTTTTTGTAATATTTTAAGAAAGTTAATGAATTTGTGTTGGGCTGCCTTCAAAGCCACACTGGGCTGCATGTAGCCCTTGGGCTGCAGGTTGGACAAGTTTGTGGTAAAGAAATATGGATAAAGTATGAATTGTGCAAAGTTGTAAATACGCTTGAACTAGATTTAACTCACAAAGGAACTTTTTTCAGTCTACCCTTCTGATAACACTGACCTTCCTCTAATAGAAAGGTTACAGCTTTCAGTTAGATGACACATTTTTTTTCCAGAGGGTTAGGGATAAACATAACTTTTTTTCAAACCTATCTCAGCTTTTTACTATCTATCTTGAACCAATAAAATAATCAAGATTGTGGCAAGGACGATGCAATCCCTCTTTCCTTATCACATTCAGCATTGTGTCTCCTATGTCTGTCTCTTTTCTCCCTGCAGTTTCTGAGTCTCCGTGCTTCAGTTTCATGTGTCTGTCTTCTGAGGAGGTCATCTGCCAAGCTACATCATGGCAGACCTAATGATAGGCTTTATTACTCTTTTCTGGCAGCTGCCTGTGCTTTCTTTCCTTTGTGGGGCAAGGAGGAGGTTCATTCTCACCCTGTGTTCTCTGCTTATCAATTCTACGTAAGAGAAGATGGCAGGAGAAAAGCAGGCAGTGTAGTGTATGTCATTCTATTAACAGGGGAGGCAGGAGTAAAAACAAAAGTAAATCTTCCCTCAATTCTTAATGTTCCCGAATCCACAGTGGATTGTTTTAGCACTGTGGAGATCCCTACTAGGTGCCCTTGTTCCAAATTCTAACCATGAAAGATCAGTTATAAGCCAGCTTTACTAGCCAGTTTTATTCCAATGATTTTGCTTACAAAATGGTTCCAGGTTTCTAGTACATAAGTTATATCTGATTAGAAGTGAACTGTCTGCAATGAAATATAGATATTTCCTATTTGGTTTGGGAAAATCTAAATAAATCAGGTAGCTATGACCTACTTTCTCAGAGGATCCAAACCATCAGCCCTGGGGCCACTATGAAAGCTTGACCATTTCACATATAGTCAACGGAGTCAGATATTGGCATCATTCATTTGAATCCTTGTTTAAAAGTATTATTATACATTTACAGTGATCAAAATAATATAATGGTTTGTTGTATCTTCCAAAAATGGCCAGAGGAATATTATCCACCTTTTTCCTAAGTGTTGGCACTTCCCCATCAAGACATGAAGTCTCTATCGCCCTCTCTTAAAACTAAACTTTGGCACTTCTCGATCAAGACATGAAATCTCTATCCTTTTCTCTTGAAACTAGATGGGCTTTTGTCAATGTCTCAATGAATAGGTGAAGCAGAAGTAGCTTTTTTGACACTAGGTATGATGTTTGACACTAGGACATAAAGGGTAATACAGCTTTCTCCTGAACTTCTTCTTGGGACACTTGCCATTAGAGCCCAGACATCATTTGGTGAATAAGCTTGGACAAAAAGTCTGGGACAGTAAATAATTGGACCAGGTTTAGCTGATTTTTAAAACCAACGAAAAGATGTTAATATCATGAATTAGAACTGATATTCTGGGGAAAATATTAAACTCCCCTATTAAGGATAAATTTTCCTTCCTCCCTTGATCCCTCCTTCCCTCCTTTTTTTCATTCCTTCCTTCCTTCCCTTCTTTCTTTCCTTCCTTCCTTCCTTCCTTCCTCCCTCCCCCTTCCTTCCTTCTTCCCTCCCTTCCTCCCTTCCTTCCCTCCTTCCTTCCTTCCCTCCCTCATTCCCTCCTTCCTTCCCTCTCTATTTCCTTCACTACTTCCTCCTTCCTTCCTCATCTGCCAAGCTGAACACTTTTTTTGCTAGAAATACAGGAAATAAACTGCTTCACCAAAGTCCCACTTTCTCCTAGGTGTGTGTAGGACAACTTGGCATAGGACCAAAGTGGCCTGAAAGAGTTAAAGAATCATCCCCAAGATGTATTTCACAATAGATACATTTTATCATATCTTAAAGCATCATAAATATGTTATTTAGTTGGTGAAAATATGCATATTTTCTCCTCTGCTTATTTCTTGATAGAGTTCATGGCTATCCTGTCTTCCTCTGACCCTTTTTAAACTTCAGTAAATGTCTATGTGCATTACTGTGAAATCTCCAAAAGACTGTTTGTAACATTTTCTCAAAATAGCATTTTCTGTAAGGATCATCCATTTATCCATCCATCCATGAATTAGTACACTTAACCCATATGTGTCAAGTGTCCATTAGGTACAGGGTACTGGCGATCCAAAGTTAGGAGTTAGAAGACTTGCCCTTACAAATATCAGAGTCTCATGCGAGAGATAGAAAAGCAAACATATAAATTAATTGATTAATTAATTCAACAAACATTTATCAAGCTCCTACTGTATTTCCAGGATTATGACAGACTCCGGAGTTCACAGCAATAAGAAAGGTAGATACAGCCTTTGTCTTATAGATAAGGGATTAGGATAGAAAACCAAATACAAAATCCAATAAAGAGTTTAGAGAAGATCTTCTAAGAAACGGTGTCAATCCTTTGGCTTCCCTGGGCCACACTGAAAGAAGAAGAATTGTCTTGGGCCACACATAAAATACACTAACACTAATGATAGTTGATGAGCTAAAAAAAAAAAAAATTGCAAAAAAATCTCATAATGTTCTAAGAAAGTTTATGAATTTTTGTTGGGCTGCTTTAAAACTGTCCTGGGCCACATGTGGCCTGCAGGCCATGGGTTGGACAAGCTTGTCCTAAAGGAAGTGAAGTATTAGCTGAAACCTGTGGACAAATTGGAGTGAGCCAGGTGAAGGCAGATTTAGGAAGAGAGTACAAGTTAAGAAGGGAAGCAGGTGTGAAGATCTAGAGGCGAGGAAGAGAATGGTATGTGCATTTGAAAAACCAAAAGAAGTTCAGTAAGGGAAGGATGATGCCTGGATGGAGATGATGGCGAGAAATAAGCCTGGAAAAGTGGGCCGTCTCAAAGGTAAAGGGAAACCATTGAAAAGATGAAGCACCCTGGGAATAATGAGATAATTCTATGTAGACTCTTACGACTGCAAGATGATGAATAAATCTTCATGGAGCAGGCTTAGAATCAGGAGCCCTGTGAGATGGCTGTAGAGACAATCTTGGACAAAGGTCATGATGGTTAGTATGAGGATGGTGACAGTGATGAATAAAAGTGTACATGTTTAAAATCTGGAGTTATAATATGTAGGGCATTTTTATTTGATGGGTTAGATGTCAAGGATGGAAACATGAAGAGTCAGAATAAATTCCGGGTTTCTAGACTAGGCAACAGGGAAGGTTGTCATGCCACTGAAGGCGAACCCTTCCTTAGGAAGGAGATTGGGACCAGGTGCAGTGGCTCACGCCTATAATCCCAGTACTTTGGGAGGCCAAAGCGGGCAGATCACAAGGTCAGGAGATCGAGACCGTCCTGGCCAACATGGTGAAACCCCATCTCTACTAAAAATACAAAAATTAGCTGGATGTGGTGGTGAGTACCTGTAATCCCAGCTACTTGGGAGGCCGAGGCAGGAGAATTGCTTGAACTGGGGAGTTGGAGGTTGCAGTGAGCTGAGATCACACCACTGCACTCCAGCCTGGTGACAGAGTGAGACTCCATCTCAAAAAATAAATAAATAAATAAATAAAGGAAGGAAGGAAGGAGATTGGATCTGGAAATAAGATAATGGGTACAGTTTGGGTTATACTGAATCTGAGTTTTCTGTAAGATATCCCAGTAGAAATGTCAAGTTATAGTCAATAGAGACAAGTTGGAAGTTCAATATATATATATCTGGAACTCAGCAAGAAAAAAATGGACTAAAGCTAAATATCTAGGAACTATCAACATGTAGAAGATGATAATAGAAGCCCTGAGAGTAGTAAATATATAAGGTCAGAGAAAAAGGCCTGGTGCAGAATGAGAAAGAAAACTAAGTTTTAGGGGCGATGTTGGATATCTAGATAGACTCACTGGGGAAAAGAAACCAGGAGAATGTGGAACCTAAGAAACCAAACACATTGCAAATATTTATATATTTAGAAAAAATATACCTAAGTTTTAGGAGTATCATCTGGCAGACGTTGAGAACTTTGGACTAACCTAAGGTAGTGGCATTGGTGACGAAGAAGAGAAAACATGCACTTGGGAGATAAAGTGGGCCGGGCTTGGAAATGAATGGTTTCTAAGGATAAGGGAGGAGTAAGGTAGTAATTCCCTGTTTGTTCCAGGCATCAAGGGCAATTGTAGAGGCTTCCCCACCAGTCAAGTCTTACGAGGGTTTATTCACACTGAGTGTTTAAAGAACACACAGGCAGGATGTCTATATATCTTTGTGTGTCTTAAAAAGAGTCTGTTTTTAACACAGTGAGTTCTCACTGTGTGACCTTTGCAATGTACAAAGAACTACACAGTGAGATACTTGCAGGTGCTTTCTAGAAAGGGATTGACAACTCTGCAGGTCTGCAGATGACACATTTCCTGACTATTCTTAAGTTGGCTTTGGGGGTTACATCCGTAAGAATACACCTGTTCTGCTTTCTCCTGACAACCAAAGACAAAACGATTATTCGAGATTCCTCCACAAAATGCATCCTTGAGATTTAATTTTTTAGTTGGCTATGAACTAACTTGATCCAAAACGGAGGGGAGTATTCTGAAATTCTTACAACCTTCAGCCTGGTTATTACTTAGGGCAGGCACGAGATGTCTTCCTTCCTTCTTTCTTTCCTTCTTCCCTTCTCCCCCACTCCCCCCGCTCCTCACCCCCTTATCTCTTCTCTACCTCTGGACAATCGACAATCATAGCTTAATGTTCTAATATCAAAGGCTTAAGAAAATAAGACAAACCAGAGGAGAATACAAGCTCTACATGCATAGAGAGATAATAGAAGGCTCCTGGCCTGCAGAGCCAAAGAGCAGGACACTGCCTGCGGCAAGGTCTCCTTGTGTGCAGGTAGGAGACTTATTAATCTGTTGCTACCCAAGCACCTAAAGCTTTTAGCACCCTTGGATAGAACTGATGCAGCTTTAAAGACAGCATCACTTAAACATTCTCTTTGGTCAGTTAAGCCGGAAAATGGGTTAGCAACTAAGCACATAAAATGTTCTAACCTGTTTGTGTATAAAAGTCAACATTATATTCATCTGGATTTTAAGAAGCTGAGAAATTGCTTTATCACTAGACACTCAGAAAGCTGAGCAAATGATTACTTCCACAAATGACAGGTAGTCTATGTTCACTCACTTTAGTATTATTTCACTTCTGGACTGACTGTAAATCTTTTGTCCTCTGGATCAGTGTCTATTTTTTCATCAGAACAAATCACACTAACATTTTAATGAAAATGAGCAAAAAACATTGTACACATTTTCTTTTCATTATCCATAATCCATTTTATATATTTACTGCAAATAGCCTTACAGTAAACATGTCATAATTTTAATGAGTCACATGTGTTGCTAATTAAAAGGCTTTATTAGGCTGGATTTCTTTTTTTTTTTTTTTTTTTTTTTTTTTGAGACGGAGTCTCACTCCGTCTCCCAGGCTGGAGTGCAGTGGCGCGATCTCGGCTCACTGCAACCTCCGCCTCCCAGGTTCAAGCAATTCTCCTGCCTCAGCCTCCCGTGTAGCTGGGACTACAGGTGCCGGCCACTACGCAAGGCTAATTTTTGTATTTTTAGTAGAGACGGGGTTTCGCCATATTGGTCAGGCTGGTCTCGAACTCCCGACTTCAGGTGATCCGCCCGCCTCAGCCTCCCAAAATGCTGGAATTACAGGCATGAGCCACCGCGCCCGGCTTAGGCTGGATTTCATATACTGCCTAGTAGCCCTACAATTTATCAGGCTTTCTTTCCTCTACTGCCTTAGTGAGTCTATAGCCTCTTTGAACTCATCATCCTTTCCAACCTCCATGCTTTTCTCAATGCACTAGGGCTAGGTTTTCATAAAATTCTGCCATCTATGAAGGTTATATTGCCCAAGAACTGAACCAAGTGAATATTATCTTGAAACCTAGCACTGTATTATGTTTAGTGAGCGCAATAGAACTCTCTTGCAGAAAGCCTACAAAATTGAAAGCTGAAAACTGTGACTGTTGGAAATAAAAAGCACAAAGATAAAAAAGAAAATAGAAAACAAAACAAAACAAAACAAAACTTGAGCCTCTTTCCTGAAACCCCCAGTGGTAAAAAAAAAAAAAAAAAAAAAAAAAGGAAGAAGAAAAATGGGATGTGAAGCGCCTATGATCCATTTTTTTTCAAATCTAAAATACATGTCAAGTAAACATTTTACAAAATCAGTTATTCTTCTCAGATGACACCAATACACTGGAACAAAATACTTTGTTAGGTTTGGATCTGATCCCCTGGGGTGTACAGACTGCCTTCTGTCCTTAAATGAGATGTCTGCCTTCCATTACTGCTATATTGAAATAACTAGTGAAAAGAACATGAATGCCTGAAGTGCAGAAGTCGCTTCATTTATTCATGCATTCATTCACTCATGTATCTAACATATTTCTTTTGAATGTCATATTTCTTTTGATGCATCCACAGTCTGCAGCAGACTGTAGATGCAGGAGTAGACAAAACAGTGTTTTTGACTTAATGGTGCTTACTTTGTAGTAGGAGCCAAGAGACAATAATTAAATAAGCACATAAAGTATTTTAAGAGAGTGAGAAATACATTAATTGAATATTTAAGGAGAGTGATAGTGCGACAAAGGAAAAACCTTGATTCCCTTCTCTCAAATCCCATATTCCATCTATTAGCAAAACCTGTTAGCCCTGCCTTCAAAATATATTCAGAACCTGACTCATTCTAAACTGTGATCATAAACATCCTGGTCTAAGTCAGCATCCTCTTTCTCCAGTGTTGACACAGCAGCCTCCTAACTGTTTTCTTGGCTTCAATCCTCATCTTCCCTATGATCTATTTTCGTGCAACCACAGTAATACTTCTAACACTGAATCAGATCATGCTACTCAGTCCAATGCCTTCTGATCTCAGAGTAAACGCCAAAGTCCCAGCAATGTCTTCAAGGCCCTTCACTGGCTGCCATCCCTCCACCTCTGCGACCTGTCATAGCCCACGCTGCTCTAAAATTCTGGCATCCTTGTAATTATTTAAGCACAGCAGCCATGCTCCTGCCTTAGGCTCTGTGGTGGGCAGAATTCCAAAATTGTCCCCCAAGGTTCCTGGCCCCTGATGTACACACACCAACTGTCAGCTATTTAATCGAACATGAATTTAGATACAGCTGTGAAGGGATTTTTTGTGTGTAACTAAAGTCTCAAATTTGTTAACTTTTAAAACAGGGAGATTATCCTGGGGGAGAGGAGAGAAGGGAACTTACCTGATTGCATGAGACTTTAAATCTGGGTTTAGTGGTCAGGAGCAGAGAAAGTCAGACTCAAAGCACAAGGGGATTTGATGTTTAAGGATTTCTCTGTTGCTAGCTTAAAGATAAAGGGGGCCGCATGGCAGTGAACGCAAGTGACTGTTAGTAGGTGAGAGCAGCCCCCGACTGACAGCCATCAAGGAAATGGCTCTGATCACCACAAGGAACTGAATTCTGTCATCAACCTGAGTGGGATTGGAAGACGATCCTGAGCCCGAGATGATGTAGCAGCCCAGCCAACACCTTGATTTCAGCCATGTGAGACCCTGGGCAGGGAACCCCGTGGCACTGTGCCTAGACTTCTAATCTGTAAGGAACCATGAAATGCTACATGTGTGTTGTTTTAAGCCGCTATGTTTGGAGTAATTTGTTATGCAGAACTACAAAACTAATAGAAGCTCTTTGCATTTGCCATTCCTCTTTCCTAGAATGTTTTCCTCAGTTATTCTTCAGAGACCTCTCTGGCTTTCTCCCTCACTTCCTGCAGGTTTCTGATTAATTACCATCTTGTTATGAGGCCTTTCATAACACAAAGTGGACTGACACTCATATATTGGGTAATTTGAGGATTTGAATAAAGTGACTGTAAAAGTGTAGTTGTTACCAAGCCATCAGTGGTCTTGCTGCCCAATGCGCATAGCGGCCAATATCATGGTAGTAGCTTTTGAGAAAAGAAAAGCTTTATTGTGAATTGACTGGCAAGGAGACAGTCAAACACCCTAATCTGTCTTTCCAGTCTGAGGTCTGGGGCTGGTTTTACAGGCAGAGGGTAACAAGGTATAATCTGATTGGAATCTTCCCATGGGGTGACACCAGGGCTCAATCTAATTGGATCATGGATTATGCCATGTGGTGTCCTCTTAATTTGGTCCCCGTTCCTTGGTCTGAGCACTTAGGTTCCATGTGGTTGCACACTTGGTTCATGCTCAGTTGTGTAACTTGCAACCTAGGGTCCGTGTCAACTGAAAAACAACTCACAACTTTTATCACACTAAGTTGAACCAGGTTGAGCTGGTTTTATGGTTACATAGGCAGGTTATAGAGAAAACAGAGTAGTACCCTGGCGTTAATGGGAGGGGATCAAGGGGAAAAAAGGTGATGGGAATTTGGGACATGGCTGTGTAGCGAGAACTATCCAGCAGGAGCTGGGACCTTCCGTACAGACGTACAGCCGGGGGGAGAAAGCCATGAAAGTATCACTCCTCGACGGCTCTCCTCCATGCCTATTGTCCAACACTCTCGCTGGAAAATAAGTGTTATGAGGGCAAATATTTGACCACGTGTGTTCCCTGTTTTATCCCCGGGGCCTAGAACAGTGCTTGAATATAGTGTTCAACCTTCTTCAAGTGAATGCATGAGAAGGTAGAGAGATATTATCATAGACTGGGTAACAGAGATTTCTCTAACACTTGAGCTAAGATATAACTGATGAGAAGGAGGTGGCCAAGAGCAGAAAAAGGATATGAAATTCTGGATGGAGGAAATAGAAAACACCCAGGCCCTAAGGAGGAAATGAGTTTCTATGTTTCAGGAACAGTGTAGACACGCAGCTGCATTGAGGTTGAGTGTTGGAAATAATGCTTGATGTGAAAGAGGTAGGCAGAGACTAACTCATAGAGTGTCTGGTAGGACATGGTAAGTGATAGGGTTTGGATTTGTGTCCCTGCCAAAACTGGTGGTGAATTATAATCCCCCGTGTTGAAGGTGGGGACTGGTAGGAGGTGACTGAACCATGGGGGTGGATCCCTCATACTTTGGTGCTGTCCTCATGGTAGTGAGTTCTTTGCAAGATCTGGTTGTGGTAAAGTGTGACACTCCCTCCCCCAACCTCTTCCTTCTGCTTTCACCATATAATGTGCCTTCTATCCCTTCACAGTCTAGCATGATTAAAAGTCCCCTGATGCCTCCCCAGAAGCCAAACAGACTCTGATGCCATGCCTGTACAGCCTGTGGAACTCTCAGCCAACTAAACTTCTTTTCTTTATAAATTACCTTCTACATAGCAACACGAGAATAGACTAGTATAGCAAGGAATTTGCATTTAATTTTAAATACCAGAAAAAGATGTTGTGGGGTTTTAGGCTGAGAAGAGAAGAGACACTGTGTATTTTACATTGTTAATGTCCAGAGAAAAAATCCAAATATAAGGTAATAACTGAATAGCTGTGTTTGTGAGTCAAATCTTTGCCTCTCGGTTCTAATACATCTGTTTCTAGGTATAGAATCTTAATGAACTCTCCCAGTTTTTATTTCCCCATTGCCTTTGGTGTTTTTCTATCCTCCATACCTGACAGGAGACTTTATGTGGGATGCACTCTGCAGCTCTTTGATTAGAATCTTCCAATTTTAATTCTCAAAAATCCCTCAAGTGTTGTCTTGGGTACTGTACAAAGATGGCAGAGTTGTATTCTATTTTATCTTCAGGGTCTAGAAGAATATCTGGGCATAGTAAGTGCTCAGTACTTAATACCTTTTAGAAAATTTTATTAGCCCTTGTTTGTCTAACTCAGTAAGAATAAAATACCCATGATCGGGCAGTTTGTGATCAAATCCCAGCATAGGATCTTCCTAGCAATACAACATTGAACATGCCTTCAGTTTCTCTCCGTTTTAGTTTGTAATCTGCAAAATGGCATGGATAATATTATTTTGGCAGTAATTAATACATTAAATGAGGTAATATCTACAAAATCCTAGCACATCGTTAATGATTAATAAATGAGGCATTATTCTTCACTATTATTAGATATTGCAGGTGGAACGCAGTGAGTTGAAGGAAATAAGATTTTGTACTTCTTCTCTCACCTACTCAGTCCTATCCCCAGAAAAGGGAGCTAGCATTGGCTATATATATACATATATAAAGGGGAGTTTATTAAGTATTAACTTACATCATCACAAGGTCCCACAACAGGCTGTCTGCAAGCTGAGGAGCAAGGAGAGCCAGTCCAAGTCCCAAAACTGAAGAACTTGGAGTTCGATGTTCGAGGGCAGGAAGCATCCAGCGGGGGAAAAAGATGTAGGCTGGAAGGCTAGGCCAGTCTCACCTTTTCACATTTTCCTGCCTGCTTTCTATTCGTTGGCAGCTGATTAGATTGTGCCCACCAGATTAAGGGTGGGTCTGCCTTCCCCAGCCCACTGACTCAAATGTTAATCCCTTTTGGCAACACCCTCACAGATACACCCAGGATCAATACTTTGTATCCTTCAATCCAATCAAGTTGACAGTACTAACCTACTAACCATCACAGTGGGAAAATGCTTCTTCTTTTTTTTTGATCTACGGAGTCTCGGTCTGTCACCCAGGCTGGAGTGCAGTGGCACAATCTCTGCTCACTGCAAGCTCCGCCTCCCGGGTTCATGCCATTCTCCTGCCTCAGCCTCCTGAGTAGGTGGGACTACAGACACCTGCCACCACGCCCGGCTAATTTCTTGTATTTTTAGTAGAGACGGGGTTTCACCATGTTAGCCAGGATGGTCTCGATCTCCTGACCTCGTGATCTGCCCGCCTCTGCCTCCCGAAGTGCTGGGATTACAGGCGTGAGCCACCACGCCCGGCCGAAAATGCTTCTTATGTCTAGGAGTGGTGAGCACCAGTGCCCATTCCCACAGTGCTACTTCAGAGGAGCTGCACAGGCCTGGGGAGCCTGGGGGCCTAAAGTGTGAGAGGTGTGGCTTTGATAACTTTATTGAAATGGCCCTGGGAGCAATAGTAAGCATAAAGGACTAGTCTGTCTGCAGTGCTCTGTACTGAACAATTTGCATAGTGATATTGACCATGATTGAACAGGCTCTCCACCTATTTTCCAAACACCACATAGTGTCCCTGGAAGCTTATACAACCTAAAAAGATCACCTAAAACTGATACCTTACAACATGAGTCAAATTGGTTTCTTATCACCCTGGTTAGAGAACTCTCCAAGTAAGATTGAATTTAATGTAGAAAAATAATGTGGTGGAGTAAAATTAAATGCTAAACTATTTCAACAGTGATGATGTAGATGGTAATTAGTAAATATTCAAAGGAGCGAATCTGCATTCCCCATTTTTCTGTGCACCATTTCCAACTTTAAGCCAAATAATTCGTATTGTAGTCCGATGACATTCGTTGTCTCAGAATGAAAGATTTCTGAAGAAAAGAAGAGCTAATGGAAGGGTATGGAGGCTTTTTCCCCCTCCCGCCAACTCTTTTTATCATAGGATCATCGAGACAGAAGGGATCTCAGAAGGCGTTTTAATCCCCTACTACTTGTCTCTGAGAATGGCTGAGAGCATTATTTCTTCCTGCCACTTTCCTCTGGGATTATTCGGCTTACTGAAATCTGCTATTTACTTTATAGGTTTATACAATAAAAAGTATTTAGATGAGCTGAAGTGCCGCTCCTTAAAAATGTATGTAATTCCAGTTGGCTTTTTAAATGGCTATCTTTGAAATGCAGAAATGCATAATAAAATCAGCAATGTTTCAGTGAGTGGAAATATTGAATGTTCCTTTGTTACACTGGGTATCTCTGAACAACTGGAATGCATTCGCAATGCTTGCTGGTCTCCTGAGAGACATGCATCAAAAGAGTGCTCTTGTTGGTGGGCTGGTTTGATGACATAGAGGCATTCTTATGTTTGAAGCATCTCAGTAGTTTTATAAATTTAAAAAAAAATATGATTTCTCTTTTAGTGATGAAGCACTCATTGTATTCTGATGAATTCTGATTCTTTGATTCAATGAGTTCTGATCTAGTTTACAAAGTTTTTAAGACTAGATTACTGAAGACAAACTTCTCAGCTCCTGGATTATGTAGGACAAGGATTACTGCTTCTGCAGATTCAGCAAGTTGCTGTTCTGAGGAAGTACGCACAGTGGAAAAACCATAGGCAGTGGGGTTGAATTGCCCGGGCTTAGAACACAGCTCCACTGCGTTCTATCTGTGTAAACTTGTATTCTTCTGAAAGCTCACGCAGAGACAGGGACTTGGGTGTGGGTACTTAACCTGGGAAGTGATTCCAAGAAGGTACTTAACCTGAGAAGTGATTCCAAGATGAAGAAAAAGGAAAAAAGCCAATGACTGGTTAGTGCTGTGGACAACCAGGACTCAATCCAACCAGGCGTCTCTGAGATTCCCTATAAAATGTGCTTTGGAATAGCCACATGGAGGGATGGGGAAGCTGGGCTGGGTATTCACCCATACCTGTTTCTCAAGAACTGAGGGTTCTTCCTGGGGTGTTAAATTCCAGGTACTGCCCAACTGTCCTGCCCAGGAGCTGCAAAAGCTCTCAGAAAACTCCCAGACAGAGAATCAGAGAAAGGCTGACACTTATTGAGGAGGTGGGGCAGGGGGACTCTCAGTGCAAATAGGGGACTTCAGAGGTGGGTTGGGGGATGTGAGAGGTGAATAAACAGTGTCTCCTACAGTCTTTGCACGCATAATCAAAGGATTTTATAAGAATGAGTCAATTTGGGAGGAAAATCATACTTAGCATAGTCTACCAACTTGTATACAACACCTATGGAGAATACAATACGATGTTTGCCAGGTAAAGCGTTCTGTCTAGCCTTCAGTACCTTCCCATTAACTTGTATGGTGAGGGAGTAAAACTCAGAAGTATGGCATCACTGTTTTCTCATACGACATGCCCTGAGATGTGTGCTTTGGGCTTCAGGGGCTCCTGAATGGTTCTAGAAGATTCTGAATGTATTTTTAGCAGGTGACTGGTATTGTAAAGCAGCAGCTTGGCATCTTCCTGTTTTTACTCTGCATAGATCAGAGTTGTCCTGCTCCGTGACTGTGATCTCTATGTGTTGCATCGATGGGATGCTGTTTTGAAGTCTCCGAGGTAGGGAGACGCTCTTAGGATCAAGGAGAATTGAAAATAATCTCTCCTTCTATGAGGCTTTGGAAAGTTGTGTATGACACCATTAGCCATGCTCCATGCAGCCTTGGTTAAGAAGCATCTTGGGGCTGCTACCAAGTATTTCATGCCCAATATAATCTAGGCTGTATCTGTAGGTAAGTAAAGTATTATTAACCCCATTTTCCAAATGAGGCAACTGAGGTCCAAAACACTGACCCATGCGTCAGAATCACCTACTGGGCTCATTAAAACAAATGACTGGGCCCCACCCTAAGAGTTTCTGAGTGCTGATTCTTGATCTAGAGTGGCACCTGAGAATTTGCATCTCTAACAAGTTCTTAGGTAATGTGCAGCTGGTCTAGGGACCACACTTTGAGAGCTGCTGAAATATTTTATATATATGTGTGTGTATGTGTGTGTGTAGTGTATCTCAGTTAATGTTTGTCTTTGCAGCTGGATGATCTAAGCACTAGAGACCATGTCTGTCTTATTCACTGGTCATTCTGTAGCTCAGGTACTGGCCCATAGTGCCAAGGTATTTGTTGAAAGAGAGGATGTGTGAATAAAATTCCGGGTGAAGCTTAACTATTGCCTGTGAACAGACGATGTGTTCCTGCCTGGAATGTCTATTTCTAAGGTGCATTTTTTGAGCTCTTCTTTTCCAGACTCTAGTCTTCTCCTCACCATTGATACCTATTTTTAAAATCCTACTGAGTCAATTCCTATTCCAGGTGGCTGTTGACTTGCTGGTCTCCGATTAGACATATTTTCTAAGCAAGCTGAGCTCAGGGGTCCCTTATGCTTTCTCATGACTGACTTGCTTTACTTCAGCTCCACTATCTGTAGTCCATGGTCGATATGTTATCTCTTGTCTCTATTTAACCTCTGGCTCTTAAGGAGCATAAAAGATTGATTTAGAAAACCACAGCCAGTCTGGGTCTCATCATTAGAAACTTCTCTGAATGAAGCAGGAAAGAAGCCAGTAGTTTTCTAGTCCCCTTGAGGGGATGGTATTATTAAAACAAAAACAATCTTTGCCTTTTATTTCTTTCTTCATAATTGTCAGTGCCCTTAAGTTGACTTCTAACACAAATGCTGTGTTGAAGAAAAATCTAAATGATAGTAAGATACTTCTCCTTAGAGTATTTTATGAGGAAGCCATGGTTTTCCTGAAATCTTGGCTTCAGAAGATGTACATGGAATCATCCATGGGGATTTAGAATGCAGATTCCTGGGTTCCAACCCAGTTGTATTGAATTGGAAGCAAACTCTCTGTGGAGAAGGCCCAGGAATCAGCACCCCTGGGGACTGCTGTGACCAATATGTGAGAACAACTGCAATAGACCATGGGCTGGCAGACCTTTTCTGTAAAAGGCCAGATAGTAAATATTTTCAGCTTTGCTGGTAAATATTTTCAGCTTTGCTGGGCACATGGTCTCTCCTATGAGTACTCAACTCTGCCACTGCAGCACAAAAACAAACATAGCAGTATGTAAATGTGTACTAGCCCATTTACATGCTGCTGATAAATACATACCCGAGGACTGGGCAATTTACAAAACAAAGAGCTTTATTGGAATCACAGTTCTATGTAGCTGGGGAGGCCTCACAATCATGGTGGAAGGTAAAAGGCACATCTCACAAGACCACAGTCAAGAGAATAGAGCTTGTTCAGGGAAACTCCCATATTTAAAACCGTCAGACCTCATGAAACCCATTCATTATCCGAACAGCACAGGAAAGATCCACTCCATGATTCAATCATCTCCCACCAGGTCCCTCCCACAACGCATGGGAATTATGGGAGATACAAGATGAGATTTGGGTGGGGACACAGAGCCAAACCATATCATTCTGGCCCTGGTCCCTCTCAAATCTCATATCTTCATGTTCAAAAACCAATCATGCCTTGTCAACAGTCCCCCAAAGTCTTAATTCATTTCGTCATTAACTCAAAAGTCCACAGTCCAAAGCCTCATCTGAAACAGGGCAAGTTCCTTCTGCCTATGAGCCTGTAAAATCAAAAGCATGTTAGTTACTTTCTAGATACGATGGGGTACAGGCATTGGTAAATACAGCTATTCCAAATGGGAGAAATTGGCCAAAACAAAGTTTCTAAAGGCTCCATGCAAGTCCAAAATCTAGCTAGGCAGTCAAATCTTAAAGCCCCAAAATGATCTTCTTTGACTCCATGTCTCACATCCAGGTCATGCTGATGCAAGAGGTGGGTTCTCATGGACTTGGGCAGCTCTGCCCCTGTGGTTTTGCAGGGTATATCCCCCCTCCTGGCTGCTTTCACAGGCTGGTGTTGAGTGTCTGTGGCCTTTCCAGGCACACAGTGCAAGCTGTAGGTGGATCTACCATTCTGGGATCAGGAAGACGTTGACCCTCTTCTCACAGTTCCACTAGGCGGTGCACCAGTAGGGATTCTGTGTCGGGGCTCTGACCCCACATTTCCCTTCCACACTGCCTTAGCAGGAGTTCTCTGTGAGAGCCCCACCCCTACAGCAAACCTCTGCTGGACATCCAGGCATTTCCATACATCCTCTGAAAACTAGGCATATGTTCCCAAACCTCAGTCCTTTACTTCTGTGCACACGCAGGCTCAACACCATGTGGAAGCCGCCAAGGCTTGGGGCTTGCACCCTCTGAAGCCACATCCTGAGCTGTACCTTGGCCCCTTTTAGTCGTGGCTGGAGCAGCTGGTAAGCAGGACACCAAGTCCCTAGACTTCACACAGCAGGGGGACTCTGAGCCAGCCCACAGAACCATTTTTTCTTCCTGTGCTTCTGTGCCTGTGATGGGAGGGGCTGTTGTGAAGACCTCTGACATGCGCTGGAGACATTTTCTCCATTGTCTTGGGGATTAACATTCAGCTCCTCATTACTTCTGCAAATTTCTGCAGCTGGTTTGAATTTTCTATCACATTTTCAGGTGGCAAACTTTCTATACTTTTATGCTCTGTTTCTCTTTTAAAACTGAATGCCTTTAACAGCACCCAAGTCACCTCTTGAATGCTTTGACATTTTTTTCCCCCAGATACCCTAAATCATCTCTCTCAAGTTCACATTTCCACAGATCTCGGTCAGGGGCAAAATGCCACCAGTCTCTTTGCTAAAACATAACAAGAGTCATCTTTGCTCTAGTTCCCAACAAGTTCCTCATCTCCATCTGAGACCACCTCAGCCTGGATTTCATTGTCTATATTATTATCAGTATTTTGGTCAAAGCCACTCAACAAGTCTCTAGGGAGTTCCAAACTTTCCCACATATTCCTGTC
Organism: Homo sapiens; assembly: GCF_000001405.40. NCBI lineage: Eukaryota > Metazoa > Chordata > Mammalia > Primates > Hominidae > Homo > Homo sapiens. The sequence continues at coordinate 5,982,422 of NC_000003.12, forward strand.
TTCTTCTGAGCCCTCCAAGCCTGTTACCTAGTTCCAAAATCACTTCCACATTTTCAGGTATCTTTTCATTAATGCCCCACTCTACTGGTGCCAATTTACTGTATTAGTTCATTTTCAGGTTGCTGATAAAGACATACCTGAGACTGGGCAATTTACAAAAGAAAGAAGTCTATTGGGGTTCACAGTTCTGTGTGGGTGGGGAGGCCTCACAATCATAGCAGAAGGTGAAAGGCATGTCTCACATGGCCACAGACAAGAGAATAGAGCTTGTGCAGGGAAACTCCTGTTTTTAAAACCATCAGATCTCATAAGACACATTCACTATCAGAAGAACAGCATGGGAAGACCTGCCCCTATGATTCAATCATCTCCCACCAGGTCCCTCCCATAACATGTAGGAATTATGTAGAGATTCGGGTGGGGACACAGAGCCAAACCATACCAAAATAAATCAGTGTAGCTGTGTTCTAATAAAAATTTTATTTATGGACACTGACATTTGAATTTCATATAATGTTCCTGTGTCATGAGACACAGTAAAAAATCCTTTAATTATTTTTTAACCACTTAAAAATATGAAAACCCTTCTTAATACACAGGACTTACTTTGGCCCACAGGCCGTAGTCTGTTACCCACTCTCCTGGACTGTCTAGATGGTTGTAAGGAGAGAGTAGTATGCAGAGTTGCAAGTACTCTGCTGATGTTGATGTTCAATATTTGAGCAGAGTGTCTCAGACTTTATATGCTCTATTTTCCTTCTTGGAATTCTGGAAAGCCTGTGAGGTGACAAAATGTTAGAGAGAAATGGAGAAAATAAGCAATTTGGCAGTCTCTCAGACAAGGTTTGGAAATCAAACTGTTAATGCAGTCTTCAAGGCCTCATAATGCTTTTGATATTTTTCATCAACATTACAGGCAGTGCTGTTTTCATAAGACTCAGTTATGGGTTTGGAATTCGCTGTCCTAATAGGGCTTATGGTAATAACCTCAACCTTGGCTCCAGAAATGGCTTGCACCTGAAGTCTGTTTCCTGGGCCACATGATTAAGTGTTATATTGGATGTAAGAATCCAGTCAGAGCCAATGACATCGTCTTATACAGGAGATGCTAGGGAAAAGAGAGGCAGGACCTCTGTGCTGATGGATTTGAACCTCAGTGAATACATAGCTGAAACTTCTGCAGCTATCTGGGTGCTATCATTTTTGCAAGTGTCTTTGAGAACGGAGTCAACCCGACTCATTGGGGGACCAGACATCAGACAGAAAGGACCTACCAGGCATGACTGAAAGCTTCCTTGCAGTAATTCAGCTTTCTAGACTTCCCATGACAAAATCAATACATTCTCTGTTTGACTGAGATAGAACTAGTGAGATTTTCTGCCATTTGCAATCTATAGAGTCTTATTTATATAACCTTCTTCTGATTCAAACATTCTACAATTCTCTTTCTTTGGAATCAACTATGCAAATGACTGGTCCATAAAATCAGCTGCTCCCTGCAGCGCTGACTTGTTCTCAAGTGACTAGAATTTAAGAAATGTAACAGTAACAATTGCATTGAGAGAAGGGATGTCAATTTTCCTATTATATTGCCAGTTCATTATTCCTATCCAAATGGCATAAGGCTGATAAAATAGACACAACTCTCATTTCCAATAAGTGCAAAAATTGGATGCCATACAATTAAAATTTATAGAGATGTATTCCTAAGGTCTTAATTATCTCAGAGTGATATTTGGGGATGGGGAGGGGAACGGCAGTTTTTCATTTATTTAAGTCATTTTGTCCTATATTATATGCAAAATCCTGTTTTCTAAATATCTGAGCTGAATGTTATCTCCACACATCTGTAAGCTTAGAAAAGAAGCCCCATCTGTAATTACCATTTACAACTTTAAGGATGCTTTATGAGCACCGATGTCTTTGAAAACCAAGAAGACCTGTGAAAAACAAAAGGTTCAACCAAACCATTCAGCTTTGCAAGTACCATTGAATTACCCCATAAGTCCCTTAGTTTCAGGCCACATTAGTGCATTTTATTCTGCTGTAACAGAATACTACAGACTGGGTACTTTATAAACAGTAGAAATTTATTTCTCACAGTTCTGGAGGCTGGGAAGTCCAAGATCAAGGCATTGACAGGTTCACCTTGTGGTGAGTGTCCAACTACTGCTGGTAAAAAGTGCCTTGAATGCTGCATACTTTGGAGGTAAGGAACTCTGTATCATCACATGGCAGAAGGTGAAAGGGTGAAAAGAAGTAAACTTTGTCTGTCAAGCCCTTTAATGAGAGCACCTTAAACCCATTCATGAGGGAGGAGCTATCAGGGCCTAATCACCTTTTAAAGGCCACATCTCTTATGACTATCATATTATCAACATCTGAATTTTGGAGGTGGCACATTCAGACCATAGCACAGGCCCTGGAGTACCTAGGTGAGAAGATCAGTGTACACTTCTGCTGACTGTTTGGACATTGGCCATCACTGTAAAAGGGCTGACCCCTGAGTGAAGCTCCATGTCCTCCCATTCTGTTCTAGATGATCAGATTCCACTTAAATGCATTTTAAAGCTGAATAACAGCAGGTTTTCTTCTTTAATGTTAACACTCATAGCACACCAATATATAAATAAATAAGAATAACCTGTCATATGCTTTGTAATATAGGTTCTTAATTTTTATTCTCTCTGATGGTGAAGGTGTGAGCAGAAGAAATCTGTGCCGAAAGAATAGCAGAACTTAGATAAATCACAAACATCCAGTATTTTCCAATATTGGTTTCTCCTTTCCTCCATTTTCCCTTCCTGGAAGACTCTACTGGATGTCTTAGTGTACCTCAGAGGTGAGTTTCTCTGTAAAGTCTTCAGCAATCTTCTGCGCACAGAACTATCCTCTTTCCCTTCATTCTCCAATGGCATTTTATGCATGCTTTTATTATAACATTTATTATGCTTTAAGATGAGAGAGGATAAGTATCAGTTTTTACTGCCTGTATCAAAATGTGTCTTCTTGAGAACATAGTATGTTACTTACTTTTAAACCTCCTCACCTAACAGCACCTGACTCAGAGTGAGATTTGGGGTTTACTCAGTCAATATTTGTAGTATTTGTTGGTTAAATGATAGGCCACCAGAATGCTGTCTGGAGTATGTAACTACTTCTGCATGGTGATAGTAGCACACAAAATATGAAATGGAAATTAAAACATTTCAAAACCTTTCCACCTCTAACTCACTGAGGTAAACAATTTAATACCATGATGTTCCCTTTCACAATGTTTTCCATATTGTATTAGTTAACGATTGCGGTGTAGCAAATTTCTCAGGGGCTTAGCCTTCACAAAAACAATAAATATTTATTATACCGCAGTTTTAGAAGGACAGGAATCCAGGAGCAGCTTGGCTGGGTTGTTCAGGCTCAGTCTCTCATGTGGTTGCCATTAAAATGTTGACTGGGGCTGCAGGGTTTAACTAGAGCAAGAGAATCTGCTTCTTATGTCACTGTTGGCTGAGGCATTAGCTTCTCACTGGGCTGGTTCTCAGTGGGAGGCCTCAGTTCCTTTCCACGTAAAACTCTCCACACAGCTGCTTGAGAGGCCTCACAACATGACGCCTGGTTTCCCCCAGAAAAGCCAGTTCAGTAAAAAGAGCCAGGCATAAACTGCAGTCACATGCCATCACTTCTGCTGTGTGGTCTTGGTCCCGAGACCAACTCTAATACCATGCATTATACAAGGGTATGAGTATCAAGAGTCAGGGGCCACTGGGGGCCATCTTGGAGGCTGGCTACCATCCATATAGGGTTTTTGGTTTTTATAAAAAATCTAATGATGCTATATACATTTATTTGCAACATTTTTTCACATGTAAATACTTCACTACCCTTTCTCCAGGTTGGTAGATATGAATGGAACTAAGTCATTCTTTACATTGTAGCTGACGTTATAATACATTTATTTCAGACCTATTAATTCTCATTGTTTTCTATTTCAATAAAGTAATACATATTCTTGCATATTTATTTTCATTTTATAGAGGCTACCAAAAGTAAACATACTTGATCAAAAATATCAAAAATAGCATTTTGTTTTTTCTATTTCCATAGACATTACTACATTTCAAAAGAGTGACAATATTTATTTTGCACCAACTATGCACAAAAGTACTTGTTTTCCCATATCCTCTTCAGCACTGGATAATTTTTTATATACATTTTGTCATTTTGATGTGCAAGAGAAATCTCTCATTTTTCATTTAATATGCTTATTTCACTATTAGTGAGCTTGAGCACTTAATGTATGTATTGACTTTATGCCTTATCTTTTCTGAATATTGTCTACTTGTAACCTTTCCTTCTCTTTTTCTCATCAATTTCTATGGAGCGTTTGGTATTTGCACACAGCAAGAAATATAATTTTAATTATTTTTGCTCTGAAAAATTTATAGTATAGTCTCCTTAAAAGAATATTAGCATCTATTTCATCACCTTTTTGAGTTGATATACCTAAAAGTCTACCAGGTTTCATAGGGATCAAACATATACAGAAATATTTTATGTCTTATTTCTAGGGAACTTAAGATTGGATGAGAACGTGGCTATTGACATTACTAAGCTGATTCACCTACCCCAGAAAGTGGCAAATTAAGCAGTCTGTTGACTTTAAGATTACCTTGGAGATAGATCACAGAATTTAAAATGCAGTCACTCAGAAAGCAAAATTGCTTGGGAATAAAAGGCAATAATTACTATCACTCTTTCTGCAACTAGTGAAATATAAAAAGAAAAAAAACCACCTCCCACTCTAAACCTTGAAGCCTCAGCAAATATTCAGAGACTCTTCAGATTGCATATTGTGATCAAAGCAGCAATCCTTAGAGTAAGCAGAAACTGCAAACTTCCCTCTCTCTGTGTGTTTTAAATCCCAAACTACTTTGATTGCTTTTCTGTCTAAACACAATAAACACCCTTGACCTTGAATTATACTGTTAGGAGATAAACATCTGGTATCTGGAAGAGAGCACTAAAAATGAATTCTTTGCTCTCTGGCATCTTAATGAACAATGACCAGTAACAAATCAATAAAGATAGTATGACAAGCTGTGATTAAGCGAGTTTTAGATAAAATCTCCAAATAATCAATGTTTAATATATTGGCTATCTAAAAGTACATCTCTGGGATTACTGCTGCACTGTTTAGGAGTTAGTTTGGGTAAATTACCAGTGGGGAATTGGGAAAAGAGAACACAACAAATTGTTTTATATTCCTGGCAATATTATAAAGAATATTCTTATATTTTAATTTCTTACCATGTTATTTGGGAGAATTTTCTGGTAAGAATCACAGTGGTTTTAATTACTTGGCAAATAGATTCTTTATTTCCACAGACTAGTCCCTGATACTATCACTGAAGATCAGTGAAGTCCCATTGACAACCCCTTTTTCCCACTGTCACCACTCTGTCCTCATAGTACAGTATAAAAGTCTGGATTATTGTTCATAGATATTTGTTGTCCTTTCAGAATCCCAACAGAAGACAGCTGGTGTGTCTATGTTAAGATAAACTTAGGTGTTGTTATTTACAAAGATATGATTTACAAAGGCAAGGTGGAATGTAGCCAGTCTGGAATTATTATAGTACAGGTTGAGCATCCCTAACCTGAAAATCTAAAATCTGAAATGCTCCAAAGTTCAAAACACAATGCCGCAAGTGTAAAATTTCACATCTGACCTCATATGATGGGCTATGGTCAAAACACTGTCCTAACTTTCTTTACATGCACAAAATTATTTAAAACATTATATAAAATTATCATCAGTCTATGTGCATGAAGTGTATATGAAACATAACTGAATTTCACATTTAGATTTGGATCCTACCCTCAAGATATCTCATTGTATATATGCAAATATTCCAAAATCCAAAAAGATGTGAAATCTGGAACACTAATGGTCCCAGGCATTTCAGATAATGGATACTCACCCTGTGTTTAAGACTCAGATTGATTTAAATGGGAAAGATTGTTTTGAAGTATCAGATATACTTTACTTATTGTTTAAGTTCTTTAGGGCTTCTTTGAATAAGTTATTTTGAAAATGCATGTTTGTAAGCTTCTTTTTAACGCAGATTTCCAACTCTGAAAGGATGGTATCTAACCATGAGTTGAATTACTTCAGTCTCAAGCTACTGAAGCCCTTCAGTGCCTCCTATATGATAGTCAGTTTTAAGAAATGCTATTCACATCCAGGGTGCAAGGGTAGAGGTCCTCAATTCTGGTTAAAACCACTGGAATCTTGTGCAGAGAGTATTCTGGCTAGATAAAGCAAAATTTTTCTGGAGTTCCTTGGGGTTCAATGGTCTGTTTTTATACTGCTGGTTGTGGCAGTTCCAGGTGTAAGCTTTTTAATACCTGTCAGGAGAAAGGCCTGACATCTTGGCTATTTTGATGCTGGTTTATTTGTCATTTATAAGGAGGAAGTAAATTATATGATAGTTAATATATAATATAGCTAATAATATATATTATAATGATAGTTAATAAATATAAATTGTATGCTTTTAGAAGAGCAATATCTGACAAGGTGTAAGCGCTCACTAGATGGTAGCTATGATGCTGCTGCTTCTGTGTCTGCTGTCTCAAAAGTGGGTATTCTAAGCAGACTCTTTGTTGCATGCCATTATCATTGAAACATGCGTGGTAGCCTGAAAAGAATGGCCTTCCAAGTTTCCTGCACTTGAAACACCCAGCATGAAGGAGGATAATTGAAATACAGTATATGGATCTGATCTGACCCACTCACTTACCTGAGTCTTTAATATCTGCCACACTGATTCTTGCTGTGCCTCATAAGCATTGATTGACCATGGGTGAATATCCCAGACCTCTCAGGGGGCATCTGCAAGAAAAGACAAACAAGGAAAGTCACTAATTACAATGAACAAAAGCCAATGCATTTGATCCCTGTGATAAATGAGAGATGAGTCTTACTTTTTGGAAATTGAGTGTATTGGCGCTTTCTGTTAGTGAGATCAGAAAGAGATTTCTAAAATAGACTCAGGAGCCCCTTGCATGTTGGTGGACTTGGCCTCTAGTAGGCTCTCAGTTTGACACCTTCAGGGCATGGCCACTGGTAGCACTGCAACACCTAAGGTTTCAATCACTGCTAAGTGACAAACCTGGCTGCTCACAGAAAGGCAAGCTGCATTTCAATAGCTCAAGTGTTGTTCTCACATTGGTCTCGTAATATCTTCATGTAATACTTATAGTAGCAAGACTCAGCTTATTAAAGTAACTTACTGGATTGTAAATTGACTTCTTATAGTAGTCCCTGGGACACACTCACAAACACACACACGTACACACACACACACTCATACTCGCAAGCTGTGATCTCAGAAAGATTATTATGTACAGTTCACTTAGGTTTCCCTACAATTGTTTTTAAATGAACCTGAAACATAGCCACGTATTTCCAACACTGAATGCTTTGGAAAGTTTTATTAGACCTAGCTTTTGGAGAGGACCAGCACCTTAGTTTGCTTTATGTTACTAAGCAACTCTTCCTTTATCTTTTATCTTGGAGTCTTCAGGTCTATGAGAACAAGCTGTCAAATTTCAGGTTGCACAAAATCAGAGAGCAACTGAATAGTTGTAAGAAATAACTTACGTTTCTATATAAATGGAAGATATATGCATAGTATTCAAATTAAACTAGCCTATGGTGGGGTAACACATCAACCCCCAAAACTCAGTGGCTGAACACATAAGGGCACATTCCTGGCTCACACAACATTGACTTTGGGACCAGTTACTGCAGGTCTCCTGTCTTCTAAGAGGTCTCCATGTGCTTCCATGTTGTGCCTCCATCTTCCCCTCCTGGCTTTCAAGGTAGGCATTATTCTCCGTGGTCCTAGCTCACACCCTTGGAGGCACTTTATTCTCATTCTACTTCTTGGCCCTATTCAAAGTAGATATTGGGTTATAGACCTCATTGGTAACTACATAGTTTTTCCATCCCATGGGAATTGTGGTTGGTTCAAGAACCATTTTAGGTCTCATATGAACTCATGGATTTTTATTCTGTTTTTCTCCAGGTTCAGGTTTCTTTGGCAACAAAATGATCTCCAAAGTCTTGGCAGGATTTTCATACATCTATTCCAGTGAATTCCATGTACCAGTGACCACAGAGAGTGTTTGTTCTCAGATTTTGAAAAATCTTTATTTTTTTTTGCTTTTTCATCCACCATGCTTTTCAACTTAATGAGGTTATTGTGCATTGGCGGGCGCGTCCTAATCTGATTTTTCCCCCTAATGGAAACATTTCCCAGGGCAGCACCCTTTCAAGCAGTAGCACAGGGAGTCCACTTCTATCTTACATAGAAGTTTTCCATCTAAGCAAACTGCTTCCTGATTGCTATGGCAGAGGCAGAGAGAATAGGCGGGTTTATATACACACATACAATCATATACACTCACATGCCTTGATCTCAGAAAGATCACTTTGTACAGTTCACCATGGCTTATTAAAACTAGTCACATGTCTCCTGCCTAACTGCAAGGTAGGCTGGGAGGTATAGTGTTCTGCACGCAGAGGGAGCAGAGCAGAACTGCTTTAAATTGCTGCCATAAAATGTTAAAACGAGGAGGGGTTTTTGAGGTAAGCTAGTCCTATGAGTTTAGTTTAGAGGTTAAAAAAAACAGTCACCTTGTAGTATAGTTTGAAGTCAGGTAGCATGATGCTTCCAGCTTTTTTCTTTTTGCTTAGGGTTGTCTTAGCTATATGGGATCTTTTTTACGAATGTTTATTGCAGCACTATTTACAATAGCAAAGACTTGGAACCAACCCAAATGCCCATCAATGATAGACTGGATAAAGAAAATGTGGCACATATACACCATGGAATTCTATGCAGCCATAAAAAAGAATGAGTTCATGTCCTTTGTAGGGACATGGATGAAGCTAGAAGCCATCATTCTCAGATAACTAACACAGGAACAGAAAACCACACACTGCATGTTCTCAGTCACATGTAAAAGTTGAACAATGAAAACACATGGACACAGGGAGGGAAACATCACACACCAGGGCCCGTTGGGGGATGGGGGACAAGGGGAGGGAGAGCATTAGGATAAACACCTAATGCATGTGGGGCTTAAAAACTAGATGATGGGTTGATGGGTGCAGCAAACCACCATGGCACATGTATACCTATGTAACAAACCTGCACATTCTGCACATCTATCCCAGAACTTAAAGTAAATAAATAAATAAATAAAAAACAACAAAAACGGAGTTGCTAAAAAATTCATCTAAATCACAAATATTTCTGAATAAGATCTAGAACTAGATCCCATTTTCCTATAGTCCAGGAATATATCTACCTGCCTTCTAATCATACCATTTTTGTAAAAATTTCTAAGCTATTAGAACTGAATGACTAGATTTCTATTTCCAGGTAGTATTTGACTATATGTATGAATGGGTACGTGGACCTTACCTGTTTTTTCTCCATCACTCACTCACTTGTGTATTCAATGTGTGGGTGCTGAAAAGAAGAGAATATATACACAAATTCCATTCTCCTTGTCTTTAAGGAGGAATCAGAATTTTGGAAAAATAAATGAGTAAACGGAAGATATTAACATACTATGAAATATGCTAGAATAAGTTGTACAGTGGCACAGGAAGAGAAGCACATCACTCAGAATTTGACCTAGAGAGTGTTTTCTGAAGTGGTTTAAAGGAATCACACAAATACATCATTCTAGTTTTTTATAATGGAGTCCGACATAGTTTCCAGTCCTGGCTCTGCCATTTACATGCGGTATACCTTTGGCATGTTGCTATCTGACCATTACTTTTCTCTACTGTAAAATGGGGCTAATAACACCTACTTTGCAAGGTTGATTATGAAACAGATTAAATATATATATAAAGCACTGACCAAAATGATACATTTAGTAGACATTCATTGAATGGTAGCACTTATTCTTACTGGTGATTTTAAATTGTTTAAAAAATTATGGGATTCCGAATACCTTAAGTGTCACAGTCATCACTATTGATGGATTAACTATTTCATCACTGAACATAATTTACATACATAGAAAGGATATGAATTATATAAGTGGAAAAGACATCCCTATGCCACCACCACCACCATTACCACCATCATCTTTATCATCATTGTCCTCATGACCTTATGCTTTGCTGACCAAGAGGTCTTAGGTCCAAAGGAATGCTTCTCTGTACACACACACACACACACACAAACACACACACACACACGTATGTATATAATTGATGTCCTTTCTACATATGTAAAATACTTTCAGTAATGAAATAGTTAATCCATCAATAGTAATGAGTGTGACACTTAAGGTATTCTGTATTCCATAATTATTTAAATGATTTATGTATATATGTGTGTGTGTGTGTGTGTGTGTGTGTGTGTGTATACGTAGAAGCATTCCTTTGGACCTAAGACCTATTGATCAGCAAAGCATAAGATCATGGGGACAATGATGATAAAGATGATGGTGGTAATGGTGGTGGCGGCGGCACAGGGATGTCTTTTCCACTTATATAATTGATATAAGTGGAATATATATGTGTGTGTATATATATGTATATGTGTGTGTATACATTATATATGTTTGTGGACGGGTGTGTGTATATATATCTATATATACATACACACACACACATACATACATGTAAAGAAAGAGATTTAAGAAATTTTAAGGAATTGGTTCATAAAGTTACGGAGACTGGCAAGTCCAAAATCTGTAGGATGGGTCAGTAGGCTGGAGACCCAGGGAAGATCCAATGTTGCAGATTCAATTCCAGAGGCCATCTGTTGGAGAATTCCTTCCTCTAGGGAGAGAATCAGTTTTTTGTTCTATTTTCTCCTTCAATTGACTAGATGAGGCCCACACACATTATGGAGGGCAATCTGCTTTACTCCAGGTCCACCAGTTTAAATGCAAATCTCATCCAAAAACACCCTCACAGAATCATCCCGAATAACATTTAACCAACTATCTGGACACTGTGGTACAGTCAAATTGACACATAAAATTAACCATCGCAAGTCTACCTCTTGACAACTTGGCACCCATACGTATCTCCTTAAAGCATATATAGTCTCCAAAAATAATAGAGACAATAACAAAATTATAATTCCACCCAGCAAGATTCAACTATCCTACATACAACCAAAAATGCTCTAACCATCTTTTGAGAAGAAGATACAAAATATACATATATATATGTATACACACATACATATATATAAAAATATATATATAGATATACTTTGTATCCTCTTCTCATCCTCTTATCCTCTTTGTAAAATATATCGAACTATATCTATCTGTAGATATATATATATATGTATACATACACACACTATTTCTCTGAAGAGCCCTGACTAATATATTCATTATCATTATAAGATTTACAGAAATAATAACCATTGCTGACATTGGGCCAGGGCTTCTATATTACAGCTATCGTGTCATTGATCTCATGGAACTTTCACAAGAACTGATGGAGAAGTACTATTATTGCCACTATCAGGAAATTGAGATCTAGAAAGTCTGAGTAACATGCCCATGCTGATGAAAGAACTTTCAATTTATTCCCACAATGGTGCCTTAAATACTTTCTAGTACCAAGTGTGGCATATATGAATGCATTCATGAATACGAATAAATGAATAAATAAATAAATGAATATAAAGTCTGGGATAGTGAACATTTGAAAAGATGTCATAAAATACAGAAACAATCGCACAAAGATAATAACAGGATCTATGAAAAATTACTGATATATGAAGAAGCAAAAAACCCCAAAGACCAAAAATATATTTCACACATTTTAAGAACAATTTGAAATGACACCAGGGCCCAATGGACCTGGTGATCTACTAAGCCACAGATCAACTGCATTTGTAATGCCTTTTCTTTGAGCTCAGCAAATATTTATTATAAGAGTGCTAGGGTAGGAGCTTACAATCTAATGAAGAGGATTAGAGAAGAATACCAAAAACTATAGCACCAGACAGATTCAAGTAAATGAAGTGAGTTAAGAGAAACACATAGAGTTAGCATAAAGCCTCCAAGGAAGGAGAATATGTATTTGGAAAGATGTATTAAATAAATAGCATTTTTTCCAACTTTTTCTATCCCACTAACCCTTGAAGGGAATGAACATCCAAATGTGTACTCTCTCAAGGCACTGATATTCTTATTCAAGGTTTAAAGTGACAGGTAGGCAGTGGCCTCTGCCTACTCCCTAGCCTCAAGTCCTGCCCTTACCTTCTCATGTCTGGTACCACTAGCTCCAGTTCCTTACCTCTTCCAAGCTCCCACTTCTTACTAGTCCTTTGCACTTGCAGATGCCATTGCATGGCCATTCTCTCTTATCCAGCTCCCCATTCTGCCCCTTGCATTAGCAAATTCCATTCATTCTTTACATCTCAGGTCTGGAGTCACTCTTTCAATGAAGCCTTCTCTTAGCCGCAGTCCAACTCAAGTAACTGTGTTATTGCTTCTTAGGATCACACCTATTTTCCTCTGAACACTCATCTCCATTTATATTATAATTGCAAACTTATAACCAGTGTAAGTGTAGGCTGGGCTCAGTAGAATGCAAACAGGTAGCCCCTTAATTTTTCTCTACGTTTTTAAGTGCCTTCTGGTGTGTGTCATTTGGTATCACCACATCTTGGAGAGATGACATAGCTCCTCTAGACACTTTTGGATGTTTACAAATAGGCTGACTTTTAGGATTAGAAAATCCAGGCCAGTGTAAAATAAACTGTATCTTATCGAATTCAACTCTTCTATAGACTGAGGTACAGAAGTTCCTCTCCATTTTCACGAGTCTCTTGTACATGTTGATTCTGTAGTCTGGGTCGTTCTTTACCATCTAGTGAGGAAGGAATGAGGGAGCAAAGTGAAGGTATGCATAGTTTTTTCCTCAGGCAGATATAGTAAGCAGCTGATAAATATCTTTTAAATGGATAAACTCATTTTACTACCTACAGGCTATGCTTCCTCATTCCTGAGACAACAAAATACTAGAGCACCATTTGGGCCAGGTAACTGTAGTCCTCCCTACAAAGTACTTCAAAGGGCTGAAATAAATGTCCACCTCACCCTACTTGGAAAAAACGCCCACCTCTTTCTTCACTGAGTTGAAATAAATGAAACAAATGTCTTCCTCTCCCTACTCTAAATGATTGAAATAAATGTCCACCTTTGGGCTTTGCAAATACCACATTTATTTCAACCATTTGGTGCCTGATGGTGCAAGGGGTAGGCATTCACTCTACATGTTTTTTGCAATCGTCCCACCATCCCTACCCTGGCGCACACACACACCTCTCCCTCTCCCATGTCCCACTCCCATCCCATGTTTCCACTCCTTTTTGCATCCTGCATTGGTGCATCTGGCAGATGTACCACCTGTCCCTGTTGCCTCCTCTCTTCAGCCCTTTTGGATATCTTTGGTTTCTCTACCTTTTCACTTCCTGTTTACTACATCTAAAAGATCTTATCCCCATCTTCATATATCAAAACTCTACAAAGTTTCGCGAGCATCTGGCTAACAGCCTTCTAAAATACCTAAGGAAATTGGAAAAAGACAGGAGCTCAGAATGGCATGAAAAACCAAAACAGTCAGTCAGCCATCATAAGGGTGCTGTATTAGTCAGGGTTTCCTAGAGGGACAGGACTAATAGGATAGATGTATATATGAAAGAGAGTTTATTAAGGGGTGTGGACTCACACGATCACAAGGTAAAGTTCCACAATAGGCCGTCTGCAAGCTGAGGAGCAAGGAAGCCAGTCTGAGTCCCAAAACCTCAAAAGTAGGGAAGCTGAGAGTGCAGCCTTCAGTCTGTGGCCGAAGGCCCGAAAGCCCGTGGCAAACCACTGATGTAAGTCCAAGAGTTCAAAAGCTGAAGAACTTGGATTCTGATGTTTGAGGGCAGGAAACATCCAGCATGGGAGAAAAGTTAAGGCCAGAACACTCAGCCAGTCTGGTCCTTCCGCATTCTTCTGCCTGCTTTATTCTAGCAGTGCTGGCAGCTGATTAGATGGTGCCTACCCAGATTGAGGGTGGGTCTGCCTCTCCCAGTCCACCGACTCGAATGTTAATCTCCTTTGGTAACACCTTCACAGACACGCCCAGGAAAAATATTTTGCTTCCTTCAATTTAATCAAGTTGACACTCAATATTAACCATCACGGGTGCCAATCTAGGGGCAATGTCCACGGAATACAAGTAGAGTCATCTGTTATCTCACAGCTCAAAAATCATGAGAAATACTTTTTCAAATCAAATGTAATTTATATCAAGCTATTGCTCTGACGTATATGGATTTCTGACGAGCCACCCAAATAACTGTGTGAAGTTCCTATAGGGCCATTAACCAGAGGTAGCTCAGAAAATGACTAAAGAAAAGGAGAAAAACCTGAAGATAAATTAGCTTGAATTCATACTACCGATTACATACAAATATTGAAAATGTGCCAATTTCAACTGTCATTAAATGACTCAAGAGGTATTTAATTTATATCTTTCGCTTGGTGCTTTCAATTAAAGGGAGAGAAAAGCACCAATAAAGCTATCAAATATATGGGTTTTACTTTGGCTCCTGTGTTTCCTAACTGTGCTGATTTCAGCTCTGTGCCCAACAGCTTTGAATTTAAAAAATTCGAAGATGAGCCGAATGCCCTCAGCTTCCTAGAGGACATGTTCTAAACAGTATTTCTTTAATTAGAAGTACAGCTTTAGGATCTGGAGTAGTTTTAATTTAACTTTGTTGGTGGAAATTTATAGATTTTTCTTTGCAGCAACAGTTGGTGATGTTTTTGGATGATTTGAGTTATAGATACACTATAGGTTGTGGAGATAGTGAGAAACAGAAATTTAACCTTGCAACTAACACAGAAACAAAAACCAAACACTGCATGTTCTCACTTACAAGTGGGAGTTGAACAATGAGAACACATGGACACAGGGAGGGAACAACATACACTGGGGCCTGTTGGCAGGTGGTGTCGGGAGAGGGAGAGCATTAGGAAAAATAGCTAATGTGTGCTGGGCTTAATATGTAGGTGATGGGTTGATAGTTGCAGCAAACCACCGTGGTACACATTTACTTATGTGACAAACCACATACTGCACATGTATCCTGGAACTTAAAATAAAAATAATATATATATATATATATATATATATATATATATATATATATATGCCATATAAATCCATATGTGTCAGTTCCTTAAATTAATTTTAAATGTTAATTTAAAAACTTTGCTGCACAACATTCTCTTGAATTGTATTATTTCACATGACAAGTATTGTGCGTGTATAACGAAATAGCGAATGAGTAGCAGGTTGAATGGCATCCTCCCAAAAGTGAGGTCCGTGTTCTCATCACTGCAACCAGTGAATGTGACCGTATTTGGGAAAATGCTTTCTCCAGATGTAAATCAGTTAAGGATCTCCAGATGAGGTTTATTATTTGGTGGACTCTAAATCCAAAGACAAATGTCGAAAGATAAGAGAAAGGAACAGGGAAACTTGAGACAGAGAAGAGACAGAGACCGAGGTACAGGAGAGAAGGTTACATGATAATGGAGGCAGAAATCAGAGTAATGTAGCCCCCAGGAATGTCCAGAGCCACCAAAAGCTGACAGAGACAAGGGATAATTTCCCCTAGAGCCTCAAAAAGATGTGCAGGCCTGCCAATACCTAGATTCCAGACTTCAGCCTCCATAACTGATGTGGTATGGCTGTGTCCCCACCCACATCTCATCTTGAATTATAGCTCCCATAATTCCCATGTGTTGTGGGAAGGACCCAATGGAAGATAATTAAATCATGGGGGCAGTTTCCCCCATACTGTTCTCATGGTAGTGAAGAAGTCTCATGAGATCTGATGGTTTTATAAGGAGTTTTTCCTTTCTCTTAGCACTCATTCTCTCTTGCTTGCCCCCATGTAAGACATGCCTTTCACCTTCTGCCATGATTGAGAGGTCTCCCAGCCATGTGGAACTGTGAGTTCATTAATCCTCTTTTTCTTTATAAATTACCCAGTCTGGGGTATGTCTTCGTCAGCAGTGTGAAAACGGACAAATATAGTAACTGTGTATAATAGAGTAAATTTATATTTTTTAAGCTACAAAGTGTGTGTGGTAATTTGTTACAGCAGCCGTAGGAAATTACCTCAGTAATTATTCTGTATACTCTTGTAGGTTTTGTTTCAAGTTTTGTTATTATAGGCTATTATACTTAGGATATAATTATAAAATGAAAGCATGTTGTTACATTTATATATTTCAAAATGGGTTTGCAGTTAGAATAATTAAAATGTGCACACCGAAAAATATTTATATAATGTTTACTGTGTATCACACCCTCTGTTAGCTGCTGAGCAGCCAATCATTGGCAAAAGCGGCCTTGGTCCCTGTTCTCACTAAATTTATATCTAATTTACCTCACATACTTTGGAGAAACTGAGACTTACTGTATACCAACATATTGCCCAGCAATGGAAAAAATTCTGTTAACCTGGCAATTTCTAGATAAGCCTCCTGTCAGGTTATTAGATTTTATTCTATAAAATGTGAAAGCGATACTGAGAATTCATAATGGAGGCAAACAAAACATGCATTAACATATTGTTATTTGAAAGGTACCATCAACATGCCAGACAAAAAAAATTACAAAACACAAAAAACCAAAAAACTGGTTATCCAAACTGTGTTTCATGGGTATTAACTTTTGAAACAACTAGCTAGATTCCTGTCCTAATACTTACTCTCTCTTCTTTACTCAAAAACTACAACTCCTGAAAATAATAGGACAGGAAGGAAAAGCCATCACATTACACATATTAGACCTTGCAAAATGTGCACCCAATAATTAAAATGTCAGCATGAGGAGCAGAGAATGGAAACACATTGCTAATGAGGGAAAGAAGTTGATTTTTATATTTGTATTGTATTATATAATATCTGAGCATCAGGGAAAGAAGCAGTGAGCAAGAGCTTCAGGGAGTAGAAGCTCCCTGAAGATGTTTACAATAATTCAAGTTAGTCACGTTCGATGAGTATTGAATGAGGGGGAAAAGTATATAAAATATTAAAACAAATTTTAAAATTTATTAATGAAGCACCTCCTATGGGTAGAACGTTGCTCTAGGTGTCTTGAAATCTTACTCGAGGGTCATGAACCAGCCAAAATTACATATTGTACATTAAAGTTTTTCTTCTCTTCAAAGAACTCCTTCATCTTGTGAAACACAGTGGTAACTATGATCTATGCAATTAATCAAGCAAGGTTCAGTGTTAGTCATCAAACATAAGAAATCAGAGAATCTTGGCTCCCTTTCTGGTAACAGAGCTATGTTGCTTGCCTAGCAACCCACAATGGGAAACTACTACTCACTCACTGCATGTAATTGCTGAGATGATCAATGCAGTATCCTGCAGTTTTCTAGAAAATGATATGCATGCAGAAATGTTTAGGGAAAAGCTTACTGCTTGTAATTGACTTTGGAATACTTACAAATAAGTATAATTGATACATGGATGGAGGAATGGATAGGTGGGTAGTTATGTAATAAGGTATAGTAAAATATTAATGGTAGAATCTAGATGGGTGTTTTTTGTTTGTTTGTTTGTTTGTTTGTTTTTTAAGACAGAGTCTCGCTCTGTCGCCCAGGCTGGAGTGCAGTGGCGTCATCTCGGCTCACTGCAGGCTCCGCCTCCCAGGTTCACGTCATTCTCCTGCCTCAGCCTCCCGAGTAGCTGGGACTACAGGCGCCCGCCACCACGCCCGGCTAATGTTTTTGTATTTTTAGTAGAGACGGGGTTCCACCGTGTTAGCCAGGATGGTCTCGATCTCCTGATCTCGTGATCCGCCTGCCTCGGCCTCCCAAAGTGCTGGGATTACAGGCGTGAGCCACCATGCCCAGCTGATGGTGGGTACGTTTGTGCTCACTGTGAAAGTCTTTCCATTTTGCTCTATGTTTAAAAATGTCCATAATTTAATCTTGAAAAATTTTAATTGTGTGACATGATTTTAATTGTAAGTGATATTTCTTCTCAAATATTTCATTTCGAGAGGGAGAACAATAGAAATTTGTCACAGAAAAGTTAGCCCCCGGCTTCAACTTACTGGCTACTGACAGAGAAATTATTTATGGAAGATGCATTCTCAAGGAGAAAAAGTCTGGTACTTTGTTTTTTGATCTTCTGACAAAAGTGTTTTTGATATTTGTGCAAATGGTACAAACACAAATTTGTCACCACTTCCTGATACTTTTCAGTGCCAAGCTGACCTATTTTTGGTGACATCTTCTGTGGGTATTTTTGAGTAGATCTAAACAAGAACCCGTTTGATACCTAGTAGGGGTCCCAGGAACCCACGCAGAAATAACCATTTGCAGCGCTGAATTATGCCCTCAGGGAACAACTAAGCATGTGCCTATGAATGATTGGCTCTTTCAGGTAAAATGATAGAATCGTTCTCTTTGCAACACCAGCTATATTGGGCATTGATTATGTGTGAAGCTCCATTTTAGACATTGGGAGCTCAAAGATGAATCAGACATTGAGGTTGTCCTTTAGCACGTTTCAAGTAATGGCTTAACTATGGCTGCTCTCTTAGAGCAGTAGAATGTTAATTGGGCCTTGAGAGTAAAATATTATGGGAGTGTTGAATAATTGAAAGATAGGAATCTATATGTGAAGCACAATCTTTTCTCTCTGTCGTCATTCATATCTGTAGGAATTTTCATCCTTTTTACCTATAACTTCTAACCAAAAAAAAGTAAACATGTCTTACAAAATTGCAACTCTAAACCTCACAAGCTCCTATTAGGCTAGTCCTGAATTTCAATACTACAGTTGTTGTTGTCCCTGGAAATGTATAGTAATAAACATTTAATATTTGAAGGAACTTCAGTGATCTAAATCAAACCTTTATTCCATATAAAATGAGGAAACAATTTACTGAGGTTACTTACTCTGGTCACTTAGGGACTTCACCTTTAAAGATGATTGTATCCTATGAATGTCTGAACAAGTCTTTGAAATTGTCAGTGAAGAACAGAAAACTGTAAATGGAGGTTTAAATCGCTTTAACTTTATATTTGTCTTATATATAAATTGTAGGGAATTACTTTGTAAAATATTATGAAAATGGTTTGCTTTTTAAATAAATAACTCTCTTATATCTCCAAACCAAACATGTAAATCTCTCACCTTCTTTCCATTCCCGTTTGACAAGTGTAGACTGTCTACAAATGGCTCATCTGACCACTGCAATTTTCTCTCAACTGGTATTGCTACCTTTAGTGTTTCTCCTCCTTGATTCATTTTTCTCAAGGCTGCCAGATGTATTTGAATTTGTTTATTTACTCACTAAAAATCTTCACTGATTTCCCAAACACTGGACAAAATTTCAAATTTGGCTTTCAAGGCCATTTAAGACATGGGCTCTGTTTATTTTTCCTTCTTCCTTCTCACTCATCCTCTCTCCACCCTTTCCCCTCTCTCTCTCTCTGTTCTTTCTTTTATCTAGTATTTATGTGGTTTCTGCTATGGACCAAATTACCTCAATAGATGCTGGGTATATAAAGATGGGAAAATTACAGACTATTATTTAGGAGGAAATTCTAAAACTTTATGAAAACATGATAAAGACTAGTTTAGTGGAGAGGTAAGTCATATACATGGATTGGAATATTTTAAAGAGCTCAATATCATATTGCAATCAGCTCTCCCCAAGTTGATCTATAAATTTAATTAAATTCCATCAACTCTTTCATTATGTTTTGGTTTGATTTTTGTAGGAATTAAAGACACTAGAATTTATATGGTAAAAGAAATGATGAAGAATATCTAAGTCACTCCTGAAGATGGCAAGTTTGAGGGACTTTCCTTACTAAAAGCAATTTTAAAAATAAATATAACTTTACTGATTAAGCCTATATGATATTCCACCATGGATAGATAATTGAAGATGAGAACAGAATAGAAATCCTAGACAAGAGCCCATACAAACACAGAAACTCAATTTATAACAGAGCTAAAATATTGTTAGATCACTGGCAAAATACTCCTCAATAAATGGTGTTGAAACAATTATCTAAATAGGAACAAATAAAAATTGGACCCCCTAGCTCACATTATATTTACAATTTAATTTTAACTTAGGTGAAAGGTGCTCTGCAAAAGACTATCTTGGTGAGTATCTCTATGATCTCAAGAAGTAAAGTTTCTTAACAAATCTCAGTGCTTCAATGCATAAAGAGAAAGATCAATATTTATTTACATTAATACTAAGAGCTTCAGTAAATCAATAGACTCCATAAATAAAAGAGAAGCCAAGATTTGGGAAATGATAATCTCCAACACATCTAACTTAAAAACATTGTATCCAGTATAATAAAATAAGAAATCAATGAGAAAACCCACAATTCAATAGGAAAATTAGCAAAGGTGATCTTCAGACTAGAGATCACCAAAGTGCAAATTAAGGCCTGAGGAGGCCAGGCACATTGGCTCACGCCTATAATCCTGCACTTTGGGAGGCTGAGGCAGGTGGATCACTTGAGTCCAGGAGTTCGAGACCGGCCTGGCCAACTTGGCGAAACCCCATCTCTACTAAAAAATACAAAAATTACCTGGGTGCGGTGGTGCATGTCTGTAATCCCAGCTACTTGGGAGGCTGAGGCATGAGAATCACTTGAACCCAGGAGGCAGAGGTTGCAGTGAGCTGAGACTGTGCCATTGCACTCCAGCCTGGGCAACAGAGCGAGACCCTGTCTCAAAAAACAAACAATCAGAAAAACAAAAAAATACCCCAAGGAGATAACAAGTGTCCTTAAGCAATCTGACAAAATTGAAAAGTCTTTCCAAGAGCTCTGTGTTCAAAACTGGAATAACTTGAGCAATAAAATAAAGTAGCATTGGAGTATAAACAAAATATAAAATAAATATTCAGGACTCTGTACTGATACACATAAATGCTTGAGTAAATAAATAAATGGTTGAATATATAAATTCCAAATAATTTATGCATATACTTCACCCTCAAGGAGGTAGACCATAGCTCCCAACATTTTAAGTGTGAGCTGCACATAATGACTTCCTTCCAAAGAGTGTGTACAGTATGAAAAGAGAGAAAAAAGAGTCATGTTATAAGGAAGAAACCTGACAAACACTATCTCAGCCAGCTCATCAAGGTTAACATCAGGACTGATAATTCGTGTTGACAGCATGTGGCCTCGATATGATGTGGCGAAAATGGCACTTGGGACAACGTATTACGCTGGGACAATGTATTCTTGGGAGGAAGAGGTCTTTTCCCAGTGTAAACATGAGATCATGAGAACACACATCAGAAGATCCTAATTAAGGGGTAGTCTATAAAATGCCTGACCCTTACTCCCCCAAACTGGCAAGATTATCCCAAAAATAAAGTCTGAGAAACTGTCACAGCCAAAACCCTAAGGTGATATGATGAGTCTCTAATGTGGTATCCCAGATGGGATCTAGGAACTAGAAAAGGACATTAGGTAAAAGCTAAGGAAATCTGAATAAAGTATGGACTTTTTAAACAATAATGTTTCAACATTGGCTTGTTAAATGTAACAAATGTTAATAGGAGAATCTGGGTGCGGGGTATACTGGGAATTCTGTACTCTCTTCATGAGTTTTCTGTAAACCTAAAACTGTTCTAGAATAGAAATTTAATTAAAGGAAAAGTATTTCAGTATCGGTGTTAGCAAGAATGTGGATCTAATGCAAGCAAGACATACACACAAACACAAACACACAGATTTAGTAAGAATATACAGATTTAGTAAGATTTAGTAAGAATTTGCAACCAATTTGGCAAACAACTTGGTATTATTTGTTAAAGTTGAAGACGAGCAAGCCCTATGACCCAGAAAAATAGTCCCTGGGATAGTCCTTAAAGAAATGATTACACTCTTCAACTAGGACACATGTTAATAGATGTCAAATAATGAAAATGGCCCAAGTGTCCATCAAGAGTAGATTGGATAAACCAAGGTTTAGTCATGTGATCAAGTGAAAATGAATGAACTACAGCTATGTGCAAAACATGAGTGATTCTCAGAAATATAATAATGAGTAAAAAAGTGCTACAGTCAAACACAGTTGTTAAGGTTTCATTAAGTAAATTTGAAACCTGCAAAACTAATAAATATGTTAGGAATATCGGCATGTGGTAAAATTTAAATTGTGGGAATTCTCGGGAGAATGTGGGACAAAAGATGGGCACACAGGAGCCTTCAAAGAGAATGTTAATGTCCTTTTAGACCGTGTGGTGTGTAGCAAATGTTTGTCATGAATCTTTAATCCTTATACATTAGAACAAATCTTTTGTTTCTTCTATAATTTGTTTATAGCAATTATTTTTAAAGTACAGTAGTAACCTGTTATTTATCCCCAAACTGACAACTCAAGGACTCCCCTTAAATGCCTTCTTCATCACCTGTTTCCAGATGTGGGTCTCACTATGCTGCCCAGGCTAGCCTCAAACTCCTGGGCTCAAGCAAATCTTCCCACCTCAGCCTCCCCAGTAGCTGGGACCATAGGCAATCATCTCCACACTCAGTTTTGAATGCCTTAATTTTTCTGAACAGAAAATTCATCAAGAGCCTTAGCTTTGAATCTAAAAATAAAAGAGAGAGAGAGAGGTGTAGTTATCTGTCTGCAGGCGATTGATTCATTATGGTGTCTTGGGAAGAGAGAGAAAAAGAAAAGACATTTCTGAATAGTTCAAATAGTTCAAGATATATACCTTGCCTGATGATTCTTTTAAGATGACAAGACTCTGAGTTCTTAAGTGTCTCAGGATCCTGCCCATGGCGATGAGATTTTCCATTAATGGCAAGTTTAAAGCCAAATGTAAACGTTCTTAGAAAGATAAACTTCGAGGACATAAAAGGTGGGAGGGGAGATGAAAAGAAAATAGAGCTGTTAGATATCCTATTCAAGTTCTCCAATATCCATCTAAATTGGTCTTAAGTTTCCTACATGTAGGGTTGTTTGGATCTGCAGGAACATGTATTGTCTATATTGGGGAGTATTTGTTTGTGGTGCCAGCCATGTATTCCTCTTTGTCCAAAGCTAGAGGAGCATCAGGCAGTGCCTAAATCATCTGTACAGCAGATTCCTCTAATCCAAATTGATTATGCTGATTTGTTCATAGATGGTCTATAACCCAATGCAAGCTATGCATTATAATAAAACTTTGGCTAGAATTTCTAAGGACGTCTGTCTTTTTCATGGGCCAGAGGGCTAAGAAAGTATAAAATTTGGAGCTACTGTGGCCATTTTACTATGTTCATAGAGGAACCTGGGGGTGCAGCCAAAATTAAAAGAGGCAGATAAAGCGTAGCTAAACACTGAAAGCATCACTTGAGCCCTAAATCCAGCTGTACCAGAAACTGGATCATTCCCTTGCAACCAAAGGACCCTTGAAAAGATTCATTCTGATAGAAGATATTTGGTTGTTCCATAATGGCATGAGAAGTGACTAAACAAGTCAAGGGTTGGAAACATCTTGGGAATTGGACAAGATTATTCAACATAGAGTATCTATTCGCTTTTGCTTCTAGTAAATGAAATGAAAAATCTATATGATTTTTTATGATTCCCCTTGCTCTCTAGTCTCCATCCGGATTGGTGGGACAGACAAAGAAGAGGCTGCTTTTTCCTTCGAGCTCTTTCTCTTCTAGCTTCTTAAGTGAGAATCTGAACTCCTTTAGTGTGTGTGGTAAAGTTCTCTGCCAGGGACCCAGCACGGTGGAATGTAGGCTTTTCCTGATGTTCAATGAGCATATACTACTGAATGCCTCCTATGTGTCAGGAACTAGTGGTGCCTGAATAAAACAGAGATAAATAGACTCCCCTCTGTCCTCAGAAAACAAAAAGGTGACTAATAGTGATAAAAAGCATACATTCATGGCTTCAAATCTTGGCTTCACCACTTATTAGCTAGTTAATATCTCTGTAACTCAGTTTCTTTATTATTAAAATGAGGACCATAATTGAGCCCACCTTATATATTTGTGGTTAGGATTAAACGCATCCTTAGGTATAAAGCACTGGGAAGATTATGGGGCACATAATTACACTATCTACATGTATGACAAATAAGTATAAATATAAATAAGGAACACATATTCAGAGAGCAAGTTACTGAAGGAAGGGAGATAAAACATAATGGCACTATTGAATATATACTATATGCCAGGCACTGTTTGATATTTCATTTACATTTTTATGTCAGCCTGTTTTATTTGGGTTGGTTTTCAAAAGAAGCTTATGCATTGGAACATATGCCATGAAAAATTCTTTCCAAACTGTACTACCAATATTGAAGTGTATTGTCATTGCCCACTGGAAGGCAGAACTGTACACACAGTGAAAGTGGAGCCCAGTTGCTTCTGTCTACCCACATTAAGAACACCGTCTGTGAATTCATTAAACTATTCTTCATTTTCTTTGTAATTTTATTCCATGACTGTGGTGCATTCAGTATGCTAAACCTCTTACAAGTTAGTGGAGTTTCTTCTAATAAAACCCACCCACTTGTCCTGGCTGTGAAGAAGGGTTTGAATTTTCATTAGGCCTGTAGTGCCATCTCTACCTCATTGTCGTGGTAGCATTTAATAAGCAAACAGAGACCATTTTTCCTGACACCTGCCTACCAGGAGGACATACCTATTAAACGCTTCATCTCTCTGCTGCTTTCAGGACATTTTTGCTCTTCTGAAAGGTGTTGCCTTTTATGTCTCTGTACTGTGAAGTTGAAGCTGAGCTTGGCTGGCTGTCCAAGTCCCAATTCTGAGGTTATTATCTGGTGCCCTGAGGCAAGAGAGGCTGGCAGCCTCTGATGCCAGCCCCGGCACGGGACTCTAGGCTGCTGTAATTGGCTTTCTTGCCTCCTGCTTGCTACCTTAATGAGGTATGCCATGTTGGGCTTCACCCACCCACAACTTTTCAGTGGGACAGGTTCTCATGCCATGTAAAGTTGATCAAGCAAAAGCCTCAGCAGCTTAGTAGAAGAGTTTTGAACGCAGCAAATTCATTGCAGGCTGGAACAGGTCTCCGTGGTGCAAAAAGTAGCAGCTTCTAGGTCAGCCTGGAGCTCATAAGCATGGGGACAAGGGAGTTTTGCCCCCAGTGTCAACATTAAGCTCTAGGCCCTGTTCTTCTGGTTATTAAGACCTAAGGTTGTGGATCATCTCTTTGCAGGGCTCTCACTGTTCATTTCACTCAGGACATCAATTGAGTTTTGTCTGAAATTGTCACTTTGGCTGCAGAGTATTTGGACCTACCATTCTCA
This sequence comes from Homo sapiens, assembly GCF_000001405.40. Lineage (NCBI taxonomy): Eukaryota > Metazoa > Chordata > Mammalia > Primates > Hominidae > Homo > Homo sapiens. The sequence continues at coordinate 6,007,836 of NC_000003.12, forward strand.
TAACAGCTGTGTTAGCCTGTTTTCTGTTGTTTATAACAGAATACCTGAAACTGAGTAATTCATAAAAAAAGGAATTTGTTCCTTACTGTTATGGAGGCTGAGGAGTCCAAAGTTGAGAGGCTGCTTTTGATGAGAGCCTTATTGGTAGTGGGGACTTTGTGGTGTAGAATATCACATGGTGACAGGGCTAAGCATGCAACCCCAGGTCTCTCTTCCTCTTCTTACAAAGCCACCATTCCCACTCTCTTGATAACTCATTAATATATTAACTCATTAATCTATTAACCCATGAATGGATAAATCAATTCGTGAAGGCCGAGCACTCATGATCCAATCACTTCTTAAAGGCTCACCTTTCAATACTGCTTCATTAGGGAGCAGTTTCCAAAACATGAAGTTGAGGGACACATTTAAACCACAGCAACAGCTAATGTTTATTGAGTGCTTGCTGTCAAGCATGAATCTAAGAGTTTTTTAAGCCTATTAGCTTCTGTATTATTCAAAGCAATCCTGTGAGGTAGGCATTATTATTATCCCCATTTTGCATATGAGATTAGGAAAATTTCACAAAGTCATATAGCTAATAAATGATGGCCCCAGGAGCAATCTTAACAATGATGCCCCAAGCTGGAGTCTGAGAATGATTGGTTTTGAGTCCATGTAAGATGACCAACTTTTTGCCCTAGCTATATCCTCTTTTTAGATGCCGTGTGAACTGCCCCTTCAGCTGAAGCTGATTGTACTAGGAATGTATATTTGATCTAAGATGTGTGTGATGCTTAATACTGAGTATCAACCTGATTGGATTGAAGGATGCAATATTGAACCTGGGTGTGTCTGTGGGGGTATTGCCAAAGGACATGAACATTTGAGTCAGTGGGCTGGACCTAATCGGGTAGGCACCATCTAATCAGCCACCAGCGAATGTAAAGCAGACAGAAAAATGTGAAGTGGTGAGACAAACCTAGCCTCCCAGCCTACGTCTTTCTCCCATGCTGGATGCTTACTGCCCTCAAACATCAGACTCTAAGTTCTTCAGTTTTGGGGCTCATACTGGCTCTTCTTGCTCTCCAGCTTGCAGACAGCCTATTGTGGGACCTTGTGATCATGTAAGTTAATACTTAATAAACTCTCTCTCTCCCTCTCTCTCTCTCTCTCTCTCTCTCTATATATATATATATATATATCTGATAGGATATAAATATAAATGTATCCTATTAGTTCTGTCCCTCTAAAAGAACCCTGACTAATACAGATTTTGGTACAGATATATATATATATATATATATATATATATATAGAGTATATATGAATGATATACAGGACTTGTGTGTGTGTATGTGTGTGCATATATATATATATATTATATATCTCCTATTAGTTCTGTTCCTCTAAAAGAACCCTGACTAATACAGATTTTGGTACCAAGAGTGGATCTAGAGGAACAAAATATTAAGGATGGAGTTCTTTCATTGGTTTTGGGGTTTCTGGAGTTGGCTGCTTAATATGATCAGACCCAAAAATGCTAAGTGCTCTACTTCTAATAGTATGGAGAACACTGATAGTCCTTGGCATGAACTGTTTAGAGAGTTACGCAAAATAAATGCATTTGAAACTCCTGATTCATGGCTTGTGAGAGGCAAGGAGTTTATTGACTTTATATAGATAATACCTTTGACTGTATGTGGAGAACCAAGGAACATAATGAAGCTGGTTGGTTGCTCCTAAGTTCAGTGGACAAAGTGATGAAAGAAAATGATGGACTCAGGGATTCTGTCTCTTGGCTTCAGAAGCAGATACCGAGCCTCAAATCTGCTAAGATTGCCCTGAGTGAGAGTCTTGTCTTCTGTACAGAAAGAGCTGAAATTGTGAAAAACAGACACAGGCTCTTACCATGAGAGTGGCTGACTTGCAATGAAAGGTGCATGCACAGCCTCACCAGGTGTCTACTGTTAAAGTGAGGACATTGATTGGAAAAGAATGTGACCCTGCAACTTGGAATGGGGATGTGTGGGAGGACCCTCATGAAGCTAGGGACACTGAGTTTGTAAACTTTGATGAACCTGCTTTGCCAGAAGGAACAACTTCTCCATCCTCAGTAGTGGTAACCTCCCCTCCCCAACCCATGCTGCCATCAGCCTTTCCACCTTTGTCTGAGGAGATAAATCCTGCGCTGCCTGAGGCAACCATGATGGCCTCCCCTGAGGCAATTGCCAGGCAAGATAATGTTGATTCACCTCAGAAGCCACCCCCAACACCTCTATTTGCTTCTAGACCTATAACTAGGTCTAGCGGGTCCCTAGAGGTGAGGTTGAGTGTGTGACCTATGAGGAGATGCGCTACACTGGAAAAGAACTGTTTGAGTTCTCTAATTTATATAAACAGTAATCTGGAGAACAGGCATGGGAATGGATATTAAGGGTATGGGATAATGGTAGAGGGAACATAGAGCTGTATCAAGCTGAATTTATTGATTTGCATCTACTAAGTAGGGACTCTGCATTTAATGTTGCAGCTTGGGGAGTTATAAAAGGTTCTAATTGTTTATTAGCTTGGTTAGCTGAAATATGGATTAAAAGATGGCCCACTGTGATCGAGCTGAAAATGCCTGATCGCCCTTGGTTTAATATGGAGGAAGTGATCCAAAGGCTTAGGGAGATTGGGATGGTGGAGTGGATTAGTCACTTTAGACCTACTCATCCCAGCTGGGAGGGTCCAGAAGATATACCCTTGAACAGTGCCTTGTGAACTAGAGGGCAAAATAGAGGTGAGGGCAGCACCTGCATCTTTGAAGAGCCCTGTAATTGCTCTTCTCTGTATGTCAGATCTAACGGTGGGAACCACAGTCACTCAACTATAAAATTTAAATACAATGGGAATAATTGGATTCCAAGGTAGCAGGGGCCAACTGGAAGCACTCAACTATCAAAGGCAAGGTGGGCATAGCTACCGTAATGGAAGCAGAGGCAAAACAGCAATCAGAATAGTCTGACTCTTGCAGAGCTCTGGCATTGGCTAATTAATCATGGTGCTCCTAGAAGTTAAATGGACAGAAAGCCTACTGCATTCCTACTTAAATTATACAAACAGAAAGCTTCTAGGTTGAATAGACAAAAGACTAAGTTGAATTATAAAAACAGAGAATCATGGCCCTTCAATCAATTTTCAGACCTGAGCAAGTTTACAGACTCAGAAGCCCTTGCATGAAGAGGAGGCTAGGTCCCCTTAAGGAAGGACCCCACTAAATTACCAACCATTTATGCAGTTAATCTTTCTCTGATCCTTCTCCAAGGAGACCTCTGGCCTTTTACCAGAGTGGTAAATGATGCATTGGGGAAAGGGAAATGATCAGACATTTTGGGGACTATTGGACACTGGCTCTGAGCTGACATTGATTCCAGGGGACACAAAACGTCATTATGGTCCTCCAGTTAAAGTAAGAGCTTATGGAGTTCAGGTATTTAATGGAGTTTTGGCTCAAGTCTGACTTACAGTGGGTCCCCAGACTCATCCTGTGGTCATTTCCCCAGTGCCAGAATGCATAATTGGCATAGACATACTAAGCAGCTGGCAGAACCCCCACATTGGCTCCCTGACTGGTAGAGTGAGGGCTATTCTGGTGGGAAAGCCCAAAGGGAAGCCGTTAGAGCTGCCTATACCTAGAAAAATGGTAGATCAAAAACAACATTGCATCCCTGGAGGGACTGTGATTAGTACCACCAGCAAGGACTTGAAAGATGCAAGGGTAGTGGTTTCCACCACATCCCTGTTCAACTCTCCCATTTGTCCTGTGCACAAGACAGATGGATCTTGGAGAATGACAGGGGATTATCATAAGCTTAACCAAGTGGTGACTCCAATTGCAGCTGCTGTACCAGATGTGGCTTTATTGCTTGAGAAAATTAACACACCTCCTGGTATCTGGTATGCAGCCATTGACTTGGCAAATGCCTTTTTCTCCATTCCTGTCCATAAGGCCAACGAGAAGCAATTTGTCTTCAGCTGGCAAGGCCAGCAATATACCTTTACTCTCCTACCTCAGGGGTATATCAACTCTCCAGCTTTGTGTCATAATCTTATTCGGAGAGACCTTGATTGCAAGATATCACACTGGTCCATTACATTAATGACATTAGGCTGATTGGATCCAGTGAGCAACAAGTAGCAAATACACTGGACTTATTTGTGAGATGTATGCATGCCACATGATGGGAAATCTGACTAAAATTCAGGGAACTTCTACCTCAGTAAAATTTCTAGGGGTCCAGTGGTGTGGGGTCTGTTGAGATATTCCTTCTAAGGTAAAGGATAAGTTGCTGCATTTGGCCCCTCCTACAACCAAGAAAGAGGCATAATGCCTAGTGGGCCTACTTGGATTTTGGAGGCAACACATTCCTCATTTGGGTGTGTCACTATGGCCCATTTATTGAGTGACCTGAAAGGCTGCCAGTTCTGAGTGAAGTCCAGAAGAGGAGAAGGATCTGCAACAGGTCCAGGCTGCTGGCAAGCTACTCTACAATTTGGGCCATATGACCCAGCAGATCCAATGGCACTTGAGGTGTCAGTGGCAGATAGGGTTGCTGTTTGGAGCCTTTGGCAGGCTCCCATAGGTGAATCACAGTTAGAGGCCTCTAGGATTTTGAAGCAAGGCCCTGCCATCTTTTGCAGATAACTATTATCCTTTTGAGAGACAGCTCTCAGCCTGTTACTGGGCTTTGGTGGAAACTGAACATTTGACTATGGGTCATCAAGTCACCACGTGATCTAAACTGCCTATCATGAACTGGGTGCTTTCTGACACATCTAGCCATAAAGTGGGTCATGCACAGCAGCATTCCATCATGAAATGGAGGTGGTATATATGTGATTGGACTCGTACAGGTCCTGAAGGCACAAGTATGTTACATGAGGAAGTAGCTTAAATGCTCATGGTCTCCACTCCTGTCACCCTGCCCTCTCTCCCCCAGCCTGCACTGCTGGCCTCATGGGGAGTTCCCTATGAACAGTTGACAGAGGAAGAGAAGACTAGGGACTGTTTCACAGACGGTTCTGCACAATATGCAGACACTACCCAAAAGTGGACAGCTGCAGCATTACAGCCCCTTTCTAGGACATTCCTGAAGTGTTGTGGGAAGTCAGGGACCCTGAATGGAGGGACCTGCTAAGGCCATGGCAGAAGAACATAAATTGTGAAGATTTCATGGACATTTATCACTTCTTCAATCAATACTCTTATAATTTCCTATGCTTGTCTTTAATCTCTTAATCCCATCATCTTCGTAAGCTGAGGATGTATGTCATCTCAGGACCCTGTGATGATTGTGTTAACTGTACAAATTGTTCATAAAGCATGTGTGTTTGAACAATATGAAATCTGGGCACCTTAAGAATAGGATAACAGCAATTTTCAGGGATCAAGGGAGATAAAGTCTGGCTGCCTGTGGGCCAGGCAGAACAGAGCCATATTTCTATTATTACTGAAAAAGGTTAAGAGAAATATAGCTGAATTCTTTCCCCAGTAAGGAATATTAATAATTAACAGCCCTGGGAAAAGAATGCATTCCCAGGGGGAGGCCTCTAAAATGGCCGCTCTGGGGGTGTCTGCCTTATGCAGTTGTAGATAAGGGATGAAACACGCCCTGGCCTCCTATGGCACCCCCAGGCTTGCTAGGATTAGGAAATTCCAGCCTGGCGAATTCTAGTCAGATTGGTTCTTTGCTCTTGAACCCTGTTAAGATGTTTATCAATGACAATGTGTGCACAGCGGGACATGGAAGTTCATTAATGATTCTAGTTTCTCCCTGAACTTGTGATCTTGCCCTGACCTTCTGCGTTGTGATCTTTTGTTGCCCTTGAAGCATGTGATCTCTGTGACCCACCCCCTATTCATACACTCCCTCCCCTTTGAAAATTGCTAATAAAAACTTGCTGGTTTTGCGGCTCAGGGAGCATCACGGAACCTGCCAACATGTGATGTCTCCCCCGGACACCCAGCTTTAAAATTTCTCTCTTTTGTACTCTTTCCCTTTATTTCTCAGACCAGCTGGCACTTAGGGAAAATAGAAAAGAACTTACTTGAAGTTATGTTAAATTATCGGGGGTGGTTCCCCCAATACTGAAGGACAGTGGTGAAAGGAAATCTTCCCAGTGATCAGAACTTCAAGCAGTGCATCTGGTTGTGCACTTTGCATGGAAGGGGAAATGGCCAGATGTGTGATTATATACTGATTCATGGGCTGTAAACAATGGTTTGGCTGGATGGTCAGAGGCTTGGAAGAAGCATGATTGGAAAATTGTTGACAAAGAAATTTGGGGAAGAGGTAGGTGGATGGACCTCTCTGAGTGGTCAAAAACTGTGAAGATATGTATCCCATGTGAGTGCTCACCAATGGGTGAGCTCAGCAGAGGAGGATTTTAATAATCAAGTGGATAGGATAACCCATTCTGTGGATGCCACTTAGCCTATTTACACAGCCACCCCTGTCATCGCCCAATGGGCCCATGAACGAAGTGGCCATGGTGGCAGGGATGAAGGTTATGCATTGGGCTCAGCAACATGGACCTGCACTCATCAAGGTTGACCTGGCTTTGGCCACTGCTGAGTGCCCAATTTGCCAGCAGCAGAGACCAACACTGAGCCCTTGATATGGCACCATTCCTTGGGGTGATCAGCTAGCTACCTGGTGGCAAGTTGATTATATTGGACCTCTTTTATCATAGAAAGGGCAGAGGTTTGTCTTCACTAGAATAGACACTTACTCTGGATATGGGTTTGCCTATCCTGCATGGAATGCTTCTGCCAAGACTACCATCCATGGTCTCATGGAATGCCTTATTCACCATCATGGTATTCCACAGCATTGCCTCTGACCAAGACACTCACTTTACAGCTAAAGAAGTGTGGCATTGGATTCATGCTCATGGAATTTACTGGTCTTACCATGTTCGCCATCGTCCTGAAGCAGCTGGATTGAGAGAATGGTGGAATGGCCTTTTGAAGTCAAAATTACAATGCCACCTAGGTGACAGTACTTTGCAGGGCTAGGGCAAAGTTCTCTAGAAGGCCATGTATGCTCTGAATCAGCATCCAATATATGGTACTCTTTCTCCCATAGCCAGGATTCACCGGTCCAGGAATCAAGGGGTGAAAGTGGAAGTGGAAGTGGCACCACTCACCATCACCCCTAATGATCCACTAGCAAAATTTTTGCTTCCTGTTCCCATGACATTACATTCTGCTGGCCTAGAGTTCCTAGTTCCAGAGAGAGGAATGCTGCCACCAGGAGACATAACAACAATTCCATTAAACTGGAAGTTAAGATTGTCACCTGGACACTTTGGGCTCCTCCTACCTTTAAGTCAACAGGCTAAAAAGGGAGTTACATTGTTGGCTGGGGTGACTGACCTGGAATATCAAGATAAAATCACTCTACTACTCTACAACAGAAGTAAGGAAGAGTATTCATGGAATACAGGAGATCCATTAGGGTGTCTCTTAGTATTACCATGCCCTGTGAGTAAGGTCAGTGGGAAACTAAAACAACCCAATCCAGGCAGGACTACAAAAGACCCAGACCTTTCAGGAAAGAAGGTTTGGGTCACTCCACCAGGAATAAAACCATGATCTGCTGAGGTGTTTGCTGAAGGCAAAAGGAATACAAAATGGGTAATAGAAAAAGTAGACATCAATACCAGCTATGACCATGTGACCAGCTACAGAAACAAGGACTGTAATTGTCATGTCCTCCTTCTTTTGTAAAAAGATGTTTGTGTATGTATACACTTGTACTAGGAACATATCTTCATTTTATTTCCCTTGCCTTTATCATGTGACATAAGACTTATTGACCTCATATCAGCATTTAAGTATTATTGGCTTTATGTAATAGTATTTGGATTGGGGATTGGTGCATTTCCAGTTGTACAGAGGATAGTTGTATTATGTTAGGTGTAATTATGACTTTATTATTGTCTTTATTTGTAGATTATATATGATCTCAGGAGATGGGTATGGGTTCAAGTTGACAAGGGGTGGACTTGTGATGGTTAACACTGAGTGTCAACCTGATTGAAATGAAGGATGCAGTATTGAACCTGGGTATGTCTGTGAGGCTGTTGCCAAAGGAGATTAATATTTGAGTCAGTGGGCTGGAAAGGAAGATCCATCCTTAATCGGGTGGGCACCATCTAATGAGCTACCAGTGAGTATAAAGCAGGCAGAAAAACGTGAAGCAATGAGACAGGTGTAGCTTCCCAGCCTACATCTCACATCACACAATATACCCATGTAACAAACTTGCACATGTATACCCTGAATCTAAAATAAAAGTTGAAATCATTAAATAAATATATAACAACATAAAATAAGACAATAAAAAACTAAATAATCAACATTCCAGTGGCAAGTTAAACAAGAGATAGAACAAAATGGGGGAGAAACCTCATTTTTATCAGCAACAGAGTAAATATCTTTATTACAAGAATAGAGAAGAAATTAATCTGCAGAGGAGAGAATGATGCAAGTATGAGGAGAAAAGTAGGAGATTGTAAAATCTTAGATAATTTCATTGAGAAACTCCAGTTCCTGTGTGAGGCTATATTTAATATCTGCTTTAATATCTGCTATATTTCTTGTCATTTGATTCTGTACATTTCTTCTGTACTCTTTCAATAAAGTTCCTTCTAACTTAAACCAGCTTGAAATCACTTCAGTTCTTTGTAGCCACATGATGACTGGCCAAAATACCCAGGGATGGAATTTGGCAAGTAGTTTCATTTGGTCCCAGTATTGCACATTAAAGTGAACCCTCTAAGTATGAGAAATGTAACTATGCCAAATTTTATTGGTGTTTAGTGGGATATTATGTTTTCCAGCCTTGTCCTCCATATTTTAGCATGTTTATAGGACCTTGGTTATTTTTGGCATTTACCCTATTTACCCCATTTACCCTACTACTGTCACCCACCCCTGCCATATCTTTGCTGGTGATTCACCATCTTCATTTTGATCCTTTAAGTCTGTGAAGGCTGAACTTCCAATTCAAAGACAAAGGTCATTGGGGATATTTATACCCCATGGAGATTGGTTGAGGGGAGAGCAGATGACCTAAGTCCATCCAATTAGAGTGAAAGTCAGAATGAAAGCGTAGGGAATGCTGGGATATAATTACTCATTTTCTGGCTAATAGAAGCGATTCAGCAGAGAATTAGCCCTGGTGTTGCCAAAAACTACTTTCTGCTCCTATCAAGGGAAAAGTGCGTCTAAGAAAGTAATCATTGTAGACAGAAGAAGAGGGAGGGAGGGAGAGAGAGAGAGAGAGACATTTTCTGAGCCCCTGCAGCCAGCTATGCCTGAAGCTATATCTTCTCCTGAATTATTCAATTATATAAGCCAAAAATGTTCCATACGAGTCAACTTGGAGGAATTTTCACATTTTATTGTTAAGTGAGAAAAAAAGTTAAATAGTATAGAATATTGCATATGTTATTATCTCATTATCATGACAATATCAATACCAATCAAACCATCTCTCTCTCTCATCTGTATAATCATGGAAAGTTATTCATCAAATTTTTAACATCTAGAGGTGTGTGATGCTGCAGGTGGAGTTGGAGAAAAATAGCAAAGGGGTGGAGGGTATAGTCATAATGAATCATTCTGTGATAATTAATTTATGCAAAATTATTTATAATTGAATGTAGAAATGAATGGAGACACATGATAGTATGATCAATGAAATGTGATACTAGTTGTCTCAAGCCCATGGGATTTTAGCTGATTTTTTTAATACTTTAATGTATTTTTGGCATTTTTTTAATGATTAGAAGATATTATGTTAAAAAGAAATATTGGCTATACATAGGAAAAGAGGCTATGCACTATTCTTCAATATTTCCAAATTTTAAATTAAGTAATAATTAATGTTTCATTTTATTAATAGCTCTTTTGGCACCGAAGTTTAATGATGCTTTAAAATTGTTCTTTACAAAATATATTTGTTAAACACTGAGTTAAACCAAGATGAATGCATTTCTTTACTGACTGCTTAAAAGAGTACATTGTAAATCTCCAAAAGGGAGAGTGAGTATTCAGCAGTTCCCAAATTTGCTGGACCATGGAATATTCCTTGTGACTAGTGTAACAAAGAATACATTTTGGGAAACAGAGAAAACAACATAACAACAAAAAGAAATACTAAGGTTTTAAAGTCATGTATCCTGGAGTTACATCCAAGACAGATGATTTACTTGACTTGTGACATTGGACTGTTCACTTGCCTTCTCATGCCCCATCCTTAAATTGGGTATGATAGGTCTTTCTTCCAGGGTCATGGTGAGGTAAACTGTAGTAAGTATAATGGAATACTAAAAATGAGCGCATGGATTTGTAGGTTCTCTATATGATATTTTCTTTTATGGTGTATTTTTGCAAACCTTAATAATGAAGACAATAATTTAAATGCATTTTTATTAATTTTTACAACCTTCCTTATAGTGGCTGCCATATACCTTCTCTCTCTCTCTCTCACACACACACCCACACACACACACACACACACACATACACAGACACACACACACAAATATATTCACATTTTTTTCTTCTCTTTTGAAAAACAATCGTATTTTTCATGTGGGGCATAAGGCATAATTTATTCTTATTGGGATTGAATAAACAAACTCTCTTAGAAAACACTCATCTTTCTGAGTTACTGGGGCAAAGGAAAGTGGCAAGAACAGTTGTTTGTTCCTATCTAATTTGGTCATATGAAACAGAAACTTACTGAAATTGCTTTAGGCTAGAAAAAGGCAGAGGGTGGTGGGGAATTGTTACAAGGCCTTAAGCCGTCCTATTAAGCAAAGCTAAGAGTGGAGGTTGGTCCCCTTGAGGACAGGAAAAGGAACAAGGCACCACAGAAACAAAGGCAGGCATTCTCTCTGATGCCCTGCACACCATCTCCCTTCTACTCCTCTTCCATCTTTTCTTTCTGAAGAGCCCTCTTGGCTTTTCTATGCACAAGACAGCAGATAGCTGGTTCACAGTGCCTGAGTCCGCATTTCTTTAATTCAAATGATCAAAAAAAAAAAAAAATGCTTAGCTCTGTCAGCCACATTTACAAATTCCCAAAAGAGTGTCTACTCCGATCGAGTCATCTCGAGGCAGGGATAGCAAACATAGGACATTAAGTTACTAATGATGCTCACCCATGTGCCTGGGGTTGGCAAACTGCTCAGAGAAGTATGTTTGTGACCTGAGCAACCATCCCCAGGGCATCTTACAACTAGTTAATACTCTCCCCAATCTTGACCTTTCTAATTCCTCTCTCCTTCATCTGGGCTGGGGATACAAGTTTGCGGGTCTCTTTGTACCCTTCTAAACCTATGAAGTCTTGCTAAAATGGGGCCAGAGCTGCAATACTGACCTGGGTCTTTCTCATCTAGATAACACTTGCCCAAGTGTCTATGCAAAATAGGGATAACTATTAACTTTTTGTGGTAATGGGAGAGGACCACTGACCAGCTAATAAAATAGGGAAATAATCTAAATCCATTTTCTTTTGGTTTTGAATACATTTCATAACTACTATTTTGGCAACAGTATTGACAACCTATACCATTCAAATTAACTTGTATTTGCTAACTTCAAAGCAAGTACATGATACCACACATATTTATAGTAAAAGAAATACAGAGTAGTGATTTGTGATAAGGAATATCTAAGGCAAAGTTTGAAAGAAATCATTGATAATACACATTTACTGAAATAAATATAGACTTATTGAATGCTTCATATGTGACAGGCATCTTTATAAAAATCTTATGAGAAAAAATACCAGTTGGATCCCCATTTGACAGATGATGAAACTGAAGCTAAAATGTTCAGTTAACTTGCCCAAGATTGCACATGTAGCTCTCGGTGGAGCTAAACCCAGGTTGGTTTAAGTCTAGGCCTGAGCCTTTACCTGGCTGCTGTACCTGCCTCCAAAACAGAAAGTTCATTTTCAGATAATTGAAAGACATTTGGGAGTTAAAACACAGTCACCCAGGGCTCTACAAAATGAGAGAATATATTTGACCCCAAGTGAGACCATTCTCTGTACTAGTCACATATTTGTATGCTGCCCCTGCCCACTGTCTCCCATTGACCCAGCTTCTGCAGAGGCTAAGCTTTTGCAGCTCTGCATCTATAAGCTAAGCTCAGCACTGCAGTAAGTTGACAGTTCATTACCAAATGGGCTGGAAAAAAAAAAAAAGAAAACAGAAAACACCACGATTTGCACAAAGTAGCTTCAGACCTAGAGGATTCTAATACCAGATCAAGAAAGGAACAGTGCCCAACTTAACAGTCTTAACAGTTCTGTGGGTCGCAGGAAAGATGGCTTGGAAATAAAGCCGGATTTGTTGCATGAAGTTAAAGTCTAATGAGGCGAAGCTCTGGGATATTATGGGCAGCATGCCTAAGAAGAAGTATTGTGTTTTTTTAGTGCTATCTTAAAGCAGTCACTCTGAACGTGAGTCACGTTAAGTCCTTTGTTTAATTTACATAATTTGTCTGTTACTCTAGTTCAGAGTGAATAACATAAAATGTTAATAAACCCTTTAAAACTTCAGAACTAGCAGTATATTCAAATAACACATTTTATAGCCAAAGGTATTTAGGAGACTAAATCACATGGATCATTATTTGTATTTAACTCTTTAACTGACCTGCTAACAAATGTGGAAATTTAAATTCCATTTAGATAGATACTCAGTTATATATGTAAATAATTTTAATGCTCACTGTTTGATTTTTTTTTTTCGTTGATGAAATTATTTCAGTGTTCTAACTTAAAGGGACTTTGGGACAGCTTACAATCATAAACTAAGTCATACTTATATTTTCCCCCTAAAAATTACACTGTTTAGGCCTAAAGCTAAAATTATACTATTTAAGCTTTGTCTTTTAATTGGGCACATATTAGATTTTGTTTAAGAGCTTATACTCAGATCTCCTGAAGTGCTAAATAATGTATCAAATTGCCTACTGATTATCTGTGAGTAGATTATCTATTAAATAGAAACTCTACTAGTAATTTTGCCATAGAAGAGAGAGATTTTTCTTTCCTCTTCAGCTTCCTGAGCTGAGGAAGGCAAAGGATTACAGAATTAAGCAAGCACTTTATTTTCCTTAAGGAAACATCCATCTAAACATAAATTGTTTTTATATGATTTAGTATTTGAACAAGGTACCTGGAATTACCAATGTTTGATTGTATATTCAAAAGACAGCCAGAATTTTTTCTCTTTTTAGAAGCTCCTCCATCAGAGACCATTTGATGCAAAATTTTTTCCAGATAAAATTTTTCTTGAATTTATCATATTAATTAACTTGCCTCTTTTATTGATTCATAAAAGATGACTAGGGTATCATGTTATTTGTATGCACTTTCACACACACACACACACACACGGAGCTGCTATACAAAGAGGTGTTAGCTTTTAAAACCCTGAATTAGTTGAATAATTGAAACTAAGATTCAAGGCTCCAGATTTACAGACTTCCTAAGAAATGTCATCCTACTCTTTCCTTATACGCTTTCAACTTAGCCATTCTGAAATGAGCAATTCCAATTTAATTAGAAATTAGACTCTTTTTCTGGAAACTTGTGGAAAGTACTGATGAGACTACCTGAAAACTGTTCCATGACTGAGAGCAAAACTCGTGTCCCCATAAAATATGACTTTATTTTGACAATGCACCTCATGGAGGATCCAGAATCATTCTCAGTTGTAAATGCAGGATTCTGTCACTAAGGCCATCATGGCTGATAGAGCATTGCTATCTCTTTTCACACATGGCACTACCCTGAATGCTGGGGGAAATACAGGGTGACTTTTTATTTTCTTTCAGAAAACCTAAAGGCAAAGAAGGTTTCTTTCTGCACTTGTGTACTGAGGTTTCTTCAGCTGTGTCTGAACTCAGAAACTGCCACTTCATATTTTACCGTAAGTGAAACCTTCTGAGACACATGTTGCTGCCTTTGGTGAAATTATTTTCTTTTTTTAAAAATTTTAATTTAATTTTTTTATTATACTTTAAGTTCTAGGGTACATGTGCACAATGTGCAGGTTTGTTACATACGTATACGTGTGCCATGTTGGTGTGCTGCACCCATTAACTCATCATTTACATTAGGTATATCTCCTAATGCTGTCCCTCCCCCATCCCCCAACCCCACAACAGGCCCCGGTGTGTGATGTTCCCCATCCTGTGTCCAGGTGTTCTCATTGTTCAACTCCCACCTATGAGTGAGAACATGTGGTGTTTGGTTTTCTGTCCTTGCAATAGTTTGCTAAGAATGATGGTTTCCAGCTTCATCCATGTCCCTACAAAGGACATGAACTCATCCTTTTTTATGGCTGCATAGTATTCCATGGTGTATATGTGCCACATTTTCTTAATCCAGTCTATCATTGATGGGCATTTTGGTTGGTTCCAAGTCTTTGCTATTGTGAATAGTGCTGCAATAAACATATGTGTGCATGTGTCCTTATAGCAGCATGATTTATATTCCTCTGGGTATATACCCAGTAATGGGATGGCTGGGTCAAATGGTATTTCTAGTTCTAGATCCCTGAAGAATTGCCACACCGTCTTTCACAATGATTGAACTAGTTTACAGTCCCACCAACAGTGTAAAAACGTTGCTATTTCTCCACATCCTCTCCAGCACCTGTTGTTTCCTGACTTTTTAATGATCACCATTCCAAGTGGTGTGAGATGGTATCTTATTGTGGTTTTGCTTTGCATTTCTCTGATGGCCAGTGATGATGAGCATTTTTTCATGTGTCTGTTGGCTGCATAAATGTCTTCTTTTGAAAAGTGTCTGTTCATATTCTTGTGCTTTCTAGTGTCTGTTCCTATCCTTGTGCTTTCTAATATAAAGAAGGAAACACAGCTTGTGCTTAATATCTGGAAACCCCCAACTGCCTCACATGATTACATTACCACCTTATTTGATGACTGAACAGTGAGTAACTTCTTTGCTGATTCAGTTTAATATATGACTTCAGCTTAATCTGCTTCCAGTACACACCACTACCCTGTCTCCCAACAAATGCTTACACACTTATTTCTCTTGAATTTCATTAATATCTGTCACTCTTTACTTAAAAAAATATACTACAGAATACTCAGTGGGAACCTATGTGGTAGAATTAGGAAAAAGGATCTGCCAGAGAATTAGCAAAGAAATCCACTGATGAAGTGAAGCTTGTCCTCAAGTTTCTTTTTCAGTGTCTACAGTTTCCAATATGGGATTCAACATCAGGAAGACTCGTGTATTTATTACATGGGAAGCTAACTGTGGATGGTTTTCTGCCTTCCATAAGAAGACTCAGAAACTGAAAAGGCACAAATCTATGATGCAATTAATAAGCACTTTTCCATTTAAGAGATTGTAAAAGGATAGATCTTATACTTTTGATATTTCCAGAAAGCAAACTCATCTGATTAAAACTTCACTAATGTTTCATCTGACAAGAAGACAAATTTTCCTTCCACACTAAGTCTTAGTAGAGAAAGTAATTTTTACTTCCTTTCTTTCCCAAGCCAACAAATATTAATCTGTAGCTGAGAAACTAGCAATGACCATTTTCTACAGACATATACAGGAGCAATACATTTTCTTCTAGATGTTTGCATAGACATTGTTCCAATCGAAGGGTGAGACCCTCAGAGACACAAAGAAATTCTGTAAATAACAATTACAAAAGAATGTATTAAATACTATTTGCCAGGCCTTTTGTGTCAGCTAGGATTCTTGCAATTGCAAGTAAAAGAAATGAAACAAGGGATTTGCCTGCTCACATAACTGAGAATCCATGAATAGGACAGACATCGGGGACCACTGTCCACACACTGGACCAAGGTCTCAAATAATGTAACAAGACCTCAGGTCAGTCTCAAGCTTTACTGGGGACAGGCGAGCAGGGAGGCCAGGACAGCCCGTGGCATTTTGAACTTCGAAGCTTTGATTTGAACCTAGCGACAGACGCCATTTTCCTACAATTAAAGAACAAGCCAGGGGTTAGCTCTGATGGGCCCTTTGACTTTGATCATTTTGCCAATTCCTGAAGCGAATTGAGCATATAATATAATGAGATGATTAGCTTTTACTTAGTTTTCATGTTTAGCTGTAGAAGAAGAGCTTAGGACCTGCCTGAAACTTATGGACCAGGAATGAGAGATGGATGACTCTTCAGAGTAAAATCTCAGGTTTATTAACAGAAATAGATTTAATAGATTTTTAGATAGCCCCAAATCAATAGGTATCTATTTTAGAACTTCACATATATTTTACAAATATTAATTTATTAAGTCCTTACAGAAGTCCCTACAAAAGAGTTTGCATTCTTATCCCTACACAACAGATAAGGTAGCAGCAGTAAAGATATTTAAGTCACATATTAGGTTTGTGACAGAGCTGGACATTAAACCCAGGGCTGTCTGACTGTAGATCACTGACCTTAACCTCCTCTATATGCATCACTGAAGGAATAGCACACACCTGAGTATCATATGGTAAAAGCAGGAAAGCTGTGGCATCTTCAGAAAACTTTTGGCAGGTATACAAATCACACTTCTGAAGAGCAGAGTGTTAAGATCCAGAGACATCAAGGCTAGATTTGGGACATATGTTTTAGTGCAATTGAAATATTTTTAATTATCTTATCAATTTTGTGCTTTTTATAATGGGCAGAAATCCATTTCTCACAGTTCTGAAGGCTGGGAAGACAAAGATTGAGGGGCCAGCATCTGACAAGGGCCTTCTTGCTGTATCATCTCATGGTGGAAGGTGGGAAGGCTAGAGAGCTAGAGAATGAAAGGAGGTCAAAATCCACCTTTTATAATAAACCCACTTTCATGACAGTAGCATTATTCTTTCACTGTGCTCTCACGTCCTAATCACCTCTCATGAGACCTCACCTCTGAAAACGTATTGGGGATTAAGTTACCAACACATGCTTTTTGGCAGAAACATTCAAACCATAGCAAATATTATTTTAATCAGGAAATTAGTGTCTGACATTAATGTCATTAGCCTGAATCCTTATGACAGGTTTGCAAAGTTCATAGATTCATTTCCCACCTACCAGACTAGGACTGGGCAAGTATTTGCACACTCCTCTCCAACATTTGAAATTTCAATAATACTGTGGTGTTCTAATCCAAATGTGAAGAATGTTTGCCACACAGGCTCTGAAAAACATTTTGATATTTTGGAGGATCAGTTAGAATATTTTAAAATATCTAAATGAAGACCAGGTAGGGCACTAAAACAGAAAATTCTTAAAGGATGTTACTTGAGAACTGAAACCACTGACATACTGAGCCTAGACACAGAAAACCAAAACCACACCTTGCTATCCACATTGACACCTTTTGCTTTTCCTTTGTCTTCATTAGCACATTAGCATGCTTTATTCTTTGACAACTCTCCTGCCTAAGCAAATGGTTCAATTCAGGAACTTCTCCAAAGACCTATTCGTTCTTTAATGGAAAGTATCAACAGTTTTCACCCTAAGAGTCTTTGAATACTTCATCTCAAAATACTCACTTTGCTGTTTCCACTAATGTTAGACTGTTGTGTCATGATTCATACCTACTCCTAATTTAAGTCTCTACATTGAAGGAATCACCATAAATGGAAGTTCCAATTTCCAATAAATCCTTACATAACCTTCCCCCACTAGAGACACAGCTAAAGCATTACATTGTAATTTTGTTCTTCAGTAAATTGTGGGCTTTTGTCAGGTGTGTAAAGATTAGATGGTTGTAGATGTGTGGCATTATTTCTGAGGCCTTTTTTCTGTTCCGTTGGTCTATGTATCTGTTTTGGTACCAGTACCATGCTGTTTTGGTTACTGTAGCCTTGTAATATAGTTTGAAGTCAGGTAGTGTGATGCCTCCAGCTTTGTTCTTTTTGCTTGGGATTGCCTTGGCTATGGGGGCTCTTTTTTGGTTCCATAGGAACTTTAAAGTAGCTTTTTCTAATTCTGTGAAGAAAGTCAGTGGTAGCTTGATGGGGAGAGCATTGAATCTATAAATTACTTTGGGCAGTCTGGCCATTTTCATGATGTTGATTCTTCCTAACCATGAGCATGGAATGTTTTTCCATTTGTTTGTGTCCTCTTTTATTTCCTTAAGCAGTTGCATGTAGTTCTCATTGAACAGGTCCTTCACATCCCTTGGAAGTTGTATTCCTAGGTATTTTATTCTCTTTGTAGCAATGGTGAATGGGAGTTCACTCATGATTTGGCTCTGTTTATCTGTTATTAGTGTATAGGAATGTTTGTGATTTGACTTCCTCTTTTCCTAATTGAATACCCTTTATTTCTTTCTCTTGCCTGATTGTCCGGGCCAGAACTTCCAATACTATGTTGAATAGGAGGGGTGAGAGAGGGTATCCTTGTCTTGTGCCGGTTTTAAAAGGGAAAACCAGTTCTTGCCCATTCAGTATGATATTGGCGGTGGGTTTGTCATAAATAGCTCTTATTATTTTGAGATATGTTCCATCAATGCCTAGTTTATCAAGAGTTTTTAGCATGAGGAGCTGTTGAATTTTGTCAAAGGCCTTTTCTCCTATTGAGATAATTGTGTGGTTTTTGTCATTGGTTCTGTTTGTGTGATGGATTATGTATATTGATTTACATATGTTGGACCAGCCTTGCATCCCAGGGTTTAAGCTGACTTGATTGTGGTGGATAAGTTTTTGGATGTGCTGCTGGATTCAGTTTGCCAGTATTTTACTGAGGATTTTCACATCGATGTGCATCAGGGATATTGGCTTGAAATTTTCTTTTTTTGTTGTGTCTCCGCCAGGTTTTGGTATGAGGATGATGCTGGCCTCATAAAACGAGTTAGGGAGGATTCCCTGATTTTCTATAGTTTGGAATAGTTTCAGAAGGAATGGTACCAGCTCCTCTTTGTACATCTGGTAGAATTCGGCTGTGAATTCACCTGGTCCTGGACATTTTTTGATTGATAGGCAATTGTTGCCTCCATTTCAGAACTTGTTATAGGTCTATTCAGGGATTCGACTTCTTCCTGGTTGAGTCTTGGGAGGTCGTATGTGTCCAGGAATGTATCCATTTCTTCTAGATTTTCTACTTTATTTGCCTAGAGGTGTTTATAGTATTCTGTGATGGTAGCTGGTATTTCTGTGGGATCAGTTGTGATACCCCCTTTATCATTTTTTATTGCTTCTATTTGATTCTTCTCTCTTTTCTTTTTTATTAGTATGGCTAGCAGTCTATGTTGTTGATGCTTTAAAAAAAACAGCTCCTGGATTCGTTGAATTTTTCGAAGGGTTTTTCAGGTTTCTATATCCTTCAGTTCTGCTCTGATCTTAGTTATTTTTTGTCTTCTGCTAGCTTTTGAATTTTTTCCTCTTGTTTCTCTAGTTCTTTTAATTGTGATGTTAGGGTGTCAATTTTAGATCTTTCATGCTTTCTTTTGTGGGCATTTAGTGCTATAAATTTCCTTCTATACACTGTGTTAAATGTGTCCCAGAGATTCTGGTATGTTGTGTATTTGTTCTCATTGGTTTCAAAGAACATCTTTATTTCTGCCTTAAAGTTTGTTATTTACCCAGTAATCGTTTAGGAGCAGCTTGTTCACTTTCCATGTAGTTGTGCCATTTTTACTGAGTTTCTTATTCCTGAGTTCTAATTTGATTGCCCTGTGGTTTGAGAGACTGTTTGTTATGATTTCCATTCTTTTGTATTTGCTAAAGAGTGTTTTACTTCTATACTTCCAATTATGTGGTCAGTTTTGGAATAAGTGTGATGTGTTGCTGAGAAGAATGTATATTCTATTGATTTGAGGTGGAGAGTTCTGTAGATATCTATTAGGTCCATATGATCCAGAGGTGAGTTTAAGTCCTGGATATCCTTGTTAATTTTCTGTCTCATTTATCTGTCTAATATTGACAATGGGGTGTTAAAGTCTCCCACTCTTATTGTGTGGGAGTCTAAGTCTCTTTGTAGGTCTCTAAGAACTTGCTTTATGAATCTGGGTGCTTCTGTATTGGGTGGATATATATTTAGGATAGTTAGCTCTTCCTGTTGCATTAATCCCTTACCATTATCTAATGCCATTCTTTGTTTCTTTTGATCTTTGTTGATTTAAAGTCTGTTTTATCAGAGACTAGAGTTGCAACCTCTGCTGTTATTACTTTCCATTGCACCACTTCACACTTATTCTAAAACTGACCACATAATTGTAAGTAAAACACTCTTTAGCAAATGCAAAAGAATGGAAATTATAGCAAACAGTCTCTCTTACTTTCCATTTTGCCTATGTGTGTCTTTGTACATGAGATAGGTCTCCTGAATACAGCACACCAATGGGTCTTGACTCTATCTAATTTTCCTGTCTGTGTCTTCTATTTGGGGCATTTATCTCATTTACACTTAAGATTAGTATTGTTATGTGTGAATTTGATCCTGCCGTTATGATGCTAGCTGATTATTTTGCCCATTAGTTGATGCAGTTTCTGCATAGTCACAATGGTCTTTACATATTGGTATGTTTTTCAGTGGCTAGTACTGGTTGCTCATTTCCATGTTTAGCACTTCCTTCAGGAGCTCTTTGTAAGGCAGGCCCAGTGGTAAAAAAAAAATCTCTCAGAATTTGCTTGTCTGTAAAATATTTTATTTCTCCTTTGCTTATAAAATTTAGTTTGGCTGGATATGAAATTCTGGGTTGAAAATTTTCTTCTTTAAGAATGTTGAATATTGGCCCTCACTCTCTTCTGGCTTGCAGGGTTTCTCCCTACAGATCCACTGTTAGTCTGATGGGCTTCCCTTTGTGGGTAACCCGACTTTTCTCTCTGACTGCCCTTCACATTTTTTTTTCTTCATTTAAACCTTGGTTAATCTGATGATTATGTGTCTTTGGGTTGCTCTTCTCGAGGAGTATATTTGTGGTATTCTCTGTATTGCCTGAATTTGAATGTTGGCCTGCCTTGCTAGGTTGGGGAATTTCTCCTGGATAATATTCTGAAGAGTGTTTTCCGACTTGGTTCCATTCTTCCCATCACTTTCAGGTACACCAAACAAATGTAGATTTGGTCATTTCACATAGTCCTATATTTCTTGGAGGCTTTGTTCATTTCTTTTCACTCTTTTTTCTCTAATCTCATCTTCTCACTTTATTTCATTGAGTTGATCCTCAATCTGTGATATCCTTTCTTCCACTTGATCGATTTGGCTATTGATACTTGTGTATGGTTCACGAAGTTCTTGTGCCATGTTTTTCAGCTCCATCAGGTCATTTATGTTCTTCTTTAAACTGGTTATTCTAGTTAGCAATTCATCTAACCTTTTTTGAGGGTTCTTAGCTTCCTTGCATTGGGTTAGAACATGCCCTTTTAGCTCAGAGGAGTTTGTTATTATGCACTTTCTGAAGCCTACTTCTGTCAGTTCATCAAACTTATTCTCCATCCAGTTTGTTCCCTTTCTGGTGAGGAGTTGCGATCCTTTGGAGGAGAAGAGGCCTTCTGGCTTTTGGAAATTTCATCCTTTTAGTGCTGGTTTCTCCCCATCTTCATGGATTTGTCTACCTTTGATCTTTGAAGTCAGTGACCTTTGGAGGGGATCTCTAAGTGGACGTCCTTTTTGTTGATGTTGATACTTTTCCTTTCTGTTTGTTATTTTTCCTTCTAACAGTCAGGCCCCTCTGCTGCAGGTCTTCTGGAGTTTACTGGAGGTCCACTCCAGACCCTGTTTGCCTGGGAATCGCCAGTGGAGGCTGTAGAACAGCAACAATTGCTACCTGTTGCTTCCTCTGGAAGCTTTGTCCCAGAGGGGCACCCACCAGATGCCAGCCAGTGCTCTCTTGTATGAGGTGTCTGTTGGTCCCTACTGGGAGGTGTCTCCCAATCAGGAGGCATTGGGGTCAGGGACCACTTAAGGAGGCAGTCTGTCCCTTATTAGAACTTGAACGCTGTGCTGGGAGATGGGCTGCTCTCTTCAGAGCTGCCAGGCAGGGATGTTTAATTCTGCTGAAGCTGCACTCATAACCGCCCCTTCCCCCGTGTGTTCTGTTCCAGGGAACTGGGGGTTTTATCTATAAGTCCCTGACTGGGGCTGCTGCCTTTCCTTCAGAGATACCTTGCCTAGAGAGGAGGGACTCTAGATAGCCAGTCTGGCCACAGCTGCCTTGCTGAGCTGCAGTGGGCTACGCCAAGTTCGAACATGAAAAGAAAACTCCTGTGGCTAGCTCAGTGTCTGCCCAAATGGCCGCCCAGTTTTGTGCTGGATCTCCAGGGCCCTGGTGGCATAAGCACCAGAGGGAATCTCCTGGTCTGCAGCTTGCGGAGACCATGGGAAAAGCGCCATATCTGGGCTGGAGTGCAAGGTACAGTCCCTAATGGCTTCCTTTGGCTAGGAGAGGGAATTCCCCAACACCTTGTGCTTCCTGGGTGAGGTGATGCCACACCCTGCTTTGGCTCACCCTCCTTGGACAGCACCCACTGTACAACCAATCCCAATGAGACGAACTGGGTACCTCAGTTGGAAATGCAGAAATCACTCACCTTCTGCGTCGATCTCGCAGGGAGTTGCAGACCTGAGCTGTTCTTATTCGGTCATCTTGCCAGCAATCCTTGGAATCAATATCCAGAACTAACTTCTAATGATTAAAATATTGTCTACAATGTTAATTATCCAGATTAATTAGCCATCTATATAATTGTTTTTAGGAATTAATCATAATAAAGAAATACAGGATCTATTAGTCCGTTCTCTCACTGCTATGCAGAAATACCCAAGACTGGGTAATTTATAAAGAAAAGAGGCTTAATTGACTCACAGTTCTGCAATGCTAGGGAGGCCTCAGGAAACTCTCAATTATTGTGGAAGGCAAAGGACAAACAGGCACCTTCTTCACAGAGCGGCAGGACAGAGTGAGTGCAAGCAGGGGAAATGCCAGATGCTGATAAAACCATCAGACGGCGTGAGAATCACTCATTGATGGGTTATTTGGGTTAGTTCCAAGTCTTTGCTATTGTGAATAGTGCTGCAATAGTCATGTGTGCATGTGCCTTTATAGTAAAATAATTTATAATCCTTTGGGTATATGCCCAGTAATGGGATTGCTGTGTCAAATGTTATTTCTGGTTCTAGATCCTTGAGGAGTCGCCACACTGTCTTTCACAATGGTTGAACTAATTTACACTCCCACCAACAGTGTAAAAGCTTTCTCGTTTCTCTACACCCTCTCCAGCATCTGTTGTTTCCTGACTTTTAATGATCGCCATTCTGACTGGCGTGAGATGGCATCTCATTGTGGTTTTGATTTGCATTTCTCTAATAAACAGTGATGATGAGCTTTTTAAAATACATTTGTGGGCCCCATAAATGTCTTCTTTTAAAAAGTGTCTGCTCATTTCCCTTCCCCACATTTTGATGGGCTTTTTTTTTTTCTTGTAAATTTGTTTAAGTTCCCGGTAGATTCTGGATATTAGCCCTTTGTCAGATGGATAGATTGCAAAATTTTTCTCCCATTCTGTAGGTTGCCTATTCATGCTGATGATACTTTCTTTTGCTGTGCAGAAGCTCTTTAATATAATTAGATCCAATTTGTCTATTTTGGCTTTTGTTGCCATTGCTTTTGGTGTTTTAGTCGTGAACTCTTTGCCCATACCTATGCCCTGAATGGTATTGCTTAGGACTTCTTCTAGGGTTTTTATGGTTTAGGTCTTACATTTTAAGTCTTTAGTCCATCTTGAGTTAATTTTTGTATAAAGTGTAAGGAAGGGGTCCCCATTCAGTTTTCTGCATATGGTTAGCCAGTTTCCCAACACCATTTATTAGAGAATCCTTTCCCCATTGCTTGTTTTTGTCAGGTTTTTCAAAGATAAGATCGTTGTAGATGTGTGGCATTATTTCTGAGGTCTTTGTTCTGTTCCATTGGTCTATAATCTGTTTTGGTACCAGTATCGTGCTGTTTTGGTTACTATAGCCTTGTAGTGTAGTTTGCAGAGGGGTAGCGTGATGCCGCCAACTTTATTCTTTTTGCTTAGAATTTCCTTGGCCATATGGACTCTTTTTAGGTTTCATATGAAATTTAAAGTAGTTTTTTCTAATTCTGTGAAGAAAGTCAGTGGTAGCTTTATGGGGATAGCATTGAATCTATAAATTACTTTGGGCAGTATGGCCATTTTCATGATATTGATTCTGCCTAACCATGAGCATAAAATGTTTTTCCATTTGTTTGTGTCCTCTCTTATTTCTTTGAGCAGTGATTTGTAGTTCTTCTTGAAGTTCTTCACATCCCTTGTAAGTTGAATTCCCAGATATTTTATTCTCTTTGTAGCAGTGGTGAATGGGAGTTCACTCATGATTTGGCTCTCTGTCTATTATTGATGTATAGGAATGCTTGTGATTTTTGCACATTGATTTTGTATCCTGAGACTTTGCTGAAGTTGCTTATGAGCTTAAGAAGATTTTGGGCTGAAATGATGGGGTTGTCTAAATATACAATCATGCCAACTGCAAACAGAGATAATTTGACTTCCTCTCTTCCTAATTGCATACGCTTTATTTCTTTCTCTCGCCTGATTGCCCTGGCCACAACTTCCAATACTATGTTGAATAGGAATGGTGGGAGAGGGCATCATTGTCTTGTGCTGGTTTTCAAAGGGAATACTTCCAGTATTTGCCCATGCAGTATGATATTGGCTGTGGGTTTGTCATAAATAGCTCTTAATATTTTGAGATACGTTCCATCAATACCTAGTTTATTGACAGTTTTTAGCATGAAAAGCTGTTGAATTTTGTCAAAGGCCTTTTCTGCTTCTTTTGAAATAATCGTGTGGTTTTTGTCATTGGTTCTGTTTATGTGATGGATTATGTATATTAATCTGTGTATGTTGAACCAGCCTTGCATCCCAGGGATGAAGATGACTTGATTGTGGTGGATAAGCTTTTTGATGTGCTGCTGGATTCGGTTTGCCAGTATTTTATTGAGGATTTTCACATCGTTGTTCGTCAGGGATATTGGCTTGAAATTTTCTTTTTTGGTTGTGTCTCTGCCAGGTTTTGGTATGAGGATGGTGCTGGCCTCATAAAATGAGTTAGGGAGGATTCCCTGATTTTCTATTGTTTGGAATAGTTTCAGAAGGAATAGTACCAGCTCCTCTTTGTACCTTTGGTAGAATTCGGCTGTGAATCTGGCTGGTGTAGGGCTTTGTTTGTTTGGCAGGCTATTTATTGCTGCCTCCATTTCAGAACTTGTTATTGGTCTATTCAGGGATTCAACTTCTTCCTGGTTGAGTCTTGGGAGGGTGTATGTGTCCAGGAATTTATCCATTTCTTCTATATTTTCTAGTTTATTTGCATAGAGGTGTTTATAGTATCTGTGGTAGTTTGTATTTCTGTGGGATCAGTGGTGATATCCCCTTTATCATTTTTTATCGTGTCTATTTGACTCTTCTCTCTTTTCTTCCTTATTAGTCTTGCTAGTGGTCTATTTTGTTAATCTTTTCAAAAAACCAGCTCCTGTATTCATTGATTTTTTTAACAATTTTCAGGTCTCTTTATCCTTCAGTTCTCCTCTGATCTTAGTTATTTTTCTTCTGCTATCTTTTGAATTTGTTTGCTCTTGCTTTTCTAGTCCTTTTAATCATGATGTTAGGATGTCAATTTTAGATCTTTCCCACTTTCTCCTGTGAGCACTTAGTGCTATAAATTTCCCTCTAAACACTGCTTTAGCTGTGTCCCAGAGATTCTGGTATGTTGTGTCTTTGTTCTCATTGGTTTCAAAGAACATCTTTATTTCTGCCTTAAATTTTGTTATTTACCCAGTAATCATTCAGTTGTTCAGTTTCCACGTAGTTGTGTGGTTTTGAGGGAGTTTCAAAATTCTGAGTTCTAATTTGGTTCCACTGTGATCGGAGAGACTGATTATTATGATTTCCATTCTTTTACATTTACTGAGGAGTGTTTTACTTCCAATTATTTGGTTGATTTTAGATTAAGTGAGATGTGGTGCTGAGAAGAGTGTATATTCTGTTGATTTGGGGTGGAGAGTTCTGTGGATGTCTATTAGGTCCACTTTGTCCAGAGCTGAGTTCATGTCCTAAATATCCTTTTCAATTTTCTGTCTTGTTTATCTGACTAATATTGACAGTGGGGTGCTACAGTCTCTCACTGTTATTGCGTGGGAGTCTAAGTCTCTTTGTGGGTCTCTAAGAACTTGCTTTATGAATCTTGGTGCTCCTGTATTGAGTGGATATATACTTAGGCTAGTTAGCTCTTCCTGTTGCATTGATCATGTTATGCCCATCTTTGTCTTTTTTGATCTTTGTTGGTTTAAGGTCTGTTTTATTAGAGACTAGGATTGCAACCCCTGCTTTTTTTTTCCTTTCCATTTGCTCTGTAAATATTCCTTCATCCCTTTATTTTGAGCCTGTGTGTGTCTTTGCACGTGAAATAGGTCTCCTGAATACAGCACACTGAAGAGTCCTGACTCTTTATCCAATTTTCCAGTGTGTGTCTTTTAACTGGGGAATTTAGTCTGTTTATATTTAAGGTTAATATTGTTATGTTTGAATTTCATCCTGTCATTATGATGCTAGCTGATTATTTTGCCCATTAGTTGATGCAGTTTCTTCATAGTGTCAATGGCCTTTATAATGTGGTATGATTTTGCAGTGGCTGGTACCAGTTTTTTCTTTCCATATTTAGTGTTTTTTTCAGGAGCTCTTGTGAGGCAAGCCTGGTGGTGACAAAATCTCTCAGCACTTGCTTGTCTGTAAAGAATTTTATTTCTCTTTCACTTATGAGGCTTAGTTTGGCTGGATATGAAAGTCCAGGTTGAAAATTCTTTTCTTTAAAAGTGTTGAATATTGGCCCCCCTACTGTCTTGTGGTTGTAGGGTTTCTGCAGAGAAGTCTGGTGTTAGTCTGATAAGCTTCTTTTTGTGGGTAAACAGAACTTTCTGGCTGTTTTTAACATTTTTCCTTTATTTCAACCTTGGTGAATCTGACGACTGTGTGTCTTGGGGTTGCTCTTCTCGAGAAGTATCTTTGTGGTGTTCTCTGTATTTCCTGAATTTGAATGTTGGCCTGCACTTGCTAGGTTGGGGAAGTTCTCTTGGATAATATCCTGAAGTGTGTTTTCCAACTTATTTCCATTCTTCCCATCATTTTCAGGTATACCAATCAAATGTAGATTTGGTCTTTTCACATAGTCCCATATTTCTTGGAGGGTTTGTTCATTCCTTTCCATTCTTTTTTCTCTAATCTTGTCTTCATACTTTATTTCATTGAGTTGATCTTCAGTCTGTGATATCCTTTCTTCCACTTGATCGATTTGGCTATTGATACTTGTGTATGCTTCACGAGGTTCTTGTGCCGTGTTTTTCTACTCAATCAAGTCTTTTATGTTCTTCTCTAAACTGGTTATTCTAGTTAGCAATTTCTTTACCCTATTTCCAATGTTCTTAGCTTCCTTGTATTGGGATAGAGCATGCTGTTTTAGCTTGGAGGAGTTAGTTATTACCCACTTTCTGAAGCCTACTTCTCTCAGTTCGTCAAACTCATTCTCCATCCAGTTTTGTTCCCTTTCTGGCAAGGAGTTATGATCCTTCGGAGGAGAAGAGACCTTCTGGTTTTTGGAGTTTTCAGCCTTTTTGTGCTGGTTTCTCCCCATCTTTTTGGATTTATCTACCTTCGGTCTTTGATGTTGGTGACCTTCGGATGGGGTCTTTGGGTGGACATGCTATTGCTTTCTGTTTGTTAGTTTTCCTTCTAGCAGTTAGGCCCCTTTGCTGCAGGTCTGCTGGAGTTTGATAGAGACCCTGTTTGCCTGGTTATCAGCAGCAGTGGCTGCAGAACAGCAAAGATTGATGCCTGTTGCTTTTTCTGGAAGCTTTGCCCCAGGGGTGCACCCACCAGCTGCCAGCCGGAGCGCTCCTGTATGAGGTGTCTGTTGGTCCCTGCTGGGAGGTGTCTCCCAATCGGGAGGCACGGGGGTCAGGGGCCCACTTGAGAAGGCAGTCTCTCCCTTAGCAGAGCTCGAGCACTGCACTGGGAGATCTGCTGCTCTCCTCGGAGCCATCAGGCAGGAATATTTAAGTCTGCTGAAGCTGTGCCCACAGCTGCCCCTTCCTTCAAGTGCTCTCTCCCAGAGATATGGGAGTTTTATCTCTCAGCCCCTGACTGGAGCTGCTGCCTTTCTTTCAGAGATCCCTTGCCCAGAGAGGAGGAATGTAGACAGGCAGTCTGGCTACAGTGGCTTTGCTGAGCTGCAGTGGGCTCCACCCACTTTAAACTTCCTGGCTGCTTTGTTTACACTGTGAAGGAAAAACTGCCTACTCAAGCCTCAGTAATGGTGTATGCACCATCCCCGACCAAGCTCAAGCATCCCAGGTTGACATCAGACAGCTGTGCTGGTGTGAGATTTTCAAGCCCATGGATCTTAGGTAGTTGTCCTCCATGGGGGTGGGATCCACTGAGCTAGACCACTTAGCTCCCTGGCTTCAACCTCCTTTCCAGGGGAGTGAACAGTTCTGTTTCTTTGGCATGCCAGATGCCACTGGGATATAAAAACAACTCCTGCAGCTAGCTCGGTGTCTGCCCAAATGGCCACTCAGTTTTGTGCTTCAAATCCAGGGCCCTAGTGGTGTAGGCACACGAGGGAATCTCCTGGTCTGCAGGTTGCAAAAACCATGGGAAAAGCATAGCATCTGGGCTGAAATGCACCATTACTCAGGGCACGGTCTCTCACGGCTTCCCTTGGCTAGGGGAGGGGGTTCCCTGCCCCCTTGTGCTTCCTGGGTGAAACACCGCCCCACCCTGCTTTGGCTCGCCCACCATGAGCTGCACCCACTGTCTAACCAGTTTCAATGAGATGAGCCACGTACCTCAGTTGGAAATGCAGAAATCACCTGCCTTTTGTGTTTATCTTGTTGGAAGCTGCAGATCAGAGCTCTTACTATTTGGCCATCTTTCCAGCCACACAGTCCCCCAAATTCTTAGGTCTCTCAAGCATTAACCAAAAATCCAAGTTCAAAGTCTCGCCTGAGTCAAGGCAAGTCCATTTTGCTTATGAGTTAGTAAAATCAGAAGCAAGTTAGGTACTTTCTAGATACAATGAGGGTACAGGCATTGGGTTAATACAGCCATTCAAAATGGGAGAAATTTGCCAAAATGAAGGGACTATAGGCCTCATGCAAGCCCCAAATCCAGCAGTGCAGTAAGATCTTAATGCATCAAAATGATCTCCTTTGACTCCATGTCTCATATGCAGGTCACAGTGATGTGAGGAGAGGTTTCCCAAGACCTTGGGCATCTCACCTCTGTGGCTGTGCAAGGTAGAGCTGCCCTCTCAAATGCTTTCATGGACTGGTATTATCTGCAGCTTTTCCAGTCACACAGTTCTACCATTCTGGGGTCTGGAAGACTGTGGCCCTTTTCTCACATCTCCAATGGCAGTGCCCCATTGGGAATCCTGTTTAGGGGCTTCAACCTCACATTTCCCTTCTGCACTGCCCTAGCAGAGGTTCTCTATGAGGGCTTTGCCTCTGCAGCAAACTTCTGCCTGGGCATCCCAGCATTTCCATACATACTCTGAAGTCTGGTTGGAGGTTCCCAAACCTCAACTCTTGACTTCTGTGCACCTGCAGACACAACACTATGTATAAGCCACCAAGGCTTGGGGCTTGTACCCTTCGAAGAAATGGCCTGATCTGTACATTGGTCCCTTTCAGCCATGGCTGGGGTGCAGGGCACCAAATCCCAAGACTGCAGAAAACAGCAAGCCCTTAGGCCCAGCCCATGAAACCATTTCTCCCTCCTAGGTCTCCAGGGCCTGTGATGGGAGGGCCTGCCATGAAGATCTCTGCCATGTCCTGGAGACATTTTACCCATTGTCTTGGTCGTTAACATTTGGCTCCTAGTTACTTATGCAAATTTCTGCAGCCAGCTTGAATTTCTTCTCAGAAAATGGGTTTTTCTTTTCTATCACATAATCAGGCAGCAAATGTTTTAAACTTTTATGCTCTGCTTCCCTTTTAATATAAGTTCCAATTCCAAACCAACTCCTTGTGAATGCATAAAACTGAATACCTGTAAGAGCACCGAAGTCACATCTTGAATGCTTTGATGCTTAGAAATTTCTTCCACCAGATATTCTCAATTGTCTCTCTTAAGTTGAAAGTTCCACAGATCTCTAGGGCAGGGTCAAAATGCTGCCAGTCTCTTTGCTAAAGCATAGCAAGAGTCACCTTTATTCCAGTTCCCAACAAGTTCCTCATCTCCATCTGAGACTACCTCAGCCTGGATTTCATTGTCCATATCACTATTAGCATTTTGATCATAGCCATTCAACAAATCTCTGGGAAATTTCAAACCTTCCCACATCTTCCCCTCTTCTTCTGAGCCCTCCAAACTGTTTCAACTCTGCCTGTTACCCAGTTCTAAAGTCGCTTCCACATTTTCAGGTATCTTTATAGCAGTACTCCACTTCTGGTAACAATTTACTCTATTAGTCTGTTCTTACATTGCTATGAAGAAATACCCAAGGCTGGGTCACTTATAAAGGAAAGAGGCTTCATTGACACAGTTCCACCTTGATGGGGATGCCACAGGAAACTTACAATCATGGCAGAAGGCAAAGGAGAAACAGACGCCTTCTTCACAGTGTGCCAGGATGGAGTGAGTGCAAACAGGTAAAATGACAGATGCTTATAAAACCATCAGATCTCATGAGACTCATTTACTATCATGAGAACATCATGGGGAAACCACCCCCATCATCCAATTACCTCTGCCTGGTCCTGCCCTTGATGCATGGGGAGTGTGGTAATTATGGGAATTACAATTCAAGATGAGATTTTGGAATGGGGACACAGCAAAACCATATCAGGGAGGTATAAATAGGTATTGACATACACTTAACCAGGTTTTTAAAAACGGAAATGAAAATGGAAAGGACAGCCTGGAAATATTGCAAAAGGCAGGGAGAAAATAAAGAAAACAGGACATTGAGTACTGGGTAAATTTATTGGACATTTCGTAGACCAATAAAATGAGCAAAATCTTCTCAACCACATGAAAGTGCTTCCTAGTGGTGGGAGAGTCAAGTGAGTGTTATCTTTCTAAACCAAAACAAACAAACAAAATACACACACACACACACACACACACACACACACACACACACACACACACACACACATTTAAAGGAGCAAAAAAGGATATATGCTTACCTGAAACTGGCTGATCAGCTGAATACACTGGAAAATTAAAATTTTTAATTTTGCTAGTCTAGCAGAACCTGAGAGAGACTGATCCAAGCCCATTTACATCAGGTAAATTGCTAACCAAATGCAAATTACTAATTATCTGATAAAACTAAGATGTTCTGGTGCCTAGAAAATGTATATTTAATTTTACTAACACTTTAGAATGTAAAAGCCTATAGATATTCCCTGCTTGAACTTCATAGGCCCATATCTTTTGTGGATTCATAGGCCAAGGGTAGGTAAACTACAGCTTACAAGACATATTTGGCTAGACACTTGTTTTTGTAAATAACATTTCATTGAAATACAACAACACCTATTCATTTCCTTATTATCTATGGCTTCTTTTGTGTTACAAAGGCAGAATTGGCTAGTTATGTCAGAGACCCTATGGCCCAACAAGTGTAAAGTATTTGCTATTTGGCCCATTACAGGAAATGTTTTCCAACCCTGATCTAGTCTCTTGCTACTCAAAGTGTGGTCTGTGAACCGGAGACCTTGTTGGAAATGCAATATCTAATGCCCTACCAGAGAGCTACTTCATTAGTACCTTTGTTTTAACAAAATGCACAGGTGATACACATGAAGTATGTGAAGGTGCGATCTAGAACACTGTCTAGATCTTAGTATAATACAGCAAGGATTTGTTCTATGAGTCAATATCTAGATCAATATGCAACTATTGAACTTCATCAATAGATATTTATTTAATATGTATCATGCACCTGGATCTTGCATATATCTGGAAAGAAGCCAAAGAAATGGCTCTTGTCCTTGAGGGCTTTAAAATTTACTTGAGGCAAATTAAAAATTGCAGGTGTAGAACCATTAAAGAATATCATAATAGAGCACATCGTAATATGCTGATTGTATTTTGCAGATGGTAAGTGATGAAAGAGAAACATGTTGGATTCTGAAAGGAATAAGAAAATGCCTCAGATATGAATGGCTTTGGACTGATTAGTGTAGCTTCTCAGATATGGTCCATAAATAAAAAACTGAGGGGTGAAATATCCCTTAGTTTATCTAGGGCTTTTTGCATTGCAAAGAAGAAATGGAATATGCTCAGACAAATGGTTCCAAGGCTCTTAGCGAAGCAGATAAATGCATGAGCACATGTGTTTTTATAGCAAGTAAATTAGGCTGTAAATCACAGAACAAAAGATAGAACTGAATATTCCTGCAGTTAAAATGTAGCAAGAAATACCTGAACAACCTCCGATGAGATAATTGATAATGTCATGGTGAATTAAATATCTACAGTAGGGTTAGCTATGATAAACCTCATCTTTTCCCATGTTAAATGCTAATTTCCTAAGAATAGGCAATTACAAAGTCGCAACCCTGCTGCCTTTTGTTTTTGTCATTGAGCTGTTTGTAAGCACTTAATTTAGTGGTTTGATGTTTTTTTTTCTTCTCAGAATAAATAGAATTTCTCAGAAAACTCAGATGCACTTTTAATTCTCTGATGACTCTCTTCTACTCAACACAATTAATAATATTCAAGGAAAATGGAACACCCAATCTTTAGAAAAAGAGGCCCCCACCAATCTATTTGTTTTGCATTTGTTTGAGACTAAATTTTTCATTTAGAGTCTCAAAATAAAAGGCCACTGATCAGTTTGGCCTCTAACTGGCTTTCTGAATTGAGAAAAAAGAAAACCTTTCTTTTATTGCTTTTATAATCATGGTTGCAGAGAAGAGCCATAGGGCTACAGAAAACAAGGAAGAGTGGGTTCTTTAAGTTCCTCCTACAGAATTGACAGTTTCAATGTGTTTGACTCACAGACTTCCATGTCCTGAAATTTAACACTCCAAGGTTCTCAATGTCACCTGTTCTCTCTATATTCTATAATTTTATCTACTACACTAGGGCTGAGGCCTAAGGGAAAGGGGTACAAGGAAAAGATGTACATATCAATTCGTAAATAAGAAGTGTGTTTTTATGTTGTATTAAAATTAGAATAGGGACATCGTGACGTCAACAGGTTCCCACTTCAACTATCCCTAAACATTGCTCAAAGTGTGTGTTTGTGATGTTGGGTGGTGGAGGATTGAACATTGTGGTATGGGACTCCTACTTCATTTCTGTTTTTGATCCCCCCACCACCACTTTCCATTCAGAGGGGATAGCATCAATTTTACTATTAATATTAGAAATTTAGAATCTTGAATAGGGGAGGAAGTTCAAGAGATCTTGTATCACTCATATTGGTATTTCTTGTCCTCTCTTTTTGAAACCTGGGGAATGAATGGATTGAATGGACTGGAAGAGTTATAGCTCCTTGTGAGGTTCCTATCCCACCAAAAGCAGGGTTTGAGTGTTTTGGGTGCTGACTTAGAGTTTGATAGCGTAGTGTCATGGGTAGAATACAAGATGACACTGAACCCTTGAGTTCTGATCCTGGTGACAGTAAAAGGCCATCCCTTCTTTTACAAGTTGGCTTTGCCTTTGGGTATTGATGTTTTTATTCGTAAGATTAAGAGAGTAGATAAAATTTAAAATTCTCAAAACTAACTCATGCATCAAAAGATGTATCCTTTTTCCAATAAATCTATTGGACTTTATTTGTGCAAGAAATAAATTTTAGTTTATTAGAATCATTCTACACTTTTGGGTTAGTTTGTAATAACAGTTAACTCATATAATATATTTAGGAATCAGTCTCAGTAGATTGGTTTGGATCACATGCCTTTCTAAAACAATTAATTTTAATTGATATTTCTGCTATGTGTGCATATGTTGAGAGTGTTATTATTTTATCAATGGCAAGATTTGGGTCATGTGCTTATCCCTAAAGAAGGTTCATTTTTTCTCAAAGCACCTGGATTTAGTGTAACTGAGGAGTGGGGGATGTTTTCAAAAGATCATTAGATTGTGGTAGGAAAAAAACAATTCAGAGCAGGCTGAATATCAGATGTCCTTCATAAGTTACACATTCTCTAAGTCTACTGAAGTCTAAGCTCCGTTTTGCCCTGCAGTCCTTGGCAGTGCTGGCATTCAATAAATTTGTTGAATGCATGAGTGCCTGTATAGAAAGAAATAAGAAAATCAGCTCAAAAAGCTGGCCTTTTCCTCAAGTACAGCATTATTTAACTGAATTTGAATTTCCTCAACTTTCTCCCTTTGCTCCTGTTCAACCATAACCTAAACTGCACTTTAAACTGAGCATGGATTTAATGAGTTAACACAAGTCCCTTTGCAATTTGCTTATGCTCTGACTGTGTTTATAATATTCACATTCTCAGGGTTCCTTGAAACTAGGCATGAACACATAAACATGGCAAACAACGATGACAGCAAATTATATTTATATTGAGAATATCATAGCATACAGAAATATATATTCTGGCAATTTCTGGTTTCACTTTAGAAATTATTACCATTAACATATTACAAACAATAAAATAACAATCATTTATAAACTCTCTACAAGAGGTAAGCAGTGTGAATGTTAGTTCATTTCTTTCTAATCCTTAATTATCTGTTTGTGTGTGTGCATGTGCGTGTGCATGGCGTTGTTGCTCCCCAACATCTGGGAGTTAATGCGGGCACAGTCTATTACCAACATAATCCTGTTCTCCTTTGGAACTGACAACTATGTTAGAGTCCAAAACTGTAGTATAAAAAAATATGTTTTTACTATTCCCTCCTGGAAAGTTTTCAAATGATATTGAATCTCTTTAATTAAACCCTCAAATGTCCTTTTCCAATTGTTCTTTCTACCTTCTTTCTCCTTCCCCATCTTTCTCCCCTCACTCTAGGTAATATTCAGGGTCCTAGATTGTAATGATCTTGTCTATGTCTCTTGCGTTCATGTCTAGAACACAAGAAATGTTCCCCCAAACAAGGAGGACATCAGACACCTACAGTTTGTAGCGTGGAGCATCTATAAACAAACCAACTAAAAACAGAACTTATAGATTTACTGCAATTACATATGAAACATAAGGAATAGTGCCTGATAGATAGTAAGCACTTGTTTATTATTGTCGTGGTTCTTATTGTTGGTTGTCTTTTATAACAATTTGAATGCATTTTAAAGTATCCCTCCCCAGTTAGATGGACAATGATGAGATAAAGTGGTAAAGGGGATAGAGAATTCCATTCTGACATGCCTTTATATTTGCACACATTTGAGACCACACTGAATTTAAAAATGTATTTCATGCATTTCACTCAGATTTTTTAAAGAGCATTCTCTCATGTCATTAAAAATTTCAATGTGAAGTGACAAAATCCAGTAACAGTGATATTGTAGATATTACTCTGAAGTTCTATCAGCTTGAGAGGCAGAGGTTGTTTACTTCCAGCAGTATGAGAGTATTCATGAATTACTAGTGATCTCAACCTTAGTTAAAAACCCAATGCATTTGCCCAGCTAACTTATCCATGTATTCATTTAACTAATATGTATTGAACCCTCATTATGTATTGGGCACCATAGTAGATACTAAGGATACCAAAGAGAGAAAACCAAATATGACTTTCATTGCCATGAAGCTTGCATTCTGGAGTGAGAATAATTAATCAAATAATTACATTAGTATATTGCTATAGTTTGCAGTGAAGAAAAAGCAGAACAATAAAAGATAATAATTTGGGGACCTTACCTAGCTGTGGAAGTGGCAAAGAAGGAAACTTCGGGAAAGTGTCTTCAGGAAGAGATATTTGAACTGAGAGTTAAATAGTAGAAATTAACAAGCAAAGGGAGCAGGAAGAAGGTTTCAAGTTGAGAGAAGAGCATATGCAAGGGTCCTGAGGTAATAAAGAGAAAACCCATTTGAGGAACGGAAAGAAAGTCAGGGT
This sequence comes from Homo sapiens, assembly GCF_000001405.40. NCBI lineage: Eukaryota > Metazoa > Chordata > Mammalia > Primates > Hominidae > Homo > Homo sapiens. The sequence continues at coordinate 6,043,946 of NC_000003.12, forward strand.
GAGTAGAATTTAGAGAGCAAGGGCAGGGATGAAAATGGGGAGGAAGATACAGGGGGAAAACCAGGCCTTCGTAGTCCTGTAAGGGATTTTATACTCTATTTGCAAAGCAATAGAAGTCTTTGAATAGTTGGGCCCAGATAGTATATTTGTACAAGACACCATCATCAGAATTACAAAAAGAGAAATACGTTTCCTTTGAGATTTTGCAGGTCATATTAGGCAAGAAAGGATTACTTCCAATATTTAAAAAATTCTGCAAGAATCTTTAAATATAGCATTGAAATGGCTACCAAAACTTTAATTATAAAACAAAATGCTGAGGGAGTAGTTGGTAACTTGTGTTAATCAGAAGCTTTGATTGACCTCTTAATTATGCCTTTAATGGGTCTAAGAAAACAAAGTTAGTATTGCTTAATATATCTTCCTGGACAAAATATTGCAATATGCGGAATCATTTGTGGGAATATAAGGAATAATTAAATGAGATGCTCAACGGAGAACAAAGTCTGGGAACCACCAACGTATAGTGAGAATCCACTTTGGGGAGGGGGCTGAGAAACACTAGAGATTGGCATTTTTTTAGTGTTGTAAGGGAGGTAAACTAGTGAAAGGCAAAAGGATGAGAGCTCCCCATAGTCTCTAGCAGTCTCCCAGTGTCCAAGAATTTTGATCACGCTAGTCTCAGAAAATAATGCCCTGAAGTCAAATAAATGAAGGGAGTACTCATGGTGTGTACATGGTTGTGAGTGTCATAATTAATAAGTTAACAGAAATTAATTTATTTATATGATTTCTGATAGATTGATAGATGAAAAATCTGTATGGTCATCCAGATATATGCACTATCCAACCAAAAGCACCTGGATATTTGGAAACATCCGGTAAAGAATAGCATGTTTTACTTTTCTTGATATGTGATACACACACACACATTTACACGTGTTTGTGTGTGCGTGTGTGTGTATACCTGTATTACCTTAGATCTAATTTCTGTGTAATAGCACATTCTTAGAAGGCTTCAATTTCCTAGTTCATTTCTTAGATCCCATCAGACACCTAAATAATAAGAGCAATAGCAGTGATTCACGCCCTTTATTGTGCAGCAGTCTCACCTGGAGGATTTTTACACCACACATTCCTGAACTCCATTGCAGAAGTTTGGATTCAGTTAATCTGAGTTTAGAGTCAACTATTTGTATTTTAAACAAGTTCTCATATGATGCTGCTGGTTTGAGAACCACACTTGGAATGCCACTGCCCTGGAGAGCACTTTACATTTATAATCAGCCAGGGGGAGATTTGAGATGCAGGCAGAAGACAAGTAAATAAAATCACAGGGTATCCATCAGCTGTTTTTGTTAGCCTTGCTTCTAAGACTAGGGGAGTTTGTTCTGTACAGAAGTGATTCACCATCTATTTCAAATTCTCCATTCAAACGTAATAGGAGTATATTTCACCAATCACATTTGCCCTAAAATTGCTATATTTTAAAAATGGAGATGAATTGAAGCAAATTTTATTTTGAAAATTTCATGGAACATTACAGAGGTGTTACTATTCAAAGTCTGGAAATCACTGTGACAGTGACTCAGCTTCCTGTTAAAGAAAATAACATGCAAAACATTTGTCGCACATCTCCAAATTTGGATGATTTCTTTTTAATCCCAAAGCAAGTGTTCTTATTTAGAAGCAGTTGAATTACTTTTGTTCTGAGACATTGGACAGACAGCCAGGCAACACAGTTTTGGTTTATTCCTTAACTTGACATATCAGATGTCTAAGTTAAGATGTATGAAGATAGAACTACAATCACTTATGTGTCCAAGAGTAATATTGACCTTTTTTCCTCCAAAAAGCTCTATTCCAACATCAGTTGAGACAAAAGAGCAAATAAAGGAGACTAGGAAAATACAATGGCTTTGAAACTAAAAGTTTATATCACTTTGTCTTTTTCTGTAGATTACAGATTATATTTGCTTTGTTTCATTTTATTTCTCTGAAATTAGTTCTGTCTCCACTATTGTTTAATTATGTAAGCATGAGCCAATCTGGGCTTCAGTTTTCATTTTTTTTATAATGTTGAAATTGAATTGGATTTATCTTTAAGTTCTATTGTGTTATTGGTATTTGATTTTATTTTCTTTCTTCCTTTAAAAATTTCTGATAGGTGATATGTGAAACAGGATAATGGAGTAGAACTCTCCAGGGATCGTTTCTGTAAAGAAATTATTCACACACACACACACACACAAAGTCTCATGCATATAAATACCTTCACAAGAATGAAGAAAACCAGGTAAGAGATTGAAATACCCTGTTGTAGCACAATTATCAGAAAAGATGCATTGAAGAGGGTGGAAATGGAAGTTTTACATTACCTACATCGTTATACTCCCAATCTTAGGCAGCACAGTGTAGACAGAAATACTATCCACTTGGGAAAAAGAGGGAAGTGAGCATGAGACTTTTCCTTAGACCCCAACAACTGGGCCTGCCACAGTAAAACCAAGCACCAGGCATATGCCCATGGCCCCATACTCCAGGCTAGTACCTATAAACTGAGCCTCTAGACTGCCGCAGTTCCAGGAAGAATCATACAGTTCCAGGCCTCAGGCTTGTTTGTTGGACTTGATCTCCTGCCTGCCCACTGCCAGGCTGATGTCAGTGACTCCAGGACCCAGATAGCCCTCAGTGACCTTGAGCTTCTGAAATGTTTCAGTGCCATGCCAGATATATCTTCCTTGGGCTTCTGGCCTACCCTAGGACTGTGCCTGTTATAGTAGAACCCAGGCTTCTGGCAGTACTGTGATGACTAAAGCTGTTCCTGGCTTTTGGTGTACCCTAGTGCCACAGCTGCTACAGGGCTTTTTCTAGGGCTTTTCAGTTTGCAAAGACTAAAATAAATACTTCTTCAAATTCACAGACATTGATGTACAAGCACAAAAATCAGGAACAATCAGTAAACATTATGTTACCAAACAAACAAAATCAGGTGCCATTTACTGACCCTAAAGAAGTGAAAATATATGAACAGCTTGACAAATAATTCAAAATAACTGTTTTAAGGAAGCTCAGTGACCTTCAAGAAAATACGGAGAGACAATTCAATAATATGATTAAAACAGTAAGAGACCAGAACAAGAAATATGAGAAATTTAATAGAGAGATTGTATATCAAACAGAAATCCTGGATCTGAAAAATGCAATAAACAAAATGAAAAATGCAATAGAGAGCATCAACAGCAGACCAGATTAAGCAGCGAGAGATCTTTAAACTTGAAGACAGGTTACTTGAAAATATACAGTCAGAAGAGAAAAAAGTGAAGAGTGAAAAGGAAGAAAGAAATTTATAGGATTTATAGGACAGCCTCAAAACAGCAAATATTTGAGTAATAGGAGTTAAAGAAGAAAAAGAGAAAGGGGTAGAAAACTTTTTTTAAAAAATTGTAACAGGAAACCTTCTAAACCTGGAGAAAGACGTAAATATCCAGGTACACGAAAGTCAAAGGTCTGTAATCTGATTCCATCTAAAAAAGACTGCCCGAAGATACATTATAATTAAATTGCCAAAAATCAAAGACAAAAAGAGGATTCTGAAAACAGCAAGAGAAAAGAAGCAAGGAACATATATGCTGCTCATAAAAGACTCACTTCCCTTTTAAATAAAAAAATAGACTGAAAATGAAGGGATGGAAAAAATATTCCACGCAAATGGAAATCAAAAGAAAGGAGGATTAGCAATACTTATATCAGATAAATAGACTTTAAAAAAGAACTGTAAAAAGAGACAAAGAAGGTCATTATATATAATTGATATAGGAGTTAAAAAGAAATTAGGCAAAGAGTAAGGGTAAGGAAGTCCTTGGTAAGGTTTCTCTTTTAACGGAAAGCAGCCCCAAAATCAGTTTTTTTCTAACAGCTGGTAAAATCAAGCTGCAGACATACAAAAGCAGGCTGGAAGCTTGAGCAGGTGATTTGCAGGCAGCTGTGCCAATGGGAAAAGGCTACCTGGAACCAGGCACGTTCAAAATGGCGGCTCCCTCTTCCTTTCTCTTTGCCAGCCATGTGTACAGTAAGGAGCAGGCAACATGGCTCCAGCCAAAGCAAAGACCACATGTGCATAATAAGATTAGGGTGGGGTGGCCAGCTTCCCTGCATGCTATGTAAACATCACACCTGGTCCAACCAATCGATGTCTGTAAATCAGACATCACCTTCTCAAGCCTGCCTATAAAAGCCGATGCACTCCTACTCCTGGCCCGAATTCCCATTTGGGAGCCCCTCTCTCTCACAAGAGAGAGCTGTTCTCCTTTCTCTTTCTTTGATATGAAATCTCTGCTCCTAAACACACTCTTTGTGTATGTCCATGTCCTTAATCTTCGCGTGAGACGATGAATCGCGGGTATTTACCCAGGACAAAGAGGCTGCTTCATAATGATAAAAGGTCAATTGATTAAGGTGATATAACAATTGTAATTATATATACACTCAACATTGGAGCACCTAAATACATAAAGGAAATAATAGATCTGAGAAGAAAGAGGCTGCAATACATTAAAGAGACTTGAACATCTCATTTTTAAAAGAGGAGATTTGAACATCTAATTTTTATCAAAACTGACAAAAAGTTAATAAGAAAACATGGGACTTATACTACACTGAAGATCAAATGGACATAATAAGTATATATAGAACATTATATCCAGTAGCTGGATTCTTCTCAGCAGCACATGGAAGATTCTCCACAATAGATCATGTCATAAGCCACAAAACAAGTCTTAACAAGTTTAAGAAGATCGGAATCATAGCAAGTTTCTTTTCTAAACACAGTGTTATGAAAGTAGAAATCAATAACAGGAAGTGGTTTGGAAAAGTCACAGATATATGGAAATTAAACAATATGTTCCTGAACAATTAATGGATCAATAAATAAATTAAAAGAAATAATTTTTAAAAAAATTCTAAAGTGAAACACAGCATACTAAAACCTAGGGGATAAAGCAAAAGCAATTCTAAAAAGGGAAGTTTATAGCAATAAATACTTTATAGAGAAGAAAGATCTCAAATTACAACATTGTGTTAGTGGTGGCAAATTCTTATGGTCTGCAGCAACCTCAATTCTTGACTCCTCAGAAGAAAGAATTTGACTGAGGGGCACAGGCAGAAGGAGGGACAGAAGCAAGTTTTAGAGAAGGAGTGAAAGTATATTAAAAAGCTTTAGAACAGGAAGAGAAGGAAGGTAAGTACACTTGGGAGAGGGCCAAGCAGGCTACTTGAAGGACAAGTGCATGATTTGACCTTTTGACTAGGGTTTTATACATTGGCATACTTCCCAGGTCTTTGCTCCCTTGTCCCATGATTCTCCCCTTGGGATGGGTTGCCCACATGGGCAGTTGCCTGCTAGTGCTCAGAAGGTGAGTATGTGCAGTATATTTACTGGAGTTGTATGCATGCTCACTAGAGGTGTTCTTCCCTTTACTGGTGGAATGTCCCTGGAAGGTCATATACCACTTAAATTCTGCCATTTTGCCTCTTAATGTGCATGCTTAAGTCAACTGGCCCAACTCCTGAGATCTTATCAGGAAGCTACTAATTACCAGTTTCAGGTTTCTCTATCTACTGGGAAACCGCCTTTCCCTGGTGCCAGCTGCAACCAATTATTATTTTAGCAAGAAATACGAAAGATTGTATTTCTGTGATATCATTTATAATGTCTCCTTTTTCATTTGTGATTTTATTTATTTGCACCTTCTCTCTTTTTGTCTTAGACTAGCTAACGATTTATTGGAATTGTTTATCTTTCCAAAATAATTACTCTTAGTTTTGTTTATCTTTTTGTTATCATAGTCTCTATTTCATTAATTTCTGCCCTGATCTTTATTATTTTCTTCTTTCTACTCATTTTAGGCTTAGTTTGTTCTTGTTTTCCCAGTTTCTTGCAGTGCAATTATTACAGTAGACAGCTAGTCAGGCAAAAGGAGGGCAGGAGAGGGTTTCCCCATCACCTGCCAGGGCAGGAGAGGGTTCCCTCATCAGGTGATGGTCAGGCCATGGTAGGTTAGCTAGTCTAAGACAAAAAGAGAGAAGATGCAAATATATAAAATCACAAATGAAAAAGGAAACATTATAACTGATATCACAGAAATACAAAAGATTGTAAAAAGCTATTATTAACAATTATATGCCAACAAAGTGGATAATGTGTGAACAATAGGTAATTTTGATGCAAACAACTTACCAAGACTGAATTACAAAGAAATAGAAAAGCTTAACAGACCAGTAAAAAGGAGGAAGATTTAGCCAGTAATAAAAAGTCTCCTATCAAAGAAAGTCCCAGGACCTGATGGCTTCATTACTGAATTCTAGCAAACATTTAAAGATGAACTAATGCCATTTTTCAAGCTTTTATTAAAAATTAAAAAGGAGAAAATATTTCCAAACTCATTTTATGAGGCCAGCATCACCCTGATATCAAAGCCAGACAAGGACACTACAAAAATAAAAATAAAAATAAAAATAAATAAATAAAAAGAAAGAAAAGAAATCTACAAGTCAATATCTCTGATAAACATATATGCAAAAATCATCAATAAAATACTAGCAAACGAAATTTGACAACACATTAAAAAGATCATTCACTGTGATCAAGTGGGATTCATATCAAGGATTCAAGGATGGTTCAACATATGGAAATCAATAGATGTGATACATCACATAAACATAATGAAGAACTAAAACTATATAATTATTTCAAGATACAAAAAAAGCATTTGACAATATTCAGCACACTTTCAAACTTTCATGATAAAAATTTTCAACAAATTAGGCATTGAAGAAATCTACCTCAGTGCAACAAAGGTCATATATGACAAACCCACAGCTAACATCACACTCAATAGGAAAAGTTGAAAGCTTTTTCTCTAAGATCCAGAACAAGACAAGGATACCCACTCTTCCCACTTCTATTAGTACTGGAGATCCTAGCCAGTACAATTAGTCAAGAGAAAGAAATAGAAGTCATCCAAATTGGAAAGGAAGAACTTCACTTGCCCCTGTTTGTAAATGACATGTTCTAAATATGTAGAAAAATATCAGACTCCACTAAAAAGCTGCTGGAATCAATTTTAAAAACCATTAAAGTTGCAATACACAAAATCAACGTAAAAAATCAGTAGCATATTAAAACACTAACAGCAAGCTTTGTAAAAAATTATGAGTACAATCTCATTTACAATAGCTATGAAAAATACTTAGAAATAAATGTAACTGAGGAGATGAAAGATCTGCACGCTAAATACTATAAAACATTGATTAAATAAAATAAAAAAGCACAAATAAATGGATATTCCCTGTTCATAAATTGGAAGAATTAATATTGTTAAAATGTCTATCATATACAAAAAAATTTATGTATTCAATGCAATACTTATCAAAATACCAATGATATTTTTCACAGAAATAGAAAAAGCAATCCTAAAATTTGTCGGGAACCATAATGAAAAACCAAATAGCTAAAGTAATGTTGAGCAAAAAGAACAAAGGTGGAGGCGTCACACTACTTGGCTTCAAAATACGCTACAAAGCTATAGTAATACAAACAGTATGGTATTGACATAAAAACAAACACACAAACTAATGGATCAGGATATAGAGACCAAAAATAAATACAAACGTTTACAGCTAACTGATTTTCAACAAAGGTGGTAAGAATGCAGAATGGGAAAAAGACAGTCTCTTCAAAAAATTATGGTGGGAAAACCGGATATTCACATACAGAAGAATAAAATTGGACCTTTATTTCAAACCATATATAAAAATAAACTTAAAATGACTAAAAACTTAAATATAAGACCTGAAAAAAAATATAAGACCTGAAACTATGAAACTAGTAGAAGAAAACATAGTGGAAAGGCTCTATGATGTTGGTGTGGGCAATGATTATTTGGACAGGACATCAAAAGAACAGGCAACAAAAATAAAAAAAATAGACAAATGGGATCATGTCAAACTAAAAACTTGTGCACAACGAAGAAAACATTAAATAGAGTGAAAACACAACTTACTCAATGGGAGGAAATATATGCAAACTGTATATCTAATAAGGTGTTGATATCAAAAACACATGAGAAACGTGAACAACTCAATGGAAAGAAAACAAATAACCTGATTAAATAATGGGCCAAAAACCTGAATGAACATTTCTTAAAAGAAGACATACAAATAGCCAATATGTGTGTGATAAAAATGCTCAACATCACTTATCATCAGGGAACTGCAATGAGATGTTACCTCATACCTGTTAGAATGGCAATTATCAAAAACAAAAGATAACACATGCTATTGTGGATGTGGAGAAAGGGAAATTCTTATACATTGTTGGGAAAGTAAAGTAGTACATTCATTATGGAAAAACAGTATAGAGTTTCCTCAAAAATTAAAAACAGAACTACCATATAATCCAGCAATCCAACTACTGGGTATATATACAAAGAAAATGAAATCAGTGTGTTGAAAAGGTATCTGCACTGCCATGTTTATTGAAGCATTATTCACAATAATAAAGACATAAAATCAAACTTATTGTCCATCAATGGATAAATGGATGAAGAAAATGTGATATATTCAATGAAATACTATTCAGCCATAAAAAGAAAGAAATCCTGTCATTGGCAAGAACATAATTGAAGCTGGAGGACATTATGTTAAATGAAATAAGCCGTAGGCACAGAAAGACTAGCACATCATGAGCTTGCTCACATGTAGAATCTAAAAATGTTTATCCCATAAAAGTAGAGAGTAGAATGGTGCTTACCAGTGGCTGCAGTGGTTGGTCGGTAGGTGGGGGATTTAGGGAGATGCTGATCAAAGGATACAGGATTTCAGCTAGAGGAAGAATAAACTCAAGAGATCTATTGTACAACATGGTGACCATAATTAATAATATATTTTATTCTTGAAAAATGGTAAGACAGTGAATGCAAAGTGTTCTTACCATAAGAATGATAACCATGTGAGGCAATACATGTGTTATTTAGTTAAATTTAGTCATTCCACAACATATATACTTCAAAACTTCATGTTGTTTCTGTTAAATATGTACAATTTTAGTCTACAAAAAAAAAATAAAGACTATGCTATGTTAAAAAATGTTAAAAAAAAAAAAGATACTTGATTAAGGCTCTCTGTTATCCTTTTGTTGTGACCATATTCTTTTGGTCCTCTATGAGATGCAGATAAGTGGTGTGTCAGCAAGTGTTTCACAATTGGCTGTTTGAAATAAAAAGGCGATAGAAACAAAGAAAAAAACGAACACTGATTTGTAGCATTCATTGATTTCCACGACATAAATATCCATGTGATCGACATGTGTGCAGCAGAACATCATTATATTGTATATTATCTGCTCTCTTAGAAATAACATCGAAAGCATAAATAATAGAATAATAAGTTAGAAAACGATGAGTTTAACATATTTGTAACATTTTTGTTAATATATCTACTTGTAGATTTCCATAACGTAATTTTTGATAATGATTATATTTAAAAGCTGGCTTGCAAAATTCCTGCAAATTTAAGTGTTGGTTCTCATGAGCTTGTTTAAACCAAGTAGAAGCCAAGGCAAGGTGAAATGTGCAAAGATTTTATTGCAAGAATGCCATCACTGACAATGGGGAGGAAGTCAAGTAGGGCTGAGAGTCATCAGACTGTGATGCAAATCTGACCCTGAGTGAAAGAGAGAGTGATGAGGTTGCATAAAGTGTTTCAGACTGTCCTGCACCTAAGGATAGTTCACGAGGCAATCAAGGAGTCATAGAATCAAAGTAAGCCATCAGAGAACTTCATGTTTCCAGGAGCAGGCCTAGCCTGGTATTCCTTCCATGATTAGTTATTCTCTGTGAGCAACCTGCGGGAAGAATGCATTTAGGGTAAATGCCAGAAAGGTTTCCAGAGGCATCTGGGGTCCTTGATCAATTCAGCTTCCTGAACTTGGAGATCTGCTAGGCATAATCCTATGGCCACCAAACCTTCAATATTGCCGTGCCTCATGCCTTCGCTATTTGGTTCGTCTTATATCATCACCATAGAGTTTTTTAAATAAAATATTGATATGTGATCAAGTTATTCCTCTCCTCACATAACTGAGTGGCTCCCAGTTGCTTTCAGAATGATCCTCAAACTTTCCAACACAACAGAGACTTGGAATTTGGTCTAAGTTTTCCTTACTATTTTCAGCTACCTATACCTTCTATGCTCTAACTCCACCCTACTTCTCTTTGCCCATTGTGTTAGGCCATTCTTGCATTCCTATAATAAAATAACTGAGGCTGGATAATTTATAAGGAAAGGGGGTTTAATTGGCTCACAGTTCTGCAGGCTGTACAGAAAGCATGGCATCAGCATCTGTTTGGCTTTTGGCGAGGCCTCAGGGAGCTTTTACTCGTGATGGAAGGCAAAGCAGAAGCAGATACTTCACATGGAGAAAGCAGGAGCAGAGAGAGAGAGTATGTGTGTTGGGGGGTGAGGCATGCTGCAAACTTTAACAACCAGATTTTGCAAGAACTCACTCACTATTGCGAGGACAGTTCCAAGCCATAAGGGATCTGGCCCCCTGACCCAATCACCTCCCACCTGGCCCTCCACTTCCAACATTGAAGATTACATTTCAACATGAAAGTTAGAAGGCATACATATCTGAACTATGTCTTCCATTATAATATACCTACCCTACCTATCCATATACCCATACATCCAAAGAATATTTTTTCAGTATCATGTATGTGTAAAAACCTTGCTAGTCATTTTAAATGTTAAATGAGCAGCTTAGGGTCTCATGGGAGAAAGACACAAGGAAGTTGATGAACTTGAGAAAGGCAGAAACACTGTTAGCCAACATGATTAGGATAGGAACTTAGTCACTTTGTTAAATATTGGTTAAAGAGTGGATTTATTAAAATCATATATATGTATGTGTTATGTATCTATACTTTAGGAGAGATATATATCTGTACCTTACACGTTTTATTTCAGGTTAAAATAAACATATGTGAGTAAATTTATTTTATTTGTTACTTTTTGAGTGTGAGTCTAGTGATTTTACCTCATTTCTAAATGTCTCATTCTTATCTAATTTTATAGCATAATTTGGTAACTTGCTTTTTTCATTCTGAAGTGTTTATGTTAATTTATATTGTCATGAAATTGACCACTTTCTTTTCACATTGATAATTATATTTTTTTTTCAGTTCATCCATTGAGCTAGTTACATGGAGGTTGGTTCAGGAGACGTATTAGAGGAAGACATTGTAGAGTGGTGGCTAAGAGCACAAACACTGCAAGGAGAGAGTCTGTGTTTGAAGTGTGACTCTCTCACTTGTGAACTTCATAGCCTTGGGAAAGTTATTTAACTCTTCTATGCCACAGTTTCCTATTCTGTAAAATGAGGATGTAATAATAATTATACTCACAAATTTATGAGGATTAAATGAGTTAGTATATGTAAAATTGTTAGAAAAATAACTGGCACATAATAAACCTTATAAAAATATTAGGCATCATCATCATCATCACCATCATCATCACCATCACTACAAGACAGAAATAACCACAAGTTGCTGTGAAAACACTGATGTCAAACTGATTTTACAATGACAGGCAGAGAAAGCTTCTGGTCTGGAAAAAGAGACATCAGACTTGAGATTGGAAACATTGCAGCAAGAATGAGTGTTGATTGAATTTGTGGTGGTCACAGTGCCTATCACAGAGCATTGCACAGAGGAAAATGTGATTGAATGCCTATCAATGGCTAATTGACTAATTGGAAACCTAGCAAAAACTACTGGATATGACAGGGCCAGAAGAAAATGTAAATGAATCCTAAACAGCAAGACAAAACAATTACATATTATACAACTTTTTTAAAAGAATGAGAGACAAACACTGCCATTATTCTGTACTACCAAAGCATGGCATTTTACTTGGTTATTTTCAGTAAATTTTCTTTCATTTGCTAGTTGGATTGTTAGACATTAATTGGTGCCATACACCAATTAGAAGCCAAATTGCACAATGCCACCTCCTAAGAAAACTAATTTTTCACATGGATAATTGCCATCAGGCTGGATTTGTTCTTTTTAACACAATTAGTTGGCCTGTATTAGGAATTCAAATAATATTTCATAATTTCTTTGCCTGTGCAAGCATGTAAAATTAACAAAAGAGAGGAGAGACTTAACATTTGATTGAAAAAAATATACTTTTAATGAAATATGACTGTATTTTTGCTATTTAATGATACCTGTGTGACAAAAAAATTTATTTTAGATCTCAAAGCAACCCCAATAATTAATAGCAAAACATTGAATTTATTTCTCCTGCAGCCTTTTTTGTGGACACACCAAATGGAAAAAGTTTGTTCTCTAAATGTGGATAATTCAAGTATAAAAGATGATATCCTGTACTTCAAAATATAATCTCTCATACCATGTTAGATTAATTAATTTCTGTTTTAGAGTCAGTCTTCCATATCCTGATATCGTCTGTCTAGTTAAAGGGCCTTAGAATGGAATTACTTCCATGGGAAGAAAAAGTAGATGGAATTTCAGATAGCTGAGTCATGATTCCAACTCCTCATGTTAATTGAACGATATCAAGAACAGTTTGCAAAAACCATAATAGACCACTCTGACAACTTACTTTCAACTTTTAACTTTATCGCAGACACAAAAATTGAATTATCTTTAGGCCATTGAAACCAGAGTCTAATTCATCTGATGTAGTCAGAATGTATATTAAGGAAGACAATACTATGCCTTTTCCTTTTTGAAATTTTACATCTGATGATGATTTGGATACTAGCTAACAGCACATTCTCTAATCAAATGTCCTGAGTTTTCATCTCAGCTCTGTAACTTCTGTTAGCTGAATGGTCTTATAAAACACTGCAAGCAAAAGCTGGTATTGTAAATCATTATCATTATCACTCTTACTCTTTTACACCAGGTGCATAAATGCCTTAGAGAAAGCAAAATTAAAGTGCATCTACAATAGTTTTGAGTAATGTGGTAAAAAATTAACATGTACTCAGAGTATAGAATTTTACATGTAAAGTAAATAATGCATAATAGTAAGTAAAAGATAATATATAGTAGTAAATAAAAGATAATAGATGACAGTAAATAATAGAGTATGGTTTCTACATGTCTTGCAACAATTTGCAGGATATGTCGTGCACTCCTGCCATATCACAATGGCAGAAACTGGCACCAGGAGGTTATGCATTATTGGGGTCTGTTTTGGTTTAAAGTGGCAAAAATAAAACTTAAACTTTAATAAAAAAAACTTACTGTCTCATGTGGCTAAGAATGATATAGGGGCAACTCACAAAATCATGGACGTGTACCTTAAGGACTGGTACTGATAACTTATTTACTTAAGACTCTCTTCTTCTACCTGGAATAATTTTTCTCCTGCAGAGGGAACTTTTCCAGGGGGAAAGAATTTCTTTCAGCACAAAATATAAATCCCAGGAAAGGTTGCCTCTGGCCCTGCTTGAGTCATGGGACCACTGATGCCAAGTAAATAGGGAACTGTGACTGGCCAGGCCTGGGACACGTGGTCCCTATGTGGATGGGATTTGGAACATGGAATCATTAAAAGTGTAATGTAAAAAGTTGCTGGTCGGGGGAAAACTATGAGTGTCTAGTCTAGGGTGATCAGCTGATGAGCTGCAGCAATGCCAAGACTCAGAAATCTGTCTGTCCTCATGTCTACTGTCATTTCTTCCTCATGCCTGACCACACCCTCAGGGTCTCTTGAAACCATCACCTCCTTGCTTCCTCCCTGCATCCATTCCCCTAGCCTAGACGTCAGTTGTTTCTTCCATGGTCTAGTCTGTACTTCAATAGGTGCTACTTTCTTCACACCAATCCTTTATAAGCACTGCTGCTACATTATTCTTCCTAAATAGCAATTTCCTACTTTAAAATCCTTGAGCAGCTATAAAACCAAGAACAGTCCTGTCACCCTTACCTTCAGGAACCTACAGAGAATGACTCTTCATTGTAAGCACTTACTTTGTCCAATTCCTCCAGCCTCCTCCGAAACTGAGCTAGTTATTGGGACCTAAATGTAACTTAAGCTTTTCTGTCTTTATGTCTCCCCTGGTTGTTCTTCTTGTACCTCAAATATAATTTCACTCATTAACGCCTACCTTAAATCTTCCCTTAATGTAAAGGAAGAGCAAAGTTTAATCCAAAATATCGTCTTGCTAGTATAATCAGATTCTGCTGAAAAGAAAATGTTTGTAATTGAATATATTTTACAATCTGTAAGAAGTCACTGCCAGACTTTTAAGATGGCTATCTATTCCATTAAAAAAATTTAATAATTTTTCCAGTTAGCTTTTCAGGTTCTTGTGCAGGTTTTTTTTTTTCTGATAGAAAGTTCCAATTCAGTGTTTTTATAAAACTTATATGCCTTTCCATTGTTGTATTTTTTAATGTAAAAAGGGTATGATAGTTTATTTTTATAGTACTTTTTACTTAAGTGTAGTTGTTTATGGTACAAATAGGTACCTATAAAGATGATTATTGATATTTTGCTCAGAATATATTTGTTTAATTCATTTCTTCGGTAACTATTTATTAATAACTAGTGCCTTAAAAGTGACAGGCTTTACAAAAAGTGATAAGGACAAGACATGAACAAGACAAATAATATCTTTTTGAGAGAGAAAAAGATAAGAAACTAACAAGCATACTATTTTCCTTGACCCTTTAAGCTTACCTAATACCCTTCTAAACTAATATAGCTAATCGATTCTCTCTATTAGCTTAACTTGAATTTGGCCATTGCAACCAAAATAATTCTGACATGAATATATTTTCACTGTTATGAAACATCAGAGATGATAATGACTGCTGTATATATTTCAAGAGGTTTTGGTGAAGATCAAATAAGAAAGTACATCACAATGAGTGACCATGTTCATTATTTTGAAAAGATAAGAGTATTATCAATGATAGCATCGATATATGTTTACTGTGTTATTTACTTATTATTTAGTTCTAATGTGAGTAAATACATTCAGAACATGTGTTTTTAAAATATATAAATGATCACATGAGTAGCTTCCTGGTAAGTGAAGAGAATCATCTTACTATATTACACTCCTCAGTCTTTTCAATGTCAGGATTCTGCAGTTGGGCTGGCATAAGAGACCATCAGCTTCATTGTTCCATAGTCATATTATTTAAGTTTCCATGCCACCTCCCATCTCCGCCAGGATTTCTGGATCTCTTTCCAATTGGCACTTGCATTAGCTCTCAATGTGGTTGTACGTGTCTCCATCTGAAGCAGGCCAACCTCATTCCAGCCTCCTTACTCCTACCTCTATGCCATTAAATAATTTTTAGGCTTTCCTAACTGGACAAATGATGTAATATCTCTGATCATTATTGAGTCATCTATATAATGGGGAATCTACTTACATCACTGTAGTGTTTCGGGAACACATAAAAAGCTACATAGCAGAAGGCTATGTATTTTTACATATGTATATGTAATTTTCTTGCATTTTTTAAAGCTCAGTGGAAAAAAATTAAGTCAATGTGAGGCATTCTTACTTTGTAAATTACATGACTAAATTCAGTGGGGAATTTTTCTCTTGTATTAAATGACAGAATAGTCTTTCCACATAAGTAGTTAAACATAAAAATTACTTGGGAATTTATTAAATATACCAATCCTTTCTCACCACCTAGATGTTCTGAATATGATACTTCAGGAATCTGGCCTGTATTTTTAAGAAATTTCCTAAATGATATTATGCAATGGTCCATATCTTGCTTCTGGGACACCCCGATCTATGTGTTGGAACGGATATTCCTCCATTTACCTCGTTGATTTCCCACGTGTGAACAGTCATAGCTCATTTCTTTAACAATTTAGCCATTAAAACATACACAGCTATCTTTACATTAAGTATAATATAAGAACATGCACATTTATTTTCTTATGTTACTGCTGACACCCTAATAAAGTGAAAGTAAAGGCCTTAAATAAATATAGACCTACCAGCACAATGAGGAAAGGAGAAGAGACAATAGCAGGTGAGAACTCTCAACCCATATTGAAAGATGGAGTGAGGATAAAGAAATGGTCCCTGATGAGAATGAAACTCAGGAGAGAAAGAGAAGACTCAGCACTTATATAGGAGGTTATGGATAAAAAGTGGCCAGTTCATCTTTCAGAAACTCAGAGGTGTTCAGGAATTGGAAGGACTAATCTTTATAAGGAAAATTAAATACCAAGACCCTAGCTCCACTTCCCACTGCCTGCCCTTGTCTTCTCCTAGAAAATTTCAGAGATACCAGGCATAGGGGAGGATTTCTGATGAAAGAGTAACTAAGCACACATCCAGAGTTCTAAGATTTCCTATCCCTCTTTTCTCAAATACCATGATCAGAGGCGTATTCCCTAGAGATGGGGGTATAAACACAGAAATCCAGAGCCTGCTCCAGTAGATCACTCTTCAAGTGATTTACAGTCCACAGCTTGGCTAACATTCAGTGGGGTTACAATAGCTTTAGTAGCTTTTCATCAAAATTAAATAGACAGGGAAAAAACCCTAGCAAAGATTGCTGGTAAATCTTCAACATGAAAGAGTGATCAAAACACACAAAGAAACAGGGAAAAATGGTAAACTTGGAAGAATAAAGATAACAAAGGCATTTGCAGTTTAAATTGAGATCTTTGGAGAAATAGAGATTTTCCATTCATGAAATAATAAGAGGACCTTCTGAGAACAACAACAACAAAAAACCCTCTTGGTAATGATAACTTTAGTAACTGAAATTTAAAATAGTAAAAAGTTTGAAAAAATAATGTCAAAAAGTGTACAAAAAGACTGCAGCAGAGAAAAGATGAAACAATTATAGGGTGAATCAAGAAACTCCAGCATCTATTTAATAATGTTGAAGAAAAAAAGAATGAAGAAAACAGTGGTGAAATTTAAAAAAATTATGCAAGAAAATCTCTCTGACCTACTAATAAGATTAAGAAGATGTTAGTTTTTTTAACTAAGAAGAAAGGAGGACTATGCAACAGCTTATGTACCAAAGATTAGGTATTAGAACTACTGTCAGGAAACTCTAAAAAGTATACAGAGCAATGTTCTCACTATAAGAAGGAAAATATTAAACTCTGTCTTAAGAGAGTATGTTTAATCAAGACATTTTAAGGCAAGAAAAATCTCAGACATTTTTACTTTCGGAAACTTTCTCGGAAAGCTGTGGATATGTGCTTTACTAAAATGGGGGAACAAATCAAGACAAAGGAAAACATCCTATTCAAGAAACAGAGCATTCTCGAGGGGGAAGTTCAGTTGATGGTGACAGAAAGACCCAGGATGGAATCTTTATAGCAGGCCCACGGAGACACCAGTCCCATTTGGAACAGAAGGACAAAAGGCTCCAGGAGGAAGTTCTCCAAGGACAACAATTGAGATGATATAAATGGCATAACGGAAAACCATATGGAGAGGCTTTTGTATGTTGCATGTATTTTGAATGTTTTAGGAAAAATTAGCATAGCTGTATAAAAAAATAAAAATAATTTTTAAAATATAGTTATGAACCACGGGAAATCAAAACATTGTATGAAAATAATAGTAATAATACTGCATAATTTTTTTGAGAAATGAACAGCATTAAAATAGATAATAACCAAATTCTGATAATTTATTTCATTGATAATTATGATGTAAATCAATTAGAAGAAGGGGCCTAAAGCAAGCAGATTTCATAAGGGATGAAAAGAATGCATCTAAGGAAAACAAAGCCTTAACTGCTATAATATAAAGTCAATGCATAATGTTTAAAATTAGTAAACTTAGAAATAGCAATATGAGCATATTACGATTATTTATGGCAATAAATACCATAAGAGATAAACGTGGTTAACTAGGTAGGTGAGGAGGGTGACGAAGAGCAGTCGAATGAAAATGCTCTCTTCCGATATGTCTCTTGCTATTATTTCCTTTTTAAAAATTTATTTTATTTTAGATTCAGGTTGTTATTATTTCTTACAGACTTGTAAAAATTCTGTGTATTACTATTATTACAAATAAAGATTAAGTTTTAAGATGTACAAGTCCATTAATTAGTAGAATAATACACTTTTTTCTTCTGAAAAAATAGAAAACTAAGAAATAGAATTAAGAAATGTTAGATCTGCTGGAAAATTTCCCAAAACATACTGTGTGTGTTGATCTACATGACAGTTCACAGCATTAGATATTCAGAGAATTAGTTTTCAGTGCTGTATTTATTTTTAACTATCATAAGATCTTGTTATAAATGAAAAATACTTCAATAGGGACTCTTTAGGCAATTGTTCTTTGGAGATGGTATCTACAAAATGTGATTATCTCTAATGGTATTATCCTAGGAGGGAATAAACCAGAGCAGGCTCCTGCTGAGAGAGTCCTTTAAGGTGATTTAGAGAGAAAGATGCATATAGTTATCTCACAACTGATGAGGGAAAGGGTTTAAAAATTGGCTATTCCAGGCACGTAATGATTGACTCATGTGATTTGAAAGGAAGGATAGAAGACTGGGTAAAGAGAGGGGGATCCATGAATACAGAAAGGCAAGTTGCTTTAAAACGTAGGTTTTATTATCATTCAGGTATGGTGAGGCTAACAGAAAATGATCATTTGCTACTCACAGTCCCTGGGAGAAGGGGATATGCCACAGCATGCAGAGCCATGGGAGGAAGCTCCAGGCTGGTCTACCCGCTGGCTGTGGTCTACCAGGAGGCAAAAAAAGTGTGGGGAAAGCGTTGCCGGGAGCCTTTGATGTGGCTTTCATGGGAAAGACAAGGCAGGGTCAGCAGGCTTGGAACTGGCTAGTTTAAATAATTTTAGTGAACTCTAGGGTCCAGGGGTTGTCTCTAGTTGTCTGGTATCAGGCCTTGGGATGAGCAGGGCAGGGAAATGTTGCTTCCTGGAGTATAAAGGCCACATGAAAGAGGTAGTTGGAGTATGTGCTCTGAATTGGTTAGTTTGCATGTGAAAGATGCACTCTGGATGGGTTATTTGCTATCTTTAAGGATTGGCTAGCCCTGTGATAGGCACTCTTTTCCTCATCAGCAAGGCCCCAGATGCTAGAGCATTAAGAATCCAGAAAATAAGAAAATATAGTTAATACACGAATAAGCCAGAAGAATTACAAAGATGCAGATGTAGGACAGAAGAGCAAGATGAGTGAATGTAGGTTTTAGGAGGCTGTCAGAATCCATTGGTCCTTGTGATAGCACAGGTCCAAGCCAAGCAGGATTGCATACAGGGTGACATGACCTGACATGGTCTCCAGAGTAAAAGCTCACTGGCTGAGACATGCGTCAGTCCCAAAGCAAAATAAAAAGTGAATTGAGTTAAATAAAGAGAATGTAAGGCTGGACAACTCAAACTAATTCAACAAAGTGTAAGCTCATGTGCTGTGCAAGACACTGGGTTGCACATTGTAAAAAATACAAATTTGAATAAAATGGAGGCTGTTCCTTCATGGAGTATAAAGAGACAGGACACAGTTCAAAGATGCATATAAAACAGCAGTTGAATGAATCAATGTCTTGGTGATGTTTTTAAACAGAAGGAAATAGGCAGAGATGGCAAGAAGGTGCTGTTTGCCCTGCTAACACTCATGACAGACATCACTAATCAGTCTTGATTCTCTGTCATATCTGACCTCTGATTCTTCTCAGCAGAGTTTCTATAAAGCCACTGCCAGTGAATCAAAGTTAGTTTCTTTACCACTCTCCAGTAGACACTCTAAGGTGGGAGAAGATTGTGACTTGACTGAGAAAGCAGGAAAATCTTCCTGGAAAAGTCACATTTAAGTGAGCCTAAGAAAGATAGATGAGTTTTCAGAAGTATTCTAATTAGAAACTGTGGGTTTCAATAGTCCAGGCAGGAAGAACAAAGGTGGGATGGCTAGAAAGTCTGGCGAATTGGATGAATAGTAATTAGGGAGCCTGGCTGGAATTTAGGTTATGTGTAAGAAAGAAATGACAAATAAAACCAAGGAAGCAGGATTGGGCTATAAATACACGTGTATATACAGCTGTATATACAATGCTGTATATATGTATATACACACACATGTGTATACATATATAAAATTATGTATAATAAGCAAGATATATTATACATAGTGTATTTAGCATATATTTATTAAGTATATTTTTAAATACATTTATTATGTTATATATTTGTGATTTTTATATATAATTTATTATGATATATACTTGTTATATATAATTTGTTATATACATATGCATAGATAATGTACAAGTTGCTTAAATATATAGAATGTATATATGTTTATAATTTCTCATACTATACAGGTAAAGAAACTGAAAACAGAAATAAAATAGGCTGCTTAAGTGTACACAGACAGTAAGGGCAGAGATAGGATTTAAAGGCAAGCAGTCTGACTTTAGAGGCCATGCTCTTGACCATTATACTGTACTGCATCCCAATAGTTTATGGTACTATTTAATTTGTAGATACTGAGAGCTATTGATTTTTGAGGTAGATATTGATGCAATTAGAGATAAGCTTTAGGAAGATCTTCCTGGAAGTGGTATATAAATAGTTGGAGAGGTATAGTGGTAAAAGCAAATACCTGAACTTTTTGTGTGAGATTTTGCCAGGCAGTAATATAAAAGTGTCTTGGTAAATTGTCTTATAAATAATTAGAACCTTCCAAATTCCATTTCCCCCAGGGATGCCATTGCATGCATAAAAATGGGAGCAAGGCCTGGTAGCACATATTTGGAAAAGTAACTGAAAAGCATCTGTGTCATATCTGCATGCAGTGTGACTTCCTGAACCTCTCCACTTTTAATCATGTGAGCAATATTTGTAGCTTCAGAGGTGACCTATTAACATATGTATTCATGAAGATGAGCAATTATTGGGGAAAAAAATGTTCGTTTAGCTAATTCTTTGAATGACAGTGTGACTGCACTAGTGAATAAAACTAAGTCAAACAGGACAATCGCCCATCCCAATGGAAACAAACATTGCTCAGATTTTCTGCTCGGAGTCACAACACCCAAGAGCTCCTTTTCTTTGACTCCCCTCTAGAACCCTTCTTTGACACCAGGTGAGTGAGCACAGCAGGTTGTCTTCCCCGGAAGATTTGGGGAGCCTGAATTGATTTCACTGAAACGTTATCATATCTCTTTTCCTGCCACTGCTATAGGCGGACGATGGGTCAGACAACAATTAACTTGATGGAAAAAAAATGCCATTTTTATTAGAATGTCACACATGGTACTACAATAGGAGATTCATATGGTACTACTTGACTCTGTTCTTGGCCCTAGGACCTATCAATCAAGATTTCAGTTCTTGTTAGTGACTTTCTTGCTCCCTCCTGTCCAGATAGACAAAGACACAGCAGGAGCCTGGGCATCAAATAATGCTCCCCAAGAGTTTTCCTGGAAATCATCCCACAATTCCCTGAATTTTGTACATTTTCAATGTGGTAAAGAGTAGATGCTGGCAGGAATTTACACTTGGGGATGGGGATTTTGTGGGGTTGGGTGTGCTGGTTTTAGAGGTTATAAGTTTTAGACACAAACTTGTGAAAATTAGTGCCAGATGACATGGCTGAGCTTTCTACCTCTTGTCATTTCTCAACACCCTTAAGAAAGGAGTCACATTTTGGGAAAGGGGACAAACTGTTTTCCCTCTGGGAGAATTAAACACCCTGTCCTCTTTGCTATCACTTTACACTGAAGAAATTTCTAGCATAGATTTTGTAAGAATTTAATGAATTTTTAGGTGTCTCTCTCTGAACCAGACTGTAAGTCCCATGAGAGCAGGAACTGTGTCTCATTTACTGTTGTACCTTCACTGCCTAGCACTGAAACTACTTTCTGTGTGCTCAGTAAAAATGAAAAAAACAACAACAACAAAAAAAAAAACAGTAATTGAACACATGCTTTTTGAGAACCTGAAACATTTGAATTGCTTGCTCTGAAGGCCTCACTCTTTGCATTTCACTTCTAAAGATAAACAAAAAGTGCTAAAGTGCTTTAATCAGTCTTTAATTTGCATTTTTGAAAACTCTGTTAAAGGGAAATCCCTTAGGAAGTTTAAACTTTAATCTGAGCAAAGAAAAATAAAACAAAGCAAAGCGAAACTGATTCACGGATGAGACAGACCTCTGAACATGAGAAGGTTCAGAGAAATCCCACCAATAAGGTGATCCCTAGTGAAAATGCAAAAAATTCCATTCACTTATAGGAAACCAAAGAGCAGTGTAGAGATGACTTAATTGGTTATCACTTAATTGGTAAATTGGTTACAGAGCCTCCTGCAATTAATAAAGCTCAGCTACTGTAGTAAATGCCATATTGGTTTGGTCTATTAGGCTTAGTGCAGGAGCCTAGTCCAAGTCAGAGGCCTTCTGCAAAATTTTGTTTAACACTCTAATGCAGGTAAGTAATTACATGCTCATTGCACAAAATCTAGACCATATAATGGATAGTGTAAACCAGAAACAACCACCTTTCCCTTGATTTGGCTGCCCCTGCTCCCTGATTCCACATGTTGTTTCACGTGGCCTCTGTGGCTAGGTTGGCAGAGGCTATTCTTCCATCCTGGGCTTA
This sequence comes from Homo sapiens, assembly GCF_000001405.40. Lineage (NCBI taxonomy): Eukaryota > Metazoa > Chordata > Mammalia > Primates > Hominidae > Homo > Homo sapiens. The sequence goes on from NC_000003.12 coordinate 6,066,629, forward strand.
TTGTGGACATCCCAAGTTACCATCACAGCCCAGCAAATTCCAGATCTGCCCACCCTCTATTCAAAAGGCAGAATGCCAACAAGTACAGGGCTACCAACTGTTGGTTACTGGTGAGAGGAGGTGCCAGCTGGGCTTCCTGGGTCGAGTAGGGGCTCAGAAAGCTGTGAAACTCACTCATTTCCTGCATCAGGACTTATTTTGGTCCTGGATGAATAATATTGAAGATATATGCTTAAAATATTCCTAACCTCAGAATTTGTGCATGTGTTTTCTTCCCCAAGAAAGCTATAAACAGCGAAAATTTTGCTGTAAGCTTCCCTGTGTCCTCTCTCCCTCTCTCCCTTCCCCCTCCCCTGAAACTAAAAGGAATGTTCAAAGCCTGTTTTTCTGTGACCAGCAGACCTTATCTATGCTCCCAATTCCAATTCCTTGTAAACACAGTTTGTACAATCCTGAGAGATCCTGTCTCCTTTGCCATGCCGCTGCAAGGTCATAAAGTAGATAAAACTTAAGTTGCAATTCCGGTTTTCCTCAAGATCTGAGACATGTTAATTGTCTTTGTTTCTCGCTCTGGTAACATCTTCCCGCTGCACATATTTCCCGCCTTAAAGAGTTTAAAAGGTGATCAAAAAATCTAACACTGGCCACCCGCTCGGGACACCTTCCACGCTGTGGAAGCTTTGTACTGTCATTCTGCTCAGTAAAGCCTACAGCCTTTTTTCTCTCGGTCGGGTCCACGTCTCTCTCTCTTGCCGCGGGCTGCCGCCACCCCAACCCTTTGGCGTGGCTAAGGCAACAACCTTTGGTGTTACCCTGGTTTGCAAAGAGGTAAGTACAGAAATATAGAACTCAGAAAATTTTAGAGCAATTTGACAGTCAATTTTGTGTCTCCTGAATTTAATAAATAACAAATCTGGACTTGGGTTTATCTTGTATCTCGTTTCCTTTTCATTTCATTTTTCACTAGTAATTTATGTTGTTAAAGGCTCAGAGCACAATGGACTAGAAAAGAAAAAAGAAACAAACATCTTTCATCCTTGCTACTTTGGAAAACATTGCTTTAAGTCATTTGTAGCGAAAATCACTACCTCAAAAACGATGCATAGCGGATATTTATTATTTATTTATTTATTTATTTATTTGCATTTTCACTAGGATGGGGGTAGAAATGATAGTTTGACATGATTTATACATTCAGAAGTCAGGGACCTGGAAGTCTCAGCAGTAGTTTTCGTAGATGGTGTATAAAGCACCACAAAATAGAATAGAAGCCTGATGCTTGGAACCAAATTATGACTGCTCTGGGCATGATAACTTGGAACACCTTAGCCAGCAGGTTTTACATTATTACCTGTAAGGTTGGATTAGTGTGATCTAGGGATTATTGATTTCAGTGAATATCTTCACTCACATGGTTTTTCCTGGCAGCATTTCTCCGGACCCTCAAGAAGTCTTAGACTGTTTCTAGATCCACCAACTGTTTTGTTTTGTTTTGTTTTGTTTTGAGACGGAGTCAGGCTCTGTCTGCCAGGCCGGAGTGCAGTGGCTCCATCTCGGCTCGCGGCAAGCTCCGCCTCCCGGGTTCACGCCATTCTCCTGCCTCCACCTCCCGAGTAGCTGGGACTACAGGAGCCCGCCACCACTCCCAGCTAATTTTTTGTATATTCGGTAGAGACGGGGTTTCACCGTGTTAGCCAGGATGGTCTCCATCTCCTAACCTCGTGAGCCACCCGCCTCGGCCTCCCAAAGTGCTGGGATTACAGGCGTGAGCCACCGCGCCTGGCCTAGATCCACCAACATTTTACTCAAATCTAAGTGTCACTGTGGCAGAAAAATGCATAGAGTGTTTCAGTTTTAAAGATGACCAGAAATTTCCTTGGCTGTGATTACATAGCAGACTAAGAAAAGGAGCTGTGTGGATCAGACGCAGGCAATGGACTTGATGCTTTTCTCTGTAAAAGGGTCTTCCTTCGGTTTTCTCACCAAACAGCTAGTATATAAAGGAAGGCATAAATGAGTGAGTCATTGCACTGTTTCTCTTGCTATAGTACCAAAGGCTATCTCAGTAGTAGTACTAATGGAAGCTACTATTTAATTAACACTTACTCTGTGTCATACAGTATGTTTAATATTTTACATACTTTTTTTTCATTTAAGCTCTGCAACATCCATAATATATAGTTGTTATCCCATTTTATAGAAGAGAGGAATGGGATGTCAAGGCCAGTGGCAGAACTGAGCTTTGAAAGGAGGTTTGATAGACTTTAAGTAATTCTGTTAACCAGTATTACAATCCTGCTGTTCTATTGCTTTTTTTTTTTTTAAACTATATCAAGTTTAAGCAAGAGGGACATTTGGAATAACTTTTGAATGGCATGACATAGAATAGGTGCATAGGCATTTGAGAGCTGCATGAAATCTAGCAGATCTCATAGTCTAACTCAGGGGTTTCACAATCTTTCTTCTCTTTATTTTAATTAAAACTTGTTTTAATTAAACTTAATTTAAAAAAATTCTGTAGAGATGATGGGATGTCACTTTGTTGTCTAGATTGGTCTCAAACTCCTGGCCCCAAGTGATCCTCCTACCTTGGCCTCCCAAAACACCGGGATTATAGGCATGACTCCCCCATGCCCAGCCCACAATCCTTTTCTTTCAAGGTCTGTATAGTAAATATTTTAGACTTTGCAGTCCAATTCAGTCACTCTGACAACTATTCAATTCTGCCATTATGGATGGAAAGCAACCATAGGTGATGTGAAAATGAATGTGCGTGATTGCCTTTCAATAAAACTTTATTTACAAAAATAGGTGGTGGTTTGGATTTGGTCCATGGGCATTGTTTGTCAACCCTAGTTCAAATGTCTAGTTTTATGGATGTTGCTAAGACCAAGACTGGGCATGGACTTGTCCAGGGTCTTCGAGGCAGCAATGACAAAGACTTGTATCCTTTAGACTCCAAACTCCGTGTGTCTTATCTTTGACCACTTGGCTCCTCCCTCTGATAACTTAAGCATTTTGTCTAGTGTGATACATTTAATTTTTGACATCTACATATAAGGTTGCAATGTACCCTTTTAGCTTTCATTCAAAACAACTTATTTGAGTATGAGTTAATGAGGGAATTTTACTACAGAATTAATCTGTTCTGATTTGCTAAATGATATTAAAGCATTCATGACTTTCAGAAATTATTCATCTAAAAAATACTTGGAGCAGGTTTCTGAACCAATTGTGATTTTTGGACACACTGTGAATCATGACCTGAAGACTGGGACAGCCTTGTCCAGTGTCAGGTATAGACACATATTGATTCTGTCCACCCCATGGTCTTATAGATGTCACTCAAAGTTTTCACATTTGTCACAGATACCAGTTTTTCACGGACTACTAATTCTTCTTAAATCTGAAAATGATTATGGCGACTTTTTCCAATTAATTGAAGAAAAAATACACATTTTCAATATTTGCTATGTTCCTTCATGGATTGTCCACTGCAAGTTTTTAAAGAATGTAGCCTGCTTCTGAGTGGGTATAGCCAATGGTGCCAGTACTATCTTTATCTTCAATTTCAAAACAGAATATTAATAAAGAGATGAGATCATATACCAATGCTCTTATAAAGCCTGAATCTGTTAAAGGAAACTTTTTGTTTCTTGGAGAGTGACTAAAATTAGAAGAAAGTTTATTATAGTATAAATACTCATTAAAGCCTGTGGGATTCATCAAAAGCATTTCTGGGGCATTTACATCCTTTTATCCAGAGAAAAAAAGTTACCAGAAAGTATTTCTGGAAAGCCAGCCATAATTTATGCTCCACACTCTGCTTCACATCATGGTAAAATTCTAATGAAGATGTTGTCACTGACTGTACTCTTTAAAAAAGATTTTACAAACAGTTTATCACAGAATTTATACTCAAATGGGCAAAAAAGGCACAGTACATGCCATTCTAGTGGGAGTGTTGTTGAAGCACTTCCAAATAACCTGTCTCTTTGGGGACTGGATTTAGCACTGTATTAAACAGCCCCATCTTCATCATCAGCAGGCTGGGCCTGAGTTTTCTATGAGAGTTTGATAGGTCCAGATAATCCCAAACACACTCTTTTTCCTGTCTGTTCATGAAATAAGAACTGGGACCTGAGCTACCACGAATTTGAGAGTAACATTCTGAACCTTGCAAGAGAAAATGAGCTCAGGGAAATACTGCATGAACCACTTAGCATTTGCAAGGATTTGTTTAAATCATGGTTACAACTTCCTGAAGCTTCTTGATATGCAATTGATTTTTGGTCCCTGTGTTTTCCTCCTTGGTCCTAAATAGGGATCTTGTGAATTGTAGGTCCTCAAGATTCTGCAAATTTCTTTTTTTTGGTTGTGCATCCCTACCCCCGTTTCAGACCCATCTAAAATTAACTGCCTTTGGTGCTTTATCTTGGGTGTTCACCTGGTTTTGAGCCATCAGAATACTTTGCCAACATGTTCACCTGGTTTTGGGCCATCAGAACACTTTGCGAACATGTTTCAGTCCCTCTGAGTGACTCCATGGTATACCTTTTGTAACAAAGTAGTGGTTTAGAAACATTTAAATATTCAGGGACTTCATTTGAGATGTTAGAGACCATAATGGCTGGCTAAATTATATTCTGGACATTTATTTAGCTTCTGCTGAAGAAACTAATTTGAGAGCTAATGGCTCATCTATTTAAATAAAATGGCTTTTCAAGATTAGCTGATCTTGAAAGACGGGGTGGTTGTATAGACTGTAGATCGGGGCATCTAATATTTTGGCTTCCCTGGTCCACACTGGAAGAAAAAGAATTGTCTTAGGCCACACATAAAATACACTAACCCTAATGATAGCTGATAAGCTCCTAAAAAGAAAAATCTCATGATGTTTTACGGAAGTTTACAGATTTGTTTTGGGCTTCATTCAAAGCCGTCCTGCGCCACATGTGACCCATGGGCCATGGGTTGGGGAAGCTTGGTGTAGAGTGTATTCTCTAGAGTCAGATGACCCGGGCTAGGATCCCCTCACTATGTCTTCCCAGTTGCAGGAAACTTCATAATTTACCTTATCTCTCTAAGATTCTATTTCCTTTTGGGTAAATTGGGAATGCCAGTAATATATGCCTATCAGTTAGGGCTGTTCTGAAGACAAGAGGTGGACCATATAATGCACTTGGAATTCAATAAATTATAGCAAATTCACAGTACCTTTTATAATTCTGGGGTTCAGAAATCCTCAAACATATTTTTTTCATAAACAGATTACACCATAATTTAGAGAAACATTCATTTAAAACTAAACTGCTTCTGTTTTATTACATAAACATAAAGTTATAAATGTTTTGAATCAGTCCATATGGTTATGCATTTAGAATTCAAATGACCTAACTATTTTGATTTGTATATGATTATTGCTCCTCTAAAGATACTTTTATTTGCTTTGCCTTGGATGCCTCTCTTTATCTGGTTGCATTTGAAGTGCTAAGTGCTCCAGACCCCCCTGTATCCTTTGCTAATCTAGTCTTTCTCTGAAAGTTTTTGTAAATTAATGCTTTTGAAGAGTAGGTATAAGGAACTCCTAGGTAGGAAAGTAGATTCCTTTGTGGGTTTGGAATTACACAAAAGTAAATCACTCGGCTGCTCCCAATGCACTTGCCTTAATCACACAACTTTGGCCTAATTGCAAGGGAGTCTGAGAAGTACTCCATTGTTCCCAGAAAATGGAAAATGAAATGGACATTTAGCATTGTCTCCTCCACCCATCATTTTAAAAGCAAGTGTGCCAGGCCGGGCACAGTGGCTCACTCCTGTAATACCAGCAATTTGGGAGGCCAAGGTGGCAGGATCACACGAGGCTGGGAGTTTGAAACCAGCCTGGTCAACATAGTGAGACCCTGTCTTTACAAAATAATGTAATAGTTTTCAATAAGTAAGTGTGCCATGTCTTAGTTGTCATTCTGACCCCAATCTTAACTGATATTTGCTTTACATTCAAAGCAACCAATAAATTTTTTAAGATAGGGCATTTTTTACTCAAGGAAGCAAATAAGCCATTACGTTTTAAGAAGATTAAATTTTAAAAATTCCTGTAGTTTTGTAGGTCTTCTGTAAACATTAGTTGGCATATTTTAAAGCTTCCATATGGTCATGTTTTTGTTATCCCTGAACATATACTGTGTATTCATGGTAGGCAGAGTGCTCTGATATACGTCTCATAGGGTACACATGGTTAATGGTTATGAAATGTGAGATTGAAAATTTTGACCTTGATACATAATTTTAACAGAATGGCATTATAACTTTAAATTGATGACACCAAAAATTCTGCTTAAGTCATATTAAGACAAAAAAAGTTGACTTGGCTCCATCCCCATGATTTTTGCTCCAATCCGGTATTTTCTCTCTCTGACCTCTTTCAAAGTACCTACAAATGCTGATTTTTACCATGCTCGAAACCTTTTCATTTCCCATTGCCTCCAGAAGGTTTTGTTTAATAATAAAGATTTTCCTTCCTCTGGCTCAACCCTGATTGTTTCTCAATTTCCTGCCCACTAATTCCCTACACAGGTTCTCTCCTTTAGTTACACCCCTGCTTATGTGCTTCTATCTATTCTATTAGGAATGCCCTCTCCAAACATGCCTATCGAATAAGGTCCTGTTCATGATGCAAATCTCTATGTGATCTTCCTCCGGAATTCTTGAGCCCATGTGAGTTCTTTCTAATATTTTTTCTTTAAAATTTTTCATTGGTACATAATAGATGTAAATATTTTTGATATATGTGTGATAATTTAGTAAGTTCATGTAATTTGTAAAGATTAAATCGGTGTAATTAGGATATCCATCACTTTTTGATATTTGTTTTTTCTTTGTGCTAGAAACAGTTATTCTCTTTAGTTATTTTGAAATATACAGAAGATTATTGTAAACTATAGCCACTCCACTGATCTACCAAACACTAGTTCTTATTTTTTCTATCCATTTTGATTCTTTACTTGTGAGTTTCTACAACTCTAGTTGTAGAAGATAACGAACTTGTCCATAGTTTGACTCCTAGAAACAAACACAGACAGAACATAGAATGTGTTCAATACCTATTTGTTGGACCAATGAATGCATTTATATATTTGGTTCTGATTTTTGTTTGCCTCGTTTGGATACCATTTGGTGCAAGCTAAGTCGTTCTGCCATATCAAACAATCTCGGTAGCTGATGAAAACAACGGGCATTGCATGTTCCTTGTGGGTCAGCTGGGGCTTTGCTCTACATCCTACTCTAGGACCTAGGATGATGGAGCAGCTCCTGTGGGGAACATTGTGATTGCTGTGCCAGCGGGAAAAGAAACATGGCACCCACAGCTCAGCATCAGTGTTTCTCCCTGGAAAAGGCATCTATCACTTTTCCTTTCTTTTGATTATCCAAAATAAAACATCTTGAGTTCAGCACAGTAGGAGTATGTAATCCACCCTCAGGGAGAAGCAAGCTAGAGAGGGATTTTTTGGTGAGTAGCAATACAACCTACCACTGGAACGTAACCATACATCATCCCGCACATTTATTGAATCACTTTGGCTGTTGCATTTATCTTACATACTGAACTGCAGTGTAAAATCATGGACAACAGTAAGAAATCTCCTTTCAAAGGTTATCAGTAGGTTGTCCACAATGAATAAATAAGCAAGAACATGTAGAATTGTGAGCTATATAGATGATATTATCTCTGATTTGCTGGACCACAGGTTTTATAAAAACTCTCTGATGAAATATAAACACTGAGGCATTCTTACTTGTTTTATGGCATGAGTAACCTTGTTTCTCATTTCATGTTTTCCCACATCTGAAGAATAGGGTGTTGAAGGAACCCCCTCCACTGGTGATGGCTTTCCAGTCTAGCGCATCTCTCCACAGTCTACTCCCTTCTTTGATTCACAGTATTCAGAACATTTCTGATATCTGAACATTTGAGCAAAAATGTGCATAGCACAGGGCAATAAAGTGATTGTCATCATCATTTGTCTTTTCCTCTTCAATCTGTGTTAGTATCATTAGCTCTAATTTAAGAACATCATCTCTTATTATGGAACACATTTACAGTTCACTTTGTTGGTTTAATTTCTTTTCTTATTTGCCTTTTTGCAAAACCTGCAAAGTGTTTTGTTTGAATCCACTAACTTGAAATGTACTGTGCTTCCATTTTTTCTTTTGCCCTCTTTCTCTCCCTTCCTCCATCCATTCTTCTGTACTTTACGTACATCATTTCTTCTGTACTTTCTTTCCTTCTTTATTTCTTAATGACAAGAAGACAGGGGTTGGAGCTAGCAGAGTCTTTCATTTGTTGAGTGCCTACTTGATATCAGGCACCTGGCTAAGCACACGGGGGCTTTTGTAGCATTCAGATCAGACTAAATTTGGCATGTTTATCCACACCAAGTGTTGATTTTTCCTGTAGTACAAAATATTGCAAACTGGTAGCTGAAAGGCATTTGGAACCTTATCTGAGGAATTCAGACATCCTTCTTTCTCTGACTCATCCCCAGCAAGGATTAAAAAAAAGAGATAGTTCCACGTTTCCATGTGCACTTATTCTCAATGCACCTGAAATGACTTATCTTTAATAGGTCCAAGCAGCTCACACATTTGCTTTCATTACTGACATTACAGCTCTAGCACTACCTTGGGTCCTTTAAATAGTAAAAAGTACCAGGCCCTGTACAGTTCCACTCAAGCCTCCTTAAAGGCAAAGTAATAGCATCTGTCCTCCAAAGGGTTCCTAGCTGATTATTAGTATCCCAGTCCTCCTTTCTCCTCAAAATTGTAAATGTGCCAGTGTCAGGGTTTGTGTGCAATCGTTCCCCTCAGTGAGATACACACCTTTTTTCTCTCTCTCCTGCCAACTCTACACAGTTTATGTCTTGCAACAGAATCACACCGTTATTCGTTCATTCCACAGATCCTTACAGAGCAACCCCCTATATATCAAGTACCCTGTTAGGGGCTAACGCCCTACAGTTAAAGGCTTAGTTCCTGACCTCGTGGGACTCTTGGTTTGGAGAAAGGGGGTAGAAAATAATCATACCAAATACAGAGACAGATGCTATGATCCTAGTAAGCCCCGTGGTCCTCTGAAAACATAGAGGAGGGTTCACTAGCTCAGTTTAGGGGAAACGGTTGTAGGCAGAGATAGATGCCTTGGTCGGTGGTATAGACTCTTCTCGTCATTTATCTGACTTGAGAGAATGATTTTTATGTTATTTTTATTTTTTCGGAGATTTTTTTCCATTTTGTATTGATGCATAATAATTGTACATATTTCTGGGACACACGGGCTGTTTTGATACCTGCATACAATGTGTAATGATCAAATCAGGGTAATCGGGGTAATCCGCCACCTCAATCATTTATCCTTTCTCTGTGTTGGGAACATTCCATATTTTCTTTTCTAGCTGTCTTGAAATACACAATAAACGATTGTTAACTGTAGTCATCCTACCGTACGATGGAACACTAGAACTTATTCCTTGAAAGTCGTGTTTTTAAAACTGTGGGGATGAATCTTTTAGATCCCACTGGGAGCACAACTCAGTTTGTTCCTAGAGTGTGTTTGTGGAGATGTTTTGAAAGCAAACATTTCTTTGAAATCTGACATACGTACACTAAAGTGCACAGATCTTAAGTGTACAGCTTGATGCATTATCATAAGATAAACATGTCCACATATCGGGAGCTGGGTTAAGAAATAGCCTCTTGCCGGCCGGGCGCGGTGGCTCACTCCCCTAATCCCAGCACTTTGGGAGGCCGAGGCGGGCGGACCACGAGGTCAGGAGATCGAGACCATCCTGGCGAACACGGTGAAACCCCGTCTCTACTAAAAATACAAAAAAATTAGCCGGGCGTGGTGGCGGGCGCCTGTAGTCCCAGCTACTCGGGAGGATGAGGCAGGAGAATGGCGGGAACCCGGGAGGCGGAGCCTGCAGTGAGCCGAGATCGCGCCACCGCACTCCAGCCTGGGCGACGGAGCGAGACTCTCTCAAAACAAACAAACACCTTTGCCAACTCGATGAAGTCCCCTTTGTGTCCCTGCCTGGTCATCACCACCTCTAACATGAATTCGAACCTGACTTCTACCACCAAAGATTAGTTTCCGCTGGGTTTGAACTTTATGTAAGTGCGGTGAAGTCATAGAACCGATTTTCTTTTGTGTCTGTCTTTTATAAGCCAACCTGTTTGTGAGGTTCATCCGCATGATAGCATATGGTTGTAGTATATACATTCTCTCTGCTTTGTAGGGTTTGATCTGATATTCTGTTGTCTGGCTATACCACAATTTATGATCAATTCCATGTTGAGGGATACCTGGGTTCGTGGGTTTTCTTGACCACTCTAATACCCCTCTCAGCTCAGAATCTTGGCAAGCAACAATAGTCTTCTGGATCTGGCATTGCCTTCATTTCCTTATCTTTCTTTATTGCTCTCTATTTACGGAAAATTATAGTAGTTTTTATTTGTTTTTGTTTTAAGTGGTGATACAAAGTGTTTTTTTTTTTTTTAAATAAGTTCCTTGAAATGGGACGATTTTAAAAATCTTTAGTAATAACAGAAGTATGATAGTAATGCTGTGGCAAATGTCGTGGAGGTGAAATTCAAATAGCTCAGTTAAAGAACAATAAGATTAGGGCCCTGGAGTTTTTGTTAAAAGGTAATAATTTGTATGTCTAGGGGTGTTAGCTATCATCATCCTGAGCCAGTTGGCTTCATAATTTATCAGAGTGCATTAGATCAGTTCAGGTTTGCTTTGTTAAGATCCAAGAAAGATCTGGAATCAGTGTGCCAAGAGTTCGAACAGACCCAGGTGAGACCCGCAGCAAGAAATCCTGGCACTGGGAAGAGACACAGAGAGAGAATGGCAAGTATGGTGACCACTTGGGGATAAGGTGATGTGGAAACACAGGGAATGAAGTTGTGGAAACACAGGGAATGAAGAAGTTGTGCTGACTCTTTACACACTTCTTACTGGGTCTTAGGACCATGATCCACAGGCTGTATTAGGAAGATTAAATAACTGACTAGATCTCACTTCTCCCTTCATCTCTCATGAATGCAGCATGGCTTAATAATATTAGTTGTAATTTTGCCCACTTACTGTGTACAAAGCACGTTGCATGCTTTATACCATTTAATCTTTACAGCATGCCTGCAAGGAAGTACATTTTACTGCGGTACACAGAATATGGCCCCAAAAGATGTCTACATCCTAATCCTTTGAATTTGTAACTATGTTACCTGACATGGCAAAGGGAAGTCAAGGCTGTATATGGGACTAAGGTTGCTAATCAGCTGATCTTATGGTAGGGAGATTTTCCTGGATTATCTGGTCTATCCTAATGTAATCATAAGGGTCCTTAAAAGTAAAAGAGGGGGGCAAAAGATGAGGTCAGAATGAGGTGATGGGAGGACTTAACCTACTCTTGCTGCTTTTGAAGATGGAAGAAGAGGTCAAAAGCCATGGGATGTGGGAGGCCTTTAGAAAAGGAAATGGATCCTACTCAGGGCCTGCAGAAAGGAATGCAGCCCTGCCAATGTTAGGGCAGTGAGACCCATATCAGGCTTCTGGCCAACAGAAATGAAACATAATCCGTTTGTGTGGTTTAAGTTTCAGGTACTTTGTTATGGCCACCATAATATACGAATATATCTACTAAGAAGAATTGGGGCAGAGGCAAGGGAAGTCATGCACGCCAATAACTGAAAAGGGCTAGATTGGAAATCAGACATATCTGACTTCAAAACCAGTGATGGTCTTGATTATTGCTGTCAATGATCCAAGGCTAGAACACAGGTTCTTGTCTGATTTAGATACTTAAATTCACCCCTGGATGGGAGGAGGAAAATCAAATGGGTCCCAAGAGTCTGAGAAATGGAAGAGGAAGATTATCACATGTACAAAAGGATTTATGGATTCATGGGCCTTTCTAGTATGCTTTTGTATAAGAAGAATGTTCACAATGCATGTAACAGAAAAGCCAACTCAAACTGGCTTAACAATAAAGGGAAATTATTAGCTTACGTAATTTTAAAAGCCCACTGGTGCCTCTGGCTTCCATTTTGACTTGATTTACCGTTACAATGAGGTTGTCATTTCTTTCTTTCGTTTATATTTTTTTCTTTTGTTTTTCCTCTGCCTTTCTTAATCTCGGTTACATTTTAAGGCTAGCTCTCCCTGGGTCCCTAGATGGTTGTCTGCGTCTCCTGTGGCCATGTGTTCTCTTTACACACAGCAGAAAAAAGAGAATGCCTCTGTACATGCACTCCCAGCAAAACGAAGCAAACAAAACATAGAGTTAAAAAAGAAAATAATTATCAGTGATTTAAACAGTTTAGATCACATATTCACAGCTGTCCAGTGGGGTGAGAAGCACATTTTGCCTAGGTTAGACCTGACTCCAGAAAAAAAATATACTTCCCTGAAGCCACATTGATTCCCATACAAAACCCAGGAGACCCTGGAAGGAGAACTGGTTCGTGGATGATGGAAAGGCAGCCAAATAAACACAATAGGGAAAAAGAGGATCTGCGGAGGAGGCGGAAGTGATGCATAAGACCAGAAGGTCAATTCCTTCCCATTTCATAAGATAAAAACTGGAATCCATTGTGTTTGCAAATAGAGCAACTCTATGTGGTAGCCGCATTTCTGTTTGTGTGTAAGGATTCATAGGAACATTGGATGTAAACATTTTATAGGATCTAGATCATAGCAGTATGCTACAACCAGGGAAATCCTCAATTAACTCCAGGGTATTTTTTATAGTGTTCTCTTTCTGTATCCATTTTTTGTCTGTTCAATTCAGTATGTAATCATTTCTTGAAACGTATTATTTGGCAGGACACCATAAGATAGATAATTCTTTTATTTACTCTTTAGCTATTATTCCTAGCCCAAAGTCACAGATTTTTTTTATTGCCGTAAGAAAAATCAATAATTGAATAGTAAGAGGTTGATAATCCTTTAGTTTCTATTTATAAGAACTCTCAACTCCCCTCTAAACTCACAGCCAAGGAAATATTAATCAGTTGCCAATAAACAGTTCCGTGCTGGAGTTCACATATGTTTCTCCTAGAAATAACATATGCTTCAGTGAAAACTGCAGAACTGCACTCACTAGAGACAATATTTTTGTTATTAAACGTTTCATTATGCTTTTTTGGTTGTTGTTATGGCTGAGTTATCAGTTAAAACATAAAAAGTCAGCTGGTAATTGGGAATGAAAAAGACTGGTTACTCTTCAATTTTTCAATAAATGCCCCGGTTGCAGATTACATAGAGGGAGAAGTATGCTACTTCTCCCTCTATTTCTGAGAAAATATGTGCAAAATATCAGCACAGTTCTTGGCGTATAGAGAGCACACAGTGAGCAAAGCTAATATAATTGTTATAATTCTTTCGTCTGACTCTCACATCAGTTTCTAAGATGATGAAACTGAAGTCTAGAGAGGCTGAATGACTTGTTTAAATTTTCACAATCTAATGAGAGGCAGATTCATGTGAGTTTTCCAAACTCTCTTTTTGTTCCCTAGAATAGGCATGTTACACTTTTGGAATTAACTGGTTAGTTACTAGTTGTAGCTCTCCCTGTCCGCCACTAAAAGCAAGCTCTTTGAGGAAAGAAGCTGTGTTTATTTTTGCATTGTTGTATTTCCAGGGTTTGGTACAATTCTGGACACGGAAGAGATTCCCAATAAGAATTTGCTAAAAACAAATCAATGAATTTTTATAAACATAATTTTCCAGTCAGAGAAAACCATAATTGATCCCCAAAATAATTATATGGAATAATAGACATATTAATTTTTGAAGTATTTCTTATGCAACTTGTAGACACATTTCATATATCATGAAATTAGTCTTTAACTATTCGTAGTGTGTGTATTTGTTAATTCCACACGCACGTTTGTAATTACAGGGTTCCATTGTGAATTACAGCAGCAATGTTAATGAATCTGGCTGCTCCAAATTTTAACAGTCTGTTCCTGAACCAGGTCTGTGGAAATTTCTGCTGACAGAGTATCTGAATTCATACTTCTAAAATCTCAATCTGGCAAAGCAGAGAGAATCATCACTAGTATGTAAAAATGTGTGCTGTAACATTATATATGCAAATGAAATAACTGTTGGCAAAAATAATTATTGTTGCTCATTGGGAGGATTAATAGTTACAGTCTGCTCTGTTTTCTGTTGAGATTTAACTTAATTCTGTGGCATATATTAACTGAGGAAATTAATTTGGGTTTAATTATTGTGTATGGCTGTTAATGTGCAAACTTATGATGAATATTTAGTTACGCTGAACCGGCAATCCAGTAGCTATTCTTATGCTCATTTGCTGACAGGAAGTATCTGATGGAGAAGATGGTATGTGCTGCATGGGTTTCCAGTGCAATGTCATCCATAGTACGTTGCTGTGATCAGGGAAAAAAGAACTGGGCTTGAGGTAGAAGGGGACAGGAACTTGGGTACTGGCTGTGATATTAACAAATTATGTGTATCCCTAAGCTTTCAACTAGAGAATGGCAGGAGAAAACCAATTTTCCTTAGGGATTTGTTTTAAGGTGAATGAATTAATAGGTGGAGAACAGATTGGTGAATAGCAAACTGCTGTTTTAAATGAAAGGAATATCTATAATAAGTTTTTTGTTTATCCATTTAATAACAAATTTCTTTAATGAGTCAAATTAGATTAGACAGATACCTAAAAGGCGTTCAGGAAAGCATTCGTTGATACATAAAATGTAGATTGATTGAGATTAAGTATAGATCAACACCCCTTCTCCACAAAGATCAACATAAATAAAAATTCCATATACCAAGAAAGACAGCCAAATCCTTCGGAGGTTTGCGTATTTCAAACTGTAATTAGTAACACAAAATTCCTGGATGTTTACATGTTATAAGATTATGATATATGAACTCTGGAGCCAGGCTGACCTGGTATAACAGCAACATTATTTGCTAGTTGGGTGATTCAGCTGCTTATTTCATGCACCTAAACCTGAGTCTCCTCATTTGTAAACTCGAGTGATAGCACTTCCAAGGGATTTTGGGAGGATTAAATGTGACAGTGAATGAAAAACTAACACTGGCCCATGGATATTTCTTAATGAATGTTAGCTTTGTCTCCATTAAAAAGAGTTTGGACATTTTAATAGAATTCTTTGCAATGGCGTGTAATCCTTTAAATAGAACAAATGAAGACAGCTAATTATCTCTGTATAAACAATTAGAATTATGGACTCTGGGCCTGGGTATACTTCATGTTCATACACTCATGGCCTTTCCCTTTCCTGTTCTTCTTCACTTTCCTGTGAGTTAAATAATAATGTTGGGTGTCCTGTAAGTGAGTAAAATAATGATGTTGAGGTGTCTAGGCTCACACCATGGTCCTGTTGACTCATTGGGTGCAGTTACAGCTCTGTTTCTCCTCTTTTTTTTTGCTCCAGTCATCCCTGCCGTGTCTGGGGAGGGAAGACATCCAAGAGGCACAATGGGAGAAGGTGACCTTGAGTTAATGGAATCTGAGTTCTCTGAAAGAGAACATATTGCTCGCAAAGCTGGTACAGGCTGTATTCAGCACTGAGGCCTGCCACCTTTCTTCAAGTGTTGTTTGATTCTTATTTTTTCACACCAGAGAAATGCCTAGCACCTCTTCACATAAAGCAGGTCAATTTAGACAACAGGTAACCCTTCCATGCCTTTTGTACATGTCTGCCATAGTGGACAATGGGTGGATAAATCTTTACAGAAAAAAAAAATTGCAGGAGAGAGTAATAAATTCATAACTTTCATAAGCAAATATTTATTGATTGTGTTCTCTGTGATGGATACTGCTGTAAATATTGGCGACAGAGCAGAAAAGAAAATAGACAAAATTAATACCTAGCTTTTATTGAGTGATTTTGTATGTGCTAGTCACTGTGCCGAGGATTAAATATATTTACGTTACTAATCTTCACAAACTTATGGGGTAGATACCACTAACACTCATTTATGCTCGAGGAAACCAAGACTGAAGGAAGTTAAATAACTTGTTCAGGGACATAGAGCTAGTGAGCGATGGAGGTGGGATTTGAACTCATCAAGTCTGACTTGCATGATAAACACCACGCTACAGCCTCCATCAGAGCTGTAAAATAGAAAAGAACTGTTATAAAGCCCAAACAAATATCTGTGACTAAGTAGACACATAGAATCATGTTTCAAATAATTCATATTATAGATGAATGTATATTTGTGTGTGTTTGTGTGTATATATAATGACTCTCCAGGAATCAAACTCTTTTTTTCCTTTAAAAGCTCTGTAATAACCTGTTGGTGTAATATTTAGTGCATCCTGCAAAGTATATTTGTTTGCTAAACAACTCTGAGTGGCATTTTATTTAGCAGTAAAATGGAAGATTTTATCCATCCATAGGATAATTCAAATGTAGTCAGGTACATTGAGTGCTCAATGCAGTGCCCAACACATGGCATGTTGTCAATTAAAGTTAGCTCCCTTCCTGGTGGCCATTATTTTTCAGTATAGACATATTGTTTTCCTCTGCTATATTGTGTGCACACCCCTTATGAATAAGAACCATGTCTTATTCATTTCAATTATTTGAAATCATCCTGACACTTCTGTCCTCCTTTATCATGCCCACACCCCTCCTCCTCTGCCTGTTCTAGATGGTGAGCTAATCTGTAGAAGTTGATTCCCCCCACCCCGTGATTCCAAATACTACTTGACCACATTTTTCATTTAATATGATTTGGTGGAAATAGTCTATTTTCTCAAAATCCCAAAGATTAGCCTTATGCCCTTAAATGTAGAATTGCCCTGGCTTGATTATTTTCATCATTAAGGACACTTCCTAAAAATCTATTTTGATCCCTAGATTTTCTGACCACCCCCCCATCACCCACATGAAATGCAGTGCTACCTCACGTTCTTCTCTCTTTGCTGTGGGGGCCAAATTTCTCTCATACTTGAGCCAGGAAGCATAGCCAAGGTTTGAGGGTCATTTCCATGACCTGCCAACTCTCAATGTTTTCCAGGTTTGCCTTCCTGACCCTTGGGGGATCTTTTTTGGGAGTTAAATGGCCAAATGTTAAATTTTACTACCTGCAGCTGGTGGGCGTATTCATAATGATAAACCAAATGTCTCTTCACTTTTCTGAACATTTAAAGAATAATCCTCTGTCTTCCTTTTGTGCTTTCCTTTCTTCTGTGAAAGTAAAGACGGAGCTTGTCAAGAGGAATAGGCAGCAGCTTCCAAAGCTGAGACACCCTGGGCCTTCAGGAACATGAGCTTTGCCTAGTAGGAACTCACATTGTCTTACGAATTCTGATAAGGCCTTTCCATTTGAAAAACCTGGGAACCAAGTTTCTCTTTTTTTTTTTTTTTTTTAACTTAAAAGAAACTTGTTATTTTTTAGTTTTTGACACTCTACAATTCACAAACTTCTATAGTTTGTCACTGCAGCCAGCTCACCTAGATAGGGCCATGGTAGATAGGTTTTGAGATAAACTGAGGCTGGATTTTTCAGAGATCTGTTTTCTCCCATTCAGAAAAGATGTACACCCTTGACCTTGAGTTGTCTTAAACTGTGAATAAAATGCAGCTGTTCTCAAATATTTCCTAGTGCCACCCCTTCATGAGTGTGAAGAGTTTTCTGACATTAAAACAAACAAAAAGTAAGATACAGCATTTGGGTGCTTAGAAGAGTCTCAACATTTAAAGACTTGAAAATAAAAATGGAGTACATTGAGAAAGTCTTAAAAGAAAAATGATATTCATTTGTATCCTCTTTTAAATCTCCTACTCTCATTCATCAGGTTATGGTGACTGATGGACGATCATGTCTTTTCTGTCCAATTTAATCTAAGAGCCATTCCAGATGGCAACTTATGCATTTTAGACTTTAAAGCAACTCATGATTAAACATACAATCGGTCAGTTGTACCATGGGAACTGTAATCCTATGAATCAAAGAATGCGTTCATTCTTTTACCTTTCTTCCTTCTGCAAGCAATTCTTGAGGCCCTAGTATAAGGACACATAATAAACCTGAGGATTTGGACAAGGCATGAAGAACCTCAATATAAGTTTATATGGGAAACCGTGGAGCCCTATGACATTGCCGTGAACCTCTCTTTAAGGCAAAGGAATTAGAACTGGATTTCTACTGGCCCACAACTCCTTCCTTGAGGAGAGTCATCAAGCAGGTGAGAAGACATCCTGTCTTTGAATGTGAAGTCAGCTGCTATGATAGGGCCTCTGTTGCAGGCAGCAATTACTGTTCTGTCCTCTGCCACTCATATTCCAAAACTACTTATTATTTTTTTTTTAAGTAATTAAAAGTTTCAAACAAGAAGAGGAGCATGGGTAGATTTGGTCATGGCTTGACACCAAATAATGTGAAGAATAGAGGATTTTAAAAAATGAGAGAATGGGCCGGGCGCGGTGGCTCATGCCTATAAATCCCAGCACTTAGGGAGGCCGGGGTGGGCGGATCACGAGGTCAGGAGATCGAGACCATCCTGGCTAACACGGTGAAATCCCATCTCTACTAAAAATACAAAAAATTAGCCGGGCATGGTGGCGGGCACCTGTAGTCCCAGCTACTCGGGAGGCTGAGGCAGGAGAATGGCGTAAACCCGGGGGGCGGAGCTTGCAGTGAGCCGAGATCGCGCCACCGCACTCCAGCCTGGGCGACAGAGCGAGACTCCGTCTCAAAAAAAAAAAAAAAAAAAAAAAGGGAGAGAATGAAGAAATAGCAAATAGCAAGTGAGATGTGTTTTAAAGTTTTGTAAAATGAAAGCGTTTGAATATGATTTCATATTATCAGAAACAAGGAGTCAGAGTTAAAAAAAATTGGCTTGATCTCTCCCCCTGTAGAAAGGAAAGGAATGAAGTCTGCTGGTCATGGAATAATAACTTGTGACTTAGTTGTCCCTGTTAGTTTAAAATAAGTGTGGCTTTTCTTGACAACCGAAGAAAAAGAAAAGAATAGGATAACAGTATTATTTGCTTCATTTCTCTATGTGTCCTAAAACTTAATCCCGTGAGGTTAAGAACATTAGAGAAAAGTCTTATACAAATGGTGCTGTCAGAACAAATTTTGGCAGATCCTAAAGTACAGTATTTTCAAAGAAAAAAAGTGTTAGATTTTTTAGCTCAGAAGAAAGAACTACGAAAAAGTTGATAATGAAAATAGTATTAATCTCCATTTATAAGGGGAATATTTAATGTGTGTGTATGTGTATGTGTGTGTGTGTGTGTGTGTGTGTATATATATATATATGCAACATGCAAACGTGTAATACGTAAGGACTATCCCAGCTTCTTTTCCAATTTCTGGACCCCTCTAGCAACAGAAAGTAGTGATATTGACCATCAACGAGGAGAACAACGTCGGTAGGGCTTATTTTTTATGTTAAGAAAAATTAGGCTCTAAAAAATGTGAAGGCTTTATTTGAACACCGAAAAAACCAAGACTGTAGTTTGCAAAAGTGAAATGGCTGGTTTTATGCTTTTAATGAAGTTTGGAGGCAAACAGTTTATAACCCTGGAAATATTTAATTTGGGAAGGTTTATGTTAAGATAATAAAATAATTAACTTTTTCTCATTAGAAGCGTGCAGAGCAATAGAGTTACGTGTTCTGGAAAATTACATTCCTGCTCTCTCACTGACTTAACGTGTGTGGATTGATGCAGATCAGATAACTAACTGACAGGCACTTTGCAAGTTTACCTTGTTTTAACTAATTGCCAGTTCAGAGTCACTGGAGATTCCATTTTAAATTAATGGCTGTGAGGTATTAAATGCAAACATGTATCTATTGAGAAATTAGAAAGAGAATAAGAAACTAAATTTCATTTCATGACAGTGCTCTCAGTTCTTGGTTGCCTGATACATTAAAACAGTGGGCAGCAAACTATGGTCCTTACATAAAATCTGGCCCACCGCTTGTTTTTTATAAATAAAATTTTATTGGAACATAGCCACGCCCATTTGTTAAAGTGTTATCTGTGCTGCTCTCTTATTATTATAAAAGGGAAGAGTTGAATAGTTTCAACAGACACCATAAACCTGCAAAGCCTAAATTATTTATTATCTGGCCCTTCACAGAAAATGTTTGCTAGCCCCTACATTAAAAGGTACCTACTGCACGATAATATTCTGTGGTGGTTCTTAGGCCAAACCTAGTTTTAGCTAGAGGGTGGTCTTCGTGTTCTTATTGCCTCCCAATCCAAAGTACACATGTTTAGCAAATAAAACACAACTTTGGCATTTTATTTCAGTCCCTTCTTCTAGTCACTGTGACTCCTAGCACATTTCTTTGGACATAGCCTGCATGAGTTGATGAAATTCAGGATTAATTTTGGGAACTGATGAAACATGGCTTCATTTGGCATTCCTAGGCTTCACGATTCATGCTTTCTTTGCCACTGGACTTTATTTAGATAATTTTCTTGGCTCATAATAGCTACAGGGAATTTATAGGAAGATTACATCGTCCGTTCTCTCTTATACCAAAATATTGTTAATGTGGTGTGAAAAGAGGAAAATAAATGTTAATTTATTCTTAAAACTAGAATCTTCGTATAGCCAGTCTCCTCTCTGGATAAAGGAGAGGACTGACCTAGCTGGCCCCTAAGGTCACTGTATGGTTCTCAAATTTTGAAATTAAGAGGACCGTGGCTGAGAGGGAGTCCTCTTTCAGCAAGAAAAATACAGAATTCTATCCTAATGAATTAGTAAAGTGGCTTATTTAGTTTTTCACAATGATTTTTGTCTTATTTCCAAACAAATTATATTTTTATTTGGTTGATGCACTCTCTTTAAGTTAAACATCTAATTATTTTGGTTTCATATCACTCTGGTTTCTTTGCTCCACCACCATATGCAAAATACCTAATTCTGGAAGAGTTTTAGTGCGCCTGAGTTCTTAGAGTTTCTCCTTTCACTGTTTAATCTCTGACTCATTATACAACAGACACTTTATAGAAAATCTAAAATTAATCAGGACAGTAAATATACAAGAAGCCTATTTTTATTTTCTGAAGAATAAGTAGAGTTCTAGATTTTTCAGGGGAAAATGGAGAACACCCTACTTTTTAAACCAACTCAATAGCTAACTTCGACTACAAAGAGGAAATAAATGATTGAAAGAAGCAGAGATGACTTGCATTCTGGGAGAAATGAGCAATGCCATCTAAGAGTCCTTCAGGGAACCTTAGGATTCATTTATTTTATTCTTACAGCAAACAGTGAATATTACTAAGCTGGAGACTATGCTAAGTGTTGAAAGTAAAAGATGAAATGCATCAGATCTGTTCTCAACAAGCTCACAGTTTCATGGGAAGACATGCGTTCCAGGCTGAGAAACTGACAAAGTGATAAGATGGATGCATTTGGAGAATGAATGTGAGGTGGAAATAGGAGAGGAGGCTTGAAAGAGCAGGCAGAGGCTAGATCTTGAAGGAATAGATAGGCCAATCAAAGCAATTATTGTATGTAGAAAACAGTGGGTTTTTAAGAGTTATGGATCAAATTGAGGGTGAATAGTCGGGAAGACAATATTTAAATAAAGTGTCTGACTGGAGAAAGAAAAATTATCCTTATAATCTCTTAACACATTTTTGCTTTAAATATTTATAGTGCCTGAGTAAACTGTACACTTTGTATGAAGTTGTCTTTATGACAATGGCCCAACACAGAGGAAAGAAATATGGACACCTTGTATATACTTACTTGTGGGTCTTCTCTTACCAGAGTCTAAATTTCTTCCTGAGAGTCTTTAGTCCTCTCTTTCACAGATTAAATTCATCCTACAGGAGCATGACTTTAGTCCAGTGGTTCTTGACTTGGGCTAATTTTACCTTCACTTTTCTGGGGACACACTTAGTAGAGTGCAAAGACATTTTTGGTTGTCATGCTGTGGTGCAGGGGACACGTAGAGGAAAAGAGTGGTACTGTCACCCAGTGGGTAAAGGCCAGGGAAGCTGCTTAACATCTTACAATGCACAGGACAGTTGCCCTTAACCGAGAATTATTTGACTCAGAATGATAATAGTGCCAAGATTGAGAAATTCTGCTTTAGAATTGTAACTTCTGATTCCATCCTGTTAGCTTTCCTGTGGATATGGCCCAGGAAATATGAACAAGGGTGAAGGCTTACAGAAGACATGCAGGGCATTTTATAAGATTATGTGAAACTGTAATTCTTTAATAGTACAAACTTAATATAGGGTATGTGGTTTAACTCTTCAGTCCCCAGTGGCCTAAAGAAGTGGACCCTGCCTGTCTCCCGAGTCTAACTTGTATTCCATTATGATCAGGCAGGTGTGGGGTCTTTTGTTACAGACTTTCATTCATGATTCAACTGAGCCAGTTTTCACTAACAACGTAGTCTCTGGAGAAAAACTCCACTTAACTCAGGAAACATCCGTGTTTGGTTGTGAGGTACTTCCCCAATTAAAAAAAAAAATTCACAGGGTCTCTTCTATGCCACATGGCGAGTCTCCCAAATTAGCCCTGCATCTTTGTGCTCATGGTGTTTTTATGAAAAGATTTCCCCAGATTTCCTTTCCACAGTGTGGAGAAGAAATGGTGCTGACATACATAGAAATTGGAGAATGTTATTTTTAATGCCCAGAAAAGGAAGAATTGCTGGTATTCTATTTATGTATGTACTTCATGCAATTAATTGCATTTCTGGTCTGCCTCCAGTCAGAATGGAGAAACGCTGGGCTGTTATTAAGAATGAAGTAATGAAGACAATGGCGTGATCCCTCATGCAGGACTCATAGGGAAAGCAGTATGAGGGGTGTGAATCAGTCTTCCCAAGTTAGACAAATGGCAATGGCAAAGCTGAATCCTGCTACTGTCTACTACCCCATAAAATTAAAAAAAAATGTAAAAAATCTCATAAATTTTGAGGTAAAAGTTACATTCAGCCCTCCATCTACTAAATAAATGCAAATATATCTTTAGAAGCATTTTTCTTACATCTCTGCATTTTTGCACTCCTTATAAATGCATTAAAATCATTTTCCCTCACGAAAGAGGCCAGTTCTTAATTTTGGAACCCTGTGGGTGGAACAAATGGTAACCTCCGAGGAGAATGACAGTTTTTTGCCAACAGGAGACTTTCTGAGATGAGCACACCCCAGGGCGCACTCTCTTATCTGGTTGAAACTCTGCAGAAGACAGCCGTGTGCTACCCTCATCCTCTGTCTCATTTGCTGTTTTTGTTGTTCTTTTTCTCTTCTTCTTGGAGAGAATAGTAAGTGAATGATTCATAATTTATTTCTCTGCCTCACAGGGCATTTTAAAAGCAATGACATCATATCTGTTTTCTTCCCATGTAGTCCAGACTGTTACAGACTACCAGAATCTAAGAAGAAAAGATCCTCAGGACTCAACTTGTCCAACACTTCTCACTTTGCATATGAGGAAATCGAGGCTCAGGGGGGCAGTGCCATTTATTCAGGGCCGCAGAATAACAGGCACTAGGAGAATTACAGGCAGACACATTTGGTACCTCAGTGTTCTTCCAGTGCAGCCCCTGGTTCCTATGCCTTGGTGGCAGCATGGCCAGATAGCAAATAAAAACACATGTCATGCTTGGGCATACTCATTCTAAAAAAGGATTCACTGCTTTTCAAAAATGCAAATTTAGCTGGGTATCCTGTATTTTATCTGAAGAAACAGCCTGAGAATGTGGGACCTTGTGCTTTTCATTAACTTTTCATTAGCATTTGATCACACACATGCTCTTGACTATGGCAAAAGCCTAAAATTTTCTCTTTATATCTGTGGGATTTTGTTGTTGTTTTGCTTTGATCCCAAAGCTTGAGCATTAGAAATAGGGCAAAAGTTGCAAAAATAATTGAGGGTGTGCAGGAATAGGTTTTCAATTAGACACATTGCATTGAGCTGATGAATCCTCTCAATGAATTACCGTTGTATGATTATACTATGTGGTATGTCTCCACAGGCATCCTAAGATATTCTGAATTGTTTGAGGAATTATAAAACAGTTATTTCTGCATCATTGAAAAATTTGTAACTCTTCTGTAAAGAACATTAATAATTACTTAATAATGTAAAAGCTATAAAAAGAAAAATTAGTTAAACCCTAAAGTAATTTACAGTTCATTCATTTATGTTTTCACTTATTCTATAGTCATTTATTCTTTTTTCAACTCCATGCTTATCAGGATAAATATGATATTTTGCCTCTACTGTAAGAAAACTTGCATTCTCAAATTGTTGGAACAGGTCTAATGTGGATGCAGCTTTTGTTAATCTCCAGTGCTTCTAGATTAATCAAATGTCTGTCCAGAAAAAAAATGATTTACTTCCTCTGTAGCCAAGTGGACACAAATGTTCCATACATCAAAACCTGGTTTATGTTTTTAATGCCTTAGGTAACGTCTCCAAATTCCAAAGAGTCCAGGCCTAGGAAACAGGAGATGAATCTGTTTGTTGCGTTTTGCTTTTGTTAGTTGCATCATGTGGTTAAGACCACAAACTATGGAGCCAGACGGATAGCTATGATCTTGGGTACCTTACTTAGTTTCCGTGTCTCTTTTCTCATTTGTAAAGTGGAGATAATTAAAGTTTCTCCCTTATACCACTCTTGTGAGGTTGGAATGAGTTGCTACACTAAAGTTAGCTCTATGCAAGGTTCCTACTCAGCTTGATGTAATCATTAGCTATTAGTATTATTTTGTCTCCTCGCTCCTGTTTGCATATCTTACCACCTAGGCTTTTAGATTATCTTTCTTTCCTCTTTCACTTTCAAGGTTTTCTGTGGTCCCAACACTCTCTTTGACCTTGAATGCTGACTTAAATCCGACAATCATGAATCAACTTTAGCTGATTTTTGAACAGGGGACATAAGCCCAGGCTCAATTCCCAGGATCCTTATTCCTTGCTTATATAAGAAAGGCATTTAGAAAAGTTAACTCCTGGCCAGGCACAGTGGCTCATGCCTGTAATCCCGGCACTTTGGGAGGCCGAGGCAGGCAGATCATGAGGTCAGGAGAGCGAGACCATCCTGGCCAACATGGTGAAATCCCGTCTCTACTAAAAACACAGAAAAATTAGCCAGGCGTGGTAGCACACACCTGTAGTCCCAGCTACTCAGGAGGCTGAGGCAGGAGAATCGCTTGAACCCAGGAGGCGGAAGTTGCAGTGAGCCGAGATCATGCCACTGCACTCCAGCCTGGGCGACAAAGCAAGACTCCATCTCAAAAAAAAAAAAAAAAAAGTTAACTCCTGTCTGTATTATTCACCACTCTGCCCCCAACTCCTATAAGAGTGGCTATGCATGACTGGAATATAACTCATATTTGCTGAATGAAGTAAGAAATATACACTTTTAAGTGCTTAAGATTGAGTCCATATTTTTCATAGACTAGAAGAAGCTATTACAGCTAATTACATAGATATCATTAGAGAAGAATCTTAGAGTAGGTAATCAAACTCCTTAAGATCCTGAATACAGCATATAAACATGGAAAGACCCTTGGATCATTTTATTTTCCACTTCATAAAATTGTATGACATCGTTCAAGTGATGGGGTATCCCAAAGTCATTGAGATTCTCATTTCCCTTTGCTACAAGAAACAGGAACATTGCAAATAATGTTTTTCTTGTATAGGCATTATTGCTCATTTTCTAAAGGAAGCTTGGATTGAATCTTGAATTTTCCTTTCCTATTTATCTCATCAGATGCTGCCCTCCAGATCTCTTTGTTGGGCAATATCTCAAAGTTCTTTTTTTTTCTATTAGGCCATTCGTGTTTTAAATTTATTTTTGTTTATCCTTTCAATGGCTTCTCTAGATTAATTTAAAATCACAATTATAAAGCTAAAATGTTTTTGACAAAAGTTTCACAAAAAGGTTTTTGGTTTTATTTATTTATTTACTTTTCTGGTTTTTGTTAGAATAAAAAAAATAAGGTCAATGACAGTGCACTCTGATAACATCTAAATAAGCTTCTCAAATCTTAGAATTACTGGTAGTTTCAAGTTAAAATTCAAAACTAGCCCCTGCTTTCTTCCGATTTGATCTTTCCCATTAGCCCCTGGGTAAGTAGAATGTATGCATGTTATAAAGGAATGTCAGGCAGGTACTTGAATTCATTGTCCAGCCGTGCAAGTGAAGATAAAGCAGTTTTATGTCCTCCTAGCTCCACATAGTTTTGGCATTTTAGTTGATCCTCCTGATCTAAACCTTGTGAGGCACTATTATCATGCAATGGAAATAACAGTGCATAGGTTAAGAATTCCGTGAGCAACTGAGAGCAATTTATCTTCTTTCCAAGACACCCAGAGGGCTATCACTATCATTCTTCAGGTCTATAATATTATTCTCCATATATTCTTTGGTGGTGTTTGAACTCAGAACATCCTCTCTTTCTCCAACTCAGGACAGACGTAATGGCTGCTTATTGGTTATGTCCTAGAGCACTTATGAAGGCACTCACAAACATTGTAGCTCTCCCCTTCCAGGAACATGGTAGCCTTGTGTTTCCCCATCCCCTTTAAAGTTACATGTGACAGTGTGTCTTGCCTTGGTCAATAATCTGAGATCCAGTTTGTTGTGAAGAGTCCTTCAAAGTGAGGCATGCTTCTTTACATTTTCTTTTCCCTCTCCTAGACTATTTTTCAATGTTCTAGAAAATGGCTGTTCTGTCAACCTAAATCCTGGAGTGAGATCAATGATGACATACAACAGAACTCCCTGCTAGTGATGATGGAAGATTAGCACAAAACGAACATTTGTTGTTTTATACTATTGAGGTTTGAGGATCATTTTTTAACCACAATATGATCTACCCTATTCTGACTGATACACTTCATTATCATCCATCTGCCTTTTTCTTCTAAGTCGTCCCTGATTATATTTGAGTCTATGTAATTTTCCAGAAATTGACCTCTCCCACACTTCAAGGTTGGAGCATGTGACCAAAGCCAAACAAGTGGCATATTTCATCCCCTATAGCAAGAAAAATCCCTTCAAGGTTGAGCATGTGATATAAGGTCGTCTAGTCAAAATGCATCTCAGGAGATTCATAAAGATGGTTGTGATGCAGCTGCTTCCTCTGTTATTCAGTGTGAAAAATACCATGCATTTCTGGAGGTTTCTGTTTATCTTCCCAAAATGTCAAAAGGACTACTACACTTTGGGATAAAGTGCACTTTGTAAAAGGTGAAAAAGAAAAAGAACAAACCAGGTCCTTAGAGACATCATGAGTCAAAGCTTGTCAGAAGTAAATTCTTCTGTTAATTATGTGTGTCAATAAATTACCTTCATTTAAAACTCTACTTTGAGCCCATTTTTCTGATGCCTAGAACTACAAAGATTTCTACTGATATAGTGCTTGAGTGTGAGCTCTTTGATATGGTAGGCTTGAAAGGTATATGTGGCCATTACCACTGACCTGCAAACGCCGAGCCATGCTCTATTGTGGCTTCTGGGAAGAACCGATGGGTAGGGTGAAGTGAAATACAGCTGGAGAATAAATGGCCATTACGCCAGAGGCAACATGGTGTACCCGGAAGTTGTATGTTCAAATTCTGTGTCTATCATAAATAAAGCATGTTTTCCTAGCAAAGTTATTAGGGCTTTCAGAGTCTCAGCTCCCCGATCTGTACAATAGGGATAATTTGCTACAAGTAATAAATGAGATAACATATACACTTCTAAGTATGCAGGATAAGTTGTTTTTACTCATGAACTTTGAGATCTATCCAGACACAGTGGACACAGCATAGTACTTCCCATTAACCTTAAAAGAGACTTGGTTCTTCTCGGAAGCCAGATTGTTATACCCTTTCTATGCCAATAGAATGAAGAAACTGTATTACTTGTACCTTAGAGCATATGTAAGGGAGACCCTGGTACCCTTATTACTTTGTACCTCAGAATAAGTTGCCCTAAATAAATAAAAGCCTTATTTCATATATTTTATTTATTGGGGATAGAACATGTGTGTCAGGAAACAATTACAAATGCTGGAAAGACAGCTGAAGTCTAATTTTAAACACAGTATTTCAAAGGAAAAATCCTATTTAACTGCTCAGTCTTGTACATCAAAATCTTGATATCGTCTCTACCACTTTTTCACATTGACCAATTTGTCCAACCTTGTTCTGAAGGTCTAAATATAAGGTAGAGAATGCCTAAAGCAATGGTGATTACAAGCATTTTATGAGCATTTCTTTCTAATTCTTTTATCTCCCTATACATTAGGTGGCTATTGCTGAGGAGTTCCAAGCAAATAAGGCTTAGATTCTGATAATGTATACCTAAAAAAAGAGCTAAACTCATTCCATTGGAAATCAAAGCTGGAAAAAATTGTTTCTCCCACTGTGACCTCCACTGTAAAGTCTTTAATGTGGGGGTGGGGGATGTAAGGGGAACATAATTGTGTCATAATAGAGTATAACAATTCTATGCTCATTTTAATTAACTTTGCAGTCCCATAGGAGCTATTCAACTCCTCAGAGTCACCAGAAAATTCTTTAATATTTTAGTTCTGTTTCACAGTAACATGGAGATTGGTTTGCTTACCCCATGGGATCTGAGACATTATACACAAGAGACATAATACTATTAAAAGTTAATCATTTTGAAACATAACACATTATTGGAAGCAGTGCTATTGTTCTGAAGATTTATTAACTGGTGGGTACGTAGTCATTTATGTGCAGAACCATACTGGTTTCTTCTATTTTCTACTAGATATTTCTCATTGTTTTCTCAAAGTTATTATTAGCATGGCTAGAGCTGAATGAAGATTAATTTGAAATCATGGGATGAAGCATGTTGTCCGGACATCAGTGATCTCCCAAAGATGCATACGTTATGAAAATTTATGAATAAATGCGCTGGTAGGGAGATTTGAGAATCTAATAGTAAAGAAACAAGATTAAGATTTGGAGCCTTGAGGTTAGAGAGATCTGTATTTGAATCCTGGGCATGCAACTTGAAGTCAGATGCTCTTGGGCAAGCCACACACCTCTCCAAGCTTTGGGTTAGAGTATGTTTTCCACGCTTCTCCTTCTGTGTCTAGAGTTCTCTCTTAGAAGAAGCTCCAGAGTCAGGGTCAGTACGCTTTTTCTGTTAAGGGCTTCTGTATGGAAACCATAGAATCTCTATGGCAACTCTTCAATTCTCCTGTTGTAGTGCAAAAGCAGCCACAGACAACTGTAAACAAATAAGCATCGCTGAATTCCAATAATGCTTTATTTAGGAGAATTAAATCTTGAATTTCATATTTTTATGTGTCACAATGATATATCTCTTTTGATTTAAAAAAAACTGTTAAAAATTGTAAAAGTATTCTTAGCTCATGGGTCGTAATAACAGCAGGTGGCAGCAGGTTTATCCCACAGGCCAGAGTTGGCTGACACCTGCTTTAGAAGATTTTAGACTCCCCTAGTAAAAAGAAGTCTTGGTCACCGAGTTACTACATGGAGGAAAACTGGCCATGATAGAAACGTCTGCCTGGTTTTTCCATGAGAAATACATCTGTACTCTATGAAGCCCAAAGTCATGGGTTTTATTTGTTAGAGCTGCTAGGATTACCCTAACTAATACACCACCCCAGAAGAATCTGTGAGGACAAAAAGGGGATAATGCATAATGGCACTTAGCCCGGTGCCTAGCACATGGTAGAGATTATTTAAGGCAGAGTTCTTGGACATCTAGTGCAGGCTAAGTTCACATGAGGGCAATGGACCTGATGACTCTAAGAAGCCATGCCAAGTTTGAGAAGCTCATACCATGTTAACAGCAGATATGCACTAGAAATCCTCTCCATCTTGAGTTAGGAATGTCTTAGAGACCAGACATTGGTGACCATTTAAAACAAACTGCTTTCGAGGGTAACCTCATGATTCTGTAATTCTGGAATACAATGCAGCCAACAGATCAGTCAAGCTGTCTCTATTACATAGCTCACTGTTCCATCCTTTCCTGCCAAGTTTACTTTCAAGATGTGATTAAGGGGTGTTCTATACATTGAAAGACATTCCTTCTCTGTGTAGAGCAGAAAACCAAAGAAAAACAGTAGTATTTTTCAATATGTCCCATGACCTGTTGTAATATTATATTTTAAAAGGACTTAATTGTAAAAAATACATTAGACATCTTATTACTCTTTGCTTCACACACATTCTCACAGAGCTAACCGTTATCATCAAATGTTGTTTAAAATCACAGGGTATTTGATACCTTGCTCCTGTCTCTCCTGACGGGGAGATTTTAAAGTCTTCAATCTTGTCCTCAAATTGATTCAACTAGTTGCCTCTGTACATTTTAATCTTATTCTTATAATTTATCATTTTCCTTAGATACAGAAATTAGTTATCTTCAAAATATATTTATGAAATGATAATCTGAAAATTGGTTGGTCAACTTTACCTATTATATCTATTTGGGCCTCTCTGCTGAGCTGATTTTAAAAACTCTGTATGAGTAAGTAACAAGCGAAAGCACTATAGTTAGAGTCAAATATTTGACCTTTTGGTCTTCTAAACCACACACTGGCTGTGTGGTTTAAGGATAGTTATGAACGTACTTAAGCTTCAATTGACTTATCTGTAATTTGGGGACAATAATACCTCTACTGCAGCTATACAGTGATGATGAAATGAAATTATGTTTGTGAATGTTCTTTGTAAACTGTAAATCACTGTAATTATGTGAGGATCTATTTTGCAGTAAGGACATTAGTGGTTTATAAAGTTTTCCTTAAAAAAGCCATATACCAACAGATGTTTTGTTTTCCAAGAACTATCTATCTGTCTCTGTCTTCCTCTGTCTCTCTCTGTCTTCAGTCTCTCTCTCTGTCTCTTTCTCTCTCTCTCAGAGACACACACACACACACACAGACACACAGACACACAGACACACACATACACACACATATAACACTATGATGCTGCTGCAATGGGAAAAACATTTTGTCCATTGCTGCAAAAGCAACTTCTGACTATATTTCCTCTTTTTCTGTGGGTGGAATGAAAAAAAATCTGGATAGGATTTTGAAAATGAGAACAGCTGATGCAACGTTGGCATGCATTCATTGAAGTTTTATCCCTTCTATGCAAATCTGGAAATTTTGGTTTGCTAACAGACAAAATTTAGAGGGAAATAAAATAGCTTCCCCAATGGCTTCAGCAGTTATCAGTTTGAAAGAATGTATCTGTGTGAAGATATGCAATAAGAAGCAGATTGGCCATTCGTTCTGGAGCTCTTTTGAGAGTTAAATGTTGACAAAATGACTCTTTTCTCATATTTTCCCTACACCTTCATTATCTCCACAATTCCTTCAGGCACTAACTATCTATTGGACCTCCTATTGGTGCTTTCACTGACAAAAGTAGCATTTGGTGATAATGAAATTATTAAATCATGAAAACTTTACATTCTTGTTGGTAATAAACCACTTCCTGTGGTTGGGTTGAGTGTGAAACAAGATCACCAAATTAAACCCAATGGAAGCTGGGCTATTACCTGTTTTTACCTCTAACACAAACACTCAAACACCTAACCAGGCAGATAGGTGACTTTCAAGGTAGCCTAGATTCTAAAGTTGCATGAATGGACACGAAATCCTCGTTTGCTCATGTCAAGCATGAGTCCTTTATTTGCGAGGCCCCGTTCCAGCTATCTCGAATCTCAGCTATAGCATCTGGGTCAGTTTCCTCAACAAAGGGCCTTCTAGGATCAGTTAGGACTAGGGCTCCCATGGTGTTTTGGCTGCAATTGATTTTTAATGATTCAGAAAGTTCATATTGTTTACGTTGTCACTTGGCTTTAGCAGCTTTCTGCAGCTAATTAATGAAAGGTGTCCAAACCATGGCTGTCCTAGTCTCAAAGAAGCTACTACTTTATCCTGGTTGCTATTTTGAAAATTTGTGGATGTTTTTTTCTGGATTTTCATAGTAATCAGGTGGAGAAGCATTTAATGGATGGAGGCCAGGGATACCAGATGTTCTACAATAAATTATGCAATCAAGAATCAAAAAGAATTGTCCTCTATCTTGAATAACTGTTTTAATATCACCTGACCTACTCTGTCCATAATTATCTGAAATCAGAACTTAAGGCCATCATGCATATAAGCGGAAAATATTTTTTACTGGCTTCAAAATATACTGAATCTTCTAAAGATGAAACTAGTCTACCAACTGAGGGAAGATTGTATTTTGTTTTGTTTGGGAACTTTACCAACAGTTGTTTGTCATTACAGAAAATTCAGTTGCCAATGGCAATGAAGCTCGTAGATTTTAACTCATTAATACAACACCCTGGAGTCCGTCTGCATTTGTTACAGTCACACTCATGATGATTCTACATTTAGGACACACATTTGACTACTTCTTTGTGCCTTTAGTGTAGTTATGTCCATTTATTTACATATTGAAGTGCATATTATTTTATTATACATTGATGTTATTTTTTGCTTTGAGTACAGTTATGACATTATTTATTTGTTTTGAACTTATGTATATAGGGTAGAATATATTATCTATGAATCTCATTTTGAGTTAGTGAAGGAGCCTTATAAGAAATTTATTATCAAAGGGAGATATTGGAGCCAATAGATTGAGAATCACTGGGATTTGTTGTCATGGTTTTAAAATTCTCACATTTCAGAAAGAACCAGTGGGACCCAAAAGATGTAACTATGACTTGTATCCATGGATATATGCATCTTATAAACCTTCAAACCAACCAATATCCTTTTTTTAATCATTGGTAAACACAGACTGGGTTTATGATGTATTTATGGTTCAGGCACCTCAAAGAGATGTATTTTTTCTCTCTGGCAACCAATTGCTCTTTTGCAATAAATTACTTAATAATAAACTCCTTCTCAGCTTCTTCAAGATGGAAAGGGCCATAGAGGTCATTTAAAACAAACTCTCTCCCAGGAGAAGACTGCCTTATGCAACTTCATCAACAAATCCAAAATGCTGTGGCTTTAATGTGTCCAAGGATGAAAAACTTACTACCATACAAGCCAATTTGTCTTCGATGTTGAATACATTTTTTTGGAAAAGTTAAACTAAACTGTGTCTACTTAAATTCCATCCTCTAGTTTAAATTTAGTTCTCACTAGTAATACAGAACCAGATGTTTTTATTCCCCTGCATAACAGCCACCCACGAGTATGAAAGAGTGCTCACATAGTGAGGGAGGCAAGCCAGTGCTGCAGCCCAGTCAACGCATGAAAGCGTGAGCACTCTGTTGCTCATATCGAGAGCTCCACACTATGAATCTGGGTTGAGGCCACAGCCAAAGGCAAGAACATTGTTCTCTTAACTCTGACATCAACTGCTTCAGTAACTTCTCCCTTAACATTGCCATGGTTAACTCTGCCTCCTCAAGGGTTAATGGAAATTTTTGATGAAGACGTTTCTTAAGAGGGAGGATCACTCGGGGAAAAGCATATTCACAGAGAAGTTGAACTTTCTGAGCCCTAACGTTTTGTACATGAGTTCCTAGTGCTTTCTATAAAAGCTGCAAAGTGTAGGCTCAATACTGTCTGCCTTGGATATCTTTGGAGCTCATGGACCTTACTATGGAAGGAAAATAAAATGTTTTCTCTTTCTTTGGTCATCTTTCCTATTATCCAAGAATGCAAACATTACCTAATCCAATATTTTCTTTTCCCGAATTATCCAACTCATACCCTTCTGAGAACTGCTGAACCCCCTGGGTCTCCTGCCTGAAATGCTTTTCACTCACACCCATCCCATTGCATGTTAGAAGACAGAGGTCTTCTCATTCAGGTGTCAGCTCCTCAGCAATACCTTCCTTAACAAAGGCAGATTTCACCCAAAGCCAGTCCTTTTGCATTATATTGGCTATTTTACTTAACAAGGTATGGTTGAAGTTTAATAATCTGTCTTACCTGTTTATTTCCTTTTCTTACTAACATGTAAGTTCCATGGAATTATGAATCCCATTGGCCTTTTTGCTTCCATACGTTCAGGGCTTTAAACAATGCCCGGCATGTGGTGCATGCTCAATGAACATTTGCTGGGTAAATGGGTAAGTAAAGACACAGAACAGAGCTCTTTGTGTAGCACTTTGAGGTGGCTTGTTGAGTTTTGAATCAGGGTCCAATTTGTTTTCTTCTAGCTATGCTGATTCTTTAATCTTTTCTCCAGGTTATATACACCTAGGGCCTTTCACGACATACTTCCAATCGCCCATGACTGGAAATGCTCTACTTTCAAATTTTCATGCTTGAAATGTGACTTCTAGTACGGAACACAATTTGCCTTTAGTTCAGAATATGGTTATGTGGACGCTGTGCTTCAGGCTTAGTGGTCCAAAGGTTTATGGAAGATGTGGAACTTTCTAGTTTTATCCTTAACAATTTTTAAGCTCTGAAAAAATACTGGTTGAGTCTAGCCTTAGGCTTTCTTATGATTTTTTTTATTATTATACTTTAACTTTTAGGGTACATGTGTACAACGTGCAGGTTTGTTACATATGTATACATGTGCCATGTTGGTGTGCTGCACCCATTAACTCGTCATTTAGCATTAGGTGTATCTCCTAATGCTATCCCTCCCCCCTCCCCCCACCCACAACAGTCCCCGGTGTGTGATGTTCCCCTTCCTGTGTCCATGTGTTCTCATTGTTCAATTCCCACCTATGAGTGAGAACATGCGGTGTTTGGTTTTTTGTCCTTGCGATAGTTTGCTGAGAATGATGGTTTCCAGCTTCATCCATGTCCCTACAAAGGACATGAACTCATCATTTTTTATGGCTGCATAGTATTCCATGGTGTATATGTGCCACATTTTCTTAATACAGCCTATCATTGTTGGACATTTGAGTTGGTTCCAAGTCTTTGCTATTGTGAATAGTGCCGCAATAAACATACGTGTGCATGTGTCTTTATAGCAGCATGATTTATAATTCTTTGGGTATATATCCAGTAATGGGATGGCTGGGTCAAATGGTATTTCTAGTTCTGGATCCCTGAGGAATCACCACACTGACTTCCACAATGGTTGAACTAGTTTACAGTCCCACCAACAGTGTAAAAATGTTCCTATTTCTCCACATCCTCTCCAGCACCTGTTGTTTCCTGACTTTTTAATGATCACCATTCTAAGTGGCGTGAGATGGTATCTCATTGTGGTTTTGATTTGCATTTCTCTGATGGTCAGTGATGATGAGCATTTTTTTCATGTGTTTTTTGGCTGCATAAATGTCTTCTTTTGAGAAGTGTCTGTTCATGTCCTTTGCCCACTTTTTGATGGGGTTGTTTGTTTTTTTCTTGTAAATGTGTTTGAGTTCATTGTAGATTCTGGATATTAGCCCTTTGTCAGATGAGTAGGTTGCAAAAATTTTCTCCCATTCTGTAGGTTGCCTGTTCACTCTGATGGTGGTTTCTTTTGCTGTGCAGAAGCTCTTTAGTTTCATTAGATCCCATTTGTGATTTTTATTTGGATTCAATTTCAATCATTTTAGCGTATTTGGATTTCTGGACTATGTCTCCCTGGGGATTTAAATTATTAGTTAGAGTTCATTTAAGTAAAATAATATCATTTACAAGTAAGATAGGTTATGCTGTTGGTTTTTGAGTGCATGTTAAGTTGAGAAATGTGATCACTGCTCAATTCACACCCTGCTAGACAAATCCTAGCAGAAGCTGAAAGGATAAAGTAGAGGTCTACCAAAAACATCCATGATTATTTTAATGCAATTGTAAACAATACTACTTTCTTATAAAATTAGTAATTCCAGACAAATGCCAGTACAATAGGTATAAAATGGGATGGCATTGGGAAAGCTGGGGTGTATCATCACCCTACATACATGTGCAGCCACAGAGAAATGACAACCTCTCCTGTCCCTGTCTGTCAACCACAGCAAAGAGGGAAGTTGAAGCGTCATCCTATGCACTCAATCATGTGATAATTTTCTCCTTTATCCTTCCATTTGGACGCTCTTTTAAAAATCCATTATTTGACCAATAAATCAAAAGTTAAGGAGAATAAGTGCAAATTCACAGTATAACAAACTCCCAGCGACTTTTAATGAATCAGCAAATATACAGCATGCATGTCACTGGTTCCTGCTCCTACAGGTATGACAGACATCCCTAATTGATTCCTAATAGATCTTTGGGTTTCCAAGGCTTCATCTGACATTTCTTTCTTTTATGCATACTACTTACTTTTGTAATATATTTCTAAAAATGTTGCATAGATCACTTTTATGAAAACAAATCACACTTTAATTGCACAAACACTTCTCTATTTAAATGAATCCCACTGTGAATACATTTGTACATATTCACCTATTAATTTTAGTACTATGTAACTATGTCTTAAAATGAATCTACCCTCCTAAGACATATTTATAAGTCATATGCCTCATCACTAATCACCCAAATAGAGGGGAGATCAAGAACGTCCTAAAATGACCAGAAAATCAATATATGCTCCTGCTAATGCCTCTGTATGTGACTTGATCATTACAAAAATCAAGCCCTGGCTAATATGTTTCTTGCCTGTGAATAAGTCAATATAATATTTCTGCACGAATTTCTTTTCATGGGGCTTTCAACTCATTAAAATGACATTTGTTGAAGTTCATATATGTTAGTATTTGTATTTATTCCTTTAACGTGTGTTCATTTTGTTAGACCTGACCATTTAATGAGTTAGGATAACTTGGGGAGCGCTTATGAACAAAAGTTTAGATTGAAAATAGGGGTCTGTACTAACATCCCCTGATTCGTTGAGTGTGGATTTAGAAACTAACTGATATGCTTCCATTTAAGCTTATATGTAATTAGATTGACACTAGAAATTGCCATCCATGCACCATGTCTCAAAATTTATGTATTATAGATCAAATTGCTTACAATTTTAGAATACTTAGGACTAAGAATTTATTCAGCATTACTTTTTATGACAAGGATCTGTATAATCCTACAGATGGATTTGTCAAATTCCACAAATAGAAAACCTTTTTGTATCTGTCTCCTGTCACTACGATAAACCATTTTTATGAGTTTGACATTTGCTTCTAACTTTAACGACCTAGAAAAAAATGCTATCCTTTTTAGTTTGTCCTTTCCCTAGCACAAGTTTAAGCACACTTGAAGAGATTTTATTTGAAGAATTAGGCAGGTCTTTCCTAAAGTCATGTCTGTATTCTGGAAGAAGCACTTTTTATTGGTCACCTACTGTGTTCCAAGCAGCGCACTGTAAGTTTTTATTTGACTTTATCACAATGAATAGTTATAACCCTTTAAATCAGATTCTATTACTGTTCTCATTTTAGAGAAGCAGAAATTAAATATGTTAGCAATATGCTTAACATTTTATGGCACGGCTTATTAATGGCAAAATCATCCAGGTAGTATCTTTCATTGATCCTTACTGTATTAATCAGATTACAATTGTTACCATCTTTGTAAGTATAAAATACTAAGTGGAATGTGTGAACATAATGTAGATGAGCTTTGTCTTTCAGCTAGAACAATGTCAGCAAAGATATAATAATGGTGGCTTTTATTGGACTGTCTTAGCTAATATTGGACCCCTATTTCAGAAGGGAGCAGAAGATAATCAGTCTTAAAACATCTTTGCAATATGCATGGAAATTCTACTATTTTAAAATTTCAGTCAACAAACATTTTTTGAGAATTCATGAGGTGTTCAACACTATTCAGCACCAGGGATACGAAGGTTGAAAATATGAACACAGTTTGAAGGGCTCTACCATCTAACTAGAGAACACAGAAAGTATGTAGACAATTACAGGAATGAAGATTATTAGAAACATTTTAGAAAGCAATTGATAATATTTTGTGATCACCAGTGAGGTGGAAGCTTTTTTGCTTAATTGTACTCTCAAATGTAGACAGTAACTCCATCTTAATGAGTCAGGAAATTAAGATTTAAGGGATTTTAAGCCTCATGCCTGAAGCTATTTTGCTGAGGAGTGGAATGGTGGTGGTGGTGGAAAGTGGGGATTTGAATGAAAATCTATTTGATGATAAATATCATGTTTTTCTCAACTCAATCAACTAAAGTCTAGTTGATGATGTAAAGATGCAAGATTTATTGACAATCAATATCTTGTCCCAGGTAAATTTATCTTACCCTTCCGGAAGCACTAATCTCATCAGGAATTAGACAAACAACTAGAAATAAAGGTGGGAGTTAGGGTTGTAGTTGAAGTGCTTCATGAGAAGGCCAGAGGAATTGGAAGGGGCATGAGGCATCTTGAAATTGATGCTAGATCACCTGGCAGGAAGGGAAGGTCAAATAAGGTGCTAAAAATGGGAGAGAAAATTTATTAACATAATTCTTTTTCTTTTTCTTTCTTTCTTTCTTTCTTTCTTTCTGTCTTTCTTTCTTTCTTTCTTTCTTTCTTTCTGTCTTTCTTTCTTTCCTCTTTCTCTCTCTCTCCCTCCCTCCCTTTCTTTCTTTTCTTTCTTTCTTTGTTCTTTCTTTCTTTCCTTTCTTCTTTCTTTCTCTTTTTTCTTTCTCTTTCTTTCTTTCCTTCTTTCCTTCCTTCTCATTTCCTTCCCCTTCCTTCCTTCCTTTTTTCCCTTTCTTTCTTCCTTCCTTTCTTCTTTTCTCCCTCCCACACTTCCTTCTTCTCCCTCCTTTCTTCCCTTCCTTCTTTTCTCTTCCTCCTTCTCTTCCTTCCTCATTCCCTCCTTTCCTTTTCCTTCCTTCCTTCCTCCCTTCCTCCCTCCCTCCCTTCTTTCCTTCCTTCCTTCCTTCCTTCCTTCTTTCCTTTCTTCCTCCCTCCCTTCCTCCTCTCCCTCCCTGCCTCCCTCCCTCCTTCCTTCCTTCTTTCCTTCTTTCCTTCCTTCCCCTCTCTCTTTTTTTTTTTTATTTCTTTTTGGTAAGAACTCAAAAGAAAAGGGGAGGAAAAGGAAAACCAAAAGTAAAGGAAATATGGCCGAGCACAGTGGCTCACACCTGTAATTCCAACATTTTGGGAGGCTGAGGTGGATGGATCACTTGAGGCCAGGAGTTTGAGACTAGCCTGGCCAACATGGCGAAACCCTGTCTGTACTAAAAAAATACAAAAATTATCCAGACATGGTGGCACATGCCTATAATCCCAGCTACTTAGGAGGCTGAGGCAGGAAAATCACTTGAACCTGGGAGGCAGAGGTCGCAATGAGCAGAGATCATGCCATTGCAATCCAGCCTGGGTAACACAGCAGACTATTTCAGAAAATAAATAAATAAAAAGTAAAGAAAATATAATTCAACCACCAAGCATAGGGTCCTAATATGTTTTCAAGCTACCTACTTTTCTTGCTTTCTTTCTATCTTGGGTATGAGTTAGCTTGTGCTGCATAACAAACTAGCCCAACATGTAGTGTCTTAAAGCAACATTCATTATTTCTCGCAAATCTGTGGGTTATCTGAATACTTCTTCTGGTCTGTGATGGCTTAACTGGGAATGGATGTTTTGAGGTGTGCACATTCACATGTTTCAGGCCTCATATGGGACATCTGTGCCTCTTTCCACTTGTTCTTTTATCTTTAAGAAGGCTATCCCACACTTATTCACATGCCAGTTGTATTCGAAGAGTACAAAGGCAGTAAATTAAAGGTGTTTTGAGGCTTAGGTTTAAACCTTAGATAGAGTCTCTTCTGATTCATTCTGTTATTCAAAGAGAGTCTCAAAGCCACCCATATTGAATGCATGATAGGCAAATAATACTAACTTCTTGACGGGAGGAAGTGCAATGAATCCATGGCCATTTTCAACATACCATATCTTTGTATGGAGAAGTGAAGTTCCCTGGTCTGTGATTAGCGATTACCAATGGCAGATGTCTCCTTGAATGCATGGCTAATCTGTATCACTTGTCACTTCCAATAACTCTGTCACTAAAGAACCCCAGAAAGCAGTTTCCTGTACAGAGCCTGGAACAGTTTTCTACAAAAGGAATAATATTTGTTACATTGTATTCTTAGAAACAGCCACATTAAAGTTGAAAGTTCAAAGATGATTTTCACATTTTAACCAAGTTTTTAAAGTGTTTGACGTTGAGGAAATGTTAGTGTTTCTGTCACAATATTTTTTGAATTATAGAACTGGGGCATGGATTCTGCATCAAATTTACATGAGATTTTCAAAGACGAATGCTGAACAGTTCAAGGAACGTTATCTTTTAAAAATTTCCAGAAGTTCACAGCACTTAACAGTGAGAATTGAAAATAAGCACAAGTTTGCTTTCCCAAATCACTGGAAATCCAAGAGCAAAGATTATGAGACCCCTAGGTCCAAGAAACTGCTAGCTGTGATTGCAAACTTGGTTGTTGCTTTTTCATATATTCTGATTTTATGGCATGAGCCAACACTTACCCTAACTCACACAAGTTTGGTTGCCAAAAATGTCCCCTCAAGAGTATCTTATAATTTTCAACGAGATTATCTCAAAGGATGCTTATGTGTGTGGCCAAACAGGAGTCTGCTCTGTGTTTTGACTCATGCTCCACTCCATGTTTCAAGTTGCCAAGGCTTTTAAAGAGAACTCATCACTTCTACCGGCCACCATGATAATGTCAACATGTCTACTAAGGGTATCATGTCCAGATGGTGCCCAAAATCCCAGGTCCATGGACATCAGAAGAGTGATGGATTTTATTCAGAGATGGAGAGATTGACCTCTATACCAACTGTGTAATATACTTTGCTATCTGGGTGTCAGAACAAGTCTGCCTATAAAATCCAAAGTCTTTCTTAATCAGTTCTTTTAATTTCTTCATCTCTCTTCCCTTCCTCCTGCATCTTTGTAGCTTAAGGGTTCAGGGACCTGTTCACACAACAAATGATTGAATTGAGTGCCTGCTGTAGCAGGCAGACATGTAGGCACTGTCCTAGGTGCTACAGATAGCAGTGAACAGGAGAGGCCAAAGAAGCAGGGCCCTGCCCTCTTGGATATTAAACTTACCCATCTATTTACCTCTCTTCCCCTCTCTGTCCTAAGCTTGACTAAAACTTTCCTCTCCTTCTCTAGTTACCAAAGAAAGTCTCCTAAGGAAAGGAATAGATATAAAAAGATACTGAGTAGTGCAATGGGTGGATGATTGGCATGATTGCAGTAGCAGTCTCTAGTTACACCTGCCAAAAATGCCCTGTTACATTTACAGGACCACATTCCAACAGATTTAGACAGAATGTATTTAAGTCATGTCAAAGACACTGAAAATAAGAAAAATTCAGTTTGTTTTGCTTAAAATACTACAAGTACTTAGTTTAAATGTCTCACCTCTCACTTAATGTGGATGAATGTGTGGGACATTAAGTGGCTACAGGTTTGGTCACTTGATTGAGTTAAAACAAGGAACTTGATGAAATACCCAACAAATGACTAAATTGTATTTTTCACTTTCCATTTGGGCATCACAGTCTTATTTTATGACTCAGGGAGTGAGACTAACATAACTTCAACACAACCTACCTGTGTTATGCCTCAGAGAAAATTATATTCATTGAGTTATGTAGTATTTGGAGAAAAAGTTACTAGTTTGTGTGAATTTATATGAAGTCTTCTCAACACAGCAGTGCTCATACATATTTTAGGTAAGAAACAAAGACTATACTTTCAGGGATCATTTCTATAGTTCGTTAAGGTAAGAAACATGAGAAGGTTGACACATATGACTTGGAATTAAAGAGAAAATGAGGTGTTGTCCAAGATACTTCTTCTGAGATGGGAAATGGAAGATAAGTTCTTTTCTTCTGTGTTGACATATACAACTGGCTTCTCAACAGGAAGGGTAAAAATCTGCATTTTTATTCTTGTTAGTTACCATTTATTCTGTGCTTACCAAGTATCAGAATTTAATGTCTGAAAGTACATTACATACATCACATTCAATTCTAACAGTAAATGAAGACATAGATATTAATATTCTGTTTACTGTATGAGGAAACCAAGGCACAGGGAGGTTAAGTGACTTGACAAAAATCGCACAGTTCCCAAGTTTTAGATCATTAATTCAAAAACAAAGCACTTAGATTTCCAAGCTGCTGCATTTGACTAGTAGCCAACACTGCACTCTCAAATGTGTATTTTGAGAACTGAGTGTAGCAACTTTTACATCATAAAGGCTGACTGGGTCTTGACCTCTGCCTCCTGAGCGCCA
Organism: Homo sapiens; assembly: GCF_000001405.40. Taxonomy (NCBI): domain Eukaryota; kingdom Metazoa; phylum Chordata; class Mammalia; order Primates; family Hominidae; genus Homo; species Homo sapiens. The sequence continues at coordinate 6,108,870 of NC_000003.12, forward strand.
GTTCCCTCATCTGCAAAATGAGAGAAATAATGCCTCTTTTGAAAATAAAGATGAAACCATGTATGAGGAAGAACAAATGCATTTTCCAGTGCCAGTCACAGGGTCTGAAAAATAGCATATTATCAACAGATATTGTCTGTCTGAAACATTATATAGAGGAACTATTTCACACCATCATTAGCTAAGTTTCTAAGGGGTGTTGGATTAAAATTAGAGACATGACCTGAGCTTCGACATTTACATCTATGCCAGATCTGAAGTGTATGTTTTAAAAACCTGACATCAAGATTGGCAAGGAGCCAAAAATAAGCTACCACATCAAACTCAAAGGAAAATTTGAGGAGGGCCACTTCATGTAAAGGAGAAAAGTGACTTAATGATTAGCACGTATAAATAATATTTTATCTGCCCTTTAAAGAAGGATGTGTGTGTGTGTGTGTGTGCGCGTGTGCGCACGCACGCCTGTGTTTTGTCTATGGAAGAAATATTAACATATCTTTCAAATGCTTTGCCTTCCTCTTTCTCCCTCCCTCTCTTCCTCTTTCTTCTTTCTTTCTTTCTTTCTTTCTTTCTTTCTTTCTTTCCTTTCTTTCTTTCCTTTCTTTCTCTCTCTCTCTCTCTCTCTTTCTTTCTTTCTTTCTCTCTCTCTCTCTGTCCTTCCTTCCTTCCTTCCTTCCTTCTGACAGTCTCACTCTGTCATCCAGGCTAGAGTGCAGTGGTCTTGACTCACAGCAACTTCCACCTCCCTACCTCAAGCAACCCTCCCTCCTCAGCCTACCGAATAGCTGGGATTACAGGCACCTGCCACCATGCCTGGATAATTTTTTGTATGTTTTTGTAGAGATGGGGTTTCGTCATGTTGCCTAGGCTGGTCTCAAACTTCTGAGCTCAAGCAATCTGCCCACATTGGCTTCCCAAAGTGCTGGGATTACAGACATGAGCCACATACGCTTCAGATCTGGCATAGATGTAAATGTCGAAGCTCAGGTCACATCTGTAATTTTAACCCAACACCCCTTAGAAACTTAGCTAATGATGGTGTGAAATAGTTCCTCTATATAATGTTTAAGACAAGAGCCCAGCCTCAAATGCTTTCCTGTTTATGCTCATCTACTTGTGCCCCTACCATAGCATATTAGTATATCCAGCCAGTTTCATATTTTAGATCAAGTGGAATCTCCTTCATGTAAAAGTTATTATTACTTGGTTTTGTTCAAACTACTGGAGAAGTCTGATATTTGTAACATAAATAGTTTGAATCACTATGACTATTATCAGGGTTAGTTCCCTCATAACAAATATTTGTTTTATAAATTGGAACACAGTATACTTAATTTGATTCATAACTGTGTCCTATGAGGACTGATAGAAGGTACCAGTGACATTTTGCCTGTAACAGGGAAGTCTTGGGGAACACAATGGTTTTGTGCAGACACTTGAAACATTGTCATGCTACAAAGGGAATTCAGTTGTGTATGACCCCAAGGAGTAAAACTAGGATAGTGGATGAAAGCCACAGGATGACAGATTTTAACTGAGTATAAGGAAGAGTTTTCTAATAGTCTCAACTGTCCAAAGAAGCCTCAGGAAGCAGTAAATTAGCAATCTCCAATCTCTGGATCTGTTCAAGCAGAAGGGACTCTAGCAGCGAAAGGGATGTTGGCACTTCAATATTTTGGGACTTCTGAGGACTACTTGCCAAAGCCAAGTGCTGATGAAAAGCTTCTCCACGCTGCTCACAGTAGAAACACTTCATTACAGATCTTGAACACACCGAGGCAGTAAAACTTGCTGCCCCTTTGCATGTTTCAGTTCCTATGAAATCACAGTAACTAACCCCAAGAAATTGCTGATGGCTGGACTTGGCTAGTAAATCTTTTGTCCTAGAATATAAACCCTTTACTAGCCAAACTTTTTCAGCTTCCTTTGATGGTCCTTCCCAATTGATCTAGTCTTTAAATAGAGTCAGGCTTTGCATAACAGCAGGGAAACATTCTGAGAAACATGTTGTTAGGTGGTTTTGTTGTGAAAGCATCATAGTTTGTACTTACAGAAACCTAGATGGCATAGCCTACTACACACCTAGGCTTTTTGGGATACCCTATGGCTCCTAAGCTACACACCTGTAAGCTTGTAACTGTATTGGATACTGTAGGTAATTGTAACAAAATGGTGAATATTTATGTATCTAAACATAGATAAACATAGAAAAGGTATAGTAAAATTACAGTATTCTAATTTTATGGGACCACCATCACATATACAGTCCCTCATTGACTGAAATGCATTTATACAGTGCCTAACTGTATTATTGTTCTTTAAAACTTGGTGTTGTCCTCCTTTCTCCATTCTACCTTATTACCCTTGATGAACTCATGACTTTACTACCTATGCCTTGAAGACTTGGAAGTTTACACCTTCTGAATTAAAACCTATACATCCAACTGTGTGGTTAATATCAATATTTGGACATTTTAGAGGCATTTCAAATATCACACATAAGAAATCTAATTTCTAGTTGCCTTCTAGTGGCATTGTTTCTCTTCCAGTTTTAGCCATCTCACAAAATGATATCATTAGGGTACCCATGAGAGCTCCTCTTGGCATTTCACTCTCACTTGTCCTCCTCACATAGGCCATACCTCCAGCACCTATCTCAAAATCTCCCCCTTCTTTCCACTGCTCTTTCTAATATTTTCAGCTAGAGCACCATTACTCCTGGCCTGGACCACTGTAATAGCATCTGACCTGGTTCCCCTGATTCTACCTTATCCCCGTCAATTCATTTTTTACAGTTGGAATGAGTATTTTTTTTTTCTGTTTCTTTGTGCCTTATGAAAACAACAACAAAAAACATTGATTTTTGAAATAATTATAGACCCACAAGATGTTGCAAAAATATTTCAGGAAGTAGTAATTCAAAGTAATATTTTCAAAGTGCACATCTAATTATGTTACTGTCTTCCTTAAACACGTCTAGCAGTTTCCTAATTTTCTTAGGAAAGTAAACATTGCTATGAAAGCCTGTAAATCCCAGCGTGATGTCTGCTTTTCTATTTCTTCAGTTTCCTTTTGGTCCTCCATCACTAATGGTGCTTCATTTATCCTGACTTTTTCTGTTTCTTGCCTATCAAGAACTCCTTCTAACCTAATGTTTCCTCTATATGTTTTGTTTTACTCTCACTTCAATGCTCAGTGTGAATGTCACATATTCAACTCATCATTCACTAATCCCACAATCTAAATTAGCTTCCTCTATTACACCCTCATGTTTATGTCTCATTTTTCTACATAGCATTTATCAACATTATCTGCATAATTACTTACCACCTGTCTCCCTAACTGTACTATAAGCAACCTTGCTCATTCTTCTGAGATCACAACTCTGCAAATATTAGGTTCTTTACGGGTTTTCAAGCAATGAAGTCTAGAGTGCTCACAGAAGAGAGTTCTGATTGACGCTTCGAATTTGTGAGCGGTTGAGAACTCTCTAAGGAGCACCAAGTTAGACTTCGATTCAAATATTAGTTCTATCAATTACTTGATGTATATCTTTAATCAAGTTACTTAAACATACGGAGTTCCATACTAATCATCCATAATAACATTACCATTTATGGATTCTTACAAAGATTAAATGAATAAAGGCATGAACATGCTTAGTATAGTACCATGGGCTACCTTGTCAAATCTGGGAAATAGTGGTTTCTAAACTTTGCATGTTAGGAAAATAAATCATTCATGGCCACAAACGTACACAAACTCAACAACACAACATATAAATGTTCACCAGAATACAATAATGTTTTGATTAACTCTCCAAATGATATCATCCAGATTTTTACAAGCTCTGTACAAGCAGGAAGTGGTGACCAAATTAGAGCTGTAAAACGTTTGACTAAGGATTGAAGGCATAATCCAAGATGTACAGAGTCACTTGTATACAAGTGATTTTTTGTCAGACTTTTTCTATTGTTCATTTTCTTTCAGCTTTTTAAGGTTGGTTTTAATATACAAAACACAGTTTTAGGCCTTTTTTCCTCTTGCCTATATCTGACTCTGACACACGTGATAAACAACCATAAATTCTCTGGGGATAAGATTCTTTTCTATATTTTTAACCTAAACAAGATTGTGTCCCTTGAAAAAGAACCTTGGAAAGAAAAACTTACGCAGACCCAATGTTAATTAAGCCTTGGAATACAGAGAACATAACAAAATATCCTAAGAGCCAATGAATATGGCTATGTTAACATATTGAAGCCAATTTTTATAATTGTCAATGAATTGATGTATCAGAGACATCTTTTAAAATGGCTATGATGATGCAAATCAAAGCAAAATGTCAGATAAATGCTTTCTGAAATTTCTTCCCTCCATAAAAGCAGAGAACACTGGCAAAACTTGTCAGAATCAACTTTTTCAGAATTCTGGAAATGAATCATAAACTTATAGCAATCCAAGAAGTGTTGTTTCAAGAAAAAATGGTTTTCTTAACCTCAAACAGAAGACTTTGTGACATTCTAACTTGCCCTATCCTCATCTTTTCTCCCCAGCTCTGCAATAGCCTTGTAAACTAACAGTCCATCATCATAGTGAAAGCCAGTATCCTGGAAGCCACTGGAGGGGGCGGAACTATATTGAGCTACTTCAATACCCAATCCGCAGAGAATTGTCATAATGTGACCTGTCTGAGAGTTCCCTGGAAGTCCCAATTCACAACACCACATTTATTTGACCTGACTTGGAACTTAACCAGTGCAAACAGCCCTTTCTCCAGAAGCATTTATCAAAAAAGCAAGCAGGGTCAATTGTTTAACCTTATGAATACCAGAGATGGTTGGTAACAGTTGAGACAACAACAGACTAATCACAAAGCTGAAAGGAGAAAGATGGGCAATAAGAGATCCATAGGGGACTTTGAATAGCTCTGACATATTTTTGTGAATCTAGAAGGCTATGTGCATATGAAGGCCTTTGCACTTGCCTATGGCTGTGTGCATCCTGAAGATCTGGTAAGGTTTTAAGCTGTCACCTCTGGCCAACCACAAGATTCTGTACAAGCAGGAAGTGATGACCAAATCAGAGCTGTAAAACATTTGGCTGAGAGTTGAAGGCATAATCCAAGATGTACACAGTCACTTGGTAAAGATGAGGACAGTTACAGCTGATAGACATCATTAGCTGACTAGTAAGTTAGACATAACAAAGAATACAGGCTTTACAAAATTAGTTCAGAAAAGCTACTAACCAAACAATACGATAATCGCAACAGACAGCAACAACAATAAATCCTGGGGAGGAGAAAAAATCTGATGCCTACATTTATAACTTTATATTATTTTTAATTATCAGGTTTAAAAATTATAAAACATGTAAACAGACAAGAAAATAAGGCCCATATTCAGGGAAAAGGGAGTCAGTTGAACCTGTACCAGAGGAAGCCCAAAGTTTTTACTTCCTAGACAAAGAATTTTAAATTAGTTATTTTCAAAAGGTTACAAAGAATAAAGAAAAAGATCAGAATGATATCTTACTAAAGGCTATACAAATAAAGAGATAAAGCCATTAATAGCTTTTTCATAGCTCTTAAAGTTGTTTTTAAAAGCATCAAATAGAAATTCTAGAGATGAGAAGTACAATAACTGAAATAAAAATTCATAGCAGATTTGAAGAGGCAGACGAATCAATGAACTTGAATTTGTAAGATTATCTAGCATAAGGAACAGAAAGAAAAACATTTTAAAAAAAATGAATGGTCTCGGAGACTTATGAGAGACCAAGTGTACCAACATACGCATAATATGAGATTCAGAGAAAAGGATAGAGAGAAAGAGGCAGAAAGACTGAGGAAGTCATGGCAGAAAAACTCCAAAGCCCAAAGTTTATTAAAAACATTAATATGCACATCAAAGAAGCTCAATGAATTCCAAATAATATAAACTGAAAGAAATTCATACCAAGACACATCACAATCAAACTGTTGAAAGCCAGGATGGGGGTTGTGGGGAGCAGAAAAAAACAACACCAAGCCAAGAATTCTATATCCATCATAAATAGCAGAAAAATCAAGGCATTTCTAAATACACAAAAACTAAGCAAATTTGTCACTAGCTGACTTGCTCTATAAGAAATACTAGGGGGATCTTTCAGGCTGAAATGAAAGGACACTAGGCAATAATTTGAATCCACATGAATAAATAAAAAGCACCAGTAAGGATAACAATGTACTTAAATATAAATAGACAACATAAACATATTTTTGTAAATACTTTTATCTTGTATCTGTTTAAAGTCAATTGCATAAACAATAATTATAAATTTGTGTTGATGAACTTAAAAGGAATAGAAATTCAAGCCACCCAGATTGGAAAGGAAAAAGTAAACCTATCTCTATTTGCAGATGACATGACCCTGTATATAGAAAATCATAAGGAATTAATTAAAAAACTATGAGAGTTAAGTTCAGCAAGGTTGCATGGTAAAACAGTGAATATGTAAAGATAATTTATATTCCTATGCACTATTGTGAAAATAAGGTTAATAAAATGATTAAATTTGTATCATGTAAAAAAGAATAATATATTAAATAATAAATTTAACAAAATAAACGTAAGACCTGTACATTATAAACTATTCCACTAAAAACATTAAAAAGGAGCTAAATAAATGAAAGATATTCCATGTTTATAAGTTAGAAGACTTAATATTGTTAAGATGGCAATACTTTCCAACTTTATCTAAAGACTCAATGCAATTTCTTGCAAAATCACAATTGCCTTTTAATAGAAATTGACAGGGTAATTCTAAAAATCACATGGAAATACAAAGAACACAGAATAGCCTAAACAATTTAGGGTAAAAAAACAAATTTGGATGATTAACTCTTCCCGATTTTTAAAATTTACTGCAAAGCTGCATAGTAATCAAGATAGTGTGGTACTGGCACAGAATAGACATTGATTGACTCTAATGATGACTACAGAAACAAATTCACACATTATGGCCAATTTTCAAAAAGTTTTCCAAGACAATTCAATAGTGCAAGAATAGTCTTTTTATCAAATCGTGCTAGAACAAATAGATACCTACATGGGAAAGGCTGAAGCTTGAACTCTACCTCACACCATACACAAAGATTGACTCAAAACGGACCATAGACCTAACTATTAGAGCTAAAAGTATAAACACTTAGAAGAAAACAGAAATGTAAATCTTCATGACTTTGGCTTAGGCAATAGTTTCTTAGATATGATACCAAAATGCAAGCAGTAAAATAAAAAATAGATTGAATTTCATCAAAATTGGGAACTTCTGTGCTTTATAGGACACTATAAATTAGTTAAAAAGACAACCCACAACATGGGAGAAAATATTTGCCATGCTTGACCTTTGAACAATGCAGGATTAGGGGTGCTGACTTACTGCACAGTCAAAAATCCACATGTAAGTTTTGGCTCCCTCAAAACTTAACTATTAATAGCCAACTGTTGGCCAAAAGCCTCACTGATTATACAGTTAATTAGTGTATATTTTGTATGTTATATGTATTACATACTATATTCTTACAATAAAGTAGCTAGAGAAAAGAAAATGCTATTAAGAAAATCATAAGGAAGAGAAAATACATTTACTATTCATCAACTGTAAGTGGATTATCATAAAGGTCTTCATCCTTGTTGTCATCTTCAAGTTGAGCAGCCTGAGGAGGAGGAGGAAGCTGTCTCAGGGGTGGCAGAGGTGGTAGAAAATCTTTGTATAAGTGGATCCATGCAGTTTAAACTCCAGTTGTTTAAGGATCAACTGTAATATATCTGGTGAGGATCTAGTATCCAAAATGTATAGAGAACTCTTACAATTTAGCAACTAAAAGACAAATAATATCATCAAAAACTGGCCAAATATTTGAATAAACATTTCTTCACAGAAAGTACAAATAGCCAATAGCCACATAAAGAAATTCTTAACATTGTTAGTAATTAGGAACGTGTAAATAATGTAAATCAAAACACTGGGATGTCTTCCAACCCATGAGGATGGATACGATATAAAAGATAGATAATAATATGTGGTAGAGAAATCAGAACCTTCACATAATCCTGGTGCAAATGTAAAATGGTACAGCGGATTAAAAAAAAGTTTGCAGTCTTTCAATAAATCTAAAACATAGAGTTTTTATATGACACAAGATTCCAATCCTATTTATATACCACAGAGAGATCCAAATACATGTCTATACAAATATTTGTACACAAATGTTTGTAGTAGCATTGTTCATAATAGCCAAAAAAATGAAAACAACCCAAATGTTCATCAACTGATGTATGAGGAAAGAAATGTGGTGTACACATACAATAGAATATTATTCAGCCATAAAAATGAAGTACTAATTAATGTTACAACATGGATGAACCTTAAATTCATTTTGTTAAGTGAAAGAAGCCCAGGCACAAAAGGCCTATTATACAATTTGATTTATATGAAATGTCCTGATTAGGCAAACCTATAGAGACACAAAATAGGTTAGTATTTGTCAGAGGCTGAGAGATGGTCTGGGGAGTGATTGCTAATGGGTAGGGAGTTCCTTTATGGGTGATAAAAATATTCAGCAACATGTTGTCACTTTCAAAAGAGATTATGTGAGAGGACTACTGGTGAATAGCTTGTGCATACCCAAACCAGAATCTGGCAAGGGCCCTTAGCTAATATCTAACTCTGAAAGGATTATGGCAGCTACACCAGGTAGATGAGTCCCTTAAAGCCTATCCCGAGCCACTATGTATGGACTGCCTGACTCACCAGTTCCCTCTCATTTTGAGCTCTTTAATTTTTTTCCTAGGAATTGGAAACTTGGAATTTGCTTGTTTGATAGTTTGGCTGTTTCCTTGCTCAGCTAAATTTTGTACAGTATGTTCTGGATACTCTTTGAAGAGTAAGAAAATGGAAAAATAACCTATCCAATAAGTTTTAGCATCTCCAGGGAGAAACAAATAATTTAGCAAATATAACCAATGACTAAATTTCCTAAAACAAAATATGACATATGTATCAGTCAGAATGTTTTAGGCTGCAAGTAACAAAACATCCTTGCTCAAACTGGTCTAGCAATAAATCAAGTTATTATGTCCAAACAGCAAAAATTTAAGAGGTAAGAGAGGTTCTAAGGATGATACCAATAGTGGTATAATGATATTAAGGACACAGGTTGTTCTGCTGTCTTCAGCTCAGGTTTTACCCTAAAGTTGGATCCTCTCATGGTTGCAAAACATCTGCCAATAGCATTTTTTCATTCATTCTAAGTCAATTTAAGTTGAATATCTGCCCCTTTCCCACCCAAATCAATAATAATTGCCAGAAAAACTCGTGGTAATTAATTTAGACTAATGTGGCTTTTCTCCTAGGCCTGAGGTCACCTTATCCTGATCATGTTTTGTGTGTTTGTGTGTGTGTGTGTGTGTGTGTGTGTGTGTGTGTGTGTGTGTTCTTTTTTTTTTTTTTTTAATCTGAAGGAGAAGAGGAAAGGTTTGGATAGGTGAGCAAAAGTCCTTGCCACATATAATTTGATTCTTTATCTAAAAATAGGGCCAAGGATTTAAAATATTGGTTAGTTAGGTTATGAGGTCTTTACATGTATTTGTAAGCAATAAAATTATTTTATTTAAGCTTAACCAAATTTTAGCTTAATATCAGATTTCAAGGCCAGGCAGAATCAGATCAAACCCAACCATGGGGACAATCCAGTGTATAGCTTGAGAGGAAGTATGGCATGATCATCTGGCTTGTTTTGAAATTTTAGAGGCCTGGTTAAAAATACGTTTGCACCCCTTATTATCTGCACATCTGTGGGCCAAGTACTTCAAACCTCAGTGTTAATATTAATAAGAAGGGGAAAGCTGTGCCCAGTTTGTCAGGTTGATATTTGACAATTGTCAAGTTGATGACACATAAAAAGTTTTACCATTTTCACATCTAAGACTGACCTCAAATCATTCAGTGCAGGGATGTCTCCGGAATCCTGAGTTATGTGTTTGACAGGTAGCTGAGCCTCCTGGGCTTTGTGTAACTAACTTCATGGGAAGCTCACTTGTTAACTTATTAGAGCAGTGCTTTCAACTGGCTTCTTGAAAGCTCTTCCCAACATCCCCCAACAAAAATCCACCACAGGAATGGGGTTTTCTTTGTATCACAAAGGCATTAAAGTGTGGACTAACTACATCACAAATCTCCAGCATTTGCTACAGTATTATCAGGGGAGTGCAGTGAAAGCTAGACTCCAAGTGAGAGGTGGACGTCATATGGGCATACCTGGCAAGCCTTGCACCTCAGATGTCAGTGGGAAGCAAAATGTGACCAGGTTTTGAATTATGGAACACATACTTAAAAGGAAATAATTTGCAACATGGATCCAGGGATCGAAACTCTTGATTTTTTCCCTTGATTATTCATTCAATTTAAAATAACAAAGAAGAAGAATATGCTTTGTGTTATGTATCATAGAGTAAAATTTTCATGTTTTGCAAACTGTGTTAATTTCCCCCATTCTTTTGTAGTTTATTTTTTAGAAAATCAATTGGTTTGGGATATGTGTAGTGATATGAATGAAGTATTATTGTTTTGAAAAAATCTGTACTCTCAAATCGGTTTCTGAGACAAAGGACACATCCACACACAAGAGTTGGCTTTATGTGGTGGCTTATCTGTTCTTTATTTATTTTGGAAACAGCCTTTTGAATTTAGTTCCAATAAAACTAGGTATTAGTCAGTAATTTCTTAAAACTGGTTTAATCTTCAGCCCAAGCAGCAATTTAAAAATCTCTCTAATCCACCACCACATCAAAGCTATTTTGTGGAAGCGGTTTGCGTTCACTGTGACACATTGAAAGTGTTCAGCCAGAGATGAAACTCCAAAAACAAGTCATCCTGTAATTTAATGGAAGGAGATATTCAGGCAGGCATTGAAGAGGACAATCTCCTCCTGTTCCGTAAATCGAACCCTCTACCCAGCTAATTATAATTTAAAAACACATACAGAATTGAAGTCCATGGAACCTGCTGCTTTCTATTTCCATTGTGCAAATGTATTTTTTGAAACATAGAATTGCCCCATCCTTGTCACCAGCAACATCTGTTATTGGCACTTAAATATTTATATTACCCTTTCCTCTGCATCTTGCATAATAATATGTGTAATAATATTACATACTAATGATTTAATTTTAGAGCTGCCTAACTCAGCTAAAATGATTCCTATAATTGGAAAAATGAAATATGTGTATAGAAATGTGTACATATACATGTCTGTACACATAGACATATATATAAAATCTCACACATGAAAAATTAAGAGGGGATGCAAAATGTGTAAGAAGAAATTGTAAATTTAAATAACAACGAATGCCTACTGGTACGTTCTCAAACACATGAAACTTGAAAACCTGCTAAATGAAAGACACCAGTCACAGAGGACCACACATTCTATGATTCCATTTATATAAAATATCCAGAATAGGCAAATACATAGAAACAGAAAATATATTACTTGTAGCTTAGAGCTGGGGGAATAGGGAAATTAGAGGATGATGACTAAGGAGTGTGGGATTTTTTTTTGGGAGTAATGAAAATATTCTAGATTTGATTGTGGTAAAATTTGTACAGATCTGTGACTGTATTAAAAGCCATTGAATTACACACTTTTAAGTGGATGAACTGTAACATATATAAATTGTATCCAAATGAAGCTCTTTAAAACAATGCCTAGCTCTATTACTTGAATTCCTTAGATTTCTGTTTACTAATAAGATTTTTCTCATTTTATGCAATAAACACGGTGATTCACAGTTATTCTATTTTATGAATATCTTCTTGTGATATAATTCTGTACAGCTAAGTGAACGTAAAAGCTGGGATCATTTAAGAATGTTTTAATCTCTGCAAGACTCGTAGCAGTAATTGGATTTCCATAAGAACCAACATACACACCCCACGTGCACACAGACCAACCACATTCCATAAAGGAGCAGTCAGAAACTCCTGTTAGCTAACCTCTGACTGTTGTGGAATTATTTAAATCACTACAGAAAGTCTCTCTGAGAGGGGATTCCTCTGTTGTAAATGTCATGGGGCATCCCTGAAATGGGAGGAATTTATAAACACATGAAAACGCCGCAACACTGCCCACAGAACACAAACAGTCTTTGGATGGTTTAGAGCCTGTGGTTTTGTTTTTTCTACTTCTAGACAAATTGTTTACATCAGAATTGACATCGTTTGAAAATTACTATTTAATATATTGCCTATTTTTAGTTGGATGATTCATTGTCTAGGTTTTGCTCTTCTATCTCTCATTCAAAAGACTCTTCCCTCTTGGTTGAGGCTAAATCTGACTGGGTTACAGTTAAACTTGTATATATAATACAGGTAACATAAGAGGCCTTTGCTAATATCTGGTGCTTTCAAAGTGCTTTGACATTTAAAAAATTGCATTTTCTCCTCACAGATGGCCTGGAGTTGTTTCCCAAGAAAAGTGTGAGCAAGTTAGCTTGGCCTTCAGTTTTTTTTTTTTTTTTTTTTTTTTTTTTCCCATTTGAAAAGAATATATTGCAAATGCAAATGTCCACAGAAGTTAACAAATGACATCTATGTGTGAGTTGATTGGGGGAAAACTATGGTGAATTTCAGAGTATTTGTCCGTTCTGAAAGAATGAAAGCCAGGTGGAACCAGCCATATGCTACCATGGAAGATGTCACCTGAGTTTTTGAGTTTTCAAAAGAAGCTGAAAATTGAGATTTTAAAAATATGAATAATGGCAAACATTAAGAGCTAACCTATCTAAAACAGTGGCCTAGATTTTATAGTTTCACATAATTTATAACCCATAGTTAGTAAAAAAAAAAAAAAAAGTAAATGTTATCAATTTAGATAAAATACGTGAATACCTTTTTGAAAACTTGATTAACAGTAAATAGAAGATAAAGCTTTAAAAATTTAGTAAAGACATTAATTAGAATTAAAATTACTTAGAGCTTTAAAAAATTAAACCCTTTAAAGAAATTTTAAATGTATTTGAAGGCAGAAATGAATCATTTCTGTGGATGAGATTTCATCTTCACAGGTCAATGCTGTAAAGACTTCTCTAAAGACAGGCTCAGTGGCTAACCAGCAGGAGTTTCACCTTTGGTTATCATGCAGCTTCCAGAGGCATCCTCAAGCAACTTGGGAAATGTAAAAATCTGGCTCTTTCATTGTTGGCATGAGAAGAGGCGGATTCAAAGGAAAAAGAATATATCAGGAAAAAGTTTTTTTTAAAAAAGCAACAGAATCTTTGCCATGGACTCTGAAGAAAAATGCCACAGGGGTTCTTTGGACTAATGACTCTACCTGAGCTTCTTGTTCAAGCAAAGGCAGGAAAATTTAATTAACAATTCCAAATCCATATTTCTTTGTAATCTAACACAGTAGATTAGAAAGCTGAGATTTAAGTCATATAGCTATTGAGTGGGAAAGCTAAGATTCAAACCTTAATTTTCTGCCCCCAGAACTGTTTTCTTCTCATCTTAAAATCTCAGCTGGTTGATCCATGAATATTGGCAGTTTAAAGCAGCAAATACGGAATTTGCTGTGAACTTGTCTTTCCATGTGATCCTAACCTCTCAGAACCTTATTTTCCTCTTTTATAAAATTCGGACTTTTGTATTGGATAATTTTAAGGGTTTCTCCCAGGCCTTCATCATAAAGGAATAATTATGCAAAGTACTGATACAAAAGAGTTAAATTTCAGAATGACGATTTCTTTTCATCACAGCTGGTTTAAATTGCCTTAAAGATTTAAGAAACACTTTCAAGTAATAAAGCAATTTAGACACCTTAAATCTACGTCTAGCTACTGAGGATGCACTTTCTGTGGGAAACTGAGCACTACAAAAATTCCTGAAAGAAGATTTTATCCAAGTTTATCTGACCTGGACAAGATAGTGACATTTCAAGAGAATGCTGAATAACAATGTTTTGCTCTTGATGAATAGAGTTAATGCTTAGAGACAGATTAGTAATGTAAGCCACAGAGGTTGTGCAAAAGAAAATTTGCAAGGTTGGAGCCTGGAGATTCTATAATACGTTTGTTCCTGGCTCAAATTTTGTTGCTTTTGTGGGCTGATCCCTTCCAATGGAAGATCAGCTGCCGCAGTAACTTAAATGAACTTAGTTGAAAAACATCTCTGATTCCCAGTTGATGTGTGTACTGTGATTCAAAATTAAAAAGAAAACAAAGGAACATTCCTCCTTCAGAATTTCGTTACAAAACTTGATATAAAGAATTTTTGTAGTCAGCAAATCCTAAGTGGTTTGTAAGAGAACTTGAAAAAGTTCTAATAGGAAAAATGGTGGCATCCAACTGGTTAAAAATGAAGAAGCTTTTGCTGTGTTCCCTTGCACTTTCAAGTTAAATAGCATGACAAGGTATATTCCTTATGACTGCAAAGTTCAGATCAGTGATAAGTTATTTAAATATATGCAACAGTTTACTGAATGTTGAGCTTAATATTTTTAAAAATTTACATCAACTTACATTTTTCCCCTTACAGAATTTGTTTAATAGGTGGAATAGAATTCAACTCAATGCTTATCACTGTACATAAAGCAAGATTACATTTGCTCAAAGAGTCTGTTTATGGAAGATAGTCCAACCTCCCTTCACTAAACCCCAAAGAGAATGATGGGGCTAATCCGCCGGTGCCTTGTCCTTGGGGGCTAGCTCTATCATTCTCTCTAGTTTTACATCTAACACATCTCTAATATTTCCACTTGGGGAACTTAATTTTACTGGGTGCAAGGTATATAGGCAAACTCATCCATTAATTTTTTTGTCTATTTTTTTCATAAGTTTATGAACCTGAACTTAAAAAGAAGGGACGTTTTTTGCCATTTTTAGCTGCCATGCAAAACCAAACCAGAAAAGTGTTCCCTTTTAACAATTCACTCCAATGAAGCTGCTGCAGCAGAGAAACCACTGTATAACTTGTCTCATTAAGAGTCTGCATGGGCCTGGAGGGCTTGTACCTTCGCTGCTCAAATCCTCAGCCTGTAATGGCTTTTTCTTCCATTCCTCAGTCCTGGAACTGTGTGATAACTTGCCCAGAAAATCTTCTTGTGGAATCTGTCTTTACATGGAAAAGACTTGGCAATATTTGTACAGCAACTGGAAGAAAGGTCTTTGCTGAGATATACAAAGAGGCAGAATGTGTGTGGATCACCGATTAGACAAGGCGAATAGGAGCAGAATAGAAGAGGAATGGAATAGAACTCAAGGTAAGTCAAAGAAATTCATTTGACCTGTCTTTATACTCCAGTAGAAAATAGAAAATAGTGGGCAGATTGAGATTTCATGGTAAAATATAGAAAAAGAATCCTATTTAAATCGCAATTACAGCCGTGGCTGTTGACTTCCTATGATGGCATTCACAAAATGTAAAATGCCCTCATGTTTCCATGCTGTGGTGAGTTTGATAGTTCTAATGTTTCCTGAATTCCTCACGGAAGTTTCCACAGAAACATAAGACACATTTTTAGTAGCAGGTGAATTAAAAATGCCCCATTTTTAATCAGTCGGTACCACAGAAAAAAAAATGACAACATATTTACAAAAAGAAGTCTTTTAAAAAGAGTTTAGCATAAACCTGAAATATGAAAAATTCCAATATTAGCAGAAATAGTATTACTTGCAGACGTTACTGGAATTTACATTAAGTATTTAATATTTAACAAATCACATTCTTTTTTAATTTCTAGTCAGAAGTCTCATGCTAATTATTTCATTTTTTTGTCCTTTGTATTTTACAGAAGGGTAAATTCAGATTTGAGGAAGTGAGTCCACTCTTTCTTTTACACAACCACTTTTCTTTCTATCATGTTTGCTGAAAGTGTACGAATAACTCTGTAGAATGGAGAACTCAGTCAAATTTCATCTAATGAAGCTATTCGATACTAAGACTTAAACAAGAGCACACAAACAAAAATCTCTGAAGGAACGTGGAAATAAAAAAGGTTTTATTCAGAGCTAAGCCTTATGATTTTGGGAAGATTAAAAGATTGTTCTGAAACTTTTCTGTAACGGTACAGTAACTTTTCCCAGTACAGAAAACGTGATCAATCTTACAGTGGGTAGTTTCCAGACATGTCACTATACCGAGTAAATCACATGATATCGCTGATTAGATTATCTAGAGGTGATCATATTATACTTACAAAGTCAATAGGAATTCAAAGAATGATTGTCCTTCTAGAGATTGTTTAAAATTCCAACTATTTTCACAAAGTTATGGTCAGATAAATTTGTAATATGGGCATTTGAAGAAATTTAGTTTTTCCAGTTATTTCTAAGTGATTATTTTTGCACATACACTGTTAGAGTTCTTTCTAAATAAGTTGGATCTTTCAGAAACCAATAAGCAGTATTCTGGGAAGATGGAAACCACGGTGGCGTTGTTTGCTAAAAACTCTCTAAATCCTTTTATTAAAACATACTTGACTGATAAATAACAAAACCAAAAACCTCATAATATCATTTATAAATAAAACAAGTGAAAGGGTTTTCAAAACTTCCAAAATACTGTGGATAAAGGCAACTGTCAATATTCATAAAAACTTCATGGTAGTAAAATGTGGAGGAAAGTAATGGGGTGTCTGATGGAACCTGAGAATTCTGAAAACAGAGAAATCCAAAAAAGCCAGCTGGGACTCAGGCAGGCCAACATGTGCCTGAGTCAACAACAGCCGACACTGAGAGTTTTGGCATCTCCAGGAAAGGGTAAACAAAAGAGCCCACGAGTTCACAGCAGGCCATGGACTTTCAAAACTTACCTTTCAGCACTCCCTTCCAGGACAGGGCCTCAAATTGAAAAGAAACAGCTGGGGTGGAATCAATATTGAGCAGAACAAGGACAAAAAAAAAGGATAAAGAAGGTCTAGATCAAAGTCCAGAGAAGAACACAGCCAGTGAGCGCTCATGTTTTTGAACACTGTGCACATATCACAGAAGAGCAACCTCTGTGAAGTTAGAAGTGATCCAGCAATCCCTCTACTGGGCTTTTGTCTAAAGGAAAGGAAATCAGTATATCAAAAAGATACACCTCCATATTTATTACAGCAGTAGTCACAATACCTCCATGTTTATTGCAGCAGTAGTCACAATAGCCAAGATATAGAATCAACTTAAGTATCTGACAACAGATGAATGGATAAAGAAAATGTGGTGTATATTAATATACACAATGGAATACTATTCAACCTTAAAAAATGAAATTCTGTCATTCACGGCAACATGAATACAACTGAGGGACATTATGCTAAATGAAATAAGTTAGGAACAGAGAGTTAAACCCTGGATGTTCTCACTCATATGTGGAAGCTAAAAAACATTGATTTCATAGAACAAATAAGTAGAACAGAGAATACTAGAGGCCGGAAAGGGGAAAGGGAAGGGGACTAGGGAGAGGTTTGCTAAAGAATTACAAAAGTACTAGACAGGAGAAATAAGTTCCAGGGTTCTATAGCACTGTAGGAGGACTATAGTTAACAATAATACATAGTTTCAAACAGCTAGGAGGAGAACATAGACTGTTCCCCACACAAAGAAATGATAAACATTTGAGATGATGGATATGCTAATTATCCTGGTTTGATCACTATACATTATATATACCACAACATCACTCTTATCCCAAAATATGTACAAGTTATTGTGCGTCGATTACCAAAAAAAATTTTTTAAATGATACTCTGAGATATGACCCCTTCCAAAGTTCAGGACAACTCATTCACATAAAAATATTTCACAGAATATTATTTTGAGGTCAAATGCCATACAAAGTTATCATAAGAAACAAAGATATTAAGATGTAAAACATCTTTCCTACAGATGATAAAACATACTGTGTCCAGAATTTATTCCTTCCAGTGGGCTGTTGGTCTCACTGACTTTAAGAATGAAGCTGCGGACCCTCGTGGTGAGTGTTACAGCTCTTAAAGATGGTGTGTCTGGAGTTTGTTCCTTCAGATGTTCAGATATGTCTGTAGTTTCTCTTCCTGCTGGTGGGTTCATGGTCTTGCTGACTTCAAGAATGAAGCCACAGACCTTCATGGTGAGTGTTACAGCTCTTAAAGGTGATGTGGACCCAAAGAGTGAGCAGCAGCAAGATTCATTGTGAAGAGCAAAAGAACAAAGTTTCCACAGTGTGGAAGGGGACTTGAGCGGGTTGCCGCTGCTGGCTTGGGTGGCCAGCTTTTATTCCCTTATTTGGCCCCTCCCACATCCTGCTGATTGGTCCATTTTACAGAGTGCTGATTGGTCCGTTTTACAGAGTAATGATTGGTGCATTTACAATCCTTTAGCTAGACACAGAGCGCGGATTGCTGCGTTTTTACAGAGTGCTGATTGGTGCATTTACAATCCTTTAGCTAGACACAGAACACTGACTGGTGCGTTTGCAGTCCTTTAGCTAGACACAGTGTGCTGATTGGTGCATTTTTACAGAGTGCTGATTGGTGCATTTACAATCCTTTAGCTAGACACAGAGCGCTGATTGGTGCATTTACAATCCTCTAGCTAGACAGAAAACTTCTCCAAGACCCCACCCAACCCAGAAGCCCAGCTGGCTTCACCTCTCAATACCAGATACACTTGTCCACCAGCAGATTATAAGTGGAGCATGATGTTTAATAATGAGTAAAAAGACATTAAGGAAATATATGATGTATGAATACATAATATAATTCACAATTTTTCTACATTTTCCTGTTTGTTTAAAGTCATCAGTGAAGGGGCTGCATGTTCAGACCATATATATATATATATATATATATATATATATATATATATATATATGATATGATATATATGACATAACCACAAATGGATGAGGAAGAGATTGGAGGATGCAGATCCAAAATGTTTTGTTTTTTCTTAGGAATTTGATTGATGGCAGCACTATTAGTATATTATTCTGAAATGGTTCTGAGTATAATTTAGAAAAAAGTAAATGAGTATTAGATATTTTACTTCTACCATTGTCTGTGTCCAAGTAAAGCATATTTCACATTGCAGATGTATAAAAAAGGAGACACATATGTGAGATACAAGAGGCAGAGTTAAATCCTGTAGCCTTGTGTTTTAAATAGCAATATTAGAGCTGGGCATGGTGGCTCACACCTGTAATCCCAACACTTCGGGAGGTTGATGGGGGAGAACAGCTTGAGGTCAGGAGTTCAAGGCTGGCCTGGGCAGCAGAGCAAGACTCTGTCTCTACAAAAAAATTTTAAAAATTAGCCAGGCACTGTGGCATGCACCGGTCGTCCTAGCTTCTTAGGAGGCTGAGTGGGTAGGACTGCTTGAGCCCAGGAGTTCAAGGCTGCAGGGAGCTATGCCCGAGCCACTGCACTCCAGCTTATGTGACAGAAGGAGACCCTATCTCAACAAAAGAAGAAAACTGAAAAAATAAATAGAAATATTAAGTGAACTCAAGATGTATTTTAAATTTAATATTTGAGTATAGGTCATATATATCAATTATATATAGTTAAAGTATATTATAAGAGTACATATCTTTATCTTCCTATATAACACGTACCTGTGTTATGTAGGATATATATACTTCTGGTGGGTTCGTGGTCTCGCTGACTTCAAGAATGAAGCCACAGACCTTAGTGGCAAGTTTTACAGCTCTTAAAGGTGGTGCAGACCCAAAGAGTGAGCAGCAGCAAGATTCACTGTGAAGAGCAAAAGAACAAAGCTTCTACAGTGTGGAAGGGGACTCGAGCGGGTTGCCGCTGCTGGCTTGGGTGGCCAGCTTTTATTCCCTTATTTGGCCCCTCCCACATCCTGCTGATTGGTCCATTTTACAGAGTGCTGATTGGTCAATTTTACAGAGTGCTGACTGGTGCATTTACAATCCTTTAGCTAGACACAGAGCGCTGATATATACACATATCACACATACACACATATATATACACACACACCACAGGTATGTATTATATAGGAAGATATTAGGAAAATGTATGTGTATGTATACGCACATAGACCTATATATACATACACACACCACAGATATGTATTATATACAAAGATAAAGATATGTACTCTCTTTCTCTCTCTCTATATATATACGCATATATATATCCTGAAAGAGTTCTGAAACCTCAACCAACCCAGTGACTCTGAGCATTTTAAGACTTCAGACTGTGGTTTTTTTTTGTTGTTTGTTTGTTTTTAGTATTTATTGATCATTCTTGGGTGTTTCTCGGAGAGGGGGATTTGGCAGGGTCACAGGATAATAGTGGAGGGAAGGTCAGCAGATAAACACGTGAAGAAAGGTCTCTGGTTTTCCTAAGCAGAGGACCCTGCGGCCTTCCGCAGTGTTTGTGTCCCTGGGTACTTGAGATTAGGGAGTGGTGATGACTCTTAAGGAGCATGCTGCCTTCAAGCATCTGTTTAACAAAGCACATCTTGCACCGCCCTTAATCCATTTAACCCTGAGTGGACACAGCACATGTTTTAGAGAGCACAGGGTTGGGGGTAAGGTCATAGATCAACAGGATCCCAAGGCAGAAGAATTTTTCTTAGTACAGGACAAAATGAAAAGTCTCCCATGTCTACTACTTTCTACACAGACACAGCAACCATCCGATTTCGCAATCTTTTCTCCACCTTTCCCCCTTTTCTATTCCACAAAACCGCCATTGTCATCATGGCCCGTTCTCAAGAGACTGTGTTTTTTTTTTAATACCATTTCCTGCTGCAAGAAATCAAGAATTATTGGGGAAATGGCTGATTCCAGTTTTAACACAGAAAATGTACAAAATGAATGAGGAAGCTATATAAAATAAAAACTACTATGGCTATGTCAAATGAACTTAGGAGCCTATTTGTAGAGGTTCCCACTGGCCAAAGATGAGATCATATGAACTTTAAAAAGGATAATACTTGCAACAGATTACAATCTATTAAGCAGGTTTCCATTTGTGGATTAATAATTGTGTGTGTGTGTGTGTGTGTGTGTGTGTGTGTGTGTGTGGTTCACACATATACTAACTGGTTTTTTTTGAAGGATGATAGAATCTCAATTATTTATTTTAAAAATTGATAATTTAAAAATAAAAATAAATATTTATTTTTTAAAATATTTATTTTTAAAAAAATTTTATTTAAAAAAATAAAAATAAAAATTTATTTTAAAAATTTATTTTAAAAATATCACCACTTTGCAATCCCCAATGAATTAATGGTTCCAGATTTCAAGCATCAAAACGCACTAAAATCATTAAAAAGACTTTAAGGCATTAGGCACTTGCTGTGACACCATCTTTTTTTTAAGTTGAGCTATGATTCACATACCCAAAATTCACCTTTTGGATGCATTTAGTATTTAGTGTGTTCATGAAGTTGTGAACCGTCATCTCATTCCAGAATATTTTCACCCCCCAAGGAGAAACCTGTTTTCCATCAGCAGCCCCTCTCAGTCTCCACCCCTGACCCCAGCAACCGCGAATCTGTATTCTGTTTCTAGAGATTTGCCTATTCTGGATATTTCATTTAATTGGAACCACACAAACTTGTGACCTTGGTGACTGGCTTCTTTCACTTAGCGTAAATTATCCATGTTGTGGCATGGATCAGGACTTCACTTTTTGTGGCTGAACATATTCTACTGTAAGGATATGCCACTTTTGTTTGTTTAGCCATTCATCAGTTGATAGATATTTGAGTTTTTTCACTTTTTTTGAATATTATGAATAATGCTGCTATGTATATTTTCTACAAAATGTACATATATGTGGATGTACATTTGGACGTTTTCAATTTTCTTGAGTATATGCCTAGAAGTGAATTAATGGAGTCATATGAAAACTCTATATTTAACTTCATTGAGGAACTGCCAAGCTGTTTTCCACAATGACCACCTATAATCAATCTTGCCAAAGAAATTGAACCTGATTCTGACCAAGTCCCTTGATTCATCTGCCAATTTGCAAGAAATGCAGAGGACGGGGGAACATGTTGCTCTGCACCATGATTGGGCAGTCAGCAAGATCCCAACCGAGAAGATAGATTGGCTAAACTACTGACATTATTCAACAGGTAAATTATAAGGAAATTAAAGGGCTAGAGGAAGTATCTGAAGATCAAAAGAGATTTTCAAAGGCATATCAAGCTTTTTTTATTTTATATTATTTTATTTTATTTTATTTCATTTCATTTCATTTTTTGAAACGGAGTCTTTTTTCTGGAGTGCAGTGGTGCAATCTCAGCTCACTGCAACCTCTGCCTCCTGGGTTCAAGCGATTCTCCGGCCTCAACCTCTTGAGTAGTTGGGACTGAAGCATGCGCCACCACACCCGGCTAATTTTTGTTTTGTTTTGTTTTGTTTTCAGTAAAGACAGGGTTTCGCCATGTTGGCCAGGCTGGTCTTGAGCTCCTGACCTCAAATGATCCACCTGCCACCGCCTCCCAAAATGCTGGGATTACAGGCGTGAGCCACCATGCCCGGCCAGAAGGCATATCAAACTTTAAAGGGGAATGGGTAGATTAAAGTGTCTTGAGATGAAAAAAAGTGAAAAGAAGCACATTTAAATAAACTGATATATTCTGTGTAAAGTATTGGTTATTAGTCAAGAAAATCGGTCCAAATAAATTTCACAAAAAGATGAGGATTTAAGTTTTATTCAGGTTTCACTTTACATTATATTTTAGTATTGTTTGAGTTATTTACTTGAAAATGTCTGATACTATTTTTTTCTTTTCTTATTATTTGTATTTGCATATATTTTCACGAATTTTTATGTAACTTCAAAGTAACCATTTTCAAGACTTAATTTTTTTAAGAATAGTTTTAGGTTCACAGCATAACTGAGAATAAAGTACCAAGATTTTCCATATATCTCCTTCCCCCACCACTGCACAGTCTCCCCAACTATCAACATCCCCCACTAGAGTGGGTACATTTGTTACAATTGATAAACATGTATTAATACATCAGTATCACCAAAAGTCCATAGATGATACTAGGATTCACTCTTGGTGTTGCACATTTTATGGGTTTTGACATATGTATAATGACCTGTATCCACCATTATGGTATCATATAGAGTATTTTCACTGCCCAAAAATTCCTTTGTGCTTAACCAATCTCTGGTGACCACTGGTCCTCTTACTGGCTCCATAGTTTTGCCTTTTCCAGGATATCACAAAGTTGGAATCACATAGTATGTAGTCTTTTCAGATTGGCTTTTTTCACTTATTAATATGTATATTAAGATTCTAACCTGTCTGTCCATGGCTCCGTAGCCCATAAGAAACCAGTTCTTAAATCCAATCCTATGTGTCTATACTCTCTTGCTCTCACAAACAATAACATGAAATAATTTTTGGTTAAAAAACAATTTTTGCCTCAGAGACATTTTCTCCGCCCTCAAGTCACAAATAATGATAGAATATCACAGAATCAGCTTGAATTAAAACGATGGAAAGATTTTAGGTGTTTATTGTGATTTCTGAAAAAGGAATTCCATTCATCTCTGGATATTTTGAAATCATTAGGGCAAACAATAAATAATAATAATAATAATGTAATTAAGTGTCTTACATGGAAATACTTTTAGAATTTCCAGAATTGAAAGCCTGACTGTGACTAAGGAAAAATGTATTTTCCCTCTGAAAATGACACTTGACTGAATCTTTCTCATTCTAAGCTTTAAACCTCTCCCATACTCTCTAAGCTGGTTTTCCCTGTGACAACTGGAAAGGGAGAGCAAATTCATTACACTTTGGGCACTGTAATTTAGATAAAATCAAAGAGCACCTTCCCTAACTGAAGTGATTAGAAACAGGCCATATGTTGTGATTTTCAAACCAAGGTGTGTGGTCAGGAGAACTGGCTCTGTGACAAGAGGCTGAAAGTTTCTGAATTAGAGGATAGCGTGCACACCATTGAAACAGAAAATGCTGTTTCCTCTTCCCATCACTTTGGTACACATTGAGAGTCATTTAGTAAAAGTAGAAGAACAGAGACGCTGATTAGCAGTACACAGTCAAGTGCATTGGTGGTGCAGTGGCCTCAGGGACACCTTGGTTTCTAGAGAATTTACAAATTTGAGAAATAAACTTTCAGGACGACCATTACAAGATGAGAGGGAAAAGAAGGACCCTGGATATTGCAAAGAGGAAACTGCTCCAGTGTAGTGGCATTAATATTACCATCTTGCATTTCCCTACAAACATCACTAACATAGACTTTGGGCTAAATTCTACAGTTGTTTTGCTTGTAAGCTCCCCAGCATCTCTAGTGGCAGCTATTATGTCCACTTTCAGTTCCTAGCTGTGTGCATTATATTTGCATTCGTGATTGCCCTGACTATTCACCCTTTCGCTTATCTACACCCTCTCAATGAAACTGCAGTGCCTTCTCTGGTTTTAGTGTAATTCTCTACCACTGCATTCAATCCGCTGATAACTTTGGCCAACAGACCGATGCAGAAGTGATGGCGCACTGCTTTTCTCTCTAGTTCTCAAGCACTGTCTTGCTTCTATATTCCCGCCTATTCTTCAGCCATTGCTAAGAGAAAGGCCTTGTACCAGGTGAATGATGAGAGATACACGGAGCAGAGACCCACAGACACATGACCGGTCCCAGCCAATACCAGCATTGCATAACATCGATTAGATGAACCCCACATATGCAAAAAGCTAAGTACCACTGATGTCTGGGGTGGTTTGTTGCATAACAGTAACTGACTGATACGTCATCTTTTCTCAAGCTAGCAGGCCTTCATTCTAGATGTTCCTTCTGTGTAGAATGCTCTTTCTATGTTCTCCCTCACTCCTTTGTGAATAAATACAACTATCCATTATATCTTAGCTTAGGCATCACTTCTTCCTGAAAACCTCTCTTTATCCCCAAAGAGAGGGATAGGCACTCCTTCTCCTTCTTTCCTAACTTTCTTGACTTGTTTCAATCATAGGTATTCAAGATAGTTAAAAAGGCAGGCCACTGAGTAAGATAACCTGGGTTGAATGATTTAATTCACAATTCAAGTATTTCACGGATGTATGGGACACATTCTCTAAATGACAGTTTTCTCACTTTTATAATGGTTTTAACCTACAGTTTGTGATAGGGTCTGAAGCACATGACATACACATCATGTTTAGTACAGTGCCCTGTACCTAGTAAAGCACTCATTAATTCTTGGGTGCAATTATTATTACCATATATGGTAGTATACTGTTTACATTAAAGCTCTAGCTGCCTAAATTACTCCAATCTATGAAGAAAACATCCTCTAATTAAGTATCTGGCTACCCTAGCATATAGTTCATATAAGTAGGATGGGTTAAATGTTTGATTAAGTCCCCTAATTTGTCCCAACTCATGTTTTCTTTACCAGTTTTGAAATAAGTTGGTTCACTATCATTCCTCTCCAAAATGAGAAAAAAAATTCTCTCGTTTTTATTATTTTGAACTTAAGAATTGTAAAATACCTGATGTATTTCAGTAATTGCAATTATTCTTATTTGTGCTCAAATTCTCATCTTGGGCCATAGGAAATCTCTTTACATTAGATGCTGAGTTCTTTAACATACCTTAGTAGTTTCAATAATTTCCTTGGTTTCTGATTTAAGCATATTCTCCAGGCCTATCTCGTAATTTCTCTACCCCAGCTATTTCTTTAAAGCTCCCCAGTTCCTTTTATCAGAAATGGCAGAGGCCATGCTCCCAGTGTTATGAGTTTTGCTACTGATTTGACTCTGATTCTGGGTATTTTCAATAGACAGAATTAGAAACTTTTTTAAGTTGGTAGATGAAATTGTATGTATTTATTGTGTACAAAATGATGTTTTGAAGTCTATATGCATTGCAGAGTGGTTAAATATAGCTAATTAACAAATACATGACCTCGCATAGTTACTGTTTCTGTGGTGAGGACACAACATCCACCATTTTTGTGTTTTTCAAGAGTACAATATGTCGTCATTCCCTACAGGCACCCTGCTGCACAATAGAGCTCTTGACCTTATTCCTTCTATTTGACTGTAATTATGTATTCTTTGACCAACATGTTCCCAACCCTCCCTCCCCTCTACTCCACCTTCTGGTAACCACCATCCTGCTCTCTACTTCTATGAGATCACCCTTTTTAGATTCCACGTATGAGTGAGATAATGTGGTACTTGTCTTTCTATGCCTTGCTTATCTCATTTAACATAATGTTCTCCAGGGTCATACAGGTTATCACAAATGACAGGATTGTCTTATTTCTTATGGCTAAATAGTATTCCACAATGAATATATACCACATCATCTCTATGCATTTATCCACTGATGGACACTTAGGTTGATTCTATACCATGATATTGGGAATGATGTGGAAATAAACATAGGAGTGCAGCTATCTCTTTAACATACTGATCTCATTTCCTTTGTATATATACCCGTAGTGGGATTGCTAGATCATACAGTAGTTCTATTTTTAATTTTTTGAGGAACCCCTATTCTTATCCATATTGGCTATACTAATGGAAATATTTTAAAGGTATATTCCATACAAATTGAAAATTCATCACAAGTAAAACTTTGTATTACAAGTTCATCAGAATAGCTTCTTATTTTTCTCCTCTAGTCTAACTACAACATTCCAGACTTTGCAAGTGAATTCTTTTTTTTTTTAACTTAAAATACCCGATCTGTTATTTAGCATGTATGGGATTCCTGAATACAGGTTGGTATGACTTCTGAAATAAAGTGGAGAGAGATCATCATAGGATAATAAATCAAGAAAAAAATCACCTTGTCTAAATTATGCCATGCCCTTGATTAAATTGTTCCCATTCTCTTTCCCATTTAAGGACCTTTGGACATGCAATTTTATTATTTTTTAACAATTAACAATAATTTTAATATTATCAAATATCCAATCGTCTTTTAAATGTCATCATAAAATTTATTTTGTGTTTTAAGATTGTTTGAATCTTGATCTAAATAAGTTCCATGGGTTGTGATTCTTTTAACTATCAGCTTCCTTTGCATCTCTCTTTGTTTTTCTTTGAAATCTATTTGCTTAAGAAACCAGATCGTTTATCCTGTAGAGGTTTCCATACTGTAGATTTGGCTGATTGCATCCCTATCCTGTCCTTTAATATTTTATTCTGTCTCCTGTATTTTGTGTAACTTGCCATTTGAATCTATATTTAGGTTGACTTTTTGGCAAGAATACTTCATAGGAGACCTGTGATGTCTGGTTATCTCCATTTGTGCTATTAGCAGACATTGCTAATCAATGCCACTATCCATTAATTAATTAAGAGTTGCCGGATAATATTCCAATTCTATCATTTCTTCTTGATTTATGAGCTGAAAAGGTAAAAACTTTAATGGATTGAAGCACATATGTTTAACTCCATGAATTCACAATGATACTAAATATATTTAGTTGGTCACTTTTGGAGTATTCGATGTTTTGAAAACTGTTAAAATAATTGTGCCATTTTATTTTCATGGATTGCATTTCACCTGAATTCTAACCTTGAATTGTTATTATTTATTCATTATTCTTTTTTATTCAGCTTAAATTTCACTCTTTCTAAGAGTTCTTCTTCTTCTTCCTGCCCTCAGTCTAAACTGTATTTTTATGCCATACTGACTTACAATACTTTCAGCTTTCCTTTAACACTACCCATTGCAATTGGTTAACTGGCTAGTGATCTTGTTTAAGAATTGTCTCCTCCAGTAAACTCTAAATTCTATGTAATCAAATAATTTGTTTATACCTCTCCCCCAATATCTGGTATAGTTCCTTAAAACATATATTTAATAAATAAATACAGAAATAGAGCATTCATTATTCATCCTAATAGCTAAGCTAAAGATCTTCGGTAAAATAAAAGAGAGATCAAAATTGGTTGTGTAACACAATTATTTTAAGATTCTTTGTAGCTCACTAGGAATTCTACTAGGGTTGTCGCCTCACTTTGCTAGTATTTGCTTTTTGTTTTTTGTTTTTACATTCTACACAATCTTTATTTAACCAAAGAGCAAAATGGCTTAATCCCCACTTGTTAACACTTAATAAGTGCTGATTTCATTCTCAGTATATTCAGTTGAGATTGGTTGGCTAATCCCAGGGGATAGATGTACTATACTATTCTGAGAAGTTTGTTTTTAGATGATTACTTCCAGAATTGGGAAAGATCTGGCTCTACTATAGCCTCCATGAACTCCCAATTTTACCAACTTAATCATATGACAGCTTGACCTAGGGACCATATATTGAGAGTTTGATAAAAATTTAAGAAGAAATTAATCATTTTTTCTATCTGTTCTCGAATCCCATATCACAAATTGAAATACGTAGGGAAAAGCTAATCATGATACAGTCACATTCGTGTGTTTACTAATATGGGCTGTAAGGGAAAACCTCCCTAAATGTCTCCTGTGGAATGTAACTAAGTTATACTAGGTTACATTTGTAAATTAATTTGAGTGGATATCTCTCTTTTATTCAAGTGATTATTCCCAGAAATGTAGGCTATTCATATCTTTTTTTTAAACCGATGAGGTTATTCACTAATAAATCATCATATCAACTGGGGGACACAGAAGTTCTTAAAAAATATCAATTAAGATATTTGAGATATCTGAACATACTTAAACTTCCACGTGTATGTATGTTTGTGTGTATGTATGCAAGTGTGTATGAATGTATGAATTTAACATTGTTGGGAGAAATAGCATTCTTACTCATCTGTCATGTAATGGAAACTATCCTTCAGATGTTAATTACTCCTATACAGTCAATATCTCCCATCTCACTACTCCCTTCTTTATGTTTCTATCAAATATATTTGAGTTTTAGAGAATAAAAAGAGATGATGTTTTTACCATTATAAAATATAGTTTTTGAAATCGACAGCCCATAGCCATATGTTGTTGATGAGGTTAAACCCACTTCCACAAGGGTGAAATTTGATTTGTCAAAATTTGTCAACATAGTAGCACCCCTTTGTAATCATCATTGGTTCAGGTAACCCAAGCCTAAGTTTTCTTCAGTACATGTTATTCCGCTGGGCCCAGGGAATAATCACAAGTGAGCCAATCAGCAAGTTCAGGGCTTCCATTTAAAGACTGCGGGAAGTGACATATTCTCTCTTACTACATGTGAAACAAGTTTACAAACCCAATTCCTGCTGAAAATCATCTTACTCTCATGAGGACAGCCAACCTCAAGATGAAACTGCCATTGCAAATGGCAGCACACACAACCAAGCACTCCAAGACCTTGTCTAACTGCCTCCATTGCCCACTGAACTACTCTAGTCCTGGGATGCCAGTTTTAGGCAATCTCAAGATATTCATCTTTTTCCCTGGGGGTATCAGTCTCTATCTAAATAGAGCTGTGGTGTTCCCTTAAAGTTGATGGATTTCCATGTTTCCAACTTGCTACATCTCCTTAGTTTCTTTATTTAGATTATCTCCATATTATTATTACATCTTCATATTACGTATGCACTTTGGGCCACTATCAGTATATAATTTCTGACTCCATCCTTTACTCAATAACTATTCGTAAATTATAATTTTATAGCCTCAGGTATCACAGTAAATCAATAACAGTTCATTAATGTTATAGTCCAATTATTAAGCAAGTCCACTGACAGCCATTAGCATAAATTACATCAAATATGAGAGCCAGAATATTGATCCTCTCCCCATGGGCACTATATTAATGATGATCACCCTGATTGATCTGTAAATCTTCAGGTGCATGTAGCCTGTAGATCCTACCAGTCTATCCTGGGCAAATATGTAATTTAAGTTTGTCTGTTAATGTTATTCAGAAACAGAAGTCACAAAAGCCCTTTTCCATTTCTCTTGTTATTTGTCTTAGTACAATGCAAGGTTAGCCTTAAAGTTGACTGCTGTCAAGTTTATTCATTTCTCTAAGTCAGTCTTTGATAATGCATAATCAAAGGTTAGTTTTCTCCACTCAACAGCTGCCCTTCAACTATCTTTAGAAACAGATGCATTTCTTAGGATATTGGTGGTGATGTGGAATTTCATATGGCTTATCCAATTTTTCCATTAGCTTATATAAGTTGAGTTTCTGCAGCGGCAAAAATATTAGGGCCCAACCATCTAACTTAAGGAAGGAATTTGCCAGGGAGAATTGGGTTTATTGGAGAAATAAAACCTCCTACAATATAAGGCCTCAGGCCAACTGTCAGGTTCCAAAATCTGATTGTCCACTTTTTTAGCCCCCACTACAGCCTTCTAAAATTAACCATATCTAGTTAGCATTTAAAAGCTGCCACAACAGTATTTTCTGTGTTTCTAAACACTCTCACTCAAGATTAGCTTAAGAAGAGGACACCTGTCCACAGGAATTTACTTCCTCAGAATCTTGCCCCCAAAGCATACAATTCCTTTTCTTTAAAAAATTACATGACTCATTCTTATAGGAAAAAGAAAGAGATAGTTCTATAAAAATTAAAATGTCAGAAAGGAACAATTTAAACTCGTTTTATGGATAGTCAGTGTAATATAGAAGAATGAGCACTAGTTTTGCCGTCTCACAGACCTGGGTCTAAATACAAGCTTAGCTGTTACTGGATTCCTAGCTGTGTAATTCAATTGTTTCTTTAGCTTTAATTACTTTCCATGTAAAATGGAGATTATAATGCCCACCCTGAAGATTTCTGTGAGACTAGAAAGAACATGAGATGCCTAGAACTACTGAATGTTCAATTAAAGGCAGCTGTTATTCTTGCGTTTGTTCTTAGAGGCCGACTACCTTTCCTAGGCAATAGCTAAAAGTCTGGGTCTTCCCTTGTTTTATTGCTGAATGCAGGGCCATCAGCCTGTTCTCTGTAACATGTAAATAAGTAATTTATTAGTGTAACATATAAATAAGTAATTTATTAGAGCAAAAGTGCAAACTAATGGATCATTCACGTGTTCAGTGACAGAGGACACTTGAATTGGCATTTGATTGGTTTCTGAAGGGTGCTTCAAAATTCATTTTGGGGGACATACCTGTCTCAGTTCATGCAGCTTGTCCTGTAATTTGTAGATTTTGCCACACAGTTCTCTTCCAAAGTGATAAAACCATTATACGTTTAAAGTGAGAGTGGCTTCTTTTTTGAGATGATGGTTATGTGGTTATGTTTCTTAGGAATAATGATTATATTGATCTCATAATGAACTTGGTTTTGGCACCAGCAAAAAATGTTGGAATAGTTTTTACTACAATATTCTGTTGAAAAATAGTTCAGTAAGTCATTAGATTATTTACTATTTGAGTTTGGGCTATGCTGAGTTAAAAAATTAATTTAATTAAGGACTTTTCAGAGCCTTTAATATGTTTACATGGTTATCGTATGCAGTGTTTGTCAAGTTTAATTTTATGGCGACGTGAATGTAGCTAACATTTCTTGAGAGTATCATTCATGCCTAGCACTGTTCTAAGTCCTCTACGCATATTATCTAATTTATTCTTTGCGGAAATCTCATGAGATGAATATTATTGTTATCCACATTTTACAGTGGGGAAATTTGTCCATGGACACATGGTTAAAATTATGAGAGTTGGGTTTCAAATTCAGGAAGTTTGACTCTAGAAATATAGTGTGCTAATAAGCTTCTATTAATCGAAGAATCATTTGGGGGTATCTTTCTTTGAAGGAACACTCTGAGACGAACGTGGTGAGAAGTACTTTATCAAATGGAATTTGGCAAGCTTGAGTCATTTTCCTTAAGAATTTGATTTACAAAGGGAAGATTGTGTCAGTGAGAGTCTACTAGAAAATCACTGTAAGTGTTGGGTCTTCTACCTCAAAACGGTGGTTTCCAATTTTTGCGACCCTCCATATAACTAAGTACCACCTAAATTAGAGTTTGCTAAGTATGGGAAAGAACACCTCCCAGTATTTTCTAACAGAACTTCAGACCCAATGTGTGTAGGCAGAGAGACCCTCATGGCCATATGATGGCTGCCTAGGGACCATTCTTGACCACATTCTGATGATTACAAAACGTTATTCCAATAGGAATCCATCCAGTTTTATTTCCCTCAGGTCTCTCCCAGGTGGATTTTCCAAAGTTCAAAAGATTTAGTCTTAATTCCTTCTATAACAAATATGGATTCTACTTTATCAGTGCTCAGAAATACAACACTGAGTATATCCATCTGAAGACAACTTCAAATTTGGGAATATCACATGACACAAAGGTTCCATGAGATTAGTAATGTTCAAATGAGAAGGAAGATCTTTTTACGTTTAAATCTGTCATCCTTAAGTGTTTGTAAGCTATATGTAACATCACCAGTTTTGGATAGGTTTTAACATATTTTCAATTTTATTTCTTATGTAGAAAATTGTTAAATAAATACTTTACTTCTTTCAGAAACCGAACCCAGTTTAAGTAACATTTAGGGACTTAACCAGGTGGGGAGTGATTTGTACAGTGCCTTGAGTTAGTTTAAGACAAACATGGAATATTAATAAATTAGAATCCTTAGCTCAAAAATATATTTCAATAATTACTTCTCTGAAAAGAAAGTCCTACAGGATGCAATTTTTTATTGTTATCTTTCCATTTGTTGAAGACCTTTCTTTGTTATCCAGGTTAAAGCCTTAGATAAAATTTTGTGAGAGTTATTGCTTTGATAAATTATAATTAAAGCACAATTGGAAAAAACACAAAAGAATTTTTTTAAATTTTACTTTAGGTTCTGGGATACATGTGCAGAACAAATTTTTGTTTATTCATTCTCTCTTGGCCATCCTACTATTAGGATGGCTTGAAATTGACTCTAAGAGGGATATAAAGTTGTATATTAAGGAACATTAGGTAGTGTAAGGTCCAGAAGGAAGATAATATCTCAACATGAATTATCATAATTTAAGGTATGAATAATATAAATGCCATTAAGAGAATATACAGAGAATGTTATAGGGGTTAGATATAAGGATAATCATTTCAAACTTGGAGGAGGTAAGAGGTACATCTTATCATAAAAAAAATTCTTCAATTGTCAATGATTAAAAGATAATATAATTATAACCAAGGTTGATGACTTGAGAATTTAAACACTACAGAGAAACAGTCCCTGTCTCTACATAGTTTTTGAATTTCAATTTAAAATTTTAATCATTATGAAACAATAATTTATTTGTGATACCGTCAAAACTTTAGTGCTCATTATTTATTTGGGCTGAGCATTAGGGCTTATGTAAAGCAATATTTTGTACAGATTAAGAGTACAATAATTTAAGTAGAGTCAATTCAGAAACTTAAACCTGAAGTGAAATCACTTGCTGAATGATCTTAGGAAAACTGTTCAACGACTCTGTTTCTTCGTGTACATCTCAAGCATTTTGATATATAAAGGAAATACCAGACCTGAAGCTCATAGTGCAGTGTGACTTGCCAATAAGTCCTTGGCATCAGCTGAAGACATCTACAATTGATTATACCCATTAAAAATGAAAATCCTTGATTAGTTGTACCAGTCATTTAGACAAAACTTGAGAGAGCAACCCCTGTCACTTTGAGTGCTATGTCACAATCAAATGTCTTTTGAAGGCATTATAAAAGTACACTCATATAGGTATCATATATATATATATATATATATATACACACGTTATGACACACACACATATATAAAATATATATACATAAAAAAAGATATATATATATATAATATGATACCCCACCACCAACACTCCTCCCAGACTAGATTGCTTTTTATATCCTGTACATCGAGGCTTGACAGAATAATGCAGAGGAAGCCATCAGCTCTGTAAATTACTAGAAGAATATTACAGCATTTTCATTCATCACTAAGTCATTTTCATACTTTATTCATTACATGATTGGCATAATTCAATGTAATTTCCACTTCCAAGAGTTTGAAATATTAGCTACTTTCTATTTTCATTCCCTTCCTACAGAAGCATCAATTACCTTAAAGTTTTCCAAGGATTCCTTCTTTGCCGTCATTTCTGTCATCAGTCAGCTGGTGTGACACATTAACATTGAATGTCTATGCCATGGAAATGACTGAATGCTGAAAATATCAGAAGAGGTTGAATTACGGTATGAGGAGTTTCTAATATGTCAAAATGGTCCAACAAAGGGAGGGAGGAAGGGAGCATCACGTGTTCAGAGGCAGTGGTGAACAAAATGAGAAGAATCACTTCCAAAAGCAAAGAAACTATCATCAATGATAAATACCACCCACCCAGGACTCACTAGGTGCAAGGTTTCCTGTTAAATTCTTTATACATGTTAGCTAATTTACATATGTTTATTGTTACTGATTGAAATGATGTAAAGTTATCTTTCTCCTCCTTCAAGCTAAGCAGAAAAAAGGAATTGCAACTTTATTCACACATTCATGCCCTCAAATTCATCGAATCTTTAATATGTGTGAGCTATTGTATGAGCATGTCATGTGTATGCAGAAATGATCACATTTTCTTTACTCTCAATTAGAAGAGCTGAGGTATTTCATATTTAATATCATAAGTATTTGGATAATATGGGTGCATATTCAGAGAGTGCGTGTTATAAACATAAACCTTGTTTCTTGGTCTGAAATACTTGTATAGAGATGTATGGCATAATACACATATTTAAAATTGACTACTACTTTGGAAGTGACCAGGGACTATTATTCCTATAGTCCAATAGAAGAACCAGAATATTAAAGAAGACCTGTTGTGACCAAATTCCTCTGGGTATTGAATGGCAGTGTCTGGAAAAGGAGATGGGTCTTAACATCTAGTCTGTTATATTGGTGAAGTGTTACAGGCCTCCACCGAAAGAATGTTTTCCAAAAATCACAAATGGTGATTTAGTTTTTCTTTTATTAGCTCTCAGCTTCTATCTCAATATTTTGACTTTGTAAACTAGTGTCTGTGCAAAGTTTTCTCCAATTTATCTCCTTGTGCCTTTCATCATAAGAGGCGATAAGAAAGTG
Organism: Homo sapiens; assembly: GCF_000001405.40. NCBI lineage: Eukaryota > Metazoa > Chordata > Mammalia > Primates > Hominidae > Homo > Homo sapiens. The sequence goes on from NC_000003.12 coordinate 6,143,902, forward strand.
GTAAGCAGAAAGCTGTCCATTAATCTTGTTGGAAGGACGATCTACCTTCAGAGTGTCTAAATCAGGGCTCCTGGGCTTTGTTGTATGGTTTTGTCTGCACCACTCTGCTTTAAAGTCCAGAACTGTAACTGACAAGTCTTGAGTTTTAGGAGACTGGGCCTGACTGCAGGCCTTTAAGGAGAGCTGTAGTTAACTCCAGGTGAGGAGTGAGACCTACAGCAGGGAAGAGGCCCTGGCCTCAGGGCACCAGGGTAAAGTCCAGCTTTCCCTATGATACCTCTAAACCAGAAGTTCCTCAAGGGGATTAGGCCTAGGTAGACCATGAAGACAGTACCCAGAAGAGACAAACCAAGACTACAGGGTGAGAAAAGTCAAGTAGGAGGCCAGGAGAAGATTTCAAGTTGTGTGTTCCATTTGGTTTCAGTGGATTCATTACTTCTACATACCTTGTCTGCAGGCTCCAGACATCTGTCCTCTGATGCAGGCTTCTATGGAGATAGGTTTAGTAATTTCATAAGAAAATTACAGGCAGTCCCTATTTAGCAAGAGTCATATGCAAGAGTTTCAGTTACCACAGTTTAGTTAAATGATGCCAGTCCTCCAACAACACAGCTAAAATTTCAGCTGCCATGGCATATGAACCATGAATAAGTGCATGAAGTAAATACTTTGCCGCTAACTCTACAGTCCACAAATCACTACATAAGGAAAAGATGTACATCATAATGATTGGCCAGTCACATCACTTCTTTCAACTTCTGTGGATGGCTGAACCTGCTTATCTGTTGTTTATTTCACGTACAGACAGTAAAGTGTGTAGTTGGGTTGCTTCCTTTTCTCAGCGATAAACTCATGGGACATTTTACAAAAATGGATAATGGAAAGAGGGAATTGAATTGGCCAACAAAAATGAAAGTACAGTAAAGATATGAAAACCAATCATGTGCAAAGTGAAATTTGACTGGAATATAAATGGAGATATAGAAGAAATAGCTCACAATAGGAATGTTGACACTGCAGACATTCAAGAGACTCTGGATATGCAGGCAGAGGAATTCATAAAATACAGCACTGACATCAGTGAGAAAGGATGTCAGAATGAAAAAAGATGTCTCAGAGGAAGTAATAATGGCCGAAAAAAAGAAAAAACACACAAAAAAACCCCACTTTCCATTAAAAAGAAAACTCTTATAAATATTTCGAGACATTGAAAACACAAGGGATAAAATTTTGGAAGTTGATTCAAACATGAAAAGGAGCATGACAATTTCCCAAGACATAGAAAACAATGCTCACTCCATCCCTCCATTGCATAACTCCTCCTCAAGTTATACAATAAGAAGGCCAGAAGGTAAGGACTGTTCAGACTACTCTAGGTTACTGAGCTTTCATTAAACTTTTATATCATTGTAGATTCACATTTAGTTGTATGAAATAACATAGAAATATGCCTGTATCATTTACTCAGTTTCCCTCAAAGGCAACACCTTTCAAAACTGTAATACAAAAATCACAACCAGTGTAATGACATTGATACAGTCAAAATACAAAACACCTCCATCAGCACAGAGATTCCACATATTGCTCTGTCATAGTCATACCTACTTCCCTCCTGCCCCACCCCTCTCTAAGCTGTGGCATCTACCAATCTGTTTTGCATTTTCATAATTTTGTCATGTTAAGAATGTTTTGTAAATGACGCTATATAGTATGTAAACTTTTGAATTAGATTTCTTTATAATTCTATGGAAAGTCATCCAGGTTGCTGTGTGTATCAATAGTGTGTTCTTTTTTACTGGTGAATAGTATTCCGTGGTATAAATGTACCACAGTTCATTTAACCATTCATACACCGAAGAACACCTAGGTTGTTTTCAGTTTGGTACTATTATCAATAAAGCTGCTATAAACATTTGTATACTAGTTTTGTATGAACATAAGTCATCACTTCTAAGGGATAAGTTCCTGAGGGTTCAAGTGCTACGTCATAAAATAGCTGTAGGTTTAACTTGTTAAGAAACTACCAAACTGTCTTCAAACTGTCTGGCATTTTACATTCCCACCAGCAATATTTGATGACCCAGTTTCTCTGCATTCTTTTTTCTATGTTGACTCTTCCAATTCATGAATATAGTATGTCTCTCTATTTATTTAGGTCTTATTTTATTTTTTTCATCAACATTTTGTATACTGACGAAACCTATAAAGGTATACTAGCCTATCCATGTTTTGTTAGATTTACACCTAAGTGTTTACTTTTTTTCAGCAATTGTAAATGGTGCTGTATTTTAATTTACGGATTTATGAGTCCAGATGTTCATTCTAGTGTATATAAATACAATTGATTTATATATGTTTAAATCATATATTGCAACCTTTCTAAACTTGCTTATTGCTTCTGGCAGGTGGATTGTAGATTATTTGGGATCTTCTATGTCAACAATAATATCATCTTTAAATAAGGATAGTTTCTTTCTTTCTTTCTGGTCTGCATGCCTTTTATTTCCAGTTCTTGATTTATTGCACCAACTAGAATATCCAGCACTATGTTGAATGAGAATTATGAAAGCAGACATCTTTGCATTGCTCCCAGTCTTGGGAGAAAACCATTTAGTCTTTCACCATTAGGTATCATATTACATATAGATTGTTGTACATCAAGTTGTTTATCAAGATGAAGATGATTGACTCTGTTGCTGTTTTTCTGAGTTTGAATCACGAATGGGAGTTGAATTTTGTCAAATGCCTTTTTGGTAATTTTTTTATTATTATTATTATACTCTAAGTTTTAGGGCACATGTGCACAATGTGCAGGTTAGTTACATATGTATACATGTGCCATGCTGGTGTGCTGCACCCACTAACTCGTCATCTAGCATTAGGTATATCTCCCAGTGCTATCCCTCCCCCCCTCCCCCCACCCCACAACAGTCCCCAGAGTGTGATGTTCCCCTTCCTGTGTCCATGTGATCTCATTGTTCAATTCCCACCTATGAGTGAGAATATGCGGTGTTTGGTTTTTTGTTCTTGTGATAGTTTACTGAGAATGATGATTTCCAATTTCATCCATGTCCCTACAAAGGACATGAACTCATCATTTTTTATGGCTGCATAGTATTCCATGGTGTATATGTGCCACATTTTCTTAATCCAGTCTATCATTGTTGGACATTTGGGTTGGTTCCAAGTCTTTGCTATTGTGAATAATGCCGCGATAAACATATGTGTGCATGTGTCTTTATAGCAGCATGATTTATAGTCCTTTGGGTATATACCCAGTAATGGGATGGCTGGGTCAAATGGTATTTCTAGTTCTAGATCCCTGAGGAATCGCCACACCGACTTCCACAATGGTTGAACTAGTTTACAGTCCCACCAACAGTTGATATGATCATGTGGTTTTTCTTTCGCCTGTAAATATAATGGGTTACATTGATTTTATTATTATTATTGATTCAGGCTTTCATAACACGAATAAACTTCATTTGGTAATGCATGTAATTATTTTAATATATTGCTAAATTTTATTTGCTAATATTTTGTTAATGATGTTTGCATCTATATTTATGAGGGATATTGGTCCCCAGCTTTTGTTTTTGTGTTTTGTTTGTTTGTTTTAGGCACTATCTTTGCCTAGTTTTGGTATTAGTAATGCTAACTGAATAAAACAAATTGAATATGTTCCTCCTCTCTTATTTTTTGGAGATGGTGTATAATTGATGTTAAATCTTCTTTTAATATTTGGTAGAGTTCTGCAGTGAAATCACTTTGGCCTAGATGTTTCTGTTTTGGGGAATTTTAAATTAAATATTTAATTTCATTAATAGCTCTTATGGCCATTAAAATGATCATTTTATACTAGGGGAGTTATAATAGTCTGTGTTTTGTAAGAATTGGTCTATTTCACCTAAGTTGCTAAATTTATGTCTGTAACGTCGTTCATAGTTTTTGCTTTTCTCTTTAATGTGTTGAGACTTAAGTCTGTCATTGTATTTATTGTTTTCTGATTGTTCTGTTTTTTTCGCATATCTGATTTTTTTCTGTCTTGCTGTGAGTTACTTGAACTTGTTTTTGTAATTGTAGTATGACACATCTGTAGTGTTTTTGAGTGTCTCTCTGTGCGAAGCTTTTTTAGTGCTTGCTCTAAATATATACATAACTTATTGCAGTCCACTGGTTTAGTCACTTAACCTGCTCAAGCGAAGAGTTGAAACCTTACCACTCACTACGTCCCTTTACAAATATTTTCTTCACGTACAGTAGAACCACGTTAGACAATACTACAACTTTTGCTTTCCATGTTGAGATCTAATTTAGAAGATAAAAGAAGACAAGGAAAATCTATTTATTTATCCACATTTTTTGCTTATTGCATTCTTTCTTCTTTTCTGATGTTCCAAGTTCCCTTTTTTAAAAAACAAATTATTTTCTTTCTGTTTAGAGAACTTCCTTTAGCCAGTATTTTAGGGTAAGTCTGCTGTTGATAAAGTATCTTGGTTTTTCTTCATCTGAAACTGTCTTGATTTCCTCTTCATTTCTGAAGCATATTTTCTCCGGGTGTAGGAATCTGGGTTGATAGTTCTTTTTATTCAGTATTTGAAAAATGTGCTACTTCCTTCTGACCACCAAGATTTTGGATGAGAAATCCTCTGCTGTTTAAATCATTTTCCCCCAGAGGTAAGGTGTCATTTCTTTGTTGTAGCTTTCAACATCTGTTTTATTATCTTTACTTTTCAGAAGTTTGACTATGACGTATCTGGGTGTGGATTTCTTGGGTTAATTATGCATGGAATTATGCGTTTTCTTAATCTCATTTATGTGTTGTGCCATATTTTGGAACTTACAGCAATTGTTTCTTTGAGTACTTTTTAGCCTTCCACTCTTTCTCCAATGACACAAATGTTAGATCTTTTATCTCCCACAAGTCACTGACGTTTGAGAATAAACTGAAGTTTATTTTTCTCTGCTGGCCAGATTGGGTAATTAACATGTATTGTTCCATCCTCAAGTTCACTGCTTCTTTGTTCTGTTCCCTTCATTCTGCCATTGTCCATTATCCATTAACTTTTCTATGTTGGTTATTGTGTTTTTCAGTTCTAAAATGCCCATTTGGTTCTCTTTCATGTCTTCCATTATTTTACTGAGATTCCTTATTTTGTGGGGGAGACTTTATTTTTTCATTTGTTTCAACCATTCTTGTAGTTTGTCCTGGAAATATTTCATTATGGCTGCTTTAAAATTCTAAAATTCTTTTCCGATAATTCTAACGTCTCTGTGATCTTGGTATTAGCATCTGTTGATTGTCTTTTTCATTCAATTTTAGATCTCCCGTGTTTTTGATGTGATACATGAGTTTGATTGAAACTTTGTCATTTGGGTATTTCATTGTGAGTTGCTGGATCTTATTTAAACTTTTTGGTTTAGCTTGATTTTGTCACCTCCATCAAGGGAAAGAGGTCTGCTGTTTTGCTACTGCCTTGTGAAGTCCAGCTTCCCACAGATGAGTGAAGACTCAATCACCATTGACACCTGAAGAGGGTGGGCTCCTCTTTATTACTGGGAGGGGGTTAAAGTTCTGATTCTCCATCAGCCCTCCTCTGACATCATCCTAGCAGTAAGGAGAAGGGGATCATTGTTATTCCTGGGTGAGATGAAAGTCCCAGCCTCCTACTTGGCCTTCTCTGACTCAGCCCTAGTTGGGGAATTAGAGTCCCTTGGTATGGGCCATCCAACCTGGAAGTCTAAGCTCACACTTGGCCTTTGATGAGTAATGGTGAAGGTCTCATTTTTTTTTTTTCTGATATGTTGAGCTAGAGTAGTACCGTTACTGTCTCAAAACTTTCTTTCTTACTAGGTTGCCCCTTTCCTGATCCTTTGGCTAGAGAGCAGCTTTTCTTGCTGATTTTAATTGTTTGTGCCCATTGGTATTTCCAAATCTCTGGTTTCTCCTTCTCCCAGTCTGGGGTATACGTGGGATATAAGAGATAACATGAAAACCCAGGAGCTCACCACCATGTTCCTTGGGTAGTAAGGTCCCTAGCTGGTTTGTCTTCTTTTCTCCACCTAGGAGAGTCTCTTTATGTTTGTTTCATATATATAATTTACAGAGAATTTAGTTGCACTTAGTGGGAAAATAAGAATATAAAATATCTATTTCATCTTTCCAGAAGGGGAGGTCCTGTCTTGATAAGTTTTATTTACAAATAGAACACTTTCTCAATTGTTTAATGTTTTAATTACAGTGTACTAAATAAATATTAGTTTTGCTTTTTTATTTCTTTATATATTCATAAATGCTAGTAAGAGAGGTTTTTGTTTTGACAAAGATGTTTACAAGTTACAGAACAATTGTAATTTCTCCTTTTTATTTATTAAGATTGCTTTTTGTATAGTTTCAGCTTAGACTCCTCTTTTTTTGTTTCTACATTACCATGAAAAATGAGAATAGCATGCATTTTCATACTTTAAGATGGACTATGAATTTCTTTCTTTTTCCAGTCTTCTTTTTTTTCCCCTTTCTCTTTCCACAAAAATGTATTATGCACTAGGAAGTCTATAATGCACTGGGGATACAAAAATGACTAAAATGTATCAGTACCATCCTAGAGTTTATGGCCAAGTGATAGGCATAGGTCCTTTTTAGTGGAAAAGATATTATACATTCTGAGTGTTATTTTTCTCTACTGTTACTTAAATATGTGCATAACATAAAGTGTGGTACGATCTGCAAATGTTGTAGAGCTTATTTAGCAATAAAACAAAAACATTATACAAATTAATTCAGTGCAGCTTCAGAAACACATAAGTATTAAAAAAACCCAAGCAAAATGAATAATAGCAATATTTTAAGACATGACATTGATAGAACCCTCACCATCTCCCTACACACATTATCCTCTTCAGTCCTCCTAACAACCTATGACACAGGTGTCTTTATTAACCCTTTTTACTGATGAGGAAATTGTTATATTTAGAAGATAAATTACATTCCAGAAATTTGGGGCATCTTGTACCATGAGCATTCTTCTGTGTGCTTTCTGGGGTCTAGAGGAAAGTCAGCAGTTTTTTCAGTGTGTTGATATGCACCTTATTCAGAATTTATTTCCAGAATACATACACCTCTATGTGTTACCATCCCTGCTATAGGTTTTAAAACCTTCCAATTCTCTTTTACCTCCAAGCCTCTCAAACAACAAGAATGCTTCTTCAGCTATATTGAAGATGTTGCCTCTAAAAGATGGATATTATTTTTCAACCTTGCTTTTGGAATAGGATGAATATTTTATTCCCCTTGTAAAATTATGTGAACAATTCTGAAGCAACTGCGTATATCTTAAGTCTAATATTTACGTCCTGTACAATGTAGCTCCAGCCTCCACCCACAGCCTCGCCTTCTGCCATCCCAGGCTCCATATTCCCCTTGTTTCTAACTACATCAGACAACAGACTGGTCTGTAAAAGTACCATACGTTCCCCTGCCTCCAGGCCTTTGTTTCCATTATTTACTCTGTCTGGAATTTTGTTTCCCGTTTTGCCTCTCACCATTTGGTTCAAGTGTCATCTCTTTTAGGAAGTATCAAACTGGTCAGATTGAATGTCTTCTGCATAACTATAATAATTTGTTTAATTATCATGGTAGGATTTGTTTTCTGTGCTTGGGGAATAATTTGTAAGCAGGGATCCTGTATTCTCAACTTTAAGCACAGTGCTGGGCACATAGTGGTTGCTCAATGAATGTTTGTAGAATTGGATTAAGGAGTATTTTTCAGTGGCAGCTGTGATGCCTCCCCCAGATATATTTTTATCATTCCACTCATGGGTTGTCCTTTTTACTTCAGGCCTTTTGCATGTTAATCATTGAGTGGAATTCCAAGGTGACTTTCAAGTAATATGTTCTATTATTTATTTTAGCAAAGAAATGTGCTTTTTCCTCTAATAAACAAATATATATTTGTTGATGTTGACTTATCTTTGGATATTTCTCATGAAGTATAACTCTTTTCTTAAATAAACTTCTAGTAGAATAGACAAGTACTATACTATTAAATTGTTAACTCAATAAGTAAACATAGAGTGCTTTCGTAATATTTAAGTTGCTCTTTAGCCCTGTGAATTGAAAAATACAAATATTTAAAAATATAACTAACTCAACATTTACAAATTTTTTAACACCTGCTGAGCTATTATCATCAGCAAATGCTGAATATTTTTGTGGAATTAAGCCCAAGAAAGAACTGCTTTAGGCATCATGTATTTATTTGCATATTTTCATTTTTTTCTGATAAAAACATCTGACATTTGAGATGTCTAATTGCACAAGATAAATATCGTTAAAAAGCACTGCTATCCCACTAGGAAGACTGAAGTTGAAAACATCTGAGAGATCATGATGACATCCTAGTACTGTATCCTTATTATTGTGAAACATGCCTAACTGCAGAGAAACCCTCATTTATAAAACTCTCAGATCATAACGTAGTATAAGTATGTTTCAACATTGTTGCCATAAGCAAGAGTATGCACTTCCCAAGGATAATTTCTATGACGATCCAAACAGCACTCAATAATGTCTCACTATTTTCTAATGTTCCCAATTTATCCTTGGGTAGGATAGCCTATAAGTAGTTCATTGGTCAAGACTCAAATTTCTGAGATAAGAGTTAGCCTCATTTGATTTAAGTAGGTGCTCATCTATATCAAAAACAAAAACAAAACAAAACACAAAATCGTGAGTTAGAATGAAGGCCTGATTTAATTTCCAGGCCCCATCAATTTACTAAGAGTGTGGACAATGCTTCTTAACTTCCTTGAGAGATCTATTTTCCTAACCTCTAGAGCTTTCCTAGCAATTCTCTGTCTTGCTAAATCACATAGTTGCTATACGAATTAAATGAGATGATGGGTTTAATGACTCCTTTCACAAGATGGGTAGAAATATTTCCAGCTAACTAAATATGATCTATTTATGTATTATTATTGTTATATAAAAATGTTTTACAAACTCTAAAGTTGCGTATAAAATGAGGTGGCATTGTTCTCTCTCTGTCTCTTCAGGGAATTACTCCAGTATCTTCGTCTATTCTGAACTATTGCCGGACCAGTTATTTTGTGTGCTGTAGACACTCAATAAATGGTATCAGACTAACTTGCCTAGCAGGCTGCCCTGTCTCTACCAAGGATCTCCCATTCTTCACACAAGTTGCATTTAGCAGACTTCCTTTTCTCATTCATTTCCATTAAAATGTGTCTTGCTCTGTAATGATGATAAGCCAAACCTTTTCCAGGACTCTAATTATTTGATCATTTCATGTTATAAAAAATGTAAGTTCTACTAGGAAAGGACTTTATCTGTCTTGTATGCTACCGAACCCTAAATGCCTTCTTGGTGCTGATCACAATAGTAGGTGCTCAATACATACTGAATGAAGTAATGGATGAAGGATGGATGAATGGATGGATGGAAGGCTTTTATACTAAGGCTGTAAACTCATTAAGGGCTGAGCTGGCTTGTACTAATGGATATATCCAAGTTACCAAGTGAAGGGTAATATTTGTTGATAAAAGCAAAGGCTAGGGTATTAATCCTCCCTAGTAACATATTATAGTTTATTTCTAATTAGGAAAATTAATACGTTAATTAAAAAGTAAAATTTAAGAAGAAGAAAATGTGAAGCAAGTCTTGTGGCACATGAGAGTTTTTGTCATGTAAATATTTTCCTTTTCCATATAGCAGCAGGGACCACGAGGGGTTGTTAGCCTGGAGTAGAGACTACTCAGAGAAGCTACAACTACAGTTGTCTTTAAAAATGTAACAATATGTCAAGATGAAATGGTCATATTTCTTCTGTATGGCCTTATCTGCAGAAACTATAAGGTAAAGAATTGTTTAATTGAACATAATTAACAATTAACATAATTGTTTAATTGAACATAAACCTATCATGCTTATAACTCAAACAATTATTCTGAGGTTAGTAAGTGATGCATCACTCAAGGTATTCAAGTCGAAACTGCATGACCATCTGGTGATCTTTAGTCATATGTTGTAGGGATGTTGGCAGAGGATGAGAACAGTTGATCTCCAGATTTGTTCCTAGTTAGAAACAGCTCACCATAAAGACTCAAGAAAAATATCACAAGTTGAAAAGCTCCATTTTGCCTATATATAAGTCCAAGCAAATCTAACTATTGAAAGACTTTATTTTCATGACTTGAAATGCATTAAAACTTTCACTGGGATTCCCCAAATCCTGGTCCTATTATACATATGCCATTAGGTTGGTCCTCAAATTTGGCAATTTCAGAGACATGACCACTGATAATTACACATTATATAAACAGCTAAACAGCTGGGCACCTATGAAGAACTGCCTTCTAATGATCATTTCTTGATTAAATTCAGGTGCCATATCACAATGTGGAAACTTTGTATTTCTGCTATATAAACCCTCAGTGAAGGAAATAATATTCTAAGTATTTCTCAACAGATTCTGGCAATGTGGTATCATAGAAAGCTCTCTGGGTCCACTGCAGAGACAGCATTATAAAGGGGATATTTCTCTCTCTCTGTCTTTCTCCCTCTCTCCCTCTCTCTCTCTCTCTGATTCAATATCATATATGACAACTAGATTATTATCTGAAACATAATAAGTGCCCAGTAAATATTGGTTGTTCGGGGGCTATACATACTGATATATTAAGTACATCACGACTTTAAAGAAGTACCAGGAGATTTTACAGACATTTGCTTTAGTCTAAATCTAAAAAGGCATTTCACTCCCACACCAAATGATGCCATTTAAAATGGTGTTGATTGTAGCAAACAAATGCTTTGGATATCCACCTTCCCTGGATACCCAAACTAGCTCCAGGTCAGAGGAAAAGTGGAACAGGGGGCCAGGGTAATATGAGTGCTTCTTGGATGATATGCCCCTTGAACAAAGAGTTAAGGCACCAACTGGCTTCCAAAGGACACAGAGTTGGCCATCAATTGGCTTAGGAGGGGATAAGGGAAATAATTTATCATCAGATGAAGTCACTCATACCAGGTTTATGGATCTGTTCAAGATGGCTGTCATGCTTTGATAAGGATTGGTTCCCTTTTTATTTGGAAATTCTGGATCCCACATTAGGCAGCTAAACAGATGGTCTTGGTTATAGTTTCCAAGATCCCTAGAGGTAACCCAATAAGTGCACTCATACTATATGCACTCACCACCAATACAATCCAAACATTTAGTCACATAAAACATTGCCGGAAATGTTAATTTTTCAATAGGAAACTCAACATCTCTTATGATTTAATGAATGTAATTAGTCTATTTTAGGATTTAATATGTAGAATTACTCTCTACAATTAAACTTATATTTGAGTAATATTCAAACAACTGCTGATGCACAGTTCAATTGAACTGATTAAAACAGTGTATTTACAACTTCAAAGCTTACTGATGATCTTTAGAAAACACCTCTGGGGAATGCTGAAAATATTTATTCTTTGTAGTAAAACAGTGTGTTTGTGGATTGTCTGGAACTGCCTGGATCTGAGCAAAATCTCTGCACCTCCTCTCAACTTCACTTCTGTTTGACTTTACATAAATCACTTAAGCTACCAAGGTTTCTACTATCATTTTTAAAAGAAAGAGATTGGAGTATATAGACCCCCAAGCTCCCTTTAGCTCTAAAGCCATGATTCCGACTTATGTCACTCACAATGGTGATCAGATGGCCCTCTGACAGGGGCTCAGAATGGAATGGTCAAGTGTGAGCATTCACTGGAGGAAGTACCCAGGGGAATATTAATAACCTGAAGGTAATATTCCTTTATGGTGATGGAGGTTCAAATGGCTCTTGAATCACACTCCAGTCTAATAGAGAGTCTCATTCCATTATTATTTTTAACAGTGACATAAGTGGAGGACATTAGCATGGGGTTTCTCGTTCTGTTAGGGCTGCACAGGGATTTCTTGAGCTGAGCAAAGGAAAAATGACTGACTGTACTTTTAATTTATTACTTTTATTGACTTCTGCAGCACCAGTGCAGTTGTACTCAGAAAGCCCATACTAGCTAATAAAATAGGACTTTAGAATTGATGTAGCAAATAAAATGCCAAATAAGAATGCCATTATTATTAAAATGTAGTGACACTATTGATTTAAAATAAATATATTAGCCAGTTTGCTGTGCGTTTAGGACTGGACTCAGATGTTGGAGGCACCATTTGGGTTACAGGTTTACATGACAAATGAAAGGCCTCTTACAAGGAGTAATGCAGTTTTATGTTGCAGTTTTATGTGGCAGAATTACCATGGAAATGGAAATGAATCCTGAAACTAAATAGGACCGTGAATACCCTGTCTTCTGAGTTCAGCTTGCCATTTTACATAGAAAGTTCGCAGGAAGCTTACCATGGTTTCCCTTTTAAATGAAAAATTATAGACCTATTATTTCTCAACTCATATCATTATTGAAACTTTTCTTTTCTCTGGAATTAGTATGAAGATGGTAGGCTTACACAAAATAGATCCTACCCCTCCTCTCATGCCTCCGCTGGATTTTTCTTTCACACACAAACACATACACACCCCTCATACCTCTGCTTTGCAACTCCGGGTGGTATATAATTACCAATTTTTCTTTATGAGTCACAGTGCAGGCATGATCCTGAATGGTTTTTAAAGACACAGTTTCTAAAAGGCCATGGTGATTTGTTGGTATGTTAACCAGTGTCTAGATGTGGCTCCCAGGGAACAGCCTCAGGTGAGAGGAGAAAATTTCCCCTGCAATTCAGCACATCTTGATATATACATGTGCATATTTGTGTGCATATGTACTATTTGCAGAAAATGCCTCCAAATAAACACATTAGTAAATTCTTGCTATTTTGCTCTTGGACTTGTAAATTTAACTAAGAAATCCTGATGGATGACTAGTTTTTTCTTTATCCTCCAATTCCAAGTACTCTTGGACTGGCATATCTTCTGTGAATAAGTGCCCGTGAGCCTTGGTTATCAGGCTAAGATGTCCTTTTATTTATTTATTTATTCATTCATTCATTTAGTACAATCATCACCACTATTTATTTCCAAAAATTTTCATCACCCCAAACAGAAACTCCCTATTCTCCTTTCCCCAAACCCCTGGTAACCTCTAATCTACTTTTTGTAAGACGTCTTTTTAAAGGCAGCCGCTGGTAACTCTTTACCCTTAAAACTAATTTCTACCTTTCTAAAATTACTCAAAGCATAGAGAAGCAGCCTGGGAACAGTTGATTTGCTGTTAGGTCTTTATAACCCTAGCCCAGAGCTAGCCATGATGAAACGTTTGTTTGCCTTCATGAAGGTAAGAAACAAACTTTTCTTGTTCTTCATGGAGGCAATAGTGCCTAAAACTGTAACTGACACATTGCAGATATACAATGGCTATTCCAGTATAAGTGTATTGAGATACATAAGTAGGTTTAGAAGTGGAATTGGTCTTCTAATAACTTGAGTATTCATTGGAAATAAAAAGGAATGCTAAACTGACCTGTAAGCAAAATTGTCTGGGGTAGCTCTGCCTCTTTATTTCTCTTTGCCTATAAGAATGTGGACCCAGCAGCAGAGGTTAAGTATTTGTGGGTCTTAATTCAGTTCCCAGTAGGATGCTGGAATAAAAGAAACCTTTCTTCTTGTCAATAATCGTTCAGTGGAGATATGGTCAAAGATTGCATTCCTCCCGTAAAGAATATAAGGAAATTGACTTGCCAGCAGCTTCCAGCCCTATATCTGTTAATCTCTATTATTTATGTATTTTTCTTGTCCAAGTTAGGAAGGACCAGAGAAATCTAGTAACTTGGCCCTATTTTCTAACTTGCTTTGAATGATTAGACAGAGCTTTGAATATAGAAAGAATTTTGCTGTTGTGTGGATTAAAGCTCACAGTGGGTTTTAAAAATAGAGGAAAATCAGATTTCCTGCTCTCCTTCTACATCTTAACTCATAGCTTTTGCCTGAAATTACACTGGTTTACTTATGACTATATTCAGTAGGTATCTCAAAATAACTATTGACCTTGGGTTGATGGGTTGGTATATTTCTTTTAAATACATTGGATAGCATTTGAAAATTCTGGTTCTAAATACCACTTCTCAATTAATCTTTTAAAATTAATTAATTGACCCATATTTGTCCTATTATGAATCAGATGCTAAGGTTGCTGACATAGAGAAATGTTCAAGAGCTCGTTTGGAAAAGGAGATAGATAGTTCATCATATCGTGCTTTGCAAACATATCACTTAAAAATGTGGCAAACTACTATATGTCAAGGATTATGTAATCATGAGGAGAAATTTAAGGTGCAGATAAAAGAGTTGATAGTCAGTGAAAAGTGAGATAAGGCAGGGGGCAGTGGAATCCATGCTATTTACTGATTAAACTCAGACTTTTTCCGTAAGCAGGGTGTTTGATGCTGCTGTAATTAGAAATTCTTATTAAAATAACCTCTGTATCTCTCCTAAAAAAGGCCTACTTTTCATATCTGTTGCAAAATGCCAGTGAAGGTAAATTCTTTCCAGTTTTATGAGAAATTGAATACATTTGATAGTTGGGTGTCTTCTCAAAATATTATTATATTTTTTTTTTGTAAGAAGCTGGTGACAGAAGCTTGAACTAGAGTCACAGAGCTTGTCTAAGCTTGCTAGGAAAAGCACATTCACATCCCAGGTTTTACTTACAGGCTGAACATTACACACACCTGTCTTTGGAGACAGGGGTCTGAGTCCAGGTATTCTTGAGTCTTAAGTCTGTACCCAGTGGAAAGGTCTCTTTCCTTTAAAACCATAAGTAAGTCAGCACAACTGGCAGTGTCTGCCCAGGACATGTCAAGGGAGATTGGCTCAAATATTAGATCTGTTTCTGCTTTGGAGGAAGGGAAATAAAAGCAGTCTTAGAAAATAGCTGCAGAAAATGACAAGATAAAGGAAGGAACATGGTATAATGAAGTGAATACCAGACTAGGAGTCAGGCAATCTGAGTTCCAGTGTCAGCCCCACCAACTGAGATTGGAAAGATATCAATTAAGCATCAGATTGTTTTTGAAAAGATAACAACAAAACCTTCCTTATAGACTTGTAGCACTAACAAGAAAAGTGTGTGTGCATACATGTACATACATGTACATATAGGCATAAACAAGTATGAATTCACATGCACACACAGGACCGCATTGCAGGTGGTTCACAATTGCTTCTCTGTTCTTCTTGAAAGCGTAATTTGATCATTTGTCAAGGAAGAAGACTCGCCTTGCCTCCCTCCCTCACTAAGCTGCTATGAATTTCTTGCACAAATACCAGACACTAGTAAAAGATAATTGCTGTATTCACTTTTTTCAGTCTATGCTTTCAAATCTCTGTGTCTAGGGCACTAGCTTAGAATGGTGGATGCTATATTTCACAGCAAAATCCCTGTCTTCCCTGTCCTGATGGACCTTCTAGCCCACCTGAGCAAACAAGGCAGAGACTCCTGTAGAGTTAAACAGCAACCTGAGAATGAAGTGCAAGTATGGGACTGCCATCTGCTTTATATTATATCTTCAGAATAACTCCAGACCCTTCACGATCTGCTTTTCAGCTCTTTGTAACCTGCTTCTTTTTGACCTGCAAGACTGTCCTACTAACCCCACCAGATATTTTAATTTTCTGTAGTAGTCCCGACCTTTTTGGCCTCAACGAATTAGATTGTGTCATCCACCTCTCATTCAGATTGTGGAAATCCTGCCCTTCAAAAGAAACTAAGTTTGAATGTTTTCTGTGTATTTTCATCTGTATTTCATCTTTTATTTTTGCATTATTTAGAAATACTCTCCCTCTTTTGAGTGTATTCCATGACTTTATGGGGTTCTTTTATAAATTACCTGCTCGTGCCCTTTACCACTTTTATACCTCATTGTTCTTTTTTTCCATTTTTAAAGTGTTAAGTCTGGCTATTCATTCCCGTTCTCCAGAAGACCATTAGAAAAACCTGTTGATCAAGCAAAACTTAGCATCTTAAGCCTATTGCATAAGGAAGAAGGCCACATTGATAGAATATCTGTCATGTCTTGAAAAAGGGGATTCAGAGGTAACAGTGATTTAGGATCTGCTGTGGATGATTTGAAGCTGATCTTGCAAGGGGGAGAACTGCATGAAATGAGACTGAGTTTATGACATAATGGTGTTGGAATTGTGGACATAGCAAGGTGAGTCTCTTGAAGTGACTCTCGATGAGGAAGCTCTCAGTCTTGAAAAGGATGCTATTTTATTTAGTTGAAAGCCTTATCTTCCAGAGTTGCATTTGCTGGAGCAAGGAGCTAAGTTATTTTTGCTAGTTCTCAGTCTTCTTTTACACAGGGACAGTGAAAGCGTATGATTAGTTTTATATGTCAAACCTAATAGCGATGGTCTTTATACATTTTATAAAAATATAACTTTCTTTCTTTCCTTTTTCTTTTTAGCTTTAAAAGCTGTCCCTCCAAAAGATGAGTTTGGGGACAAGGAGTCAACATGTTGTTTGTATTAAAGGTGATCCATTTGAGAGAATTTGAGTCTCAAGCAAAAGCAGGGTTTAATGTTAAGTAAACCTGAGGGTAGCATGATCGTGGGAAACATAACTTGCTATCTCAAAAAAAAAAAAGCAGAAAAGGGGTAAACTTGAAGCATTTGGAAAAAAAAAGAGTTTGTTGGGGGGAAAGAGCAGTTGTGAATACAAAACAGGGAACTTCAGTGAAGCCAATTTGGCTCTGATTAAAGGTAACCCAGAGGTGGGGCAGAATATAACCCGAGCCAGTGGGTCCATCTGTTGGCCTCCAAAAGTGTTCCTGTTTTGCTAGAAATAAGATAGATTCCTTCTGGGGATGGCCTGTTTGCAGGGTATTAGTCTTGTACATGTTAATGTTGACATCTCAGGAATAAATATTGTACTTTCCCGAAAGGGTGTTTTTGAGTAATGTGTAAGAATGTAAATGAGGACCATGGCATACATAGCCTGCTAGCTTGTCAATGTTGTTTTTTATAAGCTGGTGATATTAGTAGTAATTTTCACCATGAATGTCTCTGATTGAAGTTCTCATGAAATACTCCTGAGGTTATCAAAGCATCTCATTAAATTGAATTCTTAAGTAATGAACCAACATGTGTAATAATCATATGAAAACTTAAAACACTGGAAATTACCAATGCTTTAAAATTTTTTTCCCTAAGAGATGGGGTCTTGCTCTGTCATCCGGGCTGGATGCAGTGGTGCTATCACAGCTCACTGCAGCCTCAAACTCCTTAATTCAAGCAATCCTCCTTCCTCAGCCTCCTGAGTAGCTGGGGACTACAGTCACTCATCACCATTCTCAGCCAACTACCAATGCTTTAACTTAAGCAAAGCAGTACCAGCTTCTGAATGAAACTGCTTCTTCCATCCTAATGCATATATTTGAGTTTTTATTTACTTTTAAAATATATACATTGGTAGGAAATGTTGTAAGGCCATATTTTTCTCTCTTTTTAATCTAAGGCTTTTGCATGTCCACTTACTTTAAAATTGCATATCCTCTCACACAAAATTATATAGTTCATGGGCATTACATTTTCTTAAATATTATGCAAGACCTAAGAACATTATCTACATATCAGGAATTCTCTTGTCAGTCCCTGACAAATTATATTCTGAATAGTTTAAGCAATTATTTTAAATTTTAGTACTTGTGTAACTTATATTTATGACATATGAGTGTTAGGTGTTTTTAGTAGACACATTTGAAACAATCCCCTAGTACTGATATCCTTTCGGTTATCTAATTTAGTGAATTAAAGAATATCTCATGATTGCAACTGTTTTTTAAAAAAATACAAATAAGAGAAAAAAAGCTGTTACCATTGTCAAGGAATACTTTGAAAATCAAAATTTGCTTGGCTTTATGCTATAACAATAAACACAGTAATAATTGAGATGTTGAGTCCAAAAGAGGCTACTTTTTATCAAAACACCCACATACAAAGTTTGTGTTCATCTAAAGATTCCCAATTTTGTTACTAATTTAATAATACAATGGCATAAGTCATAAATTATTTTATTCTAATAGAATACTGTTTTCTCATGGAAGAGTTCAATGAGAAAAAATGCCATCACAAAATGTTTAAAGATCGTTGCACTTTGTGGATGGAGTAAGAAGATTCCTACTGACTCCAATTCTCTTTCAGAGAAATCAATCCATAGAAAGAGATATACCAGAAGGCATGGAGAAAACCTTCCACAGGGTGTGCCTCTGGTCTGGGCTACATGATCTCCAATATTTTTAAAAGAGTAATTCTCAACCTTACCGTCAATTGGAATTATTTCCGGGGGAACATTTAAAAATACTGATACCTAAATCTCAAGCCCAGGAGAATCTCAATTTCTTTGGCTTGGTAGACATACTAAATACTAGGAATTTTAAAAGCTCCCTAGGTGACTCCAATATGCAGACAAAGCTAACAACTCCTGGTTAAAGGGGTCTTAGTTGTCAGTTTTGAGGAGGCCATTCCATATGCTGAAAGTTTACTTTCTATTTCTACTAAAACCTCTGTGGAAGCAGAATGTTGACCCTAAAATAATGACCAAAAACCTAACATAATGTTAACATTTATTGAGGCTTCCAATTCACCTGCCTCAGGAACCTTATAAGGTAGTGACTACTGAATTTCATTGATTTAAAAAATTGAGGCTCAAAGAGGTTTAAGAACTTATACAAGGTCACCCAGTTCATAAATAGTGCTGCTTGGCTTTTTACCCAGGTATATTTATCCCATCTTAAATTCAGGTCATACAATGCTATTTGATCTGAAATTATGCACAAGAGAAAAATATTATTAGTCAGTGCTTTACAAATAGCAGAATGTGTTGATGGGTAAAAACAGAATCCTGATCTTTCTGAAAAGAAAGTAACTTGTTTCTCCTTAGAAACCCTGTGCTTGAGCAAAGTACTTCTGTACATCAACTAATACCCAGAAGGCTCACTGGAGTGTGTGTATCTGCTTGAGTGCTGATTTAGAAAGTGACCATGATAAATAATCAGAATTGACTACATGGCAGCAAATATTAATCAATTCCTTCCATAATGCCTCCTAAGAGACTTTGTTACTAGTTTTCCAAGTACTTAGATTACAGAAAGGGAGGGCAAATCAATATTACAAAAAGTCAATGCAACCAATATGTCTTTGTCTTAATGTAACAGCTAAGCAGATATGCATTATATCTTGCCTGATGATCTGGAAAGTAATATCATTCCCATTTTGTAGGGCAGATTCCAGAGAAGTTAGAACAGATACGGTTTTGTCCATACCAGTGTCCAATTTTATCGCTCTATTCTTTTGCCATCTGTTTCTCCACTTCCCCCACTCCTGTTGATTTTCCTTGAAAGTTCTACTTTTACTTCAATTTCATTTTAAATTCTTTTAGCTCTCTATATCTCAGGCTTAATCCAAAGGAGAGTAGTATATGTGTGTGGGAGTGTTTTCCTCCTGTCAGCCAACACTGTGTATAAATCTGGACCCAAGGTTACTCTTCATTTTAAAGACTATATTGTAACCTGTGATCACTATTATGAGGTTGGGTAAAAATTGAGTTTTTCCTTTTAATGGCTAGTGATTCGGGACAGAAGAAAACAAAGGGATATTTTCCTTTCAATTTGTGGTCTTTGTGTACTGTTAGAACAACAGGGTGGGTAATTCTCGCAAGCACCTGAAGAATAGGAGTAATAAACCTTCAAAGAAAATCCTCTGTTATGAGGCTAAAGCCTAGGATTTCCCAGTCTTATGGTTGGCTAAGATACAAGTTATGATTCTCTGACTACAGGTCAAATAGCCCAGAGATACTGAATTCAGATAGGTGCGACTGATTTATATGAGGATGATTTTGGTCTACCTGTTTTTTAGACCAAAATGAGAAAAGAGAAACTGCAAAGCAAGGCAATAATATGTTGTTCGTCCTGCTCAGCTTGACTGTAACTGTCAAGGCCCGGCTAGAAAAGTCCATATTGTCTCTGTTTATGTATTAGGGGATCTTTTCATCAGATCAATGCATTTGTGACTTTTCAAAGTCCTTGAGTAATCTAGAGAAACAAACTGATTCAAGATGCGATATCATCTGAACCTGTATAGAAAGGACTCATGTCCTGTGTGGTGGTTGGCCATGTGAAATGGGCTGCTTAATGGCAATTCAGTACAAGAGCAGGTACCACGAGTCATAAATCTACTTGCAACATAAGCCAGGAGTCTAGCCAAGGCATTTAGCCTCTCTGAGCTCTGGTCATCTGAGCTGGGGGATCTCCCCACAATCTACTTTCAGTTGATTACCTTACAAAAGAGAAACATGCTTTTCAACTTGATGCAAGTATGAAGCGGTATTTTTTTGTAGGAACCTAATGAATTTCACCATGGGATACATTTGTCTTTGAAAAATAATATTAGCACTGCCACAGGATAGAACAGTGATATGGTTTGGCTGTGTCCCCACCCAAATCTCATCTTGAATTATAATCCCCATAATCCTCACGTGTTGTGGAAGGGACCAGGTGGCAGGTAATTCTATCACGGGGGTAGTTTCTCCCATGCTGTTCCCATGATAGTGAGTGAGTTCTCTCAAGATCTGTTGGTTTTATAAGTGTCTGTCATTTCCCCTGCTGGCCTTCACTCTCTCTCCTGCCACCCTGTGAAGAGGTGCCTTCCACCATGATTGTAAGTTTCCTGAGGCCTCCCCAGCCATGTGGATTTGTGAGTCGATTAAACCCTTTTCCTTTATAAATTACTCTGTCTCAGGTATTCAAAGCAGCATGAGAACAGACTAATACAAATAGTATGAACCTACTCAGCTAAGAGTGCCAAATATGAAAGCAAAGGACCATGTAGTCAAGGCAAGTCCTTGGCCTCAAGAAAACAGCTATTCACTTCTTTTTTCTTCTCCTTTGGGAAGCTCTGTTCAGGAAATGGGAAAAATTGGCTCAGGAGGAAGTTCTGGGTTTAATCTGACTGATGTAATTGATTTGGTGCCTGCAGCTCCATTGCTGAATTGATGTGACCCTCCCTCCTCGTCTTTACAGATAAAGCCAAGATGTCAGGGCAGATTACCTCCATGGCTCCTTTCTGCTTTACAGGTTGAATTTAAGCCATAATGCTCGCAAATGGAAAACTAGAAAGGTGGAAGGAGGACAACAACAAGTACTCTGCTCATCCTTCATTCCAGTCTTCCAAAAATACTTGGAAATAAAGTGAATAAAATTCTGTTAAAACATTTTGACACAGGTCCCCTTCAATTCTGAATAAACACAATGTTAGTTTCCTTTAAGTTGTAGGTTAAAAAATTGCTTTGTTTCCTAAAAATTCAATAAAGAAGTAGCATTCAGTATTTGAAAGAAAATATGAATATTTATAAACAACGCTTGAAGCTGTTTTTCCTTAAGCAACATAGGCACTCATTCATTCAGAAAGCTTGTTGCTTTGCAGCATATTAATTTATAGTCCACATGCCTAGCTGCAGGAGGATACAAAATGCTCTGCAGGAATTGGTGGTTTTCAATTACAGTATTAGTCAGACAAATGATATATTTTTTTCAGTTTACCTTCTCTTGACTCTAACATTAGCCACATGAAGAGTACAATAATACTACCTCACATGTTTCCTGAAGTATAGGCAATTTTTAAATGGAATTTTGCTCATAATGTGCACTGGACGGGGAGATTTTCTCCAAAGAATTTTTATATTAAGATCTTTCTTGGAGCCTTTGTAGTGCATGTGGCCAGGACCTGTCAGTTTTAAATCTAAATACTTTAGGATAATTATAAACCAAGAGAAAATGATTTTTTTTTTTTAACTTTTCAAACATATAGGATAGACTGAATGCTGCTCCAAGTTTGGTGTGTGGCCTCCCTTTATCAGAAATTCCAGGCCTGGTTGTTAAAAACTCAGATATCTGGGCCTGATTTCAGACTCAAAATTAGAACATATTAGAGTAGAGACTTAAAAAATAGCATTTTAAACAACATTCAGGTAGTTCACAGAACAGGGATGTTGCTGAGAGAATGGGATTCGAAGAAAGATTATGTATGGATTGATTATGCAAGTTCAAAAACACAGCAAAGAGAAAAACCTAGGGAGCCTCTGGGCAGCTTCGCGGCTACTTCAATAAACCTAGACAAATCCCTTCACCCTTTTGATGTTTTGTTTCCTCCTCTGTACAGTGGACAGCTAAGTCTAGAGATATTGCTGCACGTTTTTGCCTCTTACATGATGGCTGAGTGGCTCCCAGACATTTTCCAGCGAAGTTTAGCTGCTCGTCTCTGTGATTCTTACTACTCCCATGTGAAGTGGCTATTACCCTTACTCCTATTTCATAAGTGAGAGAGCAGAGAATAAGAGAAGTAAAGTGACTTGCTGAAACTTGCAGCTACTAGGACAAAAGCCAGAATCCATTGCTCTGATTCCCAGTCACATTCTCTACAATTCAACCATAAATCAGTGTTAAATACAAGGCTTATATTTGAGGAGCATCACATATTCAAAATTGTATTTTATTGCAGAATTTTAAAATATTTTTGTTTATAGACTTCCTGAAATGGAGACTCACAGTTTCAAATTACTGCTGGTGGATATATTTTGGAAGGGTAAAAGATGATCCTGAGAATCTTGTCTAGCAACCCAATAATGCATAGTGTGGTATTCAGGAGGCTGGAATTATGTACTTTGATACAAATTCTGTAGGAGTTTCTTGAAGTTGCCTTCATGAGAATTCGGTAGGAATGTTAAATCCATAGAGTGATAAAGTCCCATGGCTTGTATGGTCATTCTTGATTTAAAAAAAATTGGGATAGCTATTTTTGCCAAGACCAGCTTGGTCGGGGAGACCCTAACCCAGCGGCGCTAGAGGAATTAAAGACACACACACAGAAATATAGAGCTGTGAAGTGGGAAATCAAGGGTCTCACAGCCTTCAGAGCTGAGAGCCCGAACAGAGATTTACCCACGTGTTTATTAACAGCAAACCAGTCATTAGCATTGCTTCTATAGATGTTAAATTAACAAAAAGTATCCCTCATGGGAAAGGAAGGGATGGGCCGAATTAATTGCAGCAAGAACACGCCCTTAAGACACAGATCTCTCATGTTATTGTTTGTGGCTTAAGAATGCCTTTAAGCAGTTTTCCACCCTGGGCGGGCCAGGTGTTCCTTGTCCTCATTCCCGTAAACCCACAACCTTCCAGCTTGGGTGTTAGGGCCGTTATGGACATGTTACAGTGCTGCAGAGATTTTATTTATGGCCAGTTTTGGAGCCAGTTTATGGCCAGACTTTGGGGGGCTTGCTCCCAACAATTTTGATCTCTAGGTGATAAATGAGAGAAACTGAGTTCAAAGTCGCTTAAGTAAAAAGGGAGCTTTATTGGCTCATATGGCTTAAAAGCACCTGATTAGTTGGCTTCTGGTACAGCTGGTTCTAGGAATTCAAAGGATGAAATCAGAAATCTGTTCTATTTCTTGGTTGTAGTTTCTTTTGCTTCATCAAATGAGTTATCCCTGTGATGTAATGGAAGGCATGCCAGCAAGTCAGGCTTGTATCCTCTCTTTTGTCAAATTGAGGGAAAAGAGAAGTTTCTCATTTTCATTATTTCATGAAATCATCAGGCTTAAATTGCCAGGAGGATGGGCATGTGCATATTGGCCGGGTGTAGGTTAAATGTTCATTCCTGTTACCAGAGAGCAGGGAGGGGCAACCTAGACCACCTTCACCAAGAAAGGATGAAGAAGGGATGATCAATGCTGGAAGAACAAGCACGCCAGATGACCATAGCAAGTGTGCAGCCTCTAGCTCAAAAGAGGAGCTTGTTCAATATTAACTTACTGTCATTACTGTCTTCAATATTATCACCATTATTTTGCTAAAATACAACAACTACTGCTACGACAACTATAACCTTTAGACTACTGTTCAAGTCTTTCTTACAGAAATAAACGGTTTTAATAAAAGAATGAAAAGGAAAAACTTTGGGTGCTGGTTTATAAGTGGTGAATATACTTGGACTGGCATAATTAGGTCTGTCACCAGTTAGACAGGAATTATTAGATTTGAAGTCATATGTGCCTTTTGAAACAAGGTCTGTCTCTCTGGACAAGGCTGACGGAAGTTTGACGAATGTACTCTGTGACATCGGGGTTCTCTACCTCCTTCCAATTCACAAGAGGTGTGTAAAAATAGTGTCTGTAGAATAAACTCTGATTGGAGAGATAAGAGAAAATTAAAATGCTTCAACATCATCCACATTTCCCAAATTTGTATTTTCTCATGTCACCAATACTGCATTACAAATTAGGTATTACCACTTCTCTTTTCAGAAGGGAAAACCTCCGTGATATGGTTTGCAGTGTCTCCACCCAAATCTCCTCTTGAATTATGGTTTCTATTATCCCCACGTGTCGTGGGAGGGACCAGGTGGAGATAATTGAATCATGGAGGTGGCTTCCCGCATCCTGTTCTTGTGATAGTGAGTGAGTTCTCACGAGATCTGGTGGTTTTATAAGGGGCTTCCCGTTTCACTAGGCCCTCATTAATTCTCCTTCCTGCTGCCCTGTAAAGAAGGATGTGTTTGCTTCCCCTTTCGCCATGATTGTGCGTTTCCTGAGGCCTCCCAGTCAAGCTAAACTGTGAGTCAATTACACCTCTTTCCTTTATGAATTACCCAGTCTCAGGTAGTATCTTTGCTTCAGTGTGATAACAGAGTAAGAAACTCAGTGTTAAGGGACTCACCTTAGTTCAATCATTCAGCAACCATGTATTGAGCTCATCCTAGGTGGTAAGCAGGAAGCTAGGACTGTAAACACTGCATATACGTACTCCTGCTCAATCATGGAGGTCCTAAGTTAGGAAAGTGGCATCCGGACACCCGGACCTCTGTTTCTTTTTTCTAAATCACATGGCCGCAAAGAACAAAATTTGGAGACTATTACAGGTTAATAGAAATCACTCTATTCCTTAGAGAGGCTAGTTCTGTTTACAGCACTCTCTGACCATGTCCCACAGGGACAATTCCTACCATAATCTCCTTAAGAATTAGTTTCAGTTGAATTCTGTGTTTGTTTCTTTCATCAGGGAACTAATGCAGAAAATTAGCCAATGAGGGTGGTAGTGTTGAGCTATCGATTCTCCAACTGCCAGCTGGAGAACATATCAGGTAGCATACCCGGTAGAAATTGGGAAGGAAGCAGGGCAGCTGAAAGGCTTGATTCTGACAGCAGCTGTCTGAAGGAGCATCATGTTATTGAAAACACGTCTGCAAAAGCAGGACACGCTACGAAAGGATTGTTGGGACATTCTCATACATCTAATGTGGAAAATCATACATACACTGTGAATGTTGCTCTCACATTATGGTATACTCAGACTATTAATAACATCTAAAGCCACATGCCTGGCTCCTTGCTGTTTTCCATGCCTTAGTTTATTTATCCCTATAGCAATCCTATGCACTGGTCACTTCTTTCATCCTATGAATTGATGCCACTTTGCAGATGAGGAAATTAATGCACAGAGAGGCTACGCAATTTTCCCAAAGTCTTCTTTAGGAAGTAAAGCTGGAGATTGAACTCAGGTAGCTTGTGTCTGGGGCCTGAGCTTATAAACCGTCCTGAAGTCTATTCCCTCCACCCCCCTGCCAAGAAATAGTATGTTTCTGTTGTGGTGTCAGTTTATGCAGACTTGGCTACATGCAATGTTTTAAGTTTTCATATAATGTGTTAAAATGTCTGATGTTAATAAAGGAGGTAAAAGGTAGAGTGTTAGAATCTTTCAATAGACAGAGTTTAAAAGAAACCTATTTGGCCATGGTGGTATTTACCTTAAACAATGCATCCTTTCTGGGCTAGTATAGAGAATTCTGAGACATTTCAGTCTAAGTTTAATTTATGAAGAAGCTAAGAGACTTCACAAAGCTACTTAATCTTCTCATTATTTATTCAGCCACTATTTTTTTGAGGGATCTTTTATATTACATGTAAATCATGGTCGTGACTGGGGACACAAAGATGAATGCATTTAATGGCTACCCTTAAGAATCAGTATGAGGAAGCTAAAAGAGTCAAACTCAAAAGCAGAGGATAGAAAGGTGGTTGCCAGCAGTTGAGGTGAGACAGAAATGGGAAGTTGTCACACAATGTCTTTCGCATTTCATTATACAAAATGATTAATTTCTAGTGATCTGCTGTACAGCATAATACCTATTGTGAATAATATGACATTGTACCCTTTAAAACAAGTTCAGAGGAGAGATCTCATATTAAATTTTCTTAACAGAAAACAAAACACAAAAGGATACAGGAAAATTGGAGGTGATCGATGTTTAGTTTAGTACTTTGATTGTGGTGATGGTATTATGGGTATATGCATATACCCAAACTCATCAAAATGTATTATTCATTAAATATGAGCACTTTTTACATATCAACTACACCTCAATAAAGCTTAAAAACAAAAAAAAAATTAAAACATTTTAAAAACAATAGGCGGACGGATCACGAGGTCAGGAGATCAAGACCATCGTGGCTAACATGGTGAAACCCCATCTCTACTAAAAGTACAAAAAATTAGCCGGGCGTGGTGTTGGGCACCTGTAGTCCCAGCTACTCAGGAGGCTGAGGCAGGAGAATGGCGTAAACCCAGGAGGCGGAGCTTGCAGTGAGCCAGGATTGTGCCACAGCACTCCAGCCTGGGCCACAGTGCAAGACTCCGTCTCAAAAAGCAAAACAAAACAAAACAAAAAAATATTTTAAAAACAAGCTTATGGTCAATGATAAAGGGATGAACGTTCTGTTTGTGTCTCTTAAAGGTATATACAAGTAGACAGTGGACAGTGGGCTTAACTGTCTCTGGGCATATTAGAAGGGTCTTATTTGTCTGTACCCTGATATCGGAATGGGTGACTCTAAAATAAAAAGACATTTCTGGGTGAGGAGAGAAGCTAACACAGTGATGGGAAGGTGTCAGTGTGAATTTTGTAAGATGTTACATCAGCACTTGGCTGATAGGTTACCATGGAGTTCATCTCCAAGTATAGAAAACGAGAAGTGTCTTGGAGGTGTGAAGCAGGAGACCTGTATAGTAGATTGTTAACTCTTTATTTTTCATTTCCAATATCCTAAAACTAGACAACACAGAGCTAGAGATAGGGGTAGAATTTAGGCAAGGAATGTGGGGCACCTGTTAATAGCTATTAGAAAGCATTTATTGAGAGTAAATAAGCTTCCATCTTGGGATGGACAAAAAAAAAAGTGAAAATAAAGGTGTGTGCAACTAAGCAAGATAGTATATGTCTTGGTTTGTTTTCTGTGTCAACTTGAGTGGGCTGGGGTGCCTGATTAAACATTGTTTCTGGGTCTAAGAGGGTGTTTCCACAGGAGATGGATAAGGTGGAATTCCTTCTCCGATGTGGGTACCTATCCTCCAATCGATTGAGAGTCTGACTAGAATAAAAGGTGGAGGAAAAAGGAATTTGCCCTTTTTTCTTGCTTCACTGCTTGAGCTGGGTCATCTCATCTTCTCCTGCCTTCAAACTGGGATTTATAACCTTGGCTTTTCTGATTGGCCTTGGCGCTAGTTTTCCTGGGTCTCCAGCTTGCAGACAGGAGATTGTGGACTTCTCAGGCTCTGCAATTACATGGTAACTCAATTTCTAATAATAAACCTCAATCTTTCTGTCTCTCTCTCACTCTCCTTTTTCCTTTTTCTTTCTTTTCTTCCCTTATAATCAATGTGTGTGTGTGTGTGTGTGTTTTATTTCTCTAGAGAACCCTAATAACAGTACTGACCAGTAATTAATTTATCTTATTCTTTCTCATACTAAACATAAATGTGTTTGTTTTGTGTGACTATTGCTTTTGATCTGATTAGAGTAACTGCCATTTGCATATTCATTTTCTGGATCACATAAATTATAAGATACCTAAGTGAGGATAGGGCATTGAACTTTGGGGTTACAGAGGAAGATGTATCAGTTGAGGGCTTCATGGACCTGCCTGTCAAATGACAATATTTGTAGCTGGCCCCCTTCTTCTCCTCTGTTGTCCTGCTTTAATGCAAACCCTCTGGACAAGATGGTGAAGATGGGAATGGAACAGACTTGTCATTACGTCTCCATTTTTGCCATCTTACCCCTACCTCTACACCCTGATATGCTTCAGGATTCTGAAAAGCTCTTTTTGTATTATACTCTTATAAATCCATTGCTACTGCTAACGACAGCTCAACTCATTATTGATTCATGTAACAGGAGAGTGGAAGGCCTGTAAGTCAGAAGCTTCATAGTTGCTTACCCTCTCATCCTATACATAATGTCACCTCTTGGTTTAAATGACTGTCACCTGAGAGAAAATGTCTCCAGACAGGATACATAGATGATTTGCAGCTCATGAGAAATGACTGGTCTTTGCTGCTGAAGCCTAATGTTAGTATTTGACTAATATTAGATTTTTGGTGAATTTTTACTTTGCCATTGCTAGTGAGTTTTAAAATATCAAACATATGTCCCTGTTGTTTAAAGAGTTGCACTTTAGAGTGAATTAATGGGAATTTTCACAACACAGTGATCCTAGAGTTGTGGCAGTTTTTGGTGATATCATTGAAGTTGTCAAGACTCAGCAATGAAGCAAATAAAAGGGATAGTAGTTGTCTAAATGTCTCTGGAATGGCAGGGGAGAAGTTTTAGCATTTGCAGTGAGAAAAGAAAAAAGTAAAAAAGAATGTATTTACATGTATTTTCCAGCTTCAAAGGGGCTTAATATATGCCAATAATAAAAAATTAAGGATCTAAGTGAGTGATGTTTACTCCTTGGACAGTGTATGCTGCAATTCACTAATATGTCAAACACTGAAATTAGGATATCAGTGTTTCATACAGATGTGTCCCCTCATTTGAGATGGCTATTAAATAGGTATCATATGTCTTTACGAACATGTCTACTAACCTAGGAATGAGGAGAGCCAAATGGTCTTATCAATATTCTGCTCTCAACTCGATGTATAACTTTGAGCAAGTCAACTTAAAATTGTTTTTCTAGACAAAGTACAAATTTTTTTAACATGATATATGAGGTCTTATATTGTCTAGCCTATTCAGCCATAGGAAATGACTGCAGTTTTCCAAAATGTATCATGCTTTCCTGTGTTTCCATGGTTGTTGTTTTTTTTTGGAACACCATGTTGTTTTTTTGTTTGTGGTGTTTTGCTTGGAACTCTGTTTCTCATCTGCCTCATTAACTTCTCCTTGCCTAAGGCAGCTTGGATATGCCCAATTCTTTTGGTGCCACCATACTCAGCCTATGGTTGTAGCCTTTCAAAATTCTGGATTAATTTAGAAAAGACAGAGAGGCTGGTTCCTTGGGAGACTTGATTGATGTTGAAAAACATCCTTCCCTCATGAGAGGACAGGTGAGGCAATGTTCCATACCGGGCTGAGAAAAATATATTAATAAAGAAGTTATAAATAACCTCTTGCCCATTATTTCTATGACATGCCCATTTTACTTCCGTTACCATGACAACCTGCTTCCCGTGATGAGTAGCTGATCTTTAACAAGAGACAGGAGGGGTGGACTCTGGTAATTGCCTTTTTTTTTTTTTTTTTTTTGTCATTTTTGACTTCCAGTGAAGTCATACCAACCAATTTCAGTGTTATTTTAATTCGCTGTCATTACCACTCACACCAAAAATCCTACAAAGTTTTTATAGGTAGGGAAAGGTTTTATTGATTTTTGTTTTAATCCACTGAGATTTGGTATCATTGCAACGTAAATCTACCCTGGGCTGACTGATACACCCAAATCCAAAAGAATGAGGTCCATAACTCTGTCCTTTTAAAAACTCCCAGAAAGTTTACAGGCAGGAGGAAACTGAATTCCTCCAAGGCAGAAAAGCCTTGTCCAAGGACAAATATCAACCTTATCATGGTTGAGAGGAAAAAGTGTGTTCTCCTAATTATGAGCTCATCATTTATACCCGTATTTGACATTGGAACGTAAAAGCTTTAATGAAAGAGGAGCTTTTCTTCTTTCCACAAGAGAGACCGGAAAGTTCATGTTTTAAGGACTAGAACACACCAGACCTTTAGGATAGGAAAGAAAGAGATTTGAGAAAAGCTATGGATCTTAATTTGGATAGCACATTAGTATCATCTGGAAAGTTTTTTTTAAAAAAAAAAAAAAAAAAAAACAATGCACAGGTAAACATTACCTAAGATTCTGATTTATTTGTCCAAGGGTTTGGGACATTTCACAAATAGCCTGTGTACTCTACAGGTTATAGAGTAGATTATTTAACTTATCTATGCCCTCGTTTCCTCATCTGTAAAATAGGGATAATAAGAACAACACCTTTTTAGATGATTGTAAGAAATGAATGAAATAATTTCCATAAAGTCTTAGAACAATGGCTGAAACAGAAAAATTACCCAATAAAATGTTAGATATTGTGATTCATATTATTAATAATTTTCCCAATTTTCTGTTTGTTGAAATAGTCCCTTAGAGAAAGGGTTGACAGTTTAAATTCAATACCTGTTTCAGTTAGGATTTAGTTTCTTCACTCAGAGTAAATGTTAAGGTTCTTAAGAGCAGGGGCAATGGCTTACTTATTCCTGTATTTTCCTAGTGCCTAGTCCTGGGTGGATACTGAAGGATGTTCAATACATATATATCAGACAACTAGATGAACCAACAAATCAAGGCATAGCTAACATCACTGAGCAGTTATTCAAAATAATATCAGGATAGAATCTGGACAGAGCTAATACTTGAAAAGTACAAATTCCTGTAACACCAGAAAGGACTTAACAAATATGGAGGCTCTATGCTTTCATAATTTTGCAAAAGGAAATAGGTCAGATAGACAAAAGCTCAGCTAGACAAGAAAAAGGGCCATTATTTTGTCTACTTAAAGGAAGGAGAGAAAACAAGAGTTTTGAGTGGATAACTGGTAGATAAAGAAAAATAGCATGGAAAAAAGCCAGAAAGTAGAAAATCACTGGGGCAAAAAAAAAGCCTCAGATTTGAATTCCTAGAAAAGTTGGATTTAAATTCTGATCTTATCACTTACTTGCAGAGTGATAATGAAATTGATTTCTAATTTTTAAAATGGGAAAATATAACAAACATTGACATATATAATCATATTTAATCATCACAATATGTTAACATGTCTATTTCAGGGCCTTGAATATTGTACGTTTCTAAAAACTTTTAGTTGAACCTAAAATATATTTAAATTCTTCTCAGCTATTGCAAGATTTGCCAGTGTTTGATGTATTTTCATTAAAATATAAGTTTTTGGCAATACAAAGAAACTTTCAAGCATTAGAGCTGCCCAATAGTTAAAGAACTATTTTTTTATTATACTTTAAGTTTTAGGATACATGTGCACAACGTGCAGGTTTGTTACACATGTATACATGTGCCATGTTGGTTTGCTGCACCCATTAAACTCGTCATTTAACATTAGGTATATCTCCTAATGCTATCCCTCCCCGCTCCCCCCACCCCACAACAGTCCCCAGAGTGTGATGTTCCCCTTCCTGTGTCCATGTGTTCTCATGGTTCAATTCCAACCTATGAGTGAGAACATGCGGTGTTTGGTTTTTTGTCCTTGCGATAGTTTGCTGAGAATGATGGTTTCCAGCTTCATCCATGTCCCTACAAAGGACATGAACTCATCATTTTTTGTGGCTGCATAGTATTCCATGGTGTATATGTGCCACATTTTCTTAATCCAGTCTATCACTGTTGTACATTTGGCTAGGTTCCAAGTCTTTGCTACTGTGAATAGTGCCGCAATAAACATATGTGTACGTGTGTCTTTATAGCAGCATGATTTATAATCCTTTGGGTATATACCCAGTAATGGGATACTGAATGGGCAAAAACTGGAAGCTTTCCCTTTGACAACTGGCACAAGACAGGGATGCCCTCTCTCACCACTCCTATTCAACATAGTGTTGGAAGTTCTGGCCAGGGCAATCAGGCAGGAGAAGGAAATAAAGGGTATTCAATTAGGAAAAGAGGAAGTCAAATTCTCCCTGTTTGCAGATGACATGATTCTATATCTAGAAAACCCCATCATCACAGCCCAAAATCTCTTTAAGCTGATAGGCAACTTCAGCAAAGTCTCAGGATACAAAATCCATGTGCAAAAATCACAAGCATTCTTATACACCAATAACAGACAAACAGAGCCAAATCATAAGTGAACTCCCATTCACAATTGCTTCAAAGAGAATAAAATACCTAGGAATCCAACTTACAAGGGATGTGAAGGACCTCTTCAAGGAGAACTACAAACCACTGCTCAATGAAATAAAAGAGGATACAAACAAATGGAAAAATATTCCATGCTCATGGATAGGAAGAATCAATATCGTGAAAATGGCCATACTGCCCAGGGTAATTTATAGATTCAATGCCATCCCCATCAAGCTACCAATGACTTTCTTCACAGAATTGGAAAAAAACTACTTTAAAGTTCATATGGAACGAAAAAACAGCCCACATTGCCAAGTCAATCCTAAGCCAAAAGAACAAAGCTGGAGGCATCACACTACCTGACTTCAAACTATACTACAAGGCTACAGTAACCAAAACAGCATGGTACTGGTACCAAAACAGAGATATAGACCAATGGAACAGAACAGAGCCCTCAGAAATAATGCTGCATATCTACAACCATACAATCTTTGGCAAACCTGACAAAAACAAGAAATGGGGAAATGATTCCCTATTTAATGAAGGGTGCTGGGAAAACTGGCTAGCCATATGTAGAAAGCTGAAACTGGATCCCTTCCTTACACCTTATACAAAAATTAATTCAAGATGGATTAAAGACTTAAATCTTCGACCTAAAACCACAAAAACCCTAGAAGAAAGCCTAGGCAATACCATTCAGGACACAGGCATGGGCAAGGACTTCATGTCTAAAACACCAAAAGCAATGGCAACAAAAGCCAAAATTGACAAATGGGATCTAATTAAACTAAAGAGCTTCTGCACAGCCAACGAAACTACCATCAGAGTGAACAGGCAACCTACAGAATGGGAGAAAATTTTTGCAATCTACTCATCTGACAAAGGGCTAATATCCAGAATCTACAATGAACTCCAACAAATTTACAAGAAAAAAACAAACAACCCCATCAAAAAGTGGGCAAAGGATATGAACAGACACTTCTCAAAAGAACTATTTTAGATTATATTAACTTCACACTTCTTACACAAAGTATTCAAGCAAATTTCCATTAAAAAGTATTCTTATATCTCTAATAATAGGTCTTACATCATTAGTATAGAAATTTGGAATAGTGATTTGTATATCACAGACCATAAACTATTTTACATACATTTTTATTACATAGCAACTGGAGTGGGAAGGGAGGCTCAATTTAAGAAAATTCTGAGAGCTTTTTCCAAACATTATAGTTCTCAATAATAACAAAGCTCAATCAAATGTAAGTTCCACCCATGCTTAAGTTCTTAATAAATTGATCACATTGCTCCAGGTATATAAATGTCTGTGTGTATAAATGCCAGGTAAGAAAACATTTTTCTGTAGAGTCCTAAAGTAAATATGGTCCTGTGAGCCATAAAATCTTAATCCCAAGTACTCAATTCTGCCATTGTGTGATGAAAGCATCTACAATGAATGGGTGTGGCTGTGTTTCAGTAAAACTTTATTGTCAGTAATAGCTAGACTGATTTGATTGTTAACCTTACTATGAACCTGTTTGTCACCTTCACCTTATTTGGTGTTTTTCTCAGACATAAATGCTGAGGAAAGGAGGGCTAATTTGGAGTTGGAAAACTTGGTCAGACCTCATGTCCTGGGCCATCTATCTCCTAAACGTATGTCATGGAACAGGAGATCTCAGCTTTTCTGAGACTCATTTTTTTTCTGCCTCACAATTGTTGCAAAGATCAAATGAACAGGGCAAATGATAGAGAAAAATTGTAGACTGCAAGGTGCAATATAAACCTGGATTTCTTTGGTAGCCAAGGGAGCTATCATGGTGATTTTTAGAGGAGACAAAGATGTGACTCAGAATTATCCTAATCTTTTATGTGCAAGGATAAAATAGAGAAAGGGAGCATTTTATTCAGAGATGCTTACCCTATAAACAACTTGATCCTGAGAGCACAGGTCTGTGAGACAATGGTATTAAACAAAACAAATCCTCCACGCAAATAATGACTTTACATAATTTCTAAGTGTCAAGAACTATTTTTTAATAAAAGCCAAGAGTATGTAGAAATTAGAAAAATCAGTGAGAGAAATAATATTGTGAACTTATTATTAAATTATTATTTGAAAAAATAATTGTCGATTAATGCTTAAAAACCCAGTTTTAAGAAACATGATATTCAACAAGAAGGTTGATTAAATTTTAGAAGAAATGCCTGTGTGTCCATTATTAATCCTTCATTTTAATGTTTATTAGATCAGTTGCTACAGCTTTCTTAAAATTTCCTACATCTATATATATACATCTATATATACATCTATATATATACATCTATATATATATACATCTATATATATACATCTATATATATATATATATACACATACACATCTATATATATCCATTATTTTTATTTTGTCTTATAAAAGGTACTTTGAAAGCGTACATATAACTTCCAATGACTCAAGGGCTAGCGAAAAGTTAAATATTATTGAGCAATCCACTGAACTTTTTTTTTCTGTTGCTGAAGTCACTGTGGTTGGATCTGTCAGAGGTTATGCGCCAGACTGATTAATAAGATGTGATGGTTGCTGTTTGACTGAAGAGGAGAAAATTCAAACATATGAATATTGAAGATATTATAGGCACAGATCTTGAGGCTCAAGACTGAGAGAGGAAGAAAAGAAAGCCAGCCAACAGAATAGGCCGTGTGGATTGAAGTGTATCAGCTAATATTCAATATAGGACATTTGAGGAGCCAAACATTACAAATATTTGTTGTTTCTAAATCAAATCTAATTTAGCTCTGAGCCCCGACTTCCCAAAAGTGGCATAAAGTTTAATAGCAGTTTTATTAATGTTTAAAAATGATGTCATTAAGCTGAAATTTATTTAGACCATTATGATATTGTCTCATATAGTATCCAAGTATTCATTTTATTCAAGAAAATCACTAATAGTGAGAAAAATATGATATATGAGTTTCAATTTTAACCTTGATATATTTACTAAATTTGTGCTGCTGGAAAGGTGTTTAAATCCCTTAAGTCTCAAGTTCCTTTCTATATAAGTAATACAAATCACAGCTATTTGACCAGCACATGGCAATTTCTTATAATGTATTAGATATCATTTCAATTTTACTTGATCTGTCTGACATTTCATTACAGACTTAAATTGATCTATTTCCATCCATTATTAGTATCTTTAAGAATTTAAAAACCTCATTTATGGTACTCTTTTCAGAAAAATATAAGCAGAAGTAGAGCGAGTTCCTCTAGTCTAGAACTAGGCAAAATTTCTCTGTCCTTAACCCTACTAAATCCATTGTATAACGTGAATGGCCATTGACTGTGATATTACTTCCACATAAGGATAAATTAAAACAAAACTAATTGCTGTCTCATTTAATGTTGCCATTATTCCATCAGAGGAAAAAAAAATTATTACCTTTTCTATTTCCTCCACAGAAGAGAGTTAGGCCTTTGTATCCTTCAGCTCTGGAAGAGAGTTAGGCCTCTGTATCCTTCAGCTCTGGAAGGAGAATAAATCAACTGTTCCAGTGAAAGTTTAGATTCATGGAAGCAGTGTGGATGATTTCTTTCAGAAGGGGAGAACTCTGAAGTTGTGGTTGGAGAAGCGTGAGATAGGCCTACAAGATGGATCCTTTAAGACTGGGAGTACAGAGAGAGCCACTGCTGTGAGAGTAGGAAGGACCTGTGCCTTCCTTATTCATGGTGCCCCCTCTTCCGATAGGCTCCTGCATTTGGCATGGAGGAAGAGCATGCCACATGCAGAGTGGTCCTACCTCAATGAGTGTCTCAGCCATGGTCAGAATGAGTCACTGACCAAAGGCCTCTTCTTCTTTGTTCCCTTTGGATACATAAGCAACGGAGGAATGTTACAACTTAAGAGAGGAAGAAGAAGCCATAAACATAATGGATGAATAATGAGGAATATTTCTTTCTGCTGTTATGGTGAAATCTTCAGAATATATTCTTCATTTAAAAAACTGAAGTTATAGTATACTTTTCATAAAAATGAAGCAATATAACACCTACATTTTAATAAATGTAAACAAAAATACCCAGAGTGATTTATTCATTGTGTTGAGGGAGAGATAATTGAAGAAAAAGTAATATAGGGAAAAGAATAGAGAGT
Source organism: Homo sapiens (assembly GCF_000001405.40). Classification (NCBI taxonomy): domain Eukaryota; kingdom Metazoa; phylum Chordata; class Mammalia; order Primates; family Hominidae; genus Homo; species Homo sapiens. The sequence continues at coordinate 6,180,303 of NC_000003.12, forward strand.
GTGCTGTGGTTTTAGATACAGTGGTCCAAGAATCCTCTCTGAGGTGTGGCATTTAAGCTGACTCATGGACCAAGTGAGCCAGGGGTTAACAGGGAGAAGAGTATTTCTGGATAGGGACCTGTGGGATGTGCTTAAGCCCATGAGGCTAGAAGGGAATTAGTCAAACATGAAGTGAAAGAAGATACACTTGGAGAAGTGGGTTTGTGTCTGATCACTCAGGGCCTTGTGAGCCAGGGTAGGGGTTTGTGTTTCCATTGGAAGGTATTGACCAGAGAAGGGACATGAACTACCTGATTTATATTCGGAAAAAAAATTCCTTCTAGCTTTTGGGTGGAGAGGACTGCATAAGGCCTATGAGTGCTCTAGGCCAGAGACTGCTGTAATTTCCACAGGAGACGTGATATTGCCTCAGAATGGGAATCATGGGTAGAAAATACGGTAGGATATGATAGTGTTTTAAAGTTGGAGCTGTCAAACTGGAAGTGGTCTGTGAGAAAAGAGGAATCAATGAGGACTCTTAAGATATTTTTGTGCAGAGCCAACTATCTGGGTAAACGAAGATGCCTTTTATTGAGATGGAAATGAGTTCTGGAGATGCAACAAGAAAAGAATCAGGGATAACATATCTTTATTTTTTATTTGTACCATAAATATTCCCCAGGAAAAAAGTGTCCTCGATGAGGTTTTTTGCTTGTTTGTTTGTTATTTTGTTTTGTTTTGGAGAGGGGAGATTAATATTATTGCTACAGCATAATAATTTTATTGGAATCATGAAACATTTTGAAAGTACAGGGCCTTCTCAATTCTACCAAATTTAAAAATATTTGGTAATTAGTTCATGCTTACCACAGCCTGACAGCCTTTGCAACTTCTCACAATTTCCATAGTAAGTTTTTAAAAAATAACAGCAAGGCCTCTTTAAAATATTTTACTTAAACATACAAGGCATGCATTTATATTTGAAAAATTTCTGTCCTGTTTTAAAAAATCAAATCAGAGCACTGGTTTAAGATTTTTGTTTGTTTGTTATTTTCATTTGTTTATTGCACCTGTAACCTTAGATAGGTTTTTAAGTTAGTTTGATAGTCCAAAAATAATTAGCAGCATTCACAGAAAGACAAATTCAATTTTCTCCCCATCCCAATATGTATATTGACTGTACAATCCTCTCTGTCCTCCTAAATAGTTTTATTCTTTTGTAAGTCAGTTGGAAAACTTATTTTTAAGTTCCAACATTCTCAAGATTCTCTATTGTAAAAGTGTATTAAAATAAAGACTAAGCCTCAGGAATCTCTGAACAGAGAGTCAGCTAGGCTTCAACAAAAGTCTCATCTAAACCCTCTTGACAGAATAGAGAGATGGGAAGGGCCTCTTGCAACAGCTATTAGTTGCTGTGGCCTAGAATTGATGTGTCTTTTCTGCTTATAACCCATTGTCTGGACAAATCTTACTGACTTAAACAACCACTTATTTTGCTCTCAATCTTTAATTGGAACAGGACTTGAAGAAATGACTCCTCTCCTATTCATGTAGTGTCAGCCCCAGGAGCTCACCTTGGCTGGAGAATCCACCTCCAAGATACCTTACTTAGACGGTATGCAATTTCATGTTGGTGGACAACTAGGGAATATTTTCTCCACATGGGCCTCTTCATATCACTTCTTCCTCACAGCATGGCAACTGGGTTCCAAGACTGTGCATTTGAAAAGACAGGAAGTAGGTATTACCAGTGTCTTAAGACCTAGGTCCAGATGCTGGCACTGCGTCACTTCTAAGTTCCATAAGTCAAGGCAATCACACAGCCCACTCAGATTTGCATAAAGAAGATATAGGCTCCTGGTCTTGTTGGGTGAAATGTTACATACTGTGTGGCCATGATAAGTGCAGATTTCAAGTACAGTTTTGCTGTCTCTAAAGACATAAGGATAAGAAACAACAAAAACAAAAATTGTCGAGTGGGACCTAATTAAAGAGGTTCTGCACAGCAAAAGAAATTATCAATGGAGTAAACAGACAACCTACAGAAAGGGAGAAAATATTCAAATACTATGGATCCAATAAAGGTCTAATATCCAGAATCTGTAAGGAATTTAAAAATTGAACAAGTGAAAAACAAATAACCCCATAAAAATTGGGCCAAAGACATGAACAAACACTTATCAAAAGAAGACATACAAGGGGCCAACAAACATATGACAAAATGCTCATCATTGCTAATCACCAGAAAAATGCAAATCAAATCACAACAAGATACCATCTCACAGCAGTCAGAATGGCTTGTGTTAAAGAGTCAAAAAAACAACACATGCTTGTGAGGTTGTGGAGAAAAGGAAATGCTCACATTGTTCAGCCATAGAAAGGAACAAAAGCATACCCTTCGCAGCAACATGGATGCAGCTGGAGGCCATTATAAGTGAATTAACACAGGAAAAGAAAACCAAACGTCACATGTTCTCACTTAGAAGTAGGAGCTAAACCTCCTAAACATCGAGCACTCACAGACATAAAGACAGGAACGACAGATACTGGGAGGGAAGGGGGCAAGGATAGAAAAACTATTAGGTACCGTGCTCACTACCTGGGTGACAGGATCAATCATACCCCAAACCTCAGCATCACACAACATACCCAGGTAACAAGCCTGCTCATGTACCCCCTGAATCTAAAATAAAAGTTGAAGTTATTTAGAAAAATAAAAGATAAAAAAGATGATTAAACGAAGTCCCTTTTATCTGATGTGTATTTATTAGGCAACTTGCAAATATAAATGTGTGCCAAATCACTGAACAAATAAAGGTCTATTCAGTTATGTAAATAAAACTTCAATAAATACATTCTGGAAAAACTAAATAGAGACAGAGCAACTTTTAATGGGGCTGAAGATAGTGTATTAGGAGTGGATGGATAAAGCTTGCTGGAGGAAATGGCATTTAACATAGATTAAAACTGTTGAAGACTGAAAACTAAAATCACAGGCAAAGCGTATCATTTGGTGTTAATGTATCAACAAAGAATTTTAAAGGTGGAAATGCAGGCCTAAGTTATCCCATGGCCAGGAGTCAGATCTGACTGTAATTTAAAGCATATAGTATAAGACTGGAAAGAGGAATGAGAGAAGATCTGTTTTGAAGAGCTTCACATTGCAATGCTTTTTTGCCAATGTTTGCCAAGAATTGAACAAATAAAGGCCTATTCAGTTATATAAATCAAACTTCAATAAATACATTCTGGAAATACTCAACATTGCATTAGCAGGTGAACTAGTGGGGGAATTGTATTTTATTTGGTCTACTTCGGCATGTTAATTTTCAAATAATTTTGAAGACCATTTGGATAAAAATGGCCACACTATGAAAAAGTTGTCTCTCTTCCTGTGACGAAGCATAACTTCCTCTCATCTCTTCAGCTCTGAGTGATGTTACTTTGCCAACCTCTATTTCTGGAAGTTCTGTATCCTCTCCTGGTAGTCTCAGAACGAACTCTTCTTGCTATAATGCAGCATTTCAACCCCAATTTCAAAGGAATAAAGTAAACATCTCACTGAAATACCTCAATAAATCCCTGTGTTTTTGATTTGATAAGATCATGAGCATGCATTGTACACTAGAATGGCTTACCTTATCTGCTTGGAAAAGTAGCTTGAGTTATTTCTAAAATTCACAAATTATATAGAAAAAACACAAGTGTGCTCTCTGTTTTCTTGGTCATTTTTAAAGAAGTTGATAAACTATGTAGATGTTGCATTTATATGTTTGACTTCTCTTTGTCCCTTGAAGTTTAAACTCACAAAATCAATTACCTGCCTGTCGTCTTCTCTTAGTGGTCATAAAGGCACATTAACTTAATAGGTTCAAAATCCGACACCAAATTTTTGATGAAAGTTTAGTTGTTCTTAACGCAGTGGTTTTTAAATTGTGGACCTCAAAAAGGCATGTCTATATTCTAACATCAAGAACCTATAAACATAAGCTTATTTGGAATAAGGGTCTTGGCAGATGTAATCAAGTTAAGAATTTCGAGATGGGGTAATCTAGGGTTATCTGGGTGGAACCTAGATCCAATCAAAGGTGACCTCATAAAAGACATCAGGGAGAAGACACAGCCCTTCTGTGAAGATCATGTGGAAACAGAGGCAGAAATTAGAATTCTGCTGTCACAACCAAAAATGTCTGGAGCTTCCAGAAGCTGGAAGAGACACGGAACAATTGTCCCACGGAACTTTCGGAGGGAACCCTGCTTATACCTTGATTTTTGACAACTGGCCTCCAGAACTTCAAGAAAACAAATTTCCGTTGTTTTGAGCCACCCAGTTAGTGGTAATGGGTTATAGCGGCCCTAGAACACTAACATAGACTTATCTCAGTAAATGTCCCAGGAGCCAACATTTTTACATCGCTTATGTTCATCTCACACTACATGAAAGCATGAATCACTGAGTTCTCTTTATTTTGCCTTCTAAATATATTTCATATCTATCTACTTTTCTCTATCTCTGTCATTCATGAACTCTAACCTCACACCTGGAATATTGCAATCATCTTATTGGTGATTTATCATCACTTTCACTCTACACACCTGCCAAACTTTTCTGCGCAGAGCAGGCAGTATTACCTCTTTGAAATATAGATTGGACCATTCTTCCCTCCTTGTCTCTGACAAACCTTTACTATTCCATTGCATTTAAGAGTAAGACAAAATTCCATGCAGTCTACAAAATCTGACATGACCTAATCTTTATTTTTCTAGTCTTGTTGCTTTTCATTAATAGACTTTACTCTTTTCGAGGAGTTTTATATTTACAGAGGAATTGGGCAGAAAGTATAGAGAGCTGCCATGTACCCTTGTCCCACCCATCCAATCACATAGTTTCCCATATTATTAACATCTTGCATTAGTGTGTCATATTTTAAAAATTGAACCAATAATTACATTATTATTAACAGAAGTTCACAGCTTATGTTAGGGTTCATGGTTTGGGTTACACAGTGCTATGGATTCTTGACAAATGCATAATGTCATGATCCACACTTACAGTATTACACAGAACAGCTTCACTGCCCTGTATCTCCAGTGCTTAGCCTTTCATCTCCCTTTTCTCTCTGAATCCTGGCAACCACTAATCTGTCTACTCTCTCTATAGTTTTGCCTTTTCGAGAATATCATATGGTTAGAATCATATAATAGGTGGCTTTTTCAGACTGGCTTCTTCCAATTAGTAATATGCATTTAAATTTCCTTTGTGTATTTTTGTGACTTTTTATCATTGAATAATATTTGATTGTATGGATGTATCAAAGGTGGTTTATCCGTTTGCCTATTAAAGTACATCTGATTGCTTCCAATTTGGGACAATTATGAATATAGCTCTTATAAATGTTTCTGTACATGTTTTTGTGTGGGCATAAGTTTTCAACTTAAACTTGACTAAATGCCAAGGAGCATGATTGCTGGGATTCTATGGTAAGACCATATTTTGCTTAATAGGGCACCCCCACATTGTCTTCCAAACTGGGGGATTTTGTACCATTTTGCATTTCCATCAGCAATGAATGAGAATTCCTCATGCTCTGCAAACTGTTGGCACTTGATGTTGTAAATGTTTGGGATTTTAGCCATTTTAATAGTTACACATGGTATCATATTGTTTAAATTTGCAATTCCCTAAGGATATATAATGTTGCCCATCTTTTCATGTGCTTATTTGCCACCTGTATGTCTCCTTGGGTGAGATGTCTGTTCAGATCTTTTGCACATTTTTAAAATGTGTTGTTATTGTTGAGTTTTAATAATTCTTTTTATGTTTGGGATAAATTCTTTATCAGATGTGTGTTTTGAGAGTATTTTATCCCAGCCTGTAGCTTATCTTTTAGTTATCTTTTGTTTAGCTTTTTGTTATCTTAACAATGTCTTTCAGAGCAGAAGTGTTTGAATTTAGTGAAACCCAAATTATCAACTGTTCTTTCCTGGATTCTACCTTTGATGTGCTATCTAAAAAGTCATCACCAAATTCAGTCACCTAGATTTTCTCTTTTGTTATCCTCTAGAAGTTTTACAGTTTTACATTTAGGTCCATGATTCATTTGACTTAATTTTTGTGAAAGTTGTAAGTTATTTGTCTATATTTATTTTTCGATGTAGATATACAGTTGTTCCAGCACTATTTGTTGAAAAAACTATACTTTTTCCATGGAATTGCCTTTGCTTTTTTGTCAAAGACAAGCTGATTTTATTTGTGTGAGCCTGTTTCTGAACTCTCTCTGCTGTTCCACTGATCTAGTTGTCTGTTCTTTCACCAATACCATCTGTCTTGATTACTGTACTTGTGTGGTAAACCTTGAAGTCTGATAGTGTCAGTCCTCTGACTTTGTTCTTCCCTTTCACTATTACGTTGGCTATTCTGGGACTTTTGCCTCTCCATATAAACTTTAGAATCATATTTTCCATATGCATGAATTAACTTGCTGGGATTTTGGTTGAGATGGCACTATATCTATAGATTAAGTTGGTAAGAAGTGACATATTGACAATATTGAGACTTCTTAATCATGAATATATAACAGCTTTCCATTTATTCAGATCCTCTTTGATTGCTTTGCTTAAATTTTGTAGTTTTCCACATATATATCATCTACATATTTTGTTAAATACACATATTTTGTTAATTATTTGTGTGTTAATGTGTTTTAATTTTTAAATTCCAGTCGTTCATTGCTGATAAATAAAAATCAATTGACTTGCACATATTTCCTTTTTTATCCTGCATTATTTTCTGCCTTCTCTCTGTCCTGTTCAATGTTCATGGACCTTTTTTACTGTAGTAACATATACATATACTTTTTTACTGTGCGACATATGCATATTATGATACACATATCATAACATTTACCATTTTAACCTTTTTAGGTGTACAGTTCACTGGCATTAAATAAATTCACACTGCTATAAAACCATCAACGGCATTCAGCTCCAGAAGTTTTTTATATTTTTATTATTATTATTTTTTTTTTTCTGAGACGGAGTCTCGCTCTGTCGCCCAGGCTGGAGTGCAGTGGCGCAATCTCGGCTCACTGCAAACTCCGCCTCCCGGGTTCACGCCATTCTCCTGCCTCAGCCTCCCGAGTAGCTGGGACTACAGGCGCCCGCCACCAGGCGCAGCTAATTTTTTGTATTTTTAGTAGAGAAGGGGTTTCTCCGTGTTAGCCAGGATGGTCTCGATCTCCTGACCTCGTGATCCGCCTGCCCCGGCCTCCCAAAGTGCTGGGATTACAGGCGTGAGCCACCGTACCCGGCCATATTTTTATTTTTTAATGGTGGTGAAATACACATAGCATAAACTTTAACCATTTTTAAGTTTACAATTCAGTGGCATTAGTACATTCACATTATTCACATTATTGTGCAACCATCAACATCATCCTTCCCGAAATTTTTCTTTTTCTCAAGCTGAAACTCCACATCCATTAAGCAATAAATCCCCACTTTCCTCTTTTCCCAACCCCTAACAACAACCGTTACACTTTCTGTATGTATTAATTTGACCTCTTTAGTTACCATATGAGGTCTCAAATTACACAATATTTGTCTTTTTGTGACTGGCTTCTCCCATTTGCCTATTATCTTCAAGGGTCCTCCATGTTGCAGTGTGTTTTACAATGTCTTTCCTCTTTAAAACGGAATAATATTCCATTATGTATGTATCTGTTTTTGGACTTCAGTCGCATCCATCTTTTAGCTATTGTGAGTAATGCTGCTATAAACCTGGATGTACAAATATCTATCATGTGCTCTTATGTCATACATTCTTAAAGATCTTCAAAATCAAAACTTAATCTGGTATAAATTGCATAATTTGAAGGAATATACCTTTGCTAATTAGTTATTACACCTTTAAAAAACACATAGTAGGTCATCTAGGTCTGGTTACACTGAAGTCCAATTTTTCCGTTCCCTTTTATTTTGTTTAGCTATTTTAAATTTCAGGGACTTTGTTTGTTTTAAGGACATGAGTAATGTTAATGATAATATGTTACTGTTTTGAGAGGCTAGAAATATTTGGAAATGTTCAACTATTCAGTATGACTGTTATATAATATGCTATTGTTACATTTTTAAATGGGAGAAAATAAAGTTGTTAAGACATAAAATAATGCTAATAGAATCTGCTCATATCTCTAATTCCCACTGCTATCACCCTAGGTCAAGTCATTGTGGACCCTGCAATTGTTTTGCCCTCCTGTACTCCTGGCTTTTTATAACCAATTGATGTTTTAAGAGGATTAGTAAATAACATTCCTTATTCTCTCAGAAAACAGTCATATAAGAATAAAAATGCCACTTTTTATTTGCTGATATGCTGATTGGAGATGGGGATTCGATGCCATCTTTGGTTTTAATTTTGTATTTTATGTGACTCAATTTTTCTCCTCTCTTAGCCTATATTTCTTTTTAAAATAATTTAGTAGTTGCCCTAGAGATCGCAGTTGCTATGGACTGAATTATGTCGCCGAAAAATGCATATGTTGAAACATTAACCTCTAACTTGATGGTATTTGGAGATAGATATGTGGGAGATAATTAGATTTAGATGAGGTATTGAGGGTGAAACTGTCATGACGGGATTAGCATCTTATGAGAAGAGACACCAGAGATCTGGTTCTCTCTCTCTCTATCTCTGTCTCTCTCTCTCTCCCCCTCCTCCATGTAAACGCAGCAAGAAGGCAGCTGTCTGCAACACAGTGAGAGAGCCCCTACCAGAATTCAGTCATACTGACAACTTCTTTTTGGACTGCTAGCCTCCAGAAGAGTGAGAAAACAAATTTCTGTTGCTCAAGTCTTTTGTTATGGAAGCCCTAGCTGACAAAGACTTCAATATATATTTATAACTAATGTAAGTCCACTTTCAATTAACACTATGTATATATATTTTTTTCTTTTTCAACTTTTATTTTAGAATCAGGGGTTTTATGTGCAGGTTTGTTACAAAGGTATATTGCATGATGCTAAGGTTTAGGATGTGATTGAACCTGTCACCCAAATGGGGAGCACAGTGCCCAATAGGTAATTTTTTAGCCGTTGTTCCCTCTCTCTTTGCCCTCTCTACTAGACCCCAGTATCTTTGTTTCCATCTTTATCTCCATATATACCCAATGTTTAGCTGCCACTTATGAGTGAGAATATGTAGTATCTGACTGTCTGCATTAGTTTGCTTGGGATAATGGCCTCAAGATGCATTCATGTTGCTGCAAAGGGCATGATTTTGTTCTTTTTTATGGCTGCATAGTACTCCACAGTGTATATGTACCACATTTTCTTTATTCAATCCACTGTTCATGGGCATTTGGCTTCATTTTATGTTTTTGCTATTGTTAATAGTGCTCTGATGAACATACAAGTGCATGTGTCCTTTTAGTAGAACAATTTATTTTCCTTTTGGTATATATTCAGCCACGGAACTCCTGGGTCAACTGATAGTTCAACTCTTAGTTCTTTGAGAAATCTCCAAACTACTATCCACAGTGGCTGGACTAATTTACATCCCCACCAACAATATATAAATATTTCCTTTCCTTTACAACCTCACCAGCATCTGTGTTTTTGTTTGTTTGTTTTTACTTTTTAACAAAAGCCTTTCTGACTGGTGTGAGATGGTATCTCATTGTGGTTTTCATTTACATTTCTCTGATAATTAGTGATAATGAGCACTTTTCATATGTTTTGTTGGAACTTGTATGTCTTCTTTTGAAAAGTATCTGCTCATATTTTTTGATGACTCTTTAATGGGGTTATTGAATTTTTCTTGTTGATTTGTTAATTTCCTTGTAGATTCTGAATATTAGACCTTTGTAAGATGCATAGTATGTGAATATTTTCTTCCATTCTATAGGCTGTTTACTCTATTCATAGTTTCTCTTGCTGTGCAGAAGCTCTTTAGTTTAATTAGTTCCCACCTATCAATTTTTGTTTTTGTTGCAATTACTTTTGAGGAGTTACCCATAAATTCTTTGCCAACGCGGATTTGGAGAAGAGTGTTTCCTAGTTTTCCTTCTGATATTTTTACAGTTTGTGGTCTTACATTTAAATTTATATATGGCAATAGGTAAGGGTCCAGTTTCAAACTTCTACAATATGGCTAGCCAGCTATCCCATCACCATTTATTGATTCTATTCCCCATTTCTTATTTTTGTCAAGTTTTTCAAAGATCAGGTGGTTGTAGCGGTGCTGTTTCATTTCTGGGTTATCTGTCCTCCTAGAACTGATAAATGACTTCAGTAAATTTTCAGGATATAAAATGAATATACAAAATTCAGTAGCATTTCTATACACCAAAAACATTCAAGCTGAGAACCAAATAAAGAGTGCAATTCCATTCAAACCAGCAACGATGTATCAAATAAAAAGAAAAAATATGCAATTCCAGTTACAATTGCTACAAAAAGAATAAAATACCTAGGAATACAATTAACCACTGAGGTGAAAAATCTCTACGAGGAGAACTACAAGACACTGCTAAAAGAAATCAGAGACGACACAAATAAGTGGAAAAACATCCCATGCTCATGGATTGGAATAATCAATCTCATTAAAATGGCTATATTGCCCACAGCAATTTACAGATTCAACACTATTCCTATCAAACTACCAACATCATGGAACTGGAAAAAAAAACTACTCTAAAATCAGTATGGAACCAAAAAAGATCCCAAATAGCCAAAGCAATCCTAAGCAAAAAGAACAAAGCCAGAGACATCACATTATTGGACTTCAAACTATACTATAAGGCAGCAGTAACCAAAACAGCATGGTACACAAACAGACACATAGACCAATGGAATACTATAGTTTTTCATGTGTACTGCATGTGCCTCTAAAGGACAGTTTCCAGTTCCTCCCTCCTATACCTTAAATATTGCTGTCATTCACTTTACTTACATAAGCTATCAATCATTACCCTGTATGTTGTTGCTGTTATTACTTTGAACAAACTGTCATCTTTTAGATCAATTAAGAATAAAAAAAAATAGCTGGGCATGGTAGCTCATGCCTGTATCCCAGCACATTGGGTGGCTGAGGCGGGCAGATAATTTGAGGTCAGGAGTTCAAGACCAGCCAGACCAATATGATGAAACCCAATCTCTACTAAAAATACAAAAATTAGCCAGGCGTGGTGGCATGCACCTGTAATCCCAGCTACCTGGGAGGCTGAGACGGGAGAATCACTTGAACCCAGGAGATGGAGGTTGCAGTCAGCTGAGATTGCACTCCTCCAGCCTGGGCATGAAGGCGAAATTCCGTCTCAAAAATAAAATAAAATAAATAAATAAATAAATCAAAAATTCCTTCCCTAATGCTCCTCCTGTTTGTAGACTCATATTTCTGACACATCATTTTCCTTATTTCTGCAGAACTTCTTTTATCAGTTCTTAAAAGGTAAGTCCACTGGTAACAATTTCCTCAATTTTGTTTGTCTGAAAAAGTACTTCAATTTTATTTGTGAAGGATCATTTGACTGTATGCAGAATTATCATTTGGTGTTTTGTTGCAGTAGGTGTTGTTCTTTTCTTTTTTTTTTTAATTTTATTTTACTTTATGTTCCGGGATACATGTGCAGAACATGCAGGTTTGTTACATGGGTAAACATGTGCCATGGTGGTTTGGTTTTTCTTTTCTTTCCATACTGCAAATATGTTACTCCACTCACTTTTGATGTCACGGTTTCTAAAGAATAGTCCAATGTAATTCTTGTCCTTGTTCCTCTATAGGCAACATTTTTATAACTTGCTTCTTTAAAACTTTTCTCTTTGTCTTTGAATGTTGGTAGTTTGAATATGACATGTCTAGGTATAGATTTTTTTTTTTTTTGGTGTGTTTTGGTATTTATCTTGATTGGTGTTATCTGAGGATCTATACTTCGCTTGCTTCTATTAATTTTGGAAAATTCTCGGGCATTATTTCTTCAAATATTTCCTCTATTTTTTTCTTCCCCTTCTAGTATTCTCATTGTGCATATGTTACACCTTTTGTAATCATCTCGCAGTTCTTGAATATTAAGCTCTATTTTTCTCTTTAATTTATTTTTAGTTTGCTAAGTTTCCATTGACATAAACTCAAACTCACTGAATCTTTTCCTTGGCTGTGTTCAATCTATGGATCAAAATTAAAGGCATTCTTCATTTCTGTAGCATTGCTTTTGATTTTTTTTCTTAAAAGTTTCTACCAATATGCTTACCCAAGTGTTCTTACAGGCTGTCCACTTTTCCCATTAGAACCTTCAGCATATTAATTATAGTTATTTTAATTCCAAGTCTGATTATTTCCACAGTCTGTACTATATCTGAATCCGGTTATGGTGTTTGCTCCATTTCTTCAGACTGTGTTATTTGCCTGTTAGCATGCCTTGCAAGACTTTTGAATGTCAGACATGATGTATTGGGGAAAAGGGCTACTGAGTGAGGTTTACTTTTATCTGGCCACTAGTTAGACTACATTTAGTAGTTAGACAGGTGTATTGTTATTATACCTGTAGATGTTAGAATCTAAAATTTCCTCTGTGTCCTTGCTTTTGCCTCCCCTGTTACCTTTATGTTTTCCTAGAGACTTTCTCTGAACTGGAGCCTGAGTTTCTGCTTTTCTTCAGCTGTAATCCTGTTATTATCCAGAAGCCTTGTTAATGGGGTAGTGCAGTGTGGGGAGGAAAGCCACTCCATATTCCTGTAATCAGGCATTGGTTTTTTAGTGGGCTGTACCTCTTCAAGGTGCTTCTCACATCTCTTCCTCCCCTTCCCTGCTTAAGTGTAATAGGAATGTCCAAAGGTCCTGGAGTTAGGCATTTCCATTTTTCTGTGTCAGTTAGGCTCTAGCTCATGGTTGTTGGCTCTAGTAGTATTTTTTTCTATGACACAAGCCTTTGCTAATTGAGAATATAATGCTCTGGATGTATTTCAAATGGTAAATTTTCCCCTCCTCCTGCCAAAAACAAGAGGGGATTTTTGTGCAGTCATCATCCTGAGAAGCTGGTGAGGGCTTTTAGAGGTAAAACTCATGAAAATGTGGGACTTTTAGAAGTAATACTCACAAAAAAGTGTGGAGGTTCCCCTAAGGATGACCCCCCATGAGATTTTCTCTATCAATTAGTCCATACCTATTGTTTAGCAATAAGTCAATTAAGCTTTGTGTGTTCCTGCCAGAAGAGAGCTATAGTTTTTGCTTCTGGTAAATTTTATCCTTATTTTCTTGTCTTTCCTATTTTTGAATTGATAGTTTGTCTTGTGATCTCAACTTTCCATGGATCTTAGAAGAAGTGTGATTTGCCAGTTTGTTCAAGGACAGGAGAGATGACTTATGAGCTGTTTACATGTTTAACTAGAAACCTAAAGTCAGACACTTGCTTTTCATGAGTCTTTTTAGTCTATCCTCTCTAACAACACTGGACTTCCTCCAGCCATTTGAATATGCCATTGTTTCTCTTGTCCCAGTACCTTTGGATATACCACTCTCCCTGACAGAGCAGGAGCACCTTCATCTTGGACAACCACCACCATTTTAAGTTCCAGCTCCCTTTCTAACCTCATAAATTTAAAGGAAATCACTTCTATTCAAACAACAAGCAGTCAGAAAGAGCAGACAGTAAAACATAGCTAAGAGAGCTCCGGCACAGAGGGAGGTGGGAAAGTCTCTTGGGTAACCACCAAACTTCACACTCATACAATGGGCCCCAATAAAACAGTGTCCCTAGTAAGCACATTCCTTCCCCTTTAAGTGCACTAAGGTAGGGAAGATAAGGTAGACTCTCTGGGTATACCTGCAGCTGCAGGAAGATGTATGGCAACAGATACAAAACTCTTCCTCCCAGATAAGCAAGACAAGGAGACAAACATTCTGAGCCTATGATAAGCTCTCCCACCCTGAACCCTTAAATACTCTTAGTCTGTAAGAGAGAGTGCTCCTGACCTAACTTGGCCAAAAGCCCCTCTCGAGTTTTTCCTCCAAAATAAACCTGTCTTTGACTGTTGAGCTGCTTTTCGTGTTTCTTCCTTCTTCAACTTTTACATTACCCTGCTTGGAATGTTCTTCCTTGAAGCATTAACTTTAACCTCTCTGACTAGGCTGAATTGCGCATATTATGTATTATTGGCAAAATATAACTTGCTTTGATAGTATTTGTGGTCATTTTATCTTCTGTGTGTGTATGTCACAATATGCCAGTTACTTGATTTATATTTATTTCTCCTCTCTACTTATTCATGACAGAAACTGCATGTGATTTTACTCAGAACTATATACCTGAGAGAGTAACTGTCACATGGTAGGCATGAACTGATTTTTAGCAAACGAGCCCTTCTCTTCAGCTTCCTTTTTCTCAGTTAAGAACTATAAATGTCTGCATTTAAAACTATGGAATTCTTAGCATCCTTATCAATGGTTACTCTATTTCAGTGCAAGAGAGCTTAATGTATGCACCTCAGGGAAGCTCCCCACATACCCATGCCAATCAAACCAAATAGCCTTGAAACCATGGAGCTCAGGAATAATTCCATCACCTCAGTTTTAGGCAGTCAATAATTGGGATAATTTTTTTCCAAGTTGAATATAGGTGCAGTGTGACCTCCCTTTAAAAGGTTAATGGAGTTTTACTTTCTTACTGAAACATCAATAATTTGGGATATATTTTATTTGTAGATTTAATGCATTAACATTCCATTCCTATTTCAATATGAGTATGCATGTTTTTTTTTTTTCTATGTGAGTGTAGATTTTTTTTCCCTTGAGCATTTTTGAGAGTTGAAAACATTTCCTATTCCTTATATGATGAAGTCTTAAATAGCAATGATTTGGAGATTTATTAAGTATAAAAAGGATTAACATCAATCAGGCTTAATATATGCAATTGAGTAACCATTCTCAATCTCTTATTTAGTATAGTATAAAGGAAGCATCTCTGAAGTGAAACACTTAGTATGTACATAACTTTAGGAGATGTACTTCCTTATTAGTGTAGGAAAGACATTTTTCAGCAAAATTTAGTAATGGACATACTTCCAAGATACTTACTGTTTCTATCGGCTCTTAAAAGCTTGATGCTGCAGGATCAAATGGTGTCTAATATTATGTATGAGTCAAATAATTTGTGATATTTTTTCTTACATTCTTTGTGGGAATTGGGCGGAGATTTATTTGGTGAGCCTAAAAATGAGGGTTAGTGATTAACTATGAGCTCAAGAAATAGGTCCATAATTCCCTTCTTCTGTTTTCTCTCTCTCTTAGCCTCTAGAACATTAGACATTTGTTAACAGAGTTATAACTAAACTATCTTCTTAGATCTTATTTCTTACTCACTTTAGGTATTATGAAAAAAGGGTTAAACCTATTATAAAATGTCATAGTATGAAATGTAGAATAATGTTCTGATGACTGGTGATCAGATGTCATCCTAAATTAGCAGATGGGCTTAGATTCTTTTTTCCTATTCATATTCTAAAACCTTTTGTGCTGACTATCTTGTGACAATGTTGCTTATATCTTACTTATACCAATAATATAAAATCAGTTAGTTGAAAAATCATCACCTCTTGTTGCGATTTTAATAGATTGTGGCAGTAGGTTGGGGATATTTCCATCTCTGCTTTTTATCGAGTGAGCAGATTATGACTACAGCAAAAGTCTGAAGCGTTTTTTAATCTTTTCAGCAAAATGGAGGTTGTAGAAAGGGCTCAATGTCTGGTGCTTTTTGCTTTGGTGTGAAACTCTAAACCTGGCTTCTTTTGTGGGTCACTGCAGCTATTTATGCAATTTTATTAACCATAATGATACTTTGTTCTTGCACTGTCTCTTTCATCTGAACATCTCCAAATATTTTACAGACAGAAGTTTTTAAATTTTATAAGAAATATTTTATTATAAAGCTTGTGATTCCATATTCATTCTAAAGTCATTATAACTACAGGAAAGGGTGGAAAGAAGAGTTCAGGAGAGAGGTCTCTGTGATGCACCCAAATCAGAAAATTCTCAAACTCTGAGGGTCCCTTGAATTCACTGTCAATGTCTTGTATCACTTTCCACTCACATCTATTTTTCCCAGTCTTCTTTTTTCTTTTCCTTTCCTTGCAGATGTGAAATACATGTACAAAATAAATGCAATAAATAAATAAATCAGATAAATTTCAAATAACCACTACTAATTAAATGTGATAGATAATCTTGTTTGACTGAAACAAAATTTCAAGGTTAATAAGAGGAATATAGAAATTTAGGTCTATTTTGGTACTTAACTTATTTCTGTGTTGTTTTTTTCTTGGACAAAACTAATGCTTATCTTTATAAGGTGTTATATAAAACATGAATAACATTAGCTAAATTTAGGGTATTCAAATTCATCTTTAACCCAAATTCTGTTATTGATCAGTGCTCAAGTGCTGCTTTTAACATACATACATACATACATATGTATGTACACCCAAAGGTCTTGTTTAATTGAAGGTAATGGTAGTGTTACAGTACTATTAAAATCCAAATTAGCCGGGCGCGGTCTCTACTAAAAATACAAAAAATTAGCCGGGCGCGGTGGCAGGCGCCTGTAGTCCCAGCTACTCAGGAGGCTGAGGCGGGAGAATGGCATGAACCCAGGAAGCGGAGCTTGCAGTGAGCTGAGATCGCGCCACTGCACTCCAGCCTGGGCGACAGGGTGAGACTCTGTCTCAAAAAAAAAAAAAAAAAAAAATCCAAATTACATTAATATCCAATCTAGTTAGTGAATAAATTAGGGACAGAAAAAATTTTAATTGTGTACTTAGTACCATCATATTTTCTATTAATGTTCTATAGTAAACGGTTACAAAGTTGAGACCAACTCATTATCTCTATTGCTATTTGAATATAGAACTGACATCTATGGGGCAGGTTATTAAGCATTCAGTATGCCTGTGCTATTGTGATTTACTCATTTTTCCTATCACATTTTTTTCTTTTTCAAATTACAACGGCACAAGACTATTGTAAACACAAATGCAAAGCTAGGCATACCGGAAGTGGCCATCTAGACCAGGGGTCGACAACCTTTCTCTGTTAAGAGCCATATAGTGAATATTTTAGGTTTTGAGGGTTACATGGCTTCCATCATAACTACTAAACTGTGCCATGGTAGCACAAAAGCAGCCATAGATAAGGTATAAAAATGTGTGCCTGTGTTCCTCTTAAACTTTATTGACAAAACAGTCAGCAGGCCAAATTTGACCTATGGGCTGTAGTTTGTGGACCTCTGATTTAGATATTGTGCTGTTCAACATGGTAGCCATTAGACACATGTGACTATTGACACTGAATTTAAGTGCAATTAAAAATTTTTGTTCCTCAGTTGCATTACCATATTAAAATGTTTGAGAACCACATATGGCTAGTGACTACCATATTGAAACAATGCATATAGGTAGTATTTCTATATGGAATATTTTTACATTCACAGAAATTTTTATTAGACCACAATGATAAAGAATTCTTTATATGGTTGTCTCTTGTTATTATTGAACTAAAGACAGGAAATATTAAAATAAAGTCTAGGAGAATTCATAAACTCCTAAAACTCATTCCTAAACCTCCCAGAGGCAACAGAATTTTGATTTTTAGAAACATCTTAAAGAGTTAAGTGAGTTAAGATTCTTGGCTCTGGTCTTTTCATCTTAGGAAAGTCTGTGTCTCTGTCACCCTATCTGTTATATGGGAATAATAATACCTGCCCAATTCAGCATAAAGTGGTTGTGAGGAGCGATGCATGTTTTGAGGCAACTGATAAATAGTATAGGAAGAAGTAGGAGCACATGGCAACATGAATATGTTTGGGGAGGCAAATTAGTGTGATGATTTGGATTACAGGAATTCAAATCCTACTTTTGCTTTTTTTTCCATGTAAACTTTAGCCAGATCCTTAATTTTGCAAAGCCATTATTTGCTTATCAGCAAAAGAAAAATATAAATATTAATCCCCTAGGATTATTGTGAACATCAAATAAGATAATGTAATCAAAGCTGCTTAACACGGTACCTGGTTCATAATAAGCCCTCAAATGACAGGAATTACTGTTGCTATGCTGAGGAAGGCAGGAGAAAGTATCACAACATTAGGCATAAAGACTTCCTGACACAGCAGAACAATTCAAGTGTAGAAACACATTCCAAAACTAAAATAATAATAATAAAATAGGAAAGAAAGATAGACTAGAAGCCTGAGAGAAAAACAAGAAGGGAAGAAAATAGGATTTTTAGTATATACTCACTGGAAGCAATGCATACATGTCTGAAGGCTCATATTGTGCCGACTTGAGGAAGTTATAGAAATTGATATAATGAAAGTTCTTTTCTAATGTAAAATATACAAAGCCCAGTTCAGTGAGATATTATTTCTGGAAATTGCCTTTATTACCTAAGTGCTACCCAAACATAATGGATTATTATAGCTTTCTTCTCTCTATATAGCTACTGTTGACGCCCTCCAAAGACCTTCAGAAGAAAGGAGATGGCTGATTTCTTGGTTATAACAACTCATCTATCCAGGCCCCTGCATTCCATGAATTGGGTAGACACAGAAGTCTGTGGGACGAATTCATAAATGGAGTACAGCTGCCCCTAGCTCTCTGCTAGTCATCCAATGGCTGTTTCCACTATTCCAGGACTGAGCGATTGATTACCTGGAACTTGAGACTCTCAGTGCTTAAATTAGACAGTCCTGAGTAAACTTGCATAGTTGGTGTCCCTAGAAGCTATCAGGTATCTAGAAGGAAGGATTGGATTAAGTACTAGGTAACCAGGGGTAATTAACATTAATGCTTCTCTAGGTCTACCCCTTTCTCCCCAGTATGTGACGAGAACACGCTAGTAAGCGTGAGAGATCTGTAAACACTAGTTCAAGAATTCTGACCTCAGCCAGGCACAGTGGTTTATGCTTGTAATCCCAGCTTTTTGGGAGGCTGAGAATTGTTTGAGGCCAGGAGTTTGAAAACAGCCTGAGCAACATAGGGAGACCTCATCTCCACAAAAATTTTTTTAAAAAATAGCCAGGCATGCTGGCACGTGTGCCTGTGGTCCCAGCTACTCTGGAGGCTGAGGCAGGAGGATTGCTTGAATCCAGGTGGTTAAGGTTGCAGTGGGCCATAACTATGCCACTGCACTCCAGCCTGGGCAACAGAGCAAGACTTGTTTCTTTTTTTTGGTCTCCAAAAAAAGAAAGAAAAGAAAAGAAAAGTAAAGAAGTCTGACCTTGAAGCCGCTAATTGATTAGTTCTTCACAGAATTCTACCATCTCTGGGTATTAAATTTAGAAGAAACTTAAGGAGTCTAGCCCTGTAATGTTAAAACCTTAAAAAAAAAAAGCCATTTTTTTTTCTTCAAACAAAATCTCAGTTTAGGAATGTTTTTGGGAAAAGATAAAGGTGGGTGGTGGGCTAAAGTTCCCGAATTTTATCTATTCTTGTCTGTCCTACTGTTTTCATTCCCTTCAGAATGTGTTTTCAGAAATCATAAGAGTTTCCAAGGGCAGAGCTAAAAAACACGGATCTAATCCAGTTTCATCATGCTTTAAAGGGAAAACTGAGACCTTAAGACATCACTCAGTGCTTAAGTTTTGGCAGCTTAGGACTTGTTTATTGAGAAACATAGAATCAAAATTTTTGCTGAGGGTGCTGGTTCTTCACTTTACACATTGGGATCACCTGGGATGCTTTGAAAAATAGGGGTCTTATGGAATCAACCCAAATGCCCATCAATGATAGACAGGATAAAGAAAATGTGGTACATATACATCACGGAATGCTACGTAGCCATAAAAAGGAACGAGATCATGTCCTTTGCAGGGACATGGATGCAGCTGGAAGTCATTATCCTCAGGAATAGAAAACCAAACATCAGGCCGGGCGCGGTGGCTTATGCCTGTAATCCCAGCACTTTGGGAGGCCGAGGCAGGTGGATTATGAGGTCAGGAGTTCAAGATCAGCCTGGCCAACATAGTGAAACCCAATCTCTACTAAATATACAAAAAATCAGCCGGGCATAGTGGTGGGCACCTGTGATCCCAGCTACTCGGGAGGCTGAGGCAGGAGAATCGCTTGAACCCAGGAGGTGGAAATTGCAGTGAGCTGAGATCGTGCCACTGTACTCCAGCCTAAGCAACAGAGTGAGACTCCATCTAAAAAAAAAAACAACAAAAACAAAAACCCAGACACCATATCTTCTCACTTATAAGTGGGAGCTGAATGATGAGAACACATGGACACAGGGAGGGGAACAACACACACTGGGGTCTGTTGGGGGACAGCAAAGGGTAAAGGGAGAGCATCAGTAAAACTAATGCATGCTGGGCCTAATGTCTAGGTGATGGCCTGCTAGGTGCAGCAAACCCGTTTACCTGTAAAACAAACCTGTACATCCTGCACATGTACCCAAGAACTTAAAATAAATAAATAAATAAAGATGTTACAAAAAACACAACAACTCTGCTATTTCTCCTGTTGGGGCTTAATTCCTTGTTCCTCAAAAACGAAAACAAAAAACAAAAAACATGCGGGGTCTTGGTCTTGTTCCCAGAAGTTTTGAATGATGGGACCGTTTTGTACCCTGGGTATAGGAATTTATAAGAAGTCTTCAAGTGATTCTAATTTAAGTCAAGTTTACAAAATATTGGCCAGAGTGAGGAAAAATAATGAACAAGCAAGCACACACACACACACAGACACACACACACACACGTTTTGTGGTCAGGAGACATGAGTTTCATCTCTATCAATGATTGATTTGTGACTTCTAGCAAGTCCTTCACTATTCTATACTTTGTGAGATATTGGCCAGTTGACTTCAAAGTTTTTAAAGCCATGGAACCCTTCCTCCAGTGAAAACCTCATGGGAGCCTTGTACGTCACACACAAAAAAGCAGAGTTGCTTTGGTTAAACAGAGAAGGAAGATAGGAGGCTCAACATTCTGTCTTGATGTTACAAAATTCTACTGAGGCATGTTTTCAGAGTGCTTCAATGCTTCAAGGAACCCATACAGTACTATGAATTTTAGAGCTCCATTTTCTTTCTGAACTATGATTTGATTGGATAAAACTGAATGCTGCTTATGAGTTTTGCTTGCACCTGATTTCATGTGACTTGATCCACAATTAAGTTTTATTTTTGTTTTCTGATCAGTTTTACCAATGAATAAAGTTGTTTCTTTCTGATTGACCCCCTCTCACCAGACAACTGCAAAGCTATGATAGGATTTGCTTCCATGCTCTGTGCTTCACAACAGTAGGGCAGAGTATTTCTAATTGAAAGATCCTCAGTTCCTTCATCAATCCCATAAATATTTTATGTCACAACTGGAGCTGAAGGGTGGCCTTGAAATTTTGAAAAATTGGGTCACAATTGGTTTGACCTGAGCACATTTGTGAGAGTCTACATCATTAAGAAATAGTTCCCCTTCATTATTTATAAGAACACAGAAGCAGACGTGCAATTGTTCCCTGTATAATTTTCACACATAAAATATCACGTAGTTGGAAGACACTGTTAAAGAGCATAATGCACTGCATTTATTTCTGAGATGGAGTTGCCTCTGTCATTGTGTTTAGTAAACACACTTCTATTATGGTGAGTGGATGGCTGTCAGTTCTGTTTTCTTAAAAAATATCCAATGTATTTCAGTCTTGTCAAACTTCTTGTTTTCATTACATTGCTTATGTATTTAACGAACTTATCTTTGATATTAGCTCCAAAAAAACACACAGAGCTTTTCATCCAAAACTATTTCTCCTCTTTAGTCAACTTTTCTGAAATCTACTACTAGACTTACAGATTTGCATTTCTGTGTGTACACTAAAGATGTAAAATGTCTTTCCATTCATCTCACTTAAAACAAGTTCCAAAATACAGTGTTTATATAAACAAGTGAGTTTTTTCCTCACAAAAACTGTATCCATTAAAATATGGAATCCATACCAAGGAAGTCACTTATCTTTTTAACACAGAAGTTAAAAATGCCTAGATCACAAAATTCAATAGAAATCCTGCTTATTGCTCAATTTCATTTGGAGGGAGCCTTTTCATTGAAAAGAAATGGTCTCCTGTGGATGAGGACATTGAGGCAAATTTAGAAATGTGGAAATCTAACTTCATTTGCTGTTCATTTTCATGATTGAAGAAACACTCTTGTCTTTCATTTCCTCCTGATTAGAGTTTCCTGATAACATAGTCTTTGCTTTTAAGACATACCAGGGCTAAATGATATTAAAAATTTTTGTGTATGAATTTTGTTCTTTTTAAAGTGAAGTATAGTCATGCCTTGATATTCATGGGGATTGGTTCCAGAACCTCCCTTGGATACCAAAATCCACAGATGCTCAAGTCCCTGATATAAAATGTCGTAGTATTTGCACATAAACTATGCACATCCTCTCATATACTTTAAATCATCCCAAGACTACTTATGATACATAATACATACTGTTTAAATGCTACGTAAATAGCTGTTATACTGTATCATATGGAAAATAATGACAAAAAAGTATGTACTTCTTCAGTACAGACACACTTTTTAAAAATATTTTGATACGTGGTAGGTTGAATCCATTGATGCAGAACCCATGGATACAGAGGACCAACTGTATACCTGCATCAAGCTTTCTGAACACCCATGACATGATTTCTCTTATTTTCCAAAATTATCCAAGCATGTCAAATGTCATTCCACTGTGCAGCTTTTCTGGATTATGCTAGAATAATTATTTGCTAGCTATAATATACTCCTATAGTATTCCTACAAGTTTCTTTTATTTCCTATTACTGACAGTAATATTTTCTACTCACTGTATTGGACCATGAGAAAGTATGCATCTTAATTTATTGGTATGCATTTTAGAATTACTGTGTACATTGAACATGGTGGTATTTTTTATTCCCCCCAAACTCATATGGTATTGGTGGTCCTAAGACCACTGAATTTGCCACAATTATGATATCTGTCTTCTCCGAGAGAATATGAGCCTCTTCAAAGTGAATTGTGTTAATCCAAATTGCGTATATTATAATACCTGGATATTTCATAATTAGTAATAAAGAGAATGGAGCTATTGATTAAAAGTAAGCATGGATACATCTTTACATGCACCAAACAGACCCAAGTAGAAATAGATGAATTAGAAGAGACTGCCTCTCTTATTTAAAGTAGATTAAAAGATGACTGGTATTGTCTTCTTCTGCCCTGAAACATTGCGTTTTGCATCTGTTTCTCCTGGGTGATTTTGGAAGTGTTTTCTCTCAAGATTCTACATGTCAAAAGAGAACACATGAGCAAGAATAGACCTTCAAAGACTTTCAGTGAACAATGCGTGAGCTCCTTCTCAAGCAAGACTAATCAGCATCCATTTTTTTTTTCAGAATTGAGAAAGTCTGTATCTTTCCCAGATTTAAGCTGTAAGAACTATATAATCTTGGAGTTTGTAGGAGACATGTTTTGTAGTATGTGTTGAGGGCGTGTTAGTAAATCAAGTCAATGAAAGCTAAGCAGGACAGAGAGGGGAAAAAAGGTAGGAGAATGGTGAGAGGGATTACTGAAAAGGCAGAAGAGACAGACAGAGTGGAGGACTGGTTCGAATGCCTGGATACAGTTTTATCTGAATCCAGTAAACTATCAATCATATTGTTTGTTTAATTACATTAGCAAATAATTTATCTTTGTTCTCTCTCTCTCTCCTTTTCTCCTCTTTCTGTCTTTTCTTGAAACAAGTGTGAGTTGTGTTTCTGACCTTGGCAAACAAACAATATTTGATAATAAGAAAAAATACTTAATTATGGAAAAAATCTGAAGAAACATGGCAAACAAGCTATTTGATAAGAAGAAAAATATTTAATTATGGAAAAAATCTGAAGGAATTGTCAGATGTTTTCCTTTAAAAATGGGTAATAGCACATAGCCCAGAAATTTTTACCTGATGATGATAATAGTGACAAAAGGGGTAGTTCTTCAAATGCTATGTTTATTTTTGCCGTTGAAAACTAGTTAGTTTAATTTTGTTTACTGAATAATGTGAAATCATTACCACAAAATATATGAACACACTCTGAAGAGCAAAACAGCCAAACAAATTACCTTGGCCAGTTAAATGGATAAATGACTATTTTCTTTATTCTTAGGAAGTACATCCATTTTTCTAAAGTTCATTACCTCTCCTTACCGTGGTCAATAAGTACTTGTAGAACTTCAGGGATAATTTTTGTTTTGAGATAATCAGCCTGAGATGATAGGTTTTGTAGTCTTGATGACTACATTTCTTATTTATAAGTGTGAGGAGTGCTCCCTCAATTTCACTGTCTTCTCCATAACACATGATCCATGAAAAGCTTCATTCCTCTGAAATCAATCATTAGATCTCAGAAAAAAAGTATGCCCCAGAAAGGGAACCTGATTTAAAAAGTTAAACTGAAGATGTCTTTTCGGTGTGGACTAGTGTTCTCTTTGCTTTCTTTTGTCTATACTAGTTTTCCTTAACATGTCTCACTTCTTCAAGATAAAATTAAAGAAATGCGTGCCAAACACACAGAAGGAATGAAATAGCTGCTGATCTTCAGCCATCTGGGGAGTGGACAGTGATGTGTCCTAGAGTTCTAGTTCTTCTTCCTGCCCTAGGCCACTTCTGAGGATGGTTGCATTCCTCTTTGTGTCCCCATTCAGTGAAATATTCTCATAAGTATCAATTCTCAAAAATTTCACTTTGATGTATCAATCATCCTGAGCAGCTTTATGATGGAATGCTTTTTCCCCCAGTAGGAGGCAGAATAACACAGCAAAATCAGATAGAGAGGTGCATTCTGATTTTGCCACGCCCTATTGTGTCATTTATTAAAAACCTGTTTGTTTTATTTAACTTTTTTTAACTTAACTGATGTATAATTGGCAAAAATGATATATATTTAAGATGTACCATATGATGATTTGACATGCATGTACATTGTGAATCACTGCATTAAACTAATTAACATATCCATCATCCTAATGTGTAATTTAAGAAAACAATTGGCTGTGCATGGTGGCTCACGCCTGTAATCCCAGCACTTTGGGAGGCCGAGGCGGGTGGATCATGAGGTCAAGAGCTGGAGACCATCCCGGCCAACATGGTGAAACCCCGTCTCTACTAAAAATACAAAAATTAGCTGGGTGTGGTGATGCATGCCTGTAGTCCCAGCTACTCCAGAGGCTGAGACAGGAGAATCGCTTGAACCCGGGAGGCGGCGGTTGCAGTGCGCTGAAATTGCGCCACTGCACTCCAGCCTGGTGACAGAATGCGACTCTGTCTCAAAAAAAACAAAAACAAAAACAAATTTAAGATCTTTAATCATCAATGCTAATTAAAATGGTAATAATAATAGTTCCTAACCAGTGAAGTTATTGAGATGCTCAGATGACAATATTTAAAATTAATTAGAAATAAAATCTAGCACATGATAAGCAATCAATGTATTAGATATAATTATCAATATTCTCCACCTTTTTTTCTTCCCCCTCTTATTTCATTCTCATGATGATATAATTAGTGAGCTACTGGCATTAATGGGAGTAACATCATTCCTCAACTGAGTTAAGGAAGAAAAGCAAACCCTGCAAACTATTATAATAAGCTAAGCCCCATGAAGAAGAGATTTTATTAATTACATGTTACCATGCCAGGATTTTCTATTTAACAGGGGATTTTGAAGATGAGGTAAAGCCTTAATGCAAAGGCAGATGGAATAGATGGATAACTCCTACTTACTAAGTCATGGTTCCATTGATTCTCTAAGAAAGAATTTTATGCTTCTCAGCAGGTAAAGAGGGCGGTTCTTCAATTCTCCCTTGAATCACCCCTTAGACAATGCTAATGGATGCAGGTACTGATGCACCCTGCTGATACCTCAAGGAAAACATAAATCTAACTCCATACATCCCAGGTTGCAGAAGCCTGTCTACCAAAGTGCGTAAAAAGAATGGTCCAACCCTTTCAAGAAAATAACTAACCAAATGGTACTCTCAGTAGGAGCCTGCTGTAATTTACTGGAACTGTATTATATGCTTGAATGAGTCCTGGAACAATGCTATTCCACTTTATTCTGAGAGTTACTCATGATCACACAGATAAGAACAAGTACTAGCAGTAGCCTCTGCTTAAAGTATCATTGCCCTATTAATATATCTGCTGAACATATGGAAGGCATGAGTTTCAGCACAGAGGGTCTACTGGGGAGAGAGGTGAGCATGCTAAAAATGAAATTGGTATGCAGTCACAATCTGGCCAGACAAGGACTTGCGTTGCAGAGCTCACATATTTGGCTGTCAGTGGAACATTCCCAGACTTTGGGTTTTTTGTTTTTTTTTTTATACTTTAAGTTCTAGGGTACATGTGCACAACATGCAGGTTTGTTACATGTGTATACATGTGCCATGTTGGTGTGCTGCACCCACTAACTCGTCATTTACATTAGGTATATCTCCTAATGCTATCCCTTCCCCTTCCCCCCCACCCCATGACAGGCCACGGTGTGTGATGTTCCCCTTCCTGTGTCCACGTGTTCTCATTCTTCAATTCCCACCTATGAGTGAGAACCTGCTGTATTTGGTTTTTTGTCGTTGTGATAGTTGGCTCAGAATTTGAATAGATGGAAGACACCCCCTTTTTACTTTACTTTCCTGTAATGCTCATACATCTTTGGACTTTCAGATTGATTTCTAGAAATAGATCTTTTGCCTACTATAAAAGGGTTCCCCTGGGAAGATTTAGGGTGTAGGGATAGACACAAAGAATGCAAACTGTCTTGCTTCAGGTTTGAAGCTCTCCATGACATGATCCCAAGTCCCTTTCTCAGTCTTATTGCCACTACACATTTTCCTGGGTCTTATACATCAACTAAGCTGGCATCTTCTGAATCCCCCCAACTTAGGCTTTATTCATTCCCTTGCCTTCCCCCAGACCATCTTCACCATGCTTCTCCAGTTGATAAAATTCTTCATTTTTGAGGTCCAGCCCAAATGTTATCTCGTCATTGAAGTCTTAGATGGTCTCTTTAGGAAGGTCACGGGTCCAAATTGGTGATACTTTTACTTTGGCTATGGCTTACTTTCCTTGTTAATGCATGCATCTTTGTCAGGAGGGATTATGTTGTCTTTCTCTCTTTATTTCCCACACAATGCCTACCACAGTAGAGAGTCAGAAGTAGTGCTGTCCCAACAATTACAAGAAAAAAGTCAGACAAAATGCAAGTTCATAACTTTTATGGAAATTGCGATTGAGCTGAAATCTCAAAACAATCAACTAGAAGAAAATCTGGGGAGAGACAGATGCCTTGAGGGAAACAAATCTGTGATGGAAGCACTTACTTACCTGGGGCATGTGGTATATGCATTTTGCAGAGTTCATTACCTCTCCTACTTACAATGGTCAATTAGTGTTTCTAAAACTTCAAGGAAAATTTATTTTTTGAGATACTCATTGCAGGGTTATAGGGTTTGTAGTCTTGCTGACTAAATTTTATTTTTTTCATTCATAGGTATGAAGGATACTTCCTTAAGTTCTATCACTGTTTTTCCCATAGCACATGATTCAGGAAGCATTAAATCTCAGAAAAAGTTACACCTGGGGAAGAAAAATGTTATCTGATCAAAGAAGTTAAGATGAAGGTGTCTTTTTGGTGTCCTCTCATCTTTTCTTTGGCACCCCTTATATATAATAACATTCCTCAACATATCAATTTTCTTTAAGATAAATTTAAAAATGTATGAATAAGCAACTGTTTTATGACCGAAAAGAAAAAATATAGAGCAGTTGAGTTGATGAACACCGAACACATGGAGGTGCTAAGAGAGTGGCATCCCAGAGAGGGCATGGAAGCTCTGTTTCACTTCCGCCACACCTTGCCCCATGCTTCTCTTCTATTTGACTGCTCCAGAGTTGTATCCTTTATAATGAATGATAATAGATATCTGAGATAAACTGTGATTTGGTGGTGCAGAAATGAAAATGATTTTGTCTTGCCCTTGGTGCATTATGGCCACCGTGGACCTAAATACTGGAATTATTAAGCCATATAAAAGTAATTTGTTTGTAATTTGGGTGACTTTGGGTGCAAACCCTGGTAGGAGCCACTGGAAACCCTGAAGAGTTACTGCCTGTCTGATCCCTCTGAGAAGCAACTATATAAGTTGTCTGTATTTTCTGAAATCTATTATTCAGTAGAAAAAATTAAAAGGTTGAGAGTTGGTGACCCAGTTTATTAGATGGTGCAATGATGGGTCCATAAGCGTGCTATGGTGGAGAGTTTCAGCATCCAGGCTGATCAGGATTTTAACAACAATAGCCAGAATACCTCAGCAAGTTTCTATTACCTAGCCTTTGGCCATCTTTACTATAAAACTGAATCTCTATTTTTGACTTTTTGGAGTTATATATGCTCTGAGTTAATTCAATGAAAATATTAAAGGTGATTTGGGAATAAGAAAACACATTTTAATGAAGACTTTTTAAATAAATAAAATTTTCTATAAAATTATTTTGAATGTTATTGTAGCTATTTCATTTCTCTAATCCCTGACATTAATGTTGATGAGTAAAGAAAGTTTGAAGAATCACTTGAAAAGCTGCAGAAACATTTTAAATGCCTCCATTTTATTACCTCTCATTACATGTTTTAGGAAAAGTGGGAAACAACAAGGCACTGTTTCTGATGTGCCTTTATGTACTAACACTCACTCATTCTGCCAGTTGGTCTTTACATGGCTATTGAGTCCTCTTGAATTTTCACTCTTGTGCTTTTTACTCTATCATTATGAAATCAGAGTTGTATTAGAGTACTGAAATTACTTTATAGACCTTGTTTTTATATTCAATTATGCCTCTGTTAAGCCATAGAAAAGTAATTTGTTTGTGAGTAACAGCAGATATACCACCTGGAACTCCAAATACAATAAAGAAGAAAATGGAATTTAAAAGACAATGGAATTTTGAGGGTAGGAGTAGAAGGAATGATGCATGAACATATTTTAGCTACAAACAAATAATTTTTTGTAACAAAGAGAAATGAACTATTTGGTGTGACTGTGCAATAATACTCACTGAAATAATATGTGAGTGAACTAACCTACTTCTGAATTTGTGTTTTTTATTATTAATAAAGGTGAATTTCAATTCTAAGGGAAAAAAAGTATGCCTAAAGGAAAGAAATGGCTACTGATCTTCAGTCCAGGTGGGAAGCGGACAGTGCAGTTTTTTGGAATTCCAGTCTCAACTCCCGCATTCAGTCACTTCTGAGCACCACTATATCCCCACTTTCTCGTCGACGCTGAGTGAAGTAAAAATAGTTGATGAATCGGTGGGTCTTGAGTGAAGGCCTTGGAGAGTTTTCAACCCCTAGGGATGTCGTATGGGAGATGGTTCACATAATCTCACAGCCTTTTCTACCTTGAACTCCACCAGTTGCGCCCAGGGAAGACCGTGGAAGATGCTGATAAAGCTTCCCTTGTTGGGCTGAAATAATAAAGGGCGATAACAGCTGCTGTGTAAGAGTCACTGAACTCCCCTGTGCTCTTCTCCCCATTGCCTGGATGGAAAGAAAAGCTTTAATCTGAGGGGCAATGGCAACATAAACCATCTCCCCTAGGGTAATGGGAAAAAGGGACTAAGAAACAAAAACAAAAACAAACCCTTGTATTACCAGGGAGAGGTAGGGATACGTGCAAGAGGAACCACTGTGGTAGAAAAAGCTGGAACACTGAATAGGCTACACCATGATTTCAGGAACACAGTGCTTTCCGAAGGCAGAAGATTAATCAGAATCACCAGTGTATGCTCCCCACTGATCCCCATCATCAGGCTGAGGGGCATTGAATAGCAAGTAACCATGAAATACTGCCAGAAGAGTTGGAAGAGACAGACTCCCACTGAGGCACAGCATGAATGGAGGATCTAAAACTGAAATTCAGGGTGATCTTGACGAAAGCCCTCTGGAAAAACCAGCTGTTACCCTAAACATAAGATATCTCTAAAGGAATTTGAAGCCTGTGGTGTACTCAAGATGACTAAAGCAACAACGAACCTCTAAACCCAGCTTAACTCTTGACCAGGAGTTAAGAAAAACGACCTACACCAAATGCCCAGCAGAAGAAAAGGAATGCTGTTTTCCGAGCATAAAAGCTGCTTCCCCCAATCTCTGTGGCCTTACCTGCAACAACAAAAAACTACTCAGCATAAAAAGACACAAACAGAAGTTTTTAAAAACTGAGAAAGCATTCCCCAAAAGGACAAATCAATCAGCAGAACCAAACTCAGATTTGACACACGTCTGGGGACTGAAATGCAGTTTAAAATATTTGTAATATGTTAAAGTTACCAATGGAAAAGGTTGACAACATCCAAGAACAAATGCTATTTTAGAAGAAAGATGGAAACTATAAGTAAAAAATTACTTGCGAATGTTAAAAAGGAAAAACACAATAGCAGTAATAAAGATCACCTCCAAAGGGCTAATCAGAAGAGATGACACAAGTAAAGAAAGATTCACTGAACGTGAAGATAGGTCAGTAGAAATTACCACAACTGAATTACAAAGCGAATAAAGAGTGAAAAATAACAGAGCATCCAAAAGCTGTGGGGTAATATCAGACAATCTACGACACATGTAATCAAAATAATAGACAAAAAGAGAAGGAGCAGAATTATTAAAGATTTAACAGAATTTTCCAAAGTTAATGACAGACACAATAATCTCAGTGAAAACCAAGCAGGATTAAAAATAAAATTCACACCTGTGCATATAATCTTCAGACTGTTGAAAATAAAAAGCAATAAGAATGTCCTGAAGGTATCCGGGTGGAAATGATAAAAATGAAAAAAGAAAAAATAAAAAATAAAAGAATGAGCAAAGCTTAAGGGTTATAGCAGACTTCTTATCAGAAACTATTCAATCCATAAGGTAATGGAGTGACAGCTTTAAAGTGTTGAAAGAAATAAAAGTGAACACAGAACTCTATATCCAGTGAAAATATCTTTTAAGAACACAGGAAAAATAAAGACTTCATGAGTAACAAAGATGGAGAGAATTTATTGCCAGCAGACCTACACTACAACGAACATTAAAGAAAGTTCTTTAGGGAGAAGGAATAGGATACTAGATGAAACAGGAATCTACACAAAAAATGTCAAATGCTCTAAATCAAATACACGAGGGTAAAATAATATATTTCTTTTTCTTATTTTTAATTGCTCTAAAAGATAACTGATTCTCTAAGTAAGAAATAGTAGCAATATTGTGAGTTTATAACATAGTATAAGTAAAATATATGGCAACAACAGTGCCAAGTGTGGAGGAAGAAACTGAGACTATACTGTTGTAAGGTCCTTAAACTACACATTTGAAGAAAGATTCTGATTAATTTCAGAGGTGTATTGTTAACCCCAAACAACCACTAAAAAAAAAAGTTAATAATGGAGATAGCATAGAATAATAAAAAATGTGCATCCAACTTAAGGCAGAAAAACAGGGGGAAAAAGAGATGAAATAAACTGAAAATAGCTTGAAGATTTATTTTATTTTATTTTTATTTTTGAGACGGAGTTTTGCTCTTGTTGCCCAGGCTGGAGTGCAATGGCGTGATCTCAGCTCAGGGCAACCTCTGCCTCCCAGGTTGAAGCGATTCTCCTGTCTCAGCCTCCCACGTAGCTGGGATTCCAGGCATGTGCCACCACACCCGGCTAACTTTGTCTTTTTAGTAGGGACAGGGTTTCTCCATGTTGGTCAGGCTGGTCTGGAACTCCCGACCTCAGGTGATCCGCCCCCCTCGGCCTCCCAAAGCGCTGGGATTACAGGCATGAGCCACCAAGCCCGGTGAAGATTTATTTTAATTCAACCATATCAATAATCTTATTAATTATGTGAGGTCTAAATACTGTAATTACAAAATCAGAGGCTGTCAAATTGATAAAAAAACTAAACCCAACTATATTCTATCCATAGGAAAACTGCTTTGAATATAAGACATTGATCAATTAAATGTAAAAGGATGAAACAAGATGTACTAAGCAAACACTAATCAAAAAACAAGCTAAAGTAGCAATGTCAGTATCAGACAAAATACGCCTCAGAACAAGAAATAGTATCAAAGATATACAGACATGTTAGGCAGTGATAAAGTCAATTCTCCAAGAAAACACACAATCCTGTTTAAGTTATTAGGTGCATGCATCTAATGCTAATAACAAAGCTTCAAGTTACATGACACAAAACCCGATAGAACTGAAAAGAGAAATTGACGAGCCCACAGTTGTAGTTGGAGCTATTAACATTTTCATCGAAGTATATAATAAGAAGGCAGAAAACCAGAAAGAAGAGCAATGACCTGGACAATGCTGTAAATGAACTTGGTATAAACAACTTAGCATTTATAGAGCATTCCATGCAATGATAAGCATTTTTCTCAAGTTAAAATGGATCATTCACCAAGATAGATATATCCAGTGGTACAAAACAACCATAGTATATTTTAAAGAAAAAAAAGATACAAAATGTGTCTTCAGGCCATAATAAAATTAAACTAGAAATTAATAAAATAAGAATACCTGGAAAGACCCCAAACATTAGAAAATTAAACAACACACGTCTAAATAACCCTTTGGTCAAAGAAGAAGTCTCAAGGCAAGTAAAAAAATATTTTGAGCTTCTTAAAAATGAAAATACTACATTCAGAATTCAGGGGATGCAGATAAAACCATGTCCTTACAGGAAAAGTTTAGCATTAAATGTACTTATTAGGATAAAAGGAAAGTCTTAGATCAGCAACCTAAATCTTTATCCTATAAAAAAAAAAATGAGTAAAAGAAGGGCAAGTTAAACTCCAAGTAAACAAAATGAAAAAAAGATAAAAGTTAACACTGGGCGCGGTGGCTCATGCCTGTAATCCCAGCACTTTGGGAGGCCAAGGCAGGCGGATTACCTGAGGTCAAGAGATCGAGACCAGCCTGGCCAACATGGTGAAACCCCATCTCTACTAAAAATATGAAAATTAGCCAGGCGTGGTGGCACACACCTGTAATCCCAGCTACTCATGAGGCAGGAGAGTTGCTTGAGCACAGGAGGCTGAGGTTGTAGTGAGCTGAGATCATGACACTGCACTCCAGCCTGGCCGACAGAGCGAGAGTCTGTCTCAAAAAAAAAAAAAAAAAAAAAAAATACTCCTTAGTATTTACCCAAAGGAGTTGAAAGCATATGTCCACATAATAACTTGGACACAGATGTGTATAGTAACTTTATTCATAATCAGCAAAACTTGGAAACAACGAAGATGTCCTTCAGTGTGTGAGTGGATAAACTGTGGTACAGCCAAACAGTGGAATATGATTTCGTGCCGAAAAGAAATGAGCTATTAAACCCTGAAAAGACACTTAGATATTACTAAATGAAAGACGCCGATTTGAAAAGGATTTCTGACTTTCTGGAAAAGGCGAAACTATCGAATCAGTAAAAAGATTAGTGGTTGTCACCAGTTGGGGGAAAGAGGGATGAACAGGCAGAGTACAGACAACTTTTAGGGCAGTGAAAATGCCCTGTAAGATACTATAATGGCAGATATATATCATTACACATTTTTCCAAACCCACAGCATGTGCAACACCAAGAGTAAACGCTATTGTAAACTATGAATTTCAGGTGATAATAATGTGTCGACGTAGGTTCTTCCACTGGAACAATTGTGTGGGATCACTCTTGTGTGGGATGTCGAGAGTGGGGAAGTAGTGCATGTGTAGAGGTAGGGGATATATGGGAACTCTGTACCTTTCACTGAATTTTACTGTGAACTCAAAACTGCTCTAAGAAATATAGTTTATTAATAAAATAAACCGAAACAAAACAGAGAGCACTAATATGCAAATTATACTGGCGAGGTTATTGTTTTACGCAGACATTAGAAGTAAGCTTATGCCTGTTTTTACATTGTAAAGATGTCACCCTACCAGGGACACTTTTCCTTTAGACATTTGAATGGATGGTTCTTTTTTTTTTTTTTTTTTTTTTTTGAGACGGAGTCTCGCTCTGTCGCCCAGGCTGGAGTGCGGTGGCGCCATCTCGGCTCACTGCGAGCTCCGCCTCCCGGGTTCACACCATTCTCCTGCCTCCGCCTCCCGAGTAGCTGGGACTACAGGCGCCCAACACCACGCCCGGCTAATTTTTTTGTATTTTTAGTAGAGACAGAGTTTCACCATGTTAGCCAGGATGGTCTCCATCTCCTAACCTCGTGATCCGCCCGCCTCGGCCTCCCAAAGTGCTGGGTTTACAGGCGTGAGCCACCGCGCCCGGCCTGGATGGTTCTTTTTATTATCCAGAGCTCATCTCAAATATTAGGTTCTTAGAGAAGTTGGCTCTAACCACTCTATGTAAAACAACTACACATTGTATATTTTAACACATATTTAATCATGAAAATATTATTTGATCATCTCCTAAAAGATTAAAAAATGATAAACATTAAGGATTTTTTGAAAGAGGCAGTTTTGCTTATATAGGTTTTCTTTATTGCTTTTCTATTTTTAATTTTTTAATTTTAACTTTTTTTTTTTTTTCTTTTTTTTAGAGCAACACTCATTAGAACGGCCAATATCCAAAACACTGGCAACACCAAATGTGGCAAGGATGCGAAATAGCAGTAGCTCTCATTCATTGCTGGTGGAAATGCAAAATGATACAGACCCTTTGCAAAACGGTTCAGCAACTTCATAGGAAAAGAGTATGCTGAGTGTTGTTCTATCTCATTGTTGCTTTAATTTGCAGTACTCTAAATATACATAATGTTGAACATCTTTTCATGTGCTTAATTGCCATCTGTGTATCTTCTTCTGTCAGATGTCTGTCCAGATGATTGGATTTTTAATATAATAATTATGTATCTTTAATATAGATTATGTTTACATTGTTTAAAGTAAGTGAAATATATTTAAAAAAATGCAGATCCAAAAGTTTTGGAACCTATAAAAAAATCCACAGAAATCCATAGAAAGAGTTTTAAAAACACAGAGCTAGAAAACCTCTGTTATTTCCAATTTTCATCTTCTAGGATTCAAAGACATTGGATAGATAGAGGGAAGCAGGTTTTCTTGACATGTTTGTATTATGGCCAAGTTTGATAAAAATAAATCCATTCCAAAAAGCAAAAGGAATGCAAAGCAATCTAGTTGCAAGGTATACAGTTAGTCCTCCGAATATTCTGACTTTGAATTTGGTAAGAATTTCTTCTTATTAGTAAGAAAAGTATTCATAGCTGTATTCTCAATCAGCCTTTGCTGCAGTCACTCTTCAGAGTTTTTATTCTTGTCTTTGTCTGTGGAGCCTGAAAGAATTACGCCTATAAATAAGGTAGAAAGTTCTACTGGTTAGAAGTAGATAAACAGATTACATGCTTATCTCTGTGGTATGTCAGCACCCTACAAATTGGGGAATTGAATAGATCCATGTTCAAACAAGAAGTTTGCTCTACATTTCTACTCTATTCTGTTCTCAGAAATTAAATTGTAATAGACATTTAAAAAGTAGTGGTTGTACAGATCAGTATTTTACTGATTCTTAGAGAGTAGATTTTAATCAAATAT
Source organism: Homo sapiens (assembly GCF_000001405.40). NCBI lineage: Eukaryota > Metazoa > Chordata > Mammalia > Primates > Hominidae > Homo > Homo sapiens. The sequence goes on from NC_000003.12 coordinate 6,215,922, forward strand.
GCCTTTCTTTGATTTTAAAAAGGAGAGAGCAAAAGCCCATTGAAAAGAAAAAAAATTCCATCTTCTACTATTACTATAGTTATAAAGTTGGATAATAATTAATAAACAGCCCTTGGGGAAGTTTTATGCATTGCATTAATATAATTTTTCTCAAACTATGCATGCAGTGATTCACAGTGAGAGTGACGTGCCTCTGGTGAATTTTGAAACTTCAAACATGCTGATTGGGGAAAACTTCCCTAGTGATTCCAGCATATATTTAATTGCATATGTCTATGGTCTTTTTTAAAAAAATGTTGTCTTTTGGAATCCCATGATAGCTTTTCAGCAAAAAATCCTCCTGATTACTTGACCATCTAGTTTTTCCTATTTGTATTAGAAGTACAAACAGTAGGGATTATATAACTGTGCTTTGGGATAAGACTTCAGCAAGGACATTGCACCTGATCTTTTCAAGGTTATTTCTGGCTGCATAACAAATTGCTTCAAAACTTAATGGATTAAAATAACTATTCTATTTCTCTCATACTTTGAGGGCTCAGGAAGTCTCCAGATTGCTGAGCCTATCATCATCAACTGAAGATTTGCCTGGGCTGCAACATTCAAGCTCTCTCACTCTCACAGCTGGTAACAAATTGCTGGCTGTTCTGGGGCACCTTCGTGTGGCCTCTCCATGGGTAATGGGAGTCTCACAGCATGACAACTTTGTTCCAAGACAGGTGTCCCAAGAGGGAGCAGCTAAAAGGCAAATATTCAAGGAAATCAAAGAAAAAGCTGCCAGGTGTCTTCTAACTTCATCTCAGATATCTCACTGTATGGTTATAAGTGAGTCACATTCAAAAGAAGAAGAAATTGTCCCCCTCTGCCAACGGGAAAAATGCCAAAGAGTTTAAAGTCATCTTTATTGCATCACATACAGTGTTTCTTAAATGGCAACTTGGTCATTCAGTATTGGCCAATTTCGCTGGGGAATTATCAATGTTCCATCCACATCTTGTTATAGCAGTGTCAAAAATATTTCCTATGTCAACCTCCCCTCTAGTTTCCCAGCTCACTTTATATACCTTAAAATATCTAAAAATGTAACCAACAAAGCTTATTGTAGAAAGTCTGAACACAGAAAAACAGATTAAAAATATACCTTGCTTCTAATCTCATTATTTAGTGATATCCATATTTTGCCATTTTAGCATAAACATTCAAGTTTATATAATTTTGTTAAATTGCTTTTTCATTTAAGAGTTAAACAGTGTTCCATGTCATTAAATTTTTTATATTATTTACATCTTTTAAATACTTTCATTATTTTAGAAAAATCTTATATTGTCTTACTAATTTTTTTTTTTTTTTTTGAGACGGGGTCTCGCTCTGTTGCCCAGGCTGGAGTGCAGTGGCGAGATCTCAGCTCACTGCAAGCTCTGCCTCCCAGGTTCCCACCATTTTCCTGCCCCAGCCTCCTGAGTTGCTGGGACTACAGGCGCCCGCCACCACATCCGGCTAATTTTTTTTTTGTATTTTTTTTTTAGTAGAGACGGGGTTTCACCATGTTAGCCAGGATGGTCTCGATCTCCTGACCTCGTGATTGATCCACCTGCCTCGAATTTCTTAAGGAGTATACAAAATAAAATTTATTTTCACTTTCCTTTCAGTTCATATCCATTATTGATATGGTAGTGATATTGGTGTGGTAGAGATTCACAAGAAGATGGTCGAAAACATATAATTGAATGAATCATATCATGTCACGAAAATGATACCATGGCTTAAGTTCAGATTCAATATCCTTTATCTATAATTATAGAATTGAAAAAGAATCTGAAAAACAATTTTTGGTTTTGTTTTTATAACTTATCTGGCAATAAGAACTGATCTCATCTAATGAGAGACTATGATACTTATTTTAAACAATATTTTGTATATTCATAACTTTGGCTGCAGAAATATTAATATTCAACTATGGATTGCTGCCTGAGACCCCCCCCCCCCCGGTGGTATATGTACTATATTAATTTTCTAAACTAGAAAATCTAAATTCTGAATGAATGAGGTCACAATGTTTTCTCAAAAAATTAATAATAGGATCTAACATCTATTGAGCTAGTGTTAGACACTGTTCTACGTTAATATGCATATTTGTTCATTTTATCCTCTAAACCAACAAATATGAATGATTATCCATTTCTCACTAGAACACGGACTCTCAAAGAGAGTGAAAAATAACTAGCAAGTGGAAGATGTATAATTCAATTTGACCCCCAAGCCTGTTTATTTTTTTACATTATTTTGCTTGACTTATTCATTGGCAGATAATTTTCTAAATACACTGAACTGTCTTCAGTAGGGCAAAATTAAGGTTTTAGTGTTTTCCTCTTTTTCTCCCACTCTATTTTCTAAATTCCTATAAATTCAAAGAATTGTATGATTGTTTACGGGGCTACCTGCTCTGTCCTCCTAAGACGGTGAAATCTCATTTTCTTCGCATTTTTTTTCGTTTCCTCTGTTGTCAATTTGTTAACTTCTAACCTCCCCTACTTTTATTCTCTGCCATGGGCATTGCCTACTTCTATCTTCTTCACTGTGTTTTTCAGTTTGATGTAAATATGACAAGCCACCTTAAGGTAAAATGTTGCATTGGAAAATAAATTCAAATGGTAATTTACGAGGCCTTGATAAGTAACGTGAATCTGTACAAAAGAATTCTGCAAGAGGTAACAGTTGAGAAATTGCATCATGCAATACACAGAAAATCTTCCTAAAAATACTCTTCTGTAATTGCGTTTCTCATAGTAATTGTTATCTTCTTTTGTTTACATCTCTTTGTTTATAGTCATCTACCTCCATCTTTTTGATAGCTTCCTAAATCCCTTTATACTTTATTCTCTATTTTTCTAGACCTATCGTTTTCTTCTCCAGGAGTTTCTTGTTATTTTTTATGTAAAGCCACTCACCCCTTCTTTCAAACAAAATGTTCTTAGAAGACTGGAGTTGGTGTTAGGGCCACTTTGCCTACCTGTTTTTGTTTCAGGCACGCATGCTTCTCCTGTGATATTGTCTATGCATTTTTGTATGAAACAGCCAGAATTAATCCACATTAGTAGGCAATTGAAGCATTCAAGCTCCAGTCTAACTCCTGCTGGTTTACTTTTTCTCCGAAATATGCTATCTTTGTATTTGATTAGAGCTCTACTGTGCAGCAAAAATATTTTTGCTTGTTTTAGATATAATTATTCTAGTTCTACTTTGATTAGAATCTCATTGAAGATAAAGTGGAGAAATAAGTTAACAACTGGGATACAAATAAAGCTGACTTATATAGAGAGATGTGATCATTCCCAAATCTTTCCTGACCCATTGAGCTACCGTCATCATTCTTGGAATTTCCATCGTACATTTTCCAGAGCAGATGCTCAGCAAATATTTGAATGAATATCATAGAACATTAGTTCGCTAATAAAAGGACATGGGCCCATGAGGTTTGCTTGCTACTCAGCTTCTAATCCTTTCGTATTGTTCATTCACAATTTTACTACTGCTCCTTAAAAAAAAAAAAAAAAAATTTTAAGCTTAGAAAGCAAGCTCTGGTGCAGGGCCTATCATGGGCATATCCAAAACTACGGTTTATATGGGACAACGATTGGCATATGCTTGTTTCTGAATATGATATTTATATCTATGGAAATCTGCCAAAATCTACATTCCCAACCATCTGACGTAATGTCGATCACAAGTTAATCTACCAAGATGATCCACTCCACCTTTCCTGGGACATTTTGTTTCCTGACAAAGGGAAGAGACAACAAAATGTTTATCAGGAGTTGAGTTTGGCCATCATTTAAAACTTTTAAGTCATCCCCCTAAAAATAAACAAACCAATACAGCATTGTTCTTGACCTTGATTAAATAATATTCAAAGCTAGTTTTAGTTAGTGACATATAGAGATCTTAGAATAAGATGAGGACAGAATAAGGCCAATTTATGTACTGTGCAGAACACAGTTTTGAAGGAGGAGTGAGATTATATAAATTCCTTTTTTTTCCTAAATCATCTACTTTATAGTTAATATATTCCTCTTGGATCCACAAAACACTTACAACTCTTTCTAGGAATAGTATTTTGTTCTAATAGCTAAAACGATTCCCATTCATTCAGGACCATGTGGGTAGTGTATCATTTCCTGTGCAAAATGAAAGTTCAGATCCTCACCTTAAAAAACAAACAAAAACCAGGTAAAAATGCCATTAAAGCTACTAAATCTACAGCTTTTTTTTAGTTTGCAGACTATTACTCTCATTTGTCATGATTATTCATTAGTTAAAGCCTTAAGTAAAAAATTTAAATTTTAACATTATTAGCATGGCTTTTGTCATTCATCTTTATATTGTACAATGCCAATTTTAAATGCAAATGTAGAAGCAATTAACTTATAGATGGAATAATGAAAATTACACAAGTACTATTTTCCAGCTTATATGCATATGTATTTCATTCTTAGCTGAAGAATCGAATAGAGACTATTCATAAACTAATTCACCTGTTCTTATTTAATTTGATACGCACACCTTCTATCAATGCTATCTTTGGCTTAGAAATGAGGAAGGAGGAACTGAAAAAAAAGGAAACTATGTGTTGCCCTTTATTTCCCTTTTCTTATGTGTCAGCAGTTTTCCATAAGTGGCTATTAATAAAGTCATATAAAGTAAGGAAATACATGACAGATTTCTTAGCCACTCATGTCTCTTAGAATGCTGTTGCCTTCTTTCTGTCTTCAAAGCAAGTTCTAGTTTGAACAGAAGGTGTGGTTTCTCAGAAATGAGAACACCCCACTCACTCAATCATAAAATATGCTTACCTTGCATTTACTTTTAGTCCGGTTGCACTCTCACATGTTGTAGGTCCATTGGAATTCTGTGCTTATGGGCCATTAATGACACTGTATGCAAATAGGGTGGCATGGAACAGTGGCAGAGGTGCATATTGCATGTATATCCTTTGCTCATGCACCTGCTTTCTTGCCTCATCAGACTTCACATGCAAAGCACAAGTTTAAAGATAAAATGAATAACAATTTTAATAGGGCAATTTTCCAGCTTGTACACCTATGAAGTTGTGCCTGCCTACGTTTCACTCTTGTTTTCTTGAAAAATTGTAACCCAAGAGTGAACAGTAGGAGAAAGAAGGGGAACAACCCAACCACAGGCTTGAGTCTCATGTCAGGATTGTTTAATAATCTGGACACACGAATCCACTATTGGAGACAATTTCATATTTAACCAAACCCTATTTTAGTGAAAATCTGTCTTATTCTGGAACAGATTAGATGAATAGAAAAAGGTACTTGGAAAACATGTGGTATGTAAACAGACGTTGCCCAAGTGGGAGGCTTAAAGAAATTACAGAAGAACATGCAGCTGTTTCTAAATTGTAAACTCAAATTCAGATGATATTTAAGTAGTTTTATTTTCTCTCTGCATATTAGATTTCTAGTTTCTAAAAAATTACAATCAGGCACCATATATCCTAAATCACAAAGCCCCTCCTACTCCTAGATGTGAAATATGTTTTCTTTAAACGGGTTTACCCACTGAAAAAGAAAAGATGGCAGGGAAGATGTTAGAGCCATGTGTGTCTCGCCAGATTGTGCCTTCTCATTTTGGGTGTCTCTGAGCCATCATTCTGAAGACAGATAGTAATCTAGAAATGGATTTGTACCTTTTACACATCATTAGCTTACATTTTCCCTGCCTGTCAAGCAGGCCAAAGATTAATGATTCAGAATTCTCTGCCTCACTGATTCTTTTTCCTATCTGAGGATTATATATTTATTTTCACCTTCCACATTTGACCATTGAATAGGACTCAGGAAAGTATGTATGGCAATGTGTCTCAATACTACACTTGTGTAACATTCTGTCTATGTATGATCCTTAAGAAAGCAAGGTGGCAATACTGAAATCAAATGGCATATGACACAACCAGTCCAATAAATTTGAGAAGATTTTGTTCTTTGGAGATATATGAATGTGTTTTGGAGAATTTATCTTGCCTATGAAATCAAAGATAGTGAAATGCAGGGGCCTACATGGTATGGTCTTAAATTTCAAACATTCAGGCAAATTTTGCATATTTCATTTCAGGAAAAGCCAGTTTTCTTAGCTTACTGAACATGATAATCTATTCTGAATAACTTTACTTCTTCAATTTTTAAGTAAAACTTGAGGCAGGGGAATTTCTACCAAACTTATGATGTTATGAACTTATTAAATGCAGTAAAACTCCTTTTTTGGGGCACTAGTAGAACAGTAAAAAAGCCTTGACCCTGTTTATTTAGCTATTATGTAATTGCGTGGGAACAGAGTGTGAAGTGAAGAGATAGAGTTTCAGACCCAGAAAGCCATTAATACTACTCCAGCCTTTCAAAGCCACAATGACTTTATCTGTAAAAGTTCTATAATTCTTCAGACCTTGCCTGTTGACATTGAAGAAAGGTTGTTGGATGTTGAACATTGAAAGAGATAATCTGAGGCTCTGACACATACCAGGTGTGCCGAGGTGTGGATAGAGGTCACGTACAAGGGGTAGTTGTTGTGGAATGTGAGTGTAGATGAATCAATAGGTGTTTATTAAGTACCTACTAACTGTGAGCACTTTGAATGTGTGCGAGATGTAAAGAATACATCTCTGCTCTCAAGGGATAAAGACAAAACAATAGTAAGCAAGAGGACATCGCCACATTTCATGTGCCCAGCACTCAGTTGTCCTCATACTGAGTGTGGTCCGTGTACGAACACATTTGGCACTCACAACCATCCTATGACTTAGGTTCAGTGTATATCACCTCTGCTTTAAAAGGAGATAAATCACCAGGAAGTTCAGTAACTTTCTCAAGCTCATACAAACAGGAAATGGTGAGACTGGGTCTGAAAAGCAGAATGTTTGAATCCACAGTCTGCAATCAACCTTCCTTTATTATAAAAAATTAAATCCTAAATTTTGTCTTTAAATCTTCAGCAGTAATTTTGTGCTCATTTTAGGGAAAGAGCAATTCTGTGTTTTGTGTGCATTTGCTAGCCATTTCCCTTAATGAAGCATTACATAAAGTAATTTATTTGTTGAAAAAACACAGGTAGGAGATCAGAAAAATGCAAGAAATTCGGATTTCAAATATAACAGCATATTAATTACAAATAAATATCTGGTTATTATCTGTGCACACTTAATGATTCAGTATAATTTTAAGAATACAATTTGTATTTGTTCAAATATATGGTGACATTTTACATCGGCTCTCTCACTTAGTAAAGACAGCCCTGAAAATAGCCAAATACAATATTTCAAATTAAGTTTCTGAAACTTAAGCCACTTATTTACATAGGTAAAAATTCCTCTGAAGACTATGAAAATAAGTTGTGGCTATTTTTTAAGAGCTGGAGTTAAACGGTTAGAAAAAACTCATTTAATGGAAATGCATTTTAAATTTCCAAAAACTGGGGTAATATGTCACTTAAACTAATGTCAAATATAATGATACGAGATATGATTTGCCTAACTAAAATAAAAAAAATCTCCAGGGGAATTTCTGAGAAGTATTTTCATGAAAGTAAAAGTGTTAACTCATGTTTTGGCATATTTATTCTAGTAGAGAAGTATACCAGGGTATAATATAGACTTTAAAAACAGAAGGGTCACTTGATTTCTCCTGCTTTTCTCTACCATTGTGAATTAAAGATCATTCATTTAGCAAGTTGATAAGTATTTATTGAGCCAAGGATGTGCCAGACACTACACTAGACAGTGGACAAATAAAAATAAACCAAGCAGATATGGTGTCAGTCAGTGATGTTCTAAAACAGAGGATGTGGTGGGCAGTGGAAACAGCTTGTCCTAAGTGCAAGCTACAAGCTGTTGCATTGTATATAGAGAATTTAAGAACAAGAATAAAAATGAGTAAAATCAGCCTGCTTTTTATCACTACGCTCTGTCAATTCTAAACAATGTTAGTGTTAAAATAGCTCCTCTCCGTTGGAGAAGACTTTCCTATGCACGCTGACACTCTTATTGTAAAATAATTTTGATAGCTTTATTCAAAAACCTGGAACACCCTAGGTATAGAAATTACAGGCAAATGCATAACAAACTGTGATATGTTCATATAATGGAATATTACACAGTAGTTGAAAAAAATTACTGTCACATTCAACATCATTGGATGAACCTGAAAAATATGAGGTTAATTAGAAGATGCTTTACGTAAGAATATGCTGTGTGTGATTCCACTTACACAAAAATTCAAGAAAAGAAAACTCATACTGCGGTGCAAAATAATCAGAACGATGGTCATCTCCAAAGGAGCATGAAAAGATTTGACTGAGCATGGGTGGGAATACTTTCTTGGATCCTGGTCATGTTCAATATCTTGCTAAGGTTTGTGATACAGAGATGTACACTTTTGTCAAAATGTAGACAATATGCATTTGAAGTTTGTGCATTTTATTCTATGTAAATTTAAATTTTTATTTCCTTTACTTTTTATTCCGCAAGAAAACATCTGCAAGTATATTACATGTAAATTTTATATCTGAAGATGAAAACATTTAAAATCAAATAATTAAGTGTGTATTATTTATAGTGAAGGTCTTTGACTTCAAACATTTATTTTGAAATGCATAAAAAATAAGAAGGGATAGAATTTTTTAACTGTGTGGGATGTTTGATAATTTTCATAATACAGTGATTGAATAGAGATATATGGTGGATTGACAGAAGACAGATAGATAGATAGATAGATAGATAGATAGATAGATAGATAAACAGACAGACAGATGAATAAAAATATCTGGCATTCTGGCTAGGCAAGTGCCATGTCCTGAATGTTTAAGGACCTGAACAAATTACTGTTTGTAACAGGATGGCCTACGCTGATTGACCTAGGCCAACTATCACCCACTCCAGGAACTGAAGACTATATTCCACCAATGCTCACTATAGTTCATTTTATTTCTTTTTTTTTTTTTTTTTGAGACGGAGTCTCGTTCTGTCACCAGGCTGGAGTACAGTGGTGCAGTCTCGGCTCACTGCAACCTCCACCTCCCGGGTTCAAGTGATTCTCCTACCTCAACCTCCTGAGTAGCTGGAACTATAGGCACGCGCCACCACACCCAGCTAATTTTTGTATTTTTAGTAGCGACGGGGTTTCGCCATGTTGACCAGGATGGTCTCCATCTCTTGACCTCGTAATCTGCCCACCTCAGCCTCCCAAAGCGCTTGGATTACAGGCGTGAGCCACTGTGTCCAGCTTAGTTCATTTTATTTCTAAAAATATTTTTCATCCACTGCTTGTAATAGGTTTTTGTCTGCCTTTAGAGGTAACTCCCATTCACCTCCTAACCCAGGAGACAAAAGGATGGTTAGCTTGGTCACATCCATTTTCAAGCTGAGGGAACCATTTGTCTTTAGACCCAGATCTTGTGACAAGCCAAATCAGTCCTCCAGAGCTGCTGGTTTTCTCACTTGCCTTTCAACTCACTGAGTCAGGAAGCCTCTGGAGGATGAAGAAGGAAGACTTCGATATCTTTTCCCTGAGTTATGAGAACATCTTCACAAAAGTACCAATCAATGATTCTTGGTCTTTGCATCTTTTCCCTTTCACCATTTATTATATGCAGTTCAAGGTCTGGAATGGAAATTCAGCAATCTCTGGCTCCCTAATGACCCCTTTCTGGCTTTTGTTAGTTCATAGAAATAAGTTCTGTCATTCAGCAAATCACATCTTGCAGGCTGAAGCAGGCAGGACTCAGGATAAATAGATCTATTTGTTTCTTCGGGATGTTCTTTTGGTAGCACAGACTCTGTAATATATGCTTCAGTACATTTCTAGCACCTGAAACCCAGAACTGCCTTTTGCTGATTCACAGTAATATTTTAGAGTCTTCATGACATATTTGTTCCCCATTGAAAGCCTTAACTTTAAATGTAAACTACTTAACTGAGTAATATAGTTTTCCGCAAGTAAGTATACTTCTACAAAAAAAAAAAAAAAAAAAACAACTGGGAAGACAAGAAAGGAAGAAGAAAGAAATGTTAAAATCCAGCTTCTCCATCCCTTTCTTTTTTCTTTTCTTTCCTTTTCTGCTTCTTTTTTTTTTTTTTTTTTTTTTTTTTTGGAGACAGAGTCCTGCTCTGTTGCCCAGGCTGGAGTGCAATGGCATGATCTCGGCTCACTGCAACCTCCGCCTCCTGGGTTCAAGCAATTCTCCTGCCTAAGCCACCCAAGTAGCTGGGATTACAGGCGCCTGCCAGCAGCATGGCTAATTTTCGTATTTTTTAGTAGAGATGGGGTTTCACCGTGTTGGTCAGGCTGGTCTCGAACTCCTGACCTCACGTGATCCACCCGCCTCGGCCTTCCAAAGTGCTGGGATTATAGGCATGAGCCACCAATCCAGTGTAGTATCTATTCTTATCAGTCTCCATCTCTTTCTTAAGAAGAAAGTTTTCTCCTATAATTGAAACACAGTTTTCTAATGTAATGAAAAGGGCAAAATAATTAAGCCTGCATATTTCTGTTGGACTATGTATGTAGGTATGCAAACTAGAATCCTACACTGCCAAGTTCTCCACTGGGTAGAAACGTGGAAATAAGGACCAATGGAAAATCCAGTCTGCTGTTCTGCTTGTGGCACCAAAAGAGTTTTAGGGCTGCAAACTTTTATTTTTTTTCAATTATTTTTTAATTGAGTAAAACCTGTGGACATTTGTCACTTCACTAGAGACCAACTGGCCAATCCTGTACTAGACTTCATGGAACAGGAGCTAAGCAGAGAGGGCCCTGGGGTGAGACCTAATGAATCCACTAGGTCCACAGGCAGACCCTCAAGCCAACATGGATTTTTCTCAAGCCTTAAGCTTTAATAGAGTTTTTCCTGTGAAACTTTAATCTTGGGAATCATCACCACTTTTTTTCTTCTCCCTTTGGAATTGACATACTCATCCTATCCCTGTCCCACCATTGTATTTTGCAAACACATGACTTATCTGGTTTCACAGCTAGGAGGAAATTTTACCTTGCCTCTCACTCATATCTGAATTAAATAATATTTTGATGGCACTTTGGACTTCAGACTTGAGAGTTGAGGCTGGAACTAGGTGAGACTTTTGGGGCTGTTGCAATGGAATGAATGTGTTTTGCATGTGGGAAGAACATAAATTTTGGGAGGCCAGGGGCAGAATACTATGGACTGAATATTTGTGTTTTCTCAAAATGTATGTGTTGAGATGGGATGGTATTTGAAGATATATTTGGATATATGTTGAGATGGGATGGTATTTGGAGATATGGGATGGTATTTGGAGATAAAGTATTTGGGAGGTAACTGTGTTTGGATAACATCCTGGGAGTGGAGCCCCCATGTTGGGATTGGTATTCTCATAAGTGGCTGGAGGATACAGAGCACTAGTGCTCTCTCCCTCTCTCTCTCTCTCTCTCAATCCCTCTCTTTCTCTCTTTCTCTCCCCCCACCCATGGGAAGATACAATGAGAAGATGGCAAACCAAAATGAGGGCCCTCACCAGTCAAGGAATTTCCTGGAATGCTTCTAGAAGTTCTCAGTCTCCAGAACTGTGCGAAATAAATGTTTGTTCTTTAAGCCACCCAGTCTATGGTATTTTTATTATAGCAGCCCAAGATAACTAAGACAGACATCTGCAATAGACTACAAGAAAGCCTTTGATAGTTTACTTAGCAGAAGAAACGTCTGGACAACTTACTAAAAGTGAAAAATGTGAGGTCCCAAAGCCCCATAGATTTTGCTTTAGTACGACTGGAGATAGTCCCTGAATCTGAATTTTTGATAAGTACCACAATTGATTTTGATGCAGGTGATTTCAAGGGCTCTACTTTAAAGAATACTGCTTGGAGCCCAATTCTTACGTTACTACTCAGTAACTACTAATATACAAATAAGGAAGGAGTTCGAGGCAGAGAGAGCTAAGTTCGCATTCTAACTTTTTCACTTATTTGCTGGGAGACAGAAGGCAAATGATTAACCCTTATGAGCTTCAGCTTTTATACCTTTATAAAAGAAATAATGTTGATATCTGCCTCACAAGCGTTCTGAGAGTATTGAATGGGATTAAACATGTAAAATGTGATACCAGGAAGTATATACTCTTACCATTATTTTTGGACGCAGGCCATTGTTTTAATCAGAAACATGGACTTTCAATTTGTAAAGATCTACCTCTCCAGAATCTAGCCTGATAAAATTTCTGGGAGTGTTGGGTTATGAACCAGAGTGGAAAAAAAAGAGAAAACTATTGGTTATTTGGCACATCATGACATCCTAGACATTATGCTGGACTCTCTGGAATTCTTACTTCATTTCATCATCAGAACAATATTATCCCAAGTAAGGAATAAAAGACACAAAGAAGCTAAGATATTTGCTCAAGTTCTCATGTCTAGTAAGCAGCAGGATCTGTTTCATTCCACATTGATTTGATTCTCAAGTTACATGAAATAATGGGAAGCATTAATTTTTCCAGGCAAGTTAGTGATTTTGGAGATATTATCCTGAGATAGGGAGCCCCATAAACTTGAGGCAGCAATACAGTGTAATAGAATAGAGGAGCCCCAAAATAGAGTGAGAAAATGCTGAAAGAATTATAATGAAGCTCTGTAGAATATTATAACGTTGTGTTTATAGCAATGATTTGTCCCATTATTTCTTTCCTGGGCAATGCCATTTCATCTAGCCACAGTCAGGGAGAGCTTGTATACCAGTATACTCCATTCTCCAACATGGAACAATGACAGTGCTTCAAAGGGGCACTTGTCATCTCCTGCAAAGCTGTTAGAAATCATAAGACTATATTTGTCAGAACTTACGTGGACTGGGGTGCTGTATTTGCTGCATTAAATATGTTTTATTTAAGGCTATTTCCAATCCATGTTCCTATGATTTATTTGGGAGTAAAGGGTTGAACAGGTGTAAGGGGACAGGTAATTACGATTCATTTCAGAAATAAAATGCAAAATCATCATGAGTTTGAGCTCTTTTGTGGGGTTAATACATTTTGTATTCTAGTATTATTTCCAGCAGTAAGCCCAGGTCTTCTATGGTAATTCTTTCTTGGTTGAACTAGATTACATTAGGTAAAATACGTGATTGATTTTAGTTATGTGACTCAAGTCATTAAATGGGTTCGTATGTGAAATGAGATCATCCTACTGTCAGAAGGAAACTGATTTGCCAAATTCTCTTTCCATTTTAACTTTCATGTTCAAACTTTCAATACTGAGCACACAAACCAAAATATTTGGGTTCTTGGCTGCAAGGTGTTTACTTAACCTGTGCTTGGGACTTCCATACTCATAATTAGAAAAATCTATAGGACAGTCACAGCTTCTTTTTCTGAAATGTCCATTTGGCTTGATGATTTGGAAGAAATTTACCTTTAGAATTCAATAGGTAGAAACATATTATGAAGGCAAATATAGCATCGACCTGTATTATGATAGTACTGTGGGCTAACTTAGGGCTGTATACCCGGATGCTTAGGTCTAAGTGTGTTTATTTTCATAGCTAAGGCTTACTGAGGACCTACCCTGTGCCAGGCATTGTGACAAATGCTCTGCCTGCTCCACCTCATTTGGCCTTCACAACACTATGAGGTGGCTATTATTATCCCTATTTTATGGATGAGACTGAGACTTTCAGATTAAAAGAACATTCCCACATTTGTGTGGCAGATATCAAATCTTGACCATATGTTCAGATCTGAGATTGGTAAAGTCTGTGCCATTAACTACTCAGTTGTAGTGAATATTGTTCTTATCAGTTACTCTCTAGCTGTTAATAGGTTTTGGTGGACATACTTAACACTTAGTGACTTAAGTAAGAATGAAGGAATAGCTAGCTACACATGATGTTTCATTTCTGGAAAGTCTGTGTGAAGCTGATTTTTTAATTTCCAGAGACTCAACTGCTACACATACTTGTTTAGTCATTAGCAGATCTTTTTTGGTGAGAATTAAAGAGCCACCACGCGCATTTGTTTCTGTCTTAATCAACCACCTATTCTTTAAAAGAAAAACAAATAGCGGTTGTCCCACAGGGTAGTTTTCTTTTTCAGAAATTGGAATTTACAGTGGTTTCTGGTCTATAATCAGTGCATTTTTTACGCAAAGAGAATATTCTGAAATTTCCCATAGTGGGGGATTTCAGAGTTAAAATGAGTTTGCTTTTCACAGCTAAGGGCTGGGATTTCTGCATGTTTCACAAGGTAATTCTTTGATTTTTGGTTTCAAATTTCATCCCAAATCCTTGAAAGTCAAAGATAAGTAGTTACCTCCTCTGTTTCAGAACTGACCATGCACTATAATTTTCCAAATTATACATACGAGATCAAAGTGTGAAAACTTTCAGTTGTCTCTCAAAAGTGATTTTAGTTTCAATTATCTCCGGGCAACAAAAACACCTCACTGGGTCTGCCCAGTGCTTGAACATTCATCAGCAGGCTTCAGGTATATTATTTGATTCTGTACTTACAACAGCCCTAGGAGGTCTGTTATGATTATGTACATTTTTATAGGTTCAGGTAAGCTAACAGACAGTAGGGAAGTGGTGGAGGTATTCCCAAGCCCAATTCTTCTGTTTCCAAGTCTGATCCTCCTCCTAAATCATTCCTGGCATCCATTGCTCCTTTTCACCTAATGAAACAGACAGGATGCATTGTGTGATGGGTACGTTACTTCTAAGCCCAAAGTTCATAAGCTGGTACATAGGAGGAAGAGTTATCAGTAATTTTTTTCCCTAGCCTCTCAACTCTCCTACCCGCTTTTTGACATTCATCCCTGTGTCTGGAATCTCACAGTGGCCTTAGTTGTACAAAAGTCCTTGGACTGTGGTCTGCTGGTCACACCTGCCCTCTGTCATGCTCTAGTTTCCATTATTGACAGCTTTACTTACTGGTATCCATCTTACTGAGGAAGTTGTCGCTACTATAAAATCAGGTAAAGAATTCCCCATCAATGTCTTTGCAACTAATAATATAATCACTGTTACTTTCCAGAATTTATTTTTATTTTGATTAGAAGATATCTAGAGACTAAAATGACATGAAACAACGGCATAAATCATTATGGCTACCTCCCTCCCTCATTCTCTTCTTCCCTCTCCCTCTCTCTATTCTGTCTGTCTTCCCTCTTATCCATAAATGAACACATTTTTGCTAAGAATGGCTTAACATCTTAAAGTGCTAGGCAGTGTGCCGAGGACTGTGGATAAAAGGGTGAAATGGCACAGGCCCTGCCTAGGAATCTTCTTGGGCAGGCCAACATGGTGACAAACATAACACAAATAAATGTTCTGTTGGAAGAGACCTTTCTTAACTTTCATTGAGAGGAAATAATGCGAGGATTGAAAATATGAAATAATTCAGGTTATAAAATGTGTGAAATTAAGTGAGATATTGTATTAGTCTGTTATCACACTGCTAAAAAGAAATACCCAAGACTCAGTAATTTATAAAGAAAAGAAGTTTAATTGACTCAGTTGCACATGGCTGGGGAGGCCTCAGGAAACATTCAATCGTGGCGGAAGGGGAAGCAGGCACATCTTACATGGCAGCAGGAGAGAGAGAGGGAGACTGAGTGTGAAGGAGGAACTGTCAAACACATAAAACCATTAGATCTCGTGAGAACTCACTCACCATCATGAGAATAGCACAGGGGAGACTGCTCCCATGATCCAATTACCTCTCTCCCTGGACATGTGAGGATTACAGTTTCTACTTTTGACACATAGGGATTGAAATTCGAGATGAAATCCGGGTGGGGACAGAGAGCCAAACCATATCAGATACAAATAAATATATAAATAGCCTCAATTAATAAAGCACCAATAAGGCACAGGAGGTTTATAAGAGATACCTTTAATGCAGGAAGACTTTATTTCACTGAAATAATACTAGGTGCATGGTAGCAAATTACTTTCATTGGGATTAAATTTGTGGCTTTTTTTTTTAATCTCTCTTTTCTAAGTAAGAGTAGTAACAGAAAAATTACCTTGGAATCACTTGAAAGAAGCTTTTCTTAGACTATGTCACCTACAAATTACTCAAAGGGAGTCTTTTTTGAGAAAGTGGATTTATTGTCCAAGGAAATGAATATGACTAGCCCTATTAATTTTTAACTGTGGAGAAAAAACATCTGATTGACTTTTGGGGTTTTTGTTATTGTTGTTGTTGTTTGAGGTTTTTCTTGTTTGTTTGATTGTTTTTGAGACAGTGTCTTACTCTGCCACCCAGGCTGGAATATAGCAGTGCAATCTTGGCTCACTGCAACCTCCACCTCCTGAGTTCAACCGATTATCCGGCCTCAGTCTCCCAAGTAGCTGGGACTACAGGCGCGCACTATCACACCTGGCTAATTTTTGTGTTTTTAGTAGAGATGGGGTTTCACCATGTTGATCAGGCTGATCTCAAGCTCCTGGCCTCAAGTGATCCATCCACCATGGCCTCCCAATATGCTGGTATTACAGGCGTGAGCCACTGCACCAGGCCTGATTGACTTTTATAGCCAAATCTCTGCAGAGAGCAGAGTTGGGAATTCTAGGTCCATGAGGTGCAGAGTACAAACACTAGTTCTGTCCTTTTTGCTGCTGTGCTTTAAGGATGCGAATGTGAATTGGAAGGATAAAATGACTTGGGATGTAACTCCACGAACCCTATGGCAGGGTATTTAGGTTTGAGTTTGGCATTGAGTAGAGAGATTGTCTCCTCTAGAAACATCAAGGATTATCTATGTGAGTTTCAGGTCTCTGAACTGTTATCTCAGTAGTGTACCCTCCTCTTTGGGGCTGGATAGAGCCCATAGATGACACAGAGCCTGGGTAGCAACAAAAAGCAAGACAATAGAGGACTGATGAAATACCAAGATGCCAATTTTTTTTTTTTTTCCTGTTGCAGTATAGAAGCCCAACTGGCCAGGCGCGGTGGCTCACGCCTGTAATCCCAACACTTTGGGAGGCCAAGGCACGTGGATCACGAGGTTAGGAGTTCAAGACAAGCCTGGCCAAGATGGTGAAGCTCTGCCTCTACTAAAAATACAAAAATTAGCCGGGTGTAGTGGTGGGTGCCTGTAATCTCAGCTACTCGGGAGGCTGAGGTAGGGAATTGCTTGAATCCGGGAGGCGGAGGTTGCAGTGAGCCGAGATCGCGCCACTGCACTCCAGCCTGAGAAGCAGAGCAAGACTCTCTCTCCCCACCCTCCAAAAAAAAAAAGAAAGAAAAAAAGAAGTCCAACTGCCCCCACCCCTAATACGAAGCCTATTGGAGCTTATGAAATTTGAGAAGGTGAAACCATAAGAGGGATATCATGAACTCCCTAATGATATGGAGACTTGTGATTCCTAAGATTAATAAAATAATGTTACTGGATTTTTCTTAAAGTAACTTATGTAATCGCTCAGTCACATTAGATGGATTTGGAACCAAGTCTATAATTTATATCTCCACATCAATTACGCCCATCCTGGTAACCAATGACTGCTACCGTGCAAGGCAATGACTAGCCTCGGGAGGATGTGGAGTAGCTGATAACATTTTCTAACTTGATATTTATAAGGGACAAATTACATTTCTTTTTACACAAATTTGTCCTCTGAAAGCCTGCCATGTATCATACAGTTAAGGTTTGAAAAGGGCCTAAGGAGTTGAGAACACCTAATCAACCAATTATGTTCTATAGCAATTACTTTTAAATGTAAATTCCTATATAAGTGGCTGTGACTAGAGATATTCATCTCTGTCATTAGCCCTCATAATATGCAGTAATGAGAAGAAATATGCTGTGCATATCTCGTTTTCTGACAGGCATTATTTGATTGCCTCATTTCTTTCTTTCATCGATTTAGGGCATTCTATTTCAAGATGGATGAAAATGTGCAGTGCCAAAGGGTTTAAAGTGAGAGTTGGACTTGTAACATGCAAGAAGGAATTTAGGGTGTCATCATTCATAATAAACACAAAATGCCCTCCATGGCTAAATTTGTTGGATTCACAGAGATCAGACTTTATACAAAAACAAATATGAAACAGACAAAAAAAAAAAAAAAACTTCCTTACCCTCTTGTAACAAAATTAAATGTGGGATTAGTTATCTTCCAATCCACGTATGTCATAAGAATTTGTCCTGATGCACTTAGTGTGTAGCATTGCGTAGTACAGAACTGTTAAAACAGTAATCTATGAACAGCTTACCTGTACAAGAGGCATTCTTAAATAGGTGGGTATGACCCACTTAAACCAGTTATGATTTTCAGAGGCATCACAACAATTACTTGCTATGGTTTGAGTGTTTGTGTCCCTCAGAATTTATGTATTGAAATTCTAATCCCCAAGGTGATGGTATTAAGAAGTAGGGCCTTTTGGGAGGGCTCTTTTCTCATGAATGGGGTTGGTGCACTTGTAAAAGAGGCCAGGGGAGCTTGTTTGCTCCTTCTGCCATGTAAAAACACAGCAAGAAGCTCACGGTCTGCAACTTGAAAGAGGACCCTTACAAGAACCCAACCATGCTAGTATCTGATCTTAGACTTCCAGACTTCCAGAACTGTGAGGAAAAAATATGCTGTTGTTTATAAGCCACCCAGACTATGATACTTTATTATAGCAACCTGAACAGACTGATATGGTTAATGTACGGATTTTTGCCAATTTTTACCTTGCCCTCCACCATTATGGAGTCTTGTTACTTTGCTATTTCATTTTCTTCCCCTCACCCCTTCTTTAAAGATGGATCTTTCTGGACAGATTTGTTCTTTTGGGCTAATGAAAAATTGATGGTTATGGGTGGAGAACAGGACCAGATGGGTAACAGAGAAAGGGGGTGATTTAGCAAAATAATTTGCCAATCTGTTTATTAAGACTGGGGAGAAAGACATAGAAAGAGTTAAAACCATGAGAGCAGGAGATTAAAAAGGAATTTTTCAAGAATTTGGAATAGGAGAAGTGAAAAAGCACCTACAATGTGCAAGAAAAATGTAAAGGAGAGAAATGGAGAATTTGCTGTAGTATATAAATGTTCTTTTGTAGTATTATAAATATAAACAAAGTATTCATTCTTTAAATTTCTCTTCTGGCTGCTGAATTGTCTCTTTGAATGCAACATGACTAGAATTGGACCAGGTGTATGATATTTTTTAAGGGTTACATATAATCATCTTTCTAGGAGTTGTTTAATTGAGGGCAGGCATCTACAAACTACAGGCCATGAAGCAAATCTTATTGCTACCTGTCTAGGTGAATAATGTTTTATTGAAACACAGCACGTTTATCCACTTACTCTTGTCTATCGCTCCTTTCACACTGCTCAAACAGAGGTGAGTAGTTGCAACAGAAACCACATGGCCTGCAAAACTGAAAATATTTAAAGCCCTTTTTTTCTTTAAATTTTTTCAAGTAGACATCATTTTAGATTCACATGTAGTTGTAAGAAATGATACAAAGATATCTCATGTAGTCTATATCTAATTTTCCCTGGTAACATTTTTTAACACTATACTGTAATAGCACAACCAGAATGTTGACATTGATACAGTTAAGACAAACAACAGTTCCATTACCCAGCTCTTACACCTTCATCCCTGGCACCCACTAATCTCTTCTCCATTTCTATAATTTTGTCATTTTTAGAATATTTTACAAATGGAATCATACAGTATGTTACTGATGTGGTTTGGCTGTGTCCCCACCCAAATCTCATTTTGAAATGTAGCTGCCATAATTCCCACATGTCACGGGAGGGACCCAGTGGGAGGTAACTGCATCTTGGGGATGGGTTTTCCCATACTGTTCTCGTGATAGTGAAAAGCCTCACAAGATTTGATGGTTTTATGAAGGGGAATTTCCCTCTACATGCTCCTTTGTCTGCCTCCACGTAAGACATGCCTTTCTCCTCCTTCACCTTCTGCCATGATTATGAGGCCTCCCCAGCCATGTGAAACTGTGAGTCCATCAAACCTCTTTTTTTATATAAATTACCCAGTCTTGATTATGTCTTTATTAGCGTGAGAAAGAACTAATACAGTCACCTTTTAGAATTGGCTTTCTTCTCTTAGCATAATTCTCTAGAGATTCATCCAATGTGTTGTGTGTATCAACATTTCAATCCTTTTTCCTGAAAATATACTATTCCATTGTATGTAAATATAGCAGTTTAACTGTGTACCCACTGAAGCAAATTGGGTTGTTTCCAATATTTTGCTATTATAAATAAAGCCTCTTTGAAAACTTGTGTATAAGTTTTTGTGTAAACATAAGTTTTCATTTATCTGGTATAAAAGCCTAGGAATACAATTGCTGGGTAAAGTGGTAGTGGTATGTTTAGTTTTTAAAGAAACTGCCAAATCATTGAGTTGAGTTGCATTCACAGGAACATATGAGTGATCCAGTTTCTCTGTATTCTTGACAGCCTTTGGTGTTGTCACTGTTTTTTATTTTAGCCCTTCTGATACATGCATTATCTGTCATTGTTATCTCATTGTGGTTTTAGTTTGCATTTATATAATGGTTAAATATGTTTAATTTATTTTCATGTACTCTTTTCGAATCAGTGTATTTGCTTTGAGGAAATGGCTGGTCATGTCTTACGCATATTTTTATTTCAATAATTTTACCATCTTCACTTTTTTTGGCATCTTGTTGCTGTCTTTTTCTGGCACTCCAATATGTTGCTTCTATCTTACTGTAGAGAGGGTAGAAAAAAGCTTGAAATAATTACAACTGGGTAAAATATAATTTGTCCCATTAAAGTCTCCCTGTGAATAAAGTTGATGAGATTAGAAGAGCTTATTGTCATTGCTGTGGTTTGAATGTGTCCTCCAAGATTGTGTGTTGGAAACTTAATTTCCAGCGCAACAGTATTGAGAGGTGGGACCTTTGGGAGGTTATTAGGTCATGAGGTCTCTTCCCTCATGAATGTATTAATGTTGTTATTGTGGGAGTGGGTTTGTTACAAAAGTGAGTTTAACACTCTCTTCCTCTCTTGCTCTCATCCTCTCTTGCCCTTCTGCCTTTCGTCATGAGACAGTCACAAAGGCCTTCTCCGGAGGCTGGTGCCACGCTCTTGGACTTCCCAGCCTCCAGAACTATGAGCCAAGTAAATTCTTGTACATTATTAATTACTCAGTCTGTGGTTTTCTTTCATAGCATCGTAAAACAGACTAAGAAAGAAAACTAATAATAAGAAGCAGGACTATTACTATAACAAATACTTTAAAATGTGAATATGGCTTTTGACTGGGTAATGGTTAGAGGCTGAATTAATTTGGAGGAGCAGACTTAGAAAAGCCTAGATTGCCGCGAATGGAGCATTAAGTGAAATTATAGTGAAGGCTCAGAAGAAGACAAGAGCTGTGGAAAGCCTAAATCTTTGTAGTGATTACTTCAGTGGTTGTGACCTGAATGTCGTTAGAAATATGCACAGTAAAGGCCATTATGGTGATGTCTCAGATAGAAGTGAGGAATATCTTGTTAACAACTGGAGTAAAGGCCTTCCTTGTTATAAATTGCCAAAGAAGTTGGCTGAATTATGTTCATGCCTTAGCACTTTATGGAAGGTGGACTTTAATAGCAATAAACGAGTGTATCTGGTCAAAGAAATTTCTAAACAAAATATTGAAGGAGCTGTGTGGCTACTTTTAACCACATATAGTAAGATACCATAGGAAATGAATAATTTAAAACAAAACGTTGAATTAAGTGAGAAGCAGAGTGAAAAGATTTGGAAAATTTGCAGCCTGGTCATGTAAATAATGAAAAGGAGTCTTTAGGAGAGCAAACCAAAGATATGAACAAGTGACCATTTGCTAAAGAGATTAATATAGGTAAAAGGAAGCCAAGTTCTGTTCATCAAGACAATCAAAGAATAACCATGAAAACATTTAAATGATCTTCAAGGCAAACTAGGACCTTCAGGGCAAGGTTTCCAGAGAAGTGTCTGTGGGATCTCAGCATCTGCTGCCTTGTGCTGCTGCAGGACAATGCTTTTCACACTCCAGCACAGCCTCCTTTGCTGCACCAGCCATGGCTCAACTAAATCCAGGTGCGGCTCAACCCACCACTCCAGAAAGTACAAGCTGTAAACCTTGGCAACATCCAAGTGGTTCTAATTATGCAGGTGTGTGGGATTCAGGAACTGTGGGTTCATTGTGGCCTCCACCTAGATTGCAAAGGATGCTGCAAACAGCTGTTGCATGACAAAGCCACTGCCAAAAGCCCCCACTAGAGCAACGTCCAGCATAGCTGTGGGAATGGGACCTCTGCAGAGAGTCTCCACTAGGATAATGCCCTAGTGAGAATGGACACTGCGGCCACTCAGTGAAAGAGAGGTCACCCCTGAGACCCCAAAACTGCAGCGCTGCCAGCTTGCAATGCCAGTAAATGAGAGTAG
Source organism: Homo sapiens (assembly GCF_000001405.40). Lineage (NCBI taxonomy): Eukaryota > Metazoa > Chordata > Mammalia > Primates > Hominidae > Homo > Homo sapiens. The sequence goes on from NC_000003.12 coordinate 6,238,367, forward strand.
CTGGGTGGGCTGAGCCCAGCAAAGCTATAGGGGTGGGACTGCCTGAGGCCTGAGAAGCCCAACTTCTACCACAGTGTGCCCAGAAGGCAGGACACAGAGTCAAAAAAGTATATACTGAAGTCTTAAAATCTAATTTTGTAAACCCTGGTGAATTTTAGATTTATTTGCAATCAATTACCCCATTTTTCTGCTTATTTGTCTCTTTCCTATGCCTGTCCCATCGTTGCATTTTAAACAAGTTATCAAGTTATCTCCAAATAAGATAACTTGTTTTGACTTCATAGCTGGAGATAATTTGTTTCAGGATAAATTGTGCCCTTTCACCCATATCTGATTTAAATGAAGCTTTGAGCTGTTCATTTTTAAGTTGATGTTGGAAAGAGTTAAGACTTTGGGGACTATTGGGATGGGATGGTTGTATTTTGCATTGGGAAGGACATGGATTTTGCAGGCCAGGGGCATAATGCTATGGTTTGAATGAGTCCCCCAAAGTTCATGTGTTGAACACTTAATCCCCATTGCAACAATTTTGATAGGTGAGGCTTTAAGAAGTGATTAGGTCATGAGGGCTCTGCCTTTATGAGTACATTAATGTCATTACCCCAGAAGTAGGTGTGTTATCACCAGATTGGGTTTGTTATGAAAGGAAGTTTAGCCTCCTGTTGCTCTCTTGCTGTTATGCTTTCTGCCATGGGATGATGCATCATGAAGCCAGTGCCATGCTCTTGGAGTTTCCAGCCTCCAGAATCATGAGCCAAACAAATTCATGTTCATTATGAATTACCCAGTGTGTGGCATTCTTATATCTTATAAAATGGACTAAATCATCCTTCAGAACCCACCAAGTAGAAACAGAATAAAAACTTACATTCTGTAAAACATGATGGCTGTATAAAAATTAAATAGAATGCCTACTCTCAAGGAAATTCTAATTTAGTAAGAAAGATAACTATGACATGCCACCAGTTTTCCTTCTTTATTCCTATCATTGTGTTTTACTCCCCTCTTGAGGCTTGCCCCTTGCATTATGAGTTAGTGCATATAGAACTCAAGGATAGATACACAAGTTTCTTTACAAGACGAAAGAAGCTCATGCCACTTGCTTTTACTGAGATAGATAAGAATCTAAAAAAACAGCAAATGCCAAAATATGGCTACCAAAGCTGATATAATTTAAAAGTTTTCTTTAAAAATAATTTTAACACAAAGTATAATGCAGTTTGACTATACAATTTACATAATAGTTACATAATTCTTAAAAATAGTTGTCAATACATTACAGTGGCATGGTCAGGTAATGGAACGCACATTTAAAGATGTATGATAAGCATATTATGCTCAAGTCCTGCGAATGTATCAGTCCTGCAGATGTGTCTCCACTATTTGCAGATGATGTCAGAACTGTACATTTGAAATCTTCTGTGAATGTGAAATTCAAATAAAATGGCTCTCCCTTGACTTGTTGAATAAGATTACCTGGGGTCAGTTAAGCCTCTACAGAGCTGAGAGTTCAAGATGCAGTATAAAAAGTCCACAAGCAATGAAACCAACCAGGATCCCAGGAGCTCAGGAATAATCCAGCCCAGTTATAGGGAGAATACAAACACAGTTACAACTTACTTAGGATAATAGCTATGAACCTCTTGCGTGTACAAGTTAAGCAGAACAGCAAGATGACACCCAAGCAGTTGAGGAGATTGGATGCCTCAGACACAATCCTCCCTGATGCTGTGTATGGCTCTGGGGGCATGTAGACACTCCCTCCAGGCTGAGTTAGGCTTTCTAGGATTTTTACTTAAATAAGTGACTCCTGAGGGATAAATCCTAACAGGTACCTCCATACCAGTTTACTCAGTAAGTACAAATTCAAATTGAGATAGTACGACTGACACATTCAGACTACAACATAGTGGTTTGGAGGATAAGCTTTAGATTCAGGTAGACATGGGTTCATAGCTAGTTGTGAACCAACTCGATGTATTTGACACGTGTGAACAAATAAATGCTTTCTTGTCTATAAAAGGGGAACATTAATTTTGCATCCTACCCCATAGGAGTTTTGTGCAAATTAAATGTGATTTGTCACGTAAAGCACTTAACACTGTGCCTGGCACAAAATAAACTTTTAACATGTAAATTATTTATGACTATTATTAACATTTCATTTTAGGCCTTGACATTTTAATGAGATGGATCTTCACTAAATCATGGATAGGTGTTACAGTGACTAGTTATAATTTGACAGAAATTTAAAATTCATTGATTGATGGTTAGATTTATTGACAAATACACATTTAACATTTGTTATAGTCAAAAACTTTACTCAGGAGTGTTTATTAAGGGCAACTTGAATCTTCTACCAGGTGACCATCCTCAGGCATTGGGCTCAAATAAACTCACACTTAGTCATTTAAAAAAGAAACTTTTCTCATGTAAAATACTAAGTTAAAGTCTTTAAAAGTATTTCTCAGTTTTAAACTTTCTGTGATTTTTTCTATGATTTTTATTTTTATATAAATCTTCACCTTTGCATTTGTATTGGTTTACAAAAAGTTCAAGAATTTAAAATAGTTTAATTTTCCTCAAAGATAAAGAAGATCTTATAAAGATTATTTTTTCTAGTGTTCTATAGATGAATCTATTGAAGGTAGTAAGCCACTTTTCCATATTGTAAGGGCTTCAATTATGATAATAGAATCATGATACAGGTGCTAAAATCAGTTGGTGCCTACCCACATCTTAGGCATACAGCAAGCCATAGCTTTGTGTCAAAGGCAGGTTTCTGCCTGCCAGGGAAGCTTTGTTGATGCCTTCAAATCTCTCTCATTTTCCTCTGCCAGCCACAAGCAGCTTGGAGCTGGAGTCTCAGTGGAAGAGGTGGAAATTCATGGGGAAATGTCTTGCCCTAATGAAGCCTATGGGGCCCTCTCACAGAAAATGCAGGGCTGCCTTCTGCTCCTGCTCCTAAAATAGCCGAACCACAACGGTGGGCAATTTCCAAGATGCGGTGCAGCAGGAAAAAACAGAATGCCTGGAGTTTTCCAGTGACTTGTAACATGCATTTACATGGAGAATTACTTTTCTCAGAACAGTGGGGCAAATAGAGCAAACAATCCCTAAAAGGAACTGAAGTCCAGGTTTACCTACTGAGTAGAAAATATCAAGACATTTGAGAAACTGAATGAGACAATATATTACATGGAAAGCATTCCAAATAGCCTGATATATAAATTTCTCTCTTTTTCTCTGTTTGTATGCGTGTGTGTGTGTGTGTGTTTGTGTGTATGTATGTTTGTATGAGTATATAGGTGTACTCCCTTGTGTATCAATCCATTTCTCTGTATTGGAATTCTAGTATTTAAGAAAGCCATTTGTTTGATTCAAAACCTGCCACCCTTTAAGTTCACCCACTGATTCATGTTTTGACTTCTTAAGCAGCCTAGAGTGTCTATTCACCCTTAACTATGATAGTTTGTAAAATCCCAGAAGATAATTCTTACATGTTTGCTGAATTTGCTTTTATTGCAAGTTTCTCAAAACTTTCAACTGCTAAAAATTTATATCTTATATAATTTGGAGTAAATGCACAGTGATATTATTCTTTCTCTGAGTATGACCCATATTCTCCTGAGGGATGGTTACAGACACGGCTCCTAATAGAATAATAATAATAATAGTGTAGTAGAAATAGTAATAACTGACCCTTTCAGTCACTGAGAAGAGCACTTTTGTATATCAGCTGCTTCTTTCTTCACAGTGACCTTCTGAGAGAGGTGTACATTATCCTCACTTTTCTATTTATGTGTTAGGAAACTGAAGCCCAGGATGGTTAAAAAATTCTTCCAAAAATTACCTAAAGTAGCCTAGGCCAGTTACGAAACTAGTTTGATCTGGCGCCAAAGCTTAGACTTTTAAGCACTCTGCTATCTTTTCCTGTCTGGTCATCCTCCCTGAAGAAGGGGTTGCTAGCAATGCCAGCAACTGAAGAGCATTGCTTCAAGATCTGAAGAAAGTGCTTTCTTGGTGAAAGTCACAGGAAGGGGATGTAGTGTGGAAGAAAAAAAATCCCGTCACTGGACAACACTGGCTTTCCAAACAGGCTGGATTTTAGTCTCCTAAGCAGGTATAGGCGGCTCTGCATTTTCGTTGGTTTGAGGATGGTTCGGTTCTCTCCTAATCCTTAGTAAAGGTGTTTGTAAATTAAATGTAAAGGTCCTTTCGGTTGAGGAATGGATTAATGGTATTTTAGTTTATTTGGTTGTTTAGGTTTTCCGTGACTAACTTAGACCTAAGAATGAATAAAAGTACTCCAGGGAGCACTGAGAAACAACAGCCCCTCCTTAAACTCAAATTTCCACGTGTGTGAGTACACACACACACACACACACACACACACACGCACGCACACATCCCCCAAGGGAACAATTCTGTTTTTCTGATTTTTAGAGTAGTGCTTATCAATCTGTTCAAAAACCCCTTATTATTATTATTTTATTATTATTTTAAATTTTCAACCTGTTGCAGATGCCTCTAAAATATAATAAACATAACATAATAGAACAATGAAATTAAAAGGTATGTAAAATACAAGCCTACACTTTGTATTGTTATGACAAGGGACATACAATTACTCTGTCAAATTGCTATGGAAGTTTCTAAACATGCCCAGTTTCTGTCCTTAACTTGTCATGAAGCAACACTGCTTCACGGCACACACTTGCTGTGGGGCTTCCTCAGAGGATTTTATTTCAGACTATAACATGTGAACACATTTGTGTATAAGATAAGGTTGCAAAAATAGCTTGGTTTTAAGTATGTTGCATATTTTTAAGTCCTATGAAAAAGAACCTGGGGAAAACGGAAAAAGGATGCAAGAAAGGGGAGAAATTGAGCCCCAACCAAGGGGTAGTGCTTGAGACTTTGTTCCACGCTACAGTATCCTTTTGTTCTTGTTCTCTTTTATTTCTTTTTCTTTCCCATGCCTCCCACCCCCACACCCCGGCTCTTTTGTTGTTGTTGTTGTTGAGACAGGGTCTCACTCTGTCACTCAGCCTGGAGTGCAGTGGCATAATCTCAGCTCACTGCAGCCTTGGCTTCCTGTGCTCAAGGGATCCTCCCACCTCAGCCTCCCAAGTAGCTGGGACTACAAACATGCACCACCACACCTGGCTAATTTTTGTATTTTTGCAGAGACGGGATCGCACTGTGTTGCCCAGGTTGTTCTCAAACTCCTGAGCTCAAAGGACCCGCCCGCCTCAGCCTCCCAATGTACTAGAATTACAGATCTGAACCGCCATGCCCTCTCTTGTTTTTTTTTTTTTAATCTCTATTTCTTCTTTCCTAGTCATAGTCTTTCTCTTGACTATTTACTTTGTCTCACACTACAACCCTCTTTCTTTCATTTTTCTCTCCCCCTCCCTTCTAATTATGAATTATTTCAAATATTTCATTTGGAAAATATCAGGATAAATACAAGGAAACACTTATAAACCTATCTCGGTTTTTAAAAAAATGGTTTGGTATAAACTTTTCATATTTTTGGAGGAAATAAAAGATTTTGAATACAGAGAAAAACAGTGAAGTCCTATTCATACTCCTCCTGGTAATTGCTATGCTGAAGTTGCATTCCTTCCTTCTTGCCTAGGTTTTTGGTTTTATTCCACAAGAGCCTCTCAAAAACCGATATTTACTATTGTTTTATTATATTTGAAAATTGTTAAAAATAGTGCATGGTTTATATATCATCATTAGGTTTTTTAAATTTAATAATGTGTTTATGAATCATCCGAGTTGATGCAGGTAGGCTGAGTTCTTTACGGTAGTTGCTATATGGTCTTCTATTGGGTGACATACCACATTTTGGTTATTTGGATAGTCTTTCTTCTTACTTAGATGATAATATTTTTTCCAAATGTTTAGTGCCATAAATATTGTTTCAAATATATTTGCATATGTCTTTACATGTACTTTTAGAAGAGTTCTTCTGACATAGCAAAGAAAGAATGAAAGCGAATTTTGCCAAGATATTCTCTAAAGTATTTGTTTTTTATACAAACTGCATGATCGTTATTCCCTCATCTTATCCAACACTTGATGTTGTCAGTTTCCTTGAAGTTTCTCTAATCTAGTGGGAGAGAAATATTACCTTTTTAAAATTTGTGTGTCCCAAATAACTACTGGTATTAATATTCTGCGTGTATTTATAGTCCAAGCAGGATTCTTCCTCTGGGAATTGTTCATTCATTGTTTGCTCACGTCTCTAACGGATTATTAGCCTCTTAAAACTAATTTGGAGGAGTTCTTTAACTACAACAGACGTTAATCAGTTTTCTTTGATACGGGTTGCAAATCCATTCTCTAAAGCAGTTGCTTTTTTGAGGACTTGGTAAAGGCTGTCCTTTGTTCCATTTAATTTCTGTAGTTAAACTTACTTATCTTTTCCTTTATATTCGTGCTTTCTATGGCTGCTTTAGAAAACTTTTCCTTGTGGAAATATGATAAGCATATTTTTCAATATTCTATCTTAAAGGGTATAGAAGATTTTAAAAACATTTCAATGTCTAATCCACCTGGAATGGAATTACTTTTTGCTATCTTCCCTTCTCCATCTTTTGTCTTGTCATCTGTTACTGTTCTGCAGCACTCCATTCTATTTCTTCTCTCTGTATTTGTTAGTGAATATCCTTCAAAATCTTCTATCAACATATTAAGATTGTTGTTAAAGAATCAGGTTGTGACATGTTTGCATACATTTTAAAAAACTTCCTAAAATGACGGGGTTTTTTTTGTTTCTGCTTCAAATATGTTAGTATTCTTTCTTATCTTTATAGTACTGGCTTCTTCTTGGCATTGTGAGGCCTGGCCTTCCCTGCACAGAGTAGAAATATGAATTATGAGAAATTTAATGCAAAGATTTTATTGAAGCAATTTTTCCTTGCTTTTCTAAGAATACATAGATGATATTTCTCTATGGGCAGATGAAGAAATGAATGCCTAATTGTACATTTATTGCTCGCTTTCTAATTACTATGAACTTTAAGATAACTTGCCTGGTTTGATTCTCCAACAATCCCTTAAAACAATTACGACTATTCTTATTGTTTCAGGCAGATACTTCAAGTCCTAATTCCCATGCATTAGTTGTTAACCCTTCCTTTTTGTCCCACTCAAGAAAGCAAAACCATTAAATGAGAAAAGTACAAAACACAGTGGATTTAATTGAAAATGAATTAGAAAAGAGATACCTGCCCTACCTAACATTGATAAAATCTTTTACACACGGAACAACGCGCAGCACTTAAAATCTAAATTCAGAAGAAGCTCATTCCTCTCAAATTGTACAAAAAATATTCCAAAGATTGATTTTAGAACATACAAGCAACACAAATTGCTCTAATCCATAGAAGTTGGTTAATAGAAACAAATTTCTGATGAACCAGTAATCTGGTAAATCATTACTCAGTACATTTATTATGTGAGATAACCTTGGAGAAGTGGTCATTTCTGTTCATTGATATTTTCACAAACTGACCTTGGCTAATTACTTCCAATGCATTGATTATCTGAAGTATTGGTCAGGTTTCCTCTCCATGAGAACAGTATACCCCAGTTTATCCCAATCTCTACGAAGTTGATTGTACTCAATTATCTTACCTGCCTCTTCCCCACCAGCACTTGAGCTTGGAATCCTTGATTCACACTATTTTAGATATAAGTGACCGATTTTGATTTTTAAAATGTACTTTGTTATTGTTCAAGAACTTCATGCATCATTATAATTTCAGATCCTTACAGGTGAAAAACAGGGTTCCTACTCTGTTAAACCCATTTTACAGTATAACTAGTTCAGAACTTAGCAACACTGTTTCTCTCTATACGGAAGTTAATCTACTCTTTCATTAAATGACCCTAAAGTACTCTTGGCTTTTTAAAGAAAACATATTTTATTGTTGGATAATATTGACTTTGTGGTCAAATAAACCCAGGGTTTTTATTTACCTGTTTTCTTAACATAAATTGTTCCCAAACTATGACGTCTCCTTTATCCTGCACTTATTGGTGATTTTGATGTTCTAGGATAAACTTTGTTTTGTTCTACTTCCTTCTAACTTAAATCACTTATTAAGTTTTTGTCAGCTTACTTAATTAAGTTTGTGTGTGATTCAGTGGAACACGTTATTTACAATCCATAATGAAGAAAATATTTTATTCATGTGTTGACAAAGTATTAGAATATTAGAATTATAAAGAATCTTTTGAGACCATTTTGCTCAAATGTCTCCTACATAAACATTGCCTGTAAATCTCTGACCAGTGGTTAATATCATCTCATCTCACTTAATTCTAGTATCCGGAAGGCCTAGGTACCTGTAGAGGAATATGTGGGTTTGAAAATGAGGTATCTAGGCCTGAGTTGACTTTCCCATTATTTCCATTACTAGTTCCATTACTGGTTCCATTAAGCTTGCTGGCCTAGTTTCTTTATATTTGAAAATGGAAGTAGCTAAACATACCTAGAGTATTACTATGAAGGTTACATCAGATAAAGGTGTAGGTGTTGTTTACCTAATTAGAAATTGATCAATGTTAGTTCCTACCTTTATTTTTGGCAACTTCAGTCAGTACTATGCAAAAAATCAACACATGTAGGAGTTGGTGAGCACATTCAGATGAAGTGATTTTCCTTAAAAATAGTGCAAGCATGGAAGCCAGCATCTCAAATGTTAAAATGCCACAGCAAAAGAGCAGCATGTGAGTTAGCTTAAGAATAAATGTGGGCCAGGTGCGGTGGCTCATGCCTGTAATCCCAACACTTTGGGAGGCTGAGGCAGGCAGATCACTTGAGGTAAGGAGTTGGAGACCAGCCCTGTCAACATGGTGAAACCCTGTTTCTACTAAAAATACAAAAATTAGCCAGGTGTGGTGGCGGGCGCCTGCAGTCCCAACTACTTGGGAGGCTGAGGCACGACAATCACTTGAACCTGGGAGGCAAGAGGTTGCAGTGAGCCCTGGGAGGTGGAGGCTGCAGCAAGCCAAGATCACGCAACTGCACTCCAGCCTGGGGGACAGAGCCAGACTCCATCTGAAAAAAAAAAAAAAAAAAGAATAAATGCTAATATTGCAGGTACCTCTTGCCCTTCCCAGCCGTGTTAACATAAAAGGCTGTCTGATTTAAGACTGAATTTACTTTGCTGAGGGGCCATCAGTGATAAAAAGCTGAGAATCAGTGTTGAGAAGCTGAATTTTCCTTCATCAAAGACTACAAAGTCTGACTCACAGCTTGTGCCACTTTGCTGTCTGTGATAGTAACAAAGGTGATACAGGCAATGCTGGACAACGATTGCTCAGGAAATAAATTGGACAGGTGGATGAAATCTCGCTGAGCCTTTCTATGCTTGATGTGTTAAGATAAATTGCATAGGCATTTTCAAATTGTAGAAATGATCATATTGTTTTTTGAACCATTTCTAATGAGTCTTATGATCTGAAGCATTCTCCGCTATGTATTGCTCCTCAGGTCTTCAGCAGTGAGTCAATTACCTTTGAAATGAAGCTGACAAGAGGAATCTGCTAATGGCAGGACACTATTACTAGACCTCACATTAGTGACCAAACTTGAGTGCCTTGTTCCTTAGAGTGTGGTCCATGGACTACCAGCATGTAGTAGTACCTGGGAGCTTTGAGAAAGGCATCATCTCCCGCCCCATCCCAGGCCTCCTGGGTCTGAATCTATGTTTCTAACAAGATCCTCAGATGAGTCACGTACACGTACACGTACACCATTGAGAAAGTTTGTACCTTGTTCCTGCCTCCTGAGATTCTGCATCAACCATTCTGTCATAGGGCTCAGGAATCAACAGTTTTAAATAAAGCACATTGTCTTCAGATCACACGTTGAACAGATCTGTTCTTAATTCACTCTTTCTCCTTTTGCCTTGGGGGCATTTCCTCTGGGAAAAGCTGGAAGACTGGAAACTTAAAGTGTTTATGTTCTCTGGTCAGCTCCTCTCTAAGCCTGCGCTACTTCAGTAGCACCACTGTGTGCTTTATCAATGCACTTTAATATCTAGCCTTGAAAGCAACAATGGCATAAACTTGCTTATATGCCTGTGTGTACACGTACATTCACTTTGGTTTTAGTTTGTACATTTTCTAGGTACCTAGAAAGAATACGCTAGAGTAATTGAAGCAGGATTGTTTTTTGGAGAAAATAAAACTCTGTTAAATAAATAGACACATTTCTTTAAATGTTGAAAACTCCCCCCAGAGTCTGTGAGTGCCAATAGAAGCAGAGCCTGTCTCTGCAAAGTAAATTGAATGTGTTTAATCAAATTACTCCAGGGAGATTCATCAGCAGTAGAATGCAGTGGGAGGTGACCTTCCGTCAGGGTTCCAGTTTGCTTGCTAATGTTTTCTGTGTTATTTTTTTAAGGTGGGTGGTAAAAGCCAATTGATTCTGGACTATCTATGCCAATCTTCATTCCCATCTATGGAAAGCCCAGCCAAGTTTGAAAGGCTAAAAGGAGTAGATTTAGAATTAAAGGGGAAGGAGAAGAAATGCATTACAACAGAGAGAAACCTGGAGGAATTACACTGAGAAAATGTGCAGAAGGATAAGTTTACTTGTTGAGATAAATGTTTTATTTACTCCTTTAAAGGGACGAATGCGCATGAAGGAACATGCCCCAATATGCACATGAACCAAGTGCTTAGAGAAATGCAATTATAATAGTAAAATGCCAAACTTGGTAGAATGCTTGGATATCATATGGCTCGTCTTCTGTTCGTAGATGTGATAACTGAGTCCCAGAGGGAAGTGATCTCACTAAAAATATCTAAGAATTAAGAAAGAGAGCTAGAAATCGAATCCTTATCTCTTGAGTTTATTCTAAAAACTCGGGAGTCATCCTGTCTCCTTTCTCTCCCTTATGACTCTTTTAATCTGTTGATAAGTTCTGCCATTTGTATTTCCAAACCTCCTCATGGCACCCACTGTCCACCTTGAGATGACCTAAGTTCAAGCCACCATCCTTGGCTCCCTTCCCTCCACATCCAGTTACACTGGCTGCCTTTCAGTTCTTCTAACCTGCCAGACTGTTTCTCACCACAGAGACTTTGCACAGGCAATTTCCTCTGTTTCCTTTTCCATTGGCAACAACTTCTCTGGCGGTTCCCTCTTATGGTTCAGTTTAAACGTCTTCTCCATGAAGCTAGTGCTAAAACGTTTTACATGCGTCTTTCTTGTTAGTCCTATCAACACATGCTTAATATTATCACTGCATTGATCACAACCTATTATCCAGAATTTTCAGTCTTCCCTGCTACAATAGATTGTTAAATATCAAAATAATTAGGATGGCCATTTAATCTGTGGTGCAAACTCAGATACTTTTGAGAATGAAAGGGGTGCTATTAATAACTATGCCAGCACCACAGACTTGAGGCAAAACAAGGTAGACATATGGACAGGGGAGTCATAGTGATATTCTGGTGGGGAAAGAGTGTTTGTTCATTTGTGATTTTTTTCTAGGCAAGGAGAGACACAATAACTACAGCAGAGTTTAAAACTTTACCGAGAAAAAAGGAAATGCTCCACGCTCGACTTGCTGCACAGAGATATTTTAGTTCTACTTTAGGGCTGAAGAGCTTTAGGGAAGAAAGGGACATTTAAAAATAATATTTTGGTTTATATTTCCAAAAAAGATAGTGGAAAGATTTTAAATGTCCACAAAACAAAGAAATGATAAATGATGGATATGCTAATTACCCAGATTTGATCACTACACATTGTATACATGCATTGGAATATCACTGTATATCATGTAAATATGGACAATTATTATGTGTCAACTACAAATAAAATACAAATTATAATACAAATTATAAAATAATAAATAATAAATATAAAATAAAAATAAATGTGTGTGCTCAGTCTCCTTCCTCACAGAGGTATGAACCCTAGCCTGTGTGACTCTCTGCTAAAGACAGGTTTCACTTCCTCCTCTGTTCACCTTAACAACAACCCTGCTGATTCAGAGCTCCATTTCTATCTGCTGCTTTTATTCAGTACCTGCAAGCCAGCTCTCCAAGGCTGTTCTTTTATGTGAACTTTTATAATTTGCCAAAGTAGCTTGTCTAGGATATCCAAGCTATCAGGTGGCATATAAATTGTTGTTTTTGTTATTGCTTTGATTAAAATATTGTGTTGATCTACTCTGATTTTTACTAGTCATATAAGCCCTGCTGTTTTCATGTTCAATTTTGTACAACAAAAGATTTTCCAGAAACACATATATTGGGCCACAGCAGAAACATCTAAATCATATATAAATATATAATATCTGTCAAGTTATTTTGCCCTATTTGCTGGTTTACTGTTTCTTTTCCTGATGAGAAGGCACCTGGGAAAGGGTGCCGCCCAACCCTGGGAAAAGGTGCCTTCTCATCAGGAAAAAAAACAGTAAACAAGCACATCACCAGTGATCCCAGCACTTAGCACAGCAGAATACATGGTAGAATGGCTATAAATTTTGCTATAATAATTGAATTCTTGTGAGTTTAAGGTATGTTAACATATCATGTTTTTAAGTTCTTGGAATTTGGAGCTCATATACTCCATTGGCTTTCAAATATTTTTGGCCACAGCTCATAGTAGAAAATATATTTTGTTCATCCATCGTATATGAACACACACACATGTATACGCACACACATATACATCTATTCACACATATATACACACATATGTGTTTATATACATACATATAAACTGAAATTCTTTCTGTGAAATTCTTAAAGCCAGAAATTTACCTTCACTATTTATGAGTGGTCTCAAGGGGAGAGGAGATGAGCTTTCATTAGATATGCTGAGTTCAAAGTTACGGGTGGATGTCCTAATTGACATTTCCAGCAGGCAATTGATGAAGCATTTGAATTGGGACAATACGCATGACAGTCTAATCTGTAAGAATTGATGAGATCTCAGAGGGTGAGAGCAGAGAAAGGAAAGAGCAGAGGCATGGCAAGTGAAACTTGAGAAATATTTATGTCTAGGACTGGAGGTAGAAAGAGGAGCCACCAAGGATCCCCAGAGGCACCATCAAGAGGTAGAAGAAGGCAAGGCAATGTGGCTTGTAGGGAAACATTTTAGAGAAGAGGAGAAATTGGCAGTATCAGGTATTTATTAATTCAACACTTATTGAGCATATAAACTCCATCGAAGCAGGGCATTTGTTTTCTTCACTGTTCAGTCAACTGAAAGAAAATGTCCAGCACATAGTACATACTCTCTCTTGTCTCTGCCAGCCTGTCTCTGTCTCTTTCTCACATATACACTTTAATATTTATTTTAAATGAAAGAAAAAATTGAATGCCCCTTTCAGTTTGACACCACACTAGACACATAGGAAGTAGAAGTGAATAAGAAGTGTTGCTGCCTTTAAGGTCTTCTCAATCAAGTGGAAAATGAAAATGTCAAGGAGGGTGTGCACGTATTAAGCTATGGTCTCTCAGCTCCAAATTCATGCTTCTATCCTCTACTTGATGATGCCTGGGCTTGAAGTCTGAAAACTACTTTTCTGCCTTTCCATCTGGCTCCCTATTAGGCCATGACTATTGGGGGTTCTAGAGGAAGACTCAAGGCTGGAAGAGAAGAAAGGACATTCTCCTTCTTTTCTGCTCCTTGTTGCCTTCCAGCAGGATTCATGTCTGCTCCCTGCTCCTAACACGCTCTTTATCAGCATTGCCCCAGCCTTGCTTCTCCACCCAGCAGTGGCAAATAAGTTCATTCCTATGGCAGCTCAGGAATCTAGCTCACATTCTTTTTAATTCTTGCAGACTCAGCCTTATTGTGCCTCTCTCAGAGATATCAGCATTAGTCAGTGTTCCATCCTCAGGGATCTGGGTCACAACCCCATGGGCTCATCCTCTCTGAGCTCAGAGAACCAGCACAAGCTGAATGATGTTGTCCCCTGAGAAGTCTAAGTTGCAGCTCCAATTTCAGACCTCTGCTCCAAGCTACTAATTTTTAAAATTTCCAACCTCTTTTTTTTGTTGTTGTTTCCTCAGCTCTACGGGTCATAGCCATTTCCTATAGTTGCAGCCTTCACAATATTTTAATGCTCTCTTTTTGCCTTTTTAGTTACCCAGCAAACAAATGCATCCTTAAGTTATTTCCGTTAAAATAACTGCAGTGCTGTCTGTGTCTTGATTGGGCCCCGACTAATAAAAAAATTGGTAACAGGAGCAATCCTGCAAAATAGATACTCACAGATGAGTCAAAAGACAGGTACTTGGAAAGACAGGAAGTAAGATGTTTCCAAAGTCAAATGTCAAATTTATAAAAAAAAAAAAGTGCAGTGAGTTTTGAATTTCTTGATGTGTCTCTTTATGTGTCTGCAAGTAAACAGACAACCAACAGAGTGAGAGAAAGTCTTTGCCATCTATAAATCTGATAAAAGACTAATACCCAGAATCTACAAGGACTCAAATAAATTAGCAAGAAAAAAGCAAAAGATCCCATCAAAAAGTAGGCTAAGGACATGAATAGACAATTCTCAAAAGGTACTGTCATACATTTTGATATACAAATGACAAACAAATAAAAAATGCTCACTATCACTAATGATCAGATAAATGCAAATCAAAACCACAGTGCGATACCACCTTACTCCTGCAAGAATGGCCATAATCAAAAAATCAAAAAAATAATAAATGTTGATGGGGATGCAGTGAACAGGGAACAATTTTACACTGCTGGTGGGAATATAAACTAGTACAACCACTATTGGAAACCAGTGTGGAGATTCCTTAAAGAACTAAAAGTAGAACTACCATTTGATCCAGCAATCCCACTGCTGAATATTTACCCATAGGGGAAGAAGTCATTATACTAACAAGATACATGCATACACATGTTTATAACAGCACAATTCGCAATTGCAAAAATATGGAACCAGCCCAAATGTCCATCAATCAAAGTGGATAAAAAAGTCCATCAATCAATATGTGTGTGTGTGTGTATATATATATATGTGTGTGTGTGTGTGTGCACACACACACACACACACACCTATACCATGGAATACTACTCAACCATAAAAAGAAACAAAATAATGGCTCACAGTGACCTGGATGGAATTGGAGACCATTATTCTAAGTGAAGTAACTCAGGAATGGTAAACCAAACATCTTATGTTCTCACTTATAAGTGGAAGCTAAACTATGAGGTTGCAAAGGCATAAGAATGATACAAGGGACTATGAGGACTGATCAATTAAAGTAAAATGATGAGAAAATATATAGTATTAGAACACCCATCAAAGGAAAACTGAAGTGGCTATGTTAATGTCAGACTAAGCAGACTTTATAATTTAAAATATTTCCAGGAATAAAGAGGAATAATAAAAAAGTGTCATTTCCTAAAGAAGATACAGCAAACTCAAATGAGCATGCACTTAAAAGCAGAGGTTCAGCATACGTGCAGCAGAAATGAATAAAGCCTAAAAGGAAAAACCAGACAAATCTGTAATTATAGTTGAAGAGTTCAAGACTGTTTTTTCAGAAGTTAATAGAACAAGTTGACTTTTAAAACATTTTATACTTCATTTTGAATAGTTAATATTGTTTTGCTATCTGAAAATTGACAAGTGGTACCTAATTAAATTGAAGATATTCTGTATAGCAAAAGAAACTTATCAATGGCATAAACACACAACCTACTGAGTGAGAGAAAATATTTGTGAACTACACATCCAATAGAAGCCTAGTATCCAGAATCTATTAGGAACTTAAACAATTAATCAAGCAAAAAACCCAAATAATCTCATCAATAAATAGGCAAAGGATGTGAGCAGACACTTCTCAAAAGAAGATATACAAGTGGCCGACAAGCACATAAAAAAATGCTCATCATCACTAATCATCAGAGAAATGCAAATAAACACCAAAATGAGATACCATCTTACAACAATTATATGGCTTTTATTTAAAAGTCAAAAAATAACAGGCATTGGCAGGGCTGTGGAGAGAAAGGAATTAATATCACTGTTGCTGGGAATGTAAATTAGTTCATCCACTGTGGAGAGCAGTTTGAAGATATCTCAAAGAGCTGAGTCAAACTACCATTCAACCCAGCAATCTCACTACTGGCTATATACCCAAAGGAAAATAAATCATTCCACAAAAAGGGCATATGCACGCTTATGTTCATTGCAGTACTATTCACAGTAGCAAAGACATAGAATCAACCCAGGTGCCTATCAGTGGTGGATTGGATAATGAAAATGTGGTACAGATACACCATGGAATACTATGCAGCCATGAAGATGAATGAAATTATGTCCTTTGCAGCAACATGGATGCAACTGCAGGCCATTATCCTAAGTGAAGAAACAGAAACAGAAAACAAATACCACATGTGCTTACTTATAAATGAGAACTAAACATTGGGTACACATAACATAAAGATGTGAACAATAGATACTGGGGAATAAAAGATGGGGGAGGGAAGGAGTGGGACAAGGGTTGAAAAACTACCTATTGGGTACTATGCTCACTTCCTGGATGAGGGGTCAATCATACTCCAAACATCAGGCAACATGCCTTTGTAACAAACTTGCACATGGACCCCTGCTGCCAGGAAGTGGGGGAATCCTTGGTCTTTAGTCATCTTGGGAGAAAGATTTCAGCCAAGAGACAATTTAGCCAAAACGAATTTATTAAAGGGAAAGAGCAGAAAGGTTATTTAAAGAGACAGTACACTCTGAAAGATGAGGCAGAGCAGGCTACTGAAACAGAATAAGCCAGCAGCCCCCGAGGGTTCTGCATTGGGTTTTTATGATGGTGGATTTTTCCTTGAAGTTCCCAACTCTGTCTTAAGTCTTCAACTTTTTTTTTTTTTTATCTAGTTTTCCCACTTCTGCCTTAAGTCCCCTCCTTTTTCTTACCTAGTTCCCACCCCAAGCTTGTGGGATCCTCCCTTACTATTAATTGGTTCACATGCATGGCTCCGGTGTTAGATGTGAATTCTACCTAATGGCTGCATTGCTCATTACCGCCACCCCAGGATGGTTGTATAGAGGTCAAATCTATACTTATTTCATCTGTGTATCTCTTAGGAGTTTCTCCTTTGTCCTCTTCCTTCTTTATCAGCATGCTGCTAGCTACATTCGGACAGACTGACTGCAGAGTGAGCGATTACTGGGCATCTTACGGGGCGTTCCTTCCTGCATAGGTATTTCCTCTGCTCTCTGCTCATATCTAGCATGCATATTTCTGGAGATCACTGAGGTGTGAGATTTTCCAGACCCCCTTTTTCTCAGGGGCTCATGTCTAGGTATCCAGTTTGCCTACTCTAATACCCCCAGAATTTAAAATAAAAGGTGAAAAAGAAAAAAAGAATTAACTTACAAATTACAAAACAATTATGGTTATAGAAAATAAATGATATCACCCTTGAAAATGTAAAAGTAAAAATGACAAAAACTGAAGGTGAAAGGAGAAGAGAAGAAACTGTGGGGTACTATCTATGTGACTGCATTTGCCATTATCCCCTCATTTATGTCCCATATTTCATTCATACTGAATTCTCTGAATGGCCTGTTTGCACATGCATTGATTGGAATACACTCTCTCATTAGTCTCCATTCTCTTCAGAAGCAAATAAAGACAGTGCCCATCCAAACACTAACAAATGGGAAAATCTATAGACAAAGGATTTCAAGCATACCAGGACCATTAAACATGATTAAATCGGCCGGGCGCTGTGGCTCACGCCTGTAATCCCAGCACTTTGGGAGGCCGAGGCGGGTGGATCACGAGGTCAGGAGATCGAGACCATCCTGGCTAACACGGTGAAACCCCGTCTCTACTAAAAATACAAAAAATTAGCCAGGCGTGGTGCGGGCGCCTGTAGTCCCAGCTACTCCGGGAGGCTGAGGCAGGAGAATGGCGTGAACCCGGGGGGCGGAGCTTGCAGTGAGCCGAGATCGCGCCACTGCACTCCAGCCTGGGCGACAGAGCGAGACTCCATCTCAAAAAAAAAAAAAAAAAAAAAAAACATGATTAAATCCTTCATTGTGAGATAGAGAATCAAGGTATGTTAACCAAAAACCATTAAATATTTACAAAACTTCCCTTGTTCGAATTCCTTGTCAAGTGCAGTATTTCAAAGTTTGTCCCCAAATTATTTGATACTTCTCTCTTCAAAGTTAAATCTACTTATTCTGTGAATGTGAGCTGGACTTGGTGGCTAGTGAACAAAGTATTTTGGAAGTAATGCTAAGTGACTTCCAAGGATAGTCATAGGATGTGACTTCCAAAATCGATTCTTCATAGAAAGACCCAAAGTCACAAAAGGCTTCAAAGTATACCTCAGTGTGATGGTTAATACTGAGTGTCACCTTGATTGGATTGAAGAATGCAAAGTATTGTTCCTGGGTGTGTCTGTGAGGGTGTTACCAAAGGTGGTTAACATTTGAGTCAGTGGACTGGGAAGGGTAGACCCACTCTCAATTTGGGTGGGAACAATCTAATCAGCTGCCAGCGTGGCCAGAAATAAAAGCAGGCAGAAGAACGTGAAAAGACTAGATTGCTTTAGTCTTCCAGGCTACATCTTTCTCCCATGCTAGATGCTTCCTGCCCTCAATCATTGGACTCCAAGTTCTTCAGCTCTGGAACTCGGATTGGCTTGCACAGACAGCCTATTGTGGGAGGTTGCCTTGTGATTGTGTGACTCAATACTCCTTAATACACTCCCCTTTATACGTACAACTACCCTATTAGTTCTGTCCCTCTAGAGAACCCTAATACACTTGGCGGTATTGTGAGTCTGGGTCCAGACTACTGCAATAAAACAAATGACTGCAATCAAGCGAGTCATATGAATAGTTTGGTTTCCCAGTGCATAAAGCTATATTTACACTATATTGTAGTGTATTAAGAATGCAATAGCATTATGTCTAAAACAGCAATGTAAATACCCTAATTGAAAACACTTTATTGCTAAAAAATGCTAATAATAATCTCAAAATATTAGTTTTCAATTTCACTTGAATTCTTACTACCCAGTAAGAATATTGACGACTTGAACAGTACTATCAACCAGCTGTACCCAATTAATATTTATAGAATATTTCACTCAACTATAAGATAATTCACATTTTAAAAAAATCAGCTTTTCTGAGTTCCACTTTGATGTTAATAGAATCTTTCTTATGCTTACTGTTCAAACGGCTTAACTTTTTTTATCCTTGGACTTTCAGGCATCTAGTTCTTTATATTTAAAGTGCAATTATTTTAGACAGCACATAGCTCTCACTTTTTAATATTATCTTATGATCGTCACCTCTTTGAAGGTGTGTGTATCTTATTTGTGTTTAATATAATTAATATTATGATTGGCATTTGCCTAACTTTTTTTCTCTTTCTTTTCTATTTGTCCCATCTATTCTTAGTTCATCTTTCTATTTCCTTCTTTCTTTTTGGGTTAACTATTTTTAAGTATTCTACTCAATCCCTTTATTAGCATTTTAGCTCTAGATGTTTGCATATTGTTAGAGGTTTCTGCTGTGATTACAATATAAATCTATAATATTTTACAGTTCACTTAAATGTAATATATGTGTATACACTTAAATGTAATACATATACACACACACACACATACATGGGTGAGTACATAGGTTCTCTTTTTTATACATGTGGGGATGGGTCTTATGGGAGAACAAACATTGAGCTAACTCCTTTCTCACCCAAGTTTTCTTTGAGAAACCAAACTTAAAATTATTAAGTCATAAAAATAATTTCTTGGCTTTCATAACTGAAGAGTTCATTCAGTCATGGCTGGATTCAAGAGCTTTTATGACTTCATCACACGCTGAACTTGGTCACTCATTCTATGTCTTGGCTTTGATTTTCGTCTGTCTGCTTCAGACTCAGGCATATGTACAGCTGCATCGCTATCATATATATATAATAAATAATAAAACCTATGTACTCACTCAATAGGTTCATCTTGGCTGCTACCCAGAAAAGTTGATGCACTGATAGCAGCAGGTTTTTGCAAAAAGAAATTTAAACAATGCAGAGCCAGCTAAGTGGAAGAACAGGAGTTTTATTATTACTCAAATCAGCCTCCCTGAAAATTCAGAGCTAGAGTTTTTGAAGGATAGTTTGGCAAGAAGGGGGCTAGGGAATGGAGAATGCTGATTGTTTCTGTTGGAGAAGAAATCATGGGAAGTCAGAGCCTGTTTTCTTGTGCTGAGTCAGTTCCTGGGTGGGGGCTACAAGACCAGATGAGCCAGTTCAACTGTCTGGGTGCTGCCAGCTGGTCCATCAGAAAGGAGGGTCTCAAAAATACTTCAAACATCAATCTTAGGTTTTACAATTGTGATGTTATCTATAGGAGCAATTGGGGAGCTCAGGAATCTTGTGACCTCTGGCTGCATGACTCCCCTGCACCATTTATAATCTTGTGGCTAATTTGCTAGTTTTACAAAGGTGGTCTTGTCCACAAGCAAGGAAGGGCTTTGTTTCAGAAAGGGGCTGTTATCATCTTTGTTTCTTTTGCTTTTTTAGAAGAATGTCAACTTTTATTTTACATTCGGGGGTACCTGTGCAGGTTTGTTACATAGGTATATTGTATGATGCTGAAATTTGGGGTACAGTTGTACCTGTCACCCAGGAAGTGAGCATAGTACCCAACAGTTAGATTTTCCACCCTTCCCCACTTCCTCTTCTAGTGCTCTTCAGCGTCTGTTATTGCCATCTTTATGTCCATGAGTACCCAGTGTTTAGCTCCCACTTATAAGTGAGAACATGCAGTATTTTGTTTTCTGTTCTCGTGTTAATTAATTTAGGATAATGGCCTTCAGCTGCATCCATATTGCTGCTAAGGACATTATTTCTTTCTGTTTATGGCTGTTTAGTATTCCACCATGCATACGTACAATATTTTATTTTTCTTATCCACCATTGATGAGCACCTAGATTGATTCCTTTTTTTTTTTTTTTTTTTTTTTTTTTTTTTTTTTTTTTTTTGCTATTGTGAATAGTGCCATGATGAACATACAAGTGCATGTGTCTTTTGGGTAGAGTGATTTCTTTTCTTTTGGATATGCACTCAGCAATGGGATTGGTGAGTCAAATGGTAGTTCTGTTTTAAGTTCTTTGAGAAATGTCCAAACTGCTTCCCACAGTGGCTGAACTAATTTGTGTTCCCACCAACAGTGTATAAGCATTCCTTTTTCTCTGCATCCTCATCAGCATCTGTTGTTTTTCTACTTTTTAATGATAGCCATTCTGACAGGTATGAGATGGCATTTCATTTGGGTTTTGGCTTGCATTTCTCTGGTGATTAGAGATGTTGAGCAGTTTCTCATGTTTGTTGGTCACTTGTATGTCTCCTTTTGAGAAGTGTCTGTTCATGTCCTTTGCCCACTTTTTAATGGGGTTGTTTTTCGCTTATTCAACTGATTAATATTCTTATAGATTCTGGATATTATGCATTTATCAGATGCTTAGTTTGTGAATATTTTCTCTCTTTCTGTAGCTTGTCTATTTACATTGTTGATCTTTTCTTTTGTTCTGCAGAAACTCTTTAGTTTAATTAGTTTCCACTTGTCAATTTTTGGGT